>NC_000001.11:155684587-156934587 GCF_000001405.40 Homo sapiens | reverse complement strand
TATAGATACATATATATACACACATATATAGATATACACACACACACACATATATATACACATATATGTGTATATAAAGGAGCAGTGGACCCAGAGTCAAGAGGTCTCATGAGCTGCCCTCAATGAGCTTGAAGACTTTAAAAGCCAAATCTAAGTGGGAGGGTTGCCTCAGGCCTGGCCAGTTCATCACTGTCATCATCCATCCACATCCTCCCACAGACGCAGCCACATCACCAAGACTGTAACCATTCACCTCTGTCTCCTGGCATTCAGTGTTGGATTAAAGTGACAAATTCTGTCTCTTCCAGCCCAACCCTGACTCCTCTACCTCTCACAATCCTCAGCTGTGTCCTCATTAGGGTACAGTCTATTTGGGCATCAGAATTGATACAGGAGTCATTAGTGATGAAGGGTGGGATAAAGATATGGGCTGAAAGGGTCACTGAAGCTCTGGAGGACATGGCAAGTTTCCCTGCAGAAGCTGGGGTGACCATCATCCAGCACCTCAATGTGTTCAGTGTTGGGAATTCAAAGAAATGATAGGTTTTCCCTGGTGAAGCTGGCTCCACAGCCAGCTGCAGAGACAGAGCTGGGACAGTCAGACTAGGAGGGCTCCAGGCACTCAGAGGCAGGAGACAGGCCTAGGTGCCACTGAGCCACACAAAGTAAGACAGCAGGACAAGGGAATTCTAGGTAGGCAGAGGCAGTGGGATGAGGGAAGTAGGACTAGAGAATGTGGAACAGGTTGAATCTGCTTAGAAGTGAGGAAGAAAGGCTGGTCTTTGCTGATCTGCGCCATCTTGGACACTGCTGTATAGGTTTACAGGTAGGCTCCCCGAAGCCAGTCCTGTGCTCTCTGGGCACTGGCAGGTGACCTCAATGGAGGCAGCACTGAAGGGTAAAGGTTTGGGGACCCTGACTCAGCTCAGGAACCTCTGGTTTCAGATTGCTGACTTCTGCAGGCAGGTTATTAGGGTTCATGTTCAATGCTTAGCCTTTGCTATGTAGATGTTGAGCGTTTAGCACCCTCTCCAAAGTGGCCTGCCAAGCCTTTGTTCATTTTCTTAAGCTGAACCCTTACCTCTCCTCCAAAGCAGTCAAACACCTGGGCCAGCCAGACGGGGAAGCAGAAGGGAGCGGGCATGGAGCCTGTGCTTAATTCCTCTGCTTCACCTACTCCTGCTCCCACTCCCTCCCAAGCTTATGTGTGTCAGTTACTAATCCCTATCCCAAATCCTTCTGAATGCAAACCCTGGCATAATGCATGTCCCCTAGGGAACACGGTGGGGGAATGGCTATTGCCTGAGCAAGGAAGAACTAGCCCCCAGGAGGCAGAACGGCAATGCCCCTGGCTAACTGAGGCCAGAGGAGCTGAGATCATCCCCAGCGGAACTGTAATTCAGACCACTTTTCTGCCATTCCTGGCATGTAACATGGACAGACGCAAAATCTAAATGTTCCAAGTAGTTCTGGAAGAAAGTTTTCAGACGACCTCAAGGAAAAGTATAGCAACAGACTTTGTTATTGGTCTGAGATCTCCCCCAGGGAGGTCACCCCACACAGGGACAGGAGGTGCTTCTGTAGCCCCGAGTCTTAGAGGCAAGCAGGTGGGAGGGGGCTAGGGGAAGAATGCCATGGCCTCATCCTCCCTGAGTTTGGCCTTGATGGGATCCCTTGGCAACATCAGCTCCTGGATTATGGCGTACGCAGGACATTGTGGGGCGAAGCAATTTTTCTGAAAAGAAAAGGAAGGCTGACATCTGACAAGAGGAATGAAGATTAGTCCTCTGGCAGAAAAAAAAAAATGGTCCTGGGGCAGGGTGGGTTAGGGGCTGGGGGACATGCAGAAAAAGCAGAGTGATTAATACTGCTGATTTTCCAGCAAGAGGAATGGAGGTTATGTTGTGATTATTAAAAAGAAGCAGAGAAACTACAGACCTTCCTTGGAAATGGGGAGACAGAAGCTGCCTGCAGCAGCTGTCTAGTATGACAGCTGATAGGGGCAACGTCTGCTTCAGCAGGAGAGAGTGAAAGGGACTCACAGCCAGGGACAGCCACAGCAGCCCCACTGGACCCTTGGATGCACTCTTGGCCTTGGAGAACTGCATCTGATACTGCACCGTGGCGAGGAAGCCCTCCAGCCCCACCTCTGTGATGCGGTTCCCTGGTGGAAGTTACAGACAGGTGGCCTCTTAGCACCACAGGCCTCATTGGCACCTGACACACCAGACATCCCCAGCATCCCAGTTCCTCCAGCTCCCCACTCCAGACTCACTGGCCCAGGCACACCTTTCCCTGACCTAGCCCTTCACTCAGCTCTTACTCACACACTCCCCATCTCTCTAACTCCTCTCATTACTCCAATCGCCTGTCCTCAGCCTCCTCCCAGACTCAGCACTTCCTCTGGCCCCTCCAGCCCTGTGCCAGAGAGCCTTGGGGGACATGTAGCCCAAAGATGGGAGGACCAGCTCTGCTCCATAGAGTCGGGGTAAACACCCTCAGGCAGGACAGGGCCCGGGTAGCCTCATGACAGGAGGACAGGGGAGGTTGGCAGACATACGGATGAGGTTGAGGTGCAAAAGGACCTTGTTCCCAGGCATGAAAACTTTCCCATCTCGGTGCTCCACAGGCTCCAGGAGAGGGTTGACCACCTCAGTAGCCTCAACAACCAGCTGCTAAAGCAGAATACTAATTGCAGCAGACAGCAGGGGAGCTGGTCAACAGGCCATTCATTCATTCATTCATTCAACATACATGTTTTGACTGCCGGCTATAGTCCAGGCTTTGTCCCAAGTGCTGGGGATACAAAAATAAATAAGCCCATACCCTCAAGAAGCTCCTTTGTGTGGAGGAGCCAGAAAGTGAAAGTAACGTGGTCTGGAGTGAGCGCTGACAGAGGCAAGCTCAGAGCACTGTGGGAGCACGGAAAAGGCCAGGCCAGGAAGGGCCTCCTGTGAACGCACATGATATTGTCAGATGAAGACGGGAAAGGTGTTCTAGGCAAAGAAAGCAGGTGCAAAGGCTCTGGAAGCGTGAAACAGTATGTCGCATTCAGATTTTACTAAGTGTTTCCCAACACCTAGAGCAATGAGGAGAATGGATTGGAGGGAAGTAACAATGACGGCATGATGAAAAGAAATTGCAGTAGTCCTAGTACAATCAGCAGCCTGATCAAGACAGAGGCAGAGATGAAAAATGGAAACTGAAAGGCAACCCCAATCTCTTCCTCCCTCTGAACGTCCTCTTTTGTAAGATTTTGTCTTGAGTGCCAGAGAAGACTCCTGAAAGGAGAGGGGCCCTTCCCTGCCTAGGGTGTGCAGGGAGTCTTCCAATGGAAGAGAAAAATAAAGAGAGGCGGATGCTCAGGCAGCTGACAGAACGGAGGGATGAGGGACCATAAGAGCACTGAAGGCAGCCCAGGAAGATTTCCAATGCAAGCAGCAAGTTGGTCCAGGTTGTAAGGGGGCAGAGAAGATCCAGGGGCAAAAGAGAGAGGGTCTGAAGAAGGACCCATGCACAGGGTAGCGTGGGGCAGTGCCATGACCATAAAAATGCCCTGCCTTCCTCAGGGAGCTGCTGAGAGGGGCAAAAAAGAAGACGCATTGTTCCTATGCAACAGTCCAAGCAAGTGATGGAGGTGGTGATGAGGAACTGAGGGCCTCTGTGCCTCTGGGCCTCTGGGGAAGTAGCCTGGCTGAGTTGAGACAGCAGATCCAAAGTGTGGGCTACTAATAGACAAGGAAAAATAGAAGGGGTCTGCTCTTGTTATTCCCACAGAAGCCCAAGGTGAGATGGGAGGGGGTTTCAGGTGAGGTTGGGACAGGAGTGGAGGACAAATTTGAAGGCAAATGGCTGCTGCCACAGCATGGGGCTGGAGACCACATTCCAGGAGGGGCTGGGGTGAGACGTCTCAGGCAAGCCTGGAATCCCAGGGGTGTGCCCCCTGCCTCCACTCCTCCTGGCAACTTACCTCGGACTCCAGGAGGATGCTGCGCTTCTCTCTGCTCCCGATCTTGATCCCTTTTGCCCTGCTTGGCTTCTGTTCAGGGATGGTTACCTCTGGGGCCAGAAGAGGAGCCAGAATGCACAGTGCACACTTCTGATACCACCCAGGCTCCCTCCCCAGAGAAAACAGGCTGTGAGGCAAAGAGACCCCCCAACTTTGGGTTTGGGTGCAATAGAAATGGCTGGAGGGGGCTGGGCGCTGTAGCTCACACCTGTAATCCCAGCACTTTGGGAGGCCGAAGCAGGAGGATCTCCTGAGGTCAGGAGTTCGCAACCAGCCTGGCCAACATGGTGAAGCCCCATCTCTACTAAAAATACAAAAATTAGCTGGGCGTGGTGGCACGCACCTGTAATCCCAGCTACTGGGTAAGCTGGGGCAGGAGAACTGCTTGAACCCAGGAGACAGAGGTTGCAGTGAGCCAAGATTGCACCTCTGCACTCCAGCCTGGGCAACAGAGTGAGAATCCATCAAAAAAAAAAAAAGAGAGAGAAAGAAAGAAAGAAAAGAAAGAAAGAAAGAAAAAGAAAGAAAGAAAGAGAAAGAAAGAAAAAGAAAAGAAAAGAAAAAAGAAATGGCTGGAGGGGGCCCCAGCTAGGTGTATGGGTTCTTTGAAGACAGGGCCACAGAGCTCCAGCTCCAACAAAGGGAATGAGGACAGCAGTGGGTCAGGATGTCTGGGCTGGATGCGGCTCTCCACATCATCCCACTGTGAGAAGGAAATCAAGCCCAGAGGGGCATGGCGAGATGAGCTCCAGGCAGGCGCACCCAGGCCCAGAACAGCTTCCTGCACCCGGCCCGGCACTCTTCCCTCCTCCACACAGGAAGATGCCACCCAGGGGCACCCGCACTTACTCCCCTTGCCTGCCTTTGTGGCATCTTCCTTCTTAGGGGTTCCTTGTGTGGGTGACTGCCCAGACCCCAACTTCTCCTCTTTCTTGGCCAATTCCTGTGGAGAATGTGAGAAGAGAGGGGCAAGTCCCACCTCCGGAGGGGATGGGCAGTGGTGAGGGAAGGAGCCCAGGTTAGGACCCGGGGCCTTAGGGGGAACTTCAAAGGCCCATGTGGCCTTCTTCCCTCCACCACCTCTGTACATGATGGAAGCCCCCTCCCCTGTCCGTCCAGCACCCAGGATCTGTCCCATTGCACACCTACCCATGATTTCTCCTTTTTCTTGCCCAGGCCCTTAGGGGTTTTCATTGTCTGCGTCTTGTCTGTCTTGTCCACCAATGCACTATTGCTGATCCCTACCATCTGACTCTTCTCACGGTCCGTTTTGGAGTCCCCGTGTCGAGAGGAGGAGGGCTGTGCTCACAAATGGGAGGGAAGGGGGGAAGAAGCCAGAGCCCCTTCCTCAATGGGGGCATGAAAGGTAGCTATACCCATACTTGGGGAGCAGTCGAGCTGACAGCACCCTCCCACCCACCTCCCTGCCTAAATGCTAAAATAATTTGTATAGGACTCCTCTGGGGTGAGATGCTTTCGGGAAGAAATAGCAGAGGGACCTGGGTGGGGTGAGATGAAGGGTGAGGCAGGGTCTCAGACTTATATTGAGGGGGAAAAAATAACAGCTTTTATTGAGCTAAGTGCCAGGTGCTATTTTAACTGCATTGCAGGAATTGAGTCTTTAAATCCTCTCGACAGTCATGAAATAGGTACAACTATCCCCACTTACAGATGAGGAAACTAAGGCAAGGAGAAGTTAAGTAACACAGGCCAGGTGCAGTGGCTCACGCCTGTAATCCCAATACTTTAGGAGGCCGAGGTGGGCGGATCATTTGAGACCAGGAGTTCGAGACCAGCCTGGTCAACATAGCGAAACCCCATCTTACTAAAAAATACAAAAATTAGCTGGGCATGGTGGCACATACCTGAAATCTCAGCTACTCAGGAGGCTGAGGCAGAAAAATCGCTTGAACCCAGGAGGCAGAGACTGCAGTGAACCGAGATCACACCACTGCTCTCCAGCCCAGGTAACAGAGCCAGACTCCATCTCCCAAAAAAAAAAAAAAAAAAAAAAAGTAAGAAGAAGAAAGAAGAAAGGAAGAAGAAGAAGAAGAGGAAGAGGAAGAGGAGGAGGAGGAGGAAGAAGAGGAGGAGGAGGAAGAGGAAGAAGAGAAGAAGGAGAAGAAGAGGAGGAGGAAGAGGAAGAAGAAGAGGAGGAGGAGGAATAAGAGGAAGAAGAAGAAGAAGAAGAAGAAGAAGAAGAAGAAGAAGAAGAGGAAGAAGAAGAGAAAGAAAGAAGAAAGAAAAAAGAAAGAAGAAGAAGAAGTTGTTTAGTAACATGCCCAAGGTTACAAGCTGGGATATGGATGAGCCGGATTTCAGGTCCAGGTGGTCTCAATCTAGTGTCCTATCTCTGAACCAGTACACTCTACTGCCCATAGTGTGGTTCTGCAATTAGAGCCCCCCCAGCAGGGGCTTGGCAAAAGTCTGTGCAGAAATCGGAGGGAAAGACAGTCAGGACAGAGGGTGGAGATTAAACTGGATGGCCAGTTTGCTGAAAAGCAGCGGACTTGGGGAGTGGGCTCGAGGGTCAGAGGGGCTCTCGGCTGGTCCTGGGGCCTGGTAGCTCCTCACCGATCGCGAGCGCTCCTGTGTCCCTTTTTCCAGCAGGAGGCGTCGGCGCTCCACCACTTCGGTGTGTGTCAGCTCGAAGGCGCGCAGGACCTGAAGGAGGCGGGCGCTCAGCGGTCGGACGCCTGGGTAGTCAGGGTCGGCTCCCTCGGCCCGCCCACGCCCCTGCCCCACCTGATCGGCACACCCACCTCAGCCAGCTTCAGGGCGCCCTTGTCCTGGATGCGGTTGTGGGCCAGGGACAGCCAGAGCAGGGAACGGTTCAGCCGGAGGCCCTAAGAGGCGGGCAGGGACGCGTGAGCCGCCCAAGCCGCCCCTGCTCCCAGCAGGTCCCTCCCCGCCGTGCACTCACGTCCGCGATGTAGCCTGCGCCCTCGTCACCGATGTGGTTGAAACCCAGGTTGAGCGAGACGAGGGTCCGGTTGCAGCTGTGCAGCGTGGACAGCGCCTGGCCCAGGAGTTGCGCCCCGCGGTCGTCGATGTTATTGTTCCGCAGAGACAAGTGCGCAATCCTGGGGCAGCCGGAGGGAGAATGTGGGTCGCTGGAAAAGGTACAGGGCGTCCGCCGGAATATGGGAGACTTGAGCGCTTGAGGGGGCGGTCTGGTCTGAGGATGTAGGGGCAGAAATCGAGGGCCCTTGCCGAGATGGTAGGGGGACAAGGAAGGGCGGGGACTAAAAATGGCTTGGAATTTCGAGACAGGCCCAGAGAAAGGGGGTGAGGGCAGGGAGTCTCACGTGCTGTCCAAGGCCATGAGCTTGTGATAGGACTGCTCCGGCAGTGGGTTCCCCTCCAGAGACACCTTCCTGAGGGCAGGGGAGATCTGAGAACCAGAAGGTACCACTGAGGCCAGGTAAGGGAAGGGAACAGAGAGGAAGTGTGCGTCTCTGGGAAGCAGCTAGGAAGTAGAGTCAAAGGATTGCCCCCCCAATATAGGAAATATATGTGACAATTCCCCAGACTAAAAATTCACAGATGTGCCCATTGTGAAGGGACTGCTCCCCAAAGTTGGTGACCCATGGTAGGGTAGCCCCTAAGATGGCCTTCAGTGGTCCCCACCTCCTGGAACTCATGCCCCTGTGTCATTCCTTCCCCTTGAGTGTGGACTTCACATTAGAAGTGACTCACTTCTGGCCAGGCACAGTGGCTCACGCCTGTAATCCCAGCACTTTTTGAGGCCAAGGCGGGCAGATTGCCTGAGCTCAGGAGTTCGAGACCAGCCTGGGCAACAGGGTGAAACCCCGTCTTTACTAAAAATACAAAAAATTAGCGGGACATGGTGGCGTGCACCTGTAATCCCAGCTACTTGGGAGGCTGAGGCAGAAGAATCACTTGAATCCAGGAGGCGGAGGTTGCAGTGAGCCAAGATTGTGCCACTGCACTCTAGTCTGGGCGACATAGCAAGACTCTGTCTCCAAAAAAAAAAGAAGAGGTGGGGGGTGGGGTGGAGGGAAATAAGTGACTCACTTCTAATGAACAGAACATGGCAGAAGAGATGGGACAGCACCTCCAGGTTTAGGCTACAAAGGCGGTGGCTTCCGTCTTGAGTGCTCTCTGGCACTCTCTCAGCTGGCCAGCTGCCATGTGGTAAGGACACTCAGGCAGCCTGTGGAGAGGCCCAGGCAGCCACATAAGTGAGCCTGGAGGCAGATTCTCCACCACAGTTGATCCTTGAGGTAAGTGCAGCCACAGTCAGCAGCTGTACCGCAACCTCAAACCCTGAGCCAGAGCACTCAGCTAGCCCACCCCCAGGTCATCTCACAGCAGCTATGAGATCATAAATGTATGTCCTTTTAAGCCACTGAATCTTGGGGTTAATTTGTCACACAGCAAGAGATAACTACAACATGAGCCTCCACATGGCAGTTGCTTCTCTAACAGTGCTGTAAGAATGGAGGTCCTTTTCTAAGTCACAGCAAAAACTGAACTAATGGCTAGAAATGACGCTATGTAAAAATTTGCTCCCATGATTTCTTATTTTGTTCAACCTTTCAGCCTGCCTCGTCTGTCACATAAACTTGATTATTCAGTTTAAATTTGTTTATGTTGCTATGATTTACTTTTACACATTATTTACAGATGAATTCATATAGTTGTTTTCTGCTAGCTAATTCCCATGATGGAAGGAAATATGTTTCATGGTGTTTTACACAGAGTGCTGGGGACCCCCAGCTGAAGAAGACACAGTCCCTGCCCTCAAGGAGCATCCATGCCATCTACAGGAGGAAGACAGGCAAGCCACTGCATGGAGGGGTACCCCCCCGCCACCATGAAGCAAGAAGAGGCAGGGTGCTGTGGGAGCCTAGAGAAGGGGCAGGGCCAAATCAGCCTTGCCCCTTACACTCCCAACCACACCTGTAGTTACCCTGCCCCATGCCTTGCTCCTGCTCCTTCCCATACAAGTACACCCTTTCCCAATTCCCTCTCTGGCCTGCTCCTAGGCCTCCTTCAGCTCAGTACCACCTCCTCCAGGCAGTCTTCCAGGTCTTCCTGCCTCACATCCATAAAGTGGGTGGCACTTCTCTCTGCCCACTCCCTCCTCTGATGAACCAGTCCTCCATCACCAGTCTCCACATTGCCCTGCAGTATTTATTCTTGTGTCCTTTTCTCTCCCTCCCTGGACTGCGAGTTCCTGGAGGATAAGAACTGTTTCTTACCAGCCCCCAGTACAGGGCCAGAGCCCCAGGCAGCCAGGAAGGAGAGCGAGAACCTCTGGGGAGGGAGTGGAGGGTAATGAGACTAATGCAGGGGAGACAGGTTGAGCCCCTGAAGATCAGGCTCTTTGGGTGCTGGTGTGGGCAGAAAAGCGGACCTGGCTTCTTGTCTAATGGAGGTATCATGATCCAACAGACATTGCCTGCTTCTGCTTCCACAGGGATGCCAGGCAGGCCCACAGGAGCTGGGACCTGCCACTTCCATCCCCACACTGCTCCCCTCTGACCACCCGCCCAGCCAGGCTTCCCAGGCACAGGGGGCCTCCCAGTCTGCTGACCTGAGCGTGGATGAACAGAGAGGCAGGAGCTCGATGAAGGTGGTCAGGGTCTTATCGGTCAGCCCCACCTTCCACAAGCTGTCGTGGGCGGGAAGTGCAGAAACACAGAGCTAGAGCGCCCCCTCCTACTGGAAAACCCTCCCCACACCGTTCTCCCAGCGGTGCCCTTCCTCATCCCCCACCCCCGACCTCCCCACCGTCGCCAGGGTCTCCCATGCCCCTTGGTTCTCTCTCCCAAGCCACCAGGAGCCCCAACTCCCACTCTGGTCCCCCGCCCATCCCCTCAGTGCCTCTCACTTGATGGCCTGTAGCTGGGTAAGCGGGGGCAGACATTTAGAGAAGACACCCAGAATCCGTTCCTCAACCTTCCAACCTGCGGGCCAAGAGGAGGCAGGTGCCTCAGACCTGGGAGGCTCCAGGGGAGCGGGAGGGAGCTGGGGCGGGTGGGGGGAGCGGGGCTCACCGCGGATGTAGATTTCCTTCACTGACTTGCTGTCCTCCTGCTCCAGCTCCACCTGGATGGTGGGCCGGAAGAACACGTATTTGCTCTCCAGGCTATTGAGGCTGCAGGACCCCGACAGCCGCGGATCGTCTGGAAGGCAGAGGTGAGGAGGGAGGGGAACAGCCACCTCCAGGGCCCCACGCCGGGCCGGCCCACGGGTGCCCGGGTGGGATTGGAGGACACCGCCAGAGGGGAGGCGCCGGCCTGCGGACTCTGCCTCTCCGGCCACTCGCGCCTCTGCTGGGTTGGAAAGGAAGACGGGAGACTCCCCCACCTCCCCACCGGCCTCGTCGAATACCGCCGACTCACACACACACACCGCCCCGCGTCCCTCCATTTGGCCCGGCGTGGGAAGGGAGGCTGAGGATGGACTAGGCGGCCCTGGCAGGCACCGGGGAGCTCCACTGTCACTCACCTAAGGTGGCCTTTTCCGACAAAGAGGCGGAGGGGACGAAGGGCGGGTGGGGGCGGGGCCGGTTGACAACTTTGGGGAAGTCCGTGTAGCCCCACCGCGTGCAGAGCTCGGCGAAGTCGGTCTCGAGGACCCCGGAGCACTGGTACTCCTCTGCGGGGGCAGGCAGGGGCGTGAGAGAAGGGGCCACGCCCACCCCCGCATCCCCAAGCTCTCCCGCGCGGGCGGAGGGGCCCTCCTCAGACGGATATTTTTGCAGCCATTCAACTTGCAAACGCTTGGAAGTACGGACGCTGAAAACACTTGATAGGAAACGGGGAAAGCAAGAGCTCGGAGAAAGGGGACTAACGGGCGTGCGTGCACGGTAGACAACGGGGTCCCCTCTTCTGTGTGCTGGCTTCCCCACCCCCAGGTCAAAGCGACTGCCACCCCTGCTCTCCACTCCCAGCCCGGGCTTCCGCCTTTCCCAGGTGTCCCCAGCCCAGCCTCCTCCTCACAAGTCCTCCTTCCCTGCTGGAACTGCTCAGGGTCCCTGGGAGAAAGCGCAGGCCCGATGTGAGTTCCTTTCCACTCCCACTCCTTCCCTACACATACACCCAAGAGCAGCAGAACGATACTTTTATTTAACATTTCCCCTGTCCAGTGTGTTTATATGGCACTTCCTAGTGTCCAGTGCTGTTTGAAATGCTTTAGAAATATTAACTCATTTCTGAGTTATATTAATTCACACGCGCCCACCACATCCCAACCTGAGGGCTGTGCTATGCAAACTTGAGACTCTGAGTCTTCAAGGGACACTTGCTCTTTCTGGCTCCCCACCATAGGCATCCCAGGAAGAAGTGGCTCCTAGAGATAGGATGGGAGTCCCTGCCAAGTGCCGGACAGCCTGGAGCTCCACAGAACAGCACGCTGGCCACAGGGGCAGGTGCTGCAGGAGCTGTGCCAGGAGGGACACCTGCAGCTCAGCAGTAGGGAGCCTGCCTGAGGGAGTGGAGGAGCTGGCAGGATGCAGAGAGGCTCGAGGGTTCATGGGGAAAGGCATGAGAGGCATTTTCCTCCTGTGTCTGGCCATCAGTGGTAACCCAGGCACAGCCAAATGGGCGAAGCAGGTAAGAGAAGGCATAGGGAGGTTGCAGTGACCCCCTGGTCTGGCTGGCTCCTGCACACCTCCCTGCCCTCCCAAACTTCCCTCTGCTGGGAGAGCCCCTCATGCTTCCTTGCTTCACTCATACCTCCCTTCTCAAGAACAGAGATTCTCAAGTTTTAACATCTTAAAAATCACCTGGAGAGCCTGCTAAAACAATTTCCTGGGCCCTATCCTACAGAAATTCTGATTCTGTAGCCCAGGTGAGAGCCCTGATTTTGCATTTTTAGCAACTTCCCAGATGATGCTGAAGTTGCTGGTCCAAGGACAACACCTTGAGAAGCCCTGCTCTAAAAGAGCGCTGCCCTGTAGTACTTCATGCCTGGATGGAAATGGGCTCTCTGCACTTTAGCAGATAGTTACCTGTCACACAGCACAGCTCTTTTCCCCTTCCACACCCCTTTCTTATGCTCACTAATGATCTCACCTCGTAGCTTCTTCAGAAATAAAAGCCATTAGATAGGATTTCCTCTAAATCCCTACACCTTCCTATATCAGCCATCACTCTCTACCGGACACGAGCCCACATCTGCCCCTGCCACAGCACACAGTTGGTGTCTGCTAAGGCCACCATGACCTCCATGTTGTCCTATCCAGGTGCCTGTGCAGGCATCACTCCCATTCTCTCCTACCTCTCTGCTGGCTGCTCAGGTTTCCCTGCCATCCTCTACAACCTGTAAGGCTGGATCCTGAGCCCTCTCCTCTTCTCTAATTATACTCCCTGCCTCCTTGAGGGGTCTCTTTCATTGCCAGGACTTAATTATGCCAGAACATCAGCAGCTCCCAAAGTCACAACTTCACCCAAAGTCACAACTCCACCCCTAACCTCTCAGGCACTGCTGACCCATGTGTCCAGCTGTCCAGCTGGCATCACCCCTTAGAGCTCCTCCCTTACATGCACCTCCTTTGGCCTTTCCCATCTCCATGAATGGCACTTCCTCCCACCCAGTGCCCAGTCCAGAAGCCTCAGAATCTTTCTTGCTCTGTCACTCACTCCCTACCCTGTCCAGTCCTTCGCCAACTCTTATTACTTCTACCTCAAAAGTGTTTCTCTGAGGAGCCTAACTCAACCAAGCCTCACCATTCTCACTGCCCTATCCCAACTCCCACTGTCCCCAGACTAGGCTGTTGAAATAGTCCGGTAACTCATCTGTTTGCCTCCTTCCACCCTGTATTCTATACAGCAGCCATGTCTGTGTGTGTGTGTGTGTGTGTGTGTGTGTGTGTGTGTGTGTGTGTGTGTGTTTTGAATGTAACTGGCTTCGTACCTGTAGGGGATTGTATACTGTCTTGTCTTCCCTTCCAGAAGATGTTGTTTCTCCAGCTCCTATAATTCCTTCTCCCCATCCACCAGCACTGACAAAGAGATAGTACCTGGCTAATGCTGGATGATCAGATCTTTTTCCCAAGTTGTTTTACTTCGATTCCAGAGACAGCAAGTTCTTGTCCCCGTGATGACGAAGCTGGCAGATTTGTATCAAGAAGACTTCGGATACATTTCCCCTTCATGCTTAGTTTGATTGGGGTTCTATCACTTGCAACAAAAAGGGCCATACCTCTACTTATACCATTCTACTCATTTTCTTTTCCCAGAGGATGTAAACCCCATGGGGGCAGGACTGTGTCCACCTCGTTCTCCTCCGTGACATATCTGGCCTCATGGCTGGCATTTGGAAAGTAATTGTTGAATCAATGAATGAACATCTGTAAACTCTGTTCAAAGGCACCTCCTGGCAACACCCCTGATGCCCTCACCCCCTGGGCCTTCCTCTCTTCTATATCTTATCACATCTTATTGGTATTTGTCACCATCCCAAACCAGAGTGTGGGTTCTTTAAGATCAAGTTCAATTGAAACATCTATCAAGCCGAGATTCAGGAACTCAACGTAGGTATGTATGAGTTCAGCCATAACCTTGGAGCAGTGAGTAGCTAGTGGGAACCCGGGAAGACGCAGCCTGGAAGCCCGATCCCCAAACCCCGGCGCCAGCGTACCAGGGCTTTTGGGCTCCTCCTCCCCCACGGGAGGCAGAACGGTCGCTGGCTTCTCTTTGGCCGCGCGCTCTCCCTTTTTGGTCACCGCGCCAGAAGACTTCTGGGTCCCCGGACGCGGGGCCCTGGGTGAGGCCCCCGGCGCGCTCTGCTCGCTCGACATGCTGGTGTTGTCCGCAGCGTCTCTGGGACCTTCGTCGGGGCAGGAAGGTAAGAACGCACTCTACGGGGCTCAGTCTGGGGGTGGCTGAATCAGGGGATCTCTGTTCCGCGTCCAGGGACCGGATCCGACCCGTCCGCGGTGGCGTAGCCTACGCGTCCCTCTCCAAGACAACCGCGCGAGGCGGGCGGGCCCGAGGGAAAGGGGCAACCGCAGAGAGCACGCGGGGCCGACAGGGGGCGCCGCAGGGCAGAGCAAGGCGAGGGGAGAGCCCACGAGGGCGGGTGGCGGAGCCAGAACCCGAGGGGCGGGCCAGGCCCGGCGGAGCAGGCAGGGCGAGGCCGGCCAGAGATCGCAGGAGCTGATGGGTCCCAGAGGGCCAGGGCTGGCCGAGCCTGTGCTAAGAGAGAAGGGCTAGGGTGACCTAGGACCTGAGCGGAGCCATGGCGAAGGAAACGAGTGGATCTTAGGACGGGAGCGGGGACAGGGATAGGGCGAGGGCGGGCAATCCAAAGTCATCCTGGAACTGGGCCTGGGGGATCGGGGCGGAGCCTGGGGGAGTGGGGTAGTGGGCGGTCGGAGGATACTAGGGAGAATCCAGGTGGGGGCAGGTCCACTCTCCAGAGTCCACCCCGCTGTCCAGTAAGGAGAGAGCACCTGGTGAAAGGCGTCTAGAGAAACCCATCTAGTTGGTGTGGTGCTAGGTTTATATTCTCGACCTCCATCTGTTTAGCCTCCTGGAGGTCTCTGGGGACTCAGTTAATCCTCTAACGAGTTAATAAGGTGAATCACACTCCTTACAAACCTGGGATTCAAAGTCATCACCTGACTCCTACTCTAGACCCTGATGGTTCTGCCCTGGTGGGCCCCATTTGAGTAAAGGCATACCCCCAAAATTCTAAGGGTTGGGTTCCAGACTACTGCAATAAAGCTAATATGGCATTAAAGTGAGTCACACCGCTTTTGTTTTTCTCAGTGCCTGTAAAATTACGTTTACACTATACTGTAGTCTGTTAAGTGTGCAATAGCATTATGTCTAGAAATGCATATAACTTTTTTTTTTTTTTTTTTGAGACGGAGTCTCACTCTGTCGCCCAGGCTGGAGTGCGGTGGTATGATCTCAGCTTACTGCAACCTCTGCTTCCCAGGTTCGAGCGATTCTCCTGCCTCAGCCTCCTTAGTAGCTGGGATTACAGACGCACACCACCATGTCTGGCTAATTTTTGTATTTTTAGTAGAGACGAAGTTTCACCATGTTTGCCAGTCTAGTCTTGAACTCCTGACCTCAAGTGATCCTCTCACCTCGGCCTCCCAAAGTGCTGGGATTACAGGCATGAGCCACAGCGCCCAGCCCAATGCACATACCTTAATTTTAAAAATACTTTATTGCTAAAAATGTTACTATCATCTGAGCCTTTAGTGAGTCATAATCTTTTCACTGGTGCAGCGCCTTGCTTTGAGGTTGATGGCGGCTGACTGATCAGGGTGGTGGTTGCTGAAGGTTGCGGTGCCTGTAGCAATTTCTTAAAATAAGACAACAGTGAAGTTTGCCACATCGATTGACATCCTTTGACAAAAGATTTCTCAATAGCATGCAATGCTGTTTGATAGCATTTAACCCACTGTAGAACTTTTTTTCAAAATTGGAGTCAATTCTTCAAATCCTGCCACTGCTTTATCAACCAAGTTTATGGAATATTCTAAATCATTTCTTGTCATTTCAACAATGCTTACAGCGTCTTCACCAAGAGTAGATTCCATCTCATGAAACTGCTTTCTTTGCTCATCCATAAGCAACTCCTCATCCATTCAACTTTTATCATGAATTGCAGCAATTCAGTTTCATCTTCAGGCTCCACTTCTAATTCTAGTTCTCTTGCTATTTCTACCACATCTGCAGTTACTTCCTCCACTGAAGTCTTGAGCCCCTCCAAGTCATCCATGAGGGTTGGAGTCAACTTCTTCCAAACTCCTGTTAGCATGAATATTTTGACCTCCTCCCATCATGAATCACAAATGTTCTTAATGGCATTTAGAATGGTGAATCTTATCCAGGTTTTCAATTGAATTTGCCCAAATCCATCAGAGGAATCACTATGTATGGCAACTCATGCTTTACAAAATGTATTTCTTAAATAATCAGACTTGAAAGTCGAAATTACTCCTCAATCCACAGGCTGCAGAATGGATACTGTATTAGCAACCATGCAAACAACATTAATCTCCTTGTACATCTCCAGGTGCATTGTCAAGGAGCAATAATATTTTTAAAGGAATACTTTTTTCTGAGCAGTAGATCTCAATAGTGGGCTTAAAATATTCAGTAAACCATGCTGTAAACAGATGTGCTATCATCCAGACTTTGTTCCTTTTCCAGAGCACAGGGACACAGGCAGGGTAAAATTAGCATTCTTTTCTATTTATTTATCTATTTTGAGACAGATTCGTGCTTTGTCACCCAGGCTGGAGTGCAGTGGCACGATCTTGGCTCACTGTAACCTCCGCCTTCCAGGTTCAAGCAGTTCTCCTGCCTCAGCCTCTCCAGTAGCTGGGACTACAGGTGCGCGCCACCACACTTGGCTAATTTTTTTTGTATTTTTAGTGGAGATGGGGTTTCACCATGTTGGCCAGGCTGGTTTCGAACTCCTGACCTCAAGTGATCCTCCCCACTCAGCCTCCCAAAGTGCTGGGATTATAGGCGTAAGCCACCATGCCCGGCCTTTTTTTTTTTTTTCTTTTTAGAGACAGGATCTTGCTCTGTCGCCAAGGCTGGAGTCCAGTGATGATGATCATAGCTCACTACAGCCTTCTTCTTTTTTTTTTTTTTTTTGAGTCAGAGTTTCACACTTTCGCCCAGGCTGGAGTGCAGTGGCGCAATCTTGGCTCACTGCAAGCTCCTCCTCCTGGGTTCAATTGATTCTTCTGCCTCAGCCTCCCAGGTAGCTGGGACTACAGGCACCCGCCACCACACCCGGCTAATTTTTTGTACTTTTAGTACAGACAGGGTTTCACCGTGTTGGCCAGGATGGTCTCAATCTCCTGACCTCGTGATCTGCCCACCTTGGCCTCCCAAAGTGCTGGGATTACAGGCATGAGCCACCGCACCTGGCCTCACTACAGCCTTCTAACTGCTGGCCTTAAGCGAAACTCCCACCTCAGCCTCTCAAGTAGCTATGACTACAGGCATGTGCCACCACGCCACACTAAATAATCAACATAATTCTTAAGGGCCTGAGGATTTTTGGAATGGTAAATGAGCATTAGCTTCAACTTAAAGTTACCAACTATATTAGCCCCTAACACCTGTCCTTTGAAGCTCTGAAGCCAGACATTGACTTCTCTCTAGCTGTGAAAGTCCTAGATTGGCATCTTCCTCTAATATAGGCTGTTTTGTCTACATTGAAAATCTGTTGTTTAGAGGAGCCACCTTCATCGTTGTCTTAGCTATATCTTCTGGATAACTTACTGCAGCTTCTACATCAGCACTGGCTGTTTCATCTTGCACTTTTATGTTATGGAGATGGCTTCTTAAACTTCTTTCATTAAACTTCACGAACCAACCTCTGCTGGCTTCTAAATTTTCTGTAGCTTCATCACCTCTCTCAGCCTTCATAAAACTGAAGAGAGTTAGGGTCTTGCTGCAGATTAGGCTTTGGCTTTTAAGGAAATATTGTGGCTGATTTGATCTATCCAGACCACTAAAAGTTTCTTCATATCAGCAACAAGGCTGTTTCACTTTTTTTTTTTTTAATGGAGTCTTGCTCTATCACCCAGGCTGGAGTGCAATGGCATGATCTCCGCTCATGGCAAACTCCGCCTCCCGGGTTCAAACGATTCTCCTGCCTCAGCCTCCTGAGTAGGTGAGATTACATGTGCGCGCCACCACACCTGGCTAATTTTTTGTATTTTTAGTAGAGACAGGGTTTCACCATGTTGGCCAGGCTGGTCTCAAACTCCTGACCTCATGATCCACCTGCCTTGGCCTTCCAAAGTGCTGGGATTACAGGCGTGACCCACCGCACCCGGCCAGCTGTTTCACTTTCTTATTATTCATGTTTTCACTGGAGTAACACTTATAATTTCCTTCAAGAACTTTTCCTTTGCATCCACAACTTGGCTATTTAGTGCAAAAGGCCTAGCTTTCAGCCTGTCTTGGCTTTCAACATGCCTTCCCCACTAAGTTTAATCATTTCTAGCTTCTGATTTTAAGTGAGAGATGTGTGACTATTCCTTTCACTTCAACACTTAGAGGCCCCTGTAGGGTTATTAATTGGCCTCATTTCAATATTGTTGTGTCTCAGGGAATAGGGAGGCCCTAAGAGAGGGAAAGACTTGGGGGAACGGCTGGTCGGTGGAGCAGTCAGAACACACACAACGTTTGCTGATTAAGTTTACCGTGTTATATGGGTGCGGTTCATGGCGCCCCGAAACAATTACAATAATATATCAAAGATCACTGATCACAGATCACTATAACACATATAATAACAATGAAAATGCTTGAAATATTGCAAGCAATTACCAAAATGCAATGTAGAGACCCAAAATGGGCACATGCTATTGGAAAAATGGTGCCAACAGATTTGCTTAAAGCAGTGTTGACACAAATCTTCAATTTCTCTGCTTTGCTTTTCTTAACCTATTGCTGTCACATATATGTCCCAAAACCTTCAATTTCTTTAAAAATTCTGCTACCTGTGAAGTGCAATAAATCAAGGCATGCCTGTATACTCTCTCCTGTTATCCTTTCTCCAGCCTCTGCACCCCCCTCAGCCTCAGCCCCTCTGCACCCCTGCCCCTGGCACCTTCCCACACCTGAGCTCTGCGTTGTTACCCTGGGGAAATGCCACCCTTTAGGGAAGTCTCCAACTTATTCAGTCTGTAACTGTCAGAGCATACAGATGGCTCATCTATCTTAGCAGTTACTGCATGTCACTGGTACTTAATTCAGTCAGCCACTCAGCCTTTTGGGGAGCATTTGTTGAGTGCCTACTCTGTGCCAAGGGAGAGCTAATATTGAGCATAAGCACAGGATTCTTGCCTTCAGGGAGCTTACAGTCTAGTGGGGGAGGCAGAGATTAATCAAATAATCACATAAAGAAAGAACACATTAAAGAAGTGCCTGGCACCCTGTAGGCCTTCTGCAGGTACCTGGTGAGTGAACACAGCTGCAATCAGGGCTGTGAAAGATGTACGGAGGGTGGGCACTTCCCTGAGGAGGAGGTGTAAAGGAAAAGCAGGGGTGAACAGGCGAGTGGGGGAGGAAGGGCACTCCAGGTGTGCAGGTCCCTGTGCCAGAAAGAAGAGTGGCCTACAGGAGGACCTAGAGGCCGGTGTGACTGGCGTGCAGTGACAGGAACACAGTTCAAGGTGAGGCTGGAGAGACAGATGGGCCAGGCAAAGCAGGGCCTTTAAGGCCTTCAAAAGTTTTGATACTGGCAGAAGAGCAAAGAGGCACCTATGAAGGCTTTCAGGTAGGGAGTAACTAACCAGCCTGTATTTTGAAATTATGAGCCATGCATTGGAAGGTTCACTGAATCAATGGAGGAGGCCAGTTAGGAGGCTATTGCTAGAGTTAATTGGGTTGGTTCCATCTCCCTACTAAATGGTAAGTGCCCTAGGACAGAACCTGTGCCTGGTACCCTTCTAAAATCACAGAAACACACACACGCACAGAGCCCAGGCTGAGCATGCACAGAAAAGGTACCCCACACGCATGTCTGAAATCAGAGTTACCCAGCAACTTCCAACCCACCAGTTTATGTACACAGGGCCCTGGAGGCCTTGGGAGCAGTGGGTTGGGAAAGGGAGCCAGGCATCCTGCTGATCAGCGTCTCCCATGGTAGAACCCAGGAACAAGGCTCCCATCACTTGCTCTGTTAAGCGTTGTTCATGTTCACAGCCTGCCGGTCCACTCCCTGCTCCTGGCAGGGGTACACTAGGCTCTGTCCCCAGCCTTGAGCAGCAACAGCCAGGTGTGCTGGCCTCTGCCATACCATCCTGGCTCCTCAACGGTCCTGGCGTCGAAGTGGAGGTGATGGGGGATGCCGTACTGGAGGCAAGTCATAATGTCCAGGGATGTGGCTGTTCTTGGGTGAGTCATAGTGGCCGGGGGGTAGGCCCGGAGGCAGAGGGGGCTGGGAGCCCACAGAGTCTCGGTCTGGAAACATGAGGACAAGATAAGAGGGAGTGGCTCCTCCCACCACTCTCCCCACTCCCTCCACTCCCACTGCACTCCTCTCCTCTTCAGCCTCTTCAAGGCAAAGAGAAGCAGATGGGGCCTGGATACATACACCAGTTTACTATCAGCTGGCCGTGCGGCTCCAAGCAAAACTCTCTTAGCTTCTCAGCTGCCAATGGAGAAAGCCACCTCAGCCCGCCCACCTCCCAGGATATGAGGAGACTTTATCACCTGCCTGGCTCCCTACTTTTCTGGGTACCAACTCCACCACTCTGATGCTGTACGACCCCACTTCTATCCTGAGCTCTGCGAAGAAGGTACACCATACTGTTCTCCAGATGAGGACACAGGCTCTGAGAGGCCACGTCGCCTCCCCGTCATGCCTGATTTGAGCCCGAAGCTGACCCCAAAGGCCTCACTCTTGATGCCACATCATGCCTTCTCTTCTCCCTCTGTTCCTTCTGTTTTTCTGCCTCCCTTGTCCCAGTTCTCTGCTGCTCCTGCCAGTGGAGAGGGAGGGCTCACCATGGATCAGGGGGCTGGGCTGCTCGTAGGTGCCACTGTCTCTCTGTGGCTGGGGTTGCCGCCGCCTCTGGCTGTCCCAGAACTGAGGAGGCTGCCTGGGGGGAGATCCTGAGGGAGGGCCTTTCATCTCCATGTAGCTGCTCTCCCGGGGGCCCCCTGGCAAGCTGGGCAGGTCCCGGATGGTGGCATATGGGTTCTCACTGCTCAGGGAAGCCACACTGGCCCCGAGCTCCTCTTCAGAGATGAGCCCTAAGGATAGAGGAAAGAAGTCAGGCCGCATGGAGGCACTGGTTCCTCAGCCCCAGCTCAGCCACCTCCCTTGTTGCCCCTGTGCCCATACCTTTATTGTAGAATGGGCCTGGGCCATTGCTGTAGCTATAGCTGTAGCTTCGGTCCAGGCGGCTGCTCCCTGAGGAGGAGGAGGCAACTGGTAATCAGCCCTCTGTCCCCTCCCCCGGCTCACACTTCCTCTAGAAATGGGGCCCAGAGCCCCCGTCTCCAGACACACACACTCAGACGCGGCATCTGGGCTGCACACATCCACCCGCGCCAGAGACCCTGGCCTCCCGGCACCTACCCCTGTCCAGAGGCCCTGGAGGGGGCTCCCGGCGGTGCTTCCAGTCAGCAGGCAGGGTGGTGTGGTTATCATGCCCTTGGGCCCCACCTGGCCGCTCAGGGTTCTGCAGGCTGGCAAAGAGCGGGCCTGGAACCTAAGAGGGGACAGTGCAGGAGGGAGAGCAAGAGGCAAGGACAGGGCTTTCCAGAGAAGCTGGTCTGTGCGCTTCCCTCCACAGTGCACCCCCTCCCCCGGCACTGACCTTGTTAGGGGGTGGGGGGTTTGGGGAGCACTGCGACAGGGTGTGGTAGCTGGGGTTGGAGTAGTAGTGACTGTAGCTCGGAGGGACATCTGCATGACAGACACAAGCACAGGGTGAGCTCAGCGATGGGCAGGAGTCCAAGAGAGCTGTTTTGTCCCCGGAGATCAGTACTTTGGCCTCCCTGACCTCCCTTCCTCCCTCCTCCCCACTCCTCATCTTCCCTTTGGGTCATGCCCAGCATCCACTCTTGTGCCTATGAGCCAGCCACTCATCTGTGCCCCAGGCCCTGTGCCAGCTCACCTGGCATGACATACTCGGAGCCGTCCAGGCGCCCGCTGCTGTAAGCCACAGCCAGGTGGTGGTGCTCCTTGCCTTTTTGCCAGTGCCGATAGCCAATGAACAGTGCCACCAGGGCTACCACAAGGGACCCCAGCACTGCAATGCCAATCACTGCACCCAGCGAGTTATACGCTACTGGAGTGGTCGGCATCACAGTAAAGGGCTCCTGGATTCCTGTGTGGAATGGGGTGCTCACTCAGAATGGCATCTTGGCTCTGCTGCATGGGAGAGGTGCTCAGGAGGGAAGTAGGGACTGTATGAGGGGCCTAGGTCCCAGTTCCCTGGGGACAATGGGTGGGAAGGAGAGGGCAAAGAACTCACCAATCCTGCAAGGTGCACCACTGTGCCCTGGGGGACATACACAGGCCCCAGTCTCTGGGTGGCACTTTTCTCCAGGACCACACTGGCATGGCTGGGAGCAGTTAGCACCAAATGTCCCCAGAGGGCAGCCTGGGGAGACAGCCAAGGAGGCAGGCCGGCATCAGAGCCGCCAGGAAACTCTAGTCTCCTTTTTTTGGGTAAGGGTTAAGTTGGAGGCAGGGGCCTGGAGTTCCCCTTCTGTTGGTACCTTCTAAGCAGTGGTGTCCAGTCCAGCCTAGGGGGCAGATACAGCTCCCATCCTGGGGATGGCAGGTCCCACCATGGTGACATTGGCAGGTCTGGGCACAGTTTTCTCCCCAGTGTCCTGGAGGGCATGCTACGGGAGACATGGGGCCTGTCTGGTGGGGCAGGTACAGCTTTTCCTGGATGAACTCTCAGCCCCCAGCATCACTGAAGCCTTTAGCTCAGCTTTGGTCTCCCTGGGCACACCAAAGCTTTGAACAGTATCTGCAACCAATGACTCACAAATGATTATTTCCAGCCCCATCTCTCCCCCAAACTCCAGACCCACGTGTCCAACTACCTACTCAACATCTGCACTTGACTATCTAATAGCCACTTCAAAATAGTGTATTCAGTGCCACACAACCAAAGGCTTCCAAGCTACCCCGGATGGATTTTTGTTTTGTTTTTAACATAAGAGAGAAGTAAACATCTGTCCTGTTTAAGGCATTATTTTTGTGTGTCTAACACTAGCAATAATCTAATAGTAGTTGTAACCAGAGTCTATGGAAAAACTCTTCACCAAGATGACTTCCTTCTTTACCCCGCCTGCTGGTAAGCTGAAATTCAGTCTTCTTCATAACAGCCTGTTTCCTCTTTCCAAACTCGTTTTACTTGGCTTTTTTGGACTAATCTTTTCAATGATCTTAATATATTTTTGTGGGGGAAAGGCTCATAAAATAAAGAAATACATGTATTTATTAATATATAAATAAAAATAAACTGAAAAATGCAAAAGAAAAAAAGGGCTGGGCGCAGTGGCTCACACCTGTAATCCCAGCACTTTGGGAAGCCAAGATCACCTGAGGCGGATGGATCACCTGAGGTCAGGAGTTCGAGACCAGCCTGGCCAATATGATGAAACCCCAGGGGTCTCTACTAAACATACAAAAATTAGCCTGCTGTGGTGGTGTGTGCCTGTAATCCCAGCTACTGGGGAGGCTGAGGCAAAAGAATTAACTAAACCAGAGGCAGAGGTTGCAGGGAGCTGAGATCATGCCACTGCACTCTAGCCTGGGCAACAGAGTGAGATTCCGTGTCAAAAAAAAAAAAAAGAAAGAAAGAGAGAGGGAGGGAGAGAAAAGAAGAAAGAAAGAAGAAAGAAAAGAAAGAAAGAAAGGAAAGAAAGAAAGAAAGAAAAGAAAGAAAGAAAGAAGAAAGAAAAGAAAGGAAAGAAAGAAAGAAAAAGAAAGAAAGAAAAGAAAGAAAGGAAAGAAAGAAAGAAGAAAGAAAAGAAAGAAAGAAAGGAAAGAAAGAAAGAAAGAAAGAAAGAAAGAAAGAAAGAAAGAAAGAAAGAAAGAAAAAGAAATCAAGAGAAAATGTCCCAAGCTAAGCCTATGATTTCCCCTGCTCCCATAAAAATACTGTTCTTCCCAGGCTTCCCATGCAGAAGGGCAGGAATTTTTCCCCCTGACCTGTTCACTGCTGCATCCTTAGCACCTAGAACAGTACCCAGCATGTAGGTGGTGCCCAGTAAATATTTACTCAAGGTGGGCCCAGAGGCTTTTATACCCAGGAGCTGGGGGACAGAGACCTCCCGTCCTCAGCACCCCCTCTCAGCATGCACGTATGCTCAGACACACAAGCTACCACATACGCTGGGAGCAGTCGGGGCCTGTCCAGCCAGCCAGGCAGTAGCAGGTCCCGTTCGAGGGGTGGCAGAAGGAGTGGTTAGCGCACTTGCAGGGCACACAGCGTTTGCCATAGCGGCCAGGCTGACAGGCTGGGGGAAAGGGGTACATGGTGATTGGGGGCAGAGGCCAATCCTCAATCAGCCCTTACCCCACCGTCTCCCTCCCACCTTCCCACTGCAGTAACTAGTCTGAAGACGGGTCAGAGGAAGAGACCGGGGGTAAGGTGGGAGAGGTGGGCGGCGGGCGCGGGGGGAGGGGTGCTCTGGCAGCTGACACTACACTGCCCCCTGCTGGTGGCAGGTGGAAGGGGCAGTAGGGAGCCTCACATCTCTGGCAGGAGGGGCCCCGGAATCCGGGTGCACACACGCAGTTGCCATTCTCAGGGAGACAGGTGCCCCCATTCTTGCAGGTGCAGGTGTTGCTACAGTTGACTCCCCATAAGCCCTCAGGGCAGGACAGGTGGCAGCGGGCACCTGTGGGAGACAGCAGTCGGGTGTGCCTGGCTGGGCCCCCTTCAGTTCCAGGGGGCTCTTCTGGACACATTTCCTATGGATGCATCCCCCAATCCACAGTAGGCCTGGGGCCCCAGAATGCTCACCCATCCAGCCAGCCTGGCACTGACAGCGTCCATGAACAGGGTCACAGCCATCAGAGTGGTCACAGTCACAGCGACTGGCACAACCTTCTCCAAACTGCCCCTTCTTGGAGAAGGAGTGGGGAGCAGGTAGGCCAGTCAGCTGGGGGACGCCATGCCCTCCCCACCCCCAGGCAGACAGGCTGTCCAGCACTCACCGGACAGGGCAGCTGGCAGTGGGCCCCATGCCACCCAGGGGTGCAGGTACAGGCTCCAGTTTGGGGGCTGCAGACTGCCTCATGGGCACACTGGCAGCTGGCATTGCAACTGAAGCCCCAGGTTCCGGGTGGGCAGGGCACAGAGCAGTTACCACGCTGCCAACCTGGAGGAGGGGCCTGGTAGGTAGGTATGGGGACCCATTTCCCTTCCTGAGCAAGCACACAGTGGGAGCTGGCTGGGCCAGATTCTATGCTATGAGCTGGGGTGGGTGGGGGGTGTTCACGGCACCATACAGGAGAAAAGCTTATGAGTTATTTGATGCGGAGCAGAAGGCTAACTGCCTTCCAGTGAGGTACCACCCCATTCTGGGTCTGGGGTGCCTTCTGCAAAATAAAGGGGATGGCACTAAACCCAAATGTTTACAGGGGCCCCATCAGGTAACTAAATGACTTATACAGAGGATGTGCCAGACAACAGGGAGTAGTGGGGACTGAAGATGGGAGACTTGTTAGCCAAACAAAGCACAACTGTATCCGAGTCCAGCCTAAAGGTTGCCAATGTGTCACTCTGGCAGATGTGAGGCCCTTCCCAGCATGGTAATTGTGTTTCCGTATGACTGAGGGTGAGGGACGTTCGCCAGTGAGGTGGCTTTTGGCCTCAGCCTTTAAGGACAGGTAGGATCTTTGTGGTTGAAGAAAAGCAAAGTGGATATTCCAGGAAGAAAGTAGCCTGGATACTTTCCCTGTGTCCAGCTGCTGCCCCTCCACCCTTACCCTGCAGCCGCTCCCCTGCCCTTGGCCCACCCATACTCTTGGACTCTCCCTTCTTCCCTTGGCCATCCCCCAAGTCTTCTCTCTGGGAAACTCCACCCTATTACCTTCCTTGCAGACGCACTCGCCGTCGATGGGTGAGCAGGCGATGGCATTTTCACATGAGCAGCGTGCAGAACAGTTGACACCGTAGGTGTCAGGAGGACAAAGACTAGCACAGTGAGGGCCCTGAAAGAGGGTGAGCGGGTGAGAGGGGCGGCCCATTCCTTGGCCTCTCCACCTGCCTCGCTTCCTTGCAGCCGGGCGCGCCTCACCGTGTAACCCGGCGCGCACTGACAGAGGCCGCTGGTAGCCTGGCAGACGCCACCGTGCAGGCAGAGACAGTGCTCCTGGCACCCTGGCCCATGCGTGTCCTGCGGGCAGCTCTCGTTGCAGTGGAGGCCCGCCCAGCCCGGCAGGCAGGAGCACTCCCCGTTCATCGGGTGGCAGCTGGGGGCAGAGGCGGGGGCGTGGCGCGGTCTGAGCTGGGCAGGGGCAGGGCAGCTTCCCGACCCCTCCGCGTGGTCAGTGGGATTCGCACATCGCTGGGGTAAGGGGGTCACTAGGGAGGCTCCGCGCTATTCTGAAAACTGGGTTGGGGCAAGTAGCGGTACCCCAGGCCCCTCCCGGCCCCTGAGGTCCCTCCCTTTCCCCTTCTGTGACACCTGTCCCCCTTGGATATGGCCCTGGCTCTGTGGTGACTTCGGCCAGGAAGACCTCCCCATTGGCCTCCTGATCCTTTGACCACATGTCCCGCGGCCCACCTGAGGCTGTGCTCCCGGTCGCAGGTGCAGGGGGCCTGGCAGCTGAGACCGTAGAAGCCGTCGGGGCAGAGGCGATCCGTGCAGCGGTCCCCAGTGAAGCCGTGTTCGCACAGACATGCGCCGTTGGCCGGGAAGCAACGGGCGTCCGGGGCGCAGTCGCACGTCTCAGCACAGTCCTGCCCAAAGCGGCCCACCGGGCACTCCTCCCGGCACCTGGGCACCTAGCTGAGTGAGCCTGGCGGCGCCCCACCTCCTCCCTCCCGTCTCCCGCCCGCCCCACGCCACTCACCGATCCCCAGTGTAACCCGGAGCGCAGCGGCACTGCCCAGTGAATCGGTCACAGAGGCCGCCGTTGTGGCAGCGACATTCCTGGGAGCAGTTGGGTCCGTGAAAGCCCTCTGGGCAGGGCAGGGAGCAGATGGTGCCCTGTGGGGATAAGAGGTCAACAGGGCCCCAGGCACCCAGCCTCCTCCCCAAGGCCACAGGACCCCTTGACACCCCCATAACCACAGAGCTCACCCCCCTCACTCACCTTGGAGCCCTGCTTAGCACCACCCACAGAATTCTCCCCAGACCCACACCCCATGCCCACAGGCCCCACCCTCCATACCATCCAGCCAGGGGGGCAGCTGCAGGAGCCCTGTGGGGTTTGGAAGACACCTCCATTTTGGCAAGAATGGGTGCTGGGGCAGAAGAAGCCAGAAGTGCCCTGGGAACAGGACACGTCACAGCTGCAGGACAGAGTGGGTGGAGTCAATGTGCAAACAAGCAATAACTGCTTCCTCTCTTGCCTCCAAGGACTGCCCCCACAACCCCCACCTCAGGACTTAGTGATTCACACTTGCTCTTTCCTGCTGGGGACTGTCGAGTCAGAAAGCAAAGGTTTCCAGGACTGGAAATGGCAGGGACACCCTGGCACCGGCAGGTGGGGGTGAGCAAAGAGCCACGGGTGGCATGTCTGCCTCTCGGGCGCCCCCACCTCCTCACCTTGGCTTGGTCTGTTCACTCTCGGGGAACATCTGTGCTACTGTAGTAGGCTCAACTCCACGAGCGCCTCCACAAAGCGTGATCTTGATTTCCACCTAGGTCTACCTTCTCCCTCCCGGGACTCCCCAGCTCCCCCTGCACCCTGCCTTGCAACAGGGTTCTCTGGGTCCTTGTCCCAGCCTCACTTTGCAGCATGCCTTCACACACGTGCTACCTCATGTTATCTTCACAGCCACCCTGCCATGTAGACAATACTATTCCCGTTTTACAGACAGGAAACAAGCCCACAACGAGTCAATGATTTGCTCAAGGTCACTCCACTCGTGAGGAATAGGATCCACTGGGACCAGGATCTTGGCCTCCACATCATCCCCACACTTGGGGCCCTGTCTGAGTCACCTCATTTCCCCACATAGATCTGTGTGGCCTTGTGTCTGCGATCTTGTTAAAGTGTCGTTCCCCCCATTACATACCTGGGCCCAGTTCTCTCTGCGGGGCAGAAGCAGGCTCCAGTCTGGGGATCGCAGGGTGCCCCATGGCACTGGCAGCGGAACTGGCAGGCAGGGCCATAGTAGCCAGGGGTACAGGGCTGAAGGCAGTTCGGGGGCTGCAGACCAGAAGGGCAAGAACATACCCCACTCTTGGGATCACACGAGCTGTTGTTGCCGCAGCTGCAGGGCTTGTCACACTGTGGCCCCCACATTCCTGGGGCACACTCTGTGGGATAAGGAGGCGGGAAGGGGGTCACCAGGGGTCTAGTCCATCCCCAGCCTCCCCGTCTCTGTCTCCCAGCCTCTGTCTCCCAGCCCCCACAGGCCCACCCTGTCTTCCACATCTCCAGAAAAGGCAGATGGCAGCAATGGGGCTCTGGCGGGTAATCGCCCTGGGGTCCTAAGCCCCTGTGCCCTGGTAGGGAGGGTGTACCTGAGGGTCCTGTGGCCCTGAAGGCACAAGAGGCCACTCCCTGGGGTCAGTAGCCACTCACCACTGGAACAGTCGTCGCCCCGCCAGCCTGGCACACATTGGCACTGATTGGGTGCCACACAACGGCCATGGACACACTCCTGGGCACAGAGCGCTGGGACAGAGATGGGTGTGGTGAGATGTGTCCACCCCTGCCCCTACCCAGCTTTTATCCTGCAAAGCCTAACCCCACCTTCCTCCAAAACCAGGGACCTGAAGTTCTCCAAGCCCCAATTCTGCCTCTAAGATAAAGACTGAGGGGCAGCAACTCAGGGGGAGAACTTAGCAAGATGCCAGTGTTCTGGGTTCCCCTGTTCCTTTTTGTGAAATTGTCTGAGCACCTTGTTGGGAAAATGCTTTGGGGGAGATCCTCAAAAGGGGACTGAACATGGACACTGTCCAGAGAGAGGGCAGGTGGCGGTCGGGGTTCTCTGGAGAGCAGTGTTTGCAGAGGCTCGTGATGGGCAGTGGCTGAGGGAAGTGGGAGGAAGAGGAAGACAGGCTCCAGTCATTACAGGGTGCTGGGAGGGGGGTGCAGTGGGCAGGAGAGACTGGATAGTGACAAGTCAGAGACCAATAGCAACAGAGAGTCAGGGAGAGGAAGAGACAGAGGCAGACCCAGACACCAAGTCCTGAGACACACAGTGACAGAGAGACAGAGACAGCCCAAAGACAGAACAAGAGCTCTAGGGCAGACAGCGATGCAGAGACACTGTTGAGGGACATGGAGAGATGGGGTGGGAGACACATGGGGCCGGCTGGAGACAGGGGTGTGAAGTGGTGATGGAGAGGGAAGTGCTGATCCCCATCCTGGGGACAAGGCCAGGGAGAGGAGAGGAGGGGGGAACCCAAAAGGGCAGAGGAGTAACCCCATTCTAGCGGGGGCCGGGAGGGACTCAGAAGAGTAGGCTAAGCTCCCCGCATTCCATTGCCCCACCCCGCTCCCTAACCCAACCCTGGACTCACGGACACAGAACCCCCTGCTCTCATAGAAGCCATGGCAGCACTGCAGGCGCTGGCGGTGGTCCGTCTTCACCACCTGACGGTACACGGTCCGGTATACAACCCTGCGGAGGCCAGGAAGGCGGCCCTCAGCCCTCCCTGCTGTCCGCACTCACCACAGTGTGGCCAGGGGGAGGCCAGGGAAGGGGCACCACTCAACACTCTGGGCTGAGGGCGCATAGAAAGCGCATTCCCTGTTTGAGGTTGCAGTGCACTACGATCTCGCCACTGCACTCCAGCCTGGGTGACAGAGCGAGACCTTGTCTATTAAAAAAAGAAAGAGCATTCCCTTCTTGCCCCCCCCCCAACCCCACAGGCATATACTGTAACATGCATGCGTACCCTAAACACACATACACGCATTCACATATACATCCCATACACACGTACCCGACACAGACCATGCAGAATGAATCCCTAGAAGCCAGGAGTTTCCTCTGAGTTTCTGAGAAGTGAACAGGTACAGAGGGCCAGGGGCCAGGCTGAGGCAGCGACTCAGGTAGCCCATCCACCCATGGAGGATGAGGAGCACTCACGTGGGCTGGGGGCAAGTATGGGGGCCCTCCCAGGGCCGCTCGCAGGGCTCTGAGGGGAGCAGGCTGAAGGGGCGGGAGTGGGACTCCTTGGTGGTGGTAGTGAAGCTGCAAGACAGGGAACAGGGTCAGGGCCGAGGGCAGGAGGAGGCCTGAGCGGCCACAACGGGAAAATGGCCATGAGGGCTTGGCCACAGTGGGGAATCCACAGCCCAACGCTGGGGCTGCTCTCGTAGCCTAGGATGGGACCCCCATCCTGTCCCACCTCTCAAGTCTGGAGGCTTCTCCCAGAACTGGAAGGTTCCTGGGATACCCTCCATCAGAGCGCCCTTCCCACTCTATTGGACCGGAGCCTTCCATTTTTCTCTCCCTGCCCTCTCCTCCCTGTATGGAAAGGGTGAGTGAGAACTGACTCCTGGGCCCAGCTGGCGGCGATGGGCTGAAGTATTTCCGGCTATATTCTGCCCTGGGTCTTTTCTCCCCGCCCTGTTTCCTTTGCTCCCCCTGGGCCAGCCCCTCTGCTTGCTCCACAACGAATGGCTCCCACTCTGCGCTCTGTTCCAAAGTTGGCCTCCCACAGGAACTAAGGGACGGGGAAAGAGAAAGGATGGTTCAGAGACTGAGACAAGGTCAGAAATGGGGCTGGAGTCAAAGGCAACCCATAGAGAGGAGTAGAGAGAGCAGAAACAGAGAAATAGGCGGGAGGGGAGAGACTAGAGAGAAGGAAGGAGATTAAGGAAGGACCAAGAAAAGGACCCCAGTAGGGACAATAGGGACAATCGGGAGCTAGGGCTTGGTGCCCTCAAGGTGCAGCAGGGGCCCTCTCACCTTTCCCAGAAGCTGCAGGTATTGGGATCACTGGGGTTGAGAGTTCCAGCCAGCCGCAGGCCCACAGCCAGGAGAAGGAGGGGACACAGAGGCGGTGACATTGCAGAGGCCTGCAGCAAGACCGGCGCAGAGTGGGCAGTGGCGCTGCAGCCAGCAGCCTGGAGGACCTGTCTGCAGAGATCTGAGCCGTGGGCATGCAGAAGAGACCAGACTGCGGCCCCGTGTCCTCTGGCCCCTTGCTCTGAGCTCCAGCTCCCCTACACCTCACTCCTGAACTGCAGTCACTTCCACGCCTCCGGTCTTTGCTCATAGTTTGCTTAGACACCCTCACGTCTCATTCTTCACCTGGAGTTCCCATCTTTCAAGGTCTAGTTCAGGTGCCACCCCTTCCCTCCTCCACTTCCTGATGCTCATTGGCAGATGATCCCACTCATTCCTTCTGGGGGTCCCAGTATCATTCACCCCCACCCCACTGTTCCAGTGCCTGCTCCCTGACCATGACCTCCAGAGGCAGGGACCCAGTGCGTTTCATCTCTGAATCCCCAGCCCCCAGCCCAGGCCCTACCCAGGGCACTTTGATATTTGTACCAAGGTGTGAGACTGGAACCAGTGAGGGGAAGTGATGAGGGACTCAGCCTTGGGCTCAGTCAGAGGAAGAACTTTCCAACAGTCAGAGCGGCTCAGGAATAGAATCGGCTACCTCAGGTGGTGAGTTCCCTGTCACTGGACATATGCAGGCAGAAGCCAAAACCAGCCTGATGAAACGCTGTCAGGGGTTTCCTGCTCTATATGGTGGGAGTGGGGCTGGGTCCAGGTGACCTCCCAACCAGTGGTGTGCTGGAACCACCTCATACGGGCCCAGAGAGCCAATTGTATGCATCTCTTCCTAGCAACATGTTCAGTGATGTCACGTGAGTAGCTTGAAATCAGGCATGGGGGGTTATTGACACCAGAGAAACTAGCAAACACTAAAACCCAAGGCCAGTCTCCCTCCCAGAGTCAGTTGTGACACCTTAGCCAGCACACCACAACACCCAACTCTAGGTGCCATCACCTGAAGAGGTCACCAACCTGGCCTTGCATTTAAGGAAAAGCTCCCGCCTCCCTCAGACTGCCCTGTCAGCCATTCGGAAATGGGGTCCTCTCCATCCCCACCACCCCTGGCTCCCAGCACTTCAGACGGCTCTGCTGCCTCAGCTCCTGAGCTCAGGAGAGGATGAGTTACCGCAGTGCCCATCCCCGCAGCCGGCTTCAGGGTCTGCATTCCGTGTTCCCAAAACTTGCTCTGGCTCCCTGCTCTACGCCTCCCCGAGGCGCCCACATCTGCTTATAATTTTTCTGAGACGAGAGAAAGGTCGCGGTTGCTGGCCCCTTACCCCCCTGAGTATCTCTGGAATGTTGCTGCCTGGCCCTACCCCACACCCCACACCCACACACTCCCAGGGTCCCCAAAGCCACTCTCAGCCCCAAGAAGGGCAGCCGCTCCTTCCCTCCAGGTCTAGGCTCCTAAATTAACCCCATCTCAGCCGCCCATGTTCCTCCTTCACCTTTAACCCTCCAGCAGCCAAATCTCCAGCCTTTCATCCAGGATGCTGGCCCACCTATCCTCCCAGTGCCAGCGTCTACCCACCCCTCCAGTGCAGCCCAGCCGCATGCCCCATCACACTTCCCGCAGGGCGAATCTCAGCCTCTAGCCTCCTCTGTGCTTCCTCCTATCCATCCTCAGTCCCCAAGTAACTCACCAGGTGGGGCCTGCCCACAGCTCAGCCCTGGGGCCTGGGACCTGGGGCCTGGGGGCCAGGGAATGTCCTGGGGGATCCCAGCGTTCAGGATATGAAGCCTGAAAACAGGAAACAGAGCCTGGCTAGGAAGGGGGACAGCAGGGAGCGTGACGGGGGTGGCTCCATCCTCCCACCATCCTGAACGCAGTGGGTAGCATACGGGAGGGCCATGACCAGAAGCCTCTTTCTGGCAGCTTGTCTCCAGAGCTGACACTGTGGCCCCCTCTGAAGGGGAGAGGCCACAGTCAGGAGTGCCCTAGAGACACTCCCCAGAGTCTGTCCCAGAGCTCCACCCCCACATCACCCAGACACATCCCCACTCCCAAATAGAGTCATCCCTTCTCCCAATGTCCCCAAACCATCCCCTCCCACCCTGCCCTGCTCCAGCCATCTTCCCAGGCCCAATGCCCACTCCAGGGATCGCTCTGCCTAGCCCCAGCTAACCTTCTCTCCACCTCTCCCTCAGTGTGGTTGGCAGCCAGGGCCCTGGTCAGGACCCCGAGCCCTCCATATGCCTCTGCCTCATCTCTCGGTCTCCACACTCCCCTCTTCCCTGACCCTCAGCTCTGGCCCTGGCGTGGGGCCCCTGTGCTCCAACTGCAGCTCAGTCTGTCTGAAGCCAGGCTCATCACCCTTGTCCCTGGGTGAGCCTCATCTCCTGAGACACACAAGGACTCCCCAGCCATCCTTCTGCCCTGGATCTGTTCACAGAGCCTATGGCGTGGTGGCATGGACAAAACTTGTTGCAGGAAGGAGTCGAGTTAAGGCCCAGGGAGGAAGTGCCATATAGGTTGAGCTGTTGTTGGGCCGAGAAAAGGTCCTTCCTCCCATTCCTGTCAGCCCCTACCCACCCAAGTCCTGTCCCTGTCACCTCCTCCCAGCCAACTTCTAGAGGACACGGTTCACCTGGGGGACTTTGAGATGGACTGAAGGACTGAGGAGCATGAGGAGGAGCTGACTCTCATCCCCACCCACTTCTGGCTGGCTGGGAGGTTAGCTGGCTGGAAGGGTGGGTAGGTTCTGTTTTCCCAAAGGTCCTCAGGGTAGGGCCAGAGTGCGGAGGAGGCATCAGCTGGTCAGCCCAGGGGCTGGAAGCCAGGGTGGGGTCAGGGGAGATCAGTGGGTGGCCCCGGGAGGGGACAGATGAGATGGGGGTCCTGGCAGGAAGAGGAAGGTTTTGGCTTGACCATCCTTTGCCTCTGAGAAGGGAACACAGGCCAGACCAGGAGCCCAGAGCCCCAGCCTGGCCTCCAGGCTAGTTCCCATCTAAGCCTTTGTCCCTGAGGGGCAGGGCACCTGAGCCTGGCCCATGCTCCCCCAACCCCTTCCAGCCACAGCAGCAATGGGCCCATTGCATATACCCAAGAGATTGCATATACCCCTCAAGGGGGTGAAATGAGACCACTCCTGGACCCCTGCTCTGCCCTGGGGGCCCACAGTGCACTCACTGAGGGGGACCCTGGAGCACCCCTGCTGCAGGCTTGCTTCTTCTCATGCAGAGGCCCCCTCCTGTTCCCCTACTCAACCTTCACCCTCCAAGCCTCTGGTTTGAGGGACTCAAACACCTTCCCTCCCGAGAATCATAAGGTGACCCCACGTATCGTTCACTGAGCTGCGACAGGCAGGGTGTTGAGAGATTTACGTGGATCATCACATTTAAAGTTTACATTAACCCCTTGTAGTAGGTGTTATGGCCCACTTCAGAGATGAGGAAGCAGGCACAGAGAGGGTAAGAAACCTGACCAGGACCGCACAGCCAGGAGTGTCAGAGCTGGGATCCAAATCCAGGCTGCTGGCAGAGGACTCCCCATGATTCTACTCTTTCCCAAGTCCAGATGGGAAGCCCAGGGGCTCTGTATCTTCTTTTTAAAAGTCTCTCTTATGGGGTGGGGGAGCTGCCAGGGGATTGGACAGGAGAAGGGGATGGGGGTGGGGGCTGCCACAAGAACATGATCAGAAGCGTGGGAACTGAGATGTGTTTACAGTCAAGAATGAGCTGACACTTCTCTCTCCTCCACCTCGAGATGCAAATCGGCTGGGCTCCTGGCCAGGCCCTGAGATCCCAGTCCCGCCTGCGCAGCCCAGCATCCCTGCCCTCTCAGCCTCCGAGCCCACACAGAAGACCAGATCACCCTCCCTGGGCTTCCCTAAACTCCAGCTCAGCTGGTTCCCTCTGGTGGGGAGCCCCCCTACCCTCACTGTGCCCCAACCCCTCCTAGGAGGAAGGAATTGAGTGTGGGCTCTAGGGGAGCAGGGGTGGGGGGGATTAGAGTTCCTGGTGGACAAGAGGATCCATTTCTATAGAAAGCAGAGAGTAAGGGTGACGGAAGTGAGACAGCAGAAGGGACTTCCCCACGGGCTCCCTTCCAGCTTCTCTGGGAAGTCATGTAGCATAGGATAACCCCTCACCTCTGCACCCCCAACCCCTGCCCAAGTTCAAGCCTGGGTGTGAATCCCAGCCTGCAGTTCCCTCACCTAGAAAATGGGGATAAGATTAGTGCTTCCTTTGTAGGGTCGCTGTGCAGACTAAATGAGTTGATCTAGATAAAGCAGTTAGACCCAGTACCTAATATGCTCAGTTAACATTAGCTGTCTCCATGATAGCATTCTCAGTCCCACTCCTCCTCTTGCACCCAATGTGGCCCCCATCCGCCCTCCCCTTGGCGCCTTTGGGTATTAATTCCAGGAAAAACCTTCTTGTTTTTTCTGAAGAACCCCCAGGATGATCCGGGAATGGGAATGGGGCCGCAAATGCTGACAGAGAGAAAGGAAGTGGGGGCAGGAGGGGGCCAGGCTCCCCCGAGAACCTGATCCCCCAAAACGATGGGCTGCCCGCCAGGTGCATCTTCAAGCCAGATGCGGTTGACAAGGCAGAATGCCTAAATTCTGCTTCCCCCAGCCCTGGGCCTAAGCACCAACCCTAGTTCCTTGCTCGGTCCGACTGCCCCCTCCTCTCTTCTCCATCTCCCTCTCTCTCTCATCACTTCCTATCCTGGAGTACAAAGCTTCTAGTCCTATCTCTGTCTTACAAGCTGTGTAACCTGAGTTATAATACATAACTTGAGTCCTCTGATCCTCCATCTCCTCATCTGTAAAATGGGAGACTAGCACTCCCCGCCATCTCTCAGGGCCCTGCAAAGGTTGGAACTGCTGGTTCCAGTGACCATTCTGGAACAGAACCTCAGACCTCAGACCTCAGACTAGAGCCTGCTCCGTGGATGTGTGTTGATGCAAAAACAGAATCCTCCAAGCTCCAGGGTTTCTGCCTCTTCCTTTTGGACTTTTGTCTTGTTCTTCATCAGAAACTCTGCTATCTGCCTTTCCCCATCCCCTTCCTTCATCAGCTTCTTGGTCTCTGTCTTCCTGCCTCTCTTTTTCCGTTCCTATACTAAGGCTGCCATGTACAGTTGCACGGTGTATTTACTGCATAACAGCATCCACTTTCAAGGACAGAGTGGAAGCTGAACTCCAGCTACAATCCACTCACTAAAGCCATGCGTCTTAGCTTGGTGCTAAGGTTGTCTTGCCCTGTATCTCTCTTGTCTTTCTGTCTGTCTCCCTGTCTCTGTGTCTGTTTCTCTGTGGCCTTTTCTAACCTATCTTTGCCATGGAGACAGGATCACTTAGTCCTTCCCACCCAGCAGTGAGATCGCAGTCCAAAGACTTCTCCCCTCCCTCCCTACACAGGGAGCTCCCCCAGCAGCCTGCTGCACTCCACAGGCTACCCAGTACACCCATGTACACGCTTGCACACTGAAGCACAGAGCACTGCCTATATCCAGCGGGGCCAGGCCCTCGGCACGCCAGGCATGTCTGCCGGATGGAGAAACAGGAAGCCTGCGTATGCGGCCAGAGTGCGCCAGAGGCTGGGCGGGAAAGGGGCAGGGGTGAGGGGCTGGACTTGTGTTCTCTGTGGCTCAGGAAACAGAAGCTAGAGGGTCCTAGGTCCGACCTGTTTACTCATCAGGAAATGGGGCAGCTGCAGGGATCCTGATTCACACATCTATCGCACCCCTCCCAGAGGGTGTTGCCAGTGCCAGTCCCAACCCTCGCCGCCACCCTGGAAGGTGCTGGTGATTGTCATCCCCATTTGGTAGGCAGCACAGTGGAGGGTCTCAGGTAAAATGCCTTGCCAAGGGCTGTCTGGCTGCCAGGGGCAAGAGCAGGATTCAAATCTGCTTCAAAGGACAAAGCAGTGTGGGGAGGTAAACCCTGGGTGACATAGACTAGGGAGCAGTGCCCCCTCAGGCCCACCCTGCTCATCGCCACCCCGAGATTACCTTCAGAAAGTGCTCTGGCCACTGCCCCCTCTCCCACTCTGTGGCTGCCTACACCCCAAGAAAGAACCCCCAGGGGGCCAGCCCCTACAAGGGGGTCCAGCTTCATTACCTCTACCCCTGCGCTCCCATCACACTGGACAGCCGCTGACCCCACATGCCTCTCACCACACCGCCACCATGGCTCAGGCCACCCCTGAAATGCCCAGGTTCTACACAGCCTCAAGGCCAGCCGCTTCCAAGAAGCCCCTCAGTGGCTCCAGGCTCACGCCCTCCTCCCTGCTCTCCAGGCCTTCCTGCAGGCTCTCAGGAACACACAGTCACCACAGACCCGCGTGGCCTCAAGGAGGCCGGGGGTTGCTCTTCCCCCTGAATGCCCTGAGGCTGGCTCCCAGCTGGACATGCACCTGTCCCTGGAGGCTCCACACCTCCCCAAACCCCAGCCAAAGTCCTGGCACCAGTGTACCTCCTCTGGAAGCAAGCGGAACTCACCCAGGCCAACCCAGGGGTTCACAGCCCCCGACGTACTCCAAGTCTGCTGGGCTGATTAGGCTGATGGATACCCTATCTGTGATTGCTGGTTTGTGAGTCTGGTTTCCCCACCAGGTTGGACTCCCTCAAATCTTATTCCTCTCCAAGGCTCTGTGAGCGGGTCTGGGTGCCCCCTGGGTGTTTCCTCGCGGCTCCCATCCTATGAGTCATTATGCTTTTATTAAAGTCAGTCTGCCTCACTGGACTGGAGCTCCCCAGGGACAGGGCACTTCTCTGCCTTCCTCACCACTTTAACCCCAGGACTGGCCAGCACTTACACCCAGGATGCCCGGCACCCAACAGGCAATAACTAAACATTTGTGTGGAGTGGATGGACTGATACACCCTGAAATCTTTCTGACTCCAGTGCTCCTTGACTTTCCCAGGAATGGGAGAGAGGGAGAGATGCTCAGAAGCTGTGGCTTCTCCCCGTACTCCAGACAGTAGAGCTGGGCCCTTGTCTCGGGGCCCTCAAGACACAATGAGGTGCGTGTTTGATGAGATGATGGAAAGTGGAATGCAGAAAGAACTTTTCAACGTTACAAAGCAAAAGGCGGCTCCAGACTTGCCCTCCTGACCTCCAGCAGGAATTCCTCAGGGCCGGCCTCCAAGTTCCTATGGGATGAGTGCACAACAGCTCCAGGCCCTGAGTCACCTGGAGGTGGAGGGGCATGCCCACACCGCCTGAGCCCTCATCCTGTGCCTCCCCATCCAGGGCCAACACCCCCTCACTGTCCACTGCACACATCTCCCGCTACACAGAGGGACTGGGCCCCAGGTGCCAATTCATGGGGGTAGGACGGAGGGCAAAAGTGGGAGGGCATGAGCACCCACCAGCAGTGAGCGGGCTACGCCCCAGGGCCCACTCACCTGCAGGGATCCTGATTCACACATCAATCGCAACCCCTCCCGCAGGCTGTCGCCAGTGCCAGTCCCAACCCTCGCCGCCACCCTGGAAGGTGCTGGTGATTGTCATCCCCATTTGGTAGGCAGCACAGTGGAGGGTCTCAGGTAAAATGCCTTGCCAAGGGCTGTCTGGCTGCCAGGGGCAAGAGCAGGATTCAAATCTGCTTCAAAGCACAAAGCAGTGTGGGGAGGTAACCCCTGGGTTACCTCCCAGGTACTGGGATACTAATTACTGCGCCTCGTTAAATGTGTGCTGTGGCTAGATCCTGTCTTTTAGTTCTCCCAGCAAGCCTATAAAGTAAGTGCTATTATGCCTCCCATTTTATGAAGAAATATCCCAGAAAAGTTCAGTGATTTGTCCTAGGCCACACAGGCAACTGAAGCCGGAGCAGGGATTTGGGCCAGGTCTATGTCATTCCAAAGCCTGTGCTGCTTTCTTTTTGTTTTGTTTTGAGACAGGGCTTCGCTGTGTGCCCAGGCTGGAATGCAGTGGCGTGATCATGGCTCACTGCAGCCTCAACCTCCTGGGCTCAAGTGATCCTCCCACCTCAGCCTCTTGAGTAGATGGGCCCATGGGCGGGCACCACCATGCCAAGCTAATTAAAAAAAAAAATTGTAGGGATGCAATCTCATTATGTTGACCAGGCCGGTCTTGAACTCCTGGCCTCCAGAGATCCTCATACCTTGGCCTCCCAAAATGCTGGGATTACCGGCGTGAGCCACCTCGCCTGGTGTTTCCAGTGTGCTGCCTTCTAACCTCACAGTTTCTCTTTGGTCTTCTGACTTTCTCCTCCTCTCCCTCTGTCTCCGCCTCCTTTTTGTTCTATCCCTAGGTCTCTGCTCTATTTTTCTAGGCCTGCTTTTCTCCCTCCGGGCATTTTGTTGTAATGAGTCTGTGCCTCTGCTGTGTCTCTGCATCTGTCAGCCTCTGTTTCCGTATTTATATCTGTCTCTATCTCTGTCTTTGTGTTTCTCTCTCTCCTTCCCTGTCTTCTCTGCCTCTTCCTTCTGGCTTCTCCCCTGTAGGTTAGATGACAGAAGCCAAGATCCTCCCCAAAGCTAGGATGGCACCCCAGGGTCCCCCATGAGTCCTGGGAGGCCTCTTTCTCAAGGCTCCCAAGGCTCCTCAGAGGAGAGGCTTGGGGAATGCCGTGGTGGAGGCTCCACCTGGCCTCAGCCTCCTCCCCAGCAGTGTGTGTCGGGTGCGGGGAGGCACACAGCAGCCCCATGACCTTCTATCTCTCTCCAGGTTTCCGACTGGTGGATGAGGCTGCCTGGAGCGTGAGTTTCCTCTTCTGGGAGAGTCTGATAGGAGATGTTGAGGGGGGACAGAGGGTGGAGGAACAGATGCCAACTCTCAGCTTCATCCTCCAGTGGAGAGAGAGGAAGGCAGAGAAGTGAGTCTGGCCAACCCAGCTCCTAGAGATGGCAGCCCCACCTGCAGTGGGGAACATGGTGGGTGGGCCTTCGGAGGCCTCAAGAGTGGGAGAGGCCACACAGCAGGGAGGAGACACAGGAGATAGGAGGGCTGCGCCCACACCCTGGCTTATGACTGGCTCACAAGCACACACAACAGGCCCTATACCATGAGCTGGTTTTGAGTGGGGTTCAGAGATGAGCTCCCCCGTCTCCAACCGTCCCCCTAGCACAAGGCCAGCTTAGGCCAGGGTTGAGAGCTGACACCCGGCCCAATCCTGCCCGAGCTGAGCCCTGGCTGAGCCTGGGAACCTCAGGCCAGCACAAGCTGTTCCTGTCCCCGGGGACTAGGGTCACAGCCCAGCCCCAGGAGAGGCCACTCATAACAGGCCAGAACAGGGGAGTGGAGAGCAGCTACTGGAGGCTGGAGACGGGGGTGGGGGTGAAGGGTTGCCTTGCTGGGGCCTGGGCTCCTGGACCCCCCACACACCCACCTGGCCCTTAGCACAACTTCAGATCATCAGCCTGCCAAGTTTTCTGAGGATCCAGTTGCCCGGGACCTCAAGCTGAACCCCCAGTCCTCATAACTGGCAAAGATGTGAGAGCCAGGGACCTGCAAACCTGGGTCCTTCCCCTACATCCTCCCTCAAACATTCCTGCCGCTGGACAGAGAGATGACACTGATAATCTGTTTATCTAGCGTCATTCAAAGCAGGAGACACGTTTTTGCTCACTTAAGCCTCACAACCCATGAGGTAGGCCCTATATTATTCTCCTTTAGAAATGAGAAACTGAGGCACAGAGGTCAGGCCTCTTGACCAAGACCCCACAGACAGTAAGCTGCAGAGTGGAGGGTGGCACTTAGGCAGTCTTGGCTCCAGTGTCGATGCTCTTGTGGCTACACTTCCCTTGCAAGCCAAGGACAGCACCCAGTCTTCTCTTCCCAGCCCTGGGAGGGGGCAGTGAGCCAGGCTGCCCCTGACTCACAAAGTCCGGGGACCAGGGGCTTAGGGAACAACCTCGCTAGCATTTCATCTCATTTACATGTTCATTACGGAAGGGAACCCCCAACCCATCCTCTCTGGCCCCCTCCACTGTCCCCTTCCCCTCCTTCACGTCTCTCTCCATCAGTCCCTCTTTTCTACACTCCTGGGTCTGGGGCCTCAGACTCCAGTCGAGGAGGGGGACCTCAGGGACCGCAAGCCCTTTCCCCGGGGCAGGGTGGTCTCCGGGGCCGCACCACCGGGCCTCCCCTGCCAGGGGGCGCGCAGTCACTCACCTGCCTTGGGGCCCCGTCTCCCCTGCGGCCTGGGGTAGGAACCGCCGGGGTCTGCGAGGAGGAGGACTGGACAGCCGAGGACGGGGCGAGGGTCCCCACTTCGAGCCCCAGCCTGACTGCGGGAGCGGCGGGGAGGCGGGACGCTGCTGATCGCAGGGCCGGGAGGGGCGCCGAGGGGCGGGGGGCAGGAAGGGGGTGGGAACTCGGGCCCTCGCCAAGGCAGGAAGTTTTGACAAGGAAACAGGAGCCGGGGGAGGGGAGATCCAGGCGCCCGGGAGGGAAAACTGTATTCTGGGTGGGATCACAGAGGCCGACTCTGCGCGGCCTGGGCCAGGAGCAGAGGGGGATAAGAAGGGGATGAGGAGGGGAGGTCAGCGCAGGGGCCCAGGGCCCCAGTCCCTCCCTAGCTTCCCCTCGTTGTGCGGCCTGGGTTACTTACCCTCTCGTGCCTCAGCTTTCCTATCTGCAAAGTGGGGTTGTGGGAAGGAATCAATGAGATCGCCTACGTCGGGCACTGTCCAGTGCTGCCCAGCAACCGTGATCTTATTAAGACCCCTCCCGGGCACCGCATCCCACTAGTCTCGGAGAGGCTGACAGGGCGAGGCCCCCCTCTCCTCCTGCCGCCCCTAATCGCACTGCGGAAGGCCGGGCGCGGTGGCTCATGCCTATAATCCCAGCACTTTGGAAGGCCGAGGCCGGCCGATCGTGGAGCCCAGAGTTTGGAGACCAGCCTGGCCAACATGGCGAAATCCTGTCTCTACTAAAAATACAAAAATTAGGGCCGGGCGCCGTGGCTCAGGCCTGTAATCCCAGCACTTTGGGAGGCCAAGGAGGGCGGATCATTTGAGGTCAGGAGTTAGAGACCAGCCTGGCCAACACGGTGAAACTCCGTCTCTACGAAGAGTACAAAAAAAATTGCCGGGCGTGGTGGTGGGCGCCTGTAATCCCAGCTACTGGGGGAGGCTGAGGCAGGAGAATCGCTTGAACCCAGGAGACGAAGGTGGCAGTGAGCCGAGATCGTGCCACTGCACTCCAGCTTGGGCGACAGAGCACAGCTCCGTCAAAAAAAAAAAAAAAAAAAAAACGCGCCAGGTGTAGTGGCGCGCACCTGTGGTCTCGGTTTACTGGGGAGGCTGAAGAGGAAGGATCGCTTGAGCCTAGGAGGTCGAGACTGCAGTGAGCCAAGATCCTGCCACTCCACTCCAGCCTGGGCGACAGAGCGAGACCCTATCTTAAAAAAAAGAAAGAAAAAAAAAAGAAAAGAAAAAAGTCACACCGCGGGAGGGTGTGACCCTGGGAAGCATTCTCCGCCTCTGCCCGCCCCGCCTCCGGCCCACACCCACCAGCGCGTAAGCAACTCCTGAGCCCACCGAGTCCGGTGCGAGCGCCACCTCGCGGCTAGCATCCGCTTCCCAGAGCCCCACAGCCGGGGGACCAGACCTGGGAGCCCTTCCCCGCCTGATAGCAATGAACATTAGCTTTCCCCGCCTGATAGCAATGAACATTAGCTTTCGCCGTGGTCAGCCCTTCAGGCGTATTGCCTCATTGAATCCTTCACTCGAGATTGGTTTCATCATTATGTCCTTTTACATATGGCGAAACCGACGTCCTGAGCGGCTTAGGACACTAATTAGTGGCAGAAGCACTATTTGGTTTGGTTTTGAGACGGAGTCTTGCTCTGTCTCCCACGCACGATCTCAGTTCACTGCAACCTCTGCCTCCCGGGTTCAAGCGATTCTCCCGCCTCAGCCTCCTGAGTAGCTGGGATTACAGGCGCGCGCCCACACGTCAGGCTAATTTTTGTATTTTTAGTAGAGATGGGGTTTCACCATCTTGTCCAGGCTGGTCTCGACTTCCTGGGCTCAGGCGATCCGCCTGCCTCGGCCTCCCAAAGTGTTGGGATTACAGACCTGAGCCACGGCGCCCCGCCTACAAGCAAGATTTGAACCGAGGTCTGTGGTGCGTCCAATTCCAGGGCTCACACTCCACCTCCTCACACAGAGAGCCACAGAGTAAGCTTAGGTGAGGAGAGCAAAGCAGTATCATCCCTCCTGGGAGACTTTTAAAACTCAACTGTATTGAGGTATAATTGACATACAATAAAAAATGTACCTACTTAGAGCATACAATTTGGTGAGCTTTGTTTTTTAGACTTTTTTAAATTGGGGTAAAATATACATACTATGAAATGTATCATTCGAAACATTTTCAAGTGTACAGTTCAGTGGCATTAAGTACATCACTTGCGTGGAAGCATCGGTGTTATTCATCTCCTTTTCCGATGAAAAGGTCAGAACTTTTTCAGCATCCCAAACTGCAACTCTGTACCCATTAAACAGTAACTTCCATTCCTCCTGCCCCCAGCCCCTGGTAACCACTACTCCACTTTCTGTCTCTATAAATTTGTCTGTTTTAGATACCTCAAGTAAGTGAAATCATGAATACTTGTACTTTTGTGTCCGGCTTATTGCACTTAGCATAACACTAGCTCGATGAGTTTTTTGTATGTGTGTGCATCTGTTTAACCACCATCCCAATAAAAAAAAAAGTTTTTAAATTTCCATCTCCTCCAAAGTTTGCCTGCTCCCCTTTGCAGATAATGTCTCCAAATTCCATTTTCACTCCCCACCCCAAACCCTGTGAAATCTCTGATCTGTTAGGCCGGGCGTGGTGGCTCATGCCAGTAATCCCAGCGCTTTGGGAGGCCGAGGCAGGCAGAGGTCGGGAGTTCAAGACCAGTCTGGCCAACATGGTGAAACCCTGTCTCTACCGAAAATACAAAAATTAGCCGGGCATGGTGGCGGGTGCCTGTAATCTCAGCTACTCAGGAGGCTGAGGCAGGAGGATCACTTGAACCTGGGAGGTGAAGGTTGCAGTGAGCCGAGATCGCACTATTGCACTCCAGCCTGGGCGACAGAGTGAGACTCTGTCTCAAAAAAAAAAAAAAAAAAAAGAAAAGAAAGAAAGAAATCCCCCATGTGCTTTCTGTCACTGTAGGTTTATTTGTTCTAGAATTTCCATATAAATGGAACTGCACAATATGTGCTTGCTTTCCTTTAGCTTCTTTCACTTACCACAGAGCTTTTGAAAAGTCCACTCCTTCTCACCATGAGTAGAATTCCACTGTATGGACCAACCTTGTCTTATCCCCACCCCAGCTGATGGGCCCTTGGTCTTTTCTGGTTTGGGACTATTATGAGTGAAACTACTATGGATATTCTTGTACAAGTCTCATGTGGATATATATGTTTTCATTTCTCTTGATTGCTACTTAGGAATGGGATTGCTGGGTCATAACAGTTACAAATCATGTACGTATTCAGTTTCAGATTGTCTAAAATGTATAACTGAGAATACTTTTGTCTGGGAAACTTTGATGTCAGAGACAAGCAAGAGATGTTTAATTGGTGTTTTAAGGGATGAGAGGTGTGTGTGGGTGGGCGACTGGATGGTGCTGTTGGCTTTGGGGAAGAAAAGGAAGAATGAAAGGTTCAAGGAGGCTTTTTAGGACTTCAGTGTCACCAAGAGGCTCCAGCAGAGGGCAGCAGAAACCATAGGACAGCTCAAGGGCCGGCGGCCAAAGACCATGGAGTTGCAGACTATCAGAGGCCAGAGGGACCTTGAAAGTCACCTGATCCAGCACTTTCAAGGAGCAGAGTGGGAGACTGAGGCCTGAAAAGGAAGAGGTGCAGGCGCTCTTCCCTTCCTTTGCCTGGCCCACTTGTTCTCATCCTTCCACACTCAGGCATGAAATGTTTAACACACACATGTCTCTCTCCCTAGGATTCTGAGTTCTTCAAGGACTGAGGCCAGGTCAAAATCATCTTTATGCTCCCAGGGCCTGGCACAAAGTAAGTGCTCAATAAAGTACCACCTTGTGCAATGCTCTTCCAGCTCCCTGCCCCCCAGCTCTGCCTGCTGGGCCCAGCCCTACGTATAGCTAAAAGGATGGACGTCCCCTGAGGCCTGCCAGGAAGGCAGATGCAGGCTCGAGGTTCTCATTCATTCAGCTGTTCAATAGGCACCATTTTGTGTCTGCCTAGTACCCAGGACACAGGAAATGACATTGATGATGACCATGATGATGATAATAGCAACTACTAACTTTGGGGTGGGGGATGCTGGTGCGCCAGCCTCCTACTGATTTAACTTACCTCCTCTTCCTAACTTACTCCTACGGATTACCAGGTACTATTTTAAACCTTTATTTAATAACTTATTTTAGCAATAAATAAGAGTTTCCTGCCCTCAAAGAGCTCACATGTGAATTGGGGAAAGAGTCAATTATTCATTGAATAAAGATTTATTGAGCACCTACTATATGCAGACATTGGGGCTACAGCTATGAACAAAATAGATAAGATTTTCTGCCTAAATATAGAAAGTGGAAAAAAAATGAAGCTAACATTCTGTTAGTGGTAGTGGGGAAGGGATGGTAAAGACGCTAAATCAGGAAAATCATGACACATTAGATGATTAAAAGAACTATCATTTTAAAATAGAGAAATAAAACAGGGAAGAGAATAGGGAGTGCTGGGGGTGCAATTCTTGGAAAGGTGGTTACAGAAGATGTCATTGAAAAGGTAACCTCCAGGTAAAGGAGATGAAGGCAGGAGCCATGGAGATTTCTGGGGGAAGAGCAAGAAACAGCAAGTACAAATGCGCCAGAGTGTGTGCTGTATTGAGAGAATAGCAATAGTAGCTCTGTTTGGAGCGTGGAGCCAAGTGAGTGATGGGGAGCATGGTGGCAGACATTGAAGACAGAAGCATAATGGGGGTCGAATCCTTCAGGCCCTCCTAGGCTGCGATAAGGCGATTTGATTTTGCTTTGCGTGAGATGGAAGCCATTAGAGGATTTCAAGCAGAAGAGAGACATGATCCAACTCAGATTTTAAGAGAATGATTGCTGTTTTGAGAATAGGCTGTGGGGAGCAACAGTGGAAATGGGGAGACCAGTGAAGGGGCCGCAGCACTAATCCGGGTGAGCAGCCTGGTGGCTAGGCCAGTGGAGGTGCTGAGGAGTGGGCGCAGCACATCGCAAGGGCTCACAGAGGGCAGCTGGGATTAGAGTGGGGGTGCCTCTTCCCTCCGGAGTGGGAAGGAGGTTGTGAGGAGTCCTAGGCTCCTGGAAGGGGCCGGAGAGGGTTCCCTGAGGCTGCGGCTGAGGGTGAGCAGGAGGCTGGTCTCAACTCCTGCACACACTCACCCCAGCAGGCCAAATGTTGGCACACACCGTGCATGCCACTCCATGTCTCACCCACAGTCCTGCAGGGATGCTGTAGCCAGAACACACAGACAGGGGGAGGGAGTGGCCTCTGTGCCCACACATGGCACCGGTGGGTGGCTGGCCTGGGTAGGGGCTGCAAGGAGCAGTGAGGTTGTCTCAGGGGAGTCCCACAGGGATAGCACATTCTTGCCGCTCTCCTTTCCTCTCCACCAAGCTTGTCATAAATGCCTGGCAATGGTGCTGATGACAGCGGTGGACCTGGCCCACTCACAGGGGCCATGCCCATCTGATCCCCTCCCTCACCCTCCTGGGTCTTAGTGTGTGTGTGTGTGTGTGTGTGTGTGTGTGTGTAGGGGGTGGTCCATAAAATACAAGCCAGGACCCCCTAGCTGCCCACCTTCCAGCCTGGCCTCCCCCTCCATCTCAGGCTCTCAGGTCCCTGCCCCTGTGTGGTCCCTGGTCTGAATCTGCCTACAGGGTCCCAATCCGTACTCTCCTCTCCCCCTCCCAGCTCTGCCTTTGGCCTGCCCACCAGCCTGCCTGGCACTCAAACTCCCATCCCTCACTACCACCCCCCACTGTAGCTGTAATCACAGCTCAGCTCAGACCTCCCCCTCCTGTGAATAATTGGGGCTGATTTAGGGGCTATCAGGGGAGAGAGGGGGGGCTAATGGAGTTCGTGGGGGGCCGCCTTGGTGATGAGGGAAAGGTTGAGAGGCAATTAGCAGGGCTGACAGCCTCAGGAATCACCTAATGTGCCTGCCCGCAGGAAGGGCTGGTGAGGGGTTTGTGGGGAGGGGGCGGCTTGGACTTGGATTTGAGGAGGGATCCGCCCCTCCCTCAGCAGGAGGTTGAAGGACACAGCAGGAGGGACCTCCAGAAAAAAAAAATGAGGGCAAGGGGCAAGAGCAAGAGGGCTGGATGTGGTGGGGGTACTGGGGAGGGAGGGAGGCTGATGGGATGAGGCAGAAGCTCCTGGTCCCCCATCACCCCCAACACACACACAGCGCCCCAGCTGAATCCTATCCCTCGCTGGGGACCAGCTCCTGATTAATACCAACATTAGCCTTGAGCACTCACCCCTCCTGGCCTCCTTGTCATTAATTACCTCCTCTCCCAGCCCAGCAGAGGGGACGCCAGCTCCTCCAGAGGAAAGAGCCAGAGCTTCTGACCCCCCTTGGCCAGAGAAGCCTCCTCTACTCCTTCCTCCCTGCTTCCAAAGAAAAAGGGAGGAAGAGAGGAAGAACAGAAGTGGAAGGAAGGAAGGAAGGAAGGAAGGGAGGGAGGGAGGGAGGGAGGGAGGGAGGGAGGGAGGGAGGAAGGAAGCGAGGGAGGGAGGGAAGAAAGAAGGGAGAGGGGAGGGAGTTGTGCCTTTCGCCTTTCAGTTCCCAGACCCTGCTGCTCTCCCCTCAGGGTCTTTCTACAGTCTAAGCTCCGTCTCCAGTCAGCCAGGAGCTGGAAACTTCTGGCTGGAAACACCCATAGGGGGACCTCCCTGGAGGGGTTGGACAGCCAGATCCCTGAGCCCTGTCCCCAGCCTACATCCCTTCTGATTTCAGATTAGGAGCACGAATTTGCACAGACCCATGCAGAGAGCTGAGTTTACACAGACCTTCTCACAAGGACTGTCACACACAAACACAAACCCAGATATACTGGGACCAGAATCACCCTGGGTGGGAAGGGGTGACATGCTCCACTGTGAGGTACCCTTCACCATCACACATGAAATCACATCAAGAACATCCCATTCAAAGGAGCACCAGACAGCTGCCTGGAGAGGGCAGGGAAGGTGTTTCAGAGCATCCAAGTGCTGGAGGAGCAGGCAGGAGGGTGGGGTTGGTGGGCCAGCCTGTGTACATGAGCCTGGGGGGAGGGAGTCCTTCCTCGCTCTTGGGCAGCCCTCGTGGACCTCTCTAACTCAATTGGGAAAGCTCTCCCTTTCTCTCTCTCTCCCTCTCTCGCTCACTTTCTCTCTCTTTCTGTCTTTCTGTGTGTCACACACACACACACACACACACACTCAACCTTAAAGTAAAGTGTAGTGAACTGAAATCAAGCCCATTCCAGTCTGCTCCTTGCCCAGGTTGCCAAGCCCTGACTCCCCTCTCAGCCCTGCCTCACTCCTGCCTCCCAGGCCACTCGCCTCCCAAACTGTGTCTCTGCCTATCTTCCTTTCAGCAGACATGGGTAGCCCAGTGCCCACTCCAGGATATGGGTAAAGGGATTTGTGAGAGTTTTCTGAGCCCCTCCCAACACCCCCGTGAGCCCCATTATAAGACCAAGTGAGCCTGGAGACCTGGCGATCGATATTCCTCAAAGATGAAGACGCTAATAACTTTATCCCCTCTTGTCCTCCAACTCTCGCCTACATTAGCTCTGACCACAGGCCCCAGGCAGCTGGGACCTGCCGTGGGCGGGCCTGGAGCTGTGTAACCCCTTCAGATCCAGGTGGGAAGCACGAGGGTAGACTGTAGGAAGGACTTCCTGGCACTCAGGAACAGGAGGCCACAGGGATAAGGGATACAAAGCCTTTAAGGCATGTTTCGCACTCCAGGTCCATACTCTTGGAGACCTGTCTCAGGGTCTACGAGGATTTGTGTCCTCAGAAACACCCTTCAAGGGTACAAAGTTCCCTGTCCAATCCCGGAGGGCTGCCCAGAGGCGGTGAGCTGAGAGAGAAATTCTCACTAGGGAAAATCAGGGAGTAGGAGAAGAGTAAACGAGGGACACGGGGCAGGGGAGGCTGGAGGCTCTTCCTACATCAGGGCCTTCTGGATCAGCGCAGGGACCTGGAGCCCACAGGGTGTCAGAGGGAGGGAGAAGGCCCTTCCTCACCTCACACTCTCTGCAGCCTGGCAAGTCCCCTGCAGCTAGAGGGAGTGGTTGGGATCAGGGAATAAGAGCTTCTCTTCTGCAAGCACTATCCCTTCAAAACATACAACCTGCCTCACCTCCACATACCAGGGCTAGGGCCTCGGCTGGCAGGATAGAGAGGAGGAGGAAGGATAGGGAGGGAAAGAAGGAGGGGGAGAGAGTGTTTTTACATAGCAGCTACTAAGGCCAGGCCCTACAGGGAGAGCTCTCCACATGGGACTTGTTTAAACCTCATAACAATCCTGTGAGGTTATTGCTATTATTATCCTCATTTTGCAGAGGAGGAGACTAAAGTACAGAAAGGTTGAGTAACTTGCCCAATGTCACACAGCTGGTAAGTGGCACAACCAGATTCCAGAATCTAGAGGCTTAAGCACCAGGAAACATAGCCCTTTAAGAAGAGGAATGGGGCCCAGTTCAGTAGGCGGTGGGCTCAAGAGCCTCTCGTCCCCAGGGCTGGACTAGAAGCAGGGCTCATGAAAAGCGCATGGCCTCTGAGGCTCTGCTTCTGTGGCTCTTGGGTTCTGTCCTGTATCTCAGGCTCTCTGCCTTCTTCTCTGTTCCCTGCACATGCAGGGCTGAGTCTCTGCATGGATCTGGGTTGCCTCTCCTCTCTGCCCCTCCTTGCCCCGCCGTGTGGGCTCCTCCTGCAGCTCTGGCCTGTCTTGTCTGTCTTTCCTGCCTCCAGATCTCCATCCTGCCCACCACTCCAGAGCCACTGCTGCTCAAACTTTCCATCTTAGCACGGGAGTCCATCCGCGCTGGGGTGGGAGACAGAGAGAGACAGTCTGGGAGGGTACTGTTGCTTAGAGCAATGGGGCCACCTCACTCCCCAGCATCCCAGGGGTGCCTGAGTCGCCTGGCAGTTCAGTAAGCAGCGGGCTGAAAGTCTGGATTCCTGGGTCCTGGCTCCTACCAGAAGAATCCCCCTCCCCTACCCCTGCTGGGCAGCTTGTCCAACGCTGCTTCAGGAATTTGGCAAGACAGGCTCTCTCCAGCTCGTACTTAGAAAGGCCAGGGCCTCTGTCGTCTGGAATTCTCTCTAGGTTCTGTCTTTGGCCTGGGGATGCAAGGGGCCACAGGCTGGGTCACTCTCCACCAAGGCTGTCCTAGCACTCTGCCTGTCCTTTTCCTGGAAACCTGGACAGATGCTCTGCTCTCCTGTCAGGAAGCCAGCCCCTGTGGGAGCAGGGCAGGAAGGAGGCAGAGGCTCCTTAGGAAGGCTGAGAGCATTGAGGGTGGCTTGCACCCCTTCGTTCTTTAGAGACCCCATCCCAGTGCTGGAGGCCCCTGGGGAGCCCCACTGGTCTCCGCACCACTGAGTCTTTCCTTCTAGAGTAAATGCGGAGGAGCTGGCAGAGGCTTGCTTAGACGGGAGAGTTCCAGCTTCTTTCTTCAGTGCTGGGTGTTCCTGAGGTGCCCACGACCCTTTCTGAGCCCCTGTCTTTTAACCAAGACAGCCCTCTCTGAAAAGGAAGGGGCCTGGGCCAGGTTGGGGGGAACCCAAATGTCCGATCTTTACAGCTTCAGGTTGTTGTCCTGGTCCCAGCCCCCCACGGGGTCCTTGGGGCCCCATTCCATCGATCCCCCAGCAGCTATCCATCTCAGCTGGTGCTCAGCCCCTGGGGTATGTCAGGGCGGGGGCAGCTAATGGACTTGGCACAGCCAGGAGGTAATTAACAGGGAGGGGGCAAGGGCCACAGCGAGGTGGAGGGGGGCACTGTTAATGACAGCGGAATCCAGTGATTGGGGAGGGGGCTCTGTGTCTGTGTATGTGTGTGCATATGTGTGCATGTGTCTGTGTTTGCACATGTGTGTCTAGGCCGTGTGGGGGTAGGCCAGGTTCCCTGTTGATGTGCACACCTATCTGTATATCAGTGAAGGGGAGGGAATGGGGTGCTTTCAGGGGAGGGAAATATGGATGCAAGCCCCCTCCTCACCAGTCAAGACAAAGCCCAGGTCCAGATCACCTGAAGGGATTGGAGTGCCAGGCTCCAGCTCCCGCTCCCAGATCAATGAAAGATATTCAGTTCCTTCTCCCATGCTCTCCCGGAATCTCCCTTCCCTGTCCAAGCCTTATTCCCAGAATCCCTCACCTCACCTGCCCAGCTTTTCCAGCAATACTTCTGGTTATGGTTTAAGAGCCTCTGATGTCCCCACATCTGAGGCCTGATAACCTTGAAAATGGTTCACATGCCCTGGCAGCTCCCTCGTGCTACCTGACCTCCAAACCAGCTCTTTAGTGATGCCCCTATCCTGCTCTTTATGGGGCAAACCTCAGGTCCCCTCCTGTCTCTACCCACAGAGCCTCCACGTCTGGGTGTCCCATCCTCTCCTAGCCCCTGCAGAGAGGCTCAAAGGGCACAGGTGAGGGGGTGAGTGAGGTAGAAAGCCCCCTGGGGAGTCCATGATGTCCTCCCAGACTTCCTCTGATTGAGCCACTGCCGTACCTGTGTCTGTTTGCAGCGCTGGTCTCACCCTCTCTCTCCATGTGTGTCCGGCTATGTCTGTGTGTCTGTCTCCATCTTTCTCTCTATCTGCATGTCTCAGTCTTTATATCTCCCTCTGCAGTCTCTCTCTATGTCACTATGTCTGTATGTCCTGTCCCTGTCTCTCTCTCTGCACTGTCTCTCCCTCTGCATCTGTCCCTGGGCTCACCTGTTGGATCTGATCCCCCAACTCTGCATCCCTCACCATGTTCCCAAGCCCTTTCCTCCCGATGGCTCCATCTGCTTTAAGTGCCCTCCCTCATAGGGGTGATGCGGCACCAGCCCCACCCATACCCGGCAGGAGAGGAAGGCCTGTGAACTTGGCCCTTAGGGACCAACCACACACACACACCCCAATTCCCCCATCGATCAGCCTGCAGCCCTGGGTCAGTCCTCCATTAGCACTAACCAGCCTGGACAAGAGGCAGACACACCACAGGGCTAGGCCTAGGGGCGATAAGACACAGATTGAATCATGGGAGTGGGGGTGGGGTGGGACTGGCACCCAGGGACATGAGACAGCCATGTGATTAGCCCTGAGGAGCCATGGGAAGCTTGCATTATTGCAGGAACTGGACAGGTGATTGGAAGTGATAGGGCTGAGGGTGGCGGGGAAGCTGCTCCTCCCTGGCTCTGGGTGGAATGCAAGCCTTTGGGTTAGGGAAGGTGAAGACAGGGCCCAGGTGCCCTGACATGATGGGGCCCAGTCTCAGTGCTGCTGACAGAGCCTCAGACCACTCAGTTAAGGCCAGTCATGTTCCAAGGGACAGAGGACAGGGGAGACCTCACCTACTCCCTTGGACAGAATGGGACAGGGAGATGGCTTTGTCCTTAGGAAATAGCCTCTTTACACAGTACCTGGCCTCCAGATGCTAATCAAAGCACCTAGAGCTAAGAAGAGTAACAGAGGGGCAGGAACAAGGGGTCCTGCCTCCATCAATCCTTAGTCCAGCTCCGTCCCTTTCCTGCCCCCCATCACCCCACACACACACACACATGTTTCTCTCTCATCTGCTGCTGCGTGCTTGCTCTGTCCCGGACACACCAATACAAGGAAGACACCCCATCAACGCTCCCATCCTACCAGTACATCTAACTTCCACCCCTTCCACTATAGCCCAGCCTTCCTGAACATGAACTACAAAGATTGACAGTTAGGCTCTCAAGGTCTAGGAAGTTTGACCAGAGGCTGCCTTACCAGCAGGTGAGCCAGGTGACCATGGGAATGGGATCCAAACTATAGTCAAAGGTGAGAGTGACAGGTCCATGGAGTAGGGGTAGGCAGCTGAGGGGAACCTGAGTGGGGGAAGATCCCAGAGAGCTGTCCCCCTACCTGAATCCCAATGCCTCCCTCCTGGAACGACGTCATCCCAATAACTGGCAAGAGACACAGCCAAGGGATAATAAATATAATTGCTATGACGGGACCTTGCCTAGAGAAGCAGGAACATCCTCTACTCCCAGCCCCCACCTGTCCCTTCCCACATGCTGAGGGTGAATTAGATACTTTGAGATCACCCTGGGGCTGCTGGGAGCTATGGGGGATGCTGAGGGCAGGCCCCAGTATTCCGGCTAACCACTCCCAGCCCCTGGGCCGGCCCCCTAGCCCAGGACATCCAGGTAGACAGGAGGTGCCTGGGCCAGGGCTTGCAGCCGGGCGTGCACATCCTTGATGCTGTGGCGTTGCTGGGGCTCCCGCTGCCAGCAGCCCCGCATGATGGCGTAGACCTCTGGTGGGCAGGCACGTGGCCGCTCCAACTCACGTCCCTGCGTGATGCAGTCGATTGCCTGGGGCCACCGGAGAGACAGAGGAGAAAGCCCACTAGGCTGGGGGCAAGAGAGTGAGGCCAGTCCCAGTGCCCTCACTGAGGCTCCCAAGGCAGCTCACACTACTCGTCTGGGCTTCTTAGCTGCTAATAACCCGAATGGACACAGTCAACCCCAGGATTCATTTCTGCTCTGACACTGAGAAGTGAGAAGGATTAAGGCTCGACTATGGGAAGCTTGGGCTGGGGTAGGATTGCTTCCAGAAAACTGGGATCAGATCCTAAGAAGACTTGCCAGGTGGGTTGAGGAAGGCGAGGGGCTGAGGTATTTATCAATCCATCAGCTTAGTGTTGGGGGCTGAAAGGAGGAGGAGAAGGGCCCTCTGACTCTCAGCTCCAGAGAGAGAAAAGAAAATAGAGCAGAACTGCAGTTAAAGGGCGTGAAAAATAGCTGGCTTTCATTTTAAAGAAGAGGGCAATCCTTACTTCTCCCTTCTAGGGATACCACTCTGTGGGACTGACTAGCTCTCCCAAAAAGAAACTGCAGCAAGAAAGATCAAAGTTAGACTCTAGGAAGAACTGCTAAAGCAGCCAAGGAATCCAAAGGAGAAAGGGTGGCAGGGAGTGATTGGAGAAGGGGCCTGGAGCCTCTTTTCCCCTTCTTCCCCCCTCCCTATTAGAGGACTTGGGTTATGGGCGGCACTAATTCCATTTCTTCTCTCAGTGCTTGAGAAAATTAAAATCTATAACCCTCTCCCCCACCCCACCAGCCTCCGGGGAGCAGACTGCATTAGGAGGAGAAATGGAAACTGACAGCTGCGAGCCAAGCAGGGGGTGGGGGCAGCTGCTCTGGGAGACAGAACACCTGGGGCCTGCTCTGGCTGTGGCCAGCTAGGAGGGCAGGGGGAGGGGGTAGGACTGTCCTTCTGACAGTCTAACCTCCAGCCGTCCTGCTGCAGTGTTGGGCCTTCTTGTGCTGGGTTCCTCTTCCCGTGCTGGTCCCTTCCACTCTGATAATTCCTGCTTAGGTCTATAAAATGCAGCTAGGGATGGGGGTCTGGGCTCCTTGTACAAAGCACTTTGAGGTTCCCCCAGGGGCCAACTGGGCCTGGGCTTAGGACAGTAGGTGAAGGCAAGAATAAGGGAGGAAGAGAAGAAAAGGGCCACAGTGGAGGGGACACAGTGTGGGCACGGCGCTGGAAAGGGCCCCCCAACAGGCTGTGGCAGAGGGGCAGAAGGGGAACCGAGTTCCCTGAAAAAGGAACCTGAAGGGGCATGGGACGGGGAGGCCAGCAAGGGGTGACCATGGGCCGGGGCTGACCTCCGTGTTGGAGAGCTGGTACCAGGGCTGCTTGCCGTAGGTGAAGATCTCCCAGAGCACCACGCCGAAGCTCCACACGTCGCTCTCGGTGGTGAACTTACGGTACAGGATGCTCTCGGGCGGCATCCAGCGAATGGGCAGCATGGTGCGGCCTCCCACCTGCCACGGGCGGACACTGCATCAATTCCAGGGGCGCCTGGGACAGCCCGTCAAGGCACAGCCTACCCCAGCCCCATCATTAAAAATAAATACACAAGCTCGGTGGTTCACGCCTGTAATCCCAGCACTTTGGGAGGCCGAGGTGGGCAATCACGAGGTCAGGAGATCGAGACCATCCTGGCCAACATGGTGAAACCCCATCTCTACTAAAAATACAAAAATTAGTTGGGCGTGATGGCGTGTGGCCTGTAATCCCAGCTACTCGGGAGGCTGAAGCAGGAGAATCGCTTGAACCAGGGAGTCAGAGGTTGCAGTGAGCCGAGATCGTGCCACTGCACTCCAGCCTAGCAACAGAGTGAGACGCCGTCTCAAAAAAATAAATTAAATAAATAAATAAACAAACAGTGGTGGCTCTCAGGTCTAAGAGGCAAAAACCGAAGGTGCTGTTTCCATCTGGGATAGCGAAGGAGACAGAGCCCCCTCCACCAGGAGCCGAGGAGGTAGGTTGAAAACCAGAGCCAGTGAATCTCAGACCCATGCAGCCATCCTAGCAAGGGCAGGCTCTCAGTGGTCTTGGGATCCAGGGTGTCTACAGTTTGGATGCAGGGGAAGGCGTTGGGGACAAAGGACCCTTACACGGTAATAGTCGGTGCTGTAGATATCCCTGCTCATGCCAAAATCACCAATCTTGACCACCAGTCCCTGGCCCACTAGACAGTTGCGTGTGGCCAGGTCCCGGTGCACAAAATGCAGACCCGCCAGGTACACCATCCCCGCAGCGACCTGGCTAGCCACGGCCAGCAGCTGCCCCAGACCCAGGGGGCCTGGAGCCACATCCTCCCCACCAGCCAGCAGCTTGGCATCAGGTCCATGGGATCTGTGAACAAGAAAAGGAGAGGGGATAGGCTGGGAGGATAGAACTCCCAGGAGCCTGAGGAAGGCGATCCCCAGCAGCCGCGTGTGATGGGAGAGGAGACTGGGGACCTGGAAGTGGAGGATTGAGAGAACAGTAGAGGCAGCTGTCCAGAGGGGTGGGATGGAGGAGCGGAACAGGTGTGCCCACCTCCAGGGCTCCCACCAGAGACAGCCCATGGTTCCCACATCCATGCCTTCCTCTCTGGCAGCTCCTTGAACTCCAGATGCCCACTGGCCCCTACATCCCTTGCCATAGGCATGTCAGACTCAGCCCTTGCCAATTGGAGCTCGGTGTCTTTCCCCAAGCCTGCCCCTGCCTCAGGGAAGGGACCCTTCCCACCCAGGCAGACCCTGAAACCAGGGAGTCCTTGATTGTCCTGTCTCTCTCCCCTCTGCCCTCAGTGTCCAGCCATTCCTACGGGGTCTTCCTTCCTTTCGAAGGTGTCCAGGATGCCCGCCTTCTCCCCAGAGCGAGCACTCGGGTCAGTCCTAGTCACTCATCCATATTCCCCAATGTTCCTTCTCCTGAACCTTTGCCTGAACTGATCACTTTGCCAAAAATGCCCTTTCCTACTAGCCAATCTTCTCCTCATTTGTTTAGTTGAGGCATTTGTTAAACATTTCCAGTGTGCCAAGCACTGGGGCTACAGTGCAGAGTATGATGCAGATAAGCAGGTCATGGCAGTGCAGTGTGAGGGGCACCTGGCAGGCACCACGGGTGGGAATGGAAAAAGCCAGGGAAGGCTTCCTAGAGGAAGGGACACCTAAATTGAGACTCAAGTCCTGAAGCCATTCGAAGGGAGCTGAGGCAGGGAGGGGTAGAGTTTGTGTGTCTGTCTCCATCTTTCTATGGAGGGAGGGAGGCCCAATGCCCCAGGCAGAGGGAACTGGAAGTACAAAGGCCTGGAGGGGAGAAGGAACAGATGGTCCCTCCTAGGGGAAGTCTTCCAGACTCATCTCTGAGCATTAATGATTCCCTCCATTGATTCCCCCAGTGTTCCATCCAGCAGTTAGAGCCTCGTCTCCCACAGCCTGGGCCCCAGATGCTGGTATCTCCCTAGCCTGTGTCCCCAAGACCAGCACTGAGCCTATGCCATGTCTGGGAGCAAAGAGATAGGCTCCTCCCTGGCCTTCTTGGGCTCCTCTGTGCCTATCCTCCTCCACACTCAACCTTGGGTCTGGCCTCGCCTCCTGCTCCACACCCTGCATGGGCTCCCTCCTGGTCCACAGGATAAGCCCAAGACTCAGGGGTCTCTCCTAGCTGAGTCCTGCAGCCTGACTGCATGAATGACCCATCACTCCCAAAGGGATGTTTGGGGACCAGATCATGACCATCAACTGGACAACCATACAGCGCTTGCTCATCCAGAACCACAGCCCCCACACTGTCCCTCTTACTGGTGAGGAAAGTGAGGTCAGAGAGGAAAGCTACTTGGCAAAGAAGGCTCAGCTCATAAGTGGCAGCTGATTCCAAACCCTGCTCTTCTCCCTGCCTTGCAAACACTGCCCCATCCTCCCGGGGGTGATCTCATCAGAGAAGGACTAGACCGAGGGAACATGTGACCATCACATCAGGGGCTGAGAGTAGGGGCTCTGCCTGGGGCCACATCACCCCTGGGCCATTCACTACCTGTGTGCCCTTGGGCAAGTCACTGAACCTCTCTAAGCCTTATCTGTGAAACAGGCACATTTCTCGAAGTTATTAAAATTATCAGCACAAATAGATAAATGTATCAGAGTTGTTCTGTCCGAAGCCAAAGAAATGAATTTTTTGTAACTTGCTTCAAGTGTAAATTGCAATATATGCTTGGAGGCCATAAAAAATAAATACATATTTATATTACTATACAAGATATATATGTACCAGCACATAGAACCATAATAAGAACAAATTGTAGAGCCAGGTGCAATGGTGTGCACCTGTAGTCCCAGCTACTGGGGAGGCTAAGGCGGGAGAATTGCTTGAGCCCAGGAATTTGAGGCTGCAGTGAGCTATTATTGCAACACCGTTGCACTCCAGCCTAGGCAACAGAGCAAGACCCCAACTCTAAAACAATAACAGTAATAAATACATGTTAAAAAATAAAAAATAATAAATTATAAAGTATATAACATAGCACCTGGAACATAGAAGGTGCCTGATAAATGTTCATTACTGTCGTTGTTACTGTCGTTATCTAAACTGCTACCCTTACAGGCCTGGCCTTTGTGTGCCACACACAAATGCACATACACCCTCTGCAAAGCCCACCCACCCCAAAGTTTTAGCTCACGGCCTTTGCCATCGCAACCTCCCTGACTACTGACACTTGTCCTTTGCAAGAGTCACCCCTATGTTCACACATCTGCCTCCTCTACCATCTCAGAGCTCCCTGGGGACGGGAATGTGCCTTCCTGATCTTTCTTGGTGTCTCCCCTTGGTTTGAAAGACAAGCAGGGATGTCTATAGGGAAGGGAAGACGGGGCCCAGAGCCAGGGGCCGGGGCCAGCGCTGAGGCCAGGTGCTGGTACCGGAGGAAGCGGTTGAGGTCCCCGTGCCGCATATACTCAAAGACCATGAGCAGGGGGCGGCCCTCGGTGCAGACGCCGAAGAAGCGCACGATGTGCTGGTGCTGCAGCATGGTGAGCAGCTCAGCCTCACGCTGGAAGTCCTGCCGAGCACTCTCGGACGCCTCCTTCAGTGCCTGGATGGAAGCGGCAGGGACAGGACTGAGTTGGGGGCCGAGCCCTCACTGCTGTTCACCCAGGGCAGCCCGCCCACCCCGGTATCCAGCCATGTCAGCCCTCTGCATCTCCCCCCACTCTGTCCTGATGTGATGGAGCTCCTGGGGGTGGGACCCAGGCCAGCAGTACCCCCCGGGGCAGGGTCTCACCTTGACAGCCACCAGCATCTTGTCCTGCTCAGGCAGGAGGTTGTGGCACTCAGCAAGGAAGACCTTCCCAAAGGCGCCCTCCCCCAGCTCCCACTTGAGCACGATGTCCCGGCGCTTGATGTGGTGAACACCTGAGGGGGCTTGCAGGGTCAGACGGTAGCCCCAGTCTTGGGAGGGCTGGGGTTGTAGCGGGGACTGTCTTGGCAGGGCTGTGTGCTGCACAAGGCTGCCCAGACGAGGGACTGCATGGGGGCTAAAATTCAACCTGCACCCCTTCAGCAAGCCCCATGTCATAGTGTGGGGCTGCACCTGCCCCGAGAGGACATGGTTTGGGCTAGCTGTGACTCTGGGCAGGGGATGCAGCTAAGAGCCAGGCTGGACTCAGCCTGAGAAGAATATGACAGGGCCTATGGCTGGAATAGGGCTGGGGAGGGGTGGGAGAAAGGGAGGGATCGTTCAGGCCTAGGGGCTTCTACACACACACACACACACACACACACACACACACACTCGTCCCTGCCCTTGACCCAGCATAGCCCCTCACAGGCATCACTGAAGTATTGTGGGTTCTCGATGATGTGGCCTTGGAGCCCAGAGCCTTTGCCCTCGGTGGGGGACAGGGAGCTGCCACCCAATGTCATGAAATGCAGGGACATGGCCAGCCCATCCTCTGGAGCCAGCACAGCCGGGCCTAGAGAGGAGACACAGCCGCATGGAGGGGTTTGCCCACACCTTGGCCCTGCCCACCCTTGCCTGCAGGATGCCTGGTCACCCCCACCTTGTAACTTGCAGGGGAGAGACTGAGAAGCTAGGGAGCGAGACAGCAGGCAGGGGGAAGGGGGCACCACCGCCTCTCCCTGTGCTGGCTCCTGTCCCACCCCTGGCCCCATGGGCACCAAAGAACTCCCCCTCCACCCCCACAGAGCCCAGACCTCCCAGACCCACTTAATGCTTGACTACAATCCAGCCACCAATTAGCAGCTGCCGCCTCTGAAACTACCCCAGCACCAGCCCGACACACGCTCCCACACACACTCACACTCACAAGCCTCACAGCCAGGCCTTCATTTATACCCCAAACACACTCACACGCCCTGGAACTCCCATGTGCACAGCCCCCCAGAGACAGAGTCAGGAAGAGCCAGTAGGAAACAAAGCCAGGAGAACAGACAGACAGACAGCCCTCTGCAGCCCCGACTCACGGTTGATCCCAAACTTGTTTCTCCGTCCACATTTGTTGAGCACAAGGAGCAGCGTAGAAAGGAAGAGGCAGGCAAAGACGGCCAGGCCCACAGCCACCGAGACCTGGTGGGGGACAGGGGTAGTTAGATCCAGGGGCTCCTCCTGTACTCTCAGAGCCTCCTGTAGTAAGCCATTTTTTCATCCTGCATGGGAGCCCGGAGCCAGGTCTCCAGACCTGCCTCATCCTCCCCTGGGGACCCCTGCAGTGGCTGTGCGGGTGGCCGTCAGAGCTCAGGCCAGATGGTAGTGATCTCCCTGCTCTGACCAGAAATGACATGCAGATGAGCCTCTACCCAGCCTCCCGGTCCCAAAGTCTGCACAAGCTTCTACTTCCTATCTCACCCCAAAAGGTGTTTCGTCCTTCTTCTCCACCGGGTCTCCAGATGTGCTGTTAGTGTCTGTAGGGACACAGGGCAGGAGGGGTGAGCCTTGACACACACTGTAGCCTCCAGTAACCCCCCAACCCTGGCCCCAGCTGGTCTCTCAGGGATCAGTTCAGCTGTACCCTCTGCCCCAGCCTCAGCTCCAGAGACCAGGCAGAACCTGCCCTCCACCTTGGGCTACTCACCCACCGGCGAGAAGGAGACTGCAGCAGGAGGGAGGAGAGAAAGCAGTCAGAGGGAGGAGAGAAAGCAGTCAGAGGGAGGAGGAAAGCAGTGAGTCCCCTGCCTACTCTGGGACTCATTCCTTCATGGGACGAGGGGGGATGGAGGTGGGCTGCTGGGCCTCAAGGAAGAAGATGCATGTGACCCTTTTCCAGCTGGGCCAGGATGCCCTGCTGCATGGCTGTCTCCTCAGCCAGCCGACAAGGACGGAATAGCTCAGGAGTTCAGGAGTCCTGGCTTGGGGAGAGGGTAAGGAGGCCAGAACAGCGGGACACCAGGACTCCAGACTCCTTTCTGTCCCGAACCAGGCACTCCAATTTCTGGGGTCAGGGCTATAGCAGGAAGTTGGCTGTAACCCAGGAGGAGCCCAGGAGTGGGGGCAGGGTTCAGGATGGCCCTCGCACCAGGGATGGGGTCCTCGGGGTTGAACTCGAAAGGGTTGTCCATGAAGGCAGCCATGATGGAGGCGGAGGCCTGGCCGAAGGGGTTGGCAGCCAGCAGCGTGTAGTTGCCGTTGTTGACGTGGGTGGGCTGGTTGAGGCGCAGACACCCGTGCCGCACGGTCTCATTGGCTGCCGGCTCCAGGAACTCAGTGAAGATGAAGCTGGTCTCATTGAGCACGGAGCCATTGAAGAGCCAGCGCAGAGACGGTGCCGGCTGCCCATCCACAGAGAAGGGGATGCACCAGTGGTGCATCTCCACCGCCGTGTGCAGCTGCACACTGGCCGGGACTGTGGGCCAGAAAGAGCAACAGCAGGAGGTCAGGGCGCAGCTGGAGGGAGCCTGGCACACACCCGACAAGTCCACGGGCAAAGCGAGTAGAACCCGAAATCAAAGGGCAGGCCTGGGAGAAACAGGTCAGCAGGCCCTGGGAAATTCACCAAGGAGAGATGTTTTGAAGAAAGTTGACAATACATTTTAAATAAATCAGGCAGCAGGCATATAAAATTTAGAGGCTTAAAGAACATAAGTGGTGGGCCATAAATAAGTCACAGCCCCACAGGAGTGGGGTATCAGCTTATGACAATTAAACATGGAGTCTTTGGGATAAGGAATCTAGAAGAAGTCAGTGTAACCAAGCTGAAGAAGATGGGTCAGGGGCCCTAACAATCAAACCAGCCAAAAATATATACAGTTAAATTTTTGGGGAAAAGCCAGGCACAGTGACTTGCTCCTGTAATCCCAGCTACTCAGGGGGCTGAGGTGGGAGGATCGCTTGAGGCCAGGAGTTCAAGGCTGCAGTGAGTTATGATCCCAAAGCATTCCAGCCTGGGCAACAGGCTGAGACCCCATCTCTTCAAACACACACACACACACACACACACACACACACACACACACACACTCTTTTTGAAAAAAGATATGCGTTTGAAATAGACCCAATCTGGGCCAGGCGCGGTGGCTCACGCCTGTAATTCCAATACTTTGGGAGGCCGAGGCGGGCGGATCACGAGGTCAGGAGATCGAGACCATCCTGGCTAACACGGTGAAACCCCGTCTCCACTAAAAAAATACAAAAAATTAGCTGGGCGTGGTGGAGGGCGCCTGTAGTCCCAGATACTCAGGAGGCTGAAGCAGGAGAATGACGTGAACCTGGGAGGCGGAGCTTGAAGTGAGCCGAGAGCGCGCCACTGCACTCCAGCCTGGGTGACAGAGCGAGACTCCATCTCAAAAAAAAAAAAAAGAAATAGACCCAATCTGGTAAAAGTAAAAGCCCCTCAATGATAGAAAAAAAGTGTATGTATGCATAAATATATGTATATATATATATAATATAGCATTCATACATAGGAATACTATTTAGCAATGAATTGCATGAGCTACATATAGCAACTCCCATTAACATGAATGAATCTTATAAATATAATGTTGAATGAAAGAAACCAGATACAAAATAATACACGCAGTATGATTCCATTTATATAATGTACAAGAACAGGCAAAACTAAATGATACCGATAGGAAAGCATATTTGAGAAAAATTATTTTTAAAAGCAAGGAAATGGTTATCCTGACAAAAGTCAACATGAGATGGGAGAGTGGGATGGGATTGCGAACAGGGAGAGGTGTTGGGTGGTGGGGGATCTTCCGTGATGCTGGTAAGAGTAATTATTGTTTAAAATATATATATTTTTTGCACATTTCTATGTATATTTCACAATAAAAGAAGAAAACTGATGTAAAGTAGAATATTTAAGATAATTTGTTGGCTGATCTAGAGAAATTAGGCAGCGAGCGTAAAGAGGAACTCAGGAGGAGAATTTCCTCTTTTGAAACTAGGATGCGGGGAGAAGGACCCGATGAGGGACGGGCATGAAAAAATACTTCGGAGCAGTGGGAACAGCCGGGCATCTGGCGTTGAGGGCCTCAGGTAGCAAGGCTCGGGCAGGGGGCCAGAAAGAAATCCATCTCCATCCCTCTGGCCTTGACAAGACCCCAGGACTTCCCCCAAAGGATCAGGTTTTCATGGGAATCTGGAAACAGCTGGGAGGGAGCAGCTGTGGAGACACACATCCCACCCTTTCTTCCAGCCCCCCACCCTACATCCTCTTTTGAGGGAAGAAGAGATGAGTAGGGGGTGGGTGCCGGAGCTGCCACTGAGACTCACAGGAGACGTTGACCTGAACAGAGACCTCTGCCCGGCCCACATCGTTCTCTGCCCAGCACGTCACGTTCTTCCTGTTGAGGTCACTGGTGACATTGGCCAGGGTCAGCCCCAGGGATGGCAGACCCCCAGATTTCTAGATCAGGAAAGAGAGGGGGGAATAAGAAGGAGCTTTAGCCAGCTTGGGGCTGGGGCTGAAGTCTTTGGAGAGCCCCTCTGGCTCCAGATGGAAAGGAGAGGAGGGCTGGGAGGGAAGAGAAGGGAGAGAGGGGTGGGAGAGAATGTAGCAGATAATGGCCTTCCTCCTTTAGGTTTGTTCGTTGACTATCTCCTGGATCACATTTTTTTTTTATTTTATGTTTTATTTTTGTAGCGACGGGGTCTTACTGTCCTGCCCAGGCTGGTCTTGAACAGGGCCTCAAGCAATCCTCTCACCTCGGCCTCCCAAAGTATTGGGATTACAGGCGTGAGCCACTGCGCCCAGCCTGGATCACGTATTTAATTATCTGAAAAATCTAAAATCTAACCAGTAGCCTCAAAATAGGCACAAAATATCCCAAACTGAAACTAAAACCAGCCATCTGAGCAGCTAAACAGATGTCACGCATCCCAAGTACCAAATTTGTACACAGCTCGTTGGAGACCCCACTAGGACCTCACTGCCTATTCATTCCTGTTTTACACACAGTTCTAACAAACTGAGTCTCAGCCCAAGGAAGATCAGAAACAAAGAGATGGTGCAAATAGCACAGCAGCAGTTAGAAACAACAGCAGCGGCATCGCCTCCTGCAGCAGATGAGGACCATGGGTGAGGTTAGACAGGCAAAGTGACTTGATTCTGAATCATCGTCAGGATTGAATCAGATCAAGTTTCTCTTCCTAGGAAACCGTGGATTTGTCATGTGTAAGTTACATGATCTTACGACAATTCTTCATCTTGCTGAACTGTGGGTTTTTTGTTTGTTTTGTAAGCTGAAGAGGTGGACAAATTATCTTCTGACATTTTAGAAAGTGATTTTCACAAAATGAAAATAATGAAGTGGTGGATAAATCTCATTTATCCGAAAACTTTATAAATGTGGAATCCTCTGACCACATGCCAGAGGAGGTATGGTTTCCCCAGGCTTCCATTGGAATATGTGAGTTCAAAGGTTCCAGTAGAGTTTCCAGCCTTTTGTGCAAGCTCTGGGTTCCAGCCACTTCGAGGGGAAGCCCTGCCCTGCCCTCTGCTTCCCTTGGCTGTCCCATCCCCTCCAACTACTGTGGGGCCAATAACTCTTCCCCTTGAGCTGGTCTGCCACCCCTTATCCTCCTAACTGAGGGAGAGCAGCCTCTCTTCTCCTCCATTTAACCCATTTAGGGTGCAATTTTTTTTAAGAGATAGGGTCTTGCTTTGTTGCCCAGGCTGGTCTCAAACTGCTGGTCTCAAGTGATTATCCCTCCTTGGCCTCCCAAAGTGCTGGGATTACAGGTATGGGCCACTGTGCCCAGTAGGGAGTGACTTTTGTATAGGTAGTTTCTAGAAAACACAGATGGTAGCAAACATGTAAGTCTCCCAAAGAGAAAGCAAATCCTGGAATCACCCCAAACAGAGTTGATCTAAGGTCTCTCCATGCAGGGGTATGGCCTCTGCCTGGTCCCCTTTCTTTTACTCACTCTAGGCAGCTTTGCTCTCTGGAGCAGGGAGGAACTGCTCAGTGGCTAGTTGTCCCTCCACCATGTCTGAAGCCCCCTGCTCAGCGCCCCAGTGGCATCTCCCTCAACATGGTTCCAGGGGCCTCCAGCAATTCTGGGGTGGACTCTCCCACCAAAGTGAAGGCTCCCCAAATAAACACCATGCTCCCAGCCCCCCAGGCACACATTCCTGGTCCCTGCATATCCACTCCTCCTGCCCAGGTGGAGCCAGCTTTTTGGGTGGGCACAGCCCATTGTCAGCTGCCGTTGACCTCGTCAACAAGGCCGACTGAGTTACCTGTGGCTACTCTCATCGGCCCATCGCCAGCCTAAGGACAAAGGGTAAGGCCTGGGAAGATGTCCAAAGGCATGTATGGATAACAGAGATAGAGGCCAGAGAACGCCCAGGGGCAGGCAGGACATCAGAAGGCCATCATGTCCACCTTCTCAGCTTACAGATAAGAAAACCAAAGTGCAGGCAGATTAAGGGATTTTTCTGAAAGTCATTCCCAGAATTAATTAGTGAGAGAGCTGGAGCCAGACCTATGCCTCCCTTACTAATACGTTCATCACATGCCCAAGAGGATGCTGCTTCCAGAATCTCCAGAAAAAAGACCACGATACCCCCGAGAACTCATCCCGGATGCAGTACAACTGATATTGTGCCTCCTCCCTGGGTTCCAGTTTCCTTATATAGAAAAGTGATCTGCCGGGCACAGTGGCTCACACCTGTAATCCCAGCACTTTGGGAGGCCGAGGTGGGTGGATCACGAGGTCAGGAGTTTGAGACCAGCGTGGCCAACGTAGTGAAACCCTGTCTCTACTAAAAATACAAAAATTAGCTGGGCATGGTGGCGCGTGCCTGTACTCCCAGCTACTCGGGAGGCTGAGGCAGGAGAATCGCAGAATCGCTTGAACCCGAGAGGCGGAGGTTGCGGTGAGTCAAGATCGCGCCACTGCACTCCAGCCTGGGCAACAGAGCGAAACTCCATAAAAGGAAGGAAGGAAGGAAGGAAGGAAGGAAGGAAGGAAGGAAGGAAGGAAGGAAGGAAGGAAGGAAGGAAGGGAGAGAGAAAAGTGATGTACGGGAGGGATGGTCTGTTGGGTTCCTCTCAGCTCCAACATGTAAGGTTTCTGTGACCCTCTCCCTTGCAGCCAACACCATGTTCCCAGAAAGGGGTTCTAAGTCCTGGGGCTTCAAGTATAGCCTGGGGTCCCTGCTGGGTCAGTGCCCACCCTGAGGGTGTGTGCGTGCCCTGGGCTGCCCCAGAGCATAGGCCTGAGCCCTGTGGGTCTAAACCATCTCTGTCCGTCCCTCAACCTCAGTGTGCTCCTTATTCGTTGTCTCTTTCCTCCACAGTGTGTCTCTCTTTCCCCATCTTTGTCCCCTGTGCTCTGCCTGGACCTCTTGGGGGCTGCCAGCGAAGGTCTTCTCACCATCACCGTGGCTGACTGCTCCAGCTCTGTGAGGATCCAGCCGGCCTGCTCCAGGCCCCGCCCCTCCACCTGGCACCGCAGCAGCACGTCGTCCCCCACATCCACCGAGGCATTGGGCACCTGGACCTTCAGCGTGGGCACACCTGGCCACCCAGGACGCCCGAGGGCCAAGGGGTGTTAGAGCTGGGAGTGGCCCCAGAACTCTACTGCGGGGCTGCTCCTTCCCCCACCCTCCTCAATGACCTGGAGCCCAGGCGATGTCACCCCAGGCAGTTTCCCCCAGCCTTTGCCAGTGCCCATTCCCCAGGCCTTTTCAGTGCTTGCTCAGTGCCCTCTCCCTCAGGCAGGTAGGTCTCTTCCCCAGCCCCCTTACACCACCTCCCTCACCCGGCACCTACCACAGCTGGCATTGGGCATGTGGGCCAGGGGCCCTTGCCCATGACACTGCAGCTTCTGTTCAGGCACTCCGCCCAGTCCCTCCTCCTCCCAGCGCTGTAGCCAGCGCAGGGCACAAGAACAGTGCAGAGGGTTCCCCGACAGGACCCTGGGGGGCATGGGGGACACCAACAGAGTCAAGGAAAGGGCCTGAGGGATCACAGGGGATAAGAGGGAGCAGTTAGGCAGCAGGGAGGACCGTCTACAGGTGAAAGGGAGGACACAGAGGTCTTTCTCTCTGACTCCAGTAACAGGATGTTATTCAAAGAAATAGGCCATTGGGAGGCCGAGGCGGGCGGATCACAAGGTCAGAAGATCGAGACCATCCTGGCTAACACAGTGAAACCCCGTCTCTACTAAAAATGCAAAAACTTAGCCAGGCATGGTGGCGGGCACCTGTAGTCCCACCTACTCAGGAGGCTGAGGCAGGAGAATGGCGTGAACCCAGGAGGCGGAGCTTGCAGTGAGCCGAGATGAGATTGTGCCACTGCACTCCAGCCTGGGTGACAGAGCGAGACTCCGTCTCATAAAAAAAAAAAAAGAAAAGAAAAGAAAAGAAAGAAAGAAAAGAAAAGAAATAAGCCAGGCGCTGTGACTCACACCTGTTATCCCGGCACTTTGGGAGGCCGAGGCGGAGGATGGCTTGAGCCCAGGAGTTCAAGATCAGCCTGGGCAACATGGCAAAACCCCAACTCTACAAAAAGAAAAAATAACGTAAAAATGAAAGAAATCTAATGCAGAAAGTGGAAGACAAGACAGCTGACGTCTGAGGGATGCATGGGGCTCCCTCACCCCAGGCTCCCCAGGATGAGAAACCAGGCAAGGGCTCTCAGCATGGTGACAAGGAGGGAAGGGCACAGCCCCCCAGAGTGACCCAGAGGCTTTAAGTGCCCACCAGGTACACATGGACCCCTGCTGCCCCACTCACCCCTGTGCAGGGTGCCCTGGGAATGTGGGCAGATGTGCCTTGGACACACAGTGGGCCTGTAATCTGCTCAGCCAGGCCCAGCACACACACAGTCATCCAGGCCAGCTCCTCAGGGCAGTAGCCCCCTTAACGGGTAGTCCTGCAGCCCCTGCTTTGATGGGGGTTTCACTGGCATGCACATAGTCCCCAAAGAGACCCCCCAGCAGTGTCACACAGACACAGTGACCCAATGTCATCCAACAGACCCAAGTGCACACAGGCACACACACACTTGGTGCTCTTGCCCCTGGAAGCGCCCCCACTCACAGTTCCTGTAAGGAGAGGCCCTGCACAGTTTTCCAGGAGAGAGACTCCAGAGCGTTGAAGGAGAGATTCCTGCGGGCGTGGAGACACAGCAAGACAGACCCCTTGAGTGACCCGACCTCACTCTGACCAGAATGAGGGAGGGGAGGAGCCAAGAAAGAAGTTGACATCTGGCTCCCCCGCCCCGGCCTAGGCAACCAGAACCAGCCCTGGAAGGCAGTGTGTGTAGATGGTGGGGTGGGGGGTGGGGGGACTTTCTGAGTCCCACTCCTTTCCCTGGGACAACAAGGGTTAACCCCACTTAACCCCCTCTCCAGACCCCAGGGAGGGGGATCTGAGGGAACAGCCGCTCCTCCCTCCCCCACTGCTTTGGCCCCAGCTGGCAAAGTGCTGAGGCCACAGCTGGGGGAAGGGGTCCATCTGTGCTCCCCTCCCTACAGAGCCCAGGACGGGGCCAGAGGAAGAGGGGGAGGGTTGAGGCTGCCACTCCCTTGCCCCTACCTGACCACAAGGAACTCCACGCACTTCCTCAGCTCCCCTCCTCCTCCTCCTTCCGGGCCCTCCTCAGGGACTAAAAGGTCAGGCAGGAAAGGACCCACACCCCCACACCCCCAGCCCCCTCGTTGTATGGATGGAAAAAGTGAGCCCAGCAGGGGCCCGGCTCCAGGCCACACAGGAAAATGATGTAGGAGCCCCAGTGCCCTGTGCCCTGTGCCAGGCTGCCGCTGCTGGGACCCTCTGCCTCTGAGGGGCCTATCCTGACCCCTCTTCTTTCCTAGCCAACCTAGAATTTGTGGTGGCTGGGTGGGAGAAGTACCACCACATAGGGACCAAAGACACAACCCACTCTAGAGCCAGCTAGAGCAGGTGTAAGTTCTATCCTGCCACTTACAGCTGTGTGACCTCAGTCCAGAAACTCAACCTCTCTGATTCTCAGAATTCTCATCTATGAAATGGGGACAAGAACACTCTCTCTCTCACCAGGTTGATTGTGAAGATTCATTGACATAAGTATCGTGAAGTGTCATTGAGCACGTTTTTAACTGAAGCCCCGGTGCATAGACGGTGATATGACATCACTTTATTTTGCTTTGTTAAATTGCTGGACACAGCAGAGTTTAGAGGACCCTGCATAACTCCATGAGTGTCAGCCCCACCATCCTTCCCATCTCTCTGCCTGCTCATATTGGGGGACAGGGGAGCTGAACTCCTGCCCTCAGAAGGCCAGGGAGGGGCTGCCAGGGACTCTGATAGTCTCTCCTGCCCATCCCATGACCCTCTCTGTCCTACAGCAGGGGTCCCCAATTCCCAGGCCACAGATGGGTAATAGTGCCACTATTCTCCAGCCTGAGCAACAGAGGGAGACCCTGACTCTTAAAAAATAAATTAAAGAAAAAGAGAAGCACAGCAAGGAAGAGGGGCTATAAACAGGGCAAATATGTGGTCTCTTAGGAACCGGGCCACACAGCAGGAGGTGAGCAGCGGTGAGTGAGCATTACCGCCTGAGCTCCGCCTCCTGTCATATCAATGGCAGCATTAGATTCTGTGAACTACTGCGCACGTGAGGGATCTAGGTTGTGTGCTCCTTTTGAGAATCTAACTAATGCCTCATAATCTGAGGTGGAACAGTTTCGTCCTGAAATCATCCTCTCCTCCCGCACCATCCGTGGTAAAATTGTCTTCCATGAAACCAGTCTCTGGTGCCAAAAAAGTTGGGGTCCACTGCTCTACAGGAGGGATAGTTATGACTCCCAGGAATGAGGAGGGTGACAAGTGGCAGACCTAACACCCCAGCTCCCAGGATGTCCTAGGGGCCAAGTCAATGAGTCCCTGGGAAATGGAGTCCCAGCCAGAACCCAGGAGTCCTGCTCCTGCCGCTTGCTCCCTTTGCACTGGTGTGTATCTGAGCCCTGGGAAGAAAGATAGGGCAGGCACCTATGAGAAGTGTCCTTGCAGCATGGACCATGGAAGTGAGATGGCAAGGAGGACCTCTAGCTGTCAGGGGCGAGAGCATGCCATCCCTGAGGGAGATGGGAGGAAGCCCCAGGAGAATGGTGAGGTGACTTCCCTGACCAGGCTTGGGCCCTCCTCGCAATCATTCCCCGGGGACAGCCAAGCCCATTAGCAGCCCAAGTCTGGGTGTCCTCCCCAACTCCCACTGCCCAGCACTGGCCACACTCACAGGCGACTGAGCCGAGGAGTGAAATGGAAGGCATCTGGCGCCACGAAACGGAGACCACTCTTCACGATGGTGCTGGGGAGGGGTGCAGGAGGATCAGTCCCCAGGTCTCAGCTACTCTGGGCCCCTGGCCCTCCCTGCCCATCCCAGCCTCCCAGTCCCCTGTGCTGAACCCCTACCCCTCCTCAGGCCCCTCATTGTTTCCTCAACTACTCTAGACCCCTCAAAGCCCTGAGCTTCCTGACTTCTCCCAGTCCCTCAGTGCTCAGCCTCTCAGGTCCTCCCAGGCCCTCGGATGCTTGAGCCCTCCCTGACCTTCTGGTCTCCCCCAGGCCCATGCTGAGCTCCACACCCACAGTCCCCGTTTCCCTCACAGGTTTCTCAGCTCCCCCAGGCCCCTCAGATCACGGAGCTCCAGATGCTGCAGATGCTGCTGGTTCTCGATGTAGCTGTGGGGAGAGCGGATGGGAGTCACAGGGCTCAGGCCCACACTTGAGTTCCCATGCCCACCCACTTACTCCCTCACAATACACATGCACATGCCACATGCACACGCATATGCACCTGTTCAGACCTGCATACACACTTACACAGGCGTGCACACACAAATGCATACATGTGCACAGAGACGCACCTCAAGTCACACATGCACATGTGTGTGCATGAACACACAAGCGCACATACATATGGATCCCCACACCCTCACACATATGCACATTCTCACATACCTCTTGCACACATGCACACACCTAGGTATGCACATGCGCACACACAGAGGCATAAGCATCTGCACAGATGACGCCATGCACCTGCACATGTGCCTGCAGGAACACGCTCACCCATGGACACACAGAAACAAAGCTCACGTCCATCTCTCACGTGCACACACACAAGTCCATTCTCAGATTGGTGTTCTCCTTTTATATCAGGCATCCCTGGCACACACTCATCAGTGGGAGGTTGTACTGAAACACTTGCTACCACAAAAGGCCAAGGCTTATCCCTGCCACTGCCCCACCCAGCACAGACGAAGCCTGTGCTCATGCAAATGTGTGTTCCCAAACGTGCCCGCCCAAGGGCCACTGCCTGGTCTCACCTGTACTACACACACACACAGACATACACACACACACACACACACAAACATCTCTGCACCCCCATAGCCTCTGGCCCCTCTTCACACCCAAGCAGCAACCCCTACTCCACCGAAACCTCCCCTACCATCTTTTCAGCAGATCAAGCAAGAGTCTTACAGGCTATCAGTTAGGGACCCCAAGGAGGGACCCAGGAAAGAGGAGAGGAGCAATGAGAGGAGGCAGTCAGAGTGTCGAGGAGGGGAGAAGAGGCACAGACTGGCTGACTTACACAGCAAGAGAGAGAGAGAGAGAGACAGAAAGATGGAAAGGCTCAACGAGGAGGGTGGGGGCAGACGGGCAGAAAAACAAAGAGAGAGTGAAACAGAGACACTGAAAGAGAAACTGACAGGAAGAGGTCAGAGAGATAGTGACAGGCAAGAAGGAAGACAGATAAGGGGAGGGAGACAGACAGATAAGGACAGAGAGCTACAGAAAGCGAGATAGACAAGAAAGAAAGAAGAATGAGTAGGCATTCGGGGCTAGGGGACAGCTGACGCCCTGGGGCCTGCCTAGCTGCTGGATCCGACATACCAGGGAGTTCCTGAGAACTCGGCTGCCCTGTAGTGACATGTTAGTGTGCCCCCCCCACCCCAACAATACACATGCCAGGGGCCCCTGACTCACTGACGGTTCTCAGAACTCTCCCCCTCTACCCTCTAACTTTCCCTAACTTATAGGAACCAGGACCAGCCTAAGTGACCCCTCCCTTCCTCCTTTCCTCCCTTCCCAGCCTTGGCCCCACCAGGACAGCCAGGATCAGGTCCTAAGTTTCCCTGTGGACTTAGTAGAGGCCTATAAAGTAACCTCCACTGACTCCGAGGGAGGCCAAGTCCCTATTCTACCCACCCCCCAGCCCCTGCCCAGAGGGTTTCAAGCTGTAGGGACCCAGGGAGGGGGTGAGAATGCAGTGGGCTGGCAGGGTGTGTGGGAGCTGTCAGGCCAGCGTGCTCAAAGCTGCCTCAAAGCTGCCTCATTCGTTTGGATTCATAATCAATCTGTCTATTCGAGTCCATTATCTCCTCGTTAGCTCTGCGGGTGAGTGAGGAGGGAGGGGGCTGTGCAGGCAGTGGGGAGGGGGATGTCAGGCTGCAGCCCCACCCAGGGGGACATCTCAGCTCACCACCCTACATGCTTGCTAGTCCCCAGTTCTGGCCTGTCCACTCCCCCTACCACTCCCATCCCTACCCTGCTGGACCCACTTGGGGCTTGGAAAGAGTTGGGAAACACGAGCCCTGATGGGGAGCACTCAGGAGTCTGGACCCCAATCTGAAGGCCCAGGGTGATGAGAGAACTGGACTAGGACTGGCAACCTGTCTCTCATGCCCCCTCCCATCATGCAGAGACCTAGGCCTAGACCAAGACAAGGCCATCTCCTCTACTCCTGGTCTCCCTAGAGCTATTAGAGAGAGAGATTGAGTGCCTTCCCGTTAATTACCATGAGATACCCAAGGAACTCAGTGCCAATTACTGCAAGCTGCTCAAGTAACTTCCAGACAGTGATGATCCTCACCTCGGATACCTTCCAGCCCATCACAGCACAAGGCCAAGGTTCCTTGTCCACCCTCGAAACCCCAGGCCACAGGAGGAGGATTTTCTAGCAGTTCTCCCCTCTTCTAGATGTCTTGCTGGCCATGATAGCCATATGTAATATTCAAGTATTTTCCAGCCATCACCATATGATGCCTGAGTACCTCCAGGCCAGTCATTACCGCATACTCCCATAGGTTTCACCAGCTGCTAAAAAGTACTTGAGTATTTTGTAACCAATTCCTGCAGAATGTCAGAGTCCTGCAGAATGCTGAAGATTCCTCCCAGCTTCGTGTACCAAAGGGAGGAGGGTCTCTCAGCAAGGGCCCTGACTCCCCGCCCCAGGTAGAGAGACAAGGTTGGAGAGGGAGATGGGAGTGGGGAGAGAAAATCCAGGAGGGGGTCCCATTTCCCAGATCCAAATCAACGGGTTCTGGGGGAAGGAATGGTAAAAATGGAAAGAGGAGAGCTCAACCACTCAGCTCCTCACCGCCTCCCACCAATGCCAGCCAGCTCAATCCCCAATTCCAGAAGAAAAGCTAGGGTTGCCTCCTCATAACAAGAAAGTGGGCGGGGGCTGGCTTGCCCCTAGAAAAGGAAAAAGGCAGTAAGGGTGACAAACTGGGGACTTCTCTGCTGGTAACCATCCTTCTCTGTAGGACAGAGCAGGGGCTTCTGGCTGAGCTCCAGAAAGCGCCTTCTAGACGGCTAGGCTCTCTCAGACCTGGTCCACGGAGATTTCCCCCTTCGATCTCCCTGAAGCCGGCGGCCCAGCTGCCCTGAACACTAGGGGACATCCAGGCACTGACCATAAAGCTTGCTAGGGCAGCGGCGGCTGCGGAGGAACGCCCGGGCAGCGCCGAAGGCTGCGTGGTGCCAGCCTTCCGCCGTGCTCGTCCTGCCTGACCAGCAAACAAGCAGCGAGTCCGCGCCCTCGGGGCACTGCAATGCCTGCCTGTCCCCGCGCCCCCCCACCGCCCGCCGGACACTCACAGCTCAGTCAGGTTCTCTGCGCCGGGCAGGTGGTGGAGGCTATCCAGGGCCCCATCCCGGGTGCATCGCAGTCCCGAGGAGCCGTGGGGGCAGCAGGCATCGGGGCAGGGTGCGGCGCCCGCAGATGCCAGTATCAGCCAAGCCAGCAGGCTGCCCGGCCCCGCAGCCCAGCTGTGCCAGCCAAGCTGCCCGCGCCGTCCGCCTCGCAGCATCGCGGCGGCGCCCGCCTCGCTCAGGCGGGGCAGCCGTCTGTGCGCTCCCAGCTGCAGCTGCCAGGCCTCCCCCGACATGTGCGCTGGGCGGTGTTAAAGACCCAGCCGCCAGGAAAGGGCGGAGCCAGCGGCCCCCGCCCGGCCCCGCCTTGCCCCTCTTCTCCACCCGCTTCCTACTCTCTGACGCCCCCCCCTCTGCCCCCTCCCCTGTTAGGGGCCCCCAGCGTCAGCCTTCTCCCCGAGGATCCGCCTCAGCTCCGGCAGACGCTGAGGGGCCGCAGCAGAACGCCTCGGAGGTGTCTGCTGAGGCCGGAGGTGGGAAGCTGATACGTTATTTCTCTCAGCTTAAAGCAGCTGCATTTTTACATTTGGGGAGGAGGGAAGATGACTGCGTTGAGGAAAGGTTGCTGTCCAGGTCATCCTAGCCAGCCCCAGGCTCAGCGCTCCATCCTCGCGGCGCGCGTGCCTAGGGGAGTGAGCATGTCACTTGGAGTAAGTTAGGTAGAACATTCTCCGAACTCTAGGAAGAAAACGAAAAGGACTACCAAAGGATCAATCGCAGAACCTGGGGAGGAAGACACAGACGGGGCAGAGAAAGGGAAGGGGTCGCCTAATCCGGCCGAAGGGAGTCCGGAGAGCCAAGACCGCGCCTCCAAGAGAAGCCACAGGGTGGCGCGAGAAGCCCGCGCGCAAAGGCGCGAGCTCCCCGCCCGCGCTGGGTGCCTGGGGGTGCGATCTGCAGCCCCCAGTGAGCAACGCCTCAGGTCTCAGCTTCAGTCCCTGACCCCGGCCAGCCAGCGCCGGCCCCGGGGCAGGATAGGGCAAGGCAGGGCAGGGCTGACATCGATCGCCTCCCTGACAAGAGCATCGATTTATTCGTGAAGAAATTAATAGATCTTCTCTTAGCTCCTCGGACGCAGGAGCCGCCCGCGGGTGGAGCTGAGGACCGCGCACCTTGGAGGCCGAGCACCTGGAAAGCCCCGGGATCCCCAGCACCCAGGGCAGCAGAAGGCTGGTCCCAACCCCTCCCACCGCGCAAGCCTCCGTGGCTGCACTAACCCATCCGTCTCAAGCTGGGGAGAGCGAAGGGAAGAGGGGTGTCTCTTGGCGGGGAGACAGGCAAGGCCCCAGGGAGCGGGGGAAGGACGACCTCCTAGAGGCTCACGGTTCTCTCCGCCAAGGCCCCAGCACGGATGGCCCCCCAAGTCCCCGAGACAGGGACACACAGACCGACCGAGCAGCCTGAGCTCAAGAAGGTGACCAGACGGAGGCAGAGCCCTACACAGTGATCGCCTTCTTCCTCGGGATCTTGGTCAGAACCAAGGGACTAGGCGGTGACGGAGCCTGGCGCTAAGGGGTCTCCAAAGAGGACAAGGAGGCCTCCTAGGAGGCTGAGAGGGGCTCCCAGAGGCCAAGGGCTGTCCACGTTCTCCCGGGTCGAGGCTGCCAGAAGTTACCCCGCAGATGTCAAGGCACCGGGAAGCAGAATCTAGACACAGCGCTCCCCAGAAGCCCGGGCGCGCTGGCTGCCCCTCCGGCGGTGCAGCCCCACTTGGAAGAAGCCTGTGGTGGGGACAAAGGGTTGGCGGGAGCCGCTGCAGCCGCAGCGGGATTTGAGGAAGCTCAGTTCTTGGCCCACCCTCCCCCCGTATTTTGGCCTTATTTCCCCAACAGACCTGTCCTCCCCTCAGTTGTCAGGCTAAATATTTTGACTTGGCGGGAGGGGTGGAGAGAACGGAAAGGTCCCTGCGAACCAATCTGTTTAGGCGGGGGGCGGGGAGGGCGGGAGCTGGGCGCGGCCCCTGCGTGCCGGCCCTGGGAAGGACCGCAGCCAGCACTGTCAGCTGGCGCTGGGGGGCCGCGCGCCCGGAGGGATCCAGGGAGACTCTCCCTGCGGAGTCCCACGCGCCCCGGGACCCCCGCTGCCCTCCTTGGGAGCGGTCCCCAGCCTGCTGCTCCGCCCTCAGGGTTGGCTGGCCTCTCGGCCTGCCTTTTGCTCAGAACCCTGTGTCATTTTCTCCCTCTGGAGGCCCGAGACTCTCCCTGTCACTGTCTGCATCTCTGTCCCCATCTCTCAATCTCATGCTGAGTCTCTCTGTCTCCAACTGCCTGTCACTGTCTTTGTGTCTCTGTGACTCTCATTTCTTTTTTTCTGTCTCCTGCTGTCTCTGTGTGGGATTCCTTGTCTCTCTGCCCCTGCCCTCCCTCTCCTATCTGAACCCTGGTCTCTGTGTCCCTTAGGGCTTATCACACCGTTCTCCCCAGAGTCACCGGGAGGAGAGCCGGGACTGGACACAAGCCAGGGCTGGGACAATGGCAGTGCCTAGTCTGTGGCCCTGGGGAGCATGCCTGCCTGTGATCTTCCTCTCCTTGGGATTTGGCCTGGATACAGTAGAGGGTGAGTCCCCAGAACTGGCTCCCAGACCCCTACCTCCCTCCCAGCCAGCTGGGAGGCCAAAAAACTGAGCTTGCAGCCACAGCACCTCCACTTACTCTGCACTGGAACATGGGGGTTGGGGTTAGCGCTCAGGAGAACTGCCCAGCAGGAAAAGCAGTTAGTTCCCCACATAAAGGTGTTTTTCCCTCAGCTCCCTCAGAGATGAGAAGAGCTTCAAAACGTGGACAAGTAGATATCTTCCGTCCCTACTAGTGAAACTGTGATCCCAGTGAAGCTTGCCTGAAAACCCAAATGAGGCCGTGAGAGTGTTAGAAGTCATCTCTAGGGCCACTGAATGGGAAGAGGCAGGGGTGGGATAGGTAGCTGAGAACCAGGCACCATTAAGTAATGGAGGCAATGTTGCCGACAGGAAACTGCAGCTCTGAGAACTAAGGGTAAAGCTAGACTGGGTCCTGAGCTCCTGCCTCCAGGGCCCTGTCCTGTGTCCCCCCTCTTAGGGCCCAATCCCTACAGGGAGGAAGGCTGGTTTTGGGGGAAGACTGCTCTTCCTCAACACCCCAGGGCCTGTCCCCCAGGCTAGATACTGCCCATCAGTACGTTTTAGAGAGGAGGGGTGGGGGGACTATATAGACTAAATGACCCTCATGGAGGTGCTGGGGGATTGGTGGAAAGAGGAAAAAGAGCTGAGGGTGGAAGCTTCAAAAAGGGAAGGATTAGGAGGTATCCCCTTCCCCAGTCCCACCATTCCCCTCCAAACTGAAGCAGCTCAGGAATCCAGACTCTGTGCTTGCCCGAGAGGTCCTATGATGCCCCTCAGACTGGGGGCTCCCAGGGGCAGGGGAGTCTCCTCTTCCCATGGAGATGGGAGAGTGATGCAATGGGCTGGGTAGGAGGTCCCCTAAAGGGTGCTAGTCACAGATCCTCTGTCTGTAAGGCATAGCACCACTCCCCCGACCACCGAACCCCCTCCTCTTCTGCACAGCAGATGCCAGCTGGGAGTGTGGTTGTCAGGACAGGAGCACATCCTTGGAGGGGCTAGTATTTGCTCAGGGGACCCAGATGTTCTGTTCCCAGTGCAGCTCTGCACAGAGCCAGGTCCTGAGGGAAGGCAGGGGTTAAACTGTGAAGGTTTTAGATTTGTTTTTCCAAATGACTCCCATCAGGGGAGCCCTGGAGAGGCAGGGGCATGATGGGAAGTGGGCGCCTGAGAGAACCCCTATCTGCCTCGCAGAGCCTGATTGGCTTTTGCCTGGAAGGGATAGAAGTGTTTTCTCATTCTCTCTCCCTCTTTTTTGTGTGTGTATCTGCGTGGGCTCAGACATACACACACACACACACACACACACACACACACACACACACACACACACACATACACAGCTGCTGGGCAGAGCCAAGCTCAGGACCATTAATGACAACAGGGAGAAGATGTGAAGTAACCCCCAGGGAGCCAGCCTTGCCTGCCCACCTCTCTTAACAAACTATCAGGAATGGGGCCTGGATAGCGTGGCATGTGGCATGTGGTGTTTGTGATAACACCGGAGGGCTCGGTGGGAAGGGAAGTAGAGGCTGGAGACGTTAGCAGGAGCTGAATGTCAGGCTGAAACATTCAGACTTGAATCTTCTGCAGTGGGGAGCCACGGAAGGTCCTCTTGGGAGCAAGAGAGTCCAGGGAGAGAAAGGGAAGTGGGGCTTGGGCCCTAGTGAAGAAGCGAGACACACCCAGGTCCCCAAGGAAGGAGTGAACTTGGGATCCAGACATCCATTGTCCATGGTTCCTGAGTGCCCAGTGGTTCCAGCCCTGGACTGGGCACAACTGGGGGAAAGCAGAGCTGACTAACAAGGGTCCCACCCTCCTTGGAGGGGGTGACAGAGATGTATACAACAATTTTGGAGCCATGCCCCCAGGTAATGTGATGTGGGCGCTGGACTAAGTGTAGCTGAGCCTAAAGGGGAAGTGATTAACTCCAGGCCAGAGGGTCAGGGAAGAAAGGTCTGACCCGAGAGGCTGAAGGACCCTTCTGAGGCTGGATGCATTAGTAAGGAATGGTTTATCTACACCCTACAATGTCAGGCTGAGGAACTGAAACTTGAATCTTTAGCAATGGAATGTCCTTTCAAGAGTAATCAAATTAATTCAGGGAACAGGCATCTAACTCCCTTAAGACTGGGAGAGACATGGGACCTGCAAAGCTCAGATCACTTCTTCGCAGTCACAGAATTCACTCATTCATTCATTCATCAAATATTTATTGAGTGCCAACTTTGTGCCAGGAGCTATTGGTATAGCCACTAGGGTACAACATGAATTATACAAATATCCCTGCCCTTATGGAGCTTACAATAAACAAAATATATCTATTTCTATAAATAAATATCTATGTTAATATATAAATTATATTTTAGCCAGTGTTAAAAATAAATATATGGCCACGCATGATAGCTGATACCTGTAATCCCATCACTTTGGGAGGCCGAGGCAGAGGGATTACTTGAAGAGGCCAGGAGTTCAAGTATGCAGCAAACTATGATCCTCCCACTACACTCTAGCCTGGGCAACAGAGTGAGACCATGTCTCAAAATATTATACACATACAAACACACACACACACACACACGCACATTAGTCAGTGTTAAGAATTATAGAGAAAAATAAAGCAGAAGGGGGAGTAGAAAGTGTCACAATTTTATTTATTTTATTATAATTATTTTTAGACAGGGTCTCACTCTGTCGCCCAGGCTGGAGTGCAGTGGCGTGATCACGGCTCACTGCAGCCTTGACCTTCTGGGCTCAAGCGATCCTCCCACCTCAACCTCCTGAGTAGCTGAGACTATAGGTGTGCACCACCATGCCTGGCTAATTTTTGTATATTTTTTTTAGAGGTGGGGTTTTGCCATGTTGCCCAGGCTGGTCTCGAATTCCTAGGCTCAAGCAATCTTCCCACCTCGGCCTCCCAAAGTGCTGGAATTACAGATGTGAGCCACTGCACCCAGCCAGTGAAAATAGAAGTCAATTTTAACTAGGATGTTCAGGCCGGGCGTGGTGGTTCACGCCTGTAATCCCAGCACTTTGGGAGGCCAAGGTGGGTGGATCAATTGAGGTCAGGAGTTGGAGACCAGCCTGGCCACCATGGTAAAACCTTGCCTCTACTAAAAATGCAAAAAATTAGCTGGGTATGGCGGCGGGCACCTGTAATCCCAGCTACTCGGGAGGCTGAGGCAGGAGAATCACTTGAACTCAGGAGATGGAGGCTGCAGTGAGCTGAGATTGTGCCACTGCACTCTAGCCTGGGCGACAGAGTGAGACTCCATATCAAATAAATAAATAGATAGATAGATAGATAGATAGATAGATAGATAAAATTGGATGGTCAGAGAAGGCCTCATTGAGAAGGGGACATTTGGCCAGACTTAAGGAGGTGGGCAAGCCATGTAGAGGGAAGAGGATTCTGGCCAGAAGGAACAGAAGGACAAAGACCCCAAGGCAGAAGCTTTGCTGGCTTGTTATAGTAGTAAAGCTCCTGTTACATATAAGGAAAAGCAAAGAAGTCAATGTGGCTGAAGATGATAAAAAGGATGAAATCAGAGAGGCTACAAGGGCTCAAACTGTGCAGGGCCCTGTAGGCTGTAGTAAGATCAAGAGAGATGGAAGTCACGGGGGGTTATAAGCAGAGGAGAAACGTGATCCATCTGTGTTTTGAGATCACTCTGGCTGCAGAGTGGAGAATGGCCCATAGAGGGACAAGGGTGGAACTGGGGAGACAGTTTGGGAGGCTATGACTGTCAATCCAGGGGAAGATGATGGTGGAAGCTGTGAAGGTGTTGACAAGCAGTTCAGATCCTGGACATATTTTAAAGATAAACCCACAGGACGTACAAGGTGAAAAAGAAAGGTGTTAAGGGTGACTGCAAGAATGAAGTCGCTGGGAGTCGCTTGCAGTCGTTGGGAGCCTGACTGCAAGAATGAAGTCGCTATTAACCAAGAAGGGGAGATGGGCTTGGGAGAGAGGATCAGGAGTTCATTTTTGCCTGTGTGGCTCATCTGGTAGAGACCCTGCAGGCTGCAGGTGAGCCCTCCGGGGCCCAGGAAGGAGGCCACCCCACACCCAGAGCAGAGCCCGGCTCCTCACTCATTGTCCTACTGCCAGTGTGGCTCCCCTCCAAAGCTGCCAGGGCTGGATGGGGAATTTGGCCTGGGCTGTACTCAATGCTGCGTGCCGTGTATGCCCACAGTGTGCCCCAGCCTGGATATTCGCTCAGAGGTGGCAGAGCTTCGTCAGCTGGAGAACTGCAGCGTGGTGGAGGGCCACCTGCAGATCCTGCTCATGTTCACAGCCACCGGGGAGGACTTCCGCGGCCTCAGCTTCCCTCGCCTCACCCAGGTCACCGACTACCTGCTGCTCTTCCGTGTCTACGGACTGGAGAGCCTGCGCGACCTCTTCCCCAACCTAGCAGTCATCCGCGGGACGCGCCTCTTCCTGGGCTATGCACTGGTCATCTTTGAGATGCCACATCTGCGTGACGTGGCACTGCCTGCACTTGGGGCCGTGCTGCGTGGGGCTGTGCGTGTGGAGAAGAACCAGGAGCTCTGCCACCTCTCCACCATTGACTGGGGACTGCTGCAGCCAGCACCTGGCGCCAACCACATCGTGGGCAACAAGCTGGGCGAGGAGTGTGCTGACGTGTGCCCTGGTGTGCTGGGTGCTGCTGGTGAGCCCTGTGCCAAGACCACCTTCAGCGGGCACACTGACTACAGATGCTGGACCTCCAGCCACTGCCAGAGAGGTGGGCACTGGCACAGAACATGAATGTAGGGAAGGGAGAGAGCAGGGTCACATGGGGCTGGGTGGCCACAGGATGGTGTGGGTCAGTACTTTCAGCTGCCACTGTTTTTTAATCCTCACTCATCCTATGAGGCAGGTAAGGAAACTAAGGCTCAGAAAAGTTACGTAACCAATGTGGCATAAGACAGCTAAGGGGTAGGCCCAAGGCGGCATCATGGAATAGGTGAAGGACAGGTTCAAGGTGGGCATGGGGGGAAAAGAATAGGCATGAACAGAGAGTAGGCAGCGCAAGAAGCAGTGTGGGGCAGTGGCTAAGTCCAAAGCCAGAGGACCTGGGTTCAAGTCTCAGCTCTACCACTTACTGGCTATGTTCACTTAGCCTCTCTGTGCCACAGTTTCCTCAGCTGTAAAATGATCATTGGGTGTCATGAGGAATGAGTTACTCTACAAAGTGTCAGAGCAGGGCCTGGGTCATGGTAGCAGTTCTATGTTCCTAATCAGAGTGGCCACAGCACAGTGATCCAGGGTCAGCTGGCAATACTGTAATGGGAGGTTGAGGTTGGGGGTGAGCAGGAGAAGAAAGGAGATGATCAATGAAGAACTGAACAGGTGAGAGCAAAGATGTAAGGTGGGACCTTTAGGATGATGCAAGGAGAGGAAAAAAGCAGTAGAGAAAGGAGAAAGGAGGAAAGAAAAGGGATGGCTGGTGCAGGAGTAAGCAAAACGTTATAGGAAAGGAAAAGAAAACCTTTCAGAGGTGGGGAGCAGATCTGGGGTCCCCCAACCTGGTGGTCTTTTCCACTCAGCTCCTGGAGGTCAGCTCCTCTCACCCCCAGCGCCTCAGCAGCAGGGCGGGCGGGAGAGTAACAAGATCCCTGCTGTATCGGCTGCACCCCACCTCCCTGATGCCTCCCTGTTGGCTGTAAACACAGCTGCTGCGCATCCTCTCATGTACAGTGTCAACACGACCTGGCTGACCCCTACCCCACAGATCGCTCCCATAGCCAGCCAGCTACCACTGTGCAGTTTCTAGGCGATTGGGCCTCCAGCTCCAAACCCTCCCACTGCTGCTTGGAGCCACCTCCTGCCCAGGGCAGGGAGCTGAGGTGGGGGCGGTATGGGCAGGAGCATGGGTAAAACGACAGATGTCGGCCCCTCCCTGCACACACTCCCAGGCCCCTGGGCCTAGCTGCTCAGGAGAGGCTGGCCCGCTCACCCTGGCACCATGCCCAGCCATGATCTGGGCACCAGGCCTAGATAGGATAGACAGGACAGCAGGCTGGAGAGCAACAACCCTGATGGACAAGGTCACTGCTCTGTCCTGAGCTCTGACACCCCCGACTAGGCACTGTGGGAGGTGGGGAGCCACAGACGGCCACAGTCCTTGTCCTCAAGAATCCCATCGGAGGGGAACAGAGTCGGCAACCAGTGTCATCTGAATGGGAGGGACCTGGGTGCAGATTGAGTGTCATCCCAAGAGAAACAGGGTGGGGCCAGCATTGGAAGGACAGCCAGGACTGAGGGGGCATGGCCAACGTCTAACACACCACTCTCCCCACAGTGTGCCCCTGCCCCCATGGGATGGCTTGCACAGCGAGGGGCGAGTGCTGCCACACCGAATGCCTGGGGGGCTGCAGCCAGCCAGAAGACCCTCGTGCCTGTGTAGCTTGCCGCCACCTCTACTTCCAGGGTGCCTGCCTGTGGGCCTGCCCGCCAGGCACCTACCAGTATGAGTCCTGGCGCTGTGTCACAGCTGAGCGCTGTGCCAGCCTGCACTCTGTGCCCGGCCGTGCCTCCACCTTCGGCATACACCAGGGCAGTTGCCTGGCCCAGTGCCCTTCTGGCTTCACCCGTAATAGCAGCAGGTGAGTGTAGGGAGGGTGGGGGGCACCCTGGGAGCAGTGAGGAGGCCTGAGGAGGCCCAAACTGGTCCAAGGCTCAGGACATCTGCTTGCTCCTGCTAGCATATTCTGCCACAAGTGCGAGGGGCTGTGCCCTAAAGAGTGCAAGGTAGGCACCAAGACCATCGACTCCATCCAGGCGGCACAGGATCTTGTGGGCTGCACGCATGTGGAGGGAAGCCTCATCCTCAACCTTCGCCAGGGCTGTCAGTACCTACTTTGGGGCCACACCCCTCCTCCTGGTCATACCCTTCCTCCCAGACACAACCCTTACAATGACCCAACTCAGCACAATTTTCCATCATCCTGGGTCCCAGTCCTGAGGGCCCACCTTCCCGGGGCCCCCATTCAGCCCCCTTGCCCCACAGACCCATCACCTTCCTTGCTCCTACTCCAGCCCTGTCTTCCCATCCCTAGACAACCTGGAGCCACAGCTGCAGCACAGCCTGGGGCTGGTAGAAACCATTACTGGCTTCCTCAAAATCAAGCACTCCTTTGCCCTCGTGTCCCTGGGCTTTTTCAAGAACCTCAAACTAATCCGGGGAGACGCCATGGTGGATGGGTAAGGGTTAGGCCTCTGACCAGCTCCTTCTATTACACTCCTTCCTCCAACACTCCCAGAACAGTGGTGAAGAGAATGGGCTCTGGAACCAATTTTGCTACTCACTAGGCGTGTGACTCTAAGTAGGTTAACTTCTCTGGTCTTCAGTTTTCTCATCTGTAAAATAGGGCTAATATAACATTACTTACTTCTCAGGACTGTTTTGAATATTACTCAAGTTGTTATGTGTAAAGCACATAAAACAATGCCTGGAACACAGTATATACAATATAAATTACAGTCACATATAACTCTATAACAGTTGGCTATAATTGTCATCATCTGGTCCTGTCAGCTGCAGAGCAAGACTGCCTGGGTTTGAAACCCATTCCTATCATCTGCCAGTCAAGGCCTACCTATAATGTAGCCAGCATTTTTTAAAATAAAAAGAATGAGCCAGGCACGGTGGCTCACACCTGTAATCCCTGCACTTTGGGAGGCTGAGGCGGGTGGATCACTTGAGGTCAGGAATTCAAGACCAGCCTGGCCAACGTGGTGAAACCCCATCTTTACTAAAAATACAAAAAAAGTAGATGGGCATGGTGGCACGTGCCTTTAATCCCAGCTACTTGGGAGGCTGAGGCAGGAGAATTGTTTGAACCCAGAAGGTAGAGATTACAGTGAGCCGAAATCGTGCCACTGCACTCCAGCCTAGGGCCTGAGTTACAGAGAGGGACTCCATCTCAAAAAAAAAAAAAAAAAAAAAAAAAAAAAAAGAATGTTTTAAATTACCATCCAGGTCGGGCACGGTGGCTCCTGCCTGTAATCTCTGCACTTTGGGAGGGCAAGGCAGGAGGATCACCATGCGGTCAGGAGTTCAAGACCAGCCTGGCCAACATGGAGAAAACCCATCTCTACTAAAAATACAAAAATTAGCCAGGTGTGGTGGTGGGCACCTGTAGTCCCAGCTACTCAGGAGGCTGAGGCAGGAGAATCACTTGAACCTGGGAGACAGGGGTTACACTGAGCTGAGATCGTGCCACTACACTGCAGCCTGGGTGACAGAGGGAGACTCCAGCTCAAAACATACATAAATAAATAACCAACCAGGCCAGATGCGGTGGCTCGTGCCTGTAATCCTAGCACTTTGGCAAGCCGAGGTGGGAGGATCACTTGAACCTAGGAGTTAGAGACCAGCCTGGGCAACATGGTGAAACTCTGTCTCTATAAAAAATACAAAATTAGCTGACCGTGGTGGTGCATGCCTGTAGTCTCAGCTACTCAAGAGACTGAGGTGGGAGGATCACCTGAGCCCGGGAGGTCAAGGCGGCAGTGGGCCACAATTGTGCCACTGCACTCTGGCCTGGATGACAGAGTGAGGAAAAAAAAAAAAAGTTACCATCTAGTCATCTAGTCTAGTGGCTCTCTGTGGCTTCTCATGTCTCCAGACACATTGCATGTACACCGAGAGTGTCCACACCTCAGCTGGAAAGGAATGGCCCAGGCTGAGTACTACTCCTCCTGGTGTCTCCAAAGCCTCCAGAGTCTGGCACATAGCAGGTGCTCAGTTCAAAGAGAGTCGAGGGAAGGATGGGGGCAGGGAAGCTGAGGACCCCATTTCACTGATGAGGAAAACCAAAAGATGGGGTGACTTGGCAGACATCATACTCCTGGTCAGTGGCACAGAGTGGGTATGCACGAATGCCCCCGGTGTGCTGGTGTGAGCCAGCCACTGAGTGCCCCTCTCCCCGGGCCCAGCAAAACCCTTCCAGGAGGAACCCATAAGCCATCCCCTTTCCCACCCCCTGCCCCCACCTCCCCGCAGAGCAAGGTCCCCTGGCCTCCCCCAGGAACTACACTCTCTACGTGCTGGACAACCAGAACCTACAACAGCTAGGGTCCTGGGTGGCCGCGGGGCTCACCATTCCCGTGGGCAAGATCTACTTCGCCTTCAACCCGCGCCTCTGCTTGGAACACATCTACCGACTGGAGGAGGTGACAGGCACGCGAGGTCGGCAGAACAAGGCTGAGATCAACCCCCGCACCAACGGAGACCGCGCCGCCTGTGAGACCCCAACCCCAGTGCCGGTGGACACGCGGCCACACACTAGACACGCACACCCGGGGGAGGGAGAAAGCTCGAGGGGGACACTCTGAGAAGTTCTCCTCAGAGGTCTCACTGGGAATGGGATGCCGCGGGGTCAGGGTGGGCGCTCAAGCAGCTGGCAGGCGCGGTTGCGAGCAGGCCCCTCGCCCCACCCAGGCCAGACTCGCACCCTGCGCTTCGTGTCCAACGTGACGGAGGCAGACCGCATCCTGCTACGCTGGGAGCGCTATGAGCCACTGGAGGCCCGCGACCTGCTCAGCTTCATCGTGTACTACAAGGAGTCGTGAGTGCCGGGGGCGGGGCCGGAGCGGGGGCGGGACCGGACGAGGCCAATTTCTTCGGGACCACAGGCAGGTGAGGGCGGAGCTCAGCGAGGCTATGAAGACCCAGGAAGCCAGGACCCGCAAGTTGTACTCCGTGGTAGGGCCCAGGTCTGGCTCTCTTCCCTCACCTTCTTCATGCCTTCATGCCTCGGTTTCCCCTCACCAAGTGAAATGGAGAAGACAGGGCTTCTGAGAGCCCAGGAGAGCCATCCTGCTGGGAAGGCTTGGATCATTAAACTTCACTTCATTATGCTAATGTTCTACACTGACCACACGCTCCTGCCCCAGCAGCGGTTTGGGGAGCGCCCACTAATTTGGCCAGTTTTATGAGCAGCTCTGCCAGCATTTCATTTAAGCCTTAGGAAGGGAGGGAGCAGGGGCCGCCAGGGACCACAGCTGCTCTTTTCTTTGGAGAGAGTCAACTGACCCTAACAATGAGGATAGTGGTTAGACCACAGGAAAGACTTCTCCAAAAACACGGTTAGGAATCAAAAGGAGATATCCTTAGAGGAGGGAAGTGGATTTCAGATGCAGGCTGGGAAGGCAGGAGTAAGGAGTTCATGCTCTCTCTCTCTGGTAGATATTATAGAAGATGGAGGCCACCTGGCTTAGAAGCATTTCCTGTGAATTAAAATGGAGAGGACTTAGCTGACCACTGGCTCAGGGTCTGGCTTGGGAGGAGAAAGGAAGGAAGTCAGTTGTAGGAGACCCACTCAAATGGCCGAGACCCTCCTAGGTCTCAGTGGTAGGTGAAGGTCTCCAGCGTGGGCAGCTGGAGAGTTTGTTAAATACAGATTCCTGGGCCTCGCCCCCCACTGATTCTGATTCAGTTAATCCTGAGCAGGGCCCAAGAATTCACATGTCTAATAAGCTCCTAGGAGATGCTGAAGCTGCTGGTTTGTGGACTGCACTCTAAGGAGCCCTGGCATGACTACAGTGTGAATCTCCCCCAGCTCCCCGGCTTGTGCACTTCACAATCTGCACAACTATACACAGCTGTCTCTGGGCTCAAAGAGCAGAGAACCTTGGGAACCCTTCAACAAGCTTCCCTAACATCACTGCCCTGCAGCGTGGCTGCAGCTATGCTCCCTCAGAGACACACACTGCAGATCCTGCCCAATCCTGACTCCAAACAGACCCAGACCTGCTCAGTGTGTCATGCCTCACAGGACACCTGCTCCCATGACACCCACTATGAGCCCCCACCCCCCCAACCTGCTCCTGGACTATCCTGCTTATAGGTCCCAACAAAGGCAGGCACTTCCCGCTGGGCCACAAGTTCCCCCACTGCCACCCAATTTGACCTCCCTCAAGTTTTGTCCCTGGCTCAGCATGAATTCCATCATCCCCTTCCCAGTCCAAAGAAACAAATTATCATGAACATCAATGTGATGTTCCATTGTCTCCCATGGTCTGTTCTGCTATCTCCCATGGGGGGCCCACTGTCATCTCCCCCAGGGAGCCCTCTTCTACCCCTAAAGCCAGTGATGCTTCCCCAAGCCCTGCCCCGAAACTGGCCTTCAGGCAGCCAGCACTAGTTGCCTCTGGCCCCTTAATTTCCCTGTGGCAGTGGGTCTTGGCCTTTTAGGGTCATGGACATGTTTGAGAAGCTGTTGAAGCTAGGAACACTCTCTCTAGAAAAACACACATGCACAAAACTTTGCTATAGTTTGGGAGGCTCATAAACCTCCAAAGTCAATTCAAGGGCCTAAGTGAAGACACTGGGAAGGGAGCAGTCTCCTGTTCCTCGTTCCAGGCAATTAGACTTAGGGGAATTAGGATAACCTTATTGCTTGCTGTTTCTAGGAGAGGGGACTCTTTCACACACACTTTCTTGTTTTATTTATTCAATGCAAGATTTTTTCAATATTCATTGAAACTAGAACTTGATATTCCCTGCTAAGGATGAGGAGCTATATCATTACAAATTTCACTGACACAGATATCACAGTCCCTCCCCTCCTCCGCCCCCCCTTGCCAAGGTCTAACAGGTGGCTGGAGTCATGGCTTTGCCCTCATGCATACTGGAAGGACAATGACAGTCCTGGGGTGATTCAGAGCGGGGGTGCCAGAACTTGAGGGTGGGGTTGAATGACCCCTCAGCTCTGGGGATGGGTGTTCAGCCCATTCCAGAACGCCACAGAGCACGTGGGTCCAGATGCTTGTGGAACCCAGAGCTGGAACCTGCTGGATGTGGAGCTGCCCCTAAGCCGCACCCAGGAGCCAGGGGTGACCCTAGCCTCCCTCAAGCCTTGGACACAGTACGCAGTGTTTGTGCGGGCCATCACGCTAACCACTGAGGAGGACAGCCCTCATCAAGGAGCCCAGAGTCCCATCGTCTACCTCCGAACGCTGCCTGCAGGTAGGCATTTGGAGGGTGCAAGAGTCAGTCAGACGCCTGCATCCATGAGAACAGGGGAGCACAGGCACCAGAAATAGAGAAGCCGGGGCACTGAACACCTGGCCCACAGAGGCTGGAAGGCCAGATGCTTGAGTCCTAGAAAGAAGGGGGAGCATTTGCCTAGGTCCTTGCGGGGCTGGGATTGGGACAGTCCGGGGTCAATAGCTGAGGGAACTGAAGGGCCTATGGCAGAGAAGGGGAGGACAGAAACAAAACACTGAGTTCTAGGAAGCCAGGGGTGAGGATCACCTATTCTTTGGGAGAACAAGGCTGTTGGACCCCAGAAAGGAGGGCTCATTACTAGATAGTATTCAGGAGGAAGACCCACACCCCTGAGTTGCATCCTTCTCGCACTCCTAGCTCCCACGGTGCCCCAAGACGTCATCTCCACGTCCAACTCCTCCTCCCACCTCCTGGTGCGCTGGAAGCCACCGACCCAGCGCAATGGGAACCTCACCTACTACCTGGTGCTGTGGCAGCGGCTGGCAGAGGACGGCGACCTCTACCTCAATGACTACTGCCACCGCGGTGCGCAGGGACGACGCGCAGGCCGGCCGCGGGGCGGGTGGGGAAGGGGAGATGGAGGCGCAGGGCCCCGGCAGGTGGGGGGGATCAGAGGCGGGTAGACCGCCTGTCTTACTAGTGTCTTCCCGCTGCGGCGCCAGGCTTGCGGCTGCCCACCAGCAACAACGATCCGCGCTTCGACGGCGAAGACGGGGATCCTGAGGCCGAGATGGAGTCCGACTGCTGCCCTTGCCAGCACCCACCTCCTGGTCAGGTTCTGCCCCCGCTGGAGGCGCAAGAGGCCTCGTTCCAGAAGAAGTTTGAAAACTTTCTACACAACGCGATCACCATCCCCATGTGCGAAGAGCGCGCGCGGCCTGGGAGGGTCTGATGAGTGGGGCCTGTGAGGGGCGGGTCTTGCGGGAGGGGTGGGGTTTGTGGGTGGGGCCTTGCTTGTGTGGGCGGGTCCCGGGTTGTGGGTGCTTTTGGAGGCGGTACGCGCTGCAGAGGGCACAGGGGTGCATCCGGACAGGCCTGATAGGGCTACTCCTGGCCTCCCCAGATCCCCTTGGAAGGTGACGTCCATCAACAAGAGCCCCCAAAGGTGAGCAGGACTAGGGCAGGTGCTGAGGGGCGTGGCTTTGGGGGCTGGGCCTTGGCTCTGACTCGCTCTCCCCAGGGACTCAGGGCGGCACCGCCGGGCAGCTGGGCCCCTCCGGCTGGGGGGCAACAGCTCGGATTTCGAGATCCAGGAGGACAAGGTGCCCCGTGAGCGAGCGGTGCTGAGCGGCCTGCGCCACTTCACGGAATACCGGATCGACATCCATGCCTGCAACCACGCGGCGCACACCGTGGGCTGCAGCGCCGCCACCTTCGTCTTTGCGCGCACCATGCCCCACAGTAGGTGATCCACACACACACCTTCTACCCCCATCACCGACCCCAAGGACCCTGTGCAAAGGTTTGGGGTTTGACTTCTCGCTAACCCCAGAGCCTCGCTTTGCTTGCCCCTCTCAGTTCCCATAATCCCAAAGCTTTCCCCACCTCCCAGCTCAGCCCAGTTTAGCTTGGGTTTGAACATAAGGTGAGATGAACCACTTTTGGCCCGGCTGCTGGATGCCCCTTCCCGCAGGAGAGGCTGATGGTATTCCAGGAAAGGTGGCCTGGGAGGCCTCCAGCAAGAACAGTGTCCTTCTGCGCTGGCTCGAGCCACCAGACCCCAACGGACTCATCCTCAAGTACGAAATCAAGTACCGCCGCTTGGGAGAGGTAGGTGCCCGTGGGACCCCCGTCCCAGCCCCGTTTTGTGCCTACATCGCCTTCCCAGCCAGCTGTTCTGCGTTACTCTCAGGAGGCCACAGTGCTGTGTGTGTCCCGTCTTCGATATGCGAAGTTTGGGGGAGTCCACCTGGCCCTGCTGCCCCCTGGAAACTACTCTGCCAGGGTTAGGGCAACCTCACTGGCTGGCAATGGCTCTTGGACAGACAGTGTTGCCTTCTACATCCTTGGCCCAGGTATACACAGCCTCTGTCACAGACCTGTATCACCGAACAGCCCTACCTGGTCCCCAGCCCACCACAGGCCCCTCCCCCGCATCCCTCCCCATCCTCACCTCCCAGCATGGAAAGAGAAGCATGACCTTCCCTCTGACTTCTACATCTTTGACTCTACCCTCTGCTGCCCTCTGACTGCCAGAGGAGGAGGATGCTGGGGGGCTGCATGTCCTCCTCACTGCCACCCCTGTGGGGCTCACGCTGCTCATCGTTCTTGCTGCCCTTGGTTTCTTCTACGGCAAGAAGAGGTGATGATAAGTCCCACCGGTCCCCACCCCCTTTTCTCCCTGAGCCCTCATCATAAAGTCTGTCAAAGGGAGGTAGATGAGACAGTAGAAAGACAGGTCTTCCATACAGGCAGTAACTCTTCCCCTGCGGTGGCACAGAGGAAACATACCTCTCAGTTAGGGTGACCAACTCATCCCGGTTAGCCTGGGACTTTCCTGGTTTTATCAGTAAAAGTTGCACATCCTAGGAAACCTCTCAGTCCAGCCACACTGGGATTGTTGGTCACCACACTCTCACACCACCTGTCAGGTGTGAGAGTTTGTGCACCCAAGCTGAAAAATAATAGAGCTGTCCCTTATTAGGAGAAGAAGCAGGAGGCCTGGGGATGTGTTCCAGAATGCCTGATGTCAGATCCTTCCAGGGCTGACTGCAAGAGGAAAATGGGGCTGGACCTCGATCAGCTTGGCTATAGGGACTAGCTGACAGGGCGGAAGCCCCTTTACTCCTGTGTCCTCCCTATTCCCTGTTAGATCCCAGGAATAGGGCCAAGGCCAACTTGGAGGGTACTTAGGGATCCCCAGGAGTCACCCTGACCAAGGCTGGGGGTGTGGTCAGTAACTTCCCTCCTCCTTGAAATGTCCTTCTTCCTTCTTCTGATGTTGCTCATTCCTTCCTGAGAACCCTTCCAGCCTGACCCCCTCACCTCCCGTTGCAGAAACAGAACCCTGTATGCTTCTGTGAATCCAGAGTACTTCAGCGCCTCTGATAGTAGGTCTGGGAGTGGGTGGACAGGTGGTGTGGGAAAGGGAGACAGGAGAGGAGCAGAGACAGACTTCCAGAAGACCTTCTTGCAGAAGATAGCCTTGGGACAAGAGCCCTTCAGAAGAGGAGAAGAGAAGTTGGGGGGTGAGGTGTGGCAGAGAGCAGCATCCTCGCTTTGTGACCCTCCACCTCCTTGCAGTGTATGTCCCTGATGAATGGGAGGTGCCTCGGGAGCAGATCTCGATAATCCGGGAACTGGGCCAGGGCTCTTTTGGGATGGTATATGAGGGGCTGGCACGAGGACTTGAGGCTGGAGAGGAGTCCACACCCGTGGCCCTGAAGACGGTGAATGAGCTGGCCAGCCCACGGGAATGCATTGAGTTCCTCAAGGAAGCTTCTGTCATGAAAGCCTTCAAGTGTCACCATGTGGTAAGGGAGAGCCAAGGGCATTGTCAGGGTCATAATTAGTGTAAAGGTCATGTGGTAAGAAAGAAAGGGTCAGAGATGAGGTTAGGGCACCATTAAGGTCAAGATTGGGACCATGGTTAGGATCCTAATTGGGGTAAAGGTCATGGTTAGGGTTAGAGTCAAACAGGGTCATAGTAGGGCCACTGTAGAGTCATGGCTAGGGCTGAGATCAGTCATGATTGGGGCTCAATATTGGGTGTCCAGATCATTATTAGAGTCCTGATTGGGCTCAAGGCCAAAGTTGGACCAAGTTCGTGACTGTGATGATCATCAGATATGATGAAGGTCATGGGTTAGGGTCAGGGTCATTGTTAGGTCAGGAGTCAGGTTATAGTCATGGTTGGGGTTAGGGTCAGGTTTGGTGTCTGAGTCAGACTGTGGTCATAGCAGATCAGAATTTTGGCCAAATGGGTCAAGGGGAACTAGGGGGTCTGCTAGGCCCTTTGTCTGTCCCAGGTGCGTCTCCTGGGTGTGGTATCTCAGGGCCAGCCAACTCTGGTCATCATGGAGTTAATGACCCGTGGGGACCTCAAGAGCCATCTTCGATCTTTGCGGCCTGAGGCAGAGGTAGGGACCAGGAAGACCCTGGGGAGTGAAAGAAGGGTTGGGCACAGTGTGGGAGGTGGGGGCCAGTTCTGGACAGGAGACCAGCCTCTGGGTTCCTTCCTCACCAGCCCCCAATCTTGGCTCTAGAACAACCCTGGGCTCCCACAGCCAGCATTGGGGGAAATGATCCAAATGGCTGGTGAGATTGCAGACGGCATGGCCTACCTTGCTGCCAACAAGTTTGTGCACCGAGATCTAGCAGCCCGCAACTGCATGGTGTCCCAGGACTTCACCGTCAAGATCGGGGGTACAGAGGGTGCCAGGCAGATGAGGGCGGCCTGAAAAGTAGAGAGACTCCCTTAAGCTAGGCATCAGGAGACCCACAGCCCTGGTCCTGACAGCCTGTGAGACCCTTGGCAAGTCACCCCCACCCTGTATCTTAGTCTCTTGTCCAAGGGCAGAGGGGTTTGGATGGGATGAGTTCTGAGGTCCATTGAGCCCCTACTTTCCAGGGTTCTTGGTGACTCTGGAGGATGAGAAGATTGGGAGAGGTATCCCAGGGGCAGGAGCTAGTGCGTGGCTCTTATGCCCCACACCTCCTCCACCCTCACCCTCACTTTCCAGACTTCGGGATGACTCGGGACGTGTATGAGACAGACTATTACCGCAAGGGTGGGAAGGGGCTGCTGCCCGTGCGCTGGATGGCCCCCGAGTCCCTCAAAGATGGGATCTTCACCACCCACTCGGATGTCTGGTGGGGCCGAGCTGGAGCACAGGGCTCCAGGGATGTGGAGGCGGGATCTGGGGAGGGGCCTGGAACACCCCCATCCCTTGGAATGCACTGAGTAGCACGAAGGGTGCTGGGCTCAGGAGCTCCTGCATGCCCCCAGGTCCTTTGGCGTGGTACTCTGGGAGATTGTGACCCTGGCAGAACAACCCTACCAGGGCCTGTCCAATGAGCAGGTGCTGAAGTTCGTCATGGATGGCGGGGTCCTGGAGGAGCTGGAGGGCTGTCCCCTTCAGCTGTGAGTCACCTCCCCTGCCCCTTCCTCATTGTTGATCTACCTACAACCCTCCCCCACCCGGCCCCATGATTCTGGCTCACCTCCTCTGATGCTTTGACATCCACTGACCCTCAGCTATGAGCGCCACCCCCCTATCCCAAACCCCCAAGACTCCCATTTAATCCCTTCTCACCCTCCCAGGCATAATGGCCCACGATCCCCACTCCCACCAACTGACCCTCAGTGCAGGAGGCTGAGAGCGTGGCAGGGGCTCCCGGATGCCTCTGACCCTGCTCCCCACACCCACCAGGCAGGAGCTGATGAGCCGCTGCTGGCAGCCGAACCCACGCCTGCGCCCATCTTTCACACACATTCTGGACAGCATACAGGAGGAGCTGCGGCCCTCCTTCCGCCTCCTCTCCTTCTACTACAGCCCGGAATGCCGGGGGGCCCGGGGCTCCCTGCCTACCACCGATGCAGAGCCTGACTCCTCACCCACTCCAAGAGACTGCAGCCCTCAAAATGGGGGTCCAGGGCACTGAGGGGCACCTCATTCCCTGGCTGGCCTCCCATGGGGAGACAGGAAGGGACCCGACCTCTGTGGCTGAGACGCCTGAATGTTCACCCCCACCCCAACTCAGGGCAAGGGATGGCCGAGGGTGGGGCAGAGAACAGGAGCAGGGAAGGCTGTGGGGGTGGGCAGAGGGGTCTCACCATAGGAGTTTCTCAGACTCTGAGTCCCTCGGGGGAGAGCAAGCAGGGTCAAAGCCAGAGGAGTAGAGATCAGGTCAGGGAGAGATGTCCTGCCCTCAGAGGTAGGGACCCCACTCAGACTAGGAAGAGGGGGCCCGCCCACCCTAGAGGCCCTGCCCCTCAGTTTGGGGTCTCCTCTGGACAGGTAGGGCCAGCGACATGTTTGAAATCAGATGAGCAATCAGAAGCAGGCCTGGGGCGCTCTCCATGCATGTATGGGAGGGGGGTGGGGCTCCACATGACTGCCTTGCTTGCCACTGGTTTCACCTCCTCCCCTCAGCTCCACTGACCAGGTGGCATGGGGAGAACCCAGGGGCCTGGGGAGTGGTTCCCAGCCTGCCCGCCCTCACCTCCTCCTCTCCTTTTGCCCTGCCCAGGGCTCCCCAAGCTTGGTGCTCCTTCCTCCTTTTCTCCAGGGGCATCCCTTGGAGTACAGTCACCCTTTCTTCAGTCCCTCCCCTCAATGATTAGCCCTGGATGCTTAAGGCTTTCAGAGCCTCATCTTCCTCCCTCCCCTCACCCTCACCCAGCCCCGCCCCCACCCCTGCCTCTCATGGGAAGACTGGAGAAGGCACAATAAATGCTGAGGCCTGTTTGTACCCTGGTCCCAGGCAGCCCATTATCTCTCCATCTACATGGTGTTAACACTGGATGAACTTCCTTTCTCCCTCCTCTGGGACTCGAGGTGGTGACCCTAAGGCAGAGACACGGGATAAATACACTGCTGTCAAACACCACCTCCATGAGGACCCGAGCAGCCAGGGTTGCCATGGCAGTGAGGCAGGACAATCTTGCTATTATCTCCTGCTCAGGACCAGAAGTGGTTGAGCCCGGCAGGGAACCTTTGTGTCTAGCCTCCAAGCAGAACCAACCAGTCCCGGACACCTCATCTTAATTTCACCCCTTGTTATGTTCGTTATATCGGTCCACTGGGTAGGTATTTTCTGGAGTGTCATAGGACAGACTTTAAGTGGGCAGACATGGGGCAAGGGAGAGGCCCTGATGACATCACCTGTTCATGCCAGATGCCCCCACCCAAGCCAGGGAACACACAGCAGAGCAGGGTCTGTGTGTCTGGCACCCTGTGGTTATCCTGGGAGGCCAGAATCTCAGTGTTCATCGCACGTGTAGAGACACCATTGAGGCATGTGGATGTTGCACAGGAGAGCCAGCTCCCAGGCTTTTCTGCCAGTGCCATGAGGGCATTTGAAAGGGAAGGGTTGCAAAAGAATGACTTCAAACCTTGACGAAGGGGGTGGCAGCGGGAGGGGCTGCCCAAGGCTCAGAACTCTTTAGCTTCCTGCCCCCAGGGGCTTGGGGCATAGCTGCCATGCCACACACATGCCACACACTCTGGGTCTGGCGAGATGAGACTTTCTGTGCACCCTTGCTCACGCCCGCCAGCAGTTGTCCTGCAAACCACAGCTCCCTCACACCAGAGTGGAGTGGGCACGAGTCTGCGTGAGGCCGTCTCTATGACAACAACTACCCTGTTATCCCCACAGGGCCAGGGTGGGCAGCAAGGACCACCTGTGTGGAGCCCCACCCCTCCCCTGCCCTGCATTGGTGACTGAAGCAACAGTGACCCCTAATGGTTACCAGCAGAACCGCAGCTAAGGGAAAAAGTTGGGGAGTTTGGGCTTCCCTGCCTTCTGTTGCTGGGTCTCTGAGAGGCCTCCAGGAGGGTGAAAGGGTAGAGAGACTCCACGCAAGCCCTGGCTCTGAGACCTGCACACTCACACAGAGCACACAGGCATGCCTGCATTTGCACACGCCTGCAGGGCAGCAGTGGGGTCAACCCCTCTCCCCACTACCTATGCCCCCTAACCCTCACAGTGCCGATTGTCTGGATGTGGAAGAGCTTAAGGAAGGGATTGGAAGTCGAAGAAAAGAGGGCTTCAGAAATATGCCATCGCGGCTGCACCTGCAAAGATGGGCAGGTGGTGTCTGGCCCAGAAGTACTTCTGGGGGAAGAATGTAGGGATGCTAGGAAATAAGCTCTATTGCTGTCCAAGTCCTAGAAAAGAAGTGGATTTAACTAGGTAGCAAGATAGATGGAGGTTGGACTTCAGGAGGGACTTCCCAATGCTACAGGGAAGCTTTGGAGAGGGAAAATATGTCTCCTGAGAGACAGTTGCAGACAGACAACAGGTTGACCTGGAGAAGGAAGGATGAACACCTACCACAGAGGCAGAACAGTAAATGCAGCGACTGAAATACAGAAACACCCGTCTTGGTCCCCCTCCTCTTCCCCAGATTCAGACAGAACTCCAGAAAAAAAAAAAAGCCTGTAGCTGGCTGGGAGAAGACAGGTGAGCATAAAAGAAGGGAATGTTTACCATCCATCCCTCAAAACTGTCCCTGTGGCCTTGTGGCAGGTCTTCCACCCGAGAATGGGTGCTGGGGACTATGGATCTCATACCCTACCCCCTCTAAGCTCAGGAACAACTGATGCATCTTTGTGGGGGCTGGGAGAACAGGTTGGAGTTCTCTGGGGAGAGAGGCCCAGAGGCCTGGGGGAGGAGGTGGAAATGGTCCGAAGTCAAGTGAGCTGTGCCACTAAGCCAGGCCTCGGTGGCAGCAGGATGAGGTTCCTCTTCCTCTAGGCTCACAGTTATTCTTCCTCTAGGCTCTGGCTACGGAGCAGAGAGTGGTTCCTGGCTGTCACCAAGTAGGAAGAAGAATGGGGTACAAGGACATGAGAGCTCAGCTTCCGACACCTGCTCATACCAACGTGTTTTATCCCGCCCCATAATACCAAGCTCCAAGTCCCAGGGAGCTTGGATGGAAGAGTACCAGGTCTTAGATGTCCAACCAAGGGGCAGTCCTGGAGTAGACACTTTGGACCTTGCCCTTGGCCCAGTGTGGACGCACTGTGGAAGCTCCTCCCCTGGTCCATGAGCTGTTTGGCATCTTCTCGCACTTTCTGTTGAGGGCTAAGAACAAGGGGGATGTTAGTATGTGACCACCAACCCACAGTGAAGGTCTTCCTGCTTCCAGCCAGAGGCTCCCATGCATAACTCCTCAGGCCAACACCACCTGCTCCCAGGGTTAGGACTGAAGTTTTGGTCTCCTCCAAGCCCTGTGAGGTCGATTGACAAAGTACTGACACTCCCTGTCCACCCCCTTTCTTTGCACAGGAGGCAGAGAGCTTGAACCACCTGGCTCATCTCCTGGTCATCCACCATGAAATTGAGCCCCTCTGGGTTACTCGGCCAAGGGCCCACTAGTAAGTGATCACTAGGGTGGCACCATCCACTGCTGGAGAGAGTGGGGAATGTAGCATCCTCTTGAATGTGTGCCAAATAAGGAATCCAGGTGGGCGGAGCTGGGGATGGGTTTAGAGCAGATGATACTTGGTGAGCCCCTGGACCCTGGATGCAAAGCTGAAGTGAAGGGTGCTTGGGGAGCCCTGGGCATATAGTGCAGAAGGTACCTGGTGAGTCCCTGGTACACAGTTGGAGCACAAGGTGCTTGGCGAGCTCCAGATGCACGGTCAGATGGGAAGGGCACTTGGTGAGATAGGAGCTGGAGATCAATTCCTCAGCTGCAGCTGATGCCTGGCTGAGGCAAGGCTCTTTAAAGGGGCCACATGGCTCAGAGTTCTGATGTCCTTGCTGTTGAAAAGTGGCCTGATGGGCCATGGGTTAAGTGTTCAGAGTGGGTGTGGCGAGGGGTGGGGTGACCACTGGGCGTGGATATCTGGATTTCCCTAACTCTGAAATATCTGCCCTTTTCCAAAGCCAGGAGATCTAGACTCCTGCCCAGGATCTTGGCTAATTGCATAGCTTGTCCAGCTCCAGCTTAGATATGCTCCTCATTCAGCCCTGTGAAATATGCTCCTCATTCAGCCCTGTGAAATATGCTCCTCATTCAGTCCTGTGAAATATGCTCCTCATTCAGTCCTGTGAAATATGCTCCTCATTCAGCCCTGTGAAGGCAGCACATCTGAATGGTTTGGCCTCCCCGACTTAGCAGGCCCAGAGTTGCAGGCAGAGTCCAGCCTCTCCTCACCTTCAGCACTCCCACCATGAAAGAGGAGGGAGGAGGGAGGGGCATAAGGGAGGCACTCACAGGGTGAAGATAGGACTGAAGTTCCAGGACCAAAAAGTGAGGCTGGTTCAAGGACAGAGGGCATTCCTTCTTGCCTCTCTCCCTACCCTGTCCTTCCACACAGAGGGAGGTAGCTGTCAATCACCAAGGCCTCTAGATGTCAGAGGGAGGACAAGAAAGAATGGGGATGCCAGGTAGGTCATGAGGAGAGAAAGAAATAGAGCAGGGTGTGGAAGAGAGAGGCAGCGGTAGGGAGACAGCAACTCAGAAACGTCCCTATGCACAGCTGTGGAAGCTCTGAGGACACCCCGGGACTTTTTACCCAGCCCTGTCCCTTTGATGTCTGTGGGTGTGGCCCCCAACTCTCCCCACTTGTGAACAACAGGGGGACTTTCTGCTCAGTCATTTCTGGAGATGAGACGGGTCCCATCCTGAGGGCCCACTCTGGCTCCCAGCCTCCCAGGTGTGTCATCCTGTGTCTTAAGCAGAACTGGACAGGAGGAGGGGGGCTGACAGACACGCAGGAGGAGAAAGGGGAGGACAGATGAAGCAGAGAAGACAAGGGTGGCAGCCAGGAGGAAATTCTGAGACTATGAAAAGGGAGTCTCAAGAAAATGAGACAAAAAGGACAGAAGTTGTCAGCAGGTTCAGACAAGAAACGGAGAGGGAGAAGGGGCCTGGCTAGCAACCCTCCCTAGATGGCGGCAACTTCTGGGGCATGGGAGGCACAGGTGTGAAGGAGGCAGGGGTACCTCTTTTGGAAGCAGAATTTCCTAGGGGAGAGACCTTAATGCTGGAAGGCCAAGAGCTGAAATAAGATAATGGATGCCCAGTGCTTTGTAAGCTATAAAGCACTATACAAATTATTGTCGTTGTTATCTGGTTGTGATATCATTTACAAAGATACTGCAGAAGTACATTTAGTGACATGGAAAGATGGCCAGGATGAACTATGGAGTGAAAAGAGCAGGTTACAGATAATATAAATGATGCCATTTTTTACATTTCCATGTACAAATTCAGAAAAAATATCTGGAAGCATAAATATGCATCTGGGTGATGAGTTGTGGATGATTTATATCTTCTTTTTGCTTATCTGTATTTTCTCTTTGTGATTTTTAAAGAACATACATTATTCATGCAGGGAAAAACAAGCAGTTTGCTTTTAAAAGAACGAGGCTTCCTGCCCAGAGGTCTGGGCTCAGGATGAGTGCACAGAGCCTTATAGGCGCCCTGCTCTGTCCCCTCGCTACCTGGGTGTGTATCGCGGGCTCTGTCACATACATACTCTCCAAGGACATTTTTTTCCTCCATGTTTTAGGCTGGGACAAAGTCCATTTTATTGAATTCAGGATTGGCAGCATGTTTTTGTAGCCCTACCGTGTCTTCCATCCCAGGAGACATAAAACAGGTGGGAAGTAGAGAAAAGCAGACACTTCTCAGAGATTCCTAGCAACCCTAGGCTTACCCCAAGGGAGGCCAATAGCTCTCTGTTTACAGGATTTTGGGGCTATAAAAAGTGAGGGCACCTTCCCCTCCCAACCCTGTGTGGTCGGCCTCTGCCTATAGTGGCTCAAACTCCCAAGTCTGGGTTCCCACACCCTCCCATTTCTCACACATTCCATGCCCATCACCTAGACGTGTCTCCTTTTTCCATTCCTTCCCTCATTCTCTGCTCACCCTTTCCTCCCAGTCGAAGTGTGGACCATCACACCCCTTGAGGCCTTCCCCAAATTCTTCCTCACTGGGCTCCCACTCTCCTTTCTTTCCCAGCCTGAAAATACAACCCCCCGTCTCCCCGGCCCATTCCTGAATCTCCTCCCCCAGAGCCACTCCTCCCCACCTACCCAGAATAGTTTTTGTTCTGTTTCTTTTTTTTTCTTCTTGAAACAGGGTCTCTATCACCCAGGCTGGAATGCTGTCAGAATAACATTTAACATAAGTAACTCTTTATAGTGGCAAAGAGTTTTCTATTTCCAAATTAGATGTTTTAAAATCTACTTTAGAGAGGGCAGCATCAATGATCTGAGAAGCAAAATGACTCGCCTAAGATCACACAGCCAGTTACTGGAGGTCCAGCCCACATCCACCACCCCACTCTGCCTCGAAGACTGAGAATACAGCTGCATTTTCCTCTCTTGGCCTTCGGTCTCTGTCTATAGTTCTAAATTGCATCTTCCCTGTCCCCAGGCTGTGGCATTTAAGCCTTCTACTTCTAGCTGCAACCTGCCTTTCCAGCATCATGATATGCCCCAGCCTAATACAAAGCCCATGTTTCAATCAGTCTAGACTCTTCCCTATCTGCCAGCTTGTACTGTGTCACCCACCACCAAGCCTGGGACTTGCATCTTCTGAGACTGGCCTTCACATCTGTCCCCATTCCCTCCTCTGCATCCTTGGTCTCTGTGGCTTCCCCGTGATGCCCTTTCTGATCTCTATACCACCCACAGGGCATTTAATACCTACTACCATACACAGCTATGGTGTGAGTGTTAGGCGTCCCCTTAGGAAAACAGAAACCACTCTAGGTATTTCCACAGAGAGATAATTGAATATAAGGGATTGACTTTACTGGTGTGAAAGGGTTGAGAAGCAAAAAGAGAACACTAAGTAACACAGAGATATCTGCAGGAAGAAGCTAACTCCCCTAGGCTGGGGGAACAAAGAGGCGAGTTGAGGTTGTGAGAATCTAAAAATGCAAGAAAGGGACCCTATAGAGGTGGAGTCCCTCAGAGGAGGAGGTGGTGCTGCCCAGCTGGTACCCCAGCAACACTGAAAGGAAACAAACAGAAAGAAGTGAGTCCTCCCCTGTCTCCCTGCAGCACCTGCTACTGGCAGAACCTAACAGAACGGGCAAAGGAGTCTGGGAAGTGTGGTTGGCAGAGTTTCAGCCCCAGCCTCACAGAGCAGAGTATAGAAGGGAGGGTTTAGAGCCAAGAAACAAGCAAATGACCAGCATCATGGTAGTTATTATTTTTCTTATACCTAAAATATATTGAGCACCTACCACATGTCTACACTTGACATACACCTTTTTTTTGTTTATTTTTTGAGACGGAGTCTCGCTCTTATCGCCCAGGCTGGAGTGCAGTGGTGCGATTTCAGCTCACTGCAACCTCCACCTCCCAGGGTCAAGCAATTCTCCTGCCTCAGCCTCCCGAGTAGCTGGGATTATAGGGGTATGCCACCATGCCCAGCTAATTTTGGTATTTTTAGTAGAGATGGGGTTTCACCATGTTGGACAGACTGGTCTCGAACTCCTGACCTCAGGTGATCTGCCCGCCTCGGCCTCCCAAAGTGCTGGGATTACAGGCATGAGCCACCACGCCCAGCCTTGACATACACTTTAACACAAAAAACAATCTGGTAAGCTCACACTATTGCTGACATTTTACAGATGAGGAAAGTGAGCCTTACAGAAGTCAAATAACTTGCTCAAAGTCCCACAACTAATAAATGGCGGAGCTGGGATTCAAAGTCAGATCTGTACACCTATTTTCCACTATATCATGCTGCCTACTTGGTGTACCACTCTGGGCCAAGAGGGCTTTGGAGATGGGTGGGCATAAGTCCTTATGAGCAGGATGGTGTCTGTATGGCCCCAGCACCAAAATGTGTTTAGCAAGAAGCGATGTGCTGAATACCCACTCATAGTAGGTCCTGCAGTGGGTGAAGAAGTCACAAAGATGGGCAATAACAAGCCCCTGCCCTGAGGGGCATGCTGTCTGCTGGGAGAGAAGACATGTAGACAAACAATTGCAGTACACCATGGCAAACCCTCATGCAGCTGTGTAAGAACCAAATGCTACAAGAGCACCATAAATGAAGGAATGAGGATGATGAAACTCGGATCTCGATGCTTCCCTGCTGAAAATCCTTCAATGGCTCCCCAGTGCCAATGAGGTAAGCACAAAGCTCGCAGGCAGGCCTATCTCTAGGCTTCATCTCTCGAGCCTCCTGCCCCTTCACACCCATACCATCCTCCAGAGGGCTTTGCAGCTCTAAGCCTGCATGCCCTCATTCACTTTGCTCCTGCGACTCAGCATCCTCCACTCTCCTCCACCTCTCCCTTCCCATATATCTTGAGAATCACCTACTCCCCTTTAAATCAGCTCTTTCAACTGCTGCCTCCTCTCTGAAGCCCTTACTGATTTCTCTTCCCCTTGCAATCTCATCCTAGGCAGAATAGACCACTCCTTCTTATACCCCTTCTCCCAAATCCTTGCTTCAGAGTTAAACTCTGAATGACCTGGATTGTTTGCCTATGTATCTTTCTTGCCCTCATGTCTCATTTGTCTTTGTATCCCTTGAAACCATAACAAACTCCAGCACATTCTAGGCTTCAAATAGATGCTTGATGAATTAATGACAACAAACCAACTAGGGGCAGAGAGTACAGAAGGGAAAGAAAATACTACCTTGAGAGCCAGACCTGAACTGAATCTTGGTTCAACATACTTAACTAAAACTAGTTAAGTTTCATTTGCTCCAGCAAAGTTATTGGTAATTTACTTCTCCAATCCTCAGGTGAAGTCGCCCGTCAAATGGAAAATCCACCATGTACCTCAGGACACATGATCCCTGAGCCAAAGCATCAGCTGGACCAGCTGCCTCTTCCCTCAGGTGGTCAGGGATGATGCTGGGACATGTGAGGACCTCAGTCCCTGGGGCTACACTAGGAAGTCTGGAGGCCTGACTGCCATGACTCCTCCTCAGCCACCAAGTCTATACTCAGCCACGATGGAGGAGGGAAGAGGGAAACCCTTCAATCTCCCATCCCTTCTAGCCCTCTAGTTCCAGCACTCAGAGTCTATGAGATCCTCAATTCCCTCTAACATCTTTCTGCCCTAACCCTCACATCCTCTAGTTCCTGTGATACCTTCAGCTTCATGGGTCCCTCAGAACATCTGGAGCCTCCTTGGGTTCTCTAGGGTATCTCTTGGCATCCTTGAGACCACCAGGATACCAAGCAGTTTCCCTCCCTGATGACTTCCAAGCAGTCCTGGAACTTGGCTCTCAAGTAGCCAAGCACTATCTCTGCCAGTCTCTCCAGATTCCCAGGCTCTCTCATTCTCTTCACCATCCCTGTCCACCCCCTCCAAGCACTGCCAGCTCTGACCCAGCACCATCTGGACACATGGTCACCTGACACAGAACTACAGCTGCTGCGGGGCTCCATCCCCTGCCCTCCTGTCACCACTGCCCCAGCAGGTTCATTGCAATTCAGTCTAACATCAAATTCAGCCTCAGGAAACTTCTGGCAGCAAAGTACACACAGCAGGAGCGAGAAGTAGAGAAGTGGGAAGGGCAAGCTGATCTGACCCAGCGTGCTCCTGCCACAGCTCCAAATGACCATCCCGCCTCCACATCCTTGCCCAAGCCCTTCCCTATGCTCAGGACACTCTCTCCACCCATGACTTCTTAACGGGATTCTACTTAGCTCTCAAGGCCCAGCCCAGATGCCCCCAGACTGCACTCTCTTGAGTTTCCTCCCCTCCTCTCTAGGACGTAAGCCCCTTGAGGAGAGAGGATGACATTTGGGAGCCCTTTCAGGGCCCAGCAGCATGCAGGGTTGAAGGGAGAGATAAAGCCAGAGGGTAGACCTGAGGTCTGACCCTCAGCCCTAGTCAGCAAGAACAAGAAGGTTGCTAAATGCTCCCTTCAGGATTCTGGGGGCTGGTAGAAAAGAAGGTAAGAAAATACCCAAGCCTCTGATGGCTGGCACATCCATTTGCTGATAGAATCCCAGAACCTTGCTGGGCGTGGTGGCCCACGTCTATAATCCCAGCACTTTGGGAGGCCGAGGTGGCCGGATCACCTGAGGTCAGGAGTTCGAGACCAGCCTGGCCAACATGGCAAAACCCCATCTCTACTAAAAGTACAAAAATTGGCCAGACGTGGTGGTTCATGCCTGTAATCCCAGCTACTCAGGAGGTTGAGGCAAGAGAATCACTTGAACTGGAGGCGGAGGTTGCAGTGAGCAGAGATCACGCCACTTCACTCCAGCCTGGGTAACAGAGCGAGACTCTGTCTCAAAAAAAAAAAAAAAAAAAAAAAAGAATCCCACAACCTCTCTTCTAGAAAGGTGTTCTTCCCCCGTTTACCAGACAGCAACTGAAGCTTGGAGAGATCAAGAAACTTGCCCAGGTTCACCTGGGCACAAGGGTGGAGGAGGGGTGAAGATATAATAAGAGAGGCTATTTCCCAGCTACCTCTATCCCAGTGAAATGTCGAGGCACACCAGAGATTCCTGGCAGTCTCGTAACCTGGGCTGCATGTAGACAGCACTGTCATGGAGGGCTCAGCTGTTCCAAAGTCCAAGACAGCCCCCTCTGTTTGACAGAGCTGCTGGCCTGGGCCCAGGCTTCCACACACAGAGTAACTGATTCCATTTTTAAGGTGAAAACACTTCTATTGCAGTGATCACAATGTGTATCAAAGTGGTAAGCACGGTTTCCAGAAGTGGGCTGTGCAAAGCAGCGTTCAGGCCTTGCAGAGCGGAGCCACAGACGGGCTGTGCTGAGACTGCCCCACTGCGTGGAGAGCAATGCTTAGACAGCGGGCTTGGGAGAGAATGGCAATCAGGTGATTGAATGCTAACAATCAGACTCACTGCTCTCCTTGTTTGGCCCTTTTCAAATAGAAAAAGACAACTGGGCCAAGCGTAGTGGCTCATGCCTGTAATCCCAGCACTTTGGGAGGCCAAGGCTGGAGGATCACCTGAGGTCAGGAGTTCAAGACCAGCCTGGCCAACGTGGTGAAACCCCCATCTCTACTAAAAATACAAAATTCGCCGGATGCGGTGGCAGGCACCTGTAATCCCAGCTACTCAGGAGGCTGAGGTAGGAGAATCCCTTAGAACCCAGGAGGCGGAGGTTGCGTGAGCCGAGATCGTGCCACTGCACTCCAGCCTGGGTGACAGAGCAAGACTCTGTCTCAAAAAAAAAGAAAAAAGAAAAAGACAACTGGTTTGAGTCTGGGGGGTGGATACTTGAGCGCGAGCAGTCCTCCTCCTTATAGTGTCATCCTACCCAGAGCTGGGCCCAACGAGAGACAGTCTATCCCCAAGGGCCTCCCTGTCAAAAAGGCAGGATCCTGAGGGTGGCCAGGACTCTGGAACTCTCTGCAGAACCTGGGCTGGGGAGGCAGACTTCTGGGCTGGAGGGACCTGTGCAGACACTCCACAGCCCTCCCCACTGCCTTTTTAGTTCCTCCCCATCTTCAGTCCTGCTCTGCCCCACCCCAGAACTGAAAAGGGGGGATGAGGGATACGGGGAGCCTTGTTCTGTGGCTGTGCTGTGTGCTCTAGGTGGTGGCACCCACTGTCCCCTGTTGAGACACTCTCCCTAGACCTTGAATGGCTGGCTCCTTCTCACCTGTCACCTCATGGAGAGGCCTTCCAAAAGCGTCACCTACTCTACATCTAACACCCTACACTGTCATCCTCATACCTCCTATTCACTCCTATCGTGAGCTGAAATCACTTTTCCTATTTGTTCATAAATTTATTTCTCTCTCCCCCGCCAGAATAAAGGCTCCCAGAGAGCAAGGCTGCGCACATCTTGTTTGCTGCTATGTCCCCAGGGCCTGGCACTGCCAGCTACATCAAAGGAGGGCTCCACTCTGTTGAATGAGCTTCCTGGATGGACTTCCACTTTTTATTGCTCCTCTAAGGGTATAATAAATAGAACAATGATAATAATTCCGGCCTGACAGCAGCAGCCTTTTACAGTTGACAAAGCAATGCACTGAGTCACTGGTCATTTCCTACGTACAATGACTTAGTCTGGGTTATTCCCATTTTACGTATGGGGAAAATGAGGCTCAGAGGGCTTCCGGGATTTGCCACAAGCCACACAGCCTTTCTGGTGGTGGAGCAGAGACTCAAAAAGACCCTGACCCCCACCACTCTCCTTCCATTGCTTCACAGTCACCCGTATACTGAAGGGTAAACCACAGCTCCTTCTTCCTCATCATCCTCGTCCACGCGGGTGCCTGTGGCAAACACAGGCGTGTGAGTGAAGAATCATCTGCCACACACAGAGGCCGACCCGCGACTGCGCGTGAGGAGAAGCATGGAGACAGCCTGGGAGGCAGCCCAGCAGGGAGCGTGGAAGAGGAGTCAGCACGAGCTGCCTCTCCCTGGAAGGGCTGTTATCCTCTAAACCTTCCTTTTCTTCCTTTCTTTGCTTTTTTTTTCCTCAAAATGTCAATACATAGTTACTCAGCATCTCCTGCATGCCAGCATTTTACCAGGCACTGAGAATTCAACATAAATAAGACACGGTTACCACCTCAGAGTGGAAACAAATGAAGAAAATAAACTCGAAACCTATCACTTCTGCCATTGATTTATTGTCTATTCAAGTAAATCAGCTGATCTTTGAGCCTTCTATAATATATTAAAAACCAAGCAAATGATCTAATTTATCAATATCAGTAATAATATTACAATTGCAAATGGCCTTATAATTTTCAAACATTGGATATATTATAGGCTGGATGTGGTGGCTCATGCCTGGAATCCCAACACTTTGGGAGCCTGAGGCAGGAGGATTGCTTCAGCCCAGGAGTTTGAGACCAGCCTGGGCAACATAGTGAGACCCCCATTTCTAAAAATAAAAAAAAGGATATATTAATATACTATATAACATTTTGTGAAATAAGTTTTTTTCATACCTTCATAAGAACAAGGGATGATTTTACCAGGCCTGGCTCATTATAAATTCATACACTAATTCTATAATAAAGCCTGATTTAGAAACAGCCAGACACATGGCAGACCCACGGAAGAAAAGTAGCTGTTGAAGTCAGGGCCAGAAGCTGACCATTTCAGGTTCATAGTCTCTCACTTCTATTTCACTTCTTTTGTTACCTAATTTTTCAATTAGCAGTAAGAGGCACTAATATGCAGCCAGGCAGAGTGGCTCGTGCCTTTAATCCCAGCATTTTGGAAGACTGAAGCAGGAGGATCAACTGAGCCCAGGAGTTCAAGACCAGCCTGGGAAACATAGGGAGACTCATCTCTACAAAAAAATTTAAAAATAGGCCAGGTGCAGTGGTTCACACGTGTAATCTCAGCATTTGGGGAGGCCGAGGTGTATGGATCACCTGAGGTCAAGAGTTCGAGACTAGGCTTGCCAACATGGTGAAACCCCGTCTCTACTAAAAATACAAAATTAGCCAGGCATGGTGGCGCACGCCTGTAATCCCAGCTACTTGGGAGGCTGAGGCAAAAGAATCCCTTAGAACCTGGGAGGTGGAGGTTACAGTGAGCCAAGATAGCACCACTGCACTCCAGCCTGGGTGACAGAGTGAGACTCTGTCTCAAAAAAAAATAAAAAAATAAAAAAATAAAAATTAATTGGGTGTGGTGGCATGCACCTGTGGTCCCGGCTATTTGGGAAGCTGAAGTGGAGGATTGCTTGCACCTGGGGGTTCAAGGCTACAGTGAAATGTGATTGTGCCACTGTACTCCAGCCTGAGTGACAGAGAGAGATCCTGTCTCAAAAAAATAAAGAAATAAAGAAAAAGTTAATATGCAATGATTATTTCTTTTCCCCCAGAAGTGAGCTCCAAAACAAGGAGCTGAGTTTTTATTTACTTTTGCATGTTTGGTGAACTGTAGGCATAGAATCCGTGTTTACTAAATAGATACAGGAAGAGTAACTATAAAGTAATGCTTTGGCTCTACAAATGCCTAAAACTGTTCAGAGAAAAGGCATTATGTGAAATCTAAGATATCCCACTGCTCCTTTCAGTAGTGTTGTGGGAGTATGTTATGATTGCTCATGATGTTGGCAAAGCACATTCTGCTGAAAGAAAAACTACTTGCAAAAAGATACTATGATTCTGCAAATGAGTCCATGTTTTGGGTTTAAAAGGCTGCAAAGCATACATTCCTGCAAGGATAGGGTTTGGGCTGGTGGTTAGAAAAACATCCTGGATTCTGGTTTCTTAAAGCTTGAAACTGAACTGGATGTGGTGGTGTGTGCCTCTAGCCTCAACTACTTAGAGATCAGCCGGGCACAGTGGCTCATGCCTGTAATCCCAGCACTTTGGGAGGCCGAGGCGGGCGGATCACGAGGTCAGGAGATCAAGACCAAGGTGAAACCCTGTCTCTACTAAAAAATACAAAAAATTAGCCGGGCACAGTGGTGGACACCTGTAGTCCCAGCTACTCGGGAGGCTGAGGCAGGAGAATGGCGTGAACCCGGGAGGCAGAGCTTGCAGTGAGCCGAGATCACGCCACTGCACTCCAGCCTGGGTGACAGAGCCAGACTCCATCTCAGAAAAAAAAAAAAAAAAAAAAAAAGAGCTCAAGTCTAGCCTGGACAACGTAGCAAAACCCCAGCTCTTAAAACAACAAACCAAAAAAAGTTTGAAAAGGGTCTTCTCAGGGCAATTCCATACAGAGCTCTTTTGCTCTAGTAATAGTTTGAGGCTTTGGAAAGTCCTGCTCCTTTTCCTTTCTCCTCAGGTGTCTTTAACATGAACTCATTCTGTGGAAAAGCAGTTGGCAGTGCCCACCCATCTGTGGGGGGCTGCGTCCTTAACTCTTTGGCAGCTATACTGGCTAGTGATTGAGATCCCAAAATCTGAAACCAGACCATCTGGTTCTAATCCCCACTTCCTTTCTGTGTGGCCCTGGGCAAGTCATTTAACCTCCCCAAGTCTCAGACTCCCTGTCTGTAAAGTGGGGAGAATAATAATAGCACCCACTTCATGGGCCGGTTATAAGGGCAGGTGAGTTCAGACCGGTAAAGCACTTAGCACAGTGTTTGCTCATGGCAAGCTGGACATGACGGCATATCTCTCTCCACCCCCATGGCCTACAAGTTCCAAATTGGAAGCCCCAGGTTCAGATTAATGTTCTTATTGTGTGACAGAAGCTAAGTCTCTTGACTATGATCTCAGTTTTCTCACTTGTAAAATGGCACCAGGTAATCCTCAAATAAGGCAAGGCTAGGCCTTGGCAGTTATTTGTCACATAATAACTGAATATACAAGGTAATGATGGGGCCATTGTTAAGGTTTGGACACAAAGGGCAGGATGGTAAAACCTAAAACTCATCAGTTTTGTTCCCTGAAAGCAGACAGTAGGAATAAAAAAGTGAATAACTCTATCTGTATGATCCACCGTGCATATTATTCTTGCTATATTGGACACAGATCTCCTCGGATTCCCTTGATCACCATATTCTTTCCAAAAGCCCCATCCTAGAGCTTGCTATAAAGGACAAGATGTTGCACCCTGCACTTCCTAGCACTAAGAAAAAGGCAAGGCATTTATTTGGCCTCTTTGGATTTTGGAGGCAAGATATGCTGCACTTGAGAATCTCGTTCAACCTAGTTATTGGGTGACCCAGAATTCAAGCAGCCAATTCAAGTGAGTCCCAGGATAAGAGAGGTCCCTACTGGGCCAGGTGCAGTGGCTCATGCCTGTAATCCCACCACTTTGGGAGGCTGAGGCGGGCGGATCACCTGAGGTCGGGAGTTTGAGACCAGCCTGACCAACATGGCAAAACCCCGTCTCTACTAAAAATACAAAATTAGCCGGGCGTGGTGGCGCATGCCTGTAATCCCAGCTACTTGGGAGGCTGAGGCAGGAGAATCGCTTGAACCTGGGAGGCGGAGGTTGCAGTGAGCTGAGAGGCGCCATTGTACTCCAGCCTGGGTGACAAGAGAGAAACTCTGTCTCAAAAAAAAGAAAGGAAGGTCCCTACCGCCGTTCAGGCTGTGGCACAAGCTGCTCTGCCTCCTGGGCCGTGTAACCCAGCATGTCCAGTGGTGTTGGAATCACCATGGTGGATAAAGGATGGAGTCTTTGGTGAGCTCCTAGGGAGAACTGCAGCACACACCCTAGGGTTCCAGAACAACCCTGCCATGTCATCTCTGACAAACATGTCATGCTCTTTCTGACAAAGAATTACACTCTGAAAAATAGTTTTAGTATGCTCTTGAGCCCTAGCAGAGACTAAGTGCCTGACCAATGGGCACCAAGTGACCATTCAGCCTGAGATGGCCATCCTAAGCTGAATGATGGGTCATAAGGTTGGACGTCCAAGGCAGTAATCCATTAGGTGATGGGAGGGATACATTCAAACCAGGCGCAAGCTGGTTCAGAACACATAAGTAAATTGCATGAGCAGGTGGTGGCCCAGACTCCCAAATCACCTGCCTCTATTTTACTGCTTCTTCAATCCACATGTATGTCCTCTGGGCAGGGGTGGGTAGAGGGTCCATATAACCAACTGATAAATGTGCCAGGATGATATGCTGGTGCTAACAGCACTGTGGCTCCACTCGGGAGGTGTCTGAAGGACAACAGTAAAGGAGAACCCTGCCAGGGATCAGAGCTGCAAGCATATAGCTGGTCACTTTGCACTCCCCACTTTGCACATGGGGAGCGATAGTCCAGGGTAAGAATATACACTGACTACAGGGAAGTGGCACCTGGCCTGGCCAGCTGGGCAGGGCTCCGAAAGGAATAAAATGAAAAGACTGGAGAAAAGAAAGTCCAAGAAAGACATTGGGTATGGCAGGGCCAGGACTAGGGAGCATTTGCACAATCCTAAGGATGAGTGCCTCCCTAGGAACCTACTTGCCTCATCCAGGCCCAGCACTGGCAGATGGGCCTATGGAAGTGTGCACACAGGGTGCAGATCTTTGGGACGCAAATTATGCCCACCAAAGAGCATCTATCACTGGGGAGGCAGTGAACAACCCACTGGGCAGGATAATTCATCCCGTAGATGTTAGCCAGCCTTTCCTTTCCGCCACCTGTATGCCCAGTGCTGGCACAATGGCCTGATCAACATAGTGGACTTGGTGGCTTTTCATGGGCTCAAGATCATGGACACCTTCTCACTGAGGTGCAGAGCTACAGCCAAGCGCCAAACTTGCTTGCAACACATTGATACTGAGCCCTATACCTGGTACTATTCCTTAGCAGGGAGAGAAAACATCCAGCCATATGGTAACAGGTTGATGACATCAGACCCCTTCCTCTTTTGAGGGAGCAGTGATGTGTCCTCACCAGAATGATTACAAACTCCAGCAGCACCCTCCATGTGCTTACAGAATGCCTGATCTCTCAGCATGGTATCCCACATCACAGTGCCTCAGACCAAGGAACCCATTTCACAGCAAAGAGGCACAACAACAGGCTCGCGATCACAGGGTGGACTGGTCCTGCCCCATCACCCATAATTAGTCATCTTGGTGGAATGATGGCGTGGCCTGTTGAAGGCTCAGGAAGGCACCATCTGGGGAAAACCCCTTTGTGGAGTTGGAGCCTTCTCCTCCAGGATGGAGCTTGAAACTGAACTGGATGTGGTGGTGTGCGCACAATATTGTACTGTGTCCACTCTGATCAGAATACACAGATCTGGATATCAAGGACTGGAATCAGAAATGGCTCCTCTCACTATTACATCCAGCAACTTATTTGTGAATGCATGCTTCCCTTGACCATCATCTTGGGATCCTCCAGGCTAGAGGTCCTAGTTAACAGACGTAGAAGAATTGTACCAGATGACACAGTAAGAATTCCATTCAACTGGTAGCAGCAACTTCCACCTATTCACTTTGAGATCCTCATGCAGTGGACCAACAGGCAAAGGAAGGAAGTTCCTATACTGGCTGGGATCATCAATTATGGTTACCATGAGGAGCTAAAGTAGCTGCCACACCATGAGTCAGGGAGGAGAATGTCTTGTACCCAGGGACTCTCTGGGACATCTCTGAATAGTTTCATGTGTCTAGTGATGACTGTTAATGGGCTGCTACCACAACCAACAAGGACAGGGCAACTAGGGATCTACACCTTTTAGCAACGAAGGTCTGGATCACCCTACCAGGAAAACAACTCAAACTAGATGAAGGGCTAACTGAAGGTGGAGAATCTGGAATGGAGGAGGGAAATGACGAATATCAATTAGAGCCTCTGGACTAGCTACAAGTAAGAAGGCTATAGCTTTTTTTTTTTTTTTTTTTTCTAATCTTTTAGCCTCGGTCTTTGAGAAAAATACTTTTTTTTTCCTTAGTGATGGGCTCTTGCTCTGTCATCCAGACTGGAGTGCAGTGGTGGGATCACAGCTCACTGCAGCCTCCAACCACTGGGCTCAAGCGATTTTTCCACCTCAGCCTCTCAAGTAGCTGGGACTACAAGTAGCACACCACCATATCTGGCTCTTTTTTTCTTTATTTTTTGTAGAGACAAGGTCTTGCTTTATTACCCAGGCTGTTCTCCAACTCCTGGCTTCAATCGAGAGAAAAACACTCTTGACTACCATCTTGAAGGGGACCCTGTGACTGGCAGGATCTGTAGCTCCCTTCTTAAGGAATAAGTAAGAAACTAGGAATGTCACCGTTTGCACAGAACAAGCTGAAGCCCAAATTATCATCTGGGAGCTGAACATAATGAGAGGGCACAGGGGGTGGACCGTGTTGGACACAAATTGTGTATGTTTCCTTAGATTCTTTTAATTGACTCTTTATTTCCAAAAGGGCTGCCTGCCTCCCAAACCACCACTGCCTCTATCAGAGCCCTTTTTTGTGGCCAGAGCTGCCTGACGTCAAAGCTGTAGTCCTAGGAATGCATGGTCTTCACACCCACATGTTGAGGCTGTCTCTCTGAGTCACCCCTCTATTTCTGATTAAAATCAAACATCACACATGGGCCATGGCATCTGGCTTCCCAAGTAGACATCAAGGTCCAGAGGATGAAACCTCTATGTCGGTTCCTATAGGATAACCTTATCCAGTGGGAAGTGGGAAGCACCAGGGAGTTGGGCAGATAAATCGCTCCTCCTTTCTCCCTTCTGTGGATTACTCCAACGTGTGATTTCACCTTGCACCCTGTCTGAAGAAAGTCCTCCTTGCCAAGTGAAATGCTTACCAAGCAACTGGCCACTGCACTTTGCAGCTCATTTTGAAGTAGCCAATGCAGTAACATTGTTTGCGTCTGTTTTTTGCTGCACTTCTCCTTTCCTCACCACTCTGAGCTTGGTCCCTCTTCTAGAAACACCTTTCCCCACCTTCTTCAATCCTACTCATCCTCTACAACTCAGCTTAATCTCATGTCTTCTGACATCTCAACCCCCTACACATACACACACACACACACACACACACACACACACACACACACAGGCTAAATTAGGGGGCCTCTGAGGGGGGTTCCCGTAGCACCAGCCTACACCACTAACTCACTACAAGCTTTAGTAAGTATCTGTTAGGAAAATGCTGCCAAAGCAATCAGACAAGGGAAAGAAATAAAGGGCATCCAAATTGGAAATCAAACTGGATGTCAAACTATTGCTGTTTGCCAATAATATGCTGGTACACCTAGAAAACCCTAAAGACTCAACCATAAAGATCCTAGATCTGATACATTCAGTAAAGTCTTAGGATACAAAATCCGTGTACACAAGTCAGTAATGCTGCTGTACACCAACAACGACCAACCTAAGAATCAAATCAATAACTCAATCCCTTTTACAACAGCTGCAAAAACAAACAAACAAACAAACAAAAAACTTAGGAATATATTTAACCAAGAAGGTTAAAGATCTCTACCAGGAAAACTACAAGGAACTCTACAAAGAAAACTCTATAAGGAACTCTACAAAGAAAACACTGCTGAAAGAAATCAGAGATGACACAAACAAATGGAAACACAGTCCATCCTCATGGATGGTAAGAATCAATATTGTGAAAATGACCATACTGCCCAAAGCAATCTACAGATTCAATGCAATTTCCAACAAAATACCTTCATCATTCTTCACAGAACTATAAAAAACAATCCTAAAATTCACATGGAACCAAAAAAGAGCCCATATAGCCAAAGCAATACTATGCAAAAAGAACAAATCTGGAGGCATCACATTATCCAACTTCGAATTAAACTACAAGGCTATAGTTATCAAAACTGCATGGTACTGGTATAAAAATAGGCATGTAGACCAATGGAACAGAATAGAGAACCCAGAAATAAAGCCAAATACATACAGCCAATTGATCTTTGACAAAGCATACAAAAACATACATTGGGGGGGCTGGATGTGGTGGCTCACGCCTGTAATCTCAGCACTTTGGGAGGCCAAGGCAGGCAGATGGCTTGAGCCCAGGAGTTCGAGACCAGCCTGGGCAACATGGCAAAACCCCATCTCTACAAAAAGTACAAAAATTAGCCATGTGTGGTGGCGCATGCCTGTAGTCCCAACTACTTGGGAGACTAAGGTGAGAAGATCACTTGAGCCCGGGAGGTTGAGGCTGCAGTGAGCCGAGATCGTGCCACTGCATTACAGCCTTGGTGACAGAGTGAGACCCTGTTTCAAAAAATAAACAAATAAATAGATTGGGGAAGGACACCCTATTCAATAAATGGTGCTGAGTAAACTGGCAAGCCACATGTAGAAGAATGAAACTGGTTCCCCATCTCTCTCCTTATACAAAAATCAACTCAAGATGTATTAAAGACTTAAATCTCAGGGCTGAAACCATAAAAATTCTAGAAGATAACATCCAAAAAACTCTTCTGGACATTGGCTTAGGCAAAGAATTCATGACTAAGACCCCAAAAGCAAATGCAACAAGAACAAAAATAAATAGATGGGGAACTAATTAAACTAAAAAGCTTCTGCATAGCAAAAAAAAGTAATCAGCAGAGTAAACAGACAATCCACAGAGTGGGAGAAAACATTCTCAAGCTGTGCATCCAACAACACCCAGTGCCCAGAATCTCAAGGAACTCAAACAAATCAGGAAGAAAAAAACAAATAGGCCAGGCATGATGGCTCATGCCTGTAATCCCAGCAATTTGGGAGGTCAAAGCGGGTGGATCACCTGAGGTCAGGAGTTCCAGACCAGCCTGACCAACATGGAGAAACCCCATCTCTACTAAAAATACAAAATTAGCCAGGCATGGTGGCGCATGCCTGTAATCCCAGCTACTCAGGAAGCTGAGGCAGGAGAATCTGTTGAACCTGAGAGGCGGAGGTGCAGTGAGCCGAGATTATGCCATTGCACTCCAGCATGGGCAACAAGAGCGAAACTCCATCTAAAAAAATAATAAAAATAAAAATAAAAATAAAAAAATAATAATCCCATCAAAAAGTGAGCAAAGGACATGAATAGACATTTCTCAAAAGAAAGTATACAAACAGCCAACAAACATATGAAAAAATGCTCAACACCACAATCATCAGGGAAATGCAAATTAAAATCACAATGAGATACCACCTTATTTCTGCAAGAATGGCCATAATTAAAAAGTCAAAAAACAATAGATGTGGTGAGGTGCGGTGGCTTATGCCTGTGATCCCAGCACTTTGGGAGCCTGAGGCAGGGGGATCACCTGAGGTCAGGAGTTCGAGACCAGCCTGGCCAACATGGTGAAACCCCATTATTTTCTACTAAAAATACAAAAATTAGCCAGGCATGGTTGGTGCTCACCTGTAGTCCCAGCTACAAGGGAGGTTGAGGCAGGAGAATCACTTGAACCTGGGAGGCAGAGGTTGCAGTGAGCCGAGATAGCGCCATTGCACTCCAGCCTGGGTGACAGAGTGAGACTTCATCTCAAACACGGACACACACACACACACAGACACACAAATAGATGTTGGCATGGATGTGGTGAAAAGGGAACAGTTTTACATTGCTAGTGGGAATGTAAATTAGTAAAACCACTATGAAAAACAGTATGGAGATTCCTTAAAAAAACAAAAGTAGAAATACCATTATTTCCAGCAATCCCACTACTGGGTGTCTATTCAAAGGAAAAGAAGTCATTCTATTAAAAAGACACATGCACACGCATGTTTATAGCAGCACAGTTTGCAATTGCAAAGATATGAAACCAACCTAAGTGCCCATCAACCAATGAGTGGATAAAGAAAATGTGGTATATCTGCATCATGGAATACTACTCAGCCAAAAAAAGAACGAAATAATGTCTTTTGCAGTATCTTGGTTGGAGCTGGAGGCCATTATTCTAAGTGGAGTAACTCAGGAATGGAAAATCAAATATCGTATGTTCTCACTTATTAGTGGGAGCTAAGCTATGAGGACACAAAGGCATGAGAGTGATATAAGGGAATTTGGGGACTTGGGGGGAAGGTTGGGTGAGGAATAAAAGGTTACATATTGGGGACAGTGTACACTGCTTGGGTGCCAGGTGCATTAAAATCTCAGAAATCACCACTAGGTAACTTATCCATGTAGCCAAAACCCAACCGTACCCCAAAAATTATTAAAAATTTAGAGCATGTTTTTAAAAGCAAAAAAACAGTACACAATTTTTTAAAAAACAGTAAGTCTTGGCAAGTCCATCTCCCCCATCTGACATCTTGAAACAAAGTTTTTTTTTTCCTCTCTGGGTTCTCAGTACCAAGAACAGTGCATAGCACATAGTCATGAACCTTTGGCCTAAATCACAGTGAAATTAGTGAAAGGAAGTCTACCTTCTAGTCCCAGCACTCACACCAACTTCTCAGACACTGAAAGACCCTGGCCAAGGCACTCCTCTGAGCTTCTGGTAAATGGGGATAATGTTCCTGTCCCCTTCTTAGTTTGTGAAGATAAATTCAGAGAGAAATGGGATTGGTCCTTTGGTATGGTGGGAAGTCTAAGCACATTGAAAGTTTAAGACATTAACACTGGCCAGTGCAGTGGCTCACGCCTGTAATCCCAACACTTTGGGAGGCCGAGGTGGGTGGATCACTTGACGCCAGGAGTTCAAGACCAGCCTGGCCAACACGGTGAAACCCTGTCTCTACTAAAAATACAAAAATTAGCCAGGCATGGTGGTACAAGCCTGTAATCCCAGCTACTCGGGAGGCTGAGGCACAAGAATCCCTTGAACCTGGGAGGCGGAAGTTGCAGTGAGCTGAGATTGTGCCACTGCAGTCCAGCCTGGGTGACAGAGCTAGACTCTGTCTCAAAAAAAAAAAAAAAAAAGATGTCAACACTGATGTTATTAATGACAACTGCTGATAGTGTTGATACTAATGATGACCTGCTTAGCTGGAGGAATTCTCTTTCCTTCCTCCAATATTGCCTGGTTTTGCCCTAACTCAGCTCCATTATCTGCTGAATGATGGAAGCCAGGCCCCCTCCTCTCTAACCCCTTGTCTTATAGATTTCTTTATTATTATTACTATTATTATTATTATTTTAAAAATAGTGATGGGCTCTCACTATGTTACCCAGGGCTGATCATGAACTCCTGGGCTCAAGCGATTCTCTCGCCTGAGCCTCCCAAAGTACTGGGATTACAAGCATGAGCCACCATGCCCAGACTCATAGATTTCACATGTCCTCAAAAAGTCCTTCCAGAAGTCTGACCCACATCCTTCCTGTTGCAGCCCTGCCCCCTCCCTTCCTCATGTCTCCTCAAAGCATGATCCATAAGCACCTTGTGTGGCTTATCCTTGAGGTTGACATCCCCATTCCCACTGCTCAGAACAGGCCAAGAGGCAGAGTGGGAGATTTTCCAGAGAGAAAGAAATAGAAGCCAAGAGAGATGAGAGAGAGAGAGAGAGAGAGAGAGAGAAAGGGAAGTTCTAGTTTGGGGTGAGGGGGCAGAGAAAGAATCTGGAGGGATGAAGGTCAGGCAGCAGTAAGGGCTTCCTAACACCTAAACACAGAGTGACACAGATACCCCCCACCGCTATACCACCGCTATCTACAGCTGCGTGGCTTCCGGGGGTGGGACAATCGTCTTAAGGCTTTCCATGACGTGAGTCCTCGCCAGAACTAAGGCTGTGGGTAAGGCGACATTTCCTGCCCCCGGGGCCAGGGTGAGAGGAGAGATGATGAGTTGCTGAGTGTGCACACCTTTCCGGAACACATACACACACCCTGCTCTGGGATCCCTTGTGAGGCTGCCCTCATGGAGTTCCCCCTGGCCCAGATATGTCCCCAAGGTAAGTGTGAAGTTGAAGGATATGGGTGGGAGGGGGCACAAAGACCCCCATCCCCCTGCCCTCCCTCCTGGGCTTGAGCTCCCACTTCAGGGATGAGGGGCCCCACCCTAAGCCAGAGCTGGCAAAGCTGATTGGCAGGGTGACCACAACCCTGCCTGGGGCTCCATGCCCACTCATCCCTGAGGATAAAGGTGACAGGGTTTGTTGAGGGCTTCTCAGAGAGGAGAGAGGAGGGAGCAGGAGGATGAAGGGAGAAGGAGGCAGAAGATCCTGGACCAGAAGAAGGGCCTGCCCTGAAGTGATCTGCCTCCCTGACCATCCGAAGGCCAGCCTGACTCCCAGCCTCTCCTTCTAGGCACCTGGTGTCCCTCACAACCTCCTCTGGCAGCATTAGCCCCCCATGCCGCCTTGGCTACTTAACCTCATGCCTGAGAAACTCCCCTGCTGCCCTTCTGCGTTTTTCCTGTCGTTAAGACTGTCCCAGCCCTCCAGATCCCCTGAGCCTGGGAGGAGGGGTGGGAGGCAGAGACAGACATAGTTCCTCTCTGAGAAACCCCGGCAGCCCTCTTTGTGCTCACAGGGAGTCACGAAGCCCCCATCCCAACCTTCAGCACCTTCCAGATCACAGACATGACCCGCAGGAGCTGCCAGAACCTGGGCTACACTGCGGTGAGTGGAAACCTGGGGCGGCAGCGTGGTGCAGCTCCCTCATCTCTCCCACCCTCCCATGGGGAAGGACTTGCAGATGGACAAAGGCCACTCCAAGAGAAGGCAGGAATGATCCGGGTCTGCCAACGGGCTGGGGCACAGAGAGAGAGAACGAAAATGAGGAGTACCTCCTTCATGCGCCGAGTTGCCCACTCACTCCCTTACTGCTCCTAGGCCCTCTGGAAGCTCAGGCTGAGTCCGCAGATGACCAGGGTGCAGTGCATTGAGTCCCAGAAGCAGGCATCTGCACTCTGTGTCAGTGACCATTTGCCCAGTGCATTCCACATTCCCGTCTCAGTCCTTCTCTCCTGCCCAGTCAATAATTTTCCCTGCGAACTAGGTCAGTCCCTCATATTATGAAGTAAGCCCTCCCTCATTCTGGCCTCTAGGGTGACTTCCTGCATCATGTTTCTTCATCCTCCAGGCCAGGGAATGACTCTGTCCATCTGGAAGGCTGTGCTGCCTTTCCCGCCCCTCCTAGAGCACAGTGTGACAGCTCACTGCTGCTGGATTAAAAGCCCTCAGGACCCAGAGGGCAAAGGAAGGAGAGTCTCTGGAAGCCAGAACAGCTGGAGCTGAAGAAGGGATTTAAGTTAGACTTTAGGAAGGACTTTCTGGGCAATTGTACCCTAAAATAGACAGGAGAGGCTGGGTATGAGGAAAAGAAGGTGGCAGGTGGATCAAAGTCAGGAGAAGGCCCACTCATCATGCTGCTTCCCCCTCCTTGAACTCTTCCCTGATCCAGGCATCTCCCCAGGCCCCGGAGGCTGCCTCCAACACAGGGAATGCTGAGAGGGCAGAGGAGGTGCCTGGAGAAGGAAGCCTGTTCCTGCAGGCCGAGACCCGGGCTTGGTTCCAGAAGACCCAGGCCCACTGGCTCCTGCAGCACGGGGCAGCCCCTGCCTGGTTCCATGGCTTCATCACCCGGAGGTGAGTCATGGAGGAGGAAATTGGCCCAGACAGGGGCAGGGCAAGTCCTGGGTCTGGGTCCTGCCACCTGCCAGGAATAGATGAAGGCTCCCACTTCTACCAGTCTGGAGTAGATGGAGGCGCCCACTCCAGGCTCCCACTCCCAGAGTTTTCCTAGCCTTTCACTGAGGCATCTCTCCAGGGGAGATCATTGGAGAGGCTCCAGTCCAGCCCTCTGTGTACCTCAGCTTCCCCTCTCTAGGCCCCATTATCCTCCTGTCCCTAAGGCCTCGAATGCTGGTATTTTCCACCTCTCTCTCCCTCCAGGCTTACTCCATCTTTATCTCCCAGCCCTCTCTTCTTCCACCCTTGCAGAATCTCCCTCCTCCATTTCTCAGCCTCATTTCTCCCTAACTCTTTGTTCACCTCCTCAGTTCAGCTTTGACTTCTGAAATCTGGAAGTCCAACTACTTTCCCATCCCTGTAGCTGCAGTAGCAGCCCCTGCAGGCTGCCCTTTCAGGATGAGGCCAGGGGAGGATGCGGGGGTCTCCTGAATGGGACCCCTGGCCCCTGTCCACGCCTAATCCCTGCAGCGGGAGAGCAGCGCCCACGTGCTCTCTCTCCCCATCTCCGCCCTAGCCTTTCTCTAGCCGCTCCAGCATGCTTGCTTGGGGGTAGGGGTTCCTCGTGAGAGCCGGGGAGACAGAGGCGAGGCTGGAAGTGTCAGAGCAGGGTTCGGCCCCCTCTCTCCGTCACCCACAGGGAGGCAGAGAGGCTGCTGGAGCCCAAGCCTCAGGGGTGCTACTTGGTGCGGTTCAGCGAGAGCGCGGTGACCTTCGTGCTGACTTACAGGTGAGGGGCGAGGCCCCGCGCCGGGCGACACAAGGCGGGGCTCGGGAGGGGCGGGGCTTGGGTCTGATCCCGTGAGGAGCCGGGCTCTTAGCTCATTCCCCGGGCTGCTGAAGGTGGGGATCACGCCTCTCGCTGGTGACCCTGGCCGAGGAGCGGGAGATAGTCTGATCCCTAACGGCGCCCTCCAGGAGCCGGACTTGCTGCCGCCACTTCCTGCTGGCCCAGCTCAGGGACGGGCGCCACGTGGTGCTGGGCGAGGACAGCGCCCACGCGCGGCTGCAGGACCTGCTGCTGCACTACACCGCGCACCCGCTCAGCCCCTACGGGGAGACGCTCACCGAGCCCCTCGCCCGACAGGTACGCGCCCCAGACCCTGACCAGAGAGCCCAGGGTCTCGGGCCAGCGCCCCTCCCGCTCAGAGCCCAGGCGCAGGACGCGGCACCAGGCACTTTCTCATCCCGAAACACCACTCGGGCATGCCTCCCTTACCCAGGCATCTTCATCTTCATGGGAGGGTGGCAGGCCCTTCGAGAAATATGAGTGCTGGGGGACCGTCCTTAAGAGACCAGCCCAGCCACACGGAGTCAGAGGGGCAAGGAGAGGCCAGGGGCACACAGAGTCATTTGGGGTTTTGTTTTTTGTTTTCTTTTGCTTTGTTTTAGACAGAGTCTCGCTCTGTCGCGCAGGCTGGAGTGCAGTGGCGCGATCTTCTCTCCCTGCAAACTCCACCTCCCGGGTTCAAGTGATTCTCCTGCCTCAGCCTCCTGAGTCAGCTTCCCCCCTCTAGGCCCCATTATCCTCCTATCCCTAAGGCCTCGAATGCTGGTATTTTCCACCTGGTATTTTCAGCTTTGACTTCTGAAATCTGGAAGTCCAACTACTTACTTTCCCATCCCTGTTGCTGCAGTAGCAGCCCCTGCAGGCTGCCCTTCCAGGATGAGGCCAGGGGAGGATGCGGGGGTCTCCTGAATGGGACCCCTGAGTAGCTGGGATTACAGGCGTGAGCCACTGCGCCCAGCCTAGTCATTTGTTTTTTAATGTAAGAGATACTTACGGAGTACTTAGGGCCTACCAACTGCTGGCAGGCCCTGAGAACAGACCCATGAACAAGACAGACAGATGGATCTCAAACTCACAAAGCCTACTTTCCAGCAGCAAAAACAGACAAGTAATAGAAATCCAGGGTGGAGACTGTGATTCAAGAAGAAATACAGGGTACCATTTAGCCTAGCAGGCAGCGGTGCACAAGTTCAGGCAGTGCTGAGGGACCACTGTGTGCCACGCAACTTTCTGCGCACTGGAAAAACAGGAGTGAATGTAAATGACCTGAATATCTCTGCCTTCAAGAGCTTCCATTCTAGAAGGAGGAGACAGACGAGTGAGTAATATGGATAACAAGCAAAGAAGACAGAGTCTGTCTAGTAATGATGAGTACACACTGACAAGAAAACCAAAGAGCTCCACCAGCAGCTCCACCTTCCAAGCAGACCCAGCCTCCACCCTCCTCATGCCTCCTGGAGGCACCTGCCTCTGCTACACTGGCCCAGGCTGCCATCATTTCATGTGAAATATTGTTGAAGAGTGACAGGATTGGGGCTGTTCTACACAGGGTGTCAGGGAAGGCCACTCGGGTAAGCGGACATCTGAATAGAGGCCTGTATGAAATAGGAGAAGAGCCATGCAGACAACTGGAGGAAAAGCATTCTCGGCAGCAGGCACAGCAGGTGCAAAGGCCCTGAGGCAGGAGGAGACTTGGTGTGTCTGAGGAATGATGGGAGCAGAGAGGAAGTTAGCATGGGTGGATCCGGTGACTGAGGGATAGAGAGGTAGGAGATGAGATCAGAGGGGTGAGGGAGGGGGGCCCTGTAGACTCTTGTATGCATTTGAAGTTTTATTCTGAGCGAGACGAGGTGGCACTGGAGACTTACAAGCTGAGGGGTGACATGGCCTGGCAAGTTTCGGGAGGAGCAATATTTCACATGAAATGATGGCAGCCTGGGTCAGGGTAGCAGAGGTGGGTGCCTCCAGGAGGCATGAGGAGGGTGGAAGTCTCCTCAGAAGGTGGAGCTGCTGGGTTTTTGTGGGATTGGATGAGGAGTGTGAAAAGATGGACTTGTCATTGACTGAGTTGAGAAAAGTTCTAGGAGGAACACATCCAGGCAGGAGGCAGGTGATCAGGAGTTCTGTTTTCTACACGTGCAGTTCAGCATGGAGATGTCAAGTAGGCAGCTGGAATTCAGAGTCTGGGGACTGGGACAAAGGGATGGGCTGCAGACAAATATTGAGAGTCACCAGCACTTAGATGGACTCTAAAACCTTTAGGAGGGGAGAAATCTCACTCGGAAGTCAGTGTAGGTGGGAAGGAAATGAAGCCCAGGTCTCCAGCATTTAGAGTTTGCAGAAATGAGGGGGAACTGACAAAGAAAACAGAGCAGAGCGCTCAGAAAGAGGAGAAAAGCCAGAAGAGTGTGATGCTCTGGAAGCCAAGCGAAGAAAGTGAGTGAAGGCGGGTGAGGGCAGAGGGTGGAATTGATACTAGGTTTGACAGAGAGGAGGTCATTGGTGACCTAGACAAGAAGAGTTTCACAGAACTTGATTTGGGTCAGTTAAAACAAGTGGGGACAGTGCCTGTGGTCACTGCCTTTTCTGTGAGGAACAGGCAGAGACCTGAGATTCACAGGGCGTAGGGAAGTCTGGGGGTGAGGAGGAGCCAGCCTGACCTGAGAAGCCTGAAGGCAGAGCTGTAGAAGTCTGAGATCACACAGAGTCTTGTCACTCAAGCTCTCAGGAGTCTGACTTATTCTGGGGCAATGGGCTGCCACCCAAGGATTGCTAGGGGAGTTTCTGTAAGATTGCTCTGCTCGAAGACTGGAGAGTGGATTGGAAGGGCAAGACGATGCAGGGGGAGGAGTCAGGAGGCCTGAACTAGGGTGCTGGCCATGTGCATGGAGAAAAGTACTCAGATGTGAACGATATTTAGACAGTGGAAGGAGCAGGACTTGTGTTTGATTTCATGTCAAGAGGGAGGAGGTGGAGGCATCAAGGATGACTCCTAAGGTGCTGTTTCGGCAGCAGGGTGGAGGTGCTACTTTTTATTCCGGAAGGAGATGCTGAGAGAGGAGGGGGTTAGGGCAGGAAAAAGAATTCTTTGATTTCCACAGTATATCTGCAGTACACCTCCCGATGGAGACATGCACTTGGTGGATTGCAGGAGCACAAGAAAAGCCCTGTGACCTTAGCCTACAGTGGCAGCAGGCATGGGGACAGCATTCATGGACCAAGGGCTAACACGGAGCTAAAAGCAGACCCTCTGTGAGACGGAACCATCCCACATGGGGCTCCTCTCTCCTGAGGTGGTCTCTGCCCTTAAAAATGTTAGCTTATGGCCGGGCGCAGTGGCTCACACCTGTAATCCCAGCACTTTGGGAGGCCAAAGTGGCGGATCACCTGAGATCAGGATTTCGAGACCAGCCTGGCCAACGTGGCAAAACTCCATCTCTACTAAAAAATACAAACATTAGCTGGGTGTGGTGGTGGGCGCCTGTAATCTTAGCTACTTGGGAGGCTGAGGCAGGAGAATGTCTTGAACCCAGGAGGCGGAGGTTGCAGTGAGCCGAGATTGCGCCACTGCACTCCAGCCTGGATGACAGAATGAGACTTGGTCTCAAAAAAAAAAAAATAGCTTATATTTCCATAAAGTAACCGGCAGTACAGAAATAAACACAAGCACAGCTGTCATGGAGATTGGTCCCCATGTCAATAATTTTTCAGTTAAAGACGTGTAAAGCCATGTTGCATTTTCAGAACCACAGGCACAAATGGAATCTGGCCTGGCCCTGTGTTCCAGAAGAAATTAAGTTTAATGCAGCCAAGTGTGGTGGCTTACGCCTGTAATCCTAAGACGCAAGAAGGCTGAGGTGGGAGGATCACTTGAACCCAAGAGTTCAAGACCAAGCCTGGGCAACATAGTGAGACCTCATCTCTACAAGAAATGAAAACACAATTAGCCGGTGTGGTGGCACATGCCTGTAGTCCCAGCTACTTGGGAGGCTGAGGCAAGAGGATAGCTTGAGCCCAGGAGGTCAAGGCTGCAGTGAGCTGAGACTGCACCACCACACTTCAGCCTGGGCAACAGAGTGAGACTCTATCTTAAAAAAGAAAAACTTTAATGCTAGATATGGCCTGTGACCAGAGCTTACCACTGCCTCCATCCAACCCTGGGTCTCCCTGCCGTCACCACCCCCTCTTCCTCATCCAGGGAACCCAGCCCAGGCCAAATTTCTGTGCTCCTCCCCCTTCCCCCATCCTCCACTTAGACTGGATTATTTTGTCCTCCTGATCACCTCCCCCACCCCAACGCTCCACCGAGTGCCTCAGACCTCCTTCTTTCCCAGCAGACTCCTGAGCCTGCAGGACTTTCCCTGAGGACCGAAGAATCAAACTTTGGAAGCAAAAGCCAGGACCCAAACCCCCAGTACAGCCCAATCATCAAACAGGGGCAAGCCCCAGTCCCGATGCAGAAAGAGGGGGCCGGGGAGAAGGAGGTATTGGGCTGCAGGGGCTGAGGGAGTGGGAGGACAGGCCTGCGAGGGGGTGCAGGCAGCGGGGAGGAGGAGGGGCCTAGCGGGGGCAGAGGCTCAGGCTGGGAGTTAGGCTGGGGCTTTAACCCTGCCTCCCTCACCCCACTCCTCCCTGGCCTCACCTTCTCTCCCAGCCCTCCCAGCTGCTCAGGCCCAAGCCTCCCATCCCCGCCAAACCTCAGCTGCCCCCAGAAGTCTACACAATCCCTGTTCCACGACACCGCCCGGCCCCACGCCCCAAGCCCTCCAATCCTATCTACAATGAGCCTGATGAACCCATAGCTTTCTATGCCATGGGCCGGGGCAGCCCTGGGGAAGCCCCCAGCAACATCTATGTGGAAGTGGAAGATGAGGGCCTACCCGCCACCCTTGGGCACCCTGTCCTACGGAAGAGCTGGTCCAGGCCTGTCCCAGGAGGCCAGGTAAATGGGTATGCAGGGAAAGGTAGGTGCAAGAAGGTCTCCCTGCAGGTAGATGGGGGAAGGTGAAGAAGGTGTTCAGAGTGGATGCCTGGGGCAGGGTAAGGGGCAGAGGTGTGAGGTGATGTGGGAAGAACAGAATGATCCAGGCACCAGCCTCCCTTCTCCAGGCCCAGAGGCTGCCCCCTCTTCTCCCCAGAGTCGCTCAGACCTCATCTTTGTCAAGCCCCCATGCCCTCCTATCTCACACAGAAAACAGAGGCCCCCAGGCAGGGTGCCCCTCCACCTCCCACATCGAGGCTTTTTTGATCTGCGTCCATCTTGTCCTGCAGGCCCTCTTCAGACGCACCTGGGGCTGACCCCACCCCGTGCCTCTCTGGCTCTCTCCCTTGGCCTTCACGGCCCTGCTGTCCTGGAGAAAAAGAGCACTTGGGTTCCCTTATGTCATCTCAGTGAGCTCAGGGGAGGGGGACCCTGCTCTCCCAGCCTGCTTCTGTGTACTCCCTGTCTCCCTCTTCCTTCTCCCCAGCCCTAAGTCTTCTTGCCTACCCTTCAAGTCAGTACCTCATGCCATGGGTTAGCCCCAGCAGCCATCCCACCCTCTCCCTCGGCCTCTGCGGCCCTCCCAAAGCCCTTCCCCAGCCTCCCTCCTCAGACCCTTCCCCATCCTCCCTCCTTGCTGGTGCCCCAGGCTCCCTGCTCAGCCTGAGCCTGCTCGCGCTCACCCACACCCCTGCCAACGTCTGCTGTCCTAGAGCTAACGTCACCTGTCCATATCTCCGTCCAAACTTTTTTCCAAGCTTCTGGTCAGTTCCCCCCAGCATCCCTGAGCCCCTCAAACTCAACACGGCCAACAGCGCTCTCACCCTTGCCCTCCAAACAGCTCGGTCCCATGTTCACTGTCCTGATTGCTAACTCTCCAGCTACCCAGCTAGCCAAGCCAGAATCCCAGGGCTCCCTCAGCACAGCTCCCTCTTTACTCCCCCAGTAAGCCACTCATTCCTGCTGGATCTCTTCCTAAGTATATTTTTCCTTCCCCCAGCTCCAGCCCCCATCATTGGGGTCTGGCTTTGTCACCCAGGCTGGAGTGCAGTGGCACAATCATAGCTCACTGCAAACTTGAACTCCTGGGTGCAAGTGATCCTCCCACCTCAGCTGAGATTACAGGCTCGAGCCACCTCACCTGGCTCCCAAGAGCTTCTTAACTGGTTTCCTAACCACCATTCTTGCCACTTCTGATCCACTCTGCACCAAAGAGCCAGAATGGTCTTGCTGAAGCAGCTGCCTGGCCCATGAAGCACTCTAGACTTGGGTTGGGTGGGGGGTCTCACCTCCTTAGCCTTACCACCAGCCACTCCCATTCTCCTAGAATGATTCACATTTCTCTAAACTCACCAAGTGGTTTCAAGCCTCCTGGGGTTTGCACCCGCCAGTATCTCTGCCTATAGCAACTTCCTGCAACCTCATCCTCCCGCTGCCTGGCAACTTTCTAATCATCCTTCAAGACCAGCTTTCCCTTCTCAGAGGCCACCCCCTGTGCCTTACACACACCTGCCATGCCACTGATCACCTGAGACATCCATCTCCTCCCATCTCCTTCTCTCTGTCCCTTCCCTAGTTTAGAGTGTGAGTTCCCTGAAGGGAGGGGCTGGGACTTACCCATCTGTTTCCAAAGCACCCAGCCCAGTGCCTGGCACAGAGCAGGTGCTCAGGAGATGTTTGTTGAATTAATGAATGAGAGGAGTTTAGATACCCTCTCTGGAAGCCAAAGTCTGTTCAGATCAGATGTCTTGAGACTGCAAGTACACCTAGGAGGCAGAGGGTAGAGGGTGTGACCTAGAACTGTCCTTCTCTCTGCAGAATACAGGTGGCTCCCAGCTGCATTCTGAGAACTCTGTGATTGGGCAAGGCCCTCCCCTGCCCCACCAGCCCCCACCCGCCTGGAGACACACCCTCCCCCACAATCTTTCTAGACAGGTGCTTCAGGACAGAGGACAGGCATGGCTTCCCCTTGGGCCTCCTCAGTAGGCGGTAAGTCTGAGCTTGGTGAGGATAACTTGGAGCATCAGGTCCAGAGACCTTCACACACACCTGGCACACTTCTCAAGAAATGTGGATGGAATAAACCATAGGTGTTCAAAGCTGGAAAGGAGCTCAGCCATCATCTATTGCAAGGATGGCAAAGAGGTGTCATCTTGCATGCCAACTCCAATCCATTGGTCGTGGCTGCCTAGAGTGCTGCATTGGAAAGGATGTTAAGGTCATATCTGAACTCAGCAGAAAAAAAGCACATGATTGATTAGTGATGTCTGCCACGGGTAAGAGCGGGAGGATGAGCAGCATTACATTTGTCCTTAGTGATCAAATTCAGCTCCCTCACTATGCGGAGAAGAAAACATAGCCTGAGAGGGACAGTGACTTGGCCAAGGTCAAGGACTAGAACCAGGCTTCCTGATTCCCTGTTTAGTGCTTTGTTCCTTACCACACATCCACAAACTCAAGTCCATAGGAAACATCAGAGATTTCCTCAAACAGGAAGTCTGGCCACTTTCCAGAGTTCTACTGCATGGAGGCCTGGGTGCTTCATTGGTCCCCTCCTGTGGATCCTGGCTTAACTCTGTCCCCCTGACAGGTCTGGCCTGACCCCCAACAAAGAAGCCTGGAGGTCAGAGAAGCAAATGCGGAGCCTGCTCCCTCCTAAGAAGATCCCAAGAATCCAATGGCTCAGTCCTTGGTGATCTAAGACAGCAAAGAAGTGTGCAAGGAGGGCCCTGTTAGCTCCCACTGTCCTGGTTTCTCCTCCTGGAGTCTAATTTCCTTGGCCCTCTGAGCCTTTTGAGTCTGGGCCCTGGTCCAATGCTGCTGTTGTCTGAGGAATGGTTTGGTGAGAACAGATGTTAGAACTTGTTTGTTGATTCTTGTCTGGCTAATAAATCATCACCAACTGCCTTCTCCTACAGGGATTCAAGTCCTCCAGGCTCCTTCTGTTTCTGTCTCTGACTTTCTCTCTCTCATACTGTGGAAGGCAAGGAGTTGAACTGCCACTGCAGTGAGGGTGGAGGGGCTTGAGGATTGACAGACACCAAGGCCAGGAATACAGACCTCTGCAAACTATTCCTTCTTTAGCTGGGATGGGTTGAGTAGGCAGCCAGGGACATAGGGGTGGCTATACCACCTGAGGCATAAAGAAAGAGGGGCAGAGAGGTGAGCAGTTGAGGGACAGCCCCTTCACCTCCTCTGCAACCGCCCTGCCAAGTACAGGACTCGGGAGGAGGAAGATGTGTGTGTGAGCCCCTTAGAGGACAGGAATCCCCTCGGAACTGGCTCCAGGCCTCTCATCTTCCCAGCCTCTTGGGCTTAGGCCCTTTGCCTCAATCAGGACCCCATTCTCTCCCCTATCCCTCTTGCTTCCCCATTCTCTGCCCAGACCCACTTCAGAGCCAGCCTCCTGTTCCTGTGCAAAGCTCTACACTCTGGGGCTCTGGCATATGCCCTGGGTCTTACTTTTGTCTCAGACTGGGGACTTTTTTTTTTTTTTTAGACAGGGTCTTGCCCTGTCGCCCAGGCTGGACTATAGTGGCACGATCATAGCTCAGTGCAGCCTTAGCCTCCCAAGTTGCTGGGACTACAGGTGCCCACCACCAAGCCCAGCTAATTAAAATAAAAAATTTTTTTTTGGCTGGGTGTGGTAGCTCACGCCTGCAATCCCAGCACTTTGGGAGGCCGAGGTGGGCAGATCACCTGAGGTCAGGAGTTTGAGAACAGCCTGGCCAATTTGGTGAAACCCCATCCATCTCTACTAAAAATACAAAAGTCAGCCGGGCATGGTGGCACATACCTGTAATCCCAGCTACTCGGGAGGCTGAGGCAGGAGAATTGCGTGAACCTGGGAGGCGGAGGTTGCAGGGAGCCAAGATCGCACCACTGTACTCCAGCCTGGGCGACAGAGCAAGACTCCGTCTTGGGGGAAAAAAATTATAGAGACAGGGTCTCACTGTGTTGCCAGAGCTGGTCTCAAACCCGTGGCCTCAAGCTATATTCCTGTCACAGCCTCCCCAAGTGCTGGGATTACAGGTGTGAGCCACCATGCCCAGCCAGACAGGGGGCTTTCTAAGGCAGGGCTGTGTCTGCCCCTGGATTATCCTCAGGGCTCAGAGCAGAGACGACCCCTCCAGAGCTGCCCAGGCCTGGGGACTCCTGTGGTCCCATCTGTGCAGCCTGTTCTTTTCACACTCATTCCTACAAGAGGCTAGTCCAGGCAATCAGCGCCAGTCAGGGCCCCTGTACCTACCTGAGGCACGAGAATCTTCCAGACCCTTTCCTTAAGCCACAGTCCCTAGGCCTGGGCACTGCCACCACCATACCACCCCCAGCCTGGCCCAGGCGCCAGCTCCAGTGACTGGCCAATTCCCCTCTTTCCACTCCAGTGCTAATCAGCTTAAGGAGAAATATGGTTGCTGAGTCAACAGAGTTGGAGTTCCACTTCCCTTTGTTTAGACCTCAGATCTAAATGTCCTCCTGAGCAAGAGGAGAGGTGGGGAGGGAGGCAGAGGGGCAGGGAGGGAGGAGCAGATGGCTTTGCTGAAATCAGAGAGGAGGCTCAAAGTGCCAGAAAGGTCTCAGATTAGACGCAGGGAGTCAGTTACCTCGTGGCTGATTCCTTGGGGCAGGGGAGGAGGCAGAAAAGAGTGGCATATTTATTGTACAGCAAGAGACAGAAATTAGAAAGTCAGAAAATAGATTTCTCCAGACTTTGGGGTGTAACAGAATGGGCAGGTGTGGGGAAGGGACCAGAAATGCCCAGTGACCCACTTGATGTTTCTGGAGGAGAAAGCCTGGAGCAGAACAGGGGCAGGAGCAAAGCCAGGGGCAGAGCAGGACCTAGGGACCCTCTTCTTCCTTCTGTGGCTCCACAGAGCATGGGGTGGACACACCAAAGGGGTGGTGGAGCTCAGATGAAGCTATGGCGTCAAGAGCCCTGGGTCTGTTATGACCCTGTGCTAACTAGTTGTGCAACCTTCAGCAGGGGAACCCTTTTTCTGTGACACTGGTCCCTCCATTCCTTATGCATGGAGATAATGCCTCATTTGCGCACAGGGTCTCATTGCACACAAATGAGACCGTGCAAGTGAAGGGCTTTGAAAAGCAATACTGCTGGGGCTAGAAGGGACTTCAGAGACCCTTGATGACAGAGTATTTGGCTCAACTAAAGAGGAAACTGAGGTCTAGAGAGGGGAGGTGACAGGGAGCCAAAGGCAGTCAGGCCCAGGGACCAGATCTTGTCATCCCAACCCAGTGTTCCTCTTAATACCCCAGGGCCCCTCCTAGGCTAAAGGATAAGGTCCCAGTCTTGCTGAGGGCCACAGCTGCAGGCCCAGCCCTGAAGACCAAGGTGGTGGAACCTCCCTCCCCATGACGAGGGGCACCCCTGCACAATCCTGCTGACTTTACTCCAAGGTGAGGCCTGGGGCTGCGGTGAGACCTCAGGAGGGAGAAGTTGAGTAACTTGTACAGTAAAAGCGAACTGGGGCGATCATGCTGAGCGAGACTCCACATGCCAGGAGGGGGAGGGCATTTCTCACCGACAGTCTTCCCATGGTCATTCCATCCCTCCTCCTGCCTCCTCCAGGCAGAGCCTCTCTGGCTGAGCCCACTCTTAGATCTGTGAAAGGGCAGCCTCTCACCCTGTCACAGCACATGGAAGACCTTGCTGTGAGCAGAGAGAACTGCTCCCACTATAGGGTCCAGCTTTGTCCTCCAGCCCCTGCCCCTTCAGCTCCACGCCTTACCCTGATGGCTCTTTCCTGCTCCAGCCTCCCCTGAGCTGCCCCTTTCATCCTATCTGCCCCCTCAACTAATGCAGCACAGTCTCAGTAAGGTGATCTGTAACTCTGGCTCAGGGGCTTCTCAGGGAGACTGAAGAGTAACATCACATCCCATGAACCCACTCAGGGAGGGGCGGGGCTGGTCATCACTGAGTCCTCACTTGAAAGAAAGCTGAACTTAGGCCGGTTGTGCTGGGCACGGTGGCTCACGCCTATAATCCCAACACTTTGGGAGGCCGAGGCAGGTGGGTCACCTGAGGTCAGGAATTCGAGACCAGCCTGGCCAACATGGTGAAACTAAAAATACAAAAAAATTAGCCGAGCATGGTGGCAGGCACCTGTGATCCCAGCTACTCAGGAGAATCGCTTGAACCCGGAAGGTGGAGGTTGCAGTAAGCCGAGATCACACCACTGCACTCCAGCCTGGGCGACAGAGCGAGACTCCATCTCAAAAAAAAAAAAGAAAAAAGAAAAAGAAAGCTGAACCTAGAGGGAAAGGGGTAAAAAGGGGCAGACAGGAGCACGCAGCCCAGAGTATTCCAACATCCTTGCCACTTCCCCCAGGCCCCACTGAACTTTAACCACTCCTCCATACATTGGAGCTTCTTGGACAGTGAGCTCAGCACCCCGGCTAGAGTGGAGATGTGGCTGGGCCCCTCCGAAGGGGCCAGCAGCGTTGCAGAGGCACTGAAACACCCTCATTACGACAACCGTATCATCTCTGTGAGGGTTCTAAGTCTGATCCTCGTAGACCTCAGCTTCTTCAGCTCCACTGTTCTGGTCAATGTGACACTGCACATCCAGCTTTGCCCCGGCCCCACCAACATCTTCCAGGGCTAATTGGATCCATTTCTGACCAAGGCCTTCACACCTTTCTCCTTCTGCCCCTTGGCTGTTGCTGCCATGCTAATTTTAACCAAGTTATCACTCTTATTTCTCCCTCATTACTGTCTCTGTCTTCTGTTCATCAGAACTTGAGGCTACCACCTCCAGGAAGCCCTCCCAAATAAAGTCTATCCGTTTTCTAATTGTTGGTTATTTCTCAGTGACCAGGAAATTCCAACCACCAAATACAATGCCATCTTTGGTAGGACTAAAAAGTGGCTTTAAAAAAAATGTGGCCTAAGACTCTTGAGTGAACTGAAGGAGGTGGGAGGCAAGAGGACCCTTAGAGATATCTAGCCCAATTCTGTCCATTTCCAGAAGATCTGGGAGTCTCCCTCTCACCATCTTCTGCCTCCCAGCCCAGAGCACTTCCAGCTACAACATGACACAGCCCCTAAAATGAGAAAGTTGAATTACTGAATCCCAGGAGTGTGGCGACTCGTATGGGCCGGGCTGCATCTGTAGCATATTGGATATAAGAAAGGAAGCACTGGACTCATTGGAACCTAAGATTTTAGGCCCTGCTGAGCACACCTCACCACCTGTGACGCCCCAGAGGGGCAGATCTCAGCCCTGACCCCCACTGCCTCTGTGAATACTGGGAGCATGGTAGGGTTGAAGCTCCTTGCTGAAGTCTTGGCTGGATGCATGGATCTGGACAACTACAGCCTGAGTGTCCCTGTGGGATGCAGGAGCCCTGTCTGGCTCCAGCCCGAAGTAGGTCAGATTTCAGATAAGCGGGTGGTTTTCCTGTAAGTGATGAAACCCTCTCTGTACTTAATGAGAAACAGACTCCTCAACTTACCCCAGCACACAAAACCAGAAGCTTGGTGAGGTTCCTAAATTCTGCCTCTTCCTTCCCACCCCCAGGTCCCCACCACATACCTCAAATGCCCCTATGGCCTTAGCCTCCCCTCTCTGTCACCAGGACTGCCAAACACTAATTCTTCCCAGTGTTTTCCTGCAACAGTACACTCAAGCATCTATTTCTGGTCAACAGCTCCTCCACCTGACATCTAATGCTCTCTGCAGGAGTTTCCTCAACGCTACTTTCCTGCAGGAAACCACAGCAGCTAAGCCCTACTGGAATCCTAGTACCCTTAGCCATATTTTTCAGTGGTGGTTTGCAGTATGATTTGCACACTGTTTTTGGAATCATCCCATCCGTCTTGCCACTTCTGGGCGTCACAGTGCCTTACAGATAATTGGAGTCTACAGACCCTGTACCTCCTTTCTTCAATGAAGGCTAGGGCTCTGGAAGTCTCCAAGGGTATCTCTCTAGCACCCAAGTTCAATGTGAAGCTTCCAAACTGATCCAGACCAGTGACTACCAGCGTCAATCTGAATCATCTTCAGGGACAGGGATTTTGCCACTTTACCTCCTGCTGGATAGGATTTTTATGCCTGACACTATTTTGTACTACAGAAAAAACCTCCTGACTTCACCCAGTCTCCAGAGGTACCTGAGATTAGCAATACATATTTGGGATCACAGGCCTCTCTGAAAATCATCCTGCCTCATATAAAGTTGTGCATACCATTTCTAGGGTTTCCAATGGCCACAAACCCAGCTAGATGGTGGATAGAGAGGAAAAATAGCAAAGCAATCAGGCAGCTCAAGATCATTTGGAAGGTGCTTTACACAAGGTAAACACAAATCCAGGGACAGGGCAGGCAATGTTTGTCAGACTGAATGTTTTATTTCAACAGACATCCCTGGTTTAAAAAAAAAAAAGTGGTGGTGGGGAGGGTTCAACATTTTATCACACCTGACAGAGAGCAAAACTCCCACCCCAGAACTCAGAGCCCCTTCGGAGGCATCACACAAGTCTTTGCTAGCTCCAGGACAGAAAGGAGCTGAATTTTCTAACTTGTTAAGAAAAATCTATCAAATATGTTCATTCTCGCAGAGGCGAGGGCTGGGTCCTTGGGGAAAGAGATCCTGGGCTTAGAGCAGCTGGGGTCCCAGAGGTGAAGCTGGGGGCCAGGCCAGCTGGGCTGGCAGGAGATCCTGGGAGCAATCAGTTCCAGAGCCCTAGAATCCATATTTGGCTTGGGTCTGACGGCGGCTGAGCTTGTTCTCTGACCAGGTGTTCTTCAGTTCCAGCTCCCGCTCCTTGGCCTGTGGCAAGGAAGAAGGGTAGGGGAGGGTCAAACTGGAATTCTGAGAAACGCTGTCCTCTTGCCTCTGTGAGCTTCCCAATTTAAAATCTTTCTCCTATCAAAACGATTATGGGGGAACTGCAAACCCCTTGAAAGACTTATCAAAGTAAAAGGGAAAGGCCCCAAGAAAGCAAAGAAAAATCATTTCTTTGGACAGTTATCAAGGTTTAAGCAAAATAAAGACTCAAGAATCCTGGTGCTTCCTCTAGTAGAATTAAAACTCAAAAGGTGAAATAGGAAATGGGCAAATGAAAACTAGAATTTAGCATCTAAAAGGAAGAAAATCAGCTCTCTTAGAGAGGAAGACAATCAGCTCTCTTAGACACCCAGCCGGCAGAGTAGGAGAGGACAGTCTCAAAGGCTCCTCTGGACCAGTCAAAACAGAACACCAACAAACAATTGCTTAGCCTGGAGATACAGTTTTGCAGTTGTGTTGAATACAGTGTGTGGTACCTTAGAAATTCAAAGGATTTTAAAGTAATGACTGAAGCTGTGAAAAACTGAGAGGTACAAGAATGACTTCTTTCTTCTGATCTCAACAACTCCTGGCTCTATACCACATTCTGGAATGTAGAAGTACCACCCTAGAAAGGGGATTCTCAAGACCCTCCAAAAGTTATCTGATGCCTGCTCATCTCCTTTGGAATTTGGGGTGGGGGTTAAGAGATTGAGTTTAAATAATATCCTACTCTCAAATCCTTTCCCTACAAACCACAAGACAGGGAAAGAGTACAAAGGAGTTCCTGAAAGGAAGGTGAAAATATGACAAAAACAATGAAAGCAAGATTTGCCATGAAATCACCAACCAGAATGTACACTTCCCAGGAAAGGGGCCAGGAAAGGGTCTTATTCATGTCTGTATCTTTGACACCATTTAGTTCAATAAGTCTTAAAAAGATATTTAATGACTAAATACAGTTGACCCTTAACATGAGTTTGAGCTGCACAGGTCCACTCATACATGGGTTTTTTTCTAATAAATATTTAATATATTAGAACTTTTTTGGAAATTCGTGACAACTTGAAAACACAAACTGTGTAACTTAGAAATACTAAAAAAACTAAGAAAAAGGTATGTTGTGAATGCATAAAATATATGTAGGTACTAGTCTATTTTTATCATTACTACCATAAAATATACACAAATCTATAGAAAGTTAAAATTTATCAAAATGTACACACACAAATACAGATCATACATGGTGCCATTTGTAGTCAAGAGAAACATCAACAAAAAGATACAGCATTAAATCTTAACTGCATAAAATTCACTGTAGTACACACTGTACTGTCATAATTTCACAGCCACCTCTTATTGCTATTGCAGTGAGCTCAAGTATTGTACCTGCTTAAAACACCACGTAATGCTAATCATTTCCACGGGAGCTGCTTGTCTCTCTAGTATGTTGCATATCACAGTAAAATGTGCTCTCTCAGTTCTCGTGTTTTTCATTGCGTACAATGTCATAAATCTTTTTTTTTTTTTTTTTTTGAGATGGAGTCTCACCCAGGCTGGAGTGCAGTGGCGCGATCTCAGCTCACTGCAACCTCCACCTCCCGGGTTCAAGCGATTCTCCTGCCTCAGCCTCCTGAGTAGCTGGAATTACAGGCACCACGCCTGGCTAATTTTTTGTATTTTTAGTAGAGACAGGGTTTCACCATGTTGGTCAGGCTGGTCTCGAATTCCTGACCTCGTGATCCGCCCGCCTCAGCCTCCGAAAGTGCTGGGATTACAGGCGTGAGTCACCATACCCAGCCCATAAATCTTAACACCATAAGACCCATACGAAGTGCTGCTAGTCATGCTGAAGTGCTCCCAAGCAGCAGAGAAAAGTCATGACATTACAAGAAAAAGCTGACTTGTTTGGTACGTTCCGTAGACTGGGGTCTGCAGCTGCAGTTGCCTGCCACTTCAAGATAAATGAATCTAGCATAAGGACCACTGTGAAAAAAGAAAAGGAATTGTGCCACTGCACTCCAGCCTGGCAACAGAGCGAGACTCTGTCTCAAAAAAAAGGAAATTTGTGAAGTTGTTGCTATCGCTGCAGCTATGCCAGCAGGTGTGACAACCCAGCACATTTTGCAAAATACAAAATATGTGTTATCGGTAAGGATTCTGGTCAACAGTAGGCAATTAGTAGTTAGCTGTTAGGGGAATCGAAAATTATACACATAGCCTGGGCTACACAGGAAGATCCTATCTCTACAAAAAAATTGTTAAATTAGCTGGGTGTGATGGCACACACCTGTGGTCCCAGCTACTTAGGAGACTGAGGTAGGAGGATCATTTGAGCCCAGGAGACGGCAGCTGCAGTAAGCCATGATTGTACCACTGCACTCCAGCCTGGGTGACAGAGTAAGACCCCTGTCTCCAAAAAGGGAAAAAAAAAATGTTATACGCAGATTTTTGACTGTTTAGGGTGCTGGCATCCCTAACCCTCTGTGTTGGTCAAGGGTCAACTGTATTTGAAAGCTGCCCAGTCATATTAAATAAATACCAAGACATATTCCAGTTTCAAAAGACATTTTTGGATTACCTGTAATTCTGAATTATTTGTGTTGATGTTCCCTGCCACAGAAGTGAAGAATATAAAACCAACCTCTTCATCAGGTGGATGTTTGGCTAAGTTGGTGAATCAACTTTTTTTTTAAGTTTTTTAAATTACTAGAGAAACCTGCTATTTAAAAGAACCCTATGATAAACCATTTCACTCTCCTCTTACATTATGTTTTGGATATCTGGATTTTCACTTAAGAGTTTTATTCTAAGCACCTGCACCTGAATCTTATCTGCATTGAGACTGAAGTAGAGCAGGATAATTCTGAAGGATGTATCCCCTCCTAGTGGCCGCTCTGAGAATAGGAGAGGATGCCTGCTAAAAGATGGGCTGCTAAAAGATAAGCATCTGGGCTTCTAACTCGTATCTCAGCCTTCAAATTCCCAGATTTACAGAGATCCTGCCTGAGCCAGAGCCCTCAGCTGTCTCTCACCTGATGAATAAGATATGTGATCTGGTGTTTCCGCCGCTGCTGGCCTGTTGGCTGCTCACCTTTCTTCTGCAAGAGAAGAAAACATATTCATTAATCCACAGGATGAAAGCAGAAGTTTCTCATGTGCCCAGATGGTGTGGTGTTAGGGGCTGAGAAGCCAATTCCACAGCCCAAATCCTGGGGGAGAAAAGTTGGAGCTGTTTTTACCTCTATATACTACAAAGCCTTTATTTTTATTAAAGCCATTATACAAAAAACCCAGCTCAGAACACTTGCCTGAAATAGCCTGCTAATATCCCCCACTAGACTGGAAATGCTTTGAGGTCAGGACTGTCTTCTGCGTCTTTGGTAATCCCACCCCACCCCTAGCACCCAGCATGGGGTTCTGTCTGCTGTGGACATCTGAGACCAGTTTAACTGCGTGCAGTCAGTCTGAAACAGTTTGTGGGCCAGGGCACAGGTGACCTTCTGCCCCCCTGCCAGGCCCTCCCACAATCCCTGTGCCCATCTCCCTTCAAACTCTCTTCATCTCTGTCCCCCTCTCCCCAGTCAAGCCAGATGTCTAGCCTGTCTCCCACCTACTGCTTATCAAGCTCGCTCCCATCAATCACCTCTGGCTAAAACCCCTGCCTTCCCCATTCTAGTAAGTGCCAGCAGCTTCCCTGGAATTAGAAATTTCACAATCACTCTACCTCTCCCCAGTCTTCCAGCCTCCGCCCGTAACTGCACTGAACCCGTAACCAAACTTCGATGCAAATGATTTACTGTCAAAGTCTATATTGGTCTGGGCTTTCATTCTGCGGTTTTTCTGTCCTCTGCCAGAGTTGTCTCAGACTAGAAGCTTCCTAATCATCTCCACCCAACTCCCAAAACTCCTCTCTAGAGTCTCCTCAGCACTTATGTCATCAATCTGTACTGTAATCATTTACACTCAAGTGTCCTTAAATCTCTTCTTCCCAACTATGCTGTCAACTCCTCAAGGACAAGGACCATATCTTTTTCTCCTTTTAACAAAATCTAGTTCAATATAATGAGACGGTGGCAAGAAAACTTGGAGATAGGAAAATAGCAAATACTAATTGCTTGCTGCTATTTAATGTCATTTAATGTGACAGTTAAAGATGACACACATAAAACATCCAGCTCCATTCCTGGCCCACGGTGAGCATTAACAACAGTAGCTATTACTATGTGACTATGCTTCTCGACCCACAGTTGGTAGAGCATGCTCTCCTAAGTGGTTTTTCCAGTAAACAGTGATGGATCTATGCTGATCTAACCACAGTCCTTTGCTCTGTCCTGTATGACCGCCAGCATTCAGTTAAAACAAACGGCTGGGGCTTGTGTGGCCATCTGTGGCCATAGAACAAAGCAAAGCAAATGGGGGGAGGAAAAGGGAACAAAATCCTCGACCTTGGTCTCGCTGGTGCTGGGCTCAAGTCCAGGGTTTTCCCACATTTCCCCTCCGGTGGCAGGCTCATAAATGTCCACATTTGCTGTTCTCAGCTACTAGGTGAAGAAATGTTCATCATACTGACTGAAGAAAACTAGGACAGAGAAGGCAGGAGTGTGGTGTGGGAAATGTGATGAATAAAAGCACTGGAAAGACTACAGCTGGCTACCATCAATAATGAAGAGAACACAGAAGAGTTGCATGCTCAGAATCTAGGGACTCCAGGATTTCTGAGGTGCTGTTGTGCCCACACCTCAAAAATGTGCTGAGCCAGGTCCCAGCTTGAAACAATGAACTAACCGGGGCCGGGTATAGTGGCTCATGCCTGTAATCCCAGCACTTTGGCAGGCCAAGGCCAGGGTAGGTGGATCACTCGAGGCCAGGAGTTCGAGACCAGCCCGGACAATATAGTGAAACTCCAACTCTACAAAAAAATACAAAAATTAGATTGGTATGGTGGCATGCACCTGTAGTCCCAGCAACTGAGGTGTGAGGATCACTTGAGCCTGGGAGGCAGAGGTTGCAATAAGCTGTGACTGAGCCAGTGCATGCCAGCCTGGGCAACAGAGTGAGACTCTGAAAAAAAAAAAAAAAAAAAAAAAACACCAGAAAATGAAAACAATTGGAAGGAAGGAAGGAGGAAAGGAGGAAAGGAGGGAGGGAGGGAAGGAAAGGAAGAAGATAGTATTTTAAAAGAATAAAAATTAAAACAAAAAAAGCAAAAAACTTTAAATCAAAAAAAGGAAAGAAGGATCTGACTGTACGGCAAGAGTAGAGCAGCTGTGGATTCTGTGCAGCCTGAGAAGAAGCCACAACCACAGGCTGGGAGGCCTCACCAACTACTCGATCTCAGCAACCAGACCCCCCATCCAGCTGCAGAGCTGTTAAAGTCCTGCAAAGTTCTAGAGGGCAGGAGCTGTATCTGTGAGGTTTAGTGCATACTCCAGTACCATGGGCAAAATGTGTTTGCTAAAGGTGCTGTGACAATAACAATGGGGTGTGGGGTCAAGACGGGGAGTAAGACAAGATTTTGCTTTGCAGCTTCCCAAGCTGACCACTCAATAGACGTTTCCCACTTACTTTGCTGAATGACTTCATGGTTTTCTCTTCTGTCAATGACTTAGTCATCCATTGCTGGGCCCCACTGAGCTGGTCATCACCTTTGATCTCCACAAAGTTGATTTCTTCTCTCCCTCGGTTCCTCTTGCCCTGCAGCCGCTTAAACTGGAAAAGAAAAAAATGCAGGAGTCAGGAATCTGGGCAAGGGTGTCAGCAGATGCCACTAAAGAGCCAGAGTTTATGGAATGATTTTGTGACTCACCAATCCCAAGGCACCCTCAGTTCTCTACGTCCTTTCACCCTGCCATCTACCAAACTCCCTTGATGCCAGATGAAAGGCTACTTCTACTCAGAACGTCTCCTGAACCCAGGAAAAGGGAAGCTAAGAGGTATCTCCAAACATGAATGAGAGCAGAGAACCAGTGATATGAATTTGTATTCAAACGGTATCTGCCTACCACTATGCAATATATCCATGTAACAAACTGGCACATGTACCCCCAAATCAATTTTATTTTAATGGTATCTGCCTAAAAGGACTGCATACAATTTTAGAATTAAGAATTCAGAGTAGGCCAGGCACAGTGGCTCACATCTGTAATCCCAGCACTTTGGGAGGCCGAGGTGGGCGGATCACCTGAGGTCGGGAGTTCAATACCAGCCTGACCAACATGGAGAAACCTCACCTCTACTAAAAATACAAAATCAGCTGGGTGTGGTGGTGCATACTTGTAATCCCAGCTACTTGGGAGGCTGAGTCAGGAGAATCGCTTGAAACCAGGAGGCAGAGGTTGCAGAGAGCCGAGATCGCACCATTGCACTCCAGCCTGGGCGGGAAGAGTGAAACTCTGTCTCCAAAAAAAAAAAAAAAAAAAGAAAGAAAGAAAAAAAGAATATAGAGCAGGCCAAGCAGGGTGACTCACATCTATAATACCAGCATTTTGGGAGGCAAGGTGGAAGGATCACTTGAGCCCAGAAGTTTGAGACAAGCCTGGGCAATAAAGTGAGACCCCATCTCTATAAAAAAATTAAAAAATTAGCCGGGTGTGGTGGTGAGTGCCTGTGGTCCCTGGGAAACACAGCAAGACCTCGCCTCTAAAAAAATAAAATTCCAAGCCCCCAGAAAACACAGAACTCCAGGATTTCTCCTTTAAAAATCAGTTGTTTGTCCATCTCTGTTCCTTCTAATTGTTCGGTATCACCGAATCAACAGACCCCACACCAGAGTGGACATTAGAGACAAAGAATGTGGGGCTGCGTAGAAAAGGAGTCTCTCACACACACAGAGTCTTAGCTTTACTTCAAAAGCTTTTAAGGTAAAGAAAAAAAAAAAAAAGCCCAGTAAACTTTCTAGGACACTGCTACGCCTTCCTCTTCCTAAAAAAGCAAAATGCAAATCACACAAGTCATCCAGAGGTGTGCCTCAAAGCAAATGTGGGGTGAAGAAGGAATAGAATTTTAAAACTTAGAAGCTTCAGTGAGACCCAGTCCTGATCTCAACATTAGTGAGGCCTTCTATACTCACTCTACCTAGAAGAAACTGACTTTTGCCACTAACTGGGTTCTCAGCTGTCTCCTAGGCTTAGTTGGTTCCCAAAGAAACCAACTATCAAACCTGCCAAGAAGGATATCCATAGGGGAGTGGATGAACACAGTATCAAGCACAGGCAGAAGTATGCAAAGGGATGGACACCTTTCTGGGAAAAGGTAAGCAGAGAAGAATTATTTTTTATAAGAACCTCCATGGTGAGGTAGCACCCCCTATTTCTGCAGATCCCTCCTAATAGGCTGTGACTTCCCTGCAGATAGAACAGTACTTTATATCCTGAATAAGGGCCTGAAAGTCACAGGACATTGTGCTTTCACCTTTCCTTTTGCTGAAGCTTAGGAAAGCTCAGCAGCAGTGAGAGACCATTATGTGAAACACAACGGTATTTAACATAGCTGCTTGGTGCCTCCCTAAATCCATTCTCCTCTTCTTTAGTGTGAAAGAATCCAAAATTTTTGCTAGGCATATTACCACACAACTAATAAAACATTACATTTCCTAGACCCCCTTACAACTAGATATGGCCGGCTAGATGCAGTGGCTCACGCCTGTAATCCCAGCACTTTGGGAGGCTGAGACGGGCTGATCACTTGAGGCCAGGAGTTCGAGACTAGCCTGGGCCAATGTGGTGAAACCCCGTCTCTACTAAAAATACAAAAATTAGCTGGACATGGTGGCACATGCCTGTAATCCCAGCTACTCCTACTCAGGAGGCTGAGGCACAAGAATCACTTGAGCCTGGGAGGCAGAGGTTGCAGTGAGCTGAGATCGTGCCACCATACTCCAGCCTGGGCGACAAAGCAAGACTCTGCTCAAAACAAACAAACAAAAAACAAAAAAAACACAAACAACTAGATACGGCCATATGAGCAGATTCTAGTCAGTGAGATCAAAGTGGACGTGCTCTTAGGAACTTTCAGGAAGTCTCCTAGAAAGCGAGGGGAAGTGTTCCTCCTCTTTCTTTCTCTACCCTGCTGCATCTCCAATGCCAATGTGATGGCTGTAGCTTTAACTATCATGGACCATAAGAATAAAGGCCACAGCCTAGGGATGGCAAAGCGATGATCAGAAAGAGACTGAAGCCAGGCATGGTAAATCATACCTGTAATCCCACCACTTTGGGAGACCAAGGCAGAAGGAATGCTTGAGCCCAGGAGTTCAAGTGCAGCCTGGACAACAAGCAAGACCCCGTCTCTACCAAAAAAAAAAAAAAAAAAAAAAAAAAAAGAAGGGGACTAGATCCCTGACTCTGTGGAGCTTCCAAAGCACCCCTGGCCTGCCTACCCATATCCTTCTTCCATGAAGAAAAAAACTAACTTCCTTTATATAAGCCACTATTATTTAGAGTTTCTCCATTACATGTTGCCAACCTAATCCTGATACAGTTTTGTCTTTTGTGTGTGTGTGTTTTTTTAATTTCCTTTGGCTTCAGATTTGAAATGTGGTGCCCAGCGGTCAAAGATGGTCACTTGTGCTTTCTTAACTTACTGCTTCGTCATCGATGAAGGAGGCATCTGGGGCAATTTCCTGGGGGGGGACCAGGGCCGGGTCCTGTGCAGGATAGTAGCCACCACTGTAATAATCCTGCAGCCAAACAGGAAAGAAAAACACACCAACTGAGGGCACAGTTGGAGAGGGGAAGGTAAGGTCTGTCCAGAAACAGAAAATTGTCATCAAAGAGGCAATGGTGAGATAGCTATACTACAGCTTCCTCAAACAGACCAGTTAAAGGCATAGATCCCAAGGACCGACCTACAACTCAAGAACAGTCCCTACAGCTTTTCTCATCTACACTATCCAGACAGATGGATATTTTTTAGGAAAGGGTAACAAGAAACAAAGACAGTCTCTCCTGCTTCAATCTATACCTTGCTCCCTCAGCTACTTCCTAAGAGAGACTCTCACCTCTTACCTCTACCATGCCCTCAGCCCTGCTCCTCCTGCTCATAAGACCCCAATGAGCTACGATGCGAGCAGGGACGAGAAGGTATACGTCATGCCATTCCTGCTCCTCATTCTAGTTTGGTCCTGTGGATACAGGGAAACAGTCTAAACCGGGTGGGGAGGTTATAGATCTCTGATTTAAAATAACCACTATTAGGATACAATGAAACTTACAAAGCTGGGAACAAAGCAGGTTCGTTTACCAGATTTTGAGTTCAGGAATCTCATGATTCCCCTTAGAGGCGAGTGGCCCAGATGTTGCTGCAGACCCTAGAGGAAGAGGAGGGTGAAGGCAAGGGCAAGGCCTCTGCTTGGTGAAGTCAGGCAGCCACAGGGCCAATAAACTGTTTCCTCCTTGCCTATACTTTTTCCTAATTCTTCCACTTCGTCTTAAACTCCAAGAAATGCCCTTCTAAGAACATTTGTTTTATGATGAGCTAAATGAAAATAGGTTTAATATTCACTACATAAAATAATATATAAAAATCCAGAGCAATTAGAGTATGGATTTTTTTTATAATGGTATTCACAATAAGATACATTTAAATTTCAGAGTCCCCTAGTGTATTTAAAGTGCTTTAATTTACATAGATTATCTCAGTGGTGTTTATAACTGCATATAGAATTCCAATTTGTTATTCAATTTAAATAGCATCTTTTTTATTTTCCTGCTAAAGAGGTAAAAACACTATCTTTCTCCATCCTTCTTTTTTTGAGATGGAGTTTCGCTCTTGTTGCCCAGGCTGGAGTGCAATGGCGCCATCTTGGCTCACTGCAACCTCGCCTCCTGGGTTCAAGCGATTCTCCTGTCTCAGCCTTCCACGTAGCTGGGATTACAGGCGCATGCCAGCACGCTCAGCTAATTTTTGTATTTTTAGTAGAGATGGAGTTTCATCATATTGGTCAGGCTGGTCTTGAACTCCTGACCTCAGGTGATCCGCCTGCCTTGGCCTCCCAAAGTGCTGGGATTGCAGGCGTGAGCCACCACGCCCAGCCTATCTTCCTCCATCCTTCTAAGAACAACCTTAAGGGCAGATATACTATCTCTGCTCAGCCTATAGGAAACAACAAGGCTTAACAGCAAAGATTTAGCAAACAAAATTGTTTTCAAAGTATTTGGTCAGAACAGGTTCTCCACAAAGCCCTCTCTCTTCACTCATGCCCAGATTGAAAACAATAATGCTGACCATTCAGAGAATCACAGTGGTTGAAGGGACTTAAGTCTTCCAACCATCCCAGGCCAGCAGTTTTTAAACTTGCTGAAGCTGCCCAGTCATGGGGCCAGCCAGCTGCCTCTGTTCAACTCCACCACTGGTGCCAGGTCCCCCAACTCCTGCTCCTAGGAGCCCTCTACATCTTGAGAAGCTCTGACTGCTAGGAATTCTCTCTTAAACCTACGTACAACCTGGCATTCTATACTTTTACTCTCTGGGGCCATACACATCAAATCTAAATATCTCTTCCAAACAACAGGTGAATACAACGTGAATAAAAAGTTACAATCAGCATTTATTGAACATTTACTATTTTCCAGGAACCACCACGCTAAACTAATGTAATTATTTTAGCAACGCTTTGAGTTGCTCTGATATCCCATTTTACACCTGAAGAATCTGAGACTGAGAGAGCCAGTTAAGTAACTTGCCCAAACTCAGCTTGAGATTCAAACCTCAAACCACCCTCAGGATTCTCTTTATTTATTATTAATTTTTTTATTCTCTTTATTCTTACTTTACACTCAACCCTCCAGATTCCCTTCTTTCCTCCTTGGCCCCAACTCTCCCTTCCTGTTTTTCTCAATACTCCTCACCTCTAGAAACTCTTCTTAAACTAACTGCTATCTAGACATCTATGCCATAGATTCCCTTATCCTCATCATCCACATTTCAGGAAGCTATCTTGTAATTCTAAGATTAGATACCAGTCCTCTTCCACCTTCCCTTCATACCTCTCACCAGCTCCGACATCAGATTTTGTTTTCAACATAGGGGAAGTGCTCCAGGACACTGGTCTAGGAAAAATTTTACAGCTAAGACCTCAAAAGCACAGGCAATAAAACCAAAAGTTGGCGGGGTACGGTGGCTCACGCCTGTAATCCCATCACTTTGGGAGTCCAAGGCAGGCAGATCACCTGAGATCAGGAGTTCCAGACCAGCCTGACCAACATGGTGAAACCCAGTCTCTACTAAAAATACAAAAATTAGCCAGGCATGGTGGCGGGCACATATAATCCCAGTTACTCGAGAGGCTGAGGCGGGAGAATCGCTTGAACCTGGGAGGTGGAGGTTGCAGTGAGCCGGGATTGCACCACTGCACTACAGCCTGGGTGACAGAGCAAGACTCCATCTCAAAAATAAAAAAATAAAAAATAGGCAGGGCGCGGTAGCTCACCTCTGTAACCCCAGCACTTTGGGAGGCCCAGGTGGGCAGATCATTTGAGGTCAGGAGTTCGAGACCAGCCTGACCAACATGGAGAAACCCTGTTTCTACTAAAAATACAAAAAGAAATTAGCGGGTCATGGTGGCGCATGCCTGTAATCCAAACTACTAGGGAGGCTGAGGGAGGATAATCGCTTGAACCTGGGAGGCAGAGTTGCGGCGAGCTGAGATCGCACCATTGCACTCCAGCCTGGGCGACAGAGCGAGACTCCATCTCAAAAAAAAAAAAAAAAAAAAAGATGCTGGCAAGGTTGTGGAGAAACGAGAACACTTATACACTGCGGATGGGAATGTAAATTAGTTCAGCCACCGTGGAAAGTAGTTTGGAGATTTCTCAAAGAACTTAAAACAGAGCTACCATTCAACCCAGCAATCCCATTACTGGGTATATACCCAAAGGAATATAAATTACTCTACTGTAAAGACACATGCACACATGTTCATCACAGCACTGTTTGCAATAGCAAAGACACAGAATCAACTACATGCCCGTCAACAGTGGACTGAATAAAGAAAATGTGGTACATATATACCATGGAATACTACACAGCCATAAAAAAAAGAACAAAATCATGTCCTTTGCAGCAGCATGGATGGAGCTGGAAGCCATTAAGCAAATTAACATAGAAACAGAAAACCAAATACCACGTTTTCACTTATAAATAGGAACTAAACACTGAGTATACATGGACACAAGGAAGGGAACAATAGACACCAGGGCCTACTTTAGTGTGGAAGGTAAGGATCAAAAACTACCTATTACAGCCAAGTGTGGTGGCTCACACTATAATTCCATCACTTTAGGAGGCTGCAACGGGCAGATCCCTTAAGGCCAGAAGTTTGAGACCACCCTGGCCAACACAGTGAAACCCCGTCTCTACTAAAAATACAAAAATTAAATTAGCGGGCATGGTGGAATGTGCCTGTAGTCCCAGCTATTTGGGAGGCTGAGGTGGGAGAGTTGCTTGAACCTGGGAGGCGGAGGTTGCAGTGAGTCAAGATCGTGCCACTGCACTCCAGCCTGGGCAACAGAGCAAGACTCCGTCTCAAAAAATATAAAATACAAATACAAAAATTAGCTGGGCATGTTAGGGTGGCACACATCTGTAGTCCCAGCTACTCGGGAGGCTGAGGCAGGAGAATCACTTGAACTCGGGAGGCAGAGGTTGCAGCTGAGCCAAGATTGTGCCACTGCACTCCAGCCTGGGCAACAGAGTGAGATTCCTTCTCCAAAAAAAAAAAAAAAAGGCCAAAAACCTACCTATCAGGTACTATGCTCATCACCTGGGGTGACAAAATAATCTGTACACCAAACCCGTGACATGCAATTTACCCATGTAACAAACCTGTACATGTACCTCCTGAACCTAAAATAAAGGTTAGGAAGAAAAAAAAACAGATATATATATATATATATATATATATATATATATATATATATATATATCAATCACAAATATGTACAAATATTATGGATCAATAAAAAATAAATAGATTGTTTTCAGAATAAAGATGTCATTTATGTGGTTCACCCTGTCACACTTTAAGACTTGGGCAATTTAGATTAATATGGTTCAGAATAAAGGTATGTTCTGTGGCCTAATAAATAGAGAAGGTTAATTTAGCCAAAGTGACACCACAGAGGCTGTATCACTAGCTCAAAGCTCTCCTTGACCACCATGTTCCAACATTCCCTCGCCTGCCCTCTGTGCCTCCTACCCACCTGATAATAAGCACCAGCGGCATTGGCATCGCCATATGTGGAAAACTGATTGTAGCTGTAGTCGTCCCCAGGCTTAGGCATCCAAGGGGCCCCACTTGAACCTGCTGCCATCTTGAATTCAAGGGGGGCATTGGCTGCATCGTCCTGGAAAGCCGGCTCTGGTTCCGTGCCTGGAGGCAGCTCTTCAGGGACAGTGGGGATGGGGTAAGGGTATGGCTCAACTCCAGGTGGCTCAGCCTTTTCAGGGAGGGAGAAAAAGTTTTCGGGGGCTACTTCCTCATCACTGTCGTCTTCTTCCTGCGTGATCTGCTTTGTCACCTGCAGGGCAGCACTCTTGGCAGCAGCCTTGATAGCAGAGGGCGACGGAGTGGTGGTTGTGGTGCCCACAACAGGGGCAAGAGAGGAAGTCTTGGTCTTAGAAGCCAGTCTGGAGGGCTTAGTATCAGGGGAGCCATCCGAGGGTTTGCGGGAGAAGGCATGGGGCAGGAGCAACCTGTTAGTCTCTTTCACAGTCAGGTTTTTAGGTTGGGGAAGCAAGGCAGACAAACCAGTCCCCTCACTGGATCCCTGGTGAGCCCAGGTGTGGGATAGGAGGAAAGAAAGATGACAAGTGAGATTTTATGTACTAGCAACACCAAAAACAACAGTTACAGATAAGTTCTCTAGCCTAAAATCTTACCAGCCCTTGTTTCTTCCTTACCTCCGTCCACTCAGACCACCTAATCTGGGCTTGACTCCTGCTACTTCAGGCCTTTCTGCGGGCTGCTTCTCCCAAGGTGAGGTATCATTCCTCTTCTCTTCCATCCCAACCCAGCTCCACTGCCCTCTTCCACAGAGCGAGCCTTCCTCAACTCTGTGTCTTCAACAAATACGATGCTCTTAACCTCACATCGTCCTTCCTCCCCAAAAGCCCAGGTCTCTCCAGCTCATCACTCAACCTCTCTCCGTGTCCTGAAGGGACCTCTTAACACAAGAACCCTCTCCTTCCTTTGGAATGCTACCCAAAATCAAGAACAAGGTTCTGTCTAAAAGAAACATTCATACTGTTGCAAAAGTCCCTTCCCGGCTGGGCAGTGGTGGCTCACGCCTGTAATCCCAGCACTTTGGGAGACCAAGGTGGGCGGATCATGAGGTCAGGAGTTTGAGACCAGCCTGACCAACATACTGAAGGCCCGTCTCTATTAAAAATACAAAAATTAGCCAGGCATGGTGGTGGGTGCCTGTAATCTCAGCTACTTGGGAGGCTGAGGCAGAAGAATCGCTTGAACCCAGGAAGCGGAGGTTGCAGTGAGCCGAGATCATGCCACTGTACTCCAGCTTGGGTGACAGAGTGAGACCCCTTCTCAAAAAAAAAAAAAAGTCCCTTCCCCTGACCAAGGGAGAAAGCTAACCCTGAGCGAGACCCCTCAGCAGCGCTAATGACGCCTAGGAAAGAGTGGAGGCCCAGCACGTTCAACAAGGAAGCAGTGAGTCCAGAGACTGCAAGGGGCCTGACACAGCTTTTTCCAACCCTTTAAATTGCTCTCCTTGTCACCATCCCCAAAGCAAAGGAAACAGGATTTCCTTTCTCTTTTTTTTCCCCCCCTTAGATAGGAACCTGAAGCCTCAGCTTGGGTGGGGCAGCTCCCTTAGGACTTAAGTGCTAAGGGTATTTTTTTTTTTTGGTCGGAGTCTCGCTCTATCACCCAGGATGGAGTGCAGTGACATGATCTTGGCTCACTGCAACCTCCGCCTCCCAGGTTCAAGCAATTCTCTGCCTCAGCCTCCCGAGTAGCTGGGATTATAGGTGCTCACCACCACGCATGCCTGGCTAATTTTTGTATTTTTAGTAGAGACGGGGTTTTACCATCTTGGCCAGGCTGGTCTTCAACACCTGACCTTATGATCCACCCACCTCGGCCTCCCAAAGTGCTGGGATTACAGGCATGAGCCACAGCGCCCGGCCTAAGGGTATTTTTTACTTAAGACCATAGAATTCTACATTAGCTGACTGAAAGGGTTTTTATAAGATCATCTTCAGTTCTTTTCAGACTTACTCAGCTTGCAAATTTCCCTAATCTAAGACATTACTGCTTTTTACAAAAATATGTAATTTTAGTATCTTTAGTGCCATCATACATACAGAGGTAGTTTTGTCAGCCAGAAATGAGTGTATATATATATATGCTGTATTTTTTTAATCTGAAGAAAGTCCCCTACCCTACCCAAGGAAAGCCCTATAGATGTGGCATATTAGCTTGTTAATGCCAGAGTCAAGCATTTAACTTTTGATCTGTAAGCTCACTGGCCCAGCCCATCCAGAGTTCCTATTACCCAAAAGAATCTCTCAGATTCTGCTTTCTCTATGCTAAAAGGCCCGTTTGGCCTAACTGTAGAGCTAAGGGAAATGCCAATTGGAAAAGGAGAATGGAATAAGGTCACTGTGTCACTGTCTTAGAGTACTAGTGTACTCCAGCCTTCTCAGCCAAGAAATGCCCAGAGTAAATAAGACATTTGAGTCAAGCCACACAGAACTGCTCATGTGGAGACTGGGCTCTTCTTGCTGTGTGTGTGTTCACAGATTTGGTCCAGCCTGGAAGCGCCCAGAGGCTCCGGTTCATAGGAACCACACTGAGGTACAGGGCGGAGCACACCCTCAGGCTACCTTGAAGTGTCTGACTTGTCACATATCTGGGGTCATGGCTACAACATTTTGCAGTCCTAAGTCCCCACTCTGCCTTAAGAGCTCAGAATTCCTCTATCTACTCATTTCTTCCTACCACCTGGAAGATTGTTCTTTACAGTCTTCAGTCTTACAGTGGGGGCGCCTTCTGAGCCAGTCTACCTCCTCCAGGAAGCTATCCTGGTAACAGGACTGCCTTTGCTCAGTCTCAGCACGCCAACATCTTGCATGACTCCTTTTTCATCTACTATAAATACAAACACCAGGGCCGGGCGCGGTGGCTCACGCCTATAATTTCAGTACTTTGGGAGGCCGAGATGGGCAGATCACGAGGTCAGGAGATCGAGACCATCCTGGCTAACACGGTGAAACCCCATCTCTACTAAAAATACAAAAAAATTAGCCGGGTGTGGTGGCGGGTGCCTGTAGTCCCAGCTACTCTGGAGGCTGAGGCAGGAGAATGGCGTGAACCCAGGAGGCGGAGCTTGCAGTGAGCCAAGATCGCACCACTGCACTCCAGCCTGGGCGGTAGAGCGAGACTCCGTCCCCCCCAAAAAAAAAAAAATTAAATAAATAAATACAAACATCAGCCTTGCCAGTTATCTTTCTAACTTCCACACAACTACGTCCTTCTAAAACTGCTCAGAGGTGGAAGCAACTTTAACTGAGTCAGGAGAAGGCCACTTGAATCACAAGACAGCCACTATTTTATTTTTTTATTTTTTATTTTATTTTATTTTATTTTTATGTATTTTTTTATGTTTTTTTTGACTGAGTCTTCCTCTGTTGCCAAGGCTGGAGTGCAGTGGCACGATCTCAGCTCACCGCAATTTCCACCTCACGGGTTCAAGCGATTCTCCTGCCTCAGCCTCCCGAGTAGCTGGGACTATAGGCACCTGTCACCACGCCTGGCTAATTTTCGTATTTTTAGTAGAGACAGGGTTTCACCATGTTGGCCAGGCTGGTCTCAAACTCCTGACTTCAGGTGATCTGCCCGCCTGGGCCTCCCAGTGTTGGGATTACAGGCATGAGCCACCGTGCCAGGCAAGACAGCCACTTTATAAAAGCAGGACCACTTCTGCTTTTCCCTGAGACATATGATCAACATGAGGTTAGAATGTATAAATCACCAAGTGTGGAAGGAATGGGAAGAAACTTCTGGGGGCCAGGATAATGGTACTGAGATGAGGGGAAACAGAAGCAAACAGCAGGGAAATCATCTACTAGCACTGTCTTGTTGAGGACTTCTGGTTTCAATTACAAGGAGCTGAGTGCAGCAGTTAAGAGCTTGGACTCAACAGTCAGACTGGCCAGGCGCGGTGGCTCACACCTGTAATCCCAGCACTTTGGAGAGGCCGAGGTGGGCGGATCACCTGAGGTCGGGAGTTTGAGACCAGCCTGACCAACATGGAGAAACCCCATCTCTACTTAAAATACAAAATTAGCCGGGTGTGGTGGCGCATGCCTGTAAACCCAGCTACTCGGAAGGCTAAGGCAGGAGAATCACTTGAACTGGGAGGAGGAGGATGCGGTGAGCCAAGATTGCACCATTGCACTCCAGCCTGGGCAACAAGAGCGAAACTCCATCTCAAAAAAAAAATATATATATTGTCTGATTGCCTGAGTCTGAATCCCAGCTCTGCCCACACTAGTTGTCTGATCTTGGGCAAGTTCCTCAGTTTCCTCATATGTAAAACAGGGATGATAACACTATGGCTTAGGCACTATCATGAGGATGAAATCAATTAAATGCTAGTAAAGCACTTAGAACAGTGCCTGGTACACAGTAAGTGCTATTTAAGTGCTTATTTTCCAGGTTAAAAATGAGACAGGAAGAAGACAGACAATTTTAACATCATTTTGACTAATCCACTTATTCTACCCTCCCTAAATAATCCTTTTACACTATACGTAATGAACTGAATTGAGTTACAATTCATCTCCCTACCACTGCCTGTCTTCCAGGAAAGGTAATACCAGCATGTTAAAGCCAGGAATAGAGTGGAGAGGGTAGAGATGCACAAGGTCTGAAGTTCTAAAGAAAAACAAAGCCGAACCTAAATAGTCCTCAAATATCTGTGTTTGCTCTAAGCCTAATCTGAAAACTGCTGGATACTGTAAGTCCTGTCTTTGAGGAAATAATACAGGAAGAGAAAAAAAATGGTTTATATCACAATGCTTACCTGAAGGATAGTTTTCTTCTTTGTGGGTTCATCTTCCTCAGAATCTGACTAAGAGAAAAAGAAATGAAGTAAGGCCTCACTGTTTTAGGACAGTAAAGGAAACACATTAAATATAGCACATATGAAGGGTTGGACAACAGTGGCCATCTTGTCTGTGCCCCACCTCTGTACAGAGGTACACTCACCCCAGGCCCAGTCAAACAACACAGCTCCCTTCCTGATCTCAAACAGCTTCAGAGAAATCAGGGTATGCCTTGGCCTCCCTTGATTACTCAATTCCCCTGCCCTCTCAGACCTGTTGCACAGCCTTTTTGGCATCAATTTCTTTTCTGTTAAATTAAGACTATTTCCTCCCATTTGGTCCTTGGTGGAAAGAAAAAGCTATACCCATTCTTCTTCCTATAATTCTGTCCACTAGAAGATGAATGGGAATTGGCCCACAACCTCACCCAATCTCAGCTTCACTTTTAAAACCACTTATATAGACTACATAACCACAAGGCTGGGGAACTCCAGTGGGATTGAGTGGTGTGTTAACTACTCTTCTATGAGGCATTAAAGGTCAAAGCCATTGGAGAAATCTATTCCTTCTCCAAGTATGATCTATTGTCTGACACAGTTGTTCATGTCCAGGAAGAAAGCAGGCAAATGATGACCATGAGGATCTGGGGCAAGACAGGAGGTCATCTGTGTTATCCTTCTGACTCATCAGGATTGCTTCTAAGACAAGCTCTCATGCTGAAAAATAGCTAAACTTTTAGCTCTATCTCAGTTCCTTGGCACCTTCAAGTCAAGGAGAGCCGCAAGGCATATGAATAGCAAGCTTTAACATTTTTATTTCAAAAAATTATTCCCCCAGCCATGAACCTTAAAGCTTTCCATTTGTTCCCAGGGCCTTGGTTTGGATATCTGCAAATAAAAAGGCAATTAGGCAAAATCTCAGATCCCATTCATCTCCAAGATTCTGTGAGAACTCAAATCCTCTGCTGTTCTATACTCGCTCTCATATCTCACAAGTTCCTTTTTGAATTTATCTCTTCCAAGTATCTTTCAATCATAATTACCTATTATATTCAAGACACTGTGCTAAGTACTGTACACAGCATTTCCTAACCAGTGTCCCAGGCAGGGCTTGGCCAGCTAGAGTCCTAGACCACTAGTCTCAGTCTGGACCATTTCCCGCAGTGTGCTTCAAAGATTCCGTGTGTGTGCCATGATATGAAAAAAGTACCTGCCCTCAAAGAACTTACAATCCAGTAAAAAGAATAAGTACCCAAATCACTGTAATAAAAGGTAGTATAAGGCCGGGCGCAGTGGCTCACACCTGTAACTCAGTACTTTGAGAGGCCAAGACAGGCAGATCACCTGAGGTCAGGAGTTTGAGACCATCCTGGCCAGCATGGTGAAACCTTATCTCTACTAAAAATATAAAAATTAGCTGGGCATGGTAGTGGGCGCCTGTAATCCCCAGCTACTCGGGAGGCTGAGGCAGGAAAAATGCTTGAACCGCGGAAGCAGAGGTTGCAGTGAGCCAAGATCTTGCAATCCAGTCTGGGTGACAGAGCAAGACTCTGTCTCAAAAAATAAAATAAAATAAAAATAAAAGGCAGTATAAGATAAGAGCACCAAGTGTGGTTCAGACATCCCCTCAATTAGTACTACCATTACGGAAAACCATATAGAGGTGCCTTAAAAAAACTAAAAATATAAATTTAGTCAGGCGTGGTGGTACATGCCTGTAGTCCCAGCTACTCGGAAGGCTGAGGTGGGTCACCTGAGCCTAGGAGGTCAAGGCTGCAGCAAGCCGTGATCATGTCACTGCATTCCACCCTGGGCGACAGAGTAAGACCTTGTCTCAAATACTAAAAATAAATAAAAATAATAAAATTTAAAATAAAAATAAATCTTAAAATTAAAAAAAAAATTTAAAATAAATTTAAAAAAAATTAACAATAGAATTTACCATATGACAGTGTGGCGCAGTGGCTCACGCCTGTAATCCCAGCACTTTGGGAGGCCAAGGCGGGAGGATTACTTGAGCCCAGGAGTTTGAGACCAGCCCAGACAACATGGTAAAACCCCGTCTCTACTAAAAATACAAAAGATTAGCCGGGTGTGGTGGCACATGCCTGTAATCCCAGCTACTCGGGAGGCTGAGGCAGGAGAATCGCTTGAAATCTGGGAGGCAGAGGTTGCAGTGAGCCAAGATCACGCCACTGCACTCCAGCACAGGCGACAGAGTGAAACTCCATCTCAAAATAAATAAATAAATAAAAATACAAAAGTTAGCCAGGCGTGGTGGTGCGCACTTCTCGGGAGGCTGAGGTACAAGAATTGCTTGAATCCAGGAGGCGGAGGTTGCAGTGAGCTGAGATTGTGCCACTGTACTCCAGCCTGGGTAACAGAGCAGACTCTGTCTCAAAAAAAAAAAAATAGACCAGGCATGGTGGCTCACACCTGTAATCCTGGCACTTTGGGAGCACTTCCTAGCACTCCAAAATTGGAGAATCACTTGAGGCCAGGAGTTCAAGACCAGCCTGGTCAACATAGTGAGACCCCCCCACCTCTAATATTTAAAAAAAAGAAGATGAAATAGAAAATAAAAGAGGAACCTCACTCAGAAATTTTTTACAAAACAGAAATAAATAAAAATTTAAAATAGGCCCAGTCCGGTGGCTTACACCTGTCATTCCAGCACTTTGGGAGGCCAAGGAAGACAGGTCACTTGAGGTCAGGAGTTCGAGACCAGCCTGGCCAATATGGTGAAACCTCGTCTCTACGAAAAATACAAAAAGCTGGGCATGATGGCGGGCACCTTTGCCTGTAGTCCCAGTTACTCAGGAGGCTGAGGCAGGAGAATTGCTTGAACCTAGGAGGCGGAGGTTACAGTGAGCGCCGAGCTTGCGCCACTACACTCCAGCCTGGGTGATAGAGCGAGACTTGGTCTCAGTAATGATAATAATAATAATTAAAATAATACAAATTTTAAAATTTTTTAAATTAAAAATTAGCTGGGCATGGTGGTGGCACACCTGCAGTCCTAACTACTAGGGAGGCTGAGATGAGAGGATCGCTTGAGCCTGGGAGGTGGAAGTTACAGTGAGCCAAAATCATGCCACTGCACTCCAGCCTGGGTGACAGAGTAAGACCCTATCTCAGGAGAAAAAAAGAAAAAAAAAAAAAAAAAAAAAAAAAAAAAAATATATATATATATATATATATATATTACCCGGCCGGGCGCGGTGGCTCATGCCTGTAATCCCAGCACTTTGGGAGGCTGAGGCGGGGGAACACCTGAGGTCAGGAGTTTGAGACCAGCCTGACCAATATGATGAAAGCCCGTCTCTACTAAAAATATAAAAATTAGCCAGGCATGGTGGCAGGCGCCTATAATCCCAGCTACTCGGGAGGCTAAGGTAGGAGAATCGCTTGAACCCAGGAGGAAGAGGTTGTAGTGAGCCGAGATTGCGCCATTGCACTCCAGCCTGGGCAACAAGAGCAAAACTCCATCTAAAAAAAAATTGCCATATGACAGCCTGGGCAATATGGTGAAACTCTGTCTCCACAAAAAATACAAAAATTAGCTGAGTGTGGTGGCGCACGCCTGTAGTCCCAGATACTCAGGGGGCTGAGGTGGAAGGATCACTTAAACCCAAGAAGTCGAGGTTGCAGTGAGCTGTGATTATGCCACTGCACTCCAGCCTGGGCAACAGAGTGAGACCCTGCCACAAAAAAAAAAAAAAAAAAAGAATTACTATATGATCCAGTAATTCCACTTCTCTAGGTGTTTACCCAAAAGATTTGAAATCAGTTTGCCAAAGAGGTATCTGCACTCCCATGTTCACTGTAGCATTATTCACAGTAGCCAAGTTATGGAAGCAACCTAAGTGTCCATCAACAGATGAATGGATAAAGAAAACGTGGTATTTATACACAATGGAACAATATTCAGCCTTAAAAAAGGAAATTCTGTCATTTGCAGCAGCATGGATAGAACTGGAGAACGTTATGCTAAGAGAAATAAGCCAAGCAGACAAAGTAGACAAATAGCACACGTTCTCACTTACATGTAGAATCTAAAAGAAAGTACTTCATAGAAGCAGAGAGTACAATGGTGGTTACCACTGAGGAGACGATGGTAAAAGGGCACAAAATCTCAGACAGGAAGAATACGTCTGAGGGTTTTTTTTGAGATCTATTGCACAGCATGGTGAATATAGTTAATAATAGTGTATTATACATTTCAAAATTGCTGAGAGTGAATTTCAAATGTTCTCACCACAAAAAAAATAAGCATTTGAAGTGATAGCTATGTTAGTTTGATTTAATTATTCTACAGTATTCATAAATCTTAACATCATCTTGTATCCTATAGATACAATGATAAATGTCAACTTACAATAAAAATGTTGAATCCCCTTAAAGAACCTCCTGTTTGTATTTGTGCTTCCTTTCATGTAAGTCCTTCCCCTTGTCACTCCCACCCCTCCCATATCACTGCCACCTCTCATTCTGTTATCAATCTGCATTCTCTACTTCCTGACTCGAAACTCCTGAGAAGTCTCTCTGATGACTCTCACCTTGCTCCTTTTCACTAGGTGTCCCTACATCACTCATTTGCTTAGGATGGCATCATATTAACTCAGGTTCATTTGTGCCTACTCTGTAAACATTACATTTTTCACATATATTCTTGCCTTTACTCTGACAGCAAAGAGTATTTCTTATAGTTGAATACTTCCTCCCAGTAGTCAGTACACAATGAATTTAATTACTAACTGCTGCCAAATATGTTTTTTTTTTTTAACCCGTAAGGGAAATCCATCTTAGTATCTAAATGTGGGGGATAAAGGAAAAGGGTGGCAAAGGAAAGGACAACCATCCACCAAGTGCTTCCTATGTATCAGGCAATTTACTCATTTTTCATTTAATTCTTATAATAACACTTCAAAGTAGGCATTATTATTATCTCAACTTTATGGTGAAGAAAGTAAGGCTCAGAGAGATAAAATAGGATGGGGCAGAACCAGGATCAGAACCAGTTCCAGTGCCCGTGCTTTTGCGGGAACACCAAACTGAGCTGTCTGCTGTCCAGGTCTGAGATTCACACTCACTAGATCCCACACGACACAGCTGAGAGAGCATGAAGCACAAAATCAGAAGCACTGGTTTGAGTCTCAGCTCTGCCCCTCACTGGCTAAGGGATCCCGCTATTTAACTTCCCCAAGCCTAAGGTGCAAATAGTACTTACCCATGTCACAACCACAGGAGCTACTGCCAGTGAAAATGATACAAACTAAAATTCTAAACAAAGTTCAAAAATTATTATTTTCTCTGGTTTGCCAAGATATCAAACTCACCCAAGAAAAGACTTAAGCACCTGGCACCTAAGCATTTTCTACCTTTTCTTTCTGTTCTAAACTAACTCTCATTGCTCCTTACAGACTCCTCACCATCTCTCGTCTTTTGACCATGAAGACTTATCTCCTTTCTGGCAGACCACACAGAACAACCTCACTATGGGGTATATAAGGTTTTCATGGATTCCCCAAATACGTTTAAACTTTGACATCATAGGCAACAGGTCCAATGGCAATAATCTGAAATAAACAAATTTTACCCAAATTTAAGATGATTACATTTATAAAACTATACAAGCATATTCTTATTTTTCAGATCCTTTGAAAAACAAAAAGTGGCTACTGTAAGACTGTAATAGGCAAACTGCTCCACAGCTAATAGAATTGAAGGCCAGATCCACTGTGGAAAGAAAATTCAATTTCTCTGTAAATGTCACAAATTGTTTCCATTATACTGACAACCTGAGTTTATAGTTTAAAAGCACACACACAAAAAAAAAACCTCTATAAAGACTTCGGAACAGTCTATTATTTCTAGATTTAGAGGATTGCTATGGCTACTCACAATCATTCTTCTCTTTGAACATCTTTTTCCCTTGAGACATGGTCTTGCTCTGTTGTGCCCAGGCTGGAGTAGAGTGGCGCAATTACAGCTCACTGTAACCTCAAACTCCTGGGCTCAAGCAATCTTCCTGCCTCAGCCTCCCAGGTAGCTGGGACTACAGGCACTTGCCCACCATGCTCAGTTATTTTATTTTTAAAATTTTTTTGTAGAGATAAAAGGCAGGGTCTCACTCTGTTGCGCAGGCTGATCTCAAATTCCTGTCCTCAAGCAATCCACCTGCCTTGGCCTCCCAAAGTGTTGGGATTGCAGGCATGAGCCACTGCACACCCAGCCCGAACATCTTATATAAAACTTCTACCGACCCCTATTATGAATCATCTCATGACACACCATAAATGACAGACTCCCTGAAACAGAACACTAAAATGACAACTTCAAAAATGAGGCAAGGCGGGGATGGCCAGGCACAGTGGTTCACCCCTATAATCCCAGCATTTGGGGAGGCCCAGATGGGAGGACTGCTTGAGCCCAGGAGTTTTGAGACAAGTCTGGGCACTGTAGAGAGACCTCATCTCTACCAAAAAATTTTAAAAATTAGCCGGGTGCGGTGGCTCACGCCTGTGATCCCAGCACTTTGGGAGGCCGAGGTGGGCAGATCACAAGATCAGGAGTTCGAGACCAGCCTGGCCAATATGGTGAAACCCCATCTCTACTAAAAATACAAAAATTAGCCGGGGGTGGTGGCGGGTGCCGGTAGTCCCAGCTACTCGGGAGGCTGAGGCAGGAGAATCACTTGAACCCGGGAGGCGGCGGTTGCAGTGAGCTGAGATTGCACCACTGCACTCCAGCCTGGGCGACAGAGCGAGACTCTGTCTCAAAAAAAAAAAAAAAATTTTAAATCGGCCATGTGCCTGTAATCCCAGCTACTCAGAAGGCTGAGGTAGGAGGATTGCTTGAGCCAAGGAGGCCAAGGCTGAAGTAAGCTAAGATTGTGCCACTACACTCCAGGCTGGGCAACAGAGCAGGACCCTGTCTCCAAAAAAAAAAAACAAAAGAAAGAAAAATGAGGCAGGAGGATCACTTGAGCCCAGGGGTCTGAGGCCAGCCCAGATAACATAGTAAGACCCCCATCTCCACACAAAAACAATTTTTTTTTTGAGATGGAGCCTCCCTCTGCAGCCCAGGCTGGAGTGCAGTGGCGCAATCTCGGCTCACTGCAAGCTCCACCTCCCGGGTTCACACCATTCTCCTGCCTCAGCCTCCCGAGTAGCTGGGACTACAGGCACCCGCCACCACGCTTGGCTAATTTTTTGTATTTTTAGTAGAGATGGGGTTTCACCGTGTTAGCCAGGATGCTCTCGATCTCCTGACCTCGTGATCCGCCCACCTCAGCCTCCCAAAGTGCTGGGATTACAGGCATGAGCCACTGCACCCGGCCTTTTTTTTTTTTTTTTGAGACAGAGTCTTGCTCTGTCACCCAGGCTGGAGGGCAGTGGCACGATCTTGGCTCACTGCAACCTCTGCCTTCCGGGTTCAAGCAATTCTCTGCCTCAGCTTCCCAAGTAGCTGGGATTACAGGTATGCGCCACCACGCCCAGCTAATTTTTATATTTTTAGTAGAGATGGGGTTTCACCATCTTGGCCAGGCTGGTCTTGAACTATTGACCTCGTGATCCACCAGCCTCGGCCTCCCAAAGTGCGGGGTTTACAGGCGTGAGCCACCATGCCCAGCAAAAAAATTGTTTAAAAACATAGCCAGGTACAGTGGCACATTACTGTAGTCCCAGCTACTGCGGAGACTGAGGCAGCAGGGTTGCTTGAGCCCAGGAGGTAGAGGCTGCAGTAAGCCATAATCGAGACACAACATTCCAGCCTGGGCAACAGACTGAGACCCTGTTTCATTGAAAAAAAAAGAAAAAAGAAAAGAAAAAGGGCTGGGCACAGTGGCTCATGCCTGTAATCCCAGCACTTTGGGAGCCCGAGACGGGCGGATCACGAGGTCAGGGGTTCGAGACCAGCCTGACCAATATGGTGAAACCCCGTCTCTACTAAAGATACAAAAATTAGCTGGGTGTAGTGGCGGGCGCCTTAATCCCAGCTACTCAGGAGGCTGAGGCAGGAGAATTGCTTGAACCCGGGAGGCGGAGGTTGCAGTGAGCCAAGATTGAGCCACTGCACTCCAGCCTGGGCAACACAGAGAGACTCTGTCTCAAAAAAAAAAAAAAAAAAAAAAAAAAAAAAAAAAAAGGTGACTCAAAAAAAGAAAGAAACTCCGCACCCATTAAACAGTAACTCTTTATCCCCACCTCCCCCCAGCCCCTGGTAACTGCTATTCCACTTTCCATCTCTATGAATTTGACTTTTCTAGATACCTCATATAAGCGCAACTATAAAATATTTGTCCTTTTGTGACTGGCTTACTTTACTTAGCATAATGTCTTCAAGGTCTATCCATGTTGTAGCACGTATCGGAATTTCATTCCTTTTTCAGGTTGAATAATATCCTAACGTGTGCACATACCACATTTTACCTATTCATTTGTGGATGAACACTTGGGTTGTTGCCACCTTTGGCTACTGGGAGTATTGCTACTATGAACACTGGTGTACAAGTATCTGTTTGAATCTCCACTTTTGATTCTTTTCACCTAGAAGTGAAATTGGTGGATCATCATTCTGTTTGTTTAACCTTTTGAGGAACTGCCAAACTGTTTTCCTCAAGAGTATATTAAATGGAGGTTGTGGAGTCAACTTCTAGAGAGTGCTAAAGACCAGCAAATGGCCATCTGAGTGGGTCTGTGCCATTAGATCAAGAAAGAAGGACAATGCTAGAAACACCGGAGCATCCAGGGCTGAGAGTGTCCCGGGCCACAATAGGCACACATTGGTTTTGAGGCACAAACTGTTGAGTCTGTTAATAAGAAAGTATTGTATTTCTTCTTGGCCTCACGAGAACCTGAGCCTCAATGGCCACCACTGTCCTCTCTGTTCCAGCTGCCAAGAGTGACAAGACACACATACCCCGAGACTGCTGAGCAAGAACGGAAACAGACATTTTCCATTAAGCTAGGTCCAGTGGGATCTGCTAATCTATCAGAGCCTCATTCCCCACGGCGGCCTCTCTCTTATCTTCCCAGGCTCTGGCTCTGAGACACTCCCTCTCCAAAAAGCAATCACTAGCTTCCAGGACTAAAAGCCAAGGAGGAAATAAGAACCCAAGAACAGACGCCCCCTAAGCACCACACCCCGGGGCTCCAAACCCTAATCATTACTACTGTTATCCCCATTTGCTACATTCATCAACCCTTTTTCACTCTTAAGTCTCAAGTACCTGCTGCTAGGATACCGTTTTCACTCCCATTTTTGCACTCCTCATTTGTATTGCTTTCTGCTTTCTGGCTGCCCCAGGCTCTTCCATGTTTTCCATAGACACCCCGATAAACACAACAAATCTCATCCAGGTTCAAATACAATTGCAGCTACTCACAAACTGTGTTTTCAGGCAAATCACTTCTGTTCTCTAAACTCCTGTTTTCTTCTTTATAAACTAAAGTAAGTGCCCAGCACAGTTCAGACATTAAGCAGGTGCCCCACACAGATAAGCACACTCTCCCTTCCCTTTAGCTAGGGCTAAAACTTAGCTAAATCCACTGCAGGCAATTCTTATTTGGTTACTAGAAGTGACAAAAATTAGTGAAATCTGTCTCAGAGCTTCAAATTTTCTACTATCTTGGTAAACAATCTGAAAGTGGTGGTAAATACTAATCCAGATAACCCTGAAATTTCTGTGTGCTTTGGAATACACTTTATAAATGATAGAAAACTCTTCCAGCAGACTTATTCTTCTGATTTTGGTTTCTCATATGCTAGGAGAAGTCTGCCTCCCCTGAGCCTATGAAATCAACCAGTGTAGCTTGGGTCACAGCAAGAAGGGAAAAAGAAAGGACGATTATCCATTCTATGGATCATTCCTAATTCCCCACAAAAATCAAAAGCTGACTGAATTTAATTTTGGAATACGCCTGGAGGGAGAATTTGGTACTACGCTGACTGCAGATGATTGGATAATATGACCCAAATCAAATCAACCAAATTCTCACTCCAGGAAAACCAGAATTGAGACTACCATCATAGTTCAATCTGGACTGATCTCTAAAAGGAAAGAAATCAAAACCAAGGTGTGGGTGGCCATCCTTCACCTACAACAAAGGTTAAGAAGCCAATCCGCAGAGAAATAATGAATCAAGGCCAGAAGCAGTGGCTCACGCCTGTAATCCCAGCACTTTGGGAGGCTGAGGCAGGCAGATCAGTTGAGCCCAGGAGTTTGAGACCAGCCTTGGCAACATGGTGAAACCCCATCTCTACTAAAAATACAAAAATTGACCAGTCCCATAATCTGGTCTCAAAACAAATAAATAAATAAATATATTAAAATTTAAAAATAAAACAAATTTTTTAAAAAATGAATCAGATGTGCAAAGAACAGCTGTGTAGAGATCCCCAACAGATCTCAGGTTCCTGATGCAGGTCCCTTCTGAGGTACCACAGTATATTTATGATGCATTACCATTTAAGGCTAGGCGTGGTGGCTCACATCTGTAATCCCAGTACTTTGAGAGGCCAAGGCAGGAGGGCTGCTTGAGCTCAAGAGTTCAAGACCAGCCTGGGCAATGTAGCGAGACAACGTCTCTATTTATTTAAAAAAGAAGAAAAAAAAAAAACATTTAAACTAGCTTGAGTTGGCTTCTAACACTTGCAACAAATGAAATCTAACTAACCCCCAATCTGCTCTGCCTCCCGTATTCCCTCAATAAATGGCAACACCACCCCCCAGCTGCCTGAGGCAAATGCAGTGGGGGTCAATCTTGAATCCTCTCCTTAGTGTAACATCTAATCAATCCTCCAGTCTTATCACTTCCCCCTCCTAAATATACCTCGATGCTCCAGTTCTCTCCATCCCCTAGTTCATCATCCAGGCCACCAGCCTCTCACATTCTGCCAGTCTTGCTCCCTCCAAGGTTCTCACCACTCTGTGATCAGAGAATTCTTGCCTTTAAGGGGTCTTCACAACCCCAAAATGAGGTAGAAAGACCCTAGCATGGCATCCAAGGCCCATTATCTGGCCTGAGCCTCTCTCTCTCTAGCCCCATTCTCTCAGCACTCCCCACCCTCTCAAATGCTCCAGCCACTGTGCTTTACTCACCTGAGGTTCCCTGAAAGCACTGTCCCTCTCTGTCCTCCAAGCTTTTATACATTGTTTCCTCTGCTGTGCTGCTCCCATACTACCCTTTCTTCAGCCTTATCTCTGCTTAGACATCTCCCCCCAGAGGGCTCCCCAACCTCCCAAGACTGGACTAATGCCCACTAGGTATACTCCAATGGCACCAGCTTATCACGGTCCTTCTCTGCCTTGTCCTAAAATCTATTTCCTTCTGTGTTTTCTCCAGTAGATCATAAGCTCCTTTCGGGCTGGGGCTATCATGTTCACTACTGTACATTCTTAGCTCCAGGTACAAAGAAAGAGCTCAATATCAATTGAACGAAATGGTTGAGAGTTAATTACTTCTAATTACTTCTACTTCAGCACCAAACTCTAAAGGGAAATTATTTACTTAAGGAAACCTAATTCATTCTTTCAAATGCGTACTAAGAGCCTAAGTGTAAGACATAGAGCTCAGAACTGGAGGGGCTTACATCTGGAGGGGGCACAGCTCTTTTAAAGACAATGGTTGGCTGGCGTGGTGGCTCACACCTGTAATCCCGGCACTTTGGGAGGCCAAGGTGGTCAGATCACCTGAGGTCAGGAGTTGAAGACCTGCCTGACCAACATGGAGAAACCCCAGTCTCTACCAAAAATACAAAATTAGCTGGGCGTGGTGGCACATGCCTGTAATCCCAGCTACTCGGGAGGCTGATGCAGGAGAATCGCTTGAACCCTGGAGGCGGAGGTTGCGGTGAGCTGAGATTGTGCCATTGCACTCCAGCCTGGGCAACAGGAGCGAAACTACATCTCAAAAGATAAATAAAGACAAAGGTTACCCTCACCTGACCATCTTGAACATTCTTAGGCTACCTTTCTGCAGGAATTATGTGTTCCGAGAACCAAAAGACCAACTTGAACAGAACAAAAATGGGAAACTCAACCAGCAAGGGCTAGGACTTTAATTAGCCATGTTACTGTTCACCTCAGAAATTTAGTGAATGCTTACAAAGGAGGGAGTGTTAGTCTTCAGAGTTTTCTGCCACCTCAGCCAACCCAAATGGCAGATTCTACGGCCTCTCCCAACTTTCTATAATGCTACCTTCACAGAGCTAGAAATGAGCTTTCCATGTCCATGTAGACTGTTTTTATTTGTCTCATTCAGGGATCTTTCCTTGTTCCAGGTTAAATCAAAGCCAAAGTAAGTTTCCATGGAGCAATAAAAGGCTTTTTTTTTTTGGATCCTAGACTTAGGATGAGAGACTCTCAGGTGTGAAAGAAGGGGGAAATAAAATGGAAGAAAGTGGCCGGGTGCTGCGGCTCACGCCTGTAATCCCAGCACTTTGGGAGGCTGAGGCGGGTGGATCACGAGGTCAGGAGATCGAGACCATCCTGGCTAACATGGTGAAACCCCGTCTCTACTAAAAACACAAAAAAATTAGCCAGGCGTGGCGGCGGGCGCCTGTAGTCCCAGCTACTCGAGAGGCTGAGGCAGGAGAATGGCGTGAACCCGGGAGGCGGAGCTTGCAGTGAGCAGAGATCGTGCCACTGCACTGCAGCCTGGGCTACAGAGGGAGACTCCGTCTCAAAAAAAATAAAAATAAAAAAAATTTAAAAAAAAAAGGAAGAAAGTTTCAAACAAGATTGGGAGGGAAACTCTGGAAACTCCTTCCATGAAAAATCCATATTGGAGTTCTTTCACTCACAAAATATCCATGGGAGTATTCAGTATGTGCCAGGCACTGTTTTAAGTACTAGGGTTATAGCAGTGAATTTTTTTTTTAATCCCTGCCTTCATGGAGTTTATATACTAGTGGGAGGACAGATGATGTTAAGTGCAATGGAGAAAAATAAAACAAAGAGCAATGGGGAGGAGGAGGTGATAGGAGGTTGCAATTTAAATACATAGTAGGCTAGGGAAGTCCTCACCGAAAACAGGCCTTTTAGGCCAAGTGAGGTGAGGGAGAGAACATTAGGATATCTGAGAGAAGAAATTTAAGGAACAGCAAGTTCAACGAATGGAAATGGCTCCTAGGCAGAGCTGGGAGTCTGAAGAAAAGCAAGGGCAATAAATTTCTCTCCGGTAAGTAATTCTAAGCAGTTCCTGCTCCAAGGCTTAATCTCTCCTTTATCTCCAAAGCCCTCACTCCAGGAGCCTTGTATTTTTCCACTGTCACATATAGAAACAGGTAAGACTCGCTGCCTCTTCTAGAAACAGTACCCAAGCATCCTAACTCACCTAGCTTTGACCATAGCTAAATGATGAATATGAGGCACAGATCTGAGGTTCAGAGAGACTGAACCTTAATCTTAATCTTCACTCTGCCCTGTTACCAGGTAAAATCGTGCATGCTGGACACCTGTTTCTCATCTGTAAAACAATAGTATGTTACCTCCCAGAGCTCTGTAATAATTGAAAGAAAGGACCAATGAACGGCAAATGATCTGCACTAAACAAATATTCGATTTCTCCTCTAACTCCCCTCAAAAATAGAAACCAAGATTGCTATCATTTTCCTCCAGGCCTGATGCTTTTGAGTTCAGAGGCAAGGAAAAGATTTGTCCCAGATGTTCGGCAAAGGTTCAGGAGCCCTGTCTCCTGTCATTCTTCAGGTGCCAGATTTCATCCTGTTCTCAGTAGGAGGAAAGGGGAAAAAGCCGGACTGAAGTGAAGATGCAAAGAAGGGGGAGCGGATCCAAGTGTCCCTAGGCCTGTCAGTACCAGGTGATGATGACATGTGGCCTTCTGCAGGCAAGCCCAGCTTCAGGAAACCCACATGGGCAAACACCCAAACTCCCCCAAGTTGACCAACTTCAGCTCAATTAATCGCATTATAAGAGGATTCCAGTGGCCTTGAATCCACGGATGCGTTTGTAGGAAGGAGTTCTGAAATCTCCACATGTCCCTCCTACAGCCGACTCAAACCCGATGGACAGTTTGGGGGTGCCTTCCCCGGATACTCACATCTCCCTTATGCAACTCCGGCGCCGCGATCTTCACGGGCTCTTTCCTCTTCTTTGGCTTGGGAAGCCCCAGCGGGGGACCGGCACCGCCAATTGGAGGGGGCAGATTGAGGCCAGGGCCTCGGGGCGAGGGCAACCCCAATCCCAGTCCCTCCCCAACTCCCGCCGCTTCAGCCGGGCTCACGCCTGGAGGTGGGGGGAAGCCTCCCAGGCCGAAGGGCAAGGGGGGAGGAGGCTGAAGCCTGGGGTCTCCGGTGGGTGGGGGAAGCAACAGCGGCGGGGGAAAGGCTGGCGCCAGCATCTGAGGGGGCGGAGGCAGCAAGGCCGGACCCTTGGGCGCAGGGAGAGAAGCGAACAAGCCCCCTAAAGCGGGCCCAGATGTAGGAGCCACCGCCTCCTCTTCCTCCGGCTCGGGCTCAGCCTCATCCGGCTCGCTCTCATCGCTGCTGGCGTAAGCAACCAGCGACATGGCGCCTCCCGCGTTTCGGGCGCCCTTGCCGGCAGATGAGGCCTACTTGAGACCGGGGATGCCCGGAGGCCTAGTAGGCCCCGCCACCTGGCGGGGCGGGGAACCGAAAAGTCCGCCTGCTCCGTACTCTAGGGCTAGCCCCGGCAGAAACTCATGGCTACGGCTGATTTCCACCGAACAAGGCGTACCTCTTCACTTAAGCTCCTAGTCCCGGGCAACTACACACAGCTAATGGCCGCCGAGTCACTCCGCCTCCTCCTTGCCTCACCAATACAGGAACTACAACTTCCAGAGAACACTTTGGACACAGCCCGGTTCTTTGCCGCAGGGATCTCAGCGCAAGGCACGGCGGGAGTTGGAGTCCGAGGAAGGATTTAGGGGCGAGCAAAGGGAGACAGGAGAGAAACCCGCCTCTGACGCAGGGACACCTGGGGTGAGTAGTTTTTTTCGTCGCCTAACAATTCCGAGGTGACTACAAGCCCCACCGGTCACCACGGCAGTCACTGAGACGGACAGGAGAGCATTTCGGTACTTGAAGTTCCCTAGGGTAGCCCCTTGGCCACTAAGATTTCTGGGAGATATGATGCTCTTAGAAACTGCAAGTGATGTCGGGAACGAAAGGGAGTCTGGGAAGCTGGCGGATTGAGGAAAATTGCTTAAAGGCAAAGTGATCTGTAAATGAACTGGTGAAGCTTCCCAGTCGGCTGGGACTGGGAATTAGAATAAAACATCCCAAAAAGAGCAAGGGCCCAAGGGACCCGTACGAAATTGGGCTGCAAGCCAGAAAGAAGCGAGGCTGCAGGTCTAATAATAAGCATCTAAGAGTTGAAATAAATGTGACGTAAAAGGGAGGAGGTGATCTCCCTCACCAGGATCGGGGTGCACATCCAGGAACACACCTTACCCTGGAGCCTGGGGCCTGGCCTCCCTCTGCAGCAACCAGTGAGACAAAGATGGGCAAGGCTCTGACAATCCGGGCCAGGTACTTGAGGTTAATCCCTTCTCAGCTCAGTGGGGTAAAGGGCGACCGTTCTGAGGAATCACTTGAGTCCGTCCTACCTGGCTGTGCCTCCCACCTATCCATTTGCAGATGTCCTTTACATTCCTTTACGTCTGTGAGTGCTGCTTCTTATGGCTTTGTATGTGACTTTCTTACATCTGTCTCTGTAAGTGCCCTTCCTTTCCATCCATGTTTATAGGAGTCCTTGTCCAGCCCATTTATGTCTGCTTGTGATGATCTGCTGTGCGCCAGTCCTTCCCTGTCCGCTTGTGATTTTGTATCCTTTTCTTGTTTACCCATCTCTGCCCCCTTCCTGTCTGCCTGTGACTGAGTGCCCTCTACTTGTCTGCCCTGTATGTGTGTGTCCTTTACATGCTAATTCATCTCTGTGTGGGCACCACCTCCCTGTTCCCAGATTGCAGAAAATTCTGTTGAGCGAAGCCAGAGAAAAGGCTGTTGAGGTTTTGGGAGGAGGCTGAAGAGAAAATTGGAAAGGTTGATGAGGAGGGACAATGATGACCACAATGCAGAGAGACAGTGAAAGGCCCAAGCTTGAATCCTCTATCAGACGAGCCTGATATGGGGCACCTCCTCCCCAACCTCTCCACCCTTCAGAGACAAACTCCATGCTGCCTTCTCCATGAAGGCTCCTTAGAGCAATCTGTGCTCAAACTTTAATGTGCATAAGCATCACTAGGAAAGCTTCTGAAAAATATAAATTCCTGAAATCTAGCCTAAGAGATTCCTATTCAATAGATGTGGGTTGGGCCTGGAAGCCTGGATCTGTAAGAAACTACTCAGTTAGTTGCAAACCAGGCACTGAGGACCACATTGAGAAACTAGACCATCAAGTCCTACCTCACAGCTAGTATGCCTTGCACAATGTTGATTTCTAAAATCTGCTTTCAAATCTAGGTTCCCCAACGTACTCTCTGGTGACTGTGCGGTCACTTCTCTTCTCTGAGTCTCACTTTCCTCCTTTGAAAAATGGATAAAGTAGGCCGGGTGTGGTGGCTCACGCTTGTAATCCCAGCACTTTGAGAGGCAGAGGCTGGTGAATCACGAGGTCAGGAGTTTGAGACCAGCCTGGCCAAGATGGTGAAACCCCGTCTCTACTAAAAATACAAAAATTAGCATGGTGTGGTGGCGGGCGCCTGTAAGCTCAGCTACTCGTGAGGCTGAGGCAGGAGAATCGTTTGAACCCGGGAGGCAGAGGTTGCAGTAAGCCGAGATCACGCCACTGCATTCCAGCCCAGGCAAGTGTGCAAGACTCCATCTCAAAAAAAAAAAAAAAAAAAAGAAAGAAAGAAAGAAGGAAAGAAGGAAAGAAAGGAAAGAAAGAAAGAGAAAGAAAGAAAGAAAGAAAAATGGATAAAGAAGGTCGGGTGCGGTGGCTCACGCCTATAATCCAAGCATTTTGGGAGGCCGAGGCGGGCAGATCACCTGAGATTGGGACTTCGAGACCAGCCTGACCAACATGGAGAAACCCCGTCTCTACTAAAAATATAAAAATTAGCCGGGTGCGGTGGCGGGCGCCTGTAATCCCAGCTACTCAGGGGGCTGAGGCAGGAGAATCGCTTGAACCCGGGAGGCGGAGGTTGTGGTGAGCCAAGATCACGCCATTGCACTCCAGCCTGGGCAACAAGAGTGAAACTCCGTCTCAAAAAAAAAAAAAAGGGCGGGGGGGGCGCGGATAAAGTATTACAGAGCCCTGTCCTACTTCTGTGAGAAATGCCTGATACTAACACACAGTGAAATGCCTTAGAACTAAGAGAAATGATTGTCCTTGTTGTTTGTCAACACATCTTGCCAGCTTGCAGAGAAGCCCCTAAAGGACAGGGACCTGTCTCAAATGTTTTCTTTCTTCTTCTTTTTTTTTTTTTTTGGAGATAGAGTCTTGTACTGTCGCCCATGCTGGAGTGCAGTGGCGCAAATTTGGCTCACCGCAACCTCCACCTCCCAGCTTCAAGTGATTCTTGTGCCTCAGCCTCCCGAGTAGCTGGGATTACAGGTGTGCACCGCCATGCCCAGCTAATTTTTGTATTTTTTAGTAGAGACGGGGTTTCACCATGTTGGCCAGACTGTGTTTAACAAATGTTTTCTAAGCGAGGATCCCCTTACTGTGAAAATTAATGATTCACCTTATTGGGTATAAATCCTCAAAAAGTGTTTTCAAGCAAGAAATTGATAATAGAAACTTCATGAAAGTGAAGGAAAGGGGATTTATTTCTCATTATGTACCCTTTTATACCTGTAGAAATTTGTAACTGGGCAAGGCCAGGCGCAGTGGCTCACGCCTGTAATCCCAGCACTTTGGGAGGCTGAGGCGGGCGGATCCCCTGAGGTCAGGAGTTCCAGACCAGCCTGCCCAACATGGAGAAACCCTGTCTCTACTAAAAATACAAAAAGCAGCTACTCAGGAGGCTGAGGCAGGAGAATCGCTTGAACCCGGGAGGTGGAGGTTTCAGTGAGCAGAGATCATGCCACTGCACTCCAGCCTGGGTGACAAGAGCAAAACTCCATCTCAAAAGAAAAGAAAAAAAAAGAAATTTTTAACTATGTACGGTGGCTCACGCCTGTAATCCCAGCACTTAAGGAGGCCAAGGTAGGAGAAGCCCTTGAGTCTAAGAGTTGGAGACCAGGCGTGGTGAAACCTTGTCTCTACAAAAACAAACAAACAAACAAACAAAAACAGAAAAAAAGCCGGGCATGGGCATGGTGGCACACACCTGTAGTCCCACCTCATTGGGAAGGGCTGAAAGAGGAGGATCGCTTGAGCCTGCGAGGTTGAGGCTGCAGTGAGCTGAGATCGCACCACTGCACTCCAGCCTGGGTGACAGAGCATGACCCTGTCTCAGTAAAAATTTTAAAGAATAGAAATTTAGGCCAGGCGCGGTAGCTCATGCCTGTAATCCTAACACTTTGGGAGGCCAAGGCAGGTGGATTGCCTGAGCTCAGGAGTTCGAGACCAGCCTGGGCAACACGGTGAAACCCCGTCTCTACTAAAAATACAAAAAAGTTAGCTGGGCGTGGTGGCGTGCACCTGTAGTCCCAGCTACTCGGGAGGCTAAGGCAGGAGAATTGCTTGAATGCGGGAGGCAGAGGCTGCAGTCAGCCAAGATCGCGCCACTGCACTCCAGCCTGGGCAACAGAGCAAGACTCCGTCTCAAAAAAAAAAAAAAAGAAATTTGTAACTGGTACATCTATGAGCCTTTCGAAAGTAATCATAATAAAAGTTTTCCAGTAAAACAGAATGAGGGCCGGACATGGTGGCTCACACCTCTAATCCCAGCACTTTGGGAGGCTGAGGCGGGTGGATCCCAAGGTCAAGAGATCGAGGCCAGCCTGGCCAACATGATGAAACCCTGTCTCTACTAAAAATACAAAAATTAGCTGGGCGCGGTGGCACACACCTGTAGTCCCAGCTACTCAGGAGGCTTCTGAAGCAGGAGAATCACTTGAATGCAGGAGGCAGAGGTTGCAGTGAGCTGAGATCGCGCCACTGCAGTCCAGCCTGGCAACAGAGAGAGACTCCATCTCAAACAAAAAAAAAAAAGAGAGAGAATGAAATGATTAAACATATTTGTTTCCCTCCTAAAACCCTACTGAAACATCAGTAAAGAGATTTTTTTGTAAAGGCATTAAAGATCATTTTGAAAAAACTTAAACCCACAATGATGGAGAGTTCGGAAGAGAAGACAACACAGTAACAACATTTTGGAAGGTGGAAAAGAGATGCACCATAGGTAATTGGCTGGGCACATCTAAGAGAGCTGAGAACCAAGGTGGCCTTGAGGAATGCTGAGAATCAATGTTTAGAGTCTGATACCAGGGATTCCCCCTACAAACTCCCAACCAGATCACCCTGATGGAAAGTTTTTTTTTGGTTTTTTTTTTTTGAGACGGAGTTTCGCTCTTGTTGCCCAGGCTGGAGTGCAATGGCGCGATCTCGGCTCACCACAACCTCCGCCTCCCGGGTTCAAGCAATTCTCCTGCCTCAGCCTCCCGAGTAGCTGGGATTACAGGCATGTGCCACCACACCTGGCTAATTTTTTGTATTTTTAGTAGAGATGGAGTTTCTCCATGTTGGTCAGGCTGGTCTCGAACTCCTGACCTCAGGTGATCCGACTACCTCAGCCTCCCAAAGTGCTGGGATTACAGGCATGAGCCACCGCGCCTGGCCATGATGTAAAGTTTTTAGTATGACAAGCCCCAACCAGGTACCCAGAGGTACAAAGTGGCTTTTCTAGCCCACTGCTCTTATACATGAGCAGGAACCAAGGGTTAGATATTGAGGAGAGACTCTAATAAGAGTAATAGAGATAAAACAAACAGGCCACTCTGCCCAGCTAAATTTTTTTATTTTTAGTAGAGACAAGGTCTCGCTAAAGAGGCTACCAGCCTCTTGACAAGGCTCATCTTGATCTCCTGAGGTCAAGCAATCCTCCTGTCTCAGCCTCCCAAAGTGCTCGGATTACAGGATTATAGGCATGAGCCACCATGCTCGGCCTGTTTTTTTTTTTTTCCTTATATGAAACTGTTGTTCATGTTGTTTGTTTTCCTATTGTTTATCCTTTTATTGATTTGCAAGAGTTTTTTTCAGTGTCTTGATATAATTTTTTTTTCCCTTAATTCAAGATCTCACTCTGTCATCCAGGCTGGAGTGCAGTGGTGCTATCTGGGCTCACTGCAGCCTCGACCTCCCCAGCTCAAGCAATCCTCCCACCTCAGCCTCAGGAGTAGCTGGGACCTTACAGGCACATTGCCACCACGCCCGGCTAATTTTTGTATTTTTTGTGTTTTTTTTTTAATTAATTAATTTTTTTTTTTTTGAGATGGAGACTGTTGCCAGGCTGGAGTGCAGTGGCGCAATTTCGTCTCACTGCAACCTCCACCTCCCAGGTTCAAGTGATTCTCCTGCCTCAGCCTCCCGAGTAGCTGGGACTATAGGCGCATGCCACCACGCCCGGCTAATTTTTGTATTTTTAGTAGAGACAGGGGTTTCACCATGTTGGCCAGGATGGTCTCGATCTCTTGACCTCAAGATCCGCCCGCCTCAGCCTCCCAAAGTGCTGGGATTACAGGCGTGAGCCACCATGCCCGGCCTTTTTTAATTTATTTATTTTTATGGTTTTTTTTTTGTTTTTTGTTTTGTTTTGTTTTGAGACAGAGTCTCACTCTGTCGCCAAGGCTGGAGTGCAGTGGCACTGTGTCGGCTCACTGCAACCTCTGTCTCCTGGGTTCAAGCAATTCTCCTGCCTCAGCCTCCCAAGTAGCTGGGATTACAGGCGTCCACCACCACGCCGGGCTAGTTTTTATATTTTTAGTAGAGATGGGGTTTTACCATGTTGGCCAGACTGGTCTTGAACTCCTGACCTCAGATGATCCGCTGGCCTCAGCCTCCCAAAGTGCTGGGATTACAGGCGTGAGCTACTGCGCCCGGCCTTATTTTTTATTTTTTGGAGACAGAGTCTCACTTTGTTGCCCAGTCTGGAGTACAGTGGCACAATCTCAGCTCACTGCAACCTCCACCTCCTATGTTCAAGCAATTCTGCCTCAGCCTCTCAAGTAGCTGGGATTACAGGCACGCTCCACCACGCCCAGCTAATTTTTGTATTTTTAGTAGAGACAGGGGTTCACCAAGTTAGCCAGGCTGGTCTCGAACCCGTGACCTCAGCTGATCCCCCCCAACCTCCACTTCCCAATGTGCTGGGATTACAGGCGTGATCCCTGCCTGTATTTTTTTTGTAGAAACATTTTTGCCATGTAGCCCAGGTCTTGAACTCCTGAGCTCAAGCAATCTGCCTGCCTCAGCCGCTCAAAGTGCTGAGATTACAGGCATGCGCCACTGCACCTGGCCTCTTGATATAATCTTATTTTGGTTTCCACGTATACTTTGAATTTCAAAGATACAGAAAAAAAAAAAAAGGCTGGGGGAGAAAAAGCAAGGAGAGGGCAGGGAAGGATAAAATTTGGAGAAAAATAAAAGCTTACAAACTGGAATGATGAAGTCAGAGCAGGATCAGGGTGTGTCAGGGTGACTGACAGGCCCCAGGGCTGAAGAGCCAACAACTCATGGATGAGCCTCTTTATCGTCCTGGCCAGCCACCTGTCATTGTCATCTTCAGTACTCCTCCCATCCCCCAACACTCATCCAGGGCCTGGCACACACCTAACAATGCCCAAGGAATATATGTGAGAGTGAATAAATGAATGACCGGGTAAATGAGTGAAGCCCTGAGCCCATAGGCAATGTGGTGGCAGAAACAGCCTTTCAGTCCCCACCCTGCCATCTGTCCTCTACAGAACCACAGCGTCCGCCAGCCTAGCCAGAGCTGCTGCCCAGCATGTGGGGAGGCTACCTCTACCCTGAGAGGCAGGGCTCAATCTAATTATTAGTCGAGAAAAGAGGACTTGGCCCCCCCTCACCCACACGCCTCCCTGAGTCCTCTCCTCCCCAGGCCTCTGTCCCCAGTGTCTCACCAGCAACATCCTTGCAGGAAAGGGCTGAAGAGTGTGGCCAGGCATGCTCAGAGCCATGGCAAATCTGTTGGCCTGACTCTGGCCCCACATTACATTACTTTAATCTCCAGGGACCAAAGGAATGCAGACACACCTGGGGGCTGTGGCTGTACAGAATGGTGGGCTTCTCATCTAACCTATGGCACTCCTGTCTGTAGGCAGCAAAGTTACTTCCAGTACTGCTTGTCAGCAAACTCCTGCAAACAATACTGCTATGAATGGCCTTTTATCTTTTTCACTTTGCAAAGTGGAAAGAAAAATGGTGAGAGATCCTCACTCCTGAATAAGATGAAATGTGTCCAGTATTATTTACTATTGCATTATTTGTGTTATCAAAAGGAACAACCTAAATGCCCATCAACAGGGGACTGATTAAATAATTTGTAATAGTTCTAGTCCTGGGATGCAAGTAAACTAACAATTTATGACACAGAAACATTGTAAACTATTACCATTAAAATGAATGGGGTGACTGGGCACGGTGGCTCATGCCTGTAATCCCAGCAATTTGGGAGAGTGAGGTGGGCGGATCACAAGGTCAGGAGTTTGAGACCAGCCTGACCAACAAGGTGAAACCCCATCTCTACTAAAAATACAAAAATGAGCCGGGCATGGTGGCGTGCGCCTGTAATTCCAGCTACTCAGGAGGCTGAGACAGGAGAATCACTTGAACCTGGGAGGCGGAGGTTGCAGTGAGCGGAAAACGCGCCACTGCACTCCAGCCTGGGTGACAGAGTGAGACTCCATCTCAAAAAAAAAAAAAAAAAAAAGAATGGGGTATGAGATGGATCTTCATGTACAAATATGGAGTCTCAAAATATATTGCTGAGTAAAAAAGAGCAAAGTGTATACGGTGTGTCACAATTTGTGTAAAGGAAATAGTTATCTCTGCATTTGCTTGAAAATTAGAAAGAATGTTACTGGAAGAATACCCACAATATTTCTGCCTCTAAGGAGAAAACTGGGTTGGAAGGGAGAGGGGTAACATGGAGATGACTTTTTGGTAAATCACTCCTTTTACCTCCTAAAGTTTGCATCATTGGCATGTACTACCTACACAAAACGTTAAACCAGATTTTAAAGATGGTGGTCTGGAACTCATGAAGATCTTCAGGTGCTTTGACCTCTTCCTGCCCTACTAAGGTTGAAGATCTCTCCTTTGAGGTCCAAGGAGCCATTCATTGTCACCATAATTCTTGGAAAGAGCTGAAAAAAGAACCCAGGAATACAACTCCCCAGGAGCCTCCACAGTCCCTTCCCCATGCAGGTACACACGTCACTCAGCCAGGACCGCTGCTGTCCTCTCTCTCCTGGCTTAGCAACTTCAGGCCCTTCCACCTCTGCACTGCTGCCAGATAAAGCTTCTAGAAGTTCACCTCTGCTTCATGTCTTTCTCCTGGACAAATCCTTTTATGGCAATTAAATCTAACTCTAGGGGGTGTCTGACTCAGGCATTTTTGTTGTTGTTGTTGAGATGGGAGTCTTGCTCTGTCGCCCAGGCTGGAGTGCAGTGGCGCGATCTCAGCTCACTGCAACCTCTGCTTCCTGGGTTCAAGTAATTCTCCTGCCTCAGCCTCCTGAGTAGCTGGGATTACAGGCACCCACCACCACACCCGGCTAATTTTTTTTATTTATTTATTTATTTATTTTTTTTTTTGAGACGGAGTCTCGCTCTGTCACCCAGGCTGGAGTGCAGTGGCGCGATCTCAGCTCACTGCAAGCTCCGCCTCCTGGGTTCACGCCATTCTCCTGCCTCAGCCTGCCAAGTAGCTGGGACTACAGGTGCCCGCCACCATGCCCAGTGAATGTTTTTTGTATTTTTAGTACAGATGGAGTTTCACCGTGTTAGCCAGGATGGTCTCGATCTCCTGACCTCATGATCCACCTGCCTCAGCCTCCCAGAGTGCTGGAATTACAGGCGTGAGCCACCGCGCCTGGCCTATTTATTTTTTGAGATGGAGTCTCACTTTGTCGCCCAGGCTGGAGTGCAGTGGCGCAATCTCGGCTCACTGCAACCTCTGCTTCCTGGGTTCAAGTGATTCTCCTTTCTCAGCCTTCTGACTAGCTAGGATTACAGATGTGCGCCACCACGCCCAGCTAATTTTTGAATTTTTAGTAGAGATGGGGTTTCACCATGTTGGTCAGGCTGGTCTCGAACTCCTGACCTCAGATGATCCACCCACCTCAGCCTCCCAAAGTGCTGGGATAACAGGCGTGAGCCACCGCACCCAGCCATATCTTTTCATTCTTCAAGTGACTCCAATGTGCAGCTCCAGTCAACAGCCACTGCCCTGGAACAAAGGTGTCCAATAGAACTTACTGCAGTGATGGAAATGTTCTGTATTTACACCATACTAGCCATATGAGGCCACTGAACACTTGCAATGTGGCCAGTACAACTAAGAAACTGAATATTTAACTGGATTTAATTTTAGTCAAATTGAACTTTTTTTTTTTTTTTTTGAGACAGAGTCTTGCTCCCAGGCTGGAGTGCAGTGTCATGATCTTGGCTCGTTGCAACCTCTGCCTCCCAGGCTCAAGTGATTATCGGGCCTCAGCCTCCGAAGTATCTGGGACTACAGTTGTGCTCAACCACACCCAGCTAATTTTTGTATTTTTAGTAGACGTGGGGTTTCACCATGTTGGCCAGGCTGGTCTTGAACTCCTGGCCTCAAGTGATCCACCCGCTTTGGCTTCCCAAAGTGCTGGGATTACAGGTGTGAGCCACCACACCCGGCCTTTAATTTAAATTTATTTATTTTATTTTATTTATATATATTTTTTGAGACGGAGTCTTGCCCTGTCGCCCAGGCTGGAGTGCAGTGGCGTGATCTCGGCTCACTGCAACCTCCGCCTCCCGGGTTCAAGCGATTCTCCTGCCCCAGCCTCCCGAGTAGCTAGGATTACAGGCATGCGCCTCCATGCCCAGCTAATTTTTGCATTTTTTTTAGTAGAGACGGGGTTTCACCATGTTGGTCAGGCTGGTCTTCAACTTCTGACCTCATGATCGCCTACCTCGGCCTCCCAAAGTGCTGGGATTACAGGCGTGAGCCACCACATCCGGCCTTAATTTAAATTTAAATGTCCACATGTGTTGGCCAGTAGAGACTTAGAGAATAACTCTTATAATTTTCCCTTTTTCAAAAAAACAGAACCAAGCTGGGCACGGTGGCTCATGCCTATAATCCCAGCACTTTGGGAGGCTGAGGGAGGTGGATCACCTGAGGTCAGGAGTTCGAGACCAGCCTGGCCAACATGGCAAAACTCTGTCTCTACTAAAAATACAAAAATTAAATGGGCGTGGTGGCGTACAACTGTAATCCCAGCTACTCAGGAGGCCGTGGTGGGAGAATCACTTAAACCCAGGAGGTGGAGGTTGCAGTGAGCTGAGATTGCGCCACTGCACTCACCTGGGCAACAGAGTGAGACTCTATCTCAAAAAAAAAAAAAAAAAAAGACCACCTTTTTAAAAAAATAACTTTTTAATTGTGTTGTATCTATATACAGAGGAGTTAGAAAACATAGGCATTTTAAAGAAAAATAGCTAATACTACAATACTAACAGCTAATAGCTAACAGATGGTAACTAATAGTACCTACCATGTGCCAGGCACTGCTCCAAGCATTTTACATATATCATATATATTAACTGGTTTATCAACATTCCCCCTTTACAGATAAGAAAACTGAGAAACAGAAAGGTTGAGTAACTTGCTGCAGGTCACACAGTTGGCAAATGGTATAGCTGGGATTCAAACCTAAGTAAGCTGACTCCCAACTCCATCCTAAACACCCTCACCCACTGTGGTATTGCCAGCTTTGTCAGGGCATAATGCCAGTACCTCAGAAGCTTACTGCGAAGGAATCCATTTTTTTCAAACCAAATATTACACAAAATCTAATATAACAATAAATACAGTGATAACCAATTTTATTAAGCACTTATTATGTCCCAGGCTCTGTGCAAAGAACTTTATTTATTTATTTATTTATTTATTGAGACCTAGTCTCACTCTGTCGTCCAGGCTGGAGTGCAGTGGCATGATCTCAGCTCACTGCAATCTCCACCTCCTGGGTTCAGGCGATTCTCCCACCTCAGCCTTCTGAGTAGCTGGGATTACAGGGGCCCGCCACCACACCCAGCTAATTTTTGTATTTTTTAGTAGAGATGGGGTTTCCCCATGTTGGCTAGGCTGGTCTCGAACTCCTGACTTCAAGTGATCTGCCCACCTTGGCCTCCCAAAAAGCTGGGATTACAAGCGTGAGCCACCTCGCCCTGGCCTAAAGAACTTCAGTGCATTCATTCATTCAATCATAATCACAACCCCGTTTTCTGGACATGAAACTGAGGCTCAGGGTAGTTAAGTGTCTTTCCTAAAGTTACACACAAAGTGTCCATGGTGGTGGCAGGACTCAGACTGTTATCTCTACAGCCCATATTCTCAACCACTCTGACTCCACACAGAATGCACAAAGGCAGGGCTGCTCTTTTATTTTGGGTGGCGTGGGTGGAAGTAGGCAATGGAGGCACAGTTGTCAAAGCCACTGGTCTAATCTAACTATTCTTCTCTCTTCCACTTTACAGAGGGTGTAACTTGGGCCAAGAAATCGTGATGTGAGTAGGTCACACAGTGTTGAGGGCCAAAACCCTCGACTCCGTTGGGAGTTAAAGGGGAGGAAGTGGACATTTCCTTTGAACCTAATAATAAGCAGGTGAGGTTTTGTATTCTCATTTTTCACAGTGCAAGAAAATTTTGTTTAGAAATTCTAGTTAAGTCATTTACCCAAAGCCCTAAAGCCAGTAAACAGCAAGTGGGAATCAAACCCAAGTCCCTTGACATGCCAAACCAGCTTCTTTCCACTAGACCACCCCTTCCCCCATTACTGTAAACTCCATCTCTCCGCTGCTGTCAGCTCCTTCTTGATCCGTACAGAAATAAAAGTTTGCCACCATTTTGCCTGACCTCCTCCAGAGACTCGCTTCAGGATCCTAGAGCCAGATCTGCACCCCACAACCTTATCTGCTTTGGGGTCCCAAGTCCCTCAACTTCTGTCCTGACCTCCTTCCCCACATAAATGTAGAAGTGCGCACCAGCATCAACAGAATCATTTCACTGAGACGTTTGTGAATTGGTTTCCACCTGGGCTGGTGGGTTGAGGTCTTGTGAGTCGTGTTGTTTTAGACCCTTACTACTGAAATGATGGTTCTAAGCAGCAGCAACAGCACCTTGGAGCGCATTAGAAATGCACACACTCCGAACCTCCTGAATTAGAATCTACTTTTTGTTTTGTTTTGTTTTTGAGACGGAGGTTCACTCTTGTTGCCCAGGCTGGAGTGCAATGGTGCGATCTCAGCTCACTGCAACCTCCACCTCCTGGGTTCAAGTGATTTTCCTGCCTCAGCCTCCCAAGTAGCTGGGATTACAGGCGCCTGCCACACACCCAGTTAATTTTTATTTTGTATTTTTAGTAGAGACGGGGTTTTACCATGTTGGCCAGGCTGGTCTTGAACTCCTGACCTCAGGTGATCCACCTGCCTCGGCCTCCCGAAGTGCTGGGATTACAGGCGTGAGCCACCATGCCCGGCCTAGAATCTACACTCTTTTAAAAAGGGATTCCCAGGTGATTTGATTGCACGTTAACGTCTGCAAAGCACTAGGTTAGATGTGAATCCCAGGGGAAGCAGGCTTATGCCCGCCTGTGTAACTGACCTTCTGCAGCTCTTGGCTTAGTTGTTAGGGGCAGCTGCGAGTTGGTTGATGACGTTACTGTAAGGAGCACTTGAATATTAAATTGCAACCAACGCCTAGGAGATTACTGCAACAAAAGGAACCCTGGTTGTATTATTGCAACCAGCATCTGCATGGTAGACTGAATGAGAGGCCCAAGAGATTTTGTTGCAACAAGAATTTAGAAGCCCATTTCCACTTCCACGCTGGCTATTATGATGCAACAAAGTGGAGAAATGGGAAGGGCTCTTGCTTTTTACTAAATTGAGTGTACCAAATTGGAAAATAGTTTAAAAGCGTGTTTGTTGGCCGGGCGCGGTTGCTCACGCCTATAATCCCAGCACTTTGGGAGGCCAAGGCAGGTGGATGACAAGGTCAGGAGTTCGAGACCAGCCTGACTAACATGGTGAAACCCCGTCTCTACTAAAAATACAAAAATTAGCCTGGCGTGGTGACGCGTGCCTGTAATCCCAGCTACTCAGGAGGCTGGGGCAGGAGAATCGCTTGATCCTGGGAGGCGGAGGTTGCAGTGAGCCGAGATTGCACCATTGCACTGTAGCCCGGGGAACAGAGCGAGACTCCGTCTCCAAAAAACAAAACAACAATTAAACAAACAAACAAAAAACCATGTTTGTTGCACTGAAACTGTGCATGTTTATAATAACGACCTAGGCCGGACACGGTGGCTCACGCCTGTAACCCCAGCACTTTGGAGGGCCCAAAGTGGGCAGATTACGACATCAGGAGTTCGAAACCAGGCTGACCAACATGGTGAAACCCCGTCTCTACTAAAAATACAAAAATTAGCCGGGCGTGGTGGCACACACCTGTAATCCCAGCTACTCAGGAGGCTGAGGCAGGAGAATCGCTTGAACCCGGGAGGCAGAGGTTGCAGTGAGCCGAGATTGGCCACTGCACTCCAGCCTGGGCAACAGAGCGAGATTCTGTCTCAGATAGATAGATAGAATAAAATATGACCTAGATAGTTAAAGGAAACCTGTTCTGATGCTGGAGACTTATTCTTGAAACATCTTCAAGAACTTGTGACAAGACTCTCTCCTAACAAAAAGATTTAGCCTGATAGAATCTGGACTATTACACTGACTGCATTTCAAAATGGAATGCATTGTAGAGTAAACACCAACTAGAACCTAGTTGCTCTGTTGCAACAAGTTTGAATTTGCTATGGAAACAAATTGACAAGCTTGTGGCTGAGGGCCTGCTTGGCTGTTTTCTTGCAACAGGACCTTCCAGAATGCCCCCCTGTGCCAGCAGCCTGGTGTGCCTCTTATCACAAGGGGAACTATGGTTGAGAGGCCACACTGTTATAAAGGCAAAAATAGTGAAACATATTGCCATGGACATAAGGACAGCCAAGTGTCATGCAGGACTCTGGGAACAACTGCAGGCATCCCCTAGTGACAAGCAGCCATTCTATGCCTCTGTTGTTAGTTACCAGGGCAGTCATGTTATCCCATCTTACAGCAGAGGAAACTGAGGCTTAGAGTTCAGGAGGTTGTCCAAGTTCTCAGGACAGATGAACAGCAGGGTAGGATGTGGGTTTGGAACTTTTGGCTACATCCTGGACTTCCTTGCAGGGAGACTTTGCATATGCTTTGAAATAGGATCAGGAAACGTGGGAAGAAAAACATGCATATGTTTTACCTATTCAAACCTAGCATATTTTGTTGCTAAATTTTAAGGACGTGTATATGCCGTAACATAAGATCCAAATATCTTATTTCTAAGGGAACATAGGTGTCTGGAATGTGGGCAAATACAGTGACAGCAAATCAAAGATGTAATTACAATAAAGTCTTATTTAGCTTAATGGAAGAGACCTGAGTTCAAGTTTTGGTTCTATCACTTCTTAGCATATAACCTAGGCCAAAATGTAGTCTCGCAGAATTTGGCAAAATTCTACTCATTCTTTAATGCCCAGTTCAGTCATCACCTTTGTGAAGCCTTCCCAGACCCCCCTCCCCACCTCCGAAAAGAGGTAGCACCTGGCCCCTCGGTCTTCACAGTTTACTGAAGGGGTTGGGTTTATTGGCATTCTACCGTAACCGACTAGAACTGAGCTCATCTTTGCGGGGTTAGCTAGCCGTTGAGTCCAAGTCTCCTTGGCAAGACAGTAGCTTAGAGAAACGAGATCGAATGCACCCGGAAGGTGGCCAATTTGTGCCTCAACTCCTTGGCCATCTCCTGGCTACCAAACTCAAGCGTTTCCTCCTTAGCAAAGGCGGACGTAGGGCTCAAATCCCCGACGTTTCCAGGGCCACCCCCCATACGGTAAGCACGGCGAGGTCCAGAGAGGACCCCAGTGCGCGGAGCGGCACGGCGCCCACTCCTCTCGCCCTCGGCGCCTAGCACGCTGCCAAGAACCGCGGGTGCCCAGTAAATATTTGTGGATTGAGATGGAGCAGAGGGCAGGCGGAAACCGTGTACAGACGTCCACACTTAACTGCGCTGGGGCCGCGGTGGTGAGCGCTCCGCGGAGTCGGGGGAAGGGCGGGGGCCGCTCCGTCCAGCCGGGCGCCAGCTCCTCCCGGGCGGGCGGGCACCCACCGACCGCGGGCACACAAAGCCTGCTCGGCGTGCTCGGCGATCGGCTCCTTATGCCTGTGCCGCCACGCGCCGTCAGGCGGCTCCGGGTTGGGCGTTGGGCCGTGGCAGGCCCTGGGCGTCAAGAAGCTGCACGCATCAAACCGCCGCGGGAGGGAGCGCGAGGTTGGGGGGCGGGGGGAGGAGGAGGAGTGGGTCCGGGAGGAGGGAGGAGGAGGAGTGGGGACCGGGCGGGGGGTGGAGGAAGAGGCCTCGCGCAGAGGAGGGAGCAATTGAATTTCAAACACAAACAACTGCACGAGCGCGCACCCACCGCGCCGGAGCCTTGCCCCGATCCGCGCCCGCCCCGTCCGTGCGGCGCGCGGGCGGAGACGCCGTGGCCGCGCCGGAGCTCGGGCCGGGGGCCACCATCGAGGCGGGGGCCGCGCGAGGGCCGGAGCGGAGCGGCGCCGCCACCGCCGCACGCGCAAACTTGGGCTCGCGCTTCCCGGCCCGGCGCGGAGCCCGGGGCGCCCGGAGCCCCGCCATGTCGCGATCCAACCGGCAGAAGGAGTACAAATGCGGGGACCTGGTGTTCGCCAAGATGAAGGGCTACCCACACTGGCCGGCCCGGGTGAGCAGCGCGGCCCGCCGCCCCCTAACCCCCTGCGGGCTTGGGTTGCATAACACCGGGAAGGGCACGAGCGCTCCGCGCGGAGCGGGCAGAGGTGGGGGCAGGGGGCTTGTAGGTCTCCGGCTCTTTCTCTGTCGCTTCCAAGCCCACCCGCCGGTTATATAATGGTGGAGGCGGGCGGGGGTGGGGGTAGACACCTGGCGGGCACGGCGTCCGCGCGTAGTGGCGTGTTCACGGCGTGGGGATCCGAGGGCGCCGGTCACTTCCCGGCCCCCAGCTCCGCGTGCTCAGTTCCGCCCCCAGCCCCCATACTCCCAGAGGTTTCGAGCGCGAAGTCTGGCTTTGGGCCAGTCGTGTTATTCCTTCCCCCGACCCCAGGCGCCGCCGCCACCCCCTTTAAGACCCCCTTAGAGACCCCTAGTTTGTTCGTGGATTGTCGCCCCTAATTCAAACTCTTCTCTTCGTGGATAAATGGTTAAGAAGGATCCCAACCCGGAGAGGGCTAGATGGAGGCGGAGTTCGCTTCTAGGAAACTTTGGTTTGGGGCATCTGTAAGAGGTCTAAAGTTGGAAAGGTCGAAGGATCGTTGGGGGCGGCGTAAGGGGATCTACCTGGCTTGGAAATTATCCGTCAGAACCCATCAGCCCTCAGCTCCACAGAAATATTCCTCCATATGCTGCCAACTCAAATTTAGGATTGAGGTGGCAGATTCCCTTGTGGTATTAGGAAGTCCAGTACAGACTGCCTCTTAGTAGGGGTTAGGGGAGCCCAAGTTCCTTCCCCCGCTCAGATGTGAAGATCTTCCGCCAGAACGGCCCAGTCTCTGCCATGTGGTTAATTCAGCCAGCCAGTATGAGCCCCCCCCACAACCCCAGCACCTGGCCAGGTGGGAGGGTGGGGCCCTGCAGCCAAGCCTGGTGTGCTCATCATGTTTCCCCTAAGGACTGAGACAGGTTAAGTAAGGAGGATGGGAGGTTGCCAGTTGCTGGAGGAAAGGAGGGGGGATGCGGGGGCAGTGCATTTGGCAACTTAAAGTTGGTGTAGAGGGGCCTTTGGTTTTGGGCGAGGGCATGACTCAGTATCCTAGAGTGTAGGACTCCTGTAGAGTAAAATCCAAGGGCAGAAGGACTGCATATCTTTGGGGTGCTCTTCTCAGTGTAAGTCTGTGTCTGTCTGGCCCAGGCTTATTCAGGGTATCAGGCCAACTTTGGGGCCACTCAGAAAACTCAGAGACCCTTCCTCGCTCTGTACCCACTCCTCAGGAGTGTGCCTAATCCCACATGCCTTGAGCTCCTGGTTCCGTGAAACTTTCAGATGGATCAAATGAGGACCGGCTTCCGCTATTGGGAGTGAAGTACAAAGAGAAGCGGGACTCTCTGCGTTACAACTCTCCTGTACTTTACCCTGCACCCTTTGACCCAGCTGGCTTCTTGGCCCAGATGCCAAGGCCCTGGTGGGTAGGACAAGAACTGAACCCAGGTCTCTACTGTTCCTACCTCCTGAGGGTGGGACAAAGTCCAGAGGCTGGACTAAGCCCTTGGGGAGTGGGTGTTAGCTGGAATGTGGGTTGCAGGGAACCCCTTCTGCATCCGGTAAGAGAGAAAAGGGGCAGGGACACAGCAGGACCCACACTGGCCCCTGTGAGGAAGACCTCAAGTTTCTGGTGGCCTTTGGAGTAAGGGCAGTCCCTAGGACTAGGGATCCCATCCATTTTCTCTCCACTTTGGGCCTCCAGGACAGAAGGGAAGGACAGGGGAGGCAGCGTTTCTTCCTCTGTTGAGGCCTGGACCTTTTAGATAAAGTTAGAACTGGGGTAGGGAGATCAGCCTGGATCTCAAAGAGGTGGGGCCCCACACTTTGCCTGTCTCTGGCTCTTGATTGTGATACTTGCAGGGATGGCTACACCCAAGGCTGTTACCTCCCAGACACAGTCCCCTTGTACTCCAAAAGAACAGACCTCGAGTCTCCTCACCATTCCTTGGACCGTGTCTTAGTCCCTAGAGAGGCAGAGCCTGAGGGGCCCTTCCTGAGATGGATGAGAAGTAAGAGGGAACCTCACTGACTCGTCCATCTCATAGGAAACCCAAATCTTCAGCCATAAAGAAGGCCCGTGTGTGGATTTTCCTTCCTCAGTCCCTGCTGCTGGGGAGGGTGGGTGATTCTGGGTGAAACTAGAAGGTCCCAGTGCTTGAGAGAGAGCCCAGCCAGAGGGGCCACGTGATAGGCAGGACCTGCCTGGAAGGATGGTGTGACTCCATCTTAACCTTCTCCTTTCCCTCTTCCGCCTGCCTAACTTCCTGGGGGATCTCCAAGTTCTTAACAATTAACCTCCAAGACTTCAGGGATTTTCCCCCCTGATCCCTTTCTGCTTTTGCTGCTTCCTGTTTCACAATCCCAGAAAACCTGGGCAGCCAGGACCTCACCCGTCTTTCCTCCCGGTGCCCCTTCCCCCTGTACCTTCTCTTTTCTGCCTCTTGGGCTTGCCACACTTTCCTGGCCCCAACTGTCTCCTGCCCCAGATTTTCCGGTTCCTGGGTCAGGTTAGGCCTCAGCCCTGGGTGTGGTGGTCAGAACCCTGGCTGGTAGCCAGTGTGTGCTTAGCCTTCCCTGCTGCCTTCCTAAGTGCTGGGTCTGTTTTTAGTCTGAGGCTGGGGGAGAGGTGTTCAGTTCTCTTTCCCCACTCTACCTGAAAACTTCGGATTACTCTTTGGACCTCAGAGGGTGTCTGTGGCTTGGGAGGCTGGTGTTTCATGTGCTCAGGCCTGTCTGATGGAATCGGGCAAATGCAAGGCCTAAGAATAAGTAACTTGCCTGGATCTGGAATGGTTAAGAGGTAGCCGAGTTCCCCTATTGCTGGCTAGTGGAGGGGGTACCGTGGGGTCCCCAGCACTATTTGGCCCCACCCTGACCCAGTTAGCCTTGACTCACTTGTTTTGAGTCACAGCCTGGATACAAAGGCACCACCTGGAAGACAGATGTCTGTATTGGGGTACAGGGCTGCCCTGAGACCTCATAACCTCTACATCTAGGAAGAACTGCCCTCCACTTCCAAATGTAAGAAAGGACATTTTCTTTGTAGCTTGAGGGATAGAGGTGTCACTGTAGAAGGGATTTCTCCTCTTTTGGGTGAAGGGTTAGAAATTCCATCAAGTGAGAAGAGCACACCTCCCCTGGCCCTTCCCCACAAGTGCCTATACTCTAGGTGAGGGAGCCAGGTGGGATGATGCTTTGGGGGGAGATGCCTATCTGCTCAGGCCCCTGTCTTCCTCTCTCTTCCCTCTAGACCCATCCTTTATGTAGCTAGAAGTCAGCAGGGCTGGCATATCTGGTGTGCCTCATGCTATTTTTAATCCCATTCGTTCTTTTGTTTCTCCCCCACTGCTGGGGCTGGGCAGCTGGTGGCCTCCTGGGTCCCCTGCCACACCATTCAGCTATCTGCCTCTGAGTGTGCTTTCCATGGGAAGCTGGGGTGGCACGAGACGGTGGCCAGGTAGCCACTTTGCAGTCTGTGCTTCTGCAAAGAACCTCATTTCTCCTTATTTCTGAACTTTCACCCACACACACCCTCTTATGAAGCCTCAGTTTCTCCTCTTCCATCACGCATTTACTGTGGGCATCTTAATGCCCTGGCTCAGGTGTGGGCACTGAAAATACAGAGCTCTAAGTCCCAGCCTTAGACCCTTCAGTCCCCACCCCCACCCCTGGTTCTGGGTGCACACAGATCCACAGAAGAAAGGCCTAGGAAAGGCGTTTGCTATTATTGTCCTATGCCTGTCTCCTGGGATCTCTAACCCCTGGGGGCGCTCGTTTTGTTTTTTGCTTCCCCCTGTTAAGAGGAGGATGGGAGCTAGCTGGTAACAGGACCCAGGCGTCCTGGCTGAGGACCGACTCCTCTGTCCCTGCTCCAGGTCTGGCTTCCTGAGAAGGACGCCCCCTTTCGCCCCGTACCCCCTGCAGCGGTAATCCAGCCCTAGCTGTGGTTTCCAGCACAGCCGGGGACCCAGGTGCCAGACTGCAGGCTTGGGGGTGGGGTGTGTTAGTGTCCCTTCCTCCCCAATCCGGAGAGAAGGCGGCGGGGCGGGGGGGGGGGGGCGGGGGGGAGGGGGGAGGGGCGGTCACATTCCTGGTTGCTGAGTGGCCCCGGGGGCGGGGTTGCGTTGTCATGGCGATGGGGATCGTGTTTGTAGGGGGAACTGCGTGCCTTTCCACCCCCTGCTCTCACACCCAGCGTCTCCTGGTTGTGGGAAGGGCCCAGTTTGTGCTGGGCCTTCCTGGGGGGGAAGGGCTGGACCTCTGTCCCCAGAGGCCACGGGGCAAGCGGGGAGGTGCCCAAAAGCCTGAAGATTCCAAGTCTGGAGCAAGATGCCCCTCAGATTCATGCCCAGGGCCCCACCCCTTCTCCTGGGTGTGTCTCAGCGCATTCCCATCCACCCTGTCTCCCCAGGCCCCCAGTTGGGCCCTCTGTCCCTGTCTCTGTGTGTTAATCACTGCCTTGGCCTTTCTGTCTCTCCTGTTTGCGCCTGGGGCCCCAGTCATCATGGCCACCTGGCCTCTGTCCGGCGGGAAGCCTGGCTGCTGGGGCTGCTGCAAGTGCTGCTGGGAGTTGTAGTCCCCACCCGCCCCACCTTCCCCCACGACCCACCCCTGGCTCAGCTTGGCCTGGGCTTCCAGGCCTGATCTGGGAGAGGCTGGCGAGGCCACTGCCTCTGGATTCCCTGACCTCAGATTTCTGCACCTCTCACCTTCACCACAGCGCTTCTCACCACGGGGACACGTGGGGCGGGGGATTTAGTCAGGTGACCTGAGACCTGGCCCTCAACAACTTGCTATGTTATTTTGGGCAAATCACTTGTTTTCTGGGCTCAGTTTCCTCATCTGTAAAATGAGAGTTTGACTATGTGCCTTTCAGAGTTCCCTAGAAGCCTTTTGGCGGGCGTTGGATAGGCAGCCCTTTGACCTCACCCCTCCACTTCAGCCAGAGCAGCTTCCTTTTAGCTGTTTGGTAAATTCATTCAGTAAATAATTATATACCTACTGTATGCTAAGCACCGTGCTGCAGATAAAAGCAGAGCTGGTCTCTGACCTTGGGGCTGGTCTAGTCCAGATAGTGCACATAGATGTTAAATAATAATGTGAATCAGTGTAAAATTAGAACTGGGAAAGCACTGTAAAGGGGAAGTCTTAGGAAAGAGTTTTACCTAGGGAGTCGGCCAGGCCAGGAGTGATAGGGAAGCTTTCTGGAGGAAGTAATGGCGGAGCTGAGGCTATAAGGATGATCAGGAGTGAGTGAGTATTAGAGACTGCAAGAACCATGGTCAGAGCAGAAAAGACAGTGTACTGGGAGAGGCTGATGAAAGCAAAGACGTGTAGGATGTACCACATGCCAAGTTATGGTCATTTCATCCTCACAGCCCTATAGCTTTAGTACTATGACTGTCTCCCTTTTACAGATGAGGAAACTGAGGCAGAGAGATGTTCAGTAAGTTGCACAAAGTCATACAAGTGGGGGCAGAGTTGGGATTCAGATCTTGCCATTGTGCAGAAGGGGTGAACAGGTGGGTTCTAGAGTCCTTAAAAGGTATTGAAGGGTTTTGAAGCAAGGGGACGAAATCCTTGGACCAACATTCCCAAAGGCCCACTCTGGCTGCATTGTGGAGAATAGATTGTGGAGAATGGAGAAGGTGATGGCAAAGTCAGGGGGCTTTGTGGCCAGACATGTTGGGAGGCAGAATGGGTGCTGTCTGGCTGGTGACGGAGAGGGAAGGATTCCTGGGTTTCTGTTGGGCTTTCATGTCTGACTTCATTTGAATAAAGTGTCACTGCTAAAAATGGCCCAAAAGCCATCTTGCTGACTATCCTGGGTCCCTCTCAGTCTGATTTTATATAAATGTGCCTTGGAGGTCAGCACCCCTGCCTCAGGCTCAAAACCTCAGGACTCTAGCTAACCTCACCCCCTCATCTCACCCCAGATTGACGAGATGCCTGAGGCTGCCGTGAAATCAACAGCCAACAAATACCAAGTCTTTTTTTTCGGGACCCACGAGACGTGAGTGGAGGCCAAAGGGGTATAGGTCGGGAGGGCCCCGGGAGGACTACTCTGGGGAAGGTGAGGTGGTGTTGGTGCCCCTTTCATGCCGGGCTGTGCAGCTCAGGGGCAGTGAGGGGCTTGAGAGCACAGTCTCCCATCTCTCACCAGGGCATTCCTGGGCCCCAAAGACCTCTTCCCTTACGAGGAATCCAAGGAGAAGTTTGGCAAGCCCAACAAGAGGAAAGGGTTCAGCGAGGGGCTGTGGGAGATCGAGAACAACCCTACTGTCAAGGCTTCCGGCTATCAGGTGAGCCACCGCCTGCCCCAGAGACCCCCTGGAAAGCAGATGTGGCTGTGGGCTCTGGCAGCCCCCGGCCCACAGATGATGCTTAGTCTTCAGAAACTCCAGGGCTTTCAGGGTAGGAGCTAATCAGGGTGGTGGGAAGGGGGCTTCCTGCAAGAAGGGATAGGGTTGGGCTGTGTGGTGTAGTTGTGGTTAGGGACAACTGTGAGACAGCAGTCTGGGGGGCAAGAACAGGATGGAGGCGGTAAGTGGGGACAGGCCTTTGTTGGGCCTAGTGTGAGTATAGGACACAGCCTTAACTCTTTCCACAAAGGCTTCCAGGAGGAGGTGCTTGTGAGCCGGGCAGGACGAGGCGGGAGGGTGGGGGGCGGGGGTTGGCGGGGAAAGGGTCCTAGCTCCCTTTGGGAGAAGTTGACCCGAGGTTTTGCCTCCTGCTCCAGCCCTCCCCCCTCCTGCACAGAGCCCTGCCTGCCCGGCCAGTGGGTTTACCCCGGGGCTAATCCGACAGAGGTGGGTCTCAAATCACTCGTGAGACTGGGCACCTGGGTGGGGGTGGGGGAGAGGCGGGAAAAGGAAGGAGTGAGTGGCTGAGGGAGGGTCTGGGGAGGGGGCCCAGCATGGCAGCGACTGGTGCCACTCAGCCTGTGCTGTCTCTGCTGCAGTCCTCCCAGAAAAAGAGCTGTGTGGAAGAGCCTGAACCAGAGCCCGAAGCTGCAGAGGGTGACGGTGATAAGAAGGGGAATGCAGAGGGCAGCAGCGACGAGGAAGGGAAGCTGGTCATTGATGAGCCAGCCAAGGAGAAGAACGAGAAAGGAGCGTTGAAGAGGAGAGCAGGGGACTTGCTGGAGGTAACTGCTGCCTGCCCAGGGCCTGGGCCCCCCTCAACATTCCCCATGGGGTATCCCACAGGAGCAGGGCTTTGCCTCAGGGGTGCCCAGTCTGAGAGGTCGATCCAGCCCCTAGTCTTGGGGAGTCCCCAGCTGACCAGATGGGACACAGAAGGCATTTCAGCTAGTAGGGTTGGGGAAGGACTGTGGGTGTCAGCCTGGGAAGGAGCCCCGGAGGAGAGGAGTGGGTGGCTGGTGGCCTCCCTCTCCAGCCTCAGCCCACTTCCTCTGTTGATCCTGCCTAGGACTCTCCTAAACGTCCCAAGGAGGCAGAAAACCCTGAAGGAGAGGAGAAGGAGGCAGCCACCTTGGAGGTTGAGAGGCCCCTTCCTATGGAGGTGGAAAAGAATAGCACCCCCTCTGAGCCCGGCTCTGGCCGGGGGCCTCCCCAAGAGGAAGAAGAGGAGGAGGATGAAGAGGAAGAGGCTACCAAGGAAGATGCTGAGGCCCCAGGCATCAGAGATCATGAGAGGTGAGTGAGCCCCCTGACCCCTTGGCAGCTGGACTAGGGGGGACCGGCCACTCTCGGAGAAGAGGATGAAAAGGGCCTGCAGTGGTCAGCCTCTCGGGAGGCAGGGTGGGCTCTCCTAGGAGACCGGCACTGGCTGGGGCAAGGCCAGGCCAAGGCCACACCATTAACCCTTCTCCCCTCCAACCCTCCCTCACAGCCTGTAGCCACCAATGTTTCAAGAGGAGCCCCCACCCTGTTCCTGCTGCTGTCTGGGTGCTACTGGGGAAACTGGCCATGGCCTGCAAACTGGGAACCCCTTTCCCACCCCAACCTGCTCTCCTCTTCTACTCACTTTTCCCACTCCAAGCCCAGCCCATGGAGATTGACCTGGATGGGGCAGGCCACCTGGCTCTCACCTCTAGGTCCCCATACTCCTATGATCTGAGTCAGAGCCATGTCTTCTCCCTGGAATGAGTTGAGGCCACTGTGTTCCTTCCGCTTGGAGCTATTTTCCAGGCTTCTGCTGGGGCCTGGGACAACTGCTCCCACCTCCTGACACCCTTCTCCCACTCTCCTAGGCATTCTGGACCTCTGGGTTGGGATCAGGGGTAGGAATGGAAAGGATGGAGCATCAACAGCAGGGTGGGCTTGTGGGGCCTGGGAGGGGCAATCCTCAAATGCGGGGTGGGGGCAGCACAGGAGGGCGGCCTCCTTCTGAGCTCCTGTCCCCTGCTACACCTATTATCCCAGCTGCCTAGATTCAGGGAAAGTGGGACAGCTTGTAGGGGAGGGGCTCCTTTCCATAAATCCTTGATGATTGACAACACCCATTTTTCCTTTTGCCGACCCCAAGAGTTTTGGGAGTTGTAGTTAATCATCAAGAGAATTTGGGGCTTCCAAGTTGTTCGGGCCAAGGACCTGAGACCTGAAGGGTTGACTTTACCCATTTGGGTGGGAGTGTTGAGCATCTGTCCCCCTTTAGATCTCTGAAGCCACAAATAGGATGCTTGGGAAGACTCCTAGCTGTCCTTTTTCCTCTCCACACAGTGCTCAAGGCCAGCTTATAGTCATATATATCACCCAGACATAAAGGAAAAGACACATTTTTTAGGAAATGTTTTTAATAAAAGAAAATTACAAAAAAAAATTTTAAAGACCCCTAACCCTTTGTGTGCTCTCCATTCTGCTCCTTCCCCATCGTTGCCCCCATTTCTGAGGTGCACTGGGAGGCTCCCCTTCTATTTGGGGCTTGATGACTTTCTTTTTGTAGCTGGGGCTTTGATGTTCCTTCCAGTGTCATTTCTCATCCACATACCCTGACCTGGCCCCCTCAGTGTTGTCACCAGATCTGATTTGTAACCCACTGAGAGGACAGAGAGAAATAAGTGCCCTCTCCCACCCTCTTCCTACTGGTCTCTCTATGCCTCTCTACAGTCTCGTCTCTTTTACCCTGGCCCCTCTCCCTTGGGCTCTGATGAAAAATTGCTGACTGTAGCTTTGGAAGTTTAGCTCTGAGAACCGTAGATGATTTCAGTTCTAGGAAAATAAAACCCGTTGATTACTATATTGGATTCTGACTGATTCTTTGGGGGTGTATTGGTTAACTGAAGACAGAAAGTGGGGTAATGGAATGCAAATGATTTCCAGGTCATCTCAGATTTAGGTAGAGGGTGTCAACCTCCTCCATTTTTAGGCATTTGGAAATCCAAACTTCTTGTGGGCAGAGTCGTAGAATAAACCACACCATTCATTCTACTCCTGCCCAGCCACTGTTTAACGCACCTGGGAAAGTTTTTTTTAAAAAAGGGTTTGCACAAGAAGTGGGGTGTGGGAGGATGCGAGTATCGGCCACAGCCCAAGATGGCCATGAAGTGGGAGTTTGGAGGCTGGTTGTATAAACAATTTGACCCCAAAGTGCAAGTCAAATAATAGGATAACCCTTTCTCCTTGCTAATGCTAGGGGTACCTGCCACCCTTAGCTGGTGATGGGGTGGTAGGGGGAGGGGGTTGGTAGGGTGAAATTCCGCCAGTACTCCCTGAGTTAAGTGGAATGACTGGTTTAGATCATTTCTGTTTCCTTCCAGATCTGACATTTTGTAACTAGATCGGCTACTAGCATTGGAAGGGCCCACGTTTCATCCCTTCCTCTAGAAAGCCTACCGGCAGTTTTTGAATCTGCCCTGCCCCCACTCCAGCAGAGAAGGACAGGGAGAGCATTGGCGGTAGCCCTGTCTGGAAAGGGCGGCCCTTTGCCTTGAACAGGAAGCCACAACCACCTAGAAAATGGAGCCTTCTTCTCTAGAAACTACAATTCCCAGCGGCCTCCACGCAGAGCATGCGCGGGAATGTGCCAGGCGGGCCAGCCGAACCAGCTTGCCTTTCGATTCCCGACATGCTTCATGGTGTGTTCCGGTTTCCTTGATTTCCTACCCCCGCCAAACTTCCTGTTTCCAGCTTTCTAGCGGCGGACTACAACTCCCAGCATGCTGAGAGGTAAGATTCGTGGTTGAGCTTCCGTTTTACACTTGGACTACAACTCCCAGAAAGTCGACGGGCGTGGCGGGGGAGGGGACGCTGAGGGCCCATGTGCTGAAAATCCGAAGTGCCGCGGAAAGTGGAGGTGAGGGCCGCCCGCCCTAGAGGTGCCCGTCCGAGAGGCAGGTGCGGGAAGAGCCTATCCTTTTCCCTGGCCATGGCTCAGTCGCCTCCCCAGGGTTTATTTGCACCGGAAGTTTGGAGCGGGTGGGTGCTGAAGACAGCTAGGCCTTGGCGATGTCTGGGATGAGGCTGGTGGGGGAAGCCTTTGGAGCCGTGACCTGAGAGGGCAGACCTTCGACCCCACTACATTGCACTGCGCCTTCAGAACATGCAGGGAAAACCCCACTGCGGGACGCTCACCAGCAGCATCTCCAGATTGTGAAGGGAAAGAAGGGAAGGATCTCGGGGGCATGCAAGCTGCTCTGGGCTGGGGTGGTTCAGACCTGGATTGACTGAGGTGAAGGGGCTCCTTGCAGCAATCACACAGAAGGCTCGGGTCTTAAGATTGGCCCTGCTCCTAGTCAAGCTGTATGAACCAGGGTAGTCACTCCGGCTTTCAGGGCCTTGATTTCCTTGTCTGTAAAAGGGACTTTACGATGCATCTGGCAACCTCACCTTCCTCACTGGGCAATGTGAAGACCAAATGCCGGCAATGAAATTCCCAGCATTAGGTTTGTCATATAGTAGTCCTCTCTAAGCATTTGTTGAATACTCACAGGAACACTTAGGCCAGTCAGCATTAATTGAAAATAACAGGTGGGGTTTTTTTTTGTTTGTTTTTGTTTCTTTTTCCGAAAATAACATCAGGCCTTTATACTGAGAAGTATAAAGAAGAAAAATGAGCCAGTATCTCACTGTTCAGATAAACCGTTAATACATATTTTTAAATGCACATGGTTAGAAAATGCAAACGTTACGGGAAGGAACAAAATGGAATTAACAGACCTCCCAAACAGTTCCTCTCCCCTTAAACAAGTACTTTGGTTTCTTGTTTCCTTTCCATAAATATAACTGTGCTGGAATATATATTTGTATATTTACCCCACAGGGATAATAATACATTATTTTGCACCTTGCTTTGTTAAAATATTTAAAATAATTTAAATGACACCCACAACCCTGTAAATGTTTATGGATGATGAAACTGAAATTCAAAAGTTAAATTGCTGGATGGGCGTGGTGGCTCACACCTGTAATCCCAGTACTCTGGGAGGCCAAGGCAGATGGATCACCTGAGGTCAGGAGTTCGAGACCAGCCTGGCCAACATGGTGAAACCCTGTCTCTACTAAAAATACAAAAAAAAAATTAGCGGGTCATGGTGGCACATGCCTGTAATCCTAGCTATTCAGGAGGCTGAGGCAGGAGAATCGCTTGAACCCAAGACGCAGAGGTCGTGGTGAGCTGAGATCATGCCACTGCACTCCAGCCTGGGCGACAGAACAAGACTCCGTCTCAGAAAAAAAAAAAAAAAAAAGTTAAGTTGCCTAGCGTCATACAGTAAGATGATGGTGGAGCAGGGAGTAGAACCCAGGTGGTCTGACTTCCTTGTCCAGGGCTCTTTATGCCATTGTAGTATCTTTATTTGTCTTTGAAGTTAGGGTTCATTTTTATCTATAAAATGAGGTTAATCATGACTTCTTCATTTGGTTGTCCTTAGGCATAAATGAGATACAGGAAAGCACTTAGCATGGCACGTGGTAAGTTGCAAGTATTCAGTTAACTGAAGCACTTACCATTTATGCCTTCAGTTCATTCACCACCTCATTAATTGAGAATCGAGTGGTTTAGAGAACATACTTAGTTGGGAAATTTAGGACTCAGTAATTCTAGAGTCTGGCCCTGGGTCCTTTTCCTTTAGAAAAGGAGCTATCTTAGGGAGGAGTGGTTATTTCCTATCTGAGGATAGGAATTCTAAGTGGGATAGGGACATTTTAACCCCAGTTTTTATTTCTGCTACCTATTTGTTCATTTCACTGATTTACAACTGCCTACCTTTTGGCCGTATGCCAGCGTTCCATCCTCTGTTTTCTTCCTATCCTGCTGTTCATACATTGATTTAATAAGTATTTGTTAAGCACCTACTAGGGGCCAAGCTCTGGATTCAAGAGTGAGATAGATAACATGGCCCTTGTCCTTAATGAATTTTTTGGACTTTGAAGTCAGATATATGTGGGTTTGAATACTGATTCTCCAATGTAGTAGCTTTGTAATCATAAGCAAGTTACTTGACCTTTCTATTTTCTCATCTATAAAGATGATAACCTCTTGTGAGGATTCAATGTGATGAGGTCCATTGAGCAATAGAGTAAGTGCTTTAAAAAATGTTCCTTCCCTTGCCTCTTTGTTCCCGTTTCTATCCATCTGCCCAGAGCTGACAAGGAAGGTTTCGAGCGTTTTGCTGGCAAAGGGATTTCTTACAACCTCCAGGCATGCGTCTTTCTGCCCTGCTGGCCTTGGCATCCAAGGTCACTCTGCCCCCCCATTACCGCTATGGGATGAGCCCCCCAGGCTCTGTTGCAGACAAGAGGAAGAACCCCCCATGGATCAGGCGGCGCCCAGTGGTTGTGGAACCCATCTCTGATGAAGACTGGTATCTGTTCTGTGGGGACACGGTGAGAGCCTCATACAGGGGGTAGAGTGATGGGGAACCTCCTGGGCAAGGATCCCCCTCCCTAACCTTCGTATCTTCCCACAGGTGGAGATCCTAGAAGGCAAGGATGCCGGGAAGCAGGGCAAAGTGGTTCAAGTTATCCGGCAGCGAAACTGGGTGGTCGTGGGAGGGCTGAACACAGTAAGTTGAGAGAGGGGATGGGGATGCTCAGGAAGCCTGTCTCATCTGTCCCTCTCCATTCAGAGCAGCACAGGGTGGCAGGAGACTGGCTGAGGGGATGGCGGCATTACTGAACCTTCTACTTTTCAACTTGGGCTGAATGCGCCGAGTAGCAAGGGCAAACCCCTTTCACACCCCGTGCTTTCTGACACTCCCCTCTCTTGGACAGCATTACCGCTACATTGGCAAGACCATGGATTACCGGGGAACCATGATCCCTAGTGAAGCCCCCTTGCTCCACCGCCAGGTCAAACTTGTGGATCCTATGGACAGGCAAGCAACGGGGCTCTGGGCAGAGGGTTTCTCACCCTCTGGGTCCAAAAAGTGCTGTCCAATGGGAATGGTGGGTTGGATGCTCTGGAAATTAAGAGGGACCATCTCATGGACATGATTCCCTGCGGGTAACCCCAACACAGAGGTGGAGAAACGCGGTGGTAACCCTTGTGTTTTGAACCACTGACTCTTTTGGGTTGGAGGGTGGCAGGAAGCCTGGCTCGTAGGCCAGGCTCACCTCTTCTATCCACCAGGAAACCCACTGAGATCGAGTGGAGATTTACTGAAGCAGGAGAGCGGGTACGAGTCTCCACACGATCAGGGAGAATTATCCCTAAACCCGAATTTCCCAGAGCTGATGGCATCGTCCCTGAAACGTGGATTGGTGAGAGTGAGGGGCAGGAAGGTCAGGGGTGGGTGCTAGGAGTGAGAGTAGGGGACATTAATGAAAGTTGGCAAGCCCTCCCACCCATCTAAGTTTCCTCTGGCTTAACAGATGGCCCCAAAGACACATCAGTGGAAGATGCTTTAGAAAGAACCTATGTGCCCTGTCTAAAGACACTGCAGGAGGAGGTGATGGAGGCCATGGGGATCAAGGAGACCCGGAAATACAAGAAGGTCTATTGGTATTGAGCCTGGGGCAGAGCAGCTCCTCCCCAACTTCTGTCCCAGCCTTGAAGGCTGAGGCACTTCTTTTTCAGATGCCAATAAAGAGCACTTTATGAGTCCTCCTGTGTACAGCTGCTGTGTGGTAGAATGGCACCCCTAATCCCAGCACACTCTCAGGGACTGAAGGGAAGAAGCTTCTTTCCTGAGTTTATGACAGAACCTGGATGGAAGTTAGCTGGCCTTAAGGCGGCCCTCCCAAGGGGCAGGGCCTGCAGATTCTGAGTTGGAGGCCAAAGAGGGGGAGAGAAGTCCCCTTCATGGAAATCTGTGAGTAACAGAAGCCATCACCTACCCCACCTGCTAGGGAGGCCAGTGGGGAGTGGCGTCTGAGTCCTAACTGTAGCACCCTTGCAGCAGTGCCACAGGAAGGGTGCGCATCTCCTTTTATCTACCTACAGAAATGGGAAGGAAACAGATATCCAATTTTTAATTAATTAAAACTTTACAATGTATTACATAATCCATGGAAGGAGAGAAAGGGGATGAAACTGAAGGAACCAGGACTCTGGAGGATGCAGGATGCTGTTTCTCTGGATGAGATGTACTCTGCCACTGTGCTCTCTGGGCACTTTCAGATGATGGGGTCTGAGATGTTTCCTCAGGCTGCATCAGCTGTCTTCAGTCTCCAGAACAGAAAGAGCCTGACCCAGGGGCATCTTGGTGGCCACCAGAACCAGGTTTCTGGGAGAGAGTTCAGGACTGAAGATGGGCAGGAGCTCAGCATGGAAACCTGGGAGAAAGGGCTTAATCATAAGGGGAAGAATGAACCAAACTCACTCAGCCTCTTCTGCCCAGGCCTGTAGGCATAGTCCCTTTTCCCCATGGGGGAGGATCCAGCGGGGCTAAGGAGACCCCGTTCTCCATAAGGAACACGGGTTCCCAAGGCACTGACTTGGGAGGCAGTCCTCTTGCATTGTAGGTTCTCGATGCCTGGGAAGCTTGCTTAACATGCACCTTAGAGAGGTTCACCAGAGGCTGATTTGGTAGGAATCTTAATATTTTTTTTGAGATGGAGTCTCTGTTGCCCAGGCTGGAGTGCAGTGGTGCAGTCTCGGCTCACTGCAACCTCCGCCTCCTGGGTTCAAGCAATTCTTTTGCCTCAACCACCCAAATAGCTGAGACTACAGGTGTGCGCCACCATACCCGGCTACTTTTTGTATTTTTACTAGAGATGGGGTTTCACCATCGCTGGTCTTGAACTCCTGACCTCAAGTGATCTACCCACCCTGGCCTCCTAAAGTGCTGGGATTATAGGCATGAGCCACCGCACCCAGCCTGGATTCTTAATTTTTTAACAAATCCCCTACTCCCAATCCCCTACTCAAAGGTGGGGTCCAAGGATCACAACAGTGATTAGCTAGGCCCAGAAGATGTTGGGGCTGGGACTTGGAGAAGGAGCCCCAGAACCCCAGTCACTATAGTCCTTGGGTCCCTGCTGTAGGCCACCCTCACCCTGTTCCTGAAGGTACAGCAGCCGGTCCAGTAGAATAAGCGTCTCCACCAGTGGGGCAAGCAGTAGAGCCAGGCTGAAGAAGGCCACCACACGGTTCTCCTGGGCCACGTGGGCCTGAAGGGCAGCCAGATTCAGTGGCAGCTGGGGATCTAGCCCCACTCGCTGTAGCCCCCGCTGCACATATCTGTGGGATCAGTCACATTCAGCACTCAGTTTGGTTTTAAGAACTGTCACCTCTCACTTAAACTTTGCTTGTTCCTAATTCAGTTCCAACTTTGCTTTATTTTCTACCCCAATATGCGTTTTCATGAACATATGTGCATATATATATATATATATATATTTTTTTTTTTTTTTTTTTTTTTTTTTTTTTTACAGACAGGGTCTCTCTACGTAGCCCAGGCTGGTCTCTAACTCCCAGCCTCAAGCAATCCTCCTGCCTTGGCCTCCCAAAGAGCTGGGATTATACACATGAGCCACCACACCTGGCCATGTATTTTTGAATGTTTCTCTGGCTGTGAGCTGTCTGTCTAATAGTAAATTGATTTAAACATTTTCAGCCAGTTCTGTCCAACTATTTAGCCATACTTTTAGCATTTAAAAAACTTTTTTTTTTTTTGGAGACAGAGTCTTGCTCTGTCGCCCAGGCTAGAGTACAGTGGCGCGATCTCAGTTCACTGCAACCTCTGCCTCCCGGGTTCAAACGATTTTCCTGCCTCAGCCTCCGGAGTAGCTGGGATTACAGGCGCATGCCTCCACGCCTGGCTAATTTTTGTATTTTTAGTAGGGACGGGGTTTCGCCATGTTGGCCAGGCTAGTCTCGAACTCCTGACCTCAGGTGATCGGCCCGTATCAGCCTCCCAAAGTGCTGGGATTACAGGCATGAGCCACCGCGCCTGGCCAAAACTTCATGTTTCTTTGTTAGTCTCCTGATAAAAGAGGGACAACTCTCTTAAAGAAATTTTGAGAAGGTACCCTGATCAGAGAACTCCAAATCATTCCTCTGGGTATACTTAGATTTTCTTTAGGCTATGCTGAAAGTGAGGGTAGAAGATCTCCGTTAGAAATCTCCCCTCCAGGCCGGGTGCGGTGGCTCACGCCTGTAATCCCAGCACTTTGGGAGGCCGAGGTGGGCGGACCACCAGGTCAGGAGATTGAGACCATCCTGGCTAACATGGTGAAACCCCATCTCTACTAAAAATACAAAAAATTAGCCGGGTGTAGTGGCGGGCACCTGTAGTCCCAGCTACTCAGGAGGCTGAGGCATGAGAATGGCATGAACCCAGGAGACAGAGCTTGCAGTGAGCCGAGATCGCTCCACTGCACTCCAGCCTGGGCAACAGAGCCAGACTCCATCTCAAAAAAAAAAAAAGAAATCTCCTCTCCACTGCCCCCCACCCGTCCCCCAACCTCACTCTTCAATCTTGAGCTCGTGGACCCTGGGGATACCCTGCACGCCTGGCCGACGGAGCTCGGGCCGGGCCCGTCGGATGACTGTCTCCAGTGCTGCACGGTAGCAGTGAGTTCGAAGGCCAGGGCCAGCTTTCTGTAGCCGCTCAGCATATTCCTCCAGGGCATGGCAGGCCCCCTCCCGAAGCCGGTAGGGCAGTTCATAGCCAGGCAGCCCAGCCACCCACTGACTCAGTGGGTAGCCGCCAGGGTCACTCAGCTTCATGTAGCAGCAGCCCACTGAGGCCAGGGCCACCACCTCAGGACAGCAGGAGAAGTGTCTCAGCAAGGCAACACTCAGATCCCCACAGGCGTGGAGGCCTGTGAGCAGCAAGCGGGCCCTGCCCTGACACGGGTTCTCCAGTGGAAGCAGAAGCTCCTCACACAGGGCTGTGGGGTCTACCCACCTAACCACGTGGTGTGGGGAGTGACGAGGGCTGGTTTGGACCACCTGTGGAAGCAGGAAAGGACAAAGGCAGATGGGAAGTCTGTTTGCTGTCCCCAGGCCACCTCAGGCCACAGGAAGGGATCTGTCCTCCATGTTATTCCCCAAGGAGGAATGTGGGAGATAAGGTGGGTGCGGGAGGGGCTGGACCACAAGTCAGGAGAGGGGGAAAAGTCCTGGACCTATCATTCACCATGTACATCTTTTCATCTGAGACCCAGTTTTCTTATTTGTAACAAGTCTAAAACCTGACTGGCCACTTCACAGGTAGTGAGAAGTATACATTGGTGTGGAAAGCACTTTGTAAATAGAAAGTAACTTTGAGATACAGGGAGGCACTGGGGAAAGGGCAACCTTGGGAAAGAGGTAATAGAAATTAGGGACCACACCAGTTCAAGCTGAGAAACTTGAAAGATGTAATCCAGCCTCTGTGCTCAATTCCAGCCAAGCAGCCCCTGCTCCTGCAGTCCAGGTCGCAGGAAGGGTTGGCCTACCTGCGGGTTCCTCTTCTCCTCTTTCTCCAGAGCCTGCAGAAGCTCCTGGTCCAGGCGCTGGGCTCTCTCCACCAGTCTCTGATCCCCTTCGATGCTCTTCACCATCAACCCCAGGCCAAGAGCCATGAAGCGGGAGAGATGGCCCTGGAGTCACGAGGAGGATGGAAACAGCCCTGTTCAGTGCCCTATCCACTATCACCCTCCCCATGGGTAACCTGGACACCTGGGTCCCAGGCCCCACAGAAGGCTTAAATTTTACCCTACAGAACTTATTAACATCAGTGTGGCTTAAGTTGGTATATAACTCCCCCATTGTTAAATCTGACTGGCTTAAAAAAAATTATGCAAAGAGAAAAAAAAAATTCCACGCTTCTTGACACCTGCCTCGCTGGGCCTGTGGCCCGATAACCTGCCTTCCAGGTGTTCTATGTCCCCATGACTCAAAAAAACAGTACATCAAGACTCTGGCTCACCTGGCCTGAGCCCACGTCTACAACCTGGGTGCAGCCTGTGAAATCACTCAGCTTCTTCACCAACTGAAAAAGGAGGAAACAAAGGTCTCCTAGCCACTGGTTATTGACTCCTGGGGCAAACACCCATACTGAGAGTGGAAGAGACAAAGATGACAGAGAAAGATGGACAGAGGGTGCCCTGGATGTGAAGACAGATTTGGAAAGAAAGATATAAGGGTGAGGGTGGAAGCAAGGAGAGTGGACCTGACCCCAGGTTCAGGCCCACTCTCCTTGCCTCACAGGTCAGTGATTCAATCTCCCCCACAGAACAAGAACCCTGCGTGAAGCCATGAGCAGATTGTGGAGATTTGGGAACAGGAATGAGACAGTGATTCAGACCTAGCTGCCAACCAACCCCACAAAAGAATGAAAAAGAACCCCAGCATCAAAATATGATTAGTTATGTCTGTTGAGGTAAAGGAATGTCTAGGGCCTCTGGCCTTGCATGTGAGGTAAAGGGCACACATATTTGTAAGCCAGGCTTAAGGAGTCCCTGGGCTCCCAGACACCACCCATGCTCCAGCCATCTCCTCACCTCTCCCAGCCTCCGGATCTCATGCTGCTTCTTGGGCCTGACATGTTTCCGGAATGGAGCTGTTAGTCGGGAGCTCTGGCTGGGGTTCTCCAGGAATTCTGAGGGGGTCTGAAAGCCAGGCATCCGGGTAAAGGCCAGGGCACACGCCGTGGACTTCAGGGCCAGCAGGGTGAGTGGCCACACTGACCTGTACCTGAGATAGTCCAGCCGAGGCCTCCAGTGAATAGTCCCATCACATCTGAGTGCAGCAGTTTACAACCCGAGGCCCAGGAAGACCTTATGAGACTCTCTGAGCAATATGCTCACTGCAGGGCTTAAAGCCTTGAGTTCCCCAGCACAGGGACCTTCTAGCCCATACCTGACGACCTCCCCTTCCCCAGGCATCCCCAGCAGCATTGTGGCCAGCTGTGGTGGTTTCAGTCCATCCAATGCTTCCTGCCATGAGCAAGGGAGTGTGTCCCATAGGTTGTCTGTGAAAAATTCCTACAGAAGAAGGGGAGAAGCCATCAGCAAGCTACTACCACTCCCATTCTTTCCCACACCACTCTCAACTACACACCTCATTGCCTGCCTCTTCCCAGCACTGCTGCCACATAGGGCCACTGCCTGTAACTGGCAGGTACCTCCTGCTAAGCCGAGTCAGTTCTCTGAAGCCTGCTCCAGCCTCCCCGACTCTGGTGGCTTAACTCTGTTTCCCTGGAGTCCAGATTGCATTCTGGACACACTTCTTTTAGCAATTTCTGCACTTATTTGTGTCTGTTTTCTCTATTAAATTGAATTTCTTAAGGGGAGGGATGGGATGGTATCTTCACATCTGCATCCCTAACACTTACCAGAGTGACTGACACACAGTATTAGTACATTACCACTTAGTAACCTGCATTATATGTGCCAGACACTGGTGTCTTTTTATTCATTCGTCCACCACAAATTCTGGGGCTGTGTTTCGGTTATACATCAAGCTCTATTGTAGGCTCAGGGAATACAACAGTGAACCTGAGACAAGATTCTGGCTCCTGCAGAGTTTACATTAAAAAAAATAATAACTTTGGCCGGGCATGGTGGCTCACGCCTGTAATCCCAGCACTTTGGGAGACCAAGGCGGGCAGATCACCTGAGATCAGGAGTTCGAGACCAGCCTGGCCAATATGGTGAAACCCCGTCTCGACTAAAATTACAAAAATTTGCCAGGCATGTTGGCACACGCCTGTAATCCCAGCTACCCAGTAGGCTGAGGCAGGAGAATCACTGGAACCCTGGAGGCAGAGGCTGCAGTGAGCCTAGATTGTGCCACTGCACTCCAGCCTGGGCAGCAGAGCAAAACTCCCTCTCAAAAAAAACAAACCAAAACAAAACTTCAGACAACATCATATGTCATATAGACAAAACACTAATGAAACAGTAATGTAATGGAGAGTTTGGGCAAGGACTACTTTAGATAGGATGATGAGGGAAGACCTGTCTGAGGTGACATTTGAGCTGAGACTTGAATGATGAATAGGTGCTAGGCATGTAAAGAAAATACAGGTAATAGCAAACACTTATTTAACACCTTCTCGGCCAGGTACTGCTGTAAACATTTGACATGTATTAATGCATTTGATCCTTTAAACAACACTTTGAGGTAGGTATTATTTTTTATCCCCCATTTTACAGATGTAGAAACAGGCACAGCACTTAAGTAACTTGCCCACGTCCAAAAGCTAGCAAATAGCTGAGCTGGGATTATTTATTTATTTTTAGAGATGGAGTCTCACTCTGCCACCTAGGCTGGAGTGCAGTGGCGCGATCTCAGCTCACTGCAACCTCCGCCTCCCTGGTTCTAGCAATTCTCCTGCCTCAGCCTCCCTAGTAGCTGGGACTACAGGTGTGTGCTGCCAAGCCTAGCTATTTTTTTATTTTATTTTATTTTAGTAGAGACGGGGTTTCACCGTGTTGCCCAGGCTGGTCTCAAACTCCTGAGCTCAGGCAATCCACCCACCTCGGCCTCCCAGAGTGCTAGGATTACAGGTGTGAGCCATCGTACCCGGCCTGAGCTGGGATTTGAAACCAATTTTACTCTAGAGTCCTTGTTCTTAACCATTCTGCGATTGCCTTTCTGTGGCGGAAGAGCAGTGAGTGCAAAGGTCCAGATGCCTGCCATATTGGCAGAACAGAAATCAGGCCAGCAGAGGTATAGCACAGTGAAATGTGTGAGAGAATAAAATGGGATAGAGTTCAAGAGACAGTAGGAGCCAGAATATGGGTTTTATAGGTAATAGTAAGGAGTTAGGATTTCATAAAAGTATCTAGGAAGCAAGGGATTGTCGTGATCAGATTTACATTTGAATGCTATCAATCTAGCTGCTCAGTGAAGAATTGGTAATGGCAGGGCAGAGGTAAGCACACAGCAAGATCGGTTAGGAAGTAGTTCAGAAGAGAGGTGATGGTGGCTTGGCCTAGGGTGGCAGCAACGGAGGTGGGGACAAATGGATGAATTTGGGATCTATTCCGAAGGCAGAGCCAAGAGGACTTGTTGAAGAACTGGATTGTGGATCAATGAAGGACAGCACTGAATCAATGATGGCCTCTGGGTTTGTGGTCTAAACAATTCAGTGGATGGTGGTGCCATTTACACATTCTCTCATTTATTCTTCACAATAATCCTTCAGACTGGGATCCATTGTATAGCTGAGGAAACCCGGACTAGGACAAGTTGGGGGTTAGGGAGGCCTAAGGTTAACATCATAGGGGAGGCAGGATTCTAGACTAAGCCTTTTTGATTCCAGAGCCAGGACTGTCTACTATACCACAAAACCACGAATTTATTCAAAGCTTGGATGAATAACGTGTGTTCTTGGAACACCTGACATGCTCCAAGAAGAGTTCAACATAGTTGCAGCATGGTTCCAATGTCCACGCATTTTATTACCTTGGATCTGGGAAGATTACAAAAACAATCTAGGTAGGTACTAGAAATATTATTTATGCAGTGAGCCGAGATCGTGCCACTGCACTCCAGCCTGGGGGACAGAGCGAGACTCCGTCTCAAAAAAAAAAAGAAAAAAAAAAAGAAAAAGAAAAAAAAAGAAATATTATTTATGTCAGCTGAAAAAAAAGGAGGGATCACTCCAGTTTTAACCCCTTCTTGTACAGAAAAAGACTGAAACTCATAGAAGGAAAGAGATCAGAGGCTAATTCTCCAGATTCTCTCCCTGACGTGGGCACCTAGCCAACCACACGACCAGAGACATCCCACCCACGCCCCTGTGGCCTCACGATGATGTAGGCATCCAAGATGGAACGGTAGAGTGCCAGGACACGGGTGAGGTTAACAGCTAGCTGCTTCCTCCCCTCATGAGAGAGGCCTCGGGCGGAGATGCCCGGCATCCCGGGGTCCAGCAGGGAGCGCGGGGAGCGAGAACGCAGTGAACAGGGATCCAGGGTCAGTACTACGCGGGTCCAGGACCCGGACGGGGCTCAACTCTGCAGGCAGAACAGGAAGAGTTTTGGGTCCAGTCTCCGACGCTGCCTTTCCGGGATCCGATGCTGGAGTGGAAGATTTGAGGCGCCCCCCAGACGTCACAGGTCGCGACGTTTCACAGTGAGAAGGTGTCAGCGTCAGAGACACGTAGGGCGGGGTAACAGTGCAGTGACGCCACAAAAGCGTGCCGCTGAGCTCAGCTCACAACGAGGCGGGCCAAGTTCCAGTTCCCGCCCCTTGCCGTACACTCCTCTCCTCTTACGGAAGTGAAGCCGGAGGTGTCCGGCGGGCTGCAGTTCCGGTTTATCGCGGCCTTCCCACACCTTCGCGTTGTACCACCACGGGGCTAGAGGGGCCGGGGAGCGCATCCCGCCCCCGCCCCCACCCACGCCGCCCCCTCCTCCGCCGCCACTGCCGCTCCTCACACACTCGGAATCACTGGCCTCACTACCTGGGGTCGGGGCGGTGCGGGTGTGCGCGCGCCGACCTCTGGCGCGTTCTAACCCGCGCGCCTGCCTTCCCGGGCTTCGTCGGCGCGCACCGATTTCCGCATCCGGCTCCGGACGCTTCCGGTCTTAGCTGGACCCGTCTGGGAGGTAGGTTTGTGAGCGTGAGAGATCGATCTGTACCGCGGGGATCCGAAGTATGCTTATCCAGGTGGGCTGCCTCAAGCCTCGATCCCACCCCCGCGCTGGTAGATGGTGTCAAGGTCCTTGCGTGGGAGAAGGACTTGGGTGAGATGCATGCGGAGATTGCCCCCAATTCCGGCCTGGAGCCAAGGGAAAGGGATGCCTGGATTTGTGTCTCTATTGGTGGTCCACGCTGCGGATGCCTGGGTAGCCCAGAGGTTATCTACGCCATACTTCTCACTGTTTTTGAGCATACCTAGATGTTCCTTTCCTAGGCGGAGTATAGATCGCACGTGTTCTAGCCTCTTAGACTCAGAGGGTTCGAGCTCTATAAGCCCCTCCACTCCCTTCATTTTACAAATGAGACTCAAACCTAGAGCGCGGTAATGACCTTACTAAGACCAAATGGCTGGTGAATTGGGCTTCACTAGAATCCAGGCTTGCTGGCTAACACCAATGCTCCCTCCATCATTTCATGTTATGTTTTCATTTCCCCTCTGTCTGAGAGATTGCTCTGATGTCTTTCCTTCCATAAGTCCTACGGAGATCGAGCTTACCTCATTTTTCTCCCAGGCCTAGGAGCTCAATTACCAGGATCACTTTCTTCCCCAGGGTGTACTACAGACCTCCACATGTTGGACAGTAGGATTCAGCAGAGAATGAGTCCCACATCCTCTTTTCATCCATAAGCCACTCTTCCCAACTACTCTTCCGCCTTCCATTGTCCCTATGTCTACTTTACTGCTCAATCTGGATTTTGGGGAACCTCCTCCCAAAAAGGCATTAGAAGGAAATGCCAAGCACCGAAATTTTGTCAAGAAGCGGAGGCTCTTAGAACGGAGAGGCTTTCTGAGTAAAAAGAACCAACCCCCTAGCAAGGCGCCTAAGTTGCACTCTGAACCTTCAAAGAAAGGGGAAACTCCTACGGTCGATGGCACTTGGAAGACCCCTTCCTTCCCAAAAAAGAAGACAGCTGCTTCCAGCAATGGGTCAGGACAGCCCCTGGACAAGAAAGCTGCAGTGTCTTGGTTGACCCCTGCCCCTTCAAAAAAGGCTGATTCTGTTGCTGCTAAAGTAGATTTGCTGGGGGAGTTCCAGAGTGCCCTTCCAAAGATCAATAGCCACCCAACCCGCTCTCAGAAGAAGAGCTCCCAGAAGAAATCCTCTAAAAAGAACCATCCTCAGAAGAATGCCCCACAGAACTCCACCCAAGCTCATTCAGAGAATAAATGCTCCGGAGCATCCCAGAAGTTGCCACGGAAGATGGTGGCAATTGACTGTGAGATGGTGGGCACAGGACCAAAGGGGCATGTTAGTTCCTTGGCTCGATGTAGCATTGTCAACTACAACGGAGATGTGCTTTATGACGAGTACATTCTTCCCCCCTGCCACATTGTGGACTACCGAACCAGGTGGAGTGGTATCCGGAAGCAGCACATGGTGAATGCCACACCCTTCAAGATTGCTCGAGGCCAGGTAAGAAGCATGGGGCTTGATGGTGGCAGGGAGGTGGATGGAGAGAGGTCTAAATCATTTTTCAGCAAAGGATATCACTATGGGAAGACACCAACGTTTGTGGAGGGAGGGAGGAGAATCTATCAGTTGTTGAAGAAGGCCCCCTGTCGGTGGAAGAAGCAGTGAAAGTCAGGAAGGTACAATTAGCTGGTGTCACAAACTTCATTGGTCAAGATCTATTTTAGCCGGGCGCAGTGGCACTTGCCTATAATCCCAGCACTTTGGGAGGCTGAGGCGGGAGAATCGCTCAAGCCCAGGAACTCAAGCCCTGTCTGGGCAACATAGCGGAACTCATCTACAAAAAAGTTAGCCAAGTGTGGTACATGCCTGTAGTCCCAGCTACTCAGGAGGTCGAGGCTGCAGTGAGCTGAGATCACACCACTGCCACTGCACTCCAGCCTGAGCGACAGAGTGAGATCCTGTCTCAAAAAAACAAACAAAAAAACTATTTTAGGTTCTAAATTGGGTCTGGGGAACTGGGAATCTGCATAGAAAAATAACAGCAAGTGATGAAACTAGACAGAGCTGCAGACACCAGTGTCAGGAGAAAGGGCTTGATTTGGAAAAACCTTGCGAGTTGGAGCCTAAGCTTGAGAGAGGAAAGGTGGAGAGCTCGTCCCAAGCAAAAAGTAGCCTGGGGCAAGTGCGGAAAGTGGTGGTGGTAAGAGAGGGCAGAAAGTTGACAGGAGGAGCTGGGGTATATATTGTCCAACTGGAACAGGTAACCAGTGAACGGCATAAACGGCACAGGGCCGGCACTTCGGGTTGTCATCTCACTCCTAGCCCTGTGCTGGCCATGGAGCGCAAGGCATGAACGGAAAGGAGAGTGAGCTGGGAGGGGTGAAAGAGGAAGTGAAGGGAGAGCAAGAGACCTGCTGGTCTCAGGAGGCCGCCAGAGGGCGCCCTTGGTCCACGTCTTTGCAGTTTCAGGTCCACACTCTGCCCTCTCTGGACACGCTGTTCCCATAATGCCTTATATGCGGTCAGTTGGAGGAGGTTCGTTAGAGGTGAGGTGACTGACTATTTTAGAAAAGACGGAAAGAAGAGTTAAACATCTTGTGCACAAAGGGGCGCAGCCAAGCAAAGGCATAGGAGAGGCAGAAGATGGGACGGGTCTGAGACAGCAAATCTGCCCAGCTTTGATGAGGGCTATATGTCGAGGTTAATAAGAAGTGAAGGTGGTGGTGGACAGTAAGTAGGTGAAGTCAGGAGTAACGAAATATCTAGTTCACGGGACTACGTCTGGTTTTCATCATAAAGCACTTCCCCAGTGCCAAGCTGGGGTTATGAGACTAAGGTATGTCCAGATGAGCCTAGCCCCTTCAGAGGGGGTCCCTTTGGGAGGCTATGCAGGACTGTCACTTTTGTTGAAAACCTGTTTGGAACCTCATTTGGGAATGGCCTTCAGAGCCTGTGGTGTGTTCTTCGGTTGTCCTCATTGGTAGCATGTCCTCCTACTTCAAGAGCCTGAAATGGCTAGGTGTGGTGACATGTGTCTGTAATCCCAGCTACTCAGGAGTTTGAGGTGAGAGCATTGCTTGAGCCCAGGAGTTTGAGGCCAGCCAACCTGGGAAAAATAGCAAGACCTCATCTCTTTTAAAAAATAAGTTACCTGAAGGCCAGGTGTGGTGGCTCACACCTGTAATCCCAGCACTTTGGGAGCCTGAAGCGGGCAGATCACAAGATCAGGAGTTCAAGACCAGCCTGGCCCATATGGTGAAACTCCGTCTCTACTAAAAATACAAAACTTAGCCAGGCATGGTGGCAGGTGCCAGTAGTCCCAGCTACTTGGGAGGCTGAGGCAGGAGAAACGCTTGAACCCGGGAGGCGGAGGTTGTAGTGAGCCAAGATCGCGCCAGTACACTCCAGCCTGGGCAACAGAGCAAGACTCCATCTCAAAAAAAAAAAACAGTTTCCTGAAATATTGAGAAGTTATTTTTATTTTACTTGGTTCCAAAACTAGTGTGAATAAGGTTGCTTCTGCAACTTTAGTTTATATGTGATTCTTAATTTTTTACGGTTTGTAGACTCTGAGAATTTGATGAAAGCCACAGATTCTCTTCCTCTAGTACCCATACACATCTAATTGCATGTAATTTTGGGCTTTTGTTAGCCTCCCTGGAGCCCGGGTCCCAGCCATGTGTCTAAGGCCAACATAATGGTAATAGTTAAAGGACTTCATGTAGCAAGCCAGAACTGAACTAAATACATGGACATCTCAAACATGAGTGTCATTTAGGACTGAAGGCAAATTAATGTCATGGGGTGGAGATCAATAAGAAGGTAAGGAGCCACTGGCAGTATGAGTCCAAACAGGGTATACCATGGAAATCACCTGTGGAAGAGGAAGGTGGATTCCAGAAGAAAGAAAACTTGTGGGAGTGAGCATTTCAAGGATGGAGAGGTAGGCAGTTGGTGAAAGAATCCAGAAGGGATTGATGGTCATGTTGGGCTTTCAGAATGCAGGGGTTCCACTTCAGTCTTCCTTCTCACCACTCTCTTCCCACACTTCTTCCAGATCTTGAAGATACTCACAGGGAAGATAGTGGTGGGGCATGCCATCCACAACGACTTCAAAGCCCTTCAGTACTTTCACCCCAAGTCCCTCACCCGTGACACCTCCCATATCCCCCCCCTCAACCGGAAGGCTGACTGCCCGGAGAATGCCACCATGTCTCTGAAGCATCTCACCAAGAAGCTGCTAAACCGGGATATCCAGGTAGCATCTCCCCACATCCCCCGCCCCCATCTTGGACATGGCTCTCGTTGATGCCCCTAGCCAGACTCTGATCTCAGAAGTCCTGTGGTTGTAGAGATCCAGGTGGGCTGCTGTGATGGGAAGAGCTCCATCTGTACACAGGATAATAATTCCTGTTGTCTACCTCATAGAATGTTTCAAAGTGTGCTTTGGAAAAGGGAAAAAGTCCTAAGTAGATATAAAACCCTAACTAAGGAAGAAAGCAGGTAGCAGTGGTGGTCCAAGAGACCGTGTAGTGGATGCAAGGACCGCTCGTATTTTACACGCTATATTTCAGCAAAGGGTGGCCCATCTGGCAGGAAGATGGGGACATATGTCACATATAGAGCAGTTAAGGAACTAGGGAAAGTGGAAGACTCAGAAGACCTGTCTTTGACCTGGTATGTTCTATCTCTACAGAACCTAATATGGCTTATACATACTGCCACAGAAAGGACTGAGGTAGACAGTGGCAAAGACTTCCTAGGAGTTGAACCCCTGAAATTACATAAGGAGTAGGACCCCACCAGAATTCTGTCTTTGTAGGCTGCTGACTGCAGAAGAAACTGTGTAGCGGAGGCAGGGGGAAGAGGAGTACAGAGAGTACACTGGGAAGGAAGAAACGGTTTCTTTTCTCTTCATGCTCTTGTCTTCCTTGCTTGCTCAGGTTGGGAAGAGCGGACATTCCTCTGTGGAAGATGCCCAGGCCACCATGGAGCTATATAAGTTGGTTGAAGTCGAGTGGGAAGAGCACCTAGCCCGGAATCCCCCTACAGACTAGTGGCAGTGGGGACGCTGGTGATATGAGGAGGCAGAGGCAGCACCCAGGAGAAACAGGGCAGTGGACCAATGGACAGCTCCACCAGCTCCACATCTTTGGAAGCTAGATTTGGGGAGAGAGAAGCTCTACCCCAGACTTAATACCCATTGAAATTTCACCTCAGGTGTTGTGTCCTGTGTCTGGTTAAGTGTCCCATGGAAGGGGAAAGCCTTCACGTCAGAACCCAACCCTATACCTTTTACTTCTTAAATGGTGCTAACCACAGGTGTCCCAGGGTGCTCTGTGCCAGTTAAGATTTTTAACTTTCAAGGGGCAGGGCATACTGGGAAATGTAGTTTCCCAAACTGCCTTATCACTTGGGTGGACATATGTCTCCTTTTATGCCTTTTGGTCTTGAGTAATTAACAGCATCCTCTTCCACGCTCAGAAGTGTTCTGGTTGGGGCCAGGCATGGTGGCTCACACCTGTAGTCCCAACACTTAGGGAGGCCGAGGCGGGCGGATCACCTGAGATCAGGAGTTCAAGACCAGCCTGGCCAACATGGCGAATTCCCGTTCTCTACTAAAAATACAAAAAATGTGTGGGGTGTGGTGGCAGGAGCCTGTAATCCTAGCTACTCAGGAGGCTGAGGCAGGAGAATCGCTTGAGCCCAGGAGGCGGAGATTGCAGTGAGCCGAGATCGTGTCACTGCACTCCAGCCTGGGTGACAAGAGTGAGACTCCGTCTCCAAAAAAAAAAAAAAAGAATTTATTAACCTGGTTGGTTAATAAATTGTGTGGTCCCTGCCGGGCGTGGTGGCTCACGCCTGTAATCCCAGCACTTTGGGAGGCCGAGACGGGCAGATCACGAGGTCAGGAGATCGAGACCATCCTGGCTAACACGGTGAAACCCCGTCTCTACTAAAAATACAAAAAATTAGCCAGGCGTGGTGGCGGGCACCTGTAGTTCCAGCTACTTGGGAGGCTGAGGCAGGAGAATGGCGTGAACCCAGGAGGCGGAGCTTGCAGTGAGCCGAGATTGTGCCACTGCACTCCAGCCTGGGCCACGGCCACAGAGCGAGACTCTGTCTCAAAAAAAAAAAAAAATTAAAATTGTGTGGTCCCTTTCCATGTCACAGAGTCTGCTTTTGGCTCAGAGTCTGTATCTAGCCTGTGTCAGGATATTGCCTGTTCTTCCCACCTTGACTTCCAGAGCAGCCATCGCTGGTGAGCTTTAGTTCTCCTTAGGGTTCCAAGGCATTAGAAGTAAGAGTGTAGCTTGGAAACCAACTTCTGTGATTTAGGAAAGCTGTCTCTTTCCTAAGGTAATAGGGGGTTTATTTCATTTAGGCCCCAGTTGGTAGGTTTTAAAATAATTTATAAAGTGTTTTAATAATTTGGTTGTCTTTTTTACCTTGCTAAACCAAGCCTCTAAAAACTCAAATTATTCCCTTGATAAATTTTTATAATGGAAAAGCAATTATGTACAGTTTCTTCTTTATGTTAAATAGCTCTATCACAAAGTATTGTGGAGCTGTAGTTTTCTTAGGGGATTTCCAGGTTCACTGGATGACACTAACTGGGGCCCTTCCTGGAAGTCATAGAACTGACCAAGCCTTTGTGCGTAACCCACGTGACACATATGGTTCCTTGTCCTCATCCCTACCACACATCAGAGCTGAGCATGGCAGCTCACGCCTGTAATCCCAGCTACCCGGGAGGCTAAGGCATGATGATTCCTTGAGCCCAGGAATTTAAATCCAGCCCAGGCAAAATAGACCCCATCTCAATTTTAAAAAAAAGGAATGAGCACACCTAAAATGACACCCCAAGCCATGCAACTCCCCCTGACACACACAGGGTATGTGACCAGGAGAGTGAGATAGAGAGAGTGGGCATGAAGGAGGGGCAGAGCAGGGGAGAAAGGGTGCTTGGTGATGACAGCCTGGTCCTGCTGCCAGCTTTTGGTGGTACACACCCCATCTTGGGAAAGAGTCACCAGTCTGACCTTGTGTCCAGGATCATTATCTGCACTTTCTTGAGAGAATGCAGACTCCATGTCTACACAAGGACTTTTGCATTCTTGAGTGGCTGGTCTGGTTCCAGGGGCCAGAGTCACGGTCACAGCTGCCTATAGAAGTGAATTTCGTGCAGCCAGACCAGACCCAGACATGGTCTTGTTGAGGCCTGCACTGTGGGGTCTGTTGCACAGGCAGCCATTGTGCTCTGAGCAAATTGGTTCCTGTGGGGCCCAACATATTTAATGTCCATGACTTCACAAAGGGGTGCCAGGTATCCTTGCACAGCAAGAACTAAGAATAGTGCAAGGAGGCCGCAACAGAAACTGGTAAGAATACACACATGCAAGCGATTCTTAACTACATTGTAATCAGTAAATGAAGATAACGACAATATTCTCATTAGGGTACTTACTGGCTGAAACAAAACTAACTTTGTCAGGCCGGTGCAGTGGCTCACACCCGTAATCCCAGCACTTTGGGGAGGCTGAGGCAGGAGGATGGCTTGAGCCCAGGAGTTTGAGACCAGCCTGGGCAACATAGTGAAACCCCATCGCTACCAAAAAAAAAAAAAAAAAAAACCCTGGCTTTGTATGTGTCTTGGTAAAGTAGCAACTGGCTTTTATGATCCCCCTACCCCCACACCCTGTGTCTAAAAGGGCACATGACTGCTACAGCCTCAAAACAAAAGTACTTGATCTCAGTCCAATGTTGAAAAGAGCTCATTCTGCCTGGCACGGTGGCTCACGCCTGTAATGCCAGCACTTTGGGAGGCCGAGGTGGGTGGATCATGAGGTCAGGAGATTGAGACCATCCTGGCTAACACGGTGAAACCCCATCTCTACTAAAAAAATACAAAAAATTAGCCAGGCGTCGTGGTGGGCGCCTGTATTCCCAGCTACTCGGGAGGCTGAGGCAGGAGAATGGCGTGAACCCGCGAGGCGGAGCTTGCAGTGAGCCGAGATCGCACCGCTGCACTCCAGCCTGGGCGACAGAGCGAGACTCCGTCTCAAAAAAAAAAAAAAAAAGAGAAAAGAGCTCATTCTTACTTTTGCTCACCAAGAAAAACCTGGGAGACGAGAAGACCTTGCAGGCAATTCCTTAACTGTTTACCCTCATCACACTTCCTTGTCAGAGCCCAGCTTACCTAGCAAGGGTGCCTGGGAATCCCCTGTACTTCAATCCCCTTCCTGTTCTGTCTCTGTCCTGACTTCATCCAGTTGATAGTGGACAAACCCTATTGTAGATTGCTGCCTGAACCCCAGTCAGCAAGTCCTGTTTTGGCTTAAATCTAAGGTCTTGTTGGATGTGATGGCTCACGCCCGTAATCCCAACACAGAGACTAAGACAGATCACTTGAGGTCAGGAGTTCGAGACCAGCCTGGGCAACATGAAACCCCATCTCTACTAAAAATACAAAAATACAAAAAAATCCCCAGCACATGGGGCACATGCCTATATTCCCAGCTACTTGGGATGCTGAGGCAGGAGGATAGCTTGAACCCGGGAGGCAGAGGTTGCAGTCAGCCAAGATTGTGCCACTGAACTCCACTCCAGCCTGGGCGACAGAGTGAGGACTCCGTCTCAAAAAAAAAAAAAAAAAAATCTGAGGTCTTTCAGAGTGGAGCAAATGCATGACAACATGTAAGCTTTTGCTAGTAATATTCTTTTCATGGCATAATGAAGTTTTCTTATACTAAAAGACCCTCTGCTACAAGTGAGACTAGGAAAAGACAAGAGTGTAAGAACATATCCTGCTGAACATACTTGTGATAGTCTAAAACTTCACTTAACAAAGTAGTTCTCAAACGGGGAAGGGAGCATGTATTTTGAGATTTTAGGCTTCAGCACTACTCATCTCTCTGCCCTTAAGAACCAGTGCTTGGCCAGGCACGGTGGCTCATGCCTGTAATCCCAGCACTTTGGGAGGCCGAGGTGGGTGGATCATGAGGTCAGGAGTTCGAGACCAGCCTGGCCAATGTAGTGAAACACCGTCTTTACTAGAAATACAAAAATTAGTTGAGCATGGTGGCACACGCCCATAGTTCCAGCTACTCAGGAGGCTGAGGCAGGAAAATCGCTTGAACCCAGGAGGCGGAAGCTGCGGTGAGCCAAGATCAAGCCACTACACTGCAGCCTGGGCAACAGAGCCAGACTCCATCTCAAAAAAAAAAAAAAAAAAAGGGCTGGGCACCGTGGCTCACGCCTGTAATCCTAGCACTTTGGGAGGCCAAGGCCAGCGGGTCACGAGGTCAGGTGTTCGAGACCAGCCTGGCCAGCATGTTGAAACCCTGTCTCTACTAAAAATACAAAAATTAGCCAGGCATGGTGGCACCTGCCTGTAATCCCAGCTACTCAGGAGGCTGAGGCAGGAGAATCCCCTGAATCCAGGAGGCGGAGGTTGCAGCGAGCTGAGATCATGCCACTGCACTCCAGCCTGGGCAACAGAGCAAGACTCCGTCTCAAAAAAAAAAAAAAGTTATCTAGGGAAGGCTCCAAGGAGGAATCATTTGATTACTAGTTTAATAGATAATTACAGTGGACAATAGGAAAGATCAACAGTACTGTAATTACGAACTTGCCCCAAGGCACATTAGTCCAAGTTCAAGTTTAGAGAGACAAATACCTAAGAATGTGATATGCCAGGTACCTCTATGAATATCCTGAATCCACAGTCTGGGTGTAATGTAGGTCACAAAGCACTTTCACCAAAGAGATGACAGCTTAAAGAAGTTACTTTGCATTGATAATGGGTTCCAAACTTGATTTTGCTACTTACTAAATTTGTGACATAAGTAAGTCACTTGATCTTAATGGTTCTAGTGCCAAAATCCTGGGATTTTTTTCTAACCTTGATATTTAACTGATGGTTGCCATCATCAGTAATAATAATAGGCTGGGCGCGGTGGCTCACGCCTGTAATCCCAGCACTTTGGGAGGCCGAGGCAGGCGGATCACGAGGTCAGGAGATCAAGACCATCCTGGCTAACACGGTGAAACCCCGTCTCTACTAAAAATACAAAAAATTACCCAGGCATGGTGGCGGGCGCCTGTTGTCCTAGCTACTCGGGAGGCTGAGGCAGGAGAATGGCGTGAACCCGGGAGGTGGAGCTTGCAGTGAGCCGAGATTGCGCCACTGCACTCCAGCCTGGGCGACAGAGCCAGACTCCGTCTCAAAAAAAAAAAATAATAATAATAATAATAATGGCAGCCATTTATTGAGTGCTTCTCTGTGCCAGCCACTGTGCTGACCCCTTTAGACGCAATATCTTGGCCCAGTGCGGTGGCTCACACGTGTAATCCCAGCACTTTGAGAGGCCAAGACAGGTGGATGGTTGAGGCCAGGAGTTCAAGACCAGCCTGACCAACATGGAGAAACCCATCTCTACTAAAAATACAAAAAAATTAGCCAGATGTGGTGATGCATGCCTGTAATCCCAGCTACTTGAGAGGCTGAAACACGAGAATCACTTGAATGCGGAGGCGGAGGCTGCAGTGAGCCGAGATCATGCCACTGCACTCCAGCCTGGGCGAGAGAGCAAGACTGTCTCAAAAAAAATAAATAAATGAAAAGATGCGTTATCTCAGTCTCTGTAAAGTAGGTGGTATTAATTTAACAATTGAGGAAACAGGTTGACAAAAGATAAGAAATCTTTCCCAGGCCAAATAGCTGGAGGTTGGCGATGCTGGCACTCCGACTTCCCAAGTCTGCCAATCTGAAGTCTCTGCTCTTAACCACTGCCCTGCTCTTCTGTTAACACATGCAAATGGCATCTGGTGAGACTTGGAATCTTTCCACTGAAATATTTATTAAGCACCTGCTGTGTGTTAGGCATTGTGCTAGGCACTAGGGAAACGGGCATTGTTTTTGCCCCTGAGTTGCTTACAGCAACCTGAAGAAGAGAAACCAGTAAACTATTTTCAGTGCACTGTGCCAAGTGCCATCCCAAGTCATTGAAGGATTTCGAGCAGGGCAGTGATCTGATCAGATCTGTGGTTTTTTTGGAAGATGATGCTGGCAACCAAAAGGAAGCTGGATTGAAGAAGGCCTGGGAGATGAATTCTGTTGGGATCATTTGTATAAGCAATGATGGAGGCCTCAATCAATAAAGCGGGAGGATGCATCTGAGCATCACTGAGGAGGTAGAATCAGTAAAATAGAGAACAAGGCAAGAGATAAAAAGTTGACTTGAGCCGAGCATGGTGGCTCACGGTCTCCCAGCACTTTGGGAGACCGAGGCGGGTGGATCACCTGAGATCGGGAGTTCGAAACTAGCCTGACCAACATGAAGAAACCCCATCCCTCTCTCTTTTTTTTTTTTTTTTTTTTTTTGAGACAGAGTCTCGCTCTGTCGCCCAGGCTGGAGTGCAGTGGCGCGATATCGGCTCACTGCAAACTCCGCCTCCCAGGTTCACGCCACTGTCCTGCCTCAGCCTCCCGAGTAGCTGGGACTACAGGTGCCCACCACCACGCCCGGCTAATTTTTTGTATTTTTAGTAGAGACGGGGTTCCACCGTATTAGCCAGGATGGTCTTGATCTTCTGACCTCGTGATCCGCCTGCCTCGGCCTCCCAAAGCGCTGGGATTACAGGCATGAGCCACCACGCCCAGCCTAGAAACCCCATCTCTACTGAAAATACAAAATTAGTCGGGCATGATGGCACACGCCTGTAATCTCAGCTACCCAGGAGGCTGAGGCAGGATAATCGCTTGAATCCGGGAGGCGGAGGATGCAGTGAGTTGAGATCACATCATTGCACTCCAGCCTGGGCAACAAGAGCACAACTCCGTTTCAAAAAAAAAAAAAAAAAAAAAAAAAAAAAGGTTGACTTGATATTTCTGAATGAGGTTGAGTAGACAGTAGTGGTGCCACTCACCAACATAGAGAATATGCTGGAGAGAACTGCAGGTTTTGAAGATGTGTTGGATATTCTATTGGGTTGACTTTGAGCTGTCTGAAGATATCCAGTTAGCAGCCGGATAACTAGACTGGAGCTTAGCATAGCAAAGAGATCTGGGGCTAGAAACTAAGGCTCAAAGACAACAGGGTAGCAGGGGGATGGAAGACTTGGATTGGGAGGAGGCCTTCCAGGAAAGGTATATAAAGAAGACCAGCAGGTTGGCCTGGTGCAGTAGCTTACACCTGTAATCCCAGCACTTTGGGAGGATGAGGCGGGCAGATCACTTGAAGTCAAGAGTTGAAGACCAGCCTGGCTAACATGGTGAAGCTCTGTCTCCACTAAAAACACAAATAAGCTGGGCATGGTGGTGCACACCTGTAATCCCAGCTATTCAGGAGGCTGAGGCAGAAGGATCATTTGAACCCGGGGGGCAGAGGTTGCAGTGAGCTGAGATGGCACCACTGAACTCCAGCCTGGGTGACAGAATGAGACTCCATCCATCTCAAAAAAGAAGAAGAAGAAGGAGAAGGAGAAGAGAAGAAGAGGAAGAAGAAGGGCAGAAGGTCAAAATCAGAGTTTTGGGGAACACCTGGACTTACAAGCTTCTGGAGGTAGAGAGGCCTAAGAGAGAGCTACAAGACAGGTAAGAGGACAATCAAGAAAGAGACTTTCCAGGAAGGAGATCAGACTTCATGGAGAAGTCAGTAAGGTAAGGTAAGAACGAACAAAGGGGTCTGTTGTAGCCCTTCCTCTGCACAATGTCTGGGGTGGGAGTTGGGAAGGTAACAAAAAGCTCAATTGCAGTGGGTTGGAGGATAAACTGGAAGTGGGGAAGGAGAGAAGTGGGTGTGGACTGCTCTTTCTTGGTTCTGGAGGGAGCAGGTGACGGTCGCTATAGGAGCAGAGGCCTGAAGATACTGAGGGATAGAGCCAGTGGATCATAATGTGGCTGGGCAAGGGGCAGGTGAATGAATGCTACAGTAGATCGTGAAAGTGCAGACAGGAGGGATCCCAAGCTTAGCCTTGGCCAGCAGTAAGGACACCTTATCTTCTGGGAAAGAAAGGAAAGAGGAAAGGGTAAGGGCAGATAAATATGTTTCTGAGTGGTGGTGGAATAAAGTGATTATCACCTAGAGACCTTGACCTCATTCAGTTGGAGGCAGAGTGGTCTGCTGAGTGAGGGGAAAGCCAATGGGTCATGAACTTGAAAAGAATAAAGACAGCTTGGAGAGGGCTTCAAGAAGAACAGGAGAGTGAGCTGACCAAGAACTTAAGGAAGGGCTGCCGAACAATGTTGAGTTCCTGATTTGTCAGAAACTGAATTTGCAGGGGCACTGCAAGCTGGTTGTGATTTTTTTTTTCTTTTAAAAAAAGGATCACTTAGCAGCCCAAATGTAGAAAGGGAGAGTTTACATGGTTGGGCTGTGTAGGCTACAATGGAAGGACGGGATGTGGGTCCAGAGGCCAGTGTCAAACAGGATGGAGACAAAGTAGTTGGCATCCATGTTGAGTAAGCATTGAAGGTGCATTGGTGGCTGCAGGATTAGAAGCAGAGAAAGATTGGGAGCTGAGCTAGACATGCAGTGACCTGAGCTGCGCAGATGCAGCAAAGGAGGAGAAGACACAATGAGCACATGGCATGAGCCTTAAAGAATTTGGGGGAGGCCGGGCGTGGTGGCTCACACCTGTAATCCCAGCACTTTGGGAGGCTGAGGCGGGCGGATCATGAGGTCAGGAGTTCGAGACCAGCCTGACCAACATGGTGAAACCCCCGTCTCTACTAAAAATACAAAAATTAGCCAGGTGTGGTGGCGTGCGCCTGTAATCCCAGCCACTCGGGAGGCTGAGGCAGGAGAATCACTTGTACCTGGGAGGTAGAGGTTGCAGTGAGCCAAGATCATGCCATTGCACTCCAGTCTGGGCGACAAGAGTGAGACTCCGTCTCGAAAAAAAAAAAATGAATTTGGGGGAGGTGGCTGGGCCTGATGGCTCCTGCCTGTAATCCCAGAACTTTGGGAGGCTGAGGCGGGTGGATCGCCTGAGGTTGGGAGTTCGAGACCAGCCTGGCCAACACGGCAAAACCCCGTATCTATTAAAAATACAAAAATTAGCTGGGCATGGTGGCGCACTCCTGTGATCTCAGCTACTCGGGAAGCTGAGGCAGGAGATTCACCTGACCACAGGAGGTGGAGGTTGCAGCGAGCCAAGATCACACCGCTGCACTCCAGCCTGGGTGACAGAGTAAGACTCCATCTCAAAAAAAAAAAAAAAAAAAAAAAAAAAAAGAATTTGGGGGAGGGGATTTCTAAGAGGACAACCAAGGCATAGGAAGAATTGAGAAGACTAAAGAGTTCTGAGCTCTCCTAGCCAGAGATAATTGCCTCAGCCAGGGCTGTGTCACTCTCCTTTTTATTTATTTATTTATTTTTGATACAGAGTCTCGCTCTGTCGCCCAGGCTGGAGTGCAATGACGTGATCTCGGCTCACTGCAACCTCAGCCTCCCAGGTTCAAGTGATTCTCCTGCCTCAGCCTCCCAAATAGCTGGGATTACAGGCATCCGCTACCACGCCTAGCTAATTTTTGCATTTTTAGTAGAGACAGGGTTTCACCATGTTGGCCAGGCTGGTCTCAAACTCCCGACCTCAGGTGATCTGCCTGCCCCAGCTTCCCAAAGTGCTAGGATTACAGGCGGCAGCTACCACACAATGGCCATTTTTTTTTTTTTTTTTTTTTTGTGACAGAGTTTCGCTCTTGTTGCCCAGGCTGGAGTGCAATGGCACAAAATCTCGGCTCACTGCAACCTCCACTTCCCAGGTTCAAGCGATTCTCCTCCCTCAGCCTCCTGAGTAGCTGGGGTTACAGGCACACATCATCACGTTCAGCTAATTTTTGTATTTTTAGTAGAGACGGGGTTTCACCATGTTGGCCAGCTGGGTCTTGAACTCCTGACCTAGTGATTCATCCGCCTCAGCCCCCAAAGTGCTGGGATTACAGGCGTGAGTCACCGCACCTAGGCGGCCTCTCCATTTCATTTTTATTTTATTTTAGGTACTTATTTATTTATTTTGAGACAGAGTCTTACTCTGTCACCTAGGCTGGAGTGCAGTGGCGTCACCTCGGCTCACTGCAACCTCCACCTCCTGGGATCAAGCAATTCTCTTGCCTCCACCTCCCAAGTAGCTGGGATTACAGGCATGTGCCACCATGCCCAGTTAATTTTGTATTTTTTAGTAGAGACAGGGTTTTTCCATGTTGGTCAGGCTGGTCTCGAACTCCCGACCTCAGATGATCCACCCCCTTCGGCCTCCCAAAGTGCTGGGATTACATGGTAAGCCACCGCGCCCAGCCTCTATGCTTTCTTTCAAAGGGTACATACAATGCATAGGATTTGGAGAGGTGGGGAAGTGTGGAGAGAGAAGGTGTTTTTAAGAATTTGGCATGGAAGGACAAGCACACCTTAATCCTCTTCCAGGCTCAACCAAATTCCATTCTGAAGTGTTTAAAAGCAAAGCTTTGGAATCAGACACACCCAGGACACCATATGGAAACTCTTGCACAGTGCTGGGCCCAGAGTAAGTGCCACTCATTTCCCAGGCCCACGCCTGTGACCCTGACCCTGCCTGCCAGAGCTCATAGCTGCACCAGAAATGTAAATCATCAATCATCTGGTTCCCCGAGGCCAGAGGCAGCTTCCTTAAAAGTCAGGTCCTTTACTCCCTTGCACCCTGTGGAATCTTGCTTGGTCGCTTCTTTGGAAAGATTTCATGAAAGGGATCCAAACCATAACTGAAGGAGGAAGAAGGCAACTGACTGTCCCTGCCCTGGGAGCTGGGGAGGGAGAGGGAACCCACACCAGGGCCGATAGGGAGGTAGAGGCAGACAATCCAGCCAGCACTGCTAGACCCAGGGCTGTGGCTGGCTCTCCCAGCTGGGCGGGCAGAATGGGTAGTTCTTGGGGAGGTTTCCTGAATTGTAGGAGGGTGGAGTTCAGGTGAGAACGATGGGGCCAGGACTGGGGCAAGGGCAGAGTATTCTGGTGGCTTCCTCAGCCACATGTGCACATGCATGCGCTCTCTCTCTCTCTCTCTCCACTCTACCGCAGGGACTGCCTCTTCCCAGCTTTGGAATCAATTCCCTGGGACTCCTGGGAGACCAGCACCTGACGGTCAGATAGCTTATGAGGAGATTTGGCCCACAGAGACCATAAGTGCCCTCAAGCAACAAGAAAGGTGCACCCAGTGAGTGTCCTGGATCTGGCGGGCTCCCTCTCTAGGATAGTTACTATGGGCTCAGTGGGAAGACTGATCCACCAAATAGCCAGATCAGGCCAGGTGCAGTGGCTCATGTCTGCCTGTAATGTCAACGGTTTGAGAGGCCGAGGTGGGAGGATTGCTTGAGGCCAGGAGTTTGAGACCAGCTTGGGCAACGTAGCGAGACCCCATCTCTATAAAAAAAACAAAATTTTTAAGTTAGCTGGACATGGTGGTGCATGCCTGTAGTCCCAACTACTCAGGAGGCTAAGGTGGGAGGATCACTTGAGCCCAGGAGTTTGAGGCTGCAGTGAGCTACAATTGTGCCACTGCATTCCAGCCTGGGCAACAGAGTGAGACTGTCTCAAACAAACAAACAAACAAATACCCAGATCATCTGGAAACCTGGAAACCTGGCACTGACAGTCCCTTAGCTCTGGGATTTAGGGCGCTGAGACTGTGGCAGGAGTTTGGCAGCTGTGAAATTCAGGAGCTGCTGGCTCCTTTGATCCCCCAGGGATGTGTCCCTGTGGATCCTCAAGTTCCAAAGCACCCACTTGGATGCCTAGCTCCAGGTTGTTAGAGGAATCACAGGCAGGGAGAGGTTGGGGGCTTCCTGAGACGGGTTTGCATTCTCAGCCTGGCTCACTCTGAAATTCACAGGCCTTAGCTCAGTGCCCTTTGGGAATCCGGGCAGGCTGGGGGGCCCTGGAGGATGGGATGGGGTAGGAGTACTGGGCAGGGGGAGGTGGGAGACTGTTCAGTCTCTCTTTGACAGCTAACATTTTCCAGAGCTGGCGCCTGCAGGGGAAAGGAAATCAGAGCTTCCCACCTCACACATCTTTTTCCCATTTTGTTCATGCTGCCCAGAGAAAACCATTAGGACTAGGTCAGTCTGGGGCCTCCCCCGCCCGCCCATCTCTCAGCCCTGCTATAAGGAGGGGTGGGGGTGGGGGGTCATTGGAAGGACAAGGCCCTAGCCTGGCTAAGAGGCCAGACTCTGAACTCTTGTATCCCTTCTTAATTCCCTGCCAGTTCAAGAGGGGAGGGTGGGGGTGGGGACCAGGAATCTGGGCTCCTGGGGCCCTCCTTTATTCTGCTCAAATCCCCCAACACCTCTGACTATCTCCCGGGAGTCTGACTCACTGGCCCCAAGGAAAGGGCCTGCCCGGCCGTCAGTCCTGGGTCTGGTCTGCAGCAGGAAGGGCCCAGGGGATGGGGAAGCTGGTCCTTATTTCTCAACTTCTGGGACCCCAGCCTCCTCCCTGGAACTCCTAAGAGAGCTGGTTTCCACAGGTCCCTAGGAAGCAGGCTGGGGGATAGACTGCTGGGTCCCACTGTCTGGAGACAAGAGCTGCATTTGGAGACTTGAGAGGAGGGAAATGGGAGCCGCAAGGAGCCTTGGAGAGGAGTTCTGCGCAAGCTAGCTGACCCCCTTCCTGAAGCTGAGCCATTAGCCCCTCCTACCCTGCCTCCTAGGGACAGTGAGTCCAAAATCCTCTTTCTGTCCCCACCTAGAACCTCAAAACCCAGACCTGCACCCCTCTCAGTCTCCTCTTCTCCAGGACCTTGCCTTTCTCCTCTCCTCTTGCCTCTTTCCTCTTCAATCCCAGAATCCAGTTATCTGGCCTAGTGACCACCCTGCCTGCAGCACACTCCCCACCCAACCTTTTCCTTCTTCCTCCAGAAACTCCAGATCATCTCAGTGCCAGGGGGTGGGGGGAAGGTGAAGGTGCCCAGACCCTGGATCTTCTATTTCCCATCCTCAGAGGGTGGGAGAGGAGGCATCTGAGACGTAGCCTGTGTTCCCCAGGTCTAGTGCCCTGGACCACAGTGGCAGGGTTGGAGGCTGCATGCTGGTTGTGCACCTTGTCTAGGGCTGGCCACTTCTCCTAGGTGCCACGTGAACGCATGTGTTCAGCTTGCCAAACTTGCCATGGCTACACCTTTGGCCTCCTGCCCTGGGCTGCCAGGGGTTAAGAAGCCAGTGCAGGGTGAAGGGTGGGAGTGGTGGAGGGGTCCAGCCCTAAAAACTGGATCTTAAAAGTCAAGAGGAGTTTAACTGTAGGTCAAGTCATGGCGTAGACTGACTTCTCCATCCAGGGAACTGAAACCCAGTCTGGACAAGTCCTCAACCAGTGCATCCCCACCTCCTCCCTCTCCCTTCCCGCGGCTCAGCAGCCCAGCCCAGCCCTGAGGAAAGCGTTGGCAGCTGGAGCTGGGAATGAGGTGGCAGAGCCAAGAACAACAGAGGCACCGCCTTGGCGCTGTGCAGATCCTCCCTGGTCTGCCTATAATGCCTCTTGTCACAGTCAGAGGCACCGCCTGGCCACCTGGATGCTGCGCAGACCCTCTCCTTATCTGACTGTAATCCTGGTCAGCCCCCTCCTCCCAGTCTGTGGTCCTGACCCTACTGGGCCACATCTGCCTCTCTTTGCTAGGCCTCAGGGCTAGCCCTGGAGGTTACTGTCATCCCCTGCCTTTGGGTCCAGCTGCCCCTTTACCCAGGTCACTCAGGATTCTCTACCCTAATCATCCCTAGTTTTCACGATCTCTCTCCTGCATGCAAATGTTTCTGGGAAATGAGTTGCCTCCTTTCTAGATTTCTGACCCTTCTCCCTGCTTGCACTTCAGTTTGCTGGGAACTTTTTTCAGGCCTAACTCCTATTTATCCTGCTGTGAGGACAATTTCATTTGGGGCAAATCAGAGCCTGGCCTTCTCAGACTTGAAAAGGGCTGGGCCCCTGAACCCAGAGAGAAAAGAAAGCAGCACTCTTCTCTGTACCAAGGATCAGGCCAGACTGGGGGGCAACCTGCCTGAGTCTGTGCTCTGTGCTAAGTGGAATCCTGAAGGCTCAGGGTGGCCAGGAGACAGAACTCTCTTGCCCCAGCTGCTCCCAGCCCCTCTCTTCTACTCTCAGACTTCCCTGCATTCCGTAGAAGTCCTGAATTCATTGCTGCCCCTATGCGGAGTAGCAGAGATCCAGGTGTCTAGCCCCACCTGGGTTTAATTTCTACATGCGTTCCAGCCAACAAACTCTCTGACCCAGCAGATACAATAACACTGCCCAGGGTGAGGTTCTTCTCCAAATGCTGAATTTGGCCAGAGAATCTCCATGGTCCCGGTTAGGGGTGAGGGTGGGGGCTTAATCACTCTCCCACACTTCCCATCCCCAGTCAACCTTTCCCTCTCCAGCGGCTGGGCTGGGTGGTCACTCCTTCTCCCTGCTAGCCTCAAGAAGTAATGGAAAGGGGAGGGGGTTCTCCTCTCCCCAAGTCCTAGACGCCTCAGTTATATACACATCTACACCCACTCACACTCTTCACCATCCAGGAGCCCTCTCCTGCCCATCTCTATTCCTTCAGGTGTAAGACCAGCCACCTTCCTTTTAGCCACACCACCATGGAACAAAGTCCCAGAATGTTGCTCTCCTAAGTCTCTCGAGCTTGTTTCCTCCTCACTCCACCCCTACCTATCCCACCTCTGCCCCCCCAGCTTTTCTCATCAACTTTGCACCCTCCCCTCACTGAGTCTCCAGATTCCTGGGGGGGCCCCAAGAGGGTTATGACCAAAGCTCCTGCAAAGGGTCACCCTGGGCAGATCTGTAGCAGATTAGGTCATAATTAAAAGGCCAGAGGCACTGGGAAATTCCTTCTCCTTATTGATCCCAGCGGGAAATTAAAGCCAGTTGTTTGTGACTGAGTGGCTGATGAAGGCTGCAGCTCCTCCCCATTGCCTGGTTCCAGGGTCCTAGCCCCTGCTCCTTGCCTCTAGGCATCTCCATCCTCCTTGGTTAGTCCCCTTCCCCAGGCCCCTCCACTCTCTCATCTCCTACCCCTCCACCTCCCCGAGTCCCCTTCCCTAGCATCTTCCCTAAGAACCCTCCGTGCCTGCTGCTCCCTGGGGTAACAGGGCTGCTAGAGGCTGAGACCTCGGCCTCAGCTATTCAGCACCCTGCTTAGACCCCCTACCCACCTCCCTCAGCCAGGGTTAGGGTGCTGGGGCTGGAGCTGGAGCTCAGGCCCAGAGCTGCCAAACCGCAAATGCTCACATCTGGAAAGAATTCCTCTCCCAGCCCGACTTCCCTTTGTCTTACTTCTGTCTCTTTGGAAATCATGGCCAGTTGGCTGGTGGAGGGAGTGGGGAAGTGAGGAGAGGGGAGTGGGCCCAGGTCTCCCTGCCCCCACCCCAGGGAGCCCCACTGCCTGGCTCCAGCCTCCCCAGCAGCCTCAGCCAAGCCATCCAGCCTGTGCTCCCCTGCTCTAGCATCGAGGGGCCAATCACCCCCTCCTATGACTGTCCCTGCATCCTGGTGACCATCTTTTGGGTGAGGTTTTAACATCTTTAGTCACTCACAAGGCTAGGGGGGAGAGTGCACTGATCCTTTTGTCGTGCAGGAGGAGGGATGCTTATTGAGCAGGAGGCTGGGCGCTTCCAGCTGGGGGCTCAAGAGGGCTGGTGGCATGGAGATGGACGAAATGACCTGGGTGGGGGAGGCAGGGGGCAGTGAAGGGAAGGAGGGGCAGCAGGAATCTGGTTTCCACCATGTTCCCTCCTCTAGCCTCTCCTCATCCCTTTGGCCAGGAGCCTGATTTCACTGTCAGAGCCTAATCCCCCTCCTTTACCTACAGCATTGCTGAGCAGGGAGGATGGGGGAGGAGCTGGGGCTGTGCCTGCAACCCCAGGCCCTAAGCACTTCCCAGGGAACCCCCCACCCCGCCCCACCCCGCTTCCTTCCACCATCTCTGCTTTTGTCTGTCCTTCCTCAGAGAGCTCCTTGACCTGCTGCCCTCTTCCTTGCAGAAGCCCAGGCCTCCCAAACACCCCCAAGTAAGCTCTCCCACACAAAACCTGGACCCCTAAACCCAGGCTGAAGTATTCAAATCTCAGTTTGTTGGCTATTGCGGGCGGGGCCCCATAGAGAAGTCCTATGCAGTGGAATCTCCATCCCTCCTGCTGCCCAGTCAGCCCAGCTGCTTTATTTTCTCACCCACCCATTTCTGCAGATTTCCCTCTCTGCAACCCGGAGGCCCGACCCCCCAGTACATTCTCCAGCCTTCAGTTCTTAATGCTGAGGTCACTCTGGCCCCTCTCCTTTGGTCATCTTCCTCCAGACTCTTCCCCAGCTCCCACCAAAGCTCCCAACTCCCTAGATCGCCCCTAGGTTCTAAACATAAGGGCTCAGAGATCTGAGAGCGACTGCCTGCTCCACCCTTGGCCACGCTGGCGAGGAGGGGCCAGGGCAGGGACCCAGGGCTGGGACCAGATGTAGGGTTTTTCTTTCCGCCTCAGAAGGAGCTGGGAGGGAGAGTCTGGGGAGGGTGGGGGATGGGATGCGGCGGGGCCACGTGCATCGGTTCGCTCAGGGCCACCGGGCCGAAGGCCCCCCCGCGTTGGACAGGCCGGGACGGTTCCTTTGGCTCCAATCACTGCATCCCGCCAGGCTTCGCTCCTCTGCGGTTTCCGGCCTCGGGTCCCAGGCCTGTCCCCGAGGCTCCCCGCCTGACCTCCGTTTCTGTTTCTCCGTCTCCCTGCCATCTCCACTGGGGTCTCGCCCACTCCCACTCGGGTCTCTGCAGGAAGCCGTGCCCTCCTCCCACCCTCTTTGATCTCCCGTTTCAAAGCCGCTCTCCAAGGGAGGGGAGGTCGCTCCTTCCGCCCGTTTTACAGCTCAGGATGGTGACACCTGAGACCCTGCTCCGCCTTCTCCCCCGGCACCCATCCTCCCGCCTATCTAGGTGGTGGCGCAGCTCGCCAGGGCTCCGCGCCTCTGTCCCCGCCTCCCTCCCTTCCCCCTACTGAGACCCCCTCGGGGTCTCGGGAGTGAAGCGACAGAGAAAGCGTTTTAATAAAGACCTTGCGTCAAGTGATTGGCTGTGACCTCTGCCCTCCCAGCCTCGCGCCCTGGGCTCCTGCTTAACCCTTCAATGTCCGCCCAGCGCATTAAGGGGAGCGAGTCGCCTGGCGACTACTTCCAGAGTCCCCAGGCATTACGTGAGCCCGAAGCAGGGTGGAGGGGTGGGGGGACCGTGCCGCCCCCGCCCAGCCTCTCCGAGTTGTTCCAGCAGGGGGCGCCGTTGCCTCACTTAGATCCCTAACCCCCGGAACCCCGCAGCTCCCAAGCCCCTCTCTGAGTACGGAGTGGTCCCACTGGATCCAGTTCAGGGTTCAATGGAGCTAGGGCCAGCTACGGCTCAAGATCTGGGGTCCGCCTGCGGGTGGGGTCGCCAGGTGTCCGGCACCAAGGAGTTGAATGCACCGAGTCAGGTTGGGGATGGGTGGGGAACAGGCGAGACGTGAGGAACTCGGGTGGGGGACAGCCATACACGAGCCCTGAGCATCTGCGCCCGCAGCTAGCTCCCCCCGCCTCTGCGGAGAGCGCGATTCAAGTGCTGGCTTTGCGTCCGCTTCCCCATCCACTTACTAGCGCAGGAGAAGGCTATCTCGGTCCCCAGAGAAGCCTGGACCCACACGCGGGCTAGATCCAGAGGTTGGTGGCGGGGGCGCAGGGCCCCCCAGGTGGGGGGGGGCGGAGCGGGAGGCGGGGCCACTTCAATCCTGGGCAGGGGCGGTTCCGTACAGGGTATAAAAGCTGTCCGCGCGGGAGCCCAGGCCAGCTTTGGGGTTGTCCCTGGACTTGTCTTGGTTCCAGAACCTGACGACCCGGCGACGGCGACGTCTCTTTTGACTAAAAGACAGTGTCCAGTGCTCCAGCCTAGGAGTCTACGGGGACCGCCTCCCGCGCCGCCACCATGCCCAACTTCTCTGGCAACTGGAAAATCATCCGATCGGAAAACTTCGAGGAATTGCTCAAAGTGCTGGGTAAGGAAATGTTCGAGGGCCCAGGTGGGGCAAGGGGGGGCTCTGGAGTCCTCGAAGTTGGGGATGAGAAAGACAGCGGGACCACAATCAGGGCGTGAGACACTGGGTGCCTGCATCCCCGAAAAACGTGCCAGGCGTCCGGGTCCCGGGGCTCTGGGCACGACGCCTAAATCCCGCTTTCTCCTGCGGGGGCCCACCGGTGCCAACACTGCGGTGACTCACGGCCTGTGAATCACGTAGAAACCAGAAGCGCGAGGTTGGCCTCTGGGGGAAGGGGAGGCTGGCCTCAGCGGCCGGACTCGGCGGGCCGAGGCACCTGGCTCTCTGCAGTTCAGAAGCTGCGGGCTGGTGGAGCCACGAACCCTGCATCCAGACTGGGAGCCCGGTTCCCTACCCTGCCCAGCCGCTCGGAGACATTCCAATCTCCTTCCCGGTGCCCCCCTCGGTAACCCAATCCCCAGGGCAGGCTCATTACCCCTCGGCGCCCAGCTCTGCCTGCGAGGTGATCTGCTGCCCCAGCGCCCCCTGAGCCCCACTTTCCTCCCCCTCTGCACTTTCCACTCTGCTCTCCCCACCCCCCATCTGTGAGACAAGTATTTTCATACAGCGAGCAGCTCCAGAGTTCTAAAATCGCTAGGGATAATTATCACTTTCTTGGATTTCAACAAATGGTTTCGTGTGAAACCCCAATCCCACATTTCCAAAAATCTAGGTTCCCACCTACCTCCCCCGACCATAGATCGGCTGCAGCCCAATTGGGTGTGTTGGTCAAAGGTGGGGAAAACTAAGTCAATCCAGACTGCCTTTCCCACTTTTCCAGCCCACCTTCTGTGTGCCCTCTGGGCCAACTGGGCTAGACATCTGGGGCAGGGGAGAGTGCCAGGACCTGGTGACTGGGAGAGGACTCTGGGGGAGAGATGGACGTTAGTTAAGGACCCCAGCCACTGGGAGCGTAAGGGCAGGCCTGCTGCCTTCAATTCCTGCACTCAACAGAGAGACGGTAGTTCGGCTGGGTTGGGCGAGAGGGGAGGGAGGGAAGGCACCCCTCTCCCTGGACTATAGGAGTGAGTCTGGATCTAAGACAGGTCTGGAATGCTGCAGAGAGAGCAGGGATCTCCATCAGTCCTTGCCGTTAGTTCTTCCTGCGATCTAACCACAATACTTCTTGGAGTCATATCAGTCTTTCTTGCTCTGTCCTTGCTAAACTTAAAGACAAAAAGAAATTTTCTCTTTGGAAAGCCTAGATGCCACTCCCTCCTCATCTTCTCTGGATTCTGGCCCCTGTCCTCAGTGGATGAGGTGGTGGTCTGGTACACCCCCAGGCCCCAGCTGAAGAGTAAGATTCAAGGCCCCAATCCTGCTGTCTGTCTTCAGTCTGTTTGTCCTCCCTGCAGGGTCTCTCTGAGCCACGTGCCCTCCTCAGGCCCTGCAGGGGGCAGATTAAAAACAGATCCATTAGACAAACACAGTCCTGAGCCAGCTAAGGCCGGCTAAGCTGGGCCCTCAGCTCCACAGGCACCAGGGGCTCGCTGAAAGGATGTCTCCTCTGAACCCAGCCTTGCCTCTGCAGGAACTTCGGTCCTGGCACACCCCTCTTAGCTCTAGTCAAGGGTCCATCTCAATAAGACTTGGGGACCTGTCATTTCTTCCTAGACACAAGAGTTCAGCAGCCAACAATGGGGGTCCTGGGCTCCCCAGGGGCAAGGCTTCCTCTCTCCCTCTCTCTTCTGTTTGCAGTAGGGTAGGTATGCTTTGGCACTGAGGGGAAAGAGGATTTGTTTCTCTAGGAACCCAGGTCTGGAGGAGGTCCAGGGAGTTGGCCAGATCAGGGGCAGGGAAATCCTGCTACCTGGCAGAGGGCCCTTTCACCCCCGCCTAGTGCATCCCTGGCTCTACTCCAGGACAGGGCGGCAGATCAGGCCAGGTGAGGTGGGTGTGTGGAGCTTAGACCTGGAGCCCATCCAGAGAGGCCCCCTGCTCTGCACGTCTTCCTTTCAGAGGGGTGCTGTCTCCTATCTCCCCCACTTCGGTTAATAACTGGGGAGCAGAGAGAAGGGGTCCAATCTGGGCTGGGATATGGAGGTGCACAGAGAGTCTGAATCCACGAGGCTGAATGAGATAGCCGGACCCTGTGAGGGGAGTGGGGGGTCCTGAAGAAGGGGATACATCACACAGAGCGGGGAGGGCAGTCTCCTTTTCTATTCCTTCTTCTCACAGCAGAGGGGGTTCCCTTGAGGGGACAGGGGTATGGGAGTCTTCCAGAAGGGCAGATGAGTACGGTGCCTAATGCAGAGAGCTTTGAGCCCCAGCTTTTTGCTTTCCTTTTTTTTTTTTTTTTTTTTTTTAGTGGTAGGGTCTCACTGTGTTGCCCAATCTAGTCTCAAACTTCTGGGCTTAAGCAGTCCTGCTGCCTCGGCCTCCCAAAGTGCTGGGATTACAGGCATGAGCCATGGCACCTGACCCTTTGCCTTCCTTTTATCAGTAAAAATAATACCAACAATCATAGCTATTGTTTCCTGAAAACTTAAGCATATGCCTGGCACTGTGTGTGCTAAGTCCTAAACACATACCATCCCAATTGGCTTTTTTTTTTTTTTTTTTTTTGAGACAGAGTTTTGCTCTTGTTGCCCAGGCTGGAGTGCAATGGCACAATCTTGGCTCACCACAACCTCCGTCTCCTGGATTCAAGTGATTCTCCCGCCTCAGCCTCCCGAGCAGCTGGGAGTAGAGGCATGTGCCACCATGCCTGGCTAATTTTTTATTTTAAGTGGAGATGAGGTTTCTCCACGTTGGTCAGGCTGGTCTCAAACTCCCAACCTCAGATGATCCACCCACCTCGGCCTCCTAAAGTGCTGGGATTACAGGCATGGGCCACTGCGCCAGGTCGTTTTTGTTTGTTTGTTTGTTTTTTGTTTTTTTTGAGATGGAGTCTCGCCTTGTCGCCCAGGCTGGAATGCAGTGGTGTGATCTTGGCTCACTGCAACCTCCGCCTCCCGGATTCAAGTGATTCTCCTACCCCAGCCTCAGCGTCCCAAGTAGCTGGGATTACAGGTGCGCGCCACTATGCCCAGCTAATTTTTGTATTTTTAGTAGAGATGGGGTTTCACTATGCTGGTCAGGCTGGTCTTGAACTCTTGACCTCGTGATCCGCCCGCCTCGGCCTCCCAAAGTGCTGGGATTACAGGCGTGAGCCACTGCGCCCAGACTTTTGTTTTGTTTTGTTTTTGAGACAGGGTCTCTCTCTGTCACCCAGGCTGGAGTGCAGTGGTATGATCTCGGTTCATTACAACCTCCGCCTCCCGGGTTCAAGCAATTCAGCAATTCTCCTGCCTCAGCCTCCTGAGTAGCTGGGATTACAGGTGTGAGCAACTGCGTCCAGCCCTGGCTTTTTTTTTTTTTTGGTAGAGTCGGGGTTTCAGCATGTTGCCCAGGCTGGTATCGAACTCCTGAGCTCAAACAATCCACCTGCCTTGGCCTTGTAAAGTGCTGGGATTATAGGTGTGAGCCACTATACCCAACCTTGATTGGCTTTTGAAGAAGCTGTTATTTCCATTTTACAATTGAGGAATCTAAGGCTCAGGGTGGTTAAGCCATTTGCTCAGGGTCACCCAGCCTGTAAGGGGGCTGAGCCAGGAGGAAATCACAGCCTCCTGGACCTTACTCCAGAGCCTCTGTCTTCCCAGGCTGCTGACCATTCTGTAGAGGGAAGCAGCTGCCCCTGCTCTCTTTCATTGCTGTGGGGCAGAAATTGGGCAAATGAAGACCTATCTAGCACTAGATACGGTGGGTAGATAGGGCAAAAAGGGAAATGGCTCCTACTTCCCAGGACATGAGTGATGGGGTCTGGCCTGTGCTTGGCCAGGGGTACAGTCCCAGTGACTCTGATGAGCTGTCAACAGGGTAGACAAAAGGCCAAAAGTGAAGTAAACAGAGACAACCGGAGCCAGTAGCAGGATGTTTGTTGGGTAGGGGGCTGGGGAGAAGCTGCCCCTGGGCATTCTGGGACTGAAGAGCTGAGACGTGGGGAGCCTGATCCAGACCTGCTGACTCAACAAGGTGGGGCCACAGCTAGGAACAGGACTCCCAGGGGCAGGCCACTGCCTCTCTCCCTCTCCTCCCTAAACCCCCTCATCTTTCAGGGCTGCACCGCCTACCGTCTCCTTCAAGGCACTTTCTTAGACACCCAGGCACCAGGCAGATGCACCCCCCAACACACCCACCCCAAGCAAGTCACAAATCAGCCTGCTCCAACTGTCTTATGGGGAGGGTGTGAGAGAGGTGCCCAAAGGCCCCTAAAAGGTGAGCCTCTCCTCTCTCCCCACAGGGGTGAATGTGATGCTGAGGAAGATTGCTGTGGCTGCAGCGTCCAAGCCAGCAGTGGAGATCAAACAGGAGGGAGACACTTTCTACATCAAAACCTCCACCACCGTGCGCACCACAGAGATTAACTTCAAGGTTGGGGAGGAGTTTGAGGAGCAGACTGTGGATGGGAGGCCCTGTAAGGTGAGTGCCAGAAGGGGCTCCAGGGTCATGGCGTCATTGCCCTGCCTCTCAACCTGCCATTTTCCAGGCTAGCAGTTAACTCCTAGCTTCTCTCTGTCCCAGTAGGGAAAATCCCTAGGTGGTGGTGGGGGCTAGAAAGGGGCTCTCTCCCTTATCCCTCTCACTGCATTGCCCCTGCTATGGGCCCAGCTCACTTGGCCACCTGTCTCTTGCAGAGCCTGGTGAAATGGGAGAGTGAGAATAAAATGGTCTGTGAGCAGAAGCTCCTGAAGGGAGAGGGCCCCAAGACCTCGTGGACCAGAGAACTGACCAACGATGGGGAACTGATCCTGGTAAGTCCTGCCTCCTCCCCACTAATAGCAAACCCAGTGCTACCTTCCAAGATTCTCTGGGAGACCCCAGGGTGCAGGAGACTCAAGAACAACCATGGCTGGACTCCGCACCCTGCTGATGGGACTGCTTGAACAGAACTAAGGTGTCCCTATCCCATACAGTGCCCTGTGTGAATTAGAAATGGTGTTCCTTTTATGCAAGCAAAGGGCATGTACTGAGGGATCCCAGCAGTTCTTCAGGGAGATCTTCCTGGCTTGAGGAGGAGGACGGGCCCCAGGGGCTCTATTGCTATCCTCCCTCCATTGATGCCTGGGCATTCTGGGACCAGCTCCTGCCTGTTGGTCTTGAGCCAAGAAGCAGGTTTGGACCTGGAGGCCAAGCAGAGTACCTCCATTCAACCCTCCTCTCCAAAGCCACAGGACCCCAGGGGCCTCTCAGGCTAACAACTACTTCTGTCCTTCCAGACCATGACGGCGGATGACGTTGTGTGCACCAGGGTCTACGTCCGAGAGTGAGTGGCCACAGGTAGAACCGCGGCCGAAGCCCACCACTGGCCATGCTCACCGCCCTGCTTCACTGCCCCCTCCGTCCCACCCCCTCCTTCTAGGATAGCGCTCCCCTTACCCCAGTCACTTCTGGGGGTCACTGGGATGCCTCTTGCAGGGTCTTGCTTTCTTTGACCTCTTCTCTCCTCCCCTACACCAACAAAGAGGAATGGCTGCAAGAGCCCAGATCACCCATTCCGGGTTCACTCCCCGCCTCCCCAAGTCAGCAGTCCTAGCCCCAAACCAGCCCAGAGCAGGGTCTCTCTAAAGGGGACTTGAGGGCCTGAGCAGGAAAGACTGGCCCTCTAGCTTCTACCCTTTGTCCCTGTAGCCTATACAGTTTAGAATATTTATTTGTTAATTTTATTAAAATGCTTTAAAAAAATAAAACCTGTCTCTGGCTCATTGGGCAGGTAGATAAGTCACCTGAGTTCAACCTTGCCTCTGAAATGTAGTATGGGAAAGACTTGTGTTTCTGCAGCATGGAACTGAGTTATACAACAGGAGAGGACAGTCCTTCCAGTCACCGTTCTAACCACCACCCCTTCGTTTGCTGCTGAATCCACAAGCCTCACCTCCACATTCCCTTCTCCAAGGTCCTTCCTTGGTGTCCTGCTCTGGCTTCCAAGGTCACAAGGGCCTCCTCCTCCTGACCTCTCAGCTGGGGCACTGGGCTCTGAGGAGCTGACTCCCACCTTCTCCCATGTTTTCCATCATGGTGACAGTTTCCTCCTCCTCCTCCAGCTGTTGCTTCCCTCTCCTCCAGCTTCAGCCCATGGGTGACCCCAGGCCTGGCCTTGGCCTCCCACATGGTTCCAGATGAGCTCAACGGCACCCACAAGCTGGCCTTGCAGCTGCCTGGGCCTCTGGGTGAGAGGTCTCATCCTGCCTGTCAGCCCTTTGTGTCTGAGACAAGCCATCTCTGCTACCATCCTTCCTCCCTGCCTCAATCTCCCACATGCCCTTCTGCCTCTGGCTTCTAAATCTTCCAGGTCCCTTGGATCCTCCTCCAACCCTCTCCCTGAGCCTCCACACTCAGGTCTACACCAGGTCTGAAACTCCTGGGCTCAAGCGATCCTCCTGCCTCAGCCTCTCAAAATGCTGGGATTTCAGGTGCAAGCCACTGTACTCAGCCAGTTATTTTGTGTTTTTAAAACACAAAATAATGTAATTTAATGGCTTACGTACTAGGAAGCTCCAGCTGGGTCTGGCTTCAGGTATGGCTGGATCCAGAATTTCAGTGACGGTCATCAACCTCTCCCTGTCCACACATCCTGCTCATCTGTTTCTTTCTTTCTTTGTTCTTTTTTTTTTTTTTGAAATGGAGTCTCATTCTGTCACCCAGGCTGGAGTGCAATGGTGCAATCTCGGCTCACTGCAACCCCCGTCTCCCAGGATCAAGTGATTCTGTGATTCTCCTGCCTCAGCCTCCCAAGTAGCTGGGGTTACAGGCACGAACCACCACACCCAACTAATTTTTGTATTTTTAGTAAAGACAAGGTTTCGCCATGTTGGCAAGGCTGGTCTTGAACTCCTGACCTCAGGTGATCCACCCACCTCGGCCTCCCAAAGTGCTGGGATTACAGGCGTGAGCCACCGTGCCCGGCCTCATCTGTTTCTTTTGTGCATCAGCCACATTCAATCCTGTCACATAGTTTTCTCCAAGTCATGGGAAATTGCCTTCAGATGCCCTAAGCTTACAGTTACGGTTTGAGATCCAAAAAAAAAGAGAGACCCAGGGTCCCTATCTTCAACATTCCAAGACTCAACTCTGTTCTGCTTTGGTCACATGACCATCCCTTGGACTAGGTGCTGTTGGCACAGGTGGGGCACTGTGACAATCCCTCAATCCTAAGACATGGGAAGGGACAGTTTTCCAATGAAGAGGGTCACCATGAGTCTCAGGTTTCTAATCCATATCTAGCAATTATAAATAATACCTCACTGGGTTGTTACAAGAGTTAAGTAAAATAAGTCACATTCAGCACATAGCACTTAGCCACAGGAAGCCCTCAGAGAGTGATGGTCCTGTCTCTGACCCACCCCCTACACTTCTGCCAGGGGATTCTTCTAAAACAAAACTTTCATCATGTCAGTGCCCTGTTTAAAAAACAACAAAATAAAAACTCACCTTAGCTGCAGCCCTTCCTTTTGCCCAGAATAAAATCCAAAGCAGTACTGGAGGCTCTTTAAGCCATGGCCCCTCCCCTTACCACATGTGCTCCTCTGAGAAGGACCCACTGTATGGTTTGCCATCCTCTCTGTCCATTGGCGCCCAGCGCTTCTCCAACGCTTAGCTCCTTGTGTAGCCCTAAGTGGCCTCTCCCTTCATCAGCGCTGACAGTCAGTGGTCACGCTTCATAGCCTATAAGCCTCCTCTCCCTGCAAGACCAGGGTGCCCCGGGGCCAGGGCCTCCCACTTCTGCCCCATGAAAAGCCACACACTACGGCTGAGGGCAGAGGGCCAAGGTCGGGGAGTAGGGAGACAGTGTCCAGAGCCCTTGGGCTCTGAGTGCGGGATTGGAGAGGTGAGGGGCTTTTTCATGTACTCATCTAATATTGTTTCCTGAAAGCCTCCTAGGAGCTGGGCACCCTGCTAGGTACTAGGAACACGGAAATGAATCAAACAGACAAGCTCTCCACCCTCATGGGACCTGTAGGGGAAAACAGACCTTTAGTGGGGAAAGATAATTTAAAAATAAGTGTACCAATACATACATAATTGCAAATTGTGGTAAGGGCTATAAGGAAAAGGGGGACGAGGGAGAGAATAATAAAGCAGGCCTCAGGTAGACCGGGCATGGGCAGAGGAGGTGCGTAGAGGAGTAAAAGCAGAGGGGAAGGTGCTCTGGGCAGTGGAAACCACAGGCTAAAAGCCTGGAGGCAGCCAAGCATCGGAGGCTTGACCGGAGTGCAGGGAGGCTGGAGGGGTGGCCAGCGCCCGGTCTTGCAAATCCTGAACTCCACGCCAAGTAGTTATTTATTCTAAGAGCAATGAGAAGCCATCAAAGGATTTTTGAAGGGGGTAGCATTGCCTGTGTGTTTTTAGGAGTTCTCTCTGGCACCAAGGTGGAGAGGGACTAGAGAAATGGGTGAAGGAAAAGCCAGCAGGAGGCTGGCGAAGTGTACAGGCAGAGGATGGAGAGAGTCAGGCGCAGGGCACAGTGATGTGTAGAGGGGAGGTGAAAGGATGAGAGAAAGAGAGGTGTGGAGAATGGTTCTGCGGCTTCTGGTTTTGGTCACTGAGTGGCTGGCGGGGCTGTTTTCAGAAATGGAAAAATGAAGCCTGCTGGACTGGCTGCTGAGAGTCTTTCTGGATGCCTGCTTTTTGTTTGTTTGTTTGTGTTTGTTTTTAGATAGAGTCTCCCAGGCTAGGCACTCACAGCTGTAATCCCAGAACTTTGGGAGGCCAAGACAGGAGGATCACTTGAGGTCAGGATTTCGAGACTAGCCTGGACAACATGGTGAAACCTCTCTACTAAAAATATGAAAAAAAGGCCAGGCACGGTGGCTCACGCCTGTAATCCCAGACCTTGGGAGGCCAAGGTGGGTGGATCACGAGGTCCGGAGATCGAGACCATCCTGGTTAACACAGTGAAGCTCCGTCTCTACTAAAACTACAAAAAATGAGCCGGGCGTGGTGGCGGGCGCCTGTAGTCCCAGCTACTCAGGAGGCTGAGGCAGGAGAATGGCGTGAACCCAGGAGGTGGAGGTTGCAGTGAGCCGAGCTCACGCCATTGCACTCCAGCCTGGGTGACAGAGCGAGACTCTGTCTCAAAAGAAAAAAAAAAATTAGCTGGGTGTGGTGGCATGCGCCTGTAATCCCAGCTACTTGGAGGCTGAGGCAGGAGAATCGCTTGAACCCAGGAGGCGGAGGTTGCAGTGAGCCGAGATCACGCCATTGCACTCCAGCCTGGGAGACGGAGTGAGACTCCACCTAAAAAAAAAAAAAAAAGTGGGCTGGGCATGGTGGCCCACGCCTGTAATCTCAGCACTTTGGGAGGCTGAGGCGGGGGGATCACCTGAGGTCAGGAGTTGGAGACCAGCCTGGCCAACATGGCAAAACCCTGTCTCTACTAAAAACAAAAAAAAAATGCTGGGCACGGTGGCTCACACCTGGAACCCCAGCACTTTGGGAGGCCGAGGCAGGCGGATCAAGAGGTCAGGGGTTCGAGACCAGCCTGGCCAACATAGTGAAACCCTGTCTCTACTAAAAATATAAAGATTAGGTGGGCATGGTGGCGCGTGCCTGTAGTCCCAGCTACTTGGGAGGCTGAAGCAGGAGAGTCGCTTGAACCTGGGAGGCGGAGCTTGCAGTGAGCCAAGATGGCACCACTGCACCCCAGCCTGGGCAACAGAGCGGGACTCCATCTCAAAAAAATAAAAAAATAAAAAATAAGCTGGGCGTGGTGGCGCATGCCTATAGTCCCAGCTACTCAGGAGGCTGAGGTAGGAGAATCGCTTGAACCTGGGAGGTGGAGGTGGAGGTTGCAGTGAGCCGAGATCGCGCCACTGCACTGCAGCTGGGAGACAGAACGAGACTCCATCTCTTTTTTTTTTTTTTTTTTTTTTTTTTTTTGAGATGGAGTCTCGCTCTGTCCCCCAGGCCGGAGTGCAGTGGCGTGATCTCGGCTCACTGCAAGCTCCGCCTCCCGGGTTCACGCCATTCTCCTGCCTTAGCCTCCCGAGTAGCTGGGACTACAGGCGCATGCCACCACGCCCGGCTAATTTTTTGTATTTTTAGTAGAGACGGGGTTTCACCATGTTAGCCAGGATGGTCTTGATCTCCTGACCTCGTGATTCACCCGCCTCGGCCTCCCAAAGTCTTGGGATTACAGGCGTGAGCCACTGCGCCCGGCGGAGACTCCATCTCAAAAAAAAAAAAAAAGTTAGATAGAGTCTCCCTCTGTCACCCAGACCGGAGTGCAGTGGCGCTTTCTGGGCTCACTGCAACCTCCGCCTCCCGGGTTCAAGCGATTCTCCTGCCTCAGCCTCCTGAGTAGCTGGGAATATAAGCGTGCGCCACCATGCCCAGTTAATTTTTGTATTTTTAGTAGAGACGGGGGTTTTGCCATGTTGGCCAGGCTGGTAAATTCCTGGCCTCAAGCTATCTGCCCGCCTTCGCCTCCCAAAGTGCTGGGATTACAGGCGTAAGCCACTGTGCCCCAGCCTGTTTGTTTGTTTCCTCTCCTCCTTTCTGCATCACCGCCTCCCATCTCACCTCCTTCCAGATTCCTTGCTCCATCTCATTCCCATCCAGGTCACCCAGCTCCCCCTACCCCTTCCCACCTTAGCCTGGCTCCCTACTCCCCACGTCCTTAGGCTCTGGAGGCTGAAGCTCTGTCTTTCCATTCGTCTGGAGCGCGTGCTCTTATTTCTCTGCCTAGTTTGTCTCTTCCTAGAACAAAGTTATTGAGAAAGGCAGAGAGAGGAGGCCTCTCTTTTTCCCAGGAGATCCCTGAGAGCAGGAGCTGGGGCTCCCTGCTCAGACTGGGGGCTCCCTGAAGGCAGAGGCTGTGTCTCATCCCTGAGATGGGGAGACTCCCTGAGTGCAGAGCGGGGGCTGCTCCCTTTCCTGGCTCTGCTTCTCCAGTTACTTTCCTGCCCGCCAGGGCCAGCCTGAGATGACAAGGAAGTTACAAGTTACAGTTACAGTCATGGACTGGGAGATTGGATCAGGGAGGGGCTACCTCACCCTGCTGGCCCAGCCTGGCCCCATCCGTGAGAAAGTCCCTCCAGCTTCCCCTCCCACCCCAGGCCCTCTTGGACTCCTCTTTCGTTACCTGGGCCTTTGTTACTCAGCAGTGCGTTTGGGAGAAAAGGCACAGCAGCTCTCACCTCCTGCCTGTGCCCCCAAAATTCTGTGAGATCTTTGTGGGCAGAGAGGCTTCTCTTCTCTGAAGTCCAAGCTTCTCAGAGCCCAACCACAGGAGAGGCCGAAACATGGTTCCAGTCCTGCCACAGTTGGAACAAGGGGGCCCAGAGAAGGTGGAAGGGCAAGGCAAGTGGGGAGGGGAGGGGGGTGCAGGAAGCGAATGACTCTGCCTTGGGGTTGGGAGGCTGACATACATGGCAGACCCTGACAGGCACTGGGAGAGTCTGCACCTACATCTTAGGGAAACTGAGGCAGGGCCGATTCCTCTTCTTCCCCCACAAGAGATGGGAGTGTGGAGCTGAGAGAAAGGCCCAGTGAAGTCAAAACCCAGAGGTGCTCAGGGCACAGCTGAGACCAGAGAGGACAAAGCCCAGCAGGAGCCCAGGGCCCAGTGGGGCCTCCGAGACCCTAGCACCTGAGGACAACTTCATGCCTGCGTGTGGCAGGAAGGGCCGAGTTACAGCGGTCCTCAAAGGAGGGATGCGGAGCTGCAGAACCAGAGATGGAAGCCCCGAGAAAGACAGAGAGAGGCAGAATGAGAGACACAGACAGAGATGGAGAATGCGAGGGACACACACAGTGTAAGACACACAGACAGAAAATGAGAGAAGAGAGAGGCAAAAAAAAGAGAGAGGGAGGAGACTGGGTGGGAGGAGAGGAAAGGGAGGGGACAGGGGAGGTGACACAGGAGAAAGTGGAGAGATCCTGAGACACTTGGGAGGAGGGGAGGAGGAGGAAGAAAGGGCCCCAGGGGCGGTGGTCCCAGGAGAGGGGGCGTACTGGCCAGCACCTCTGACCCTAGGTCCCAACAAAGAACTGCTTAAGGACCGCCACAGGCGCAAGATGGATGGGCATGTGGCTGCCGGCCCCTTTGTGGCGGGGGATAAAAGGCAGCAGGCTCTGAGGACAGTCTTCAGGGTTCCCCACCGCTTGAGGCTCCCCTGCCCCTCCCCCAATGATCTCTGGAGGCTTCAAGTGTGGTGGGAGGTGGGGAGGGGAGGAGCTGAGTCCAACCAGGTGTTTCTCCTGGCTGGGCCAGTCGCACCTGAGGAAAAAGGGGGACAGGGCTGTGGGCTGTGGGGGGCCTGGGAGGGGCTCCCTGAGTCTTTGTGGAAAGTGAATCAGTCACAGGCAAATAAGGTGGATGGGCCAGGCTGACGGGGCCCCAGCAGAGGGGGTTGAGGCTCTTGTTCTAGTGACCGTCGGAGGTCCCCTGGCCAGGGCTTCCCACCTCTCTCCTTTGGGCCTGGCACTGCCCTCCCGACCTTTTGGCTTCCTCCTGCCCTGTCCCCCTTGGCACTGCCAGTCGAGAAACCAGTTCTGTTCCTGCCCTGGATAAGAATCTCTGGGCTGGGCTCTTCCCAGGCAGCGGCAGAAACCTGGCAGGAAGACAGCACCCCCGCCCCCAGCCAGGGCCAGATCTCCCCACTGCAGGCCCACCCCAGCTGCAGGCGGCCCCTTCCTACCATCTTTCCCAGGGTCCAGTGCCACTTTCCTGCAGCCCCGAGGACACATCCTTGCTGCCTACACTTGGTTTCCCCTGCATCGGGGTCAGACCCACGGCTCTTTATGGAAGGATGGGACCTAGGAGCCCCCTCCCCCTCCTCTCCTGTCTAACTTCCTTCTCTTTCCGTGACACTTGGCCCTCTAGAGTGCCTTGCCCGTCCCCATTTCCACTCGAAGAGAAGAGCTCCTTAGAACACCCTTGCAGGAGTCAGGGTCCCTCCCTGCTCTTTCCTTGGGTGTCCCAGAAGCCGGGCTGCTCCTTCCCCCCCACTTCCCCTTCCTGAGCCTCCTCCCCAGTCCCCACAGGCTCCCCGCATCTGCTCTCATCAATCGCTCCCCAACGGCAGGGTCAGCCCCTTGCTCAATCACTGGCACTGAAGGGCGTCGGGTGAGACAGGGTTGACCCCACTTAACCCAGCCCCGGGTCTCCTCTTGGCCCATCATTCATTTCCCGTGACATTTGGTCCCTTTTTCATCCTTTGGACATGCAGCCCCCGCTCCTCCAGCGGGAAAGGACTTTAAAAGTTCATCTTCTCTGTTCTTCTCCCTCCTCATCACATGTCTGCTGCTCTCCGTCCCTGCCCTGCACCCCAGAAACTGTGGGCTGCTCCTTGTTCCTGTCCCGGCCCACTGCAGCACTGGCCAGCCTCTCCAGCTTCCTCCAGGCATCCAGCCGCTCACAGGGGGCGGTGGAGAGACCCAATGGCAGAGGCAGAGAGGAGGGCAATTCTGGAAGCCGTCAGGGCAGATCTGGGGGCGTCTGGAGGAGTCTAGACTTGAGCCTCAGCTCCCACCCCCGCTGCTTGAGGTGAGCGGGTGTGTCAGGCCAGGCAGGGACTCAAGCTGGTGACTCAAGCCCGACAGCTGCATGGTCCTCAGCAAGGAGTCCTCCCTCCCGCAGCCCCAAGGTGGAATCTTAGAAGCTGGGAATTCCAGAACCAGAGAGCAGAGTCCCAGAAGGAAGGGACCTCAGGGATCCTGCCTCTCCTTTGTGTGAGAGGAAACTAACTGGAGGACCACAAAAGGGCATGGCCAGCTTGGGGGTCACCCAGGTGTCAGGGAAATCATTAGTCACAGAAGAGGGGCTGCTTGGGTTCAGTACAAACCAGCTTAGTCCCAACGGGTGTCAGCCAGACCCCTCCGCACCCTCTTCCTCACCAGCGAGGGGCCTGGGTTCTTCAGTGTGGAAAGAAATGTCAGTCTTTCCCACAGCCTACGTTCCCACCTCTCATCCCGGAGTGGGCAAGCCCCTGCCCCCGTGCTGGGCCTCTCTCCTGTCCTTCCCCGCTGCAGATGATGAGGCCGGGACAGGTGTGGGGCCCTCTAGGCTCAGGTGAGGGGTTATGAGCTAAGGTTTCAAGAGGAGCCTGAGAGCAGGGGACCCAGGTCTCAGCGAGAGCTGCGTGGGGAGGAGGAGCCACCTTGCCTGATGCAGGTTGCAGCCAGAAGGGGGGACCCAGAAGATTCCTCAGCCGCCCAACCAGCCCCTAAGTCCATCGCAGCCCACCCCAGGACGTGCCTGAGTAGAAGGAGACCCAAGACACAGGCACAGGTGTCATGACTGTTTTCATATTCACTTGGGGTGCCTACAAAGAAGGACCCAGGCCTGTGCCTGGCCTTGGGCAGGCTGGCAGCATTTAGTCCCTTGACAAACATTTGCTGAGCATCAGCTATGTGTCAGACACTCGTGAGCGGGACCCCATGCACTCTCTGACTCCAGAACTTTCATTCAGCCTTCCATCCATTGAGGAAGTATTTTCTGAGCTCCTACTCTCTGCCAAGCACATCCACTCCCGCTCCTCCCACCAAGTTCTGGAGCCAGGACGGGACCTCCAGAGCAAGCACTGTGGGACGGGTGTCCAGAAGAACCCACTTCTACCACCGCCAGCCTCTGCTGCCCGCAGGCTGCCTGTGTCTCAGCCCCAGCCCCCGTCCTCACAGCTGCAAATAAAGGCTCAATCTTTCATCAAAACTTTCCTGCAATTGTCCTTCTGTCATCACAGCCCCTGATGCAGAAACCAACCAAGGAGCTGTAGAAACACAGAGGCAGAAAGGTGAGGTCATCCCGTCTAGCACCCAGTCTCAGGGCAAGAACGCGTTCCACAGCCCAGCTGAGTCTCAGAGAGAGTCCACCCTCCCACAGCCTTCTTTGGCTCACTTCTCCCCAGGGTTTGCCCACATTCCTCCAGGGAAGTCCTTCCTGGAGGCTAACTTAAGTGCCTCCTGCTGTCGCTTTAACTTCTCAAGGGGATGAAACCCAGAAGATAGGCTTATTTTCTCAAGGGGCTCAGGGACTGGGGTGGGGAGTGCTGTGGGCGCACAAGTGGGAAAACTTTCTCCACCTCTCTCAGCTTTCTTTTCTTTCTCTTCTCCACACCTCATTCTTTCCCTTTCCCTCCTCTCTCTTTAGTCGTCTCCCACTCAACTCAGCTGCTGGCTGGGAGCCAGCATTGTTCCTGCCTGGCTCCCCTCTCCCCTCCTCCTTCCCTCTCTGCGCCCCCCTCCAGCCAGCCCAGTCCCTGGCATGCGGTAGCCCCAGCTGGGGGGCAGGGCAGCACGCAAGACCTTTCCTGCCCCGTCTTCTGCCTCCTCCTCACTCTTCCCTTCCAGTCCCCATTGATGGCCCCCACCCAGCATAGGAGGCTGGGGAGCTTGGGTTACCCAGGCCCCTGGTTATTTTTATTGCCACCAGCTCAGGAGATAAATATACCTCCCCTCCCCGCAGCTGTCCTGGACGGAGTAACACATCCCTTCCCAATTCACTCCCTCTCCTACCGTTCATCCACTCACCTCAACGTCGAGTTGACTCACCCGAACGTCTTCTGCTCACATTCTCTCCTAGTCAGTCCCTCTGGACCCTGGACTCCCTGCAGAAAGACAGCTTGACCCCCAAGCTCAGAAATGGGACGGGAGGAGAGCCTCGGTGTCTTGGCTCCACCTAGTGGCTTCTCGAGACACCACACCTAGCGAAGGGGTCTAGCGGGAGCCTCGCCTTGATGCCACCCGGCTGGGGCAGGACTTCACAACACTGCGGGGAGGAGGCGCCGCGCAGAAGTTGCTTCTGCTAGTGGTTGAGCCTCCAGGCTGAGCCTGGGCCCTGAGACCCCTCTCCCACTTGGCCAGGCGAGGGGCTGGTGGTCTACAGCCCACTGCCTCTTCCTCCTTGTGATTCCAAACCGTTCTGTTAGATCCCACAATCCAGGGAGGTTCTTGGAATTCATTTGCGGGTCTCTGGAAATAGTTAAGGGCAGAAACTGAAGCTCCCCAGAGAGGACAGAAGGGGAACCCAGGGATCAAGATGGACTGCTGTTCATTCCCAGCTTGTTAGAGTTCCTGGGATTCAAGAAGCCACCAGTCCTCTAGAACAGATCTCAAAATGAATCCCCCAAGAGTGGTTATCTGGTCTGTGTTTGAACACCCAGGAACAGGGTCCTCACTCCCTCTGGTGGCAGTTCGTTCCAGGACAGAGACAAGTATTGTGACTGGCTCGTTTGGGCTGAAATTGGTGCCTGTAGCTTCCACCCTTCAGACCTGGTTCTGCCTCCTGGAACCATATAAGAAAAGTCCAAGCTCTTTTACCCAAGAGCCTTTTAGACACTTAAGATGGCCCCACTCTAGGTTTTATTTATTTTGAAATAGTTCATGTACTCGATCAATAAAGAATCACATTCCAGACGGTGGTGTGCGTCTCTCAAGCCCCCACAGCTCCCAAGCATCAATTCCCTGCTGGCTTCTCTTTTTTTGTGTGTGATGGAGTCTCGCTCTGTCGTCCAGACTGGAGTGCAGTGGCGTGATCTTGGCTTGCTACAACGTCTGCCTCCTGGGTTCACGTGATTCTCCTGCCTCAGCCTCCCGAGTAACTGGAACTACAGGCAAAGGCACCTGCCATCACGCCCAGCTAATTTTTGTATTTTTTGTAGAGATGAGGTCTCACCGCGTTGGCCAGGCTGGTCTTGAACTCCTGACCTCAAGTGATCCGACCGCTTTGGCCTCCCAAAGTGATGGGATTACAGGCGTGAGCCACCACACCTGTCCCCTGCTGGCATCTCTTTCTTCCTCCCAAGTCAGAGCCACTGTCCTCTCCATTCTTTTTATTGTTATTTTGCCTTTTGAAAATATTTTTGCATGCTGGGCATGGTGGCTCATACCTGTAATGCCAGCACTGTAGGAGGCTGAGGAGGGCAGGTCACTTGAGTGCAGGAGTTTGAGACCAGCCTGGGTAACATAGTGGCGAGACCTATCTCTATTTTTAAAAACATTTTAAGCCAGGTGTGGTGTCTCACGCCTGTAATCCCAGCACTTTGGGAGGCTGAGGCAGGCAGATCACCTGAGGTCAGGAGTTTGAGACCAGCCTGACCAACATGGTGAAACCCCATCTCTACTAAAAATACAAAAATTAGGTGGGCATGGTGGTACACGCCTGTAATCCCAGCTACTTGGGAGGCTGAGGCAGGAGAATCACTTGAACCTGGGAGGTGGAGGTTGCAGTGAGCCGAGATGGCGCCACTGCACTCCAGTCTGGGCAACAAGAGTGAAACTCTATCTCAAAAGCAAACAAACAAACAAAAAACATTTTAAGGCCAGGCATGGTGGCTCACGCCTGTAATTCCAGCACTTTGAGAGGCCGAGGTGGGAGGATCACCAGAGCTCAAGAGTTAGAGACAAGCCTGGCCAATATGGTGAAATCCCGTCTCTACTAAAAAATACAAAATAGCCGGGCGTGGTGGCGGGCGCCTGTATACCCAGCTACTTAGGAGGCTGAGGCAGGAGAATCACTGGAACCCGGGAAGCAGAGGTTGCAGTGAGCCAAGATTCCGCCATCGCACTCCAGCCTGGGTGACAGAGTGAGACTCCGTCTCAAAAAATAATAATAATAATAATAAAAAATAATTGTAAAAATAAAAAATAATTAAAAAAATATTTTTGCTGCCAGGTGTAGTGGCTCACGCCTGTAATCCCAGCAGTTTGGGAGGCCAAGGTGGGCAGGTTATTTGACCCCAAGAGTTCTAGACAAACCCGGGCAATATGGTGAGACCCTATCTCTAAAAAAAATACAAAAATTAGCTCGGCGTTGTGGTGCGCCCATGTAGTCCCTGTACTCGGGGGATGCTGAGGTGCAAGGATCATTTGAGCCCAGGAAGTGAAGCCTGCGGTTAGCTGTGATCTTGCCACTGCACTACAGCCTGAGAGACAAAGCAAGACCCTGTCTCAAAAATATATATATAATCTATCTATATATATTTATATATAAACACTACATATGTAAGTATCTATAAATAACATATTGTTTGGTTTGGCAGGGTTTTAAACGTTTAAATAAGTGGCATCCACTGTGCATATTTTACTGCAGCTTGCTTTTCCTGCTCACATGATGTTTGCAATTTTCATTCATTTAATATTTCCCCAGTTGTATTAAGTGAGCATAGTTCACAATTGTGAAAAATTTAAAAGTCTCACAGTACCGCCAGGCATGGTGGCTCATACCTGTAATCCCAGCACTTTGGGAGGCCCAGACGGGTGGATCACTTGAAGTCAGGAGTTCGAGACCAGCCTGGTCAACATGGTGAAACCCCGTCTCTACTAAAAATACAAAAAAATTAGGTGGGCATGGAGGCATGAGCTTGTAATCCCAGCTACTCGGGAGACTGAGGCAGGAGAATCGCTTGAACCTGGGAGGCAGAGGTTGCCACAAGCCAAGATCATGTTGCTGCACTGTAGCCTGGGTGACAGAACGAGACTCCATCTCAAAAAATAATAAATAAATAAATAAATAAAAGCCTCACAGTACCAAGAGTAAATTGGTATGGGCACTTTTTTTTTTTTTTTTTTAAGACGGAGTCTTCCTCTGTCACCCAGGCTGGAGTACAGTGACACAATCTTGGCTCACTACAACCTCCGCCTCCTAGGTTCAAGCCATTCTCCTGCCTCAGCCTCCTCAGTAGCTGGGATTACAGGCATGTGCCACCACGCCCAGCTAATTTTGTATTTTTGGTAGAGACTGGGGTTTCTCCATGTTGGTCAGGCGGGTCTTGAACTCCTGACCTCAGGTGATCTGACCACCTTGGCCTCCCAAAGTACTGGGATTACATGCATAAGCGATCGTGCCTGGCCACTGGTATGAGCATTTTTTAAAGCAATGTGGGCCGGGCACAGTGACTCACACCTGTAATCCTAGCACTTTGGGAGGCCGAGGCGGGTGGATCACTCGAGGTCAGGATTTCGAAAGCAGCCTGGCCAACATGGTGAAACCCCATCTCTACTAAAAATACAAGAAAATTAGCTGGGCATCATGGCAAGTGCCTGTAATCCCAGCTACTTGGGAGGCTGAGGCAGGAGAATTGCTTGAACTCGGGAGGTGGAAGTTGCAGTGAGCCAAGATCGAGCCACTGCACTCCAGCCTGGATGACAGAGCGAAACTCTGTCTTCAAAATAAATAAATAAATAAATACAACAACTTGGGGGCCAGGTGCAGTGGCTCATGTCTATAATCCCGGCACTCTGGGAGGTCGAGGCAGGCGGATCACTTGAGGCCAGGAGTTCGAGACCAGCCTGGCCAACATGGTGAAACTCCATCTCTATTAAAAATACAAAAAATTAGCCGGGTGTGGTGGTGTGGGCCTGTAGTCCCAGCTGCTTGGGAGGCTGAGGCAGGAGAATCACTTGAACCTGAGAGGCAGAGGTTACAGTGAGCCAAGATCGCACCACTGCACTCCAGCCTGGGTGACAGAGCAAGACTCCATCTCAAACAAACAAACACAAATCAATGTGGCATTATCAGGTGAAGCTGAAGATATGCTTTCCCTACGACCAGCAATTCCCTCCCAGGTCGCACCTGAGAAATGGGCATGTGCATGTGCCCAGGAGCACGGGCAGGAGCGTTCACAGCAGCACAATCAGTAAAAACCTAGACACCCCTTTATTCATTAATTTATTCATTTCATAAGCATACTTTGAGTACCTGTGGAGGATCAGGCACGGGGAATTTGAATAAGATAGACCCAGTCCCTTACAGGGGTGATCGCTCTCTGCTCGGATGCGGTGGGTATTATTGTCCCTTTTTATAGATAAGGAAGCTGAGACTCAGAAAGATTAAGTGCCTCACCAGAACTCAAACTCAGGTTTGCCTCCAGCACCTATGCTCTTTTTTTTTTTTTAGGTGGAGTTGTGCTCTTGTTGCTCAGGCTGGAGTGCAATAGCTCGATCTCGGCTTACTGCAATCTCTGCCTCCCAGGTTCAAGTGATTCTCCTGCCTCGGCCTCCCAAAGTGCTGGGATTACAGGTGCCCACCACCACACCTGGCTAATTTTTTGTATTTTTAGTAGAGACGGGGTTTTGCCACATTGGTCTGGCTGGTCTCAAACTCCTGACCTCAGGTGATCTGCCTGCCTCGGCCTCCCAAAATGCTGGGATTACAGGCGTGAGCCACCGCTTCCGGCCAGCACCTGTACTCTTAATAGCTTTGCCACACTGCTTCTGGATAATGCATCTTTCACTCGTCAGCACACTGTGGTATCTGTGCCCTCCTTCAGTGGGGTGTTCAGAGCCACACTCAGCCCTGGAGATGTGATCAGGCTAGCATGAGGGTGGACATTTAGTCAGCTCCCTAATGGGAACTTAGTGTGGGAGGGCACAGAGGTACTGCCAAACATAGACCTCAGCTTCAGCCTCTCCTGGCAGCCCAGCCCAGCCTAACCCTGGCCCCCTAATCTCAGCTCCAGCCCAGCCCCACCTGGCCTTTAGTTCTCCTCTATTTACTTCTCCCAAAAACTAGGTAGGTGGGTGGTGATGGGATAGGAAGACTAGATTTTAACCTAGGGAGAGGGTTTTGAATCCAGAGCTGGTCATTTCCTGGCTCCAGGGGAGCTAAGCTGGCCCTGAGTGAGATGGTAGGAGGAGCATGAGGAATGGCAAAGATACTGAAGGCTCCCTACTAGTTCCTCTCTGATTCATCCTCTGATCCCCCAACATCGCCTTCTTTCCCAGAAAGAAGGAGGTACAGGCTGAGTCAGAAGTGAAGTTCAAGTTCTAGCTGTGTGATCTTGGATAGGTTACTCAATTTCTCTGAGTTGTTTCCTCAGGTAGAAAACTGGATGATAATGATGGTGATATTACCTGTCTCACTATGCAAATCTTAAGGTTTTCAAAAATTGTTTCCCAGAGAATGTAGCTTTTCCTGAGGCAATAATGGCCCCTGGTGGCCATGCCCCAACAGAACCCACTACTTTCTGCAGAACAGAGACCTGCGCTGAGTGAGGAAGTGGGCAGGGTGCTTTTCTGAAGTTGCTCATCAAAACCACAGACCCAGGTTGGGAGTGGTGGCTCATGTCTGTAATCCCAGCACTTTTGGGAGGTCGAGGCAGGCGGATCACCTGAGGTCAGGAGTTCGAGACCAGTCTGACCAATATGGTGAAACCCTGCCTCTACTAAAAATACAAAAATTAGCCAGGCATGGTGGTACGTGCCTGTAATCCCAGCTACTCGGGAGGCTGAGGCAGGAGAATTGTTTGAACCCGGGAGGCAGAGGTTGCAGTGAGCCAAGATTGCACCACTGCACTCCAGCCTGGGTGACAGAGTGAGACTCTGTCTCAAAACAAAAACAAAAACAAAAACAAAACAAACAAAAAACCCCACAGACCCAGAGAGTTAGGGTTAAAAGGGAACAGCTTGTTGTTTTATACCCTTACCCTTATCCTCTGCGACCTCATCCATGCTCTTAGTCGCCCTTTATCCACTCTAACCAGGCAGCATCCTTCTAAATCTCTATCCCAGCCCCCAATCCTAAAACTGCATATCTGGAAGCTGCTGTATCTCCCCCATGCCACTATCTCTCCCCTTCCCCAAGGCTTAACCACATACCTGGGAGTCTTCCCTGTCCCCTCCCTCCAAACCCACATCTAACTCATCCTGGAACACACACAGCCTAGAAATTCTCATGTCTCTTCCCTCCTCTCCACCCCTAGGCTCAGGTCTCATCCAACCTTGCTAGTGGCAACTGCCTTCTAACTCGCCACTACCCCAACCCTCCAAGATGATCTTTCTAAGATGCAAATCTGACCAGGCTACCCTTTGGTTGAGGTTAAAACCCTTCATGGCTCCTCGCTGCCTAGAGGACAAAGGCCGATGCTCCTCCCTTCACCATGCCTGCCCCCTCCTCTAACTTCCCTTGCTCATGCTTGCCTGTCTGCACGGGACATACTCCCTGGCTCCCAGGCCTGCCCTCTAACACACCCATAGGCTCCTTGGGGAAGGGCTCCATATCGGTCACCTTTGATTCCTTTGCAACATTTATTGGGTGCCTGCCATGCACCTGGTATTCAATAGGTGCTTAATAAATATTGTTTGGCCAGGTGAGGTGGCTCACACCTATAATCCTAGCACTTTGGGAGGCCGAGGTGGGTGGATCACTTGAGCCCAGACGTTCAAGACCAGCCTGGGCAACACAGGAAAACCCCATCTCTACAAAAAATAAACAAAATTAGCTGGGCATAGTGGCATGCACCTGTGGTCCCAGCTACTCGGGAGGCTGAGGTGGGAGGATCACTTGAGCTCTGGAGGTCGAGGCTGCAGTGAGCCCTGATAGCACCACTACACTCCAGCCTGAGTGACAGAGTGAGGCCCTGTCTCAAAAAGAAAAAAAGCTGGGCTCGATGGCTCACACCTGTAATCCTAGCACTTTGGGAGGCCCAGGTGGGAGGATTGCTGGAGCTCAGGAGATTGAGACCAGCCTGGGCAACACAGTGAGACCTCTTCTCTACAAAAATAAAAAATAAAAAATTAGCTGGGTGTGGTGGCACGTGCCTGTAGTCCCAGCTACTTGGGATGTTGAAGCAGGAGGATCGCTTGAGCCTGGGAGGTTAAGGCTGCAGTGAGCCATGACTGCACTATTGCACTCTAGCCTGGGTGACAGAGCGAGACCCTGTCTCAAAAAATAAAAGGAAGTAGAATTTAAAAAAATAAATCAGTAAGGAAACCAAGTCCCAGAGGGGTGACTTGATTATTTCAAATATCCCATAGTGACACAGGGCTCCCCGTTCAATGTTTTTTTCACTCCACTGGGCTGCTCCTTAGCTTCTACCCCCAGGACAGAGAATGGGAAGGCCACCTTTCCTGCTGTGGACATGAAGGGAAGGAGAGGGCAGGAAAGCCAGTCCCATCATCCCTCCAGCAGGGAAAGGAGAAAATAGAGTGAGAAGGGACATTCCCACCTACTGGTGCCAGCTCCAAGCCTCCCTCCTGTGGCCGGGGAAAAGCAGGACAGAAAGGCAGGGCCCAGCCAGGATGCAGAGCTCCCAGGTCCCAGCCAGGCTGCCCAGAAGAGGCCCTTCCCTTTCCCTGCTTCCCAGGTGCCTTGGTACAGAGCTTCTCAAAGTTGCTCCCCTGCCACCTGGTTTCCTTCTCCTGTTTGTTTCCTTCTCCCCATCTCTTTTCTAAGACTCATTGCTGACCTTATCCTTGCCACATGCGTCCAGTAAGACCTGTCTAGCTGGGAAGTGGAGGGAAAGGCAGAGTAGAGGAGGGGCTAAGTTAGGGATGAGGGCAAGAGCGACTTCCTGGCCCCTGCCCTAGCCCATGCATTGTGAGGCAAAGAAGGTAAGGGATAGGGTAGGTAACAAAAATGAAAGAGTTTTAGATCTGTCCGACCACCGCCTGCAGTGTTCTGTTGTATCTCCTCCTCCTGTCTTATAATGACTTTTTGGCAGATTCTAGAGCTTTCTAGGTACTTTGGGCTATACAAGTCCTATATAGTTCAGTTGACCCAGTTTTAAACTTCAATCTCCTGTCCCATTAAAACACTCTTCATTACCTGCTAGCCAAGGCTTGGCCCCAGGTCCAAAGGCTGGCACTGGGGAGAGGAATGCTCTGCTCTTTGCACCCACCCCCACCCCTGTGGCCCCCTCTGAGGCTTATTTCCCCGCTGTAGGAGAGAGGAAGACACAGGGGTAGGTGCCACTTACCTAGTGTTACAGTCAACCTCCCTCAGACGTGAAGCTCCCTTGGGTGTGGTGACACCCAAGCCGGCTGCACCATGGGGGCTCCGTTTGTGGGGTCCTCTTGGCCCACAGAATCTCACCTGTCTCCTCCTGTGCCCCTCTCCTTTCCCCATTCATCTCTCTCCAGGCTCTGTGTCCCTTATTCAGTGAGGCTAAGAGAGTGGATGAGCAAGTCCTCCACCCTAAAAGACAGCCGGCCTGGAGCGGGATGCCAATGTGTCCTTTGGCAGGCCCTGCCTTGAGGAGTCCTTCCTTGGGGAGGCTGCACCCACTCTCCTTGGTGGGCATCATCCTTGCCCTCTGAGCAGAGGAGGGAAAGCCACAGCCTGCCATCCTGGACTGGCCACTCCACACTCCAGTGCTGCTGGTCACAGTCTCCTCACATTCCGCTTGCCTTCTCTAATGCAGACTTCGGTGGGGAGAAGGCCTTCAGGGTGGGGGCTGGCAATTTCCTTTAGGCTGTGTGTGTGCTACTCAGAGGCCATTATTTTTAGTTTCAGAGCTTAGACACAAGTTCATTCAGAAAGTCTTTATCAAACACTCTGGGACGGGTGTGGTGGCTCACGCCTGTAATCCCAGCACTTTGGGAGGCTGAGGCAGGTAGATCACTTGAGGCCAGGAGTTCGAGATCAGCCTGGCGAACATGGTGAAAACCCCGTCTCTACTAAAAAAAACACAAAAAATTAGCTGGGCATGGTGGCACAAGCCTGTAGTGCCAGCTACTCGGGAGACTGAGAATCACTTGAACCGGGGAGGCAGAGGTTGCAGTAAGCCGAGATCACGCCACTACACTCCAGCCCAGGTGATGGAGCGAGACTGTCTCCAAAATAAATAAATAAAATTTTAAAAAATTTAAAAATTAAAAATACAAAAACATTATTCCAAGATCCCTTACCATCTGGTCATCTTCTTCTGGGATTAACTCCAATCCATCAAGGTCCCTTTTAAAATATAGTGTCCAGTACAACACTCCAGATGTGGAGGGCAATGGGAGTGTTGCCATTGCTCATCTGGACACCTTGAATCTATAGTCACTTTTATCCTTTTCACTTTTTTAGACAGCCACCCAGTATTGGTTTCTTCCTAACAAGCTTGTAGTCTTCTAAAACCCCCAGCTCTTTCTTCTTTGCTAGACACTCCCTACTCTTCAGCCGGTCTTTATTCTCCTCTTCTTATGCTGTTGATTTTTTGAAACCAAAAGCAGAATTTTACACTTATCCCTATTAAATGTCATCTGTTTTTTTTTTCTATTTTGCTAAAATATAACTCTCAGTTCTTGCATAGTCTGTAGATCTGATAAACATGGCTTCCATGTTTTCATTCAAGTCTTTAATTAAAACTTTTAATTGTCAGGACCAAGGACAGGTTCCCTCGGGGCAGCACACAGAACCCACTAAGCTTGCTCATGGCCATCTCTGGGGATGACTGCTGGGCTGACTTTGTATCCACCAGCTGTAGTACCACATAGTTCATATGTCCTGGGTCCAGAGACCCAATAAAAGGTACGGCCAATGGCCCCACAAACATCCCAGTAACTAAATGCAGTCACCAGGGAAGGAGATGAAGGGAGGGCCTAAGTTTCTCTAGGGAGGGCCTTATTTCTCTAAGTACCTCAAATATCAGGTATCTGTTTAGAATCTGGTAAGCACTGACGTCAGATCCTCTAGGTTGTGAATGCTGGAACCTACCATCTCCTGTTTTAGGAAAATCAACACCACACTCTTCCCCAGAATTCTTAACAATCTCTATTCCCCATAATTCCTAAAACTCACAAGAGTGATTCACAAGAGGAGGTTTTCTTTAGCTTAATGGCTTTCATTGTGACGGTCCTCAAAAAAGGCTTTATACAAAGACTTCCCTATACCTGGTCTTATTTGATTATCAGAACAAACTTATAGGGATAGGTGGGTATTAACCTGCTTTGCCAAATAGGTAAACTCAGGCTCACTTAGAGAAGTTATGTGATTTGTCCAATGTCATTCAGTTAGAAAGTGCAAAAGTCAGCTAATCTTTGCATGAGACACAGTTCCAAATGTCTCCCCTTTGGGTGAGGGTGAGGGGTTCAGAGAGGAACCCCCAGCCCAATGCCACCCTACCTCTTTAGGGGACCGCCCCCAAGAATCCCAGGGGATCTCAAACATTTAGCATCCCTCTCCTCCCAGACAGAAAGTGAAAGAAAGAAGGAGGTCGGGTGCAGTGGCTCATGCCTGTAATCCCAGCACTTTAGGAGGCCAAGGCGGGTGGATCACCTGAAGTCAGGAGTTCAAACCAGCCTGGCCAACATGGTGAAACCCCATCTCTACTAAAAATACAAAAATTAGCCTGGCATGGTGGCAGGCATCTGAAATCCCAGCTACTTGGGAGGCTGAGGCAGGAGAATCACTTGAACCGGGGAGGCGAAGGTTGCAGTGAGCCGAGATCACATCACTGCACTCCAGCCTGGGCAACAGAGCAAGACTCCCTCTCAAAGATAAAAATAAAAATAAAAGAAAGAGAGGAGGAGATTCCAAGCAAGCTCTGCTGGCCACAACTCTGGGGAGCCCTCAGCCCAAACCAAACAGCAGGATTTATGAGGTAATGCAAGGTTGAAGGAGCCTGGGCATCCCAGATCCTCAGCCTCCCGGCCTGCACTGACTCTCAGTCAATGTCCTGTCACTAACCCCTCCCTGGCCTCTATTCTACATATTGGTGGTGAATTCCAAAGCCCCATTGGCCTGGGGACAGGGATGGGGTCCTTGAGAGACTCCTCAAGGGGAGGGGATATTGGAGGGATGACTTCCTGGTTATTGACCCGGCTGTACCCTCTACTCAGAAAACCCTCTCCATCCTCTGTGCTGCCTGGCTCTGTCCCCAGCACCTTGGAGGCTGATTAAGTATTGTAGTCATCTTTTTATGTTTACCTCCACCAACAGACTATGAGTGCCCATCACTGTTGACCTCACATCACCAAACTATAAGCATTTCCAGGGCTGGGACAGAGTTCCTGCAATCTCTTTGGTGCTGACACATAGTAGGTACTCAATTAACACTTGAGCTAAATTGGATTTAGCAGCTTGATCAGAAACGCCTTCCCCAAAGATCCCCTCCGTCTCATTATCCCTGCATCTCCTCCCCAGCCCTACTTCTCCTTCACTGTAAATCCCCCAAATCCCACCTGTCCTTTACCTCCCAGCTCAAGGATGCACTCCGTCCAGAAAGCCTTCCCTACTACTCTCACCCTTGGTGAGCTCTCTACTTCATAAACTGTAGAATCTTTAAAAGGTTGTTTTGAAGATTAAGTCAGATCATGGAAGTAAAATATTGGAACACGACTGGGCACATCATAAAGGCTGGATAAACTTGGGCTAGTCGTTAGGAAGGAAAAGAATGGCCTCTTCCTGCTGCTTCCACTTCTGAAAGCCGCCAGAGGGCGTCCACTACCCAACATTCCCTGGCAGGGGGTGCGGGAGAAGGGGCCCTTCCCCAAGAACAGAACTTCCTAAAGCGGATGTTTGAACCTCGCAGTTATACAGAAGACTTGTAGGAAGGATGGACAAACGTTCTTAAGCCCATGACGGCCCTTAACCTGGTCGCTCCCTTTTCTGATGGAGACTCAGGCAATAGCGTGTGTGCGTGTGTGTGTGTGTGTGTGTGTGTGTGTGTATCCGTGTGTCCTAATATCAGACATTTGTTCTTGTTTTCCAGGCAGCGTCTCTCTAGCTTCTTTCTGCAATGCTGTAGTACTCTCTCCAGTATTTCAGGAGGAGGAGCATTTGCTATTTCAAAAACGAAAAACAAAAACCTGGCCACATCCATTTTTTTCAGCAGCCATGCGATTTCCATCATTGCTCACATTTTATGGATGAGGAAACTGAGTCTTAGAGGAATTCAGTAAGTGATACCTCTCTCGGATGTGTTGAGTAACTGAGACTGCACTCCCTCCCAGGCTGGAACGTCCTGGTACTCCCACCCCCACAGGCTCAGTTCTGTGCATTATCTGCCTTTTTCGGGGATTGTGACCCTTCTTCACAGCCTCCTCCCTCAGAAAGCCACCACCATCAGATCCGATTCTCCATGGTACAGCTTCTTCTTTGGTTCCACTCTCCAGCACCCTGGGGAAGCAGGAACAGAGGCTGCTGCCACTCTCTGACCTCTAAGGGGTTAAGGCCTGGGTCCCGCCCCTCTTCCCGCCCGCCTGGCGGGAGTATGAATAGCCTCGCTCCCACTCCCGACTCTCAGTCGCTCAGGCTACTCCCACCCCGCCCCGCCCCGTCATTGTCCCCGTCGGTCTCTTTTCTCTTCCGTCCTAAAAGCTCTGCGAGCCGCTCCCTTCTCCCGGTGCCCCGCGTCTGTCCATCCTCAGTGGGTCAGACGAGCAGGATGGAGGGCTGCATGGGGGAGGAGTCGTTTCAGATGTGGGAGCTCAATCGGCGCCTGGAGGCCTACCTGGCCCGGGTCAAGGCGCTGGAGGAGCAGAATGAGCTGCTCAGCGCGGAGCTCGGGGGGCTCCGGGCACAATCCGCGGACACCTCCTGGCGGGCGCATGCCGACGACGAGCTGGCGGCCCTGCGGGCCCTCGTTGACCAACGCTGGCGGGAGAAGCACGCGGCCGAGGTGGCGCGCGACAACCTGGCTGAAGAGCTGGAGGGCGTGGCAGGCCGATGCCAGCAGCTGCGGCTGGCCCGGGAGCGGACGACGGAGGAGGTAGCCCGCAACCGGCGCGCCGTCGAGGCAGAGAAATGCGCCCGGGCCTGGCTGAGTAGCCAGGTGGCAGAGCTGGAGCGCGAGCTAGAGGCTCTACGCGTGGCGCACGAGGAGGAGCGCGTCGGCCTGAACGCGCAGGCTGCCTGTGCCCCCCGCTGCCCCGCGCCGCCCCGCGGGCCTCCCGCGCCGGCCCCGGAGGTAGAGGAGCTGGCAAGGCGACTGGGCGAGGCGTGGCGCGGGGCAGTGCGCGGCTACCAGGAGCGCGTGGCACACATGGAGACGTCGCTGGGCCAGGCCCGCGAGCGGCTGGGCCGGGCGGTGCAGGGTGCCCGCGAGGGCCGCCTGGAGCTGCAGCAGCTCCAGGCTGAGCGCGGAGGCCTCCTGGAGCGCAGGGCAGCGTTGGAACAGAGGTTGGAGGGCCGCTGGCAGGAGCGGCTGCGGGCTACTGAAAAGTTCCAGGTGAGGAGGTTGAGGGCCTGGGTGAGAGAAAGTCCCAGAAAGCTCCAGAAAGTCCCTTATGAAGCTCAGAGACCTTCTGGGAAGGGAGTGGGGCTAGCTGGCTGCTGAATCAGGAGCCAGTTCTCAGAAACCTGGTGCCACAAGTCCTAGACTTTTACAGCCCGTCTAGTGTAGGATGCGAATGGTGGGGCTTCTCGAAGCACATCCCGGGTGGGCAGTCAGGCCCAAGACCCGTTGCAGCAGCCCCGCCACTCTCTGGATGGCACCTTCTGGCTCTGATGATGACCGGGGCTCCGGGTCCCTTCCCAGGCTCTGGTATTACTAGGAGGACACCCAGCACTGTCGCCTCTGCGCTGAATCTGGTGGCCTGGCCACTCAGAATCACCAAGTTCCTCACAGCCCTCCTTCTCCTGAGGGGAGGAGTGAGGGGCCGTGAATGAATGGCTACCAGCCCCCTCCCATGTCATGGCTTCTCGGCTCCCTGGAGCACATTCCAGAGGCCCATAACAGCTGCTCCTTCTCACAGGGCACAGATGTGACCAGCAGCTGAGAAAACAGCTTCTTGCCTGGGCCACACAGAGGTGCCATGGCCACCTCCCCATCCCTCCTCTCAGAGGAGACAGAATCCAGAACATGTGGGAAATGGGGGTGGGGCGGGGGTGAGAGCCTGCTGTGAGGAGCAGGAGACAGTTGTGGGAGATGGGACCAACGGGGGACGGGGGCTGTTTGCCTTCCAGTCCTGCAGGCTCCAGGCATCTTGATTAATCGTTTTTCCTTCTGCTTTCGCTTTTTTTTCCCCCTCTTCTCTCTCCATAACCCATCTCGTCTCCTCCCTCACCTCCCCTTCCTGTGGGAGCTGTGTTCTGAGCAACATGTGCTACCATTTAATCAGCATCCTCAGAGGAGGAGCAGGCCATGGGAGAGAGCTGAGAGTGCTGACAGGGGCCCTGGGCTCATCTTGGCTGATCCAGAGGGGGCTCTCTGGGCAGGGAATAGGGTAGGGGAGGCGGGGGTCTGCTACACAGATAAGTCAGCCAGGGAGCAGGAGGTGCTTCCCGGGCAGCGGCAGCGGGCAGGAGGCAGGTTGGTTCACAGAAGGGACCCCAGCCCCTCCACTGACTGCCTCTCGCCTGCCCTGCAGCTGGCTGTGGAGGCCCTGGAGCAGGAGAAACAGGGCCTACAGAGCCAGATCGCTCAGGTCCTGGAAGGTCGGCAGCAGCTGGCGCACCTCAAGATGTCCCTCAGCCTGGAGGTGGCCACGTACAGGTACGAGACGAGCCCTGTCCACCCAGGCACACAGAGGCACACACACATGCTGGGGCAGACTACGTGGCTGAAGGGGACCAGAGGTGTAGGTGATGGCAACTCTGCTGCCACTGGGTTCTGTGACTCTAGGCTGGTCACTTCCACACCGGAACATGTCCTGCCTGAAACCGTCTGCTCCCCCATAGGCTGGAGACCTGAGCAATGTCCTGTGCCCAGGAAATCCCCCCAGGAGAGATGATATTGCCGAGCGGGACAGCCTCTGGAGAGGGGCTGGGCCCGTGTGGGGCAACTGCATCCAGACCCTTCCCCCAAGGGGCAAAGCTCCAACTCTATGTGTGCCCGCACCCAGGGGGTCATGTCCTTTGGCAGCCACGGAAAGGAGGCATTGCAGGCATGGGGTGGCTGCACTGACTTGCCACCTGACCTGGGCCTCAGCCTCGTCTAGGGGCTGAGGGCTGGGCTGGGGGACTTCCAAGGCCTCTTCTAGCCTGGATGTCATGGGGCGAGACTCCTCTGATGCCCCTAGTGCCCTTGGTCCTGCCCAGCCTTTCATTGTCCACATTTTCTGTTATCCTAGAAATGGCTGAGACCAAGGAGGGGTGGCTTCTCACTTGCTATGTGGCCTTGGGCAAAGCCCGCAGTCTCTTCTGGGAAACTGGTCCTGTTGGCTGAGGGGCCATTGATGGGGCCTGAGGAAGGGGCTCTGTGGCTGGTGAGGGGCCACATGAGATCCAGGAAAGGAGGAGAGGCAAGGCCCAGAGATGGAAGGTCAGTGAGGCTCTGGGGAGGACGTGGAGGAGAGGGGCTCCACCGCCAGGGAAGAGAAGCCCAGAAGGAAGGCCGCAGCACTGGCAAGGACAGAGGTGAGGCTACAGCGAGTGCTAACCAGACTCAGAGATCATGGAGCAAAGCAGAGAGGAGCAGCTGCTCATCCTAAGTTATTGAATTGATTGGTCCCTGCTCCCCTCTTTGGTTCAAGGGGCGCTGAGGAAGGGGCCTGGACACAAAGACCTCTGTGCCCCGAAGAGCTTGGGATCCAGAGTGCTTAGAGATCCTGAGATGAGGGCCCTGACCCCCAGTGAAGCCACCAAGGGGAAGGGTCTGGTGGGCCCCGAGGAATTTAACTGCTATTTTTTGAGGCATGAAAAGGATTTGGAGAGGGGGAGCTGAATTCATTTGCTTTTGTCTGTCGCTAGCTCTGGGGGCCACCGGGGAAGGAGGAGGGAGCCCATCCCATGGGAACGGCCTGAGAATTCCCACTTCCCCAGAATCCTCTCCTTCTCAGACCCTCCAGATGGTGGCTTGGACAATGGCAGCAATTAGCATGAGAATCGGTCCCCCACACAGAGGATGAGGTCATTGGCCTGGGGTGGGAGGAGGAGGCTAGCCTAAGCCTTGTGTGGGTGTGTGTAGGGCAATGTCCGACTGTGTGGGAATCTGCTTCTATGTCTGAGCTCTGCTGTGTATCCCAAATACAGTGTGACTTTGTGTGACCAAGTGTGTGATGTCTGTGGGTATGTGACTGTGTGATTTCACCCTGAGTGTGGCTTTTGTGTGACAGTGTCAAATGAAGAGGAAGCCTGCAGGGCCTGGATGGTGCAAGCTCAGCCTGAGTTGTCCCCAGCTGGCTTGCTGCCTGCAGGCCTGGGGGCAGAGGGCTGACCCCACTTTCCCTCTGTCCTCTCCAGGACCCTCCTGGAGGCTGAGAACTCCCGGCTGCAAACACCTGGCGGTGGCTCCAAGACTTCCCTCAGCTTTCAGGGTAAGAGGAGGGGCCAAGTTCCCCCAGAAACTACCCTGCTTTGCTCTTCATACCCAGACCTATCTTTCCCGAGAGGCACCAATCTAAATTTCAAGTCCGTGGCCTCCAGTGTCAGTGAGCATGCTCTCAGCCCAGCCATGGGCGCCAGGGGCAGGCGCATGGATACTCTTGCCAGCGGTGGCTGCTCTGTGGCTCCCCTCATTGCCAGTGATATACTGATGCTGTTTCTTCCCCCTCTGCCTTTCCAGACCCCAAGCTGGAGCTGCAATTCCCTAGGACCCCAGAGGGCCGGCGTCTTGGATCTTTGCTCCCAGTCCTGAGCCCAACTTCCCTCCCCTCACCCTTGCCTGCTACCCTTGAGACACCTGTGCCAGCCTTTCTTAAGAACCAAGAATTCCTCCAGGCCCGTACCCCTACCTTGGCCAGCACCCCCATCCCCCCCACACCTCAGGCACCCTCTCCTGCTGTAGATGCAGAGATCAGAGCCCAGGATGCTCCTCTCTCTCTGCTCCAGACACAGGGTGGGAGGAAACAGGCTCCAGAGCCCCTGCGGGCTGAAGCCAGGGTGGCCATTCCTGCCAGCGTCCTGCCTGGACCAGAGGAGCCTGGGGGCCAGCGGCAAGAGGCCAGTACAGGCCAGTCCCCAGAGGACCATGCCTCCTTGGCACCACCCCTCAGCCCTGACCACTCCAGTTTAGAGGCTAAGGATGGAGAATCCGGTGGGTCTAGAGTGTTCAGCATATGCCGAGGGGAAGGTGAAGGGCAAATCTGGGGGTTGGTAGAGAAAGAAACAGCCATAGAGGGCAAAGTGGTAAGCAGCTTGCAGCAGGAAATATGGGAAGAAGAGGATCTAAACAGGAAGGAAATCCAGGACTCCCAGGTTCCTTTGGAAAAAGAAACCCTGAAGTCTCTGGGAGAGGAGATTCAAGAGTCACTGAAGACTCTGGAAAACCAGAGCCATGAGACACTAGAAAGGGAGAATCAAGAATGTCCGAGGTCTTTAGAAGAAGACTTAGAAACACTAAAAAGTCTAGAAAAGGAAAATAAAGAGCTATTAAAGGATGTGGAGGTAGTGAGACCTCTAGAAAAAGAGGCTGTAGGCCAACTTAAGCCTACAGGAAAAGAGGACACACAGACATTGCAATCCCTGCAAAAGGAGAATCAAGAACTAATGAAATCTCTTGAAGGTAATCTAGAGACATTTTTATTTCCAGGAACGGAAAATCAAGAATTAGTAAGTTCTCTGCAAGAGAACTTAGAGTCATTGACAGCTCTGGAAAAGGAGAATCAAGAGCCACTGAGATCTCCAGAAGTAGGGGATGAGGAGGCACTGAGACCTCTGACAAAGGAGAATCAGGAACCCCTGAGGTCTCTTGAAGATGAGAACAAAGAGGCCTTTAGATCTCTAGAAAAAGAGAACCAGGAGCCACTGAAGACTCTAGAAGAAGAGGACCAGAGTATTGTGAGACCTCTAGAAACAGAGAATCACAAATCACTGAGGTCTTTAGAAGAACAGGACCAAGAGACATTGAGAACTCTTGAAAAAGAGACTCAACAGCGACGGAGGTCTCTAGGGGAACAGGATCAGATGACATTAAGACCCCCAGAAAAAGTGGATCTAGAACCACTGAAGTCTCTTGACCAGGAGATAGCTAGACCTCTTGAAAATGAGAATCAAGAGTTCTTAAAGTCACTCAAAGAAGAGAGCGTAGAGGCAGTAAAATCTTTAGAAACAGAGATCCTAGAATCACTGAAGTCTGCGGGACAAGAGAACCTGGAAACACTGAAATCTCCAGAAACTCAAGCACCACTGTGGACTCCAGAAGAAATAAATCAGGGGGCAATGAATCCTCTAGAAAAGGAAATTCAAGAACCACTGGAGTCTGTGGAAGTGAACCAAGAGACATTCAGACTCCTGGAAGAGGAGAATCAGGAATCATTGAGATCTCTGGGAGCATGGAACCTGGAGAATTTGAGATCTCCAGAGGAGGTAGACAAGGAAAGTCAAAGGAATCTGGAAGAGGAAGAGAACCTGGGAAAGGGAGAGTACCAAGAGTCACTGAGGTCTCTGGAGGAGGAGGGACAGGAGCTGCCGCAGTCTGCAGATGTGCAGAGGTGGGAAGATACGGTGGAGAAGGACCAAGAACTGGCTCAGGAAAGCCCTCCTGGGATGGCTGGAGTGGAAAATGAGGATGAGGCAGAGCTGAATCTGAGGGAGCAGGATGGCTTCACTGGGAAGGAGGAGGTGGTAGAGCAGGGAGAGCTGAATGCCACAGAGGAGGTCTGGATCCCAGGCGAGGGGCACCCAGAGAGCCCTGAGCCCAAAGAGCAGAGAGGCCTGGTTGAGGGAGCCAGTGTGAAGGGAGGGGCTGAGGGCCTCCAGGACCCTGAAGGGCAATCACAACAGGTGGGGGCCCCAGGCCTCCAGGCTCCCCAGGGGCTGCCAGAGGCGATAGAGCCCCTGGTGGAAGATGATGTGGCCCCAGGGGGTGACCAAGCCTCCCCAGAGGTCATGTTGGGGTCAGAGCCTGCCATGGGTGAGTCTGCTGCGGGAGCTGAGCCAGGCCCGGGGCAGGGGGTGGGAGGGCTGGGGGACCCAGGCCATCTGACCAGGGAAGAGGTGATGGAACCACCCCTGGAAGAGGAGAGTTTGGAGGCAAAGAGGGTTCAGGGCTTGGAAGGGCCTAGAAAGGACCTAGAGGAGGCAGGTGGTCTGGGGACAGAGTTCTCCGAGCTGCCTGGGAAGAGCAGAGACCCTTGGGAGCCTCCCAGGGAGGGTAGGGAGGAGTCAGAGGCTGAGGCCCCCAGGGGAGCAGAGGAGGCGTTCCCTGCTGAGACCCTGGGCCACACTGGAAGTGATGCCCCTTCACCTTGGCCTCTGGGGTCAGAGGAAGCTGAGGAGGATGTACCACCAGTGCTGGTCTCCCCCAGCCCAACGTACACCCCGATCCTGGAAGATGCCCCTGGGCCTCAGCCTCAGGCTGAAGGGAGTCAGGAGGCTAGCTGGGGGGTGCAGGGGAGGGCTGAAGCCCTGGGGAAAGTAGAGAGCGAGCAGGAGGAGTTGGGTTCTGGGGAGATCCCCGAGGGCCCCCAGGAGGAAGGGGAGGAGAGCAGAGAAGAGAGCGAGGAGGATGAGCTCGGGGAGACCCTTCCAGACTCCACTCCCCTGGGCTTCTACCTCAGGTCCCCCACCTCCCCCAGGTGGGACCCCACTGGAGAGCAGAGGCCACCCCCTCAAGGGGAGACTGGAAAGGAGGGCTGGGATCCTGCTGTCCTGGCTTCCGAGGGCCTTGAGGCCCCACCCTCAGAAAAGGAGGAGGGGGAGGAGGGAGAAGAGGAGTGTGGCCGTGACTCTGACCTGTCAGAAGAATTTGAGGACCTGGGGACTGAGGCACCTTTTCTTCCTGGGGTCCCTGGGGAGGTGGCAGAACCTCTGGGCCAGGTGCCCCAGCTGCTACTGGATCCTGCAGCCTGGGATCGAGATGGGGAGTCCGATGGGTTTGCAGATGAGGAAGAAAGTGGGGAGGAGGGAGAGGAGGATCAGGAGGAGGGGAGGGAGCCAGGGGCTGGGCGGTGGGGGCCAGGGTCTTCTGTTGGCAGCCTCCAGGCCCTGAGTAGCTCCCAGAGAGGGGAATTCCTGGAGTCTGATTCTGTGAGTGTCAGTGTCCCCTGGGATGACAGCTTGAGGGGTGCAGTGGCTGGTGCCCCCAAGACTGCCCTGGAAACGGAGTCCCAGGACAGTGCTGAGCCTTCTGGCTCAGAGGAAGAGTCTGACCCTGTTTCCTTGGAGAGGGAGGACAAAGTCCCTGGCCCTCTAGAGATCCCCAGTGGGATGGAGGATGCAGGCCCAGGGGCAGACATCATTGGTGTTAATGGCCAGGGTCCCAACTTGGAGGGGAAGTCACAGCATGTGAATGGGGGAGTGATGAACGGGCTGGAGCAGTCTGAGGAAGTGGGGCAAGGAATGCCGCTAGTCTCTGAGGGAGACCGAGGGAGCCCCTTTCAGGAGGAGGAGGGGAGTGCTCTGAAGACCTCTTGGGCAGGGGCTCCTGTTCACCTGGGCCAGGGTCAGTTCCTGAAGTTCACTCAGAGGGAAGGAGATAGAGAGTCCTGGTCCTCAGGGGAGGACTAGGAAAAGACCATCTGCCCGGCACTGGGGACTTAGGGGTGCGGGGAGGGGAAGGACGCCTCCAAGCCCGCTCCCTGCTCAGGAGCAGCACTCTTAACTTACGATCTCTTGACATATGGTTTCTGGCTGAGAGGCCTGGCCCGCTAAGGTGAAAAGGGGTGTGGCAAAGGAGCCTACTCCAAGAATGGAGGCTGTAGGAATATAACCTCCCACCCTGCAAAGGGAATCTCTTGCCTGCTCCATCTCATAGGCTAAGTCAGCTGAATCCCGATAGTACTAGGTCCCCTTCCCTCCGCATCCCGTCAGCTGGAAAAGGCCTGTGGCCCAGAGGCTTCTCCAAAGGGAGGGTGACATGCTGGCTTTTGTGCCCAAGCTCACCAGCCCTGCGCCACCTCACTGCAGTAGTGCACCATCTCACTGCAGTAGCACGCCCTCCTGGGCCGTCTGGCCTGTGGCTAATGGAGGTGACGGCACTCCCATGTGCTGACTCCCCCCATCCCTGCCACGCTGTGGCCCTGCCTGGCTAGTCCCTGCCTGAATAAAGTAATGCCTCCGCTTCAAAGTCTGGACTCTTCTTTCCCCCACTCAGAGGGGACCCTCAGGGTTAGTACAGGAGAGAGATGGCGGGGGCGGGCGGGGGGTGGCGGGGGAGAGGAGGAAGCTGGTGCTGGGGAGGGGCTGCCTCCTGAGGAGAGGAGGACCTGGGGGGATGAGGGCAGACAGACCCAAGCTGCAGGGAGCAGTGCTGGGGCCTGGGGAGGGCCAGGGGCTGTTGCTTGGCTGGGGGAGGCCAGTCCAGGTGACCTCAGCGCCTGCAGAAGCCAGGCCCATCATCATCTCTGCCCACAGTACTGATTACAGGGATTAGGCCTTGGGGCCACCCCCACCCTTGTATACCCCCCCCCATTAGTGCCTTGGTGCCGCCAGCATAATAAGCCCCCTTGTCTCTAAACCCAAACAAGTTGTCTGGCCTGATCTCCTCAGCCTGACTGGGTGGGAGCAGGGTGAGGGAAGAGGCAGGCCTGTTCTTCCTCAGTCTGGCTGCATGGCCTCAGGTCAGCATTGATCCTCTCTGAGCCTCAGACTCTGCCACACAATGAGAGAGGCTGGGCCAGGTGACCTGGGAGCCTCCCAGGGCCCAGGAGAGCAGGAAGGAGGCTGAAGACAGCGTAGCTCTTCAGTAGGACTTCCTTCACACGCTGCAGCAGGAGGCAGGGAAGAAGGGAAAGTGGAGGGGGAGCTGAACTGTCAGGGTGGGAGCTAGGGGTGTGCTGATGACAGTGCTGTGCTGGCAGCAGCTTAGCCCGAGGGTCCTCCAGCCACAGTGTCTCCTCCTCACCCCACTTCCCAGGAGCTCTCTGTGTCCCTGTGTAGGACAGGGAGGGGACCAGGGGTTCCTGGATTAGGTGGGGCCTGCAGGCCTTGAAGTCAGGATACCCAAATAGAAACCACTCGCTGCTTCAGCTCTGCGGGGAAGGAAGATCTGGCGACACTTCTAAATAGCGCGGGTGGGGGTGGGATAGGGCTGCCAAACAAATGCTCCAGTTTGGAGTCAATCCCAAGTCCAGGAGCAGGCTCTTCCTCCCTTTGGGCTCAGGGCTGAGGGCTGGAGAAAGATGAGAAGATGAAGTCCCAGCCCCTCTGGCTCCTACTTCTGTCATCCAGCCAGAGAGAGGTGGATAGGGGCCTCCCTGACAGGCCCTCACTGTCTGCTTCTCTGCCTGTCTCCATCTAGCACCTCTGTCTTGGGCACCCAGGCTCCATTTCACAGCCGCTATGCCCTATCCCTCAGGGGCCAAGATCCTGTCTCTCCCCACCCCACCCTCCTGGCAGCCCAAACCTCCGCTCTCTCCTTCCTGTACCCACTGCTAACAAGGCCCTATCTAATCCTGCCAGGCTGCTAGGCCTGGGGCCAGTGCATTGGCATCCAGGCAAGGAAGGCCCACTCCCTGCCCCTCCAATGGGACAGAGGTGCCCTGTGCTTGATCTCCCCAGGCCCTTGGGCACCTCCGCTTGGGCAAGGGCCAAGGACAGGGGCCTAGCCAAGCAGTCCTTCCCTGTGCCTGGTGCCCACCCTACCCCCCACACAGGGCCCCTGATCGCCTATAGAGTTACCAAACTGGCCATTGCTGCCAATAATCTCAAACAGGGTAGAAGCGAGGACTTCCCTAAGGATATATGTCGTGGAAGGCGTGTTCTCTTTGGAAGTGATTGTCTGTCAATGCAGCAAGAGGAATGAGGGTTGGACAGTAACAGGGACATTCCTGGTGGTGAGAACAGGAGTAGTCATCATTTGTTAACAACTATTTACTGAGCATCTACTACATGCCATGCGCTGTGCAGGCACTGGGGAGCCAAGATAAAGAACAATGTGCTTCCTCACTCAGGCAGCTTTACCTACCAGTTAAACAAGGGCTTCTCAGTGGAAATCATATCTGAAAACGGAGAAGTGCCCTAGGTTATGGGAGCAGAGTGCAGGGGACCTCGCCTGACCTGGGCTGGGGGGTGTACGGGAGGGGGTAGACAGGGAAGGCTCTCCTGAGAACCTGAAGGATGAGCAGGAGTGGCCAGTGGGGGAGGAGGGGGAGGAAAATGGTTCTGGTCAGAGGGAACAGCACGTGCAAAGTTCAGAGGCAGGAAGAGAGCCTGGGCAACTGAGGAAGAGAAGGAAGGCTCCTGTGCCAGACGGTGGAGGAGGGAAGAGAAAGTTCATGATGAGACTGAAGAGAGAGCCAGGGTTCGGGGACAGAGGTCTCATTAGATAGGCAGGAAACAAAGAATTCTTCGTATTTGGAGGCAATGAATGAATTCTGAAGTGAGAGCTTCTAAAGGGTTGTAAGCAGAGGTGACCTGACCAGGTTTGCGTTTCTTTTTTTTTTTTTGAGAAGGAGTCTCATTCTGTCACCCAGGCTGGAGTGCGGTGATGCAATCTTGGCTACTCCAACCTCTGCCTCCTGGGTTCAAGCAATTCTCTTGCCTCAGCCTCCCAAGTAGCTGGGATTACAGGCGCCCGAGGCCACGCCCAGCTAATTTTTGTATTTTTTGTTTGCTTGTTTGTGTTTGGAGACGGGAGTCTCATTCTGTCACCCAGGCTGGAGTGCAGTGGTGCGATCTTGGCTCACTGCAACCTCTGCTCCCAGGTTCAAGAGATTCTCCTGCCTCAGCCTCCAGAGCAGCTGGGATTACAGGCACCTGCCACCACACCCGGCTAATTTTTGTATAGTAGAGACAGGGTTTCACCATGATGGCCAGGTTAATCTCAAACTCCTGACCTCAGGTGATCTGCCCGCCTCGGCCTCCCAAAGTGCTGGGATTACGGGTGTGAGCCACCGCCCCCTGCCCAGGTTTGCATTTCAAGTCAAACTCTCTGGCTGCTGTGTGGAAACGGGTTGGTGTGGGCAGGAGGGCTTCAGGGAGGCTCCTGCCTGCCACAGTGCAGGCAGGAGACAGTGGTGGTGGCAGTGGTGGTGGAGAAGAGACACGTGAGGAAAGGGAATCTCAGGACTTGGTAATCCACGGTAGGGAGGGGGATAGGCCAGCAGAGGGTCCCAGGTTTTTGGCCTGGGCAGCTGGGAGACGTAGGACTATTTTCTGAGCAGCAGAGTCCAGCAGGAAATTGTGACCTCCAGGAGGAGGTGCCTGGGGTGGGTGGACACATGGAACTGGAGCACAGGAGAGAGGGCCAGGTTGGAGACAAGAATTAGGGGGTCACTGGCCTAGAGATTCCCCAGAGAGAGCATACAGGATGAAGAGAGCCCTGGACAGAGCTCCAGAGGAGCTCCTGACAGACAGGAGATGACCGGGAAGGAGCTGGAAAAGGAGGCCAGAGTAGGAGCAAAACCAGGAGACTGCGGGGTCTCAGACATGTTGTCATCATGGGAATTTCTGGGATAGCAAGACCTTTGTCCTGGTCATCGCCCAGAGCCTAGCTCAGTGCCTGGGAGCCCAGGGGGTGCTGAATAAACGCGTATTAAATAAATGAATGACCATGACAGACAACGGGACAAACTTCTGAGGGTGGAGTCCCAGGGGAGGGAGCACAGAGGGACAGTATCCCCCCCTCCCCCACCCCTCCAATCAGTGCAAGGACAAGTGGGAGGTTATTCTGGGGCCTCCTCTGGGTAAATATAGCTTCTGGACGGGGTGGGGCCGGGTGGGGGGCCGGAGGTTGCTTCCTCGGTTTGTTTGGGGCACTTCCTTATAAGGCTGTGCAGGCTGAGGCGCCTCAGAGGGTGAGGTCAGGGGCTGAGCTCTCCATTCAACCCAGCCTGATGCTGTCCCGTTGCTGCTGCTGCCGCTCCTGCCGCCACTGCCACCAGAGTCTCAGAGGAAATCAAAGACCTAGGCATTGGGCTCTGGCCAAGGGAGTGCAGAGCGTGGCCTCTTAAAGGGCTCCTTCAGCCTCAATGTCTGTGTGAGAGCCCAGCCCTGGAGTGGGGAGAGCGCGTTCTTCCAGTGTCCTCTCAGAAAGAGATGCTGGACACCTCCTTCCCCCACGGGGCCTTCCTGGGACTGGGTCATCCCCACACAGCTAGGACATCCTGTGGTCTAACCTTGATCCCTGCCACTGCAGGGTCTATGCCTCTTTCTCTGGTCTCTTGAGATCAAAGAATCAGAATTCATTTATTGCCTCCAAAGACAGGCCCTGGTCCTCCACTTCCCTCCCTGCCCCCTTCTCAGCCCCTCCCTGGGGAACCAGCTGCTGCCACTTGACCCTGTGGTGTCACAGCTGCTGTCAGCAATGCCATCCTCATGAAGCAGGGAGAGAGGAATGTGATTTAATTTCAGCTGGAATGTGCTCTCTAAGGCTGCCCATGGAAGGGAGAGGGGATGGAAAAAAAGCCCACCTAAGCCCAGGAAACCTGAGACGACTCTGGGCTTGGGCACAGGCTCCTGGGTCCCAACTGGACCCCCAGCCCCACCCACAGGGGAGAGCTAAGTTCCAGGATGGGTCCTGCAGCAGGACAGATGGAAGTTAGACTTGAGGGTCTTCCTGGGAGGTGGGAAAACAGGATGTCTCTTGAATGCAGCTCGAGTGCCTGAAGAAAGGACCCAAGTACTCTGTTCCTGAATCTACAGGCCGACCTTAGAAAGACTAGGATGAGAATCTCAAGTGGCTGAACGAGGGGAGGGGCGGCTTGGCTCAGAAGCAGAGAGAGGGACAGAAAGAATGGCCCACAGAGGAAAACATGGCCCTCTCTCTTTCCTCTCTCATGGCACTGGGGTCTCCCATCTACCTCCCTGCTGGGAGCCCTCTTTCCCCTCTCCTTCTGCTTTCTTTCTTTTCTTCTTCTTCTTCTTTTTTTTTTTTTAAGAGATGGAGATCTCGTCTGTCACCCAGGCTGGAGTGCAGTGGCACTATCCTAGTTCACGGCAGCCTTGGCCTCCTTGGCTCACAACAGCGATTCTCCCACCTCAGCCTCTCAAGTTGCTGGGACTGCAGGTACAAGCCACCAGGCCTGGCTAATTTTTATATTTTTAGTAGAGACGGGCTCTTGCTATGTTGCCTAGGCTGGTCTTGAACTCCTGGGCTCAAGTGATCCGCCTGCTTTGGCCTCCCCAAATGCTGAGATTACAGGTATGAGCCACTGTGACTGGCCTCCCAGTCTTTCTAACACAGCATTCCCACACCCAGATCAGGCTTGTCTCTTCTCCCACATTTCAAGGGTAGAGGCCCTGCCTCCTACTCCCCAAAGCCTTCCCCAAGCCCCATTATTCCAGGGGCTCCAATGTGGATGTCCCTCCTGTTCTTGATGCTCTGGCCCCAAAGGGATGGACCCTAGGTCCCAGAGTCCCAGGCCCTAGAGCCCTCTTCCTTCTTCAACCTTCTCTTCTAGTCACAGTCTCCCCTCCCCCAGTCCCATTCACTCTCCCCACCCCCATGACTCAGCTGTGTCTCCAGAAATAAACCGAGGCAGGTGCCAGGAGGCCTCTGTCGAGGAACCCCCCCTCCCAACAGCTGCCGTCTCAGCTGCTTGCAAGCGCCAGGGCCCCAGAGCCCCAGGAAGGGTGGCTGGGAGACTTCACAGTTCGGGAATGCTCCACTGACTCTGGCCCCCTCCTGGGTCTTCAGGACTCCATCTTCTTCATAAAGGAGAGACATTTGCCACTCAGGGACCCAACTCTCCTTCCCTGTCTCCCCATTTTCACCTCTCTTCTGTCTTCTACCTACTTTCCTCCCTCCTCCCTGGCCCCTTCCCAATTTCTGAGTCTTTTGGTCTCTCCAGGATTTCTTCCTTTCACTTGCCAGGAAATTATGTCAGAGAGAACTTCAGTTCACCCTGACAGGAAAACTGAGGCACAGAGCGATGTCCCTTGCCAATGATACTAGGAATTCCTAGATGCCACTTGGGGTCTATAGAACATGGGCCAGGCCAGGCGAGGTGGCTTATGCCTGTAGTCCCAGCATTTTGGGAGGCTGAGGCAGGAGGATTGCTTGAGCCCGGTAGTTCGAGACCAGCCTGGGCAACATGGAGAAACCTCGTTCCTACAAAAACAGAAACAAAAATTTGCCTGCATGGTAGCATGCGCCTTGTAGTCCCAGCTGCTCAGGAGGCTGAGGCACGAGAATCGCTTGAGCCTGGGAGGCAGAGGTTGCAGTGAGTCAAGATCGTGCCTCTGTACTACAATCTGGGCAACAAAGTGAGACCCTGTCTCAAAAAAATGAAACAAAAACCCATGGGCCAGGGGACTGTGGCCTAGCCCCCTTAAATACTCCAGTCCTGTGGTCAACAGCCTCCCCATTAGCAAGCTCTCTAAATACTAAGGAAGAAGCATCCGGGAATAAACACAGAAGCCACAAGATCCACCCACTCAGACAATTAACTAGTCTAGAGTCTCTCAGTGGGGGGAATTTCCTCGCATTCTTCCTTTTCTCCTGCTTTCTTTTCTTTTTCCTTCCTTTTTTCCTTCCTTTCCTTTCCTTTCGTTCCTCATGCTCTGTCCCTGCCTTTTTCAGTTCTCCCTTCTCGGGAGGAAGTAGGCTGCTTTGCAGCATGCAGAGCGGAAGTCAGATCTCAGGAAGGACCTCCAGTCTGCAGATTGAAAGAACTCTTGCACAGCTGGGAGAGACAGCACCTGGGCCCTCATTCCAGGCAGAGATCTGCCTGCAGCCCCCAGGGAAAGTCCACTCACCCACGGGAGCCTGACGGGCTGAGCATTTTTGGAAGTCTTTGGGAGCTGCTGTGTCACAGCAGGCAGCCAGAACAATGGGGCTCTTTCTTTCCCTGTGCAGGAGACAGGCCCACAGACAGGGCCTCACGGCTGGGACAAAGGCCCCAGTGAGGTCAGGACAGTGCTGTGGGAGTTGGGGGTGTGGGGGAGGAATGGGGAGGTAGGTGTGTGGTAGAGCAGCCTGGAAGGAAGGAAGCTGGAGACCCTGGCAGATAAGTTGGGGCTCTCTGGAAGGCCATCTCATCAGGCTGCCAAGCCCCTCGGCAATGTTCAAGCCCCTAAATCTCACCCAGGCTGCGTCTCTTCCCTCCATACACATTCTGATCTCCTTCATTCCCAGGAAACTGAAAACTCTGCGAAGGGACCCCTGTTTAGACGTGGGAAGGAGGCTGAGAGCTTAACCACACATGCAGGGGCTTGGCAGGGGCGAGCACATCGTTAGATTAGTGCTGTGCCCTGGAGGCAGAGGCAGACACAGATGTGGCCCCTACTCCACATCCCCAGAGATGGGGCTGACACTCTATGAGGGGCCAATTCCTCCTGCCCAAGGCCAGGATAGGACACACACACACACACACACACACACACACACACACGGACTGGGCCAGGGGTTGGACTCTGTGCAGGACGCTGAGTCACCCGTGGACCAGCTCCGCCTTCCCCAGGAAACCCAACAAAGCCAGGAGAGGGCTTCCGTTTCCGGGCCCCGCCAGAACACCCCAGCAGGTGTCAGGGACAGGGCAGTATTCCAGCTTCAGCCTGTCTACCTCTGGAGCTCTCCTGATCAATACATCAGAGAAGATGATGGAGCCCTCCTGCCGCTCTTGGGGAGAGTTGGTGAGAATGCCTTGATGGGAAACCAAAGCCCCTTCCAGCTCACCACCATGGGCTCTCTGGGGAATCCAATATACTATCTAAACTCCACCTCAGGGAACCTCCCGTAAGAGCCCAGGGACAGACACTGCCCCTCCCCAGCCTTCTCCTCTTCAGGCCCTACTTTCAAAGGCCCACCTTGATCTTCATCCACTCACAGTTCCACCTAAATGCCCCCGAGAGCCCTAAAAATGCATTGACTGGACAATCACAGGGTAATACAGGATACAGTGAGGATCTACTCTGGCCCCAGAATCATCCTCTTCCCTATAGCTCCTTAAGAAACAGAAGCCCCTGCTCCCTAGCCACGCAGGGCAGAGTTGTGTGGGGGGCAGAAGGTGGGGGAGGTGAGGCCTGGGGTGAGGGAGGAATGTGGTGGTAGGTGGGTGTGGGAGGTCACACTGGTATATCAGAGACCAGCTGGTTTCAAGTTTAGAAATAGGGTGGGGAAGGCCCAGGAGCTGGGCAGGGATGGCCTAGGAGAGCCCCAGCTCCCACCAACACAGAGCTGTATTGAACTTGTGTCTGCCTGTCTTGCCCACTATCTCTGGGTCTCCCCGTATTACTATCAGCCTTTGCTCCTCCGGATCTGTCTCCCTGTCTCTGGATTTTACTGGCTTCAGAGAAGGAATAAGTATTGCCCATGTGGGTGATGTGCTGTAACTAAGTGGGCACATGCAGGAGTGTGTACACACGACAGTGTGCACGTGTGTGCCTATGTGTGACCGTGTGTGCCTGAGGATCTGCAGCAATGATTCATCCTCATCATGAGGACAGACTGCATCCTGACATGCACTTCACCAACAATTCTGTGCACTGGGAGAAGGGTGCACACTCACACACACGCATGCGCGTACACACACGCACGCGTACACACACACACACACACAGGCACACGCGGGCGCTGGGTCACTCTCCAGTTCTCTGAGTGACCTCATCCTCTCAACCTCCGCTGACTCACAGCCCCCAGGGCCAGATCAGCCTGGCCGGAAGTCTAACCCCCCCACATAGCCAGCCACCCCCCTTCCCCTCCCGCCTCCTCAGGACGCAAGTCCGCGGCGCCCCCTAGCGGGATCCTGGGGCTCCTCGCACCCCTCTGCCCGTCTCCACCGGCGCACGCGTACACGGCACTCTCAGAGCACCGTGCTGGGTCCGCGGCGCCCTCTGCTGGCCGCTGCCTGTGCGGGCCCCCAGTTCGTTCCCCGAAGCCCAGTCCACCGCAGGGCTGGGAACCTCCCCTTGGCCCTTAGTTTGTTTCCCTATTTCTTGCATCTCTGCCTCCTCTGCTGGACGTAAACCTTCCTGCGGCCTAACCCCCAGACATGCTGCAGTGCCAGCGGAGCTCTCCCATCACCCTCACTCTCACACCCCCATGAGGGAAGGCCGGCCCTTCCGGAAGCTCAGAACTGGGACACCAAGGCACCAACCTCTGCCTTCCTCTCTGGGACCCCAGCCCTTCTCCCTCCCAGGACAGAACTCATTGACGTTCACTTGACTCTTAGGCACTCAGGGCACTCCATCTCTTTGCAAACATGCTGCATCACTCCAGCTGTCCCCCAACCCCTGTGCCTTCCTTCATTCCATAAGTACTTCCTGGCAGCTATTCTGGCACTGTTCTACTTGCTGACATCTTGGGGACGTCTCTGACCTTTGGAAGCGAATAAACCCCGAAGCTCTATATATCCTATGATGCCCTGCCCAACCACACCTCTCTCTGTCTGTCACGGACATACACACAGAAGCATCCAACTTGCCTGGGCTCATACACAGTTTTATTTCCTGTTGATTTTACAGACACTCCATCCTGCAAGCCCATTCCCTTGGAAAACCCAGAAAGAGTGGGCACAGTGCTCCCTAGAGGAATAGAGGGGACAAGATGGCTGCCAGGGAGAGGGCAGTTGAGGCACTTAGGGATTTACTCCGGCCCTGATGGAAGATCTGGTGCCCAGGGTAGGGGGAGAGGGCCTGGGCTGGGCTGGAGCCTCCTAGGTATTTCCCAGAAGCCCCTTCAGGAACTGTCACCTGGACTCCAGTACCACCCCTCGTCATGTTGTCACTTCCTGTGGTGGCGGGAGCGCAGGGTGTGAGGGAAAATTTGGGTGACAGGGCAGTGCTGTGGCCGGCAGTGTTCAAGGCCTTGCCCCCTAGGGACCTGGCATGGGGCTGGAAGGGGGGATCAACAGCGCCTTCCAGCGTCCCAGTAGCCTCCCCTGACGTCCTTCTGGGTCCTCCTCTGGGTGCAGAGCTCGGGCCTGGGGAAGACACACACTCACCCTCCACCCTGGCTCTTCCTTCTCCTCTCCTCAGAGCCTGCCCTCTGATGTTCTTGCTCAGCCCGTAAGAGCCCAGAATGGGGCTGCATGTTATCAGACATCAGCACTGAAGGAACCCCAGAGCCTCCAGCCCACCTCTTCCCCTTTGCCTCAGAGAGGGGCAGTGATGGCTCCAAGGTCACATGGCCAGTGACAGGCAGGACTTTAAGTGGAGTCCAAGGCTACTGTTGGCTACTGTCTCCCACTCCCACCTGCCTCTTCCTGGCACTCACAGGTCTTCTGGGCACACAGGAGATCTGGGGGGCCTCCCAACGACCGTTCTCTTGGCATCGGATCAGCGGCAGATTGCGCTGGGCCAGTCCTTCCCGGCACCGGTAGCGAAGCACAGTGTCCACCTCATAGCGCAGCCGTGGGCGGCCGAACACTTGAGCCAGGGGCAGCTCCGGTGGCGGCCCACAGGACACTGCAAAGGAAGACAGTTAGGAACTGAGCCTGGCTCTGTGGGTGACAGTTCCCAGAATCTCCATGGGGAAGAGAAAAATGGGCCACAACATGACAAAAAAAGATCAGGGATTCCGAGTGGACCCACGTAACTTGTTAGCTCTCCCATGGTCTGGAACACGTTCTGACTCCTCTATGTTGCTTTGCACTCTCTGTCTACAAACATCAGTCCCTCTGGTCCCCTAGCCCACCCCTCCACTTCCTTGCTGGGACCCTCCTTTGCCTGCCCTCACCCAGCCCCATCTTGCAGGTGTAGGACAGGTGGTAGTTGCAGGGCACGTCACTCCATTGTCCCTGATCATGCCACACCATGACCACGCAGTTCTCTCCAGACAGGAAGTAGCTGTCAGGCTGCCCAGGGTTCCAGTTCTCATAGAGCTGGGGGAACGGAGGAGGTGGTGAGGAGCTCCTACACCAGGAGCACCGGGAGAGGGCCTAGAGGATCTGGGGAGGAGGGCTGGTGAGCGGGGCCCCAGGAGAGGGAAGGTTAGGGCTAGGGGGTAGGGGATCTCCCGGGGAAGGGGAAAGGAGAGGGCAGGGACTTTAGGGGAGGGAGAATGGGAGCCAGAAGGGAAGAAAGAGGACACAACGAAGGGAGGAGAGCCCAGGGAGAAGAGGCACAGGGCACGAGAAAGGGAAGGAGGCCGGAAAAAGAAGGGGACAGGGTCGGGAGGGGTGGGGGTGGTAGGGAACAGAAGTGCTTAGAGGAAGTGAGCTAGACGGCGGGGTTCGACTGGGGCCTCTCACCAGGGGGACGCCATCCGACCACAAGAAGTCGCCTTCGATGGTCCTGTCGTTGAGTCCGATCCACTGGTACTCCCGGTACCGGTCTAGGGAGACGAAGGCGTGCAGTGAGCGCAGCCGCCAGCAGATGGCGGCCGTTCCCCGCTCCCGGGCGGTCTGCGGTGACTGCCTTGGAAACCCTTCCCCGCGATCCAGCACCCGCCCTTGTCGGGTTCTTCTACCCCAGCCTCTGCTCAAGGGCCAGATGGAAAGCAGGGGAATGGGGGTGGGAGAATAAGGAAGATATCAACCCAGGCTAGAAAAGGGGAGTTTTGGAAAAAGAGTCAAAACTTTCAACAAGATTGGAGTTGGAGTTGGAGGAGGCCGACGGAGGTCGGAGAGCAGGGAGGTTGGAGGGATTGGAGGCGGCCCCCTGCACGGCGGCCCGGCCCACACAGGCGCACTCTACTGCGCGAACCTCCACTCTCCGTTCCCGAAGGCCACTGCCTAAGCGTAGGGTGGGAAGGGAGAGAGAATGAGAAGGGGAGTGAACGAATGAGTGAGGGAATGCACGCTTGAGAAAACCAAGGAATAAGTGCATGGGTTAATGAGGAAGGCGGTTAGGCGAGTGAGAGAGAGTGAGAGCATATGGCAGGGGCCCCTCCCGCCCTGTCTCCCAGCCCACTGTTGATGAAGTCCTGTTCCTCGGGTGTGCTGATGCTGGCCAGATGCGCGCCGTACATCCGGCACTGGGTCTCTGCCTCCTCCCAGCTCCTTCGTGTGGAAAAGTGCTTGTAGCAGGCGCCCTGGAAGGCGTCCCAGCCGGGGTTGCAGAAGCGGAGGCCTGCGGCACATAAGGGCGGGCATCTTAGGGCCCCAAAACCCAGAGGGCCAGGTCCCCTGGAAGGGGCTGGTCTCCTTCCACTACCGCAGGCCGAGAGGGGCGGGACTAAGGGGGACAGGAGGGCGGTGCAAAAGAGCTAGTAGAGAATGAGGGGGTAGCAGGAGCCTGGAGGGGCTCTTGGGCAGGGGCGCTGGTGCCTTTTCTAAGAGACAGGAACCAGGGTGAGGGATGGAGTTCCGGCCTGGGTCTCCATCCTAACGAGCAGTGGCTCTCCTCTCCAGGAGAATGGAGCCTGTCATGTATTGACCACCGATTAAATGCCAGGAGTATGCTTTGCACTGGTCTCAAATGGACCCCCTATGAGAGGCATTGTGGTTTCACTTAGATAAGAAAATTGAGGGTAGGACTCAAAGAAGTTATGCAACTTGCCTAAAACAGGGACTCATTAATGACAAGGCCAAAACCAATGTTCTCCCTCCCCCCTCCAGAAGTAGCACGTTGTGGCAGGGTCCAGGCTTCAAACCTGCCCCCCGTCCCTCAACACTCACCAACATCGCACAGGTCCCCCCCATAGCCAGGCAGACATAGGCAGCGGACCCCTTCCTCCTCCTCCAAGCATGTCCCACCATTGTGGCAGGGGCTGGGGACACAGTCACCTGAGAGGGGGAAAGAAGTGAGGCGGGGGGAGCGAGGCAGCCGCACTCTGCAGCCTGAGCCCTCCAGGAGAGGGTGCAGAGGGTCCCCCAGCCCTGGTCTCTCTGTCCTGGAAGCTATAACAGCACCCTAAAAGTTCTCCCTAGAGCCTGTCTCTGGTCACAACCCAGCCCTGAGTTCTGGGTTTCTTTCCTCTTCCCGCTCCCGACTTCAGCATTGGCTCAGCCTTCCATTGTTATGGCCACCAGTGTGAGCCCAGCCCAAAAGGGGCTGGGGAGAAGAGGCTAGGAGAGCCCTGAGAACCCAGCCCCACAATGGAGAAAGATACTGGGCACAGAAAGTTATAGCTCTAAACTCTTATCTGGCTTCTGTGTGATATTGGGCAGGTCATTTTCCTTCTCTAGGCTTGGAGTTTAGTGCCACACCCCCTTGTCTTTGTGCCAGGTCCCAGCACAGTTCTGTATAGTCCAGGTGGAATGAATGGAAGTGAAGGAGGGGACAGAAGGATTACCGCAGCAACAGTGGAGGGTGGTATCCCTTGACTGCTCCTGAGACCTGATATTGGTGTGGTCCAGGTGAATACTAACCATTCCTCCTGCTGTCCACTGGGCAGTCAGCCAGTCCCAGAAGTGGTTAGTGGAGATCCAGCCCACTTTCCTCACTCTAGGCCCTGCCCCTTCTCCCCCAGCTTAGGAACTAAGTCGCAGCAGCTCCCATTGTCCTGCAGTGCTGACTGGCCTCACACATGCAGCTTTCTCTCAATATCACCCAACCTCTCACTTCCCCTTCTTATATCCACAGACTCTTCCACTTACCAGGCTCCCTCTCCCAACTCCACTTTGGGCCTTCTGCAGGTTCTCCAACCTAGAATCCATCTCAATCCCTCCTTCTGGCTCCCTCTCCTCCAGGCAGTCCTCTTAGACTAACACACTGCCCTGAAGGTCTGCAATCTGTTGCCTGGATCTAGCTCCATCTGGCTAGGCCATCTGCTTTACTGGACTTTTTCTCTCTGTATCCTGGGGTAGGAGGTGGCTGTCCTTAGGATGTGCTTGGGTGCTACAGGAGCTGTCAGTTTCCAATCCTTTCTGGTTCAGATGACCCAAAGGAAGATGGCTCCACAGACCAACTGTGTAGGTCATGGCCCTCAGCCATGGTAAGGTCAAGGCCCTCAGCCATGAGAGGCAAAACCACTCCAGGGCAGAACCCTTCAGACTTTACCATCCACCTCTAGAAGCCATGGCCAAGGTCCACAGTGCTTCCCGCTGGCCTGGCCACAGGTCCCACTGCCTGGTGGGAATCAGTAGGGGTGGAGAGAGGAGAAGCTGGAGTGGATTCAAAGAATTTTGCTGGGATGACCTAGCTGTTTTGGGTGAAATGAATCAGCTTTTCCAGCAGCACTCCTTCTGTCATCTTCCCTCCTGCCAATAGTTTCTTCCCAGCTTGTGGTGCTGCCCACCTCCCAACCCCAGAGGAAGAGGTATTTCATTTAACCCATTAAGCACCAGGCCCCACAGAGGGTAGAATTCTGAACTCCCCTCCCACTCCTCACACTTTCCTGTCCCTCCTGTTGTCCTTTCTGCTCCTTCCCATTCAACCCTCCAACCCTGGGGGACAGAGGCTCTCAAACTTGGTCTTTGGTCCCCTACCCAAGCCATAGGCCCCTCCCCCTGGCTGTGGGCTACAGAACCTGAACCCAGCGCAGGCAGAGTCGGGTGAAGAACTCTTCTTCTTGTCATTTTCCCTCTCCCTTTTTGGGGACAACTATTCTACACAACCAGAAAGTTTTCCCTTTCTTTCCATTGAAACAGCAGCCAAGGAGACCTCTCACTTACCCTCCCGGTGGGGAAACTAAGACACTGTAGATACCTCCAATTGTGCTCCTCTTCCCACCAAACCCCCTCCCTATCCCCCACAGGGCTGAACTCCAAGGCCAGTTGTGCAGGGACCTAACAGTTGACATGGGTAAGCCTGGGTGGGACTCAGGATGTGATCCATCTAACATGGGGGTCCTAGGGCTAAGGGAATCCCAGCCTTCTCCAGGAACCTCCACTGGGAATCTTAGCCTTCCTGAGTAGAGAGGGCTTCTCTCAGACCCCAGAACCTGATTCCTTCCTTCACACTCTCCATCACTTGCTTTTGATCAGTGTCTTCTCCAGCATTAGGTACTTTGAGACCCTTTGGGTCTGGGGAGGGTGAAGCCATTCCTTCTGGAGAGTAGGGAATGATCATTAGTGCAGGAGTTAGTGGAGAAGACGGAAGTTGTAGGTAGTGGGATGAGAGTTAGATACCACCCCCTGCTGAGATGCAGGGCTAGGGGATGGGGGTGAGGGCAACTGAATGCCAGGGAACTGCCTCTATGCTGAGAGACCCTCAGTTCCCTCAGTTACTATGACCCTTGGCACCACCAAGATGGATTGGAAGTGAATATAAATGCACAACACATGCACTCCGGGCTGCAGGGGTTTCTCCTCATCAGGAGTGAGGGACTACAACTCCCAGCACTGCCTCAGACTATGGATGATGACTTCTCCAGGGGTAATGTGTACAGTCAAATTTTGGGATCTTAGCAGCCAGGAAGGAAAGTGTAGACAGGCCTGAGAAGGAGAGGCTGGGGGAACAATGAGGGGCTGTTAGACTGCCAGGACAGACAAGGGGAGAAGCCGAAAATGAAAAAGGAAGAGAGGCCAAGACACACACAGAGACAGGGAGAGACATGGAGCCAGAGAAGAAGCATCCAAGTGCTCCCCATGACACAGACCCATGGAATGAGAGAGGTGGACAGCAGGAGATGGAGACAGAGGGTACCAGAGCTTGGTTACAAAGCGGTTTAATAGAGATTTATTTCCAAGGCTTGTTTTCCATGAAACAGTCAAAAAATACTTCACAGAAGTAGTTGCTTAAGGCTCTGTGGGGGTACGGGTTCTCCTGGACTCCGGAGGTTGAGGGGTGAGAAGGGACTCCCAGGCTTCCCTGAGATCAATAGGAGGCAGCTAAAGGGGACGGCACACAGGCGGATGAAGGGAGTAGTGGAAAATAGGCCGAGCCCTGAAGGCTGCAATAGGTGATGAGGACCCTTGGAGAGGCCTGAGGATGCTCTGTGGGGCTGGCGAGATGTGAGCCACAGGTGGAGGGCCCAATGGCAGGGAAGGGTCACAGATGGTCAGTGGCGGGGCTGGGATCACAGGGTAAAGACGCGGAGAGCTGAGATACCCACAAGGTGGATATCCGAGATTGGAGACCCATAGGTAGAGGTGGGTAAGAGAATGAAGGCAAAGGACAGGAGAGTTTGGGATGATGGTGGGTTAAAGGACTACAGGTCAGGTGACCCAGAGCTGCAGGGGGAAGAAAAGGAGTAGGATAGAGAGGGCAGTTGAGCCTTGGGCAGAATTACCTGATGCGGGGACCACGGCCACTCCACCTCGGCTGGCGCTGTCAGTGGGCAGCACTGGCTGGGCCTGCACTGAGGTCCCTGCTGGGGCAGTTCTTCCAGAATTATCTTCAGAGGGGGCCTCCAGCTCCCTGGTACCCTCAGGGGCCCGTGTGGCTGGAAGCAGGGAAGGGGCACCCTCGGAGCTTCCTGTCTCCTCGCTCTCTCCTCGAGGGACCCCAGATAGCTCAGGACCACCAGTTGCCTCCCCCACCTCTCTTGCCTCAACCAGAGTGGAAGGTGATGGGGATGCTAGGTTCCTCTCCCTGGGAGTGGGCAGAGTCTCAGTAGGTGGTCCATGGACCCTTGGAGGCCTGGAAGCTTCTGACTCTCCATCAGGAAGTGGTGATGCACCAGGCTGCAGGACTGCCCTTGCTGGCGCCTGGGAGAGTGACTCCTCCTGGGCTGCTGGCTCAGTGGGGAGAGAGGCCTCAGGGCCCGGGCTGCTGAGCTCGCTGGGCCATGCCCACAGAGCCTCATCCTCCACCTCCTCCTCTTCTTCTTCCTCCTCTTTCTCTTCTTCATCTTCATATTTCTCTTCTTCCTCCAATGCCTTACCTTCCTCTTCTGAGAACCCCGTGGGCGGTACCATGGATTGTGTTTCAAATTCTAGGCAAAGCACAAACGGTTCAGCACCAGGGACAGCGTCTGTCCAAGGACCGAAAGGAAAAAGGGAAGGGGAGAAAAGTAGGGCTCAGGAGGGTGAGCCCTGGGGAATAGGGAAGAGACCGCCCTGAGGACAGGTGGTCCTTGCGCCACACTGGAAGAACTTGACCCCAGCCATATTGTTGAGGCAACACTTGAGAAGGCTCTGTGAGCCATCATTAGCCCCGGAGAACATGGTCATTTGTCTCCCTCCTACTCTGTCAAAACTCTAGTCTGTTTTGGGTGTGTGAGGCGGAAGAGGGACCAAAGAAGGCAGGTTCCACCTTTCCAGGGCGCAGCTCCTTAGTGCAAGCATCTCTAGCTCCATAGAGTTGGGGGTGGAATTTACTGGAAAAGCAAAGGTTGGGAGAGGGACAGGAAAGGTGCCCTGCACCCCTGAGCTACTGAGAAAGGACAGGGCAGAGTCATGTCATCCATCACCCTAGCATCAACCTGGGCTTGCCTCTTCTGCCCCCAACTTCTTTCAATCAAGACATCCTTAGGATAAGGGATCCGACTTACCTAGGAGCGTCCTAGGGGCCTCTGCTGGGTCTTCTGGAGTGGAGCTTCCACCTCCTCCGTCCTCCATGATGGGGATGGAGTAGATGGCCCCACGGGATTCACTCTCTGTGGCTTCCTGAGGCAGCTGCAGTTCCTCCAGGGTCTCTGTCACTGTGACGATAGCCTCTAGTCCATCAGAGGCTGGGTTGGAGGCTGGGTTGGAGGCCTCAGGGATGGCAGAAGGCTGGGCCGAGTCTGTGGCAGGAGGAAAGTATTGATGCGAGCCTGAATAGGTAGCTCTGCCCTCCCAGGTCACAGCTTGCACCATGGAATTCTCTCAATTCTCTCACATCTTCCCTGTGGAGCACCTACTGGGGCCCAGGGAGCATCCCAGAACTTCGTCACTCATTTCTCAAGCATTCATCAAGTGCCTACAGTGTGTCATGCCAAGCATTCCCCTGGGCACTGAGGATACAGTGCAGAACAAAATAGCAAACCTCCTACCCTCAAGGGAAATTATATTCTAGAACAGATGACAAACAAACATATATTATAATCTTACAAGATAAAGAACACTTGAGCAGAGTTAGAAGATGGAGTGATGGAAAATACTACTTTGGAGTGGTCAGGAAAGGCTCAGGTGAGAGATATTCCCTAGGGGGAGGGGCTGGAGCCAGCAGGATGGATGAAATAGCTTTACCACCTTGTGATCTTGGGCTTGGGGCAAGGTGTGAGGTGTCCCAGGTATCCCCAAATTCTTTTATTTTTTAGACAGAGTCTCCTTCTGTCACCCAGGCTGGAGTGCAGTGGCACGATCCCAGCTCATTGCAACCTTCGCCTCCTGGATTCAAGCGGTTCTCCCGTCTCAGCCTCCCAAGTAGCTGGGACTACAGGCATGTGCCACCGTAACTGGCTAATTTTTGTATTTTTAGTAGAGACAGGGTTTCCCCGTGTTTGCCAGGCTGATCTCGAACTCCTGGCCTCAAGTGGTCTTGGCCTCCCAAAGTGCTGGGATTACAGGCATGAGCCACTGCACCGAGCCTCCAAAATTCTTGAAATAGAAGGGGAGAGGCTGTCATCCCCTCAGGATAGCTGGAGGGCAGAGTGCAGGAATAACTTCAGGCATCACCTGAGGATCTCAGTGGTGGGGCAAGTAGGCAAGGGAAAAGGCCACCTCCTTCTGGGACCTACTCCTTTCAAATAACCAGAAGTTTAGAATGGTTTACTTGTCCTCTGGGGAAGGGAGCCAAGAGCAGAAAACCAATGAAGTGAAGGTGGAATTGGGCTAAGAAAAGTCCTGAGGGCTGTCTGTGCTCAGCCAGGCAAGACAGGACAGTGAGTCCCTGCCCTCATCACCTGCTCCAGTGAGCCTTACTCCTCACCAGACCTTGTGTCCTTGCTGCCTGTGTCCTCCACCAATCGTAGTCCCAACTGTAGTCATATTCCCCCTCCCCTGCCCCTCCTCATGATCCAGGCCATTTCTTTCCAAAACAGTGCTTGGCTTGGCACACAATCATAGCCAGCACACAGAAGTTTTAGCTATTACTATTATTATTATTACTACTACTACTACTACTACTACTACCCCTGTTCCAGGAGGTCTTTTCAGATGGACCTGTCTTCCTATGGACTTTTACTTCCCCACCCCTCCCCAACCCCAGCCAAATATGTCCACAGATCTGTCCAAATGGAAGTAATGCTTTTCTCTCAGTCTCTCCTCATCCTGGGAGTGAGGCATCTTGTCTTCCCTTTGCTGGGGGTTCCCATGGCAAAAGCTGTGTCTTCATCCTTCAGACCAAGTGCTCCCTGAGGTTCAAGGCTGTGTCTGCTCCTTCCATTTCTGCTTCCAGCTCTTGTAACAGTATTTCAGGCTTAAAACTGGGGAAGGACCGAGACACCGCATGGCAATGCCTCTCTTATTGTCGGTCACCCTTGGCCTGGGCCTTTTGCATCTGAGAGTCCCAGAAACTGCCTCCCGCTCCAGCTCCCAACATAAGATATGGGCAGGTTTGGGTGCAGTGGCTCACACCTATAAATCCCAGCACTTCGGGAGTCCAAGATAGGTAGATTGCTTGAGCTCAGGAGTTCAAGACCAGCCTGGGCATGTGGTGAAACCCCATCTCTACAAAAATTACAAAAATTTGCTAGACATGGTGGCATAAGCCTGTGGTCCCACCTACTCCGGAGGTTGAAGTGGAAGGATCCCCTGAGCCCAGGGAGGTTGAGGCTACAATGAACCATGATCACACCACTGCACTCCAGCCTGGGGGACGGAGTGAGACCCTGTCTCAAAAAAAGAAACAAGCCATAAGATGTGGGCAGAAAGCTATCTCTATTCCCAACTGTACTTAAGGTCTTGCTCCCTTTTGGGGGAATTGTATCCATCCACCAGTATTTGGTAGTTAAAGATCTGACACCTTCTTAAGCTGTAGTTTCTGGAAATCCTCCAGAGGGCTCCTGAGGGCATTTGGTTGTTGACTGGAAGAACTTGGGCAGATTACTCATTGAATTCACAGAATGTTGGTCGTCTTTGCTCTGCCAATAAGCTGACAGGAGATGGGAGCTTATTCAGCAGCCCAGCTGGAGCAAACAAGGCATGGACTACTGGTGGGAAGGCAGATAAGGAGAGGCCAAAAGGTGACTACTCCTTGGGCCAAACAGCTGACAGACACCACACCAGAGGGCATGCCCAGAATTAGAACCCTAGATGACAAGCTGGACTTCACCCACGACCACTTCAGGCAAATGGCAAAGCCCTGAGCTAAACTGATCAGACTGGGGTAGGACTTTTAGGACTCAACTCTGCCTTTCTGAGATTGGTCTCAGCTTCTGCAGGGAGGTGGGCTCACCTCGGAAGCAGTAGACGTTGAAGCGGCTGTGCTTATTGGGGAAGCCAGTCTGGTTGGGGAAGAGGAAGAGAGTCTTGACACCAGGCAAGCCCCCACCACAGCGCTGGCTGGGTGTGACGATGGGGTAGCGCACACTGCCATCAGCTAGCCACCCTGGGCTGCAGTGGTCCAGGCCACCATCCCAGGCTGCATACAGTTGGCCCGTGGTGGCAATCTCTGCACCCCGCTCCTGGCAGTACGCCCGTGCTTCCTCCAATGTCAGCTTCTCTGGAGGGTCACCCAGGAACAGTTCTCCTGGGTGGAGAAGAGAAGGCTGGGTTATCAGGCAGCTGGTAGCTCCTTCCACTCTGGTCTCCCATGGGAACCCTGGGCAAGCTTCTCCAGTTCCCTCATCTGTGGCAGGGAGTCAACTACTCTACTTCATAGGATCATAGTCTGAATAGAACCTCAAGATGGATATTAGAGCTCAAAGAGATGGGGCCCAAACTTCTTGTTCTGCAGAGTCATGCACAGAGTCCACCTGGCAGGTGGTAGATGAGTTAAACTCGGTATCCTGCTGCCTGGCTGAGACTTTGGTCATGAGCTTGCCTCTGTGACAGTGTTTGGAGAGAGGGACACCAATTGTCTCCTTACTCCTGCTTGCCCCCTTAAACTCAGGAGGGATAGTAAGGTCCTGCAGAGGCCCCGGGAGGACCTATGGGCAGCATGGGAGTAGGAAATTGTCCCCTGGGAACCTCTCACTCCTAATCACCATTTAGGTCTTCAGCATAACAGTACACATCATAGAGGTCATCCGGGTCCACCACACCATAGTTCCGGACCCCGGGGAAGCCATCCATGTCTCCGTAACAGGCCTCTCGTGGGGTCTGGATGGGATACCTAGGGAGGAAGGACAGAATCACTTAGTACAGATGCTTTCACCAGGGAGCCAGCCCATATTGATTCTATTGAACCCCACTGCCACCACAGTGCAGACACTTGCTGACAGCTGGCTGTCCTTCTAGCACTGCAGGGATGCACATGCTCAGGGTCCTCACCTCCCCTCCTCAGACCAGCCTCATCCCCCAGAGGCAAAAAGCCCTGCATGTCCAGCCTGACACAGCAGGCAGCACCCAGCAGAAGGGGGGCCATGGCCACCTCAGGGGCCAATAGAAGCCCCAATCCACAGCCCCTGCCCACCTCACGGTCTGATCCGACAGCCAGCCAGCATCACATTGCTCATAGCCCCCAAGGTAGGCGGCATAGAGCTGCTCCGGGGTGGCGATGTGGGCTCCAATGCGGGCACAGGCCTCCTGGGCCCCAGAAAAGGAGAAAGCATAGCGGGCAGAGCCCTCTCGGTAGAGAAAGACGACCCCTGTGGGGCAGAGAGGACCCCTGAGCCAGGTGAGCACCCAGCACGCTGGCCTCCCCTCACCCTCCTTGTCACTCCTCTGTACACAAGGGTAAATAAAGTTCAATTGTGCTCACTCTACAGCATGAGGGACTTAAGTTAGATTGTGGGTAGAATGTCCTCCACCTGAAGAGAGAAAGGAGACAACAAAGGCCCGTGTCTCCTCACTCTTTTTCCAACCCAGGCTGCGCCTTCCAGCTACCTTTGCTTCCCTCTCACACTGTGGGATCCCCGAAGGCAAGAGTCCTCCCTTCCCTCCCTCCCTCCCTCCCTCTGGAACCTCCCTGCCCTCTCACCTTTGACCTTGACCTCCACAGCGTCGCTGCTGTCATCGATGCCGTGCTGGACCTCACAGCGATAGATACCTGAGTCGTTGGGGCGCAGCTCGCTCAGCGCCAGGGAGACGTCGGTGAGCGACGCTGGGTACGCAGGCAGTGCCACGCGGAACCGGTAGGCCTCGTTCACCTTGACGCGCACTCCCCGCGCCACCAGCACCTCTGCCTCCCGGCCCCGGGACAGGAAAGTCCACTTGACCCGCGGAGAGCCCAGCACAGCCCGGCGGCTCGGCGGTGGCCGCAGGTAGTGGACGTGGCAAGGGATGGTGAGGGCGCCGCCGAGCACGCCCTGCAGTGGCGCGTCGCCCGCGATGCGCACGCGAAAAGCGCGGTCCTCTGTGAACGGGTGGAGCCGGCTGGAACTTAACGCTGTCGACCCTCAGAGTCCCACCCGGTGGCCTCCAAGCCCCGCTCCAGGATCCCTCCTTCCGGCCCCAGGATTCCCCGGCCCCCCTAGGACCAGGGGCCAGGGGCCAGGGGCCAGGGTCCTGCAGCCCTACCTCTAGGTCCTCCAGGACCACCCCGACGGTCTCCAGACCCATCCCCCAAAGTCTCCCAGTCAATTCAGCCCCCAGGATTCCTTGCCCTGCTCTCAGAGTCTTCCACTTCCTCTCCAAAATTCCTAGACCACACCCCAGGGTCCTCCAACCTCGCCCCCTGAGTCCTCCAGCCCAGTTTCCCAGTCTGCTCCCTTTAGGGCCTCCTTCAGGGTTTCTCCCAGTTCCACCCCTTTCCCACCTCCTAGCTTCAGGATCCCCTATCCTCCACCTTAGGGGCCCAAAGCCTTGCACCCAGTGCCCTTCCCTAGTCCTGCCCCATGATTTCTCCAACCCACCAGATGCTCACAGCTCAGCCCTTATTTCCAAGTGTTCCAGCCTGGACGCTTCCCCACAGCCCTCCAATTCTCTCTCTTCCTGGGGCCCCTAAGCCTGGAAGCAGTTGGTTAGGGCTGAACAAGACAGAGACGGTGACCCCAAGTGGGGTTGCTTACCTGAGCTGTCTCCTTCCAGAACATCTGCTAAAGCTGCAGGAGCCTGGGCCAGGACCAGGGCTGCCAGCAGGGGCAGGAACAGCTGGGCCATGCTGCAGGCTGACAGAGGGACATGAGAAGGAAAGATGGGGTTAGACTTCAGGATGGACTTCCCCCCTGCTCCCTACCACACCCATGTGGGTTCACACATATCCTGGCTCCAGAAGTCCCCTACCTTCACATCACCATGGACTCTCTGTTTCTGATCCCCATCTTCCCAGCAAGTGATTTCTTCTCAGAACCAAAACCCGAGTCCTAGTCAACTCACTGTGTGACCTAAGCCAAGCTCCTTACCTTCTCTGAGCCTTTATTTTCTTACTTATAAAAAAGCATCATCATTACTATCTCATGAGTTGAGATAGGACCATGTGCTTTGAGAGTGTTTAGTATCTTAAAACTCCTGTACAAATGCATAGCACCAGGCAGACAGTAGGAGCTCAGTTTACAGCATGAATGGTGGGTGCTCTTATACTCAGAATTCCATCTGCTCCTCCCAGTGCCAGACTCCTTCCTCGAACCCAGAGCCTTCTCCCATAGTATCTCTTTAGCCTCTTCTGCCTTCTAGACTGTCCCTGCCTCCAGGGACACCATACTCACCTGGCCTTTTCCAGGAGGGCCTCCTAGACCGAACGCAAGTAAGCACAGCTTCTCCTGAGCCCACCCTCTCCTCTACTTCCTCCCCACCATTATTTGTAAGGAAACTCCTCTCTTTACTCCCCAACATTCTCCATCCCCCTTCCTTGGCTGCCTCCTCCCTTCTTCTTCCCAGCCTCTCCTTTCTGCCTGGCACGGGCTTTCCCACCGGAACTCTTGGCTCAGAAATCAGTTGGGACAAAGCCCCTGTCTCTGCCAGTCTGGCCTCTATCCAGCCCCTCCCTTCCCCCACCCTACCTTTTGTGAAAGCCTTGGGCTGGAGGGTGGACTAAGGGGGGGGAGAATAAATGGGAGGGGCTACCCCTTCCTACCCCTGGCTATCAGAAGCTCTAGAACCCAGAATATTCCTCCAAAGATCTCGAAGCACTTACACTCTCATAAAAAGGATGTGTTGTGACATTGAGAAATGGAGACTGAGGCTCAGAGAAGGATAGGGCTGACCCTGGATCCCTAGTAAAGCCAAGTCAGGCACGAGGGCAATGTGCTCCCAGGAGAGAAGACTCAGAGCTACATCATCTTTAAGGGTTGGGCTAAACTTAGAAGAGCATGGAGATCCAGGTATGCCATGGAATAGGCCAATGATGCAGCAAGAGAATTGAAGGTTAGACTACAGGCAGGACTTCCTAGAGATCAGGTTTATTCCACTGGCTGTGCACTCCCATTCCAGGCCCACTGTTTATCCCCCATCTTCCCTGCCCTCTCAGCATCTGCCTTCATACCTGTCCCTGCACTTTCCTAAGCCTGAGATGATGGGAAATTTCCTACTTTTCCCAGATCCTCCCACCTCCCTGCCATCATAACCCCCATCTCCCCCACTGTGTCTGGATATCATTCCCTAGGGTCAGAGTTGGGAGAGGAGTGGCACAACCAGATGCTTAGGGCCTCTCTCTGACCTTTCAGAGGGAGGAGGTTCTTGATGGGGCCAGATTAGAGGTGCGGAGACCAGCTCCAGGCATTGGGGTGCTTGGGAGGACTGTTCTGGGGCTGGAGTGGGGACCATTGGGCAGGAGCAGCCAGTGCCCACCGGGTGCTGGGAAGACTGTTTGCCATGCATCTGAGCTGTGCCAGGGCCTGGGCCTGGCCCCCTTCTGGTGCCCTCCCTCCCTTCTCTCTGGGCTGGAGCTGGAGCTGCTCACAGACCTGGCTCCCATCTCTCTGACGGGCAGCCCAGAGACCCATATAGTTGGAGTCATTTTGGGGCCAACACCCTGGACCACCCTTTCACCTCTGTCTGACAGTGGGAGAGTGAGGGAAGAGGGCCTAAGGCCAATGAGGACCTAACTGCTCTGGAACATGGAGGGCAACCTACCCTTGACCCCAAAAATGGGAGTCACTGACCAGTGAGGCCAAGAGGGTAGCCCCGTGCAGTTCTGAGAGAGCTCTGTCTCTCCAGTCTCGGGCCTCAGCCTCCCAATTGCAGCTAGGAGCCCTGAGGAAACTCAGACTTCCCCACATCCGGTACCAGCCTCAGAACCCAGGGGTCCAGGGTTCTGTGGCCTTCTCTATCCCACACACCACTCATCTCCACTTCCTCTTCTCTTCCTCCAGAGCAGGCCACACCTCTCCAACTCTAACCCTGAGAGCTCAGCAGTCATGCGGTCCGTTCCCTTGACGCCACAACATCCCCCTCTCTGTTTCAGCTCCAGCGTCTGTATCTCTGCCCTTGTTTTGAATTTCTTGAGCTGTTCAGGAAACTTTCCTCTTGTCACATCATTTCTGTCTGACCCGGGATGTCCATCTCCCTCACAGTCTTCATAGACCCAACCCAGAGAGTTAAGACCAGGTCTCTCTCTCTCTCTCTCTCTCTCTCTCTCTCTGTGTGTGTGTGTGTGTGTGTGTGTGTAGGCATGCACGTGTGTACACACATCTAACAACACCCACCACCTCCATGCTGAATGCCCATCAGCCGGCAGCCAAGGTCTGTCCCATAGGAACTGAGCTCCAGCACTCAGCAGGGTCAGCAGGGAGGCACAAGAAGCCAGAGCTTTGGCTATAGCAGGAGGGAAGCTCTCTGCTACCCCCTTAACGGCTTCATGAGGAGCAACATGAGCCTACACAATATAAGCAGGGCCTTAGGGCCTGTAGAAGTAATTGCAATCATCATATAAATAGTCCTTTTTATTGGAAGCAAAACTAATAATACTATTAGCAATGACACCAGCCGAGCAGTTGCAGATCCCTCTCGTATAGAATCTGAAATGTGGATGATGCTGTTATAAATAGCAAAGTTAGCCATAGCAACATAGGCACTGGTAATACTGTGGGTGGGTCTAAGGGTAACACTGTTCCCTGATCTTACTGTCATCATCTGCAATCTAAGTAATGCAGATAATAATGGTGCCCCTTGGACTTGACGCCAATCTCTTGGTCCTATTAGAACCATGTAGGCAGAGCTATTCCAATAGGTGGGGGAATACCTGACAGGATATGGAAATACCTGGGAGAGGGAATTCCCAGGCCCCTGGCAGTGCTAGGAAGGAATGCAATAGTGGTAACCGAATTCCAGCTAATAGTTACTGATGTCTACCTGAGCCAGTTCTCCTAAATGCTTCCTGTGGATAACCTCAACTGTGAGAAAAAGATTGTTTATGTTTTGCTCATTACACCGATGAGGAACCCGAGGTTCAGAGAAGTCAACTAACTACCCCAAGGTCACAGAGCAAGGAGCCGAGTTGGGATTCCAGCCGAAATGGGCACTCCGACCACCCCCTAGAGCGGCTCTGATCGGCTGTCCTGCCGGACTACAGTAAGGTGTCCCCAGAAGGGTTGCTGGCCGCTGCTCCTGGAGCTGCCTGTGCGTGGGGGCACGGAGGCAAGGACTGATCCGGAACGCTACCGCCCTGCCTGGGACAAGGTCGGAAATCTCGGCGGCCGCGCTGGGACAGGAGCGCGCAGCAGGGAAGATGCGAGGACCCGAGGGGTTGCTGATCAGACTGCGAGCAGCAGGGGGGCTGCCACTGGCAGAGCTGGAAGCATGTAGATCAGAGATGGCAGCAGCAGCTGCAGGCGCTCGGGGCTGTCCAGCAGCCTACCCCGCTGCGGTGTCAGGAGTCGACGAGTTGGGTGCCCCAGAGCCTCGAGGCAAGGGCTGACAGGCGGGGGGCGCAGACCAGGCAGGCACTCCCTTCTCCCTGTCCCCGACCCCACGGCGGGCGGCGGGGCTGCGGAGGCACTCACCTACCCAGGGCTGGGGTTGGGTCGCGGCACTGCGAAGTTTGTCGCCTCCTCCGGGGGTCTCCTCCGGGTGCACGGCTCAGTCCTGCAGCTGCAGCTGAGACTGCGGCGGAGACTGCGCGAGCGTGAGGAGAGGCTGGGGCCGCAGGACATTCGGAAGAGGGCGCCGGCCCTCCCGGCGCAGCACAAAACCCCCTTTCTTCCCCCCGCCCCTGCCCCGCCCTCCCCGGGGCCGCCCCCGCCCCCTGGTCGGGAGCGCGGGGCTCTCGGGACGGTCACGGGACCCGCTGCCTTCTCTGCTTCGGCTCCGGCAGCAGCGGCGAGAGCAAGGACGAGCGAAGTAGGACATCGTTCAGCGGATGAGAAGCCGAGGGCTTGGAGTAGGGAGGAGGGGCAGGAGGGGCGGGGAGGGAGCGTTCGCCCAGCGTTCGCTGAGCTAAAGGATGACGATGTTGCAGCTGGAGGGGTGGAAGTTGGACAACTGGAGAGTCTTCTCGTTGTTCAAAGAAGAAGGAGGAGGGAGTCAATTAGACTGTAAGAAGTGGATGAAGGGAGAATGGGGGCTTTGCTCCTGAAAAGAGACACCCTTTCTAATAAAAAAAATGGAAAACTCTTTTCTGGAGGCAGAATGGGGTGCAAAGGACCGTAGCTACCTCCCTGGAGGCAGCTATGATTGGGCATTGGCTCCTGTGGTGCTCCCACTCCCTGCACAGAGGAGGAGCTGACTTTGCAGCTGGAAGGATGGAGGTTAGACAGCAGAATCATGGGTTAAGCAAAGCAATTCAGGAAATCTCTAGACCTGGGGTGGGGGTGGGGTGAGGGTGGCCCTGTGAAGGGACATTACCAGTCATGCAAACCAATGTGCAAAATGCAGGCGTTGCTGGGAGCCCAGAAGGCCTACTGGCCAGGGCTGTCGATGCTGAATGTGCAGCCTGATGCCAGGGGGTGGGCCTTGAGTGCTGCCCAGCCAGGAACTCCTCAGCGCCCAGAATACCAATGACCCTCCTTTCCCCCAGCTCCAGGGCCTCTGCTTCCCTCTCCTTTCCCAGGCTCTCTTTGCTTTTCCCTCCTCCCTCCTGGGACTGTAGGCAAAGCCCCTGGCACGGACAGTGGGCAGGACAGCCAGATGCCTAGATTCCCTCCCCTGGATACCAATATTGGCACCAAGGATAGCTTTGGAGGGCTTTGATCCTCATAATCTCCACAGCATCTTCAAAATACCCCAAGTAAAGTAAGGTGCATTCAATGCAAATGCAACCTCAAGGCAGATCCCCAGCCTTCCATCTAGACTGCACCCTAGGTCCCTCTTGGGAACTCTGGACTGCTCCCCACTGAATGTGCCAACGCCCCCACTCACCACTGCCTGGCTTTCACTCCCAGTGCCATGGACTTGGTTCCAAAGGGCTTTGAGAACCTCACATAAAAACCCACTCCAAATCTTTGAGGGTCTAAAGGGAAGATTCTGGCCCCTTCCCAGAGACCCATCTACTGTAGGGACAGGAAAAGAAGACCTGGGGGGTAGGGAGGGGTAGATGGTAAATTTCCTTACCAAGAAAAATGCCAGCCAGGTGCGGTGTCTCATGCCTATAATCCCAGCATTGGAAGGCCAAGGTGGGCGGATCACCTGAAGTCGGGAGTTCAAGACCAGCCTAGTGAACATAGCGAAACCCCATCTCTACTAAAAAAATACAAAAATTAGCCGGTGTGGTGGTGGACACCTGTAATCCCAGCTACTTGGGAGGCTGAGGCAGGGAGGATTGCTTGAACCTGGGAAGTGGAGGTTGCAGTGAGCTGAGATCGTGCCACTGCATTATATCCTGGGTGATAGAGTGAGGCTCCCTCTCAAAAAAAAAAAAAAAAAAAAGAAAAGAAAAGAAAAGAAAAGAAAAATGCCCCAGAAAGGATGCAAGACTGAAGGGGACAGAGGAAGGTGCCTGGGACAGTCTGGGGAGGAAGGGACCTCGATCTATTTACTTCGTTAGACCAATATGAGTTGAATTGAATTCCAGCTGTGGACCAGGAACTGCTCGAGGCCTGGAAATGCAGTTCCAATTCTTCTAGTAGAAAGAGCGGATCTGAGAAGGCCTTCGGGGACAGATCTGGGCAGCCTTAGGATGTCTTTTTGCTCCCCTTAGAAGTTGCATTTCAGAGCTGCAAGAAAACCCCCCTTCCTCAGGACAGTCTCAGCATGGATGCATGTGTCCAGCCTACCTCCACACTGGCTCTACAGGGCTTGAGGCCAGCCAGGCTGAGCCAGGCAACCAAGCGGCTGAAATTTAATCCCAGTGGTGGCTCAGATGTAACCACAGTTCTTGCCTCAGGGAAACCTGGCTGTGACCAGAGAAGGCAGAGAAAGTGACCTTCCTTACCACCTCTCCTCATGACCAGAAGGATTGGCACTCACTTCGGTGCCCTGGGGGAATCCACCCTTGACTGAGGCCAGCAGCACCTGGGTCTGGACAAGGGCTGGTACCAGACAGTCTGTTCCAAAAAGCAGATCCCTGGTGGGAGACCAGACGTGGTGAGAGAACAGACAGCTGCTGTTGCGCAGACGAGGACTCTGGCATCACAGGCACTGAGGTCAAATTCCTGTTTTGTCATTTGCAGTGGCAAACCTCAGAAAGGGCCCCGTTCCTCCTCTGAAACTCTCTCTTCTGAACAGTGGGCTGAATAATATCTACTGCACTGGGCAATATCTACTGTACCTGTTCTAGGCAAGGGAAACCCCTGGCCCATGACTCGGGCTTAGCAAAATCTAGTTCTTTTCCTTTCCCAGTCACACACACTTGCGCACACACACAGCAACCTAATCTGCCCAGATCTCCTGGCCAGGAGGTCAGAGGACCACTGCCCTGGAGAGCTCATTATTTGGGAGTAGAGACCTTTCCAGAGGATTTCTCAGGGGAGGAAATGGGCACTCTGAGGCTTTTCCAACATTTCCAGCTGAGAAAATTTATACTGAAGGCTAACCTGCAGTTTGAACCAGCAATTGCTGATCAGAGACTCTCTTTACAATTACGGACACTTGGCCATATGTGTCTTCCCCCGTTTCTATTTACTTTCTGAGAGGAGGCAAGAATCAGCCTCCTCCAGAGGCAAGAACCCCCTCCAGAGGAGGGGCTCTGCCTAGCCCCTCCAGATCTCAGAAAGAGATCCCTGGGGATTGGCTGAAAGCAAACAGAATCAATGGCAGCGGGAAGAATGAAAGTCAGATTTCAGGTAGAACCTCCTGTCTCAGTAACAGGAGAAAAATTCCTCCAGTAACCTTGAATATCTTCTGAACACGGAAACTGAGACCCAAAGAGGTCAAGCAACTGTCCAGAGTCACACAGCATGGAACTGGCTGAACCATGACCAAAAATCAAGTCTCCTGACTCCCAGGCCAAGGTTCTTGCCAGGGCTCCCCAGATGTCTATCAGGGGAGGGAGAAAGAGGGAGGTGGAGAGAAGAAAGAGAGAGAGGGAGAGCGTGGGCAGCTCTCCTCCCTCTCCCACGTGCAGCCCAGCTGGCTGCCTCCCAGTCTCCTGGGCCCTGGGGAATTTTCCAGCCTCTCTGGATGAGAACAATCAATCTCCTGCCTCCACCGGACCCCCAACATCCCCCATCCATGCCAAAGCTGAGGCCATGACCCAAGTTGAGAAAAGAGAATCTGCCCTCCACGCTCCTGCATCCTGAGTTCCCCCCATCTCCAGTGTTAGCCTTGGGCCTTCCTCACTGGATTCTATTCCACAGTGGCCACTGGGAGAGCCTGTCCTGCCAACCTCCTTGAACACCTGCCCCCTTTCTCCCAGACTTGGAGTGGGGGCCTAGGCAGCTGAGTTCCTCTCCGAGGCCCTGCACGGGCATCTGGGTCTTGTGCCATAGGCATGTGGGAGTAGGGCTGAAGAGGGGGATGTGGCTCTGAATGCTGGCACAGCTGTGTTCAGAGAATGGGGGCTTTGATAGCTTCTGAAAGAGGCCAGGAAGCACGGGACCCCAGCCCAGGCAGGAGGGGGTGGGGGGCAGAAATGGCTGAGTGTGGCTCTGAGGGCTCTTGCTGCCGCAGACAGGGAGTGTGGAGTGGGAGGGGATGTGGAGCAGTAGGGAGACAGCAATGGGGACTACAGGCTGAACAGCATCATCAGAGAGCCCCCCTGCTGCACCAGCAGGAGCCAGCGTCCCCATGAGCTGGTCAGACCGCGCTTTGAGGGTTGCAAACCCATGTGTTCAGAGGAGACCATCAGCTTGTTGCACAAAGAACAGCGGGAGGAACTGGAGGGCTGGAGCCCGAGTACATCTGAATTTACCTCTTGAGGTCCCACCAGAAGGCTGCCTGTAGTGCCTCTCCCAGCCTCCTATGGGGAAGGACCACTCATTTGTCTGTGATGTTGGGGCAGGTACTAATCTCCCTGTGCTTCAGTTTCTTCACCTGTAAAATGGTAATAACCCCTTGTTGTATGGTTTTGATGTTGGAGCCATGTAAATATTTTATATAATTAAAATACGAAATTAATTAGAGAGAGTTTACATTAATTTTAATTAAATTAAAATGAAGAAAAATGAAGCAATCCCTAAAAGTATAAAACAAATTGTAACAAATGTACCTAACTATATATGAAGTTGGAGCAAAACTACATAGAAGAATTTTCTTTCGGCCAGGCTCAAGCCTGTAATCCCAGCACTTAGGGAGGCAGAGATGGGCGGATCGCCTGAGGTCAGGGGTTCGAGGCCAGCCTGGCCAACAAGGTGAAATGCCATCTCTACTAAAAATACAAAAATTAGCTGTGTGTGGTAGTGCACACCTATAATCCCAGCTACTGGAGCAGCAGAGGCATGAGGATCCCTTGAACCTGGGAGGCGGAGGTCGCAGTGAGCCAAGATTGTGCTACTGCACTCCAGCCTGGGAGACAGAGTGAGACTCTGTTTCAAAAAAAAAAAAATTATTTCAAGTGATTATAAAACTCAACATTTTGACTATATGTCTCCAGCTCTCTAAGGGCAAAAGGAGCCATGGATTAATTTTAATGTTGGCATTATTTTGAGCATTATTATAACACACTATTTATCATAATAAAGCAAATAAGTAATTAGTTATATTAATAGTGTTAGAAACCAAGATTTTGACTGTAAGAGAAGAAGAGTTAAGCAAAAACTGCTAATCTTTTTTTTTCTTTTTTCTTTTTTTTTGAGACAGAGTCTCTCTCTGTTGCCCAGGCTGGAGTGCAGTTGTATAATCTTGGCTCACTGTAGCCTCCGCCTCCTGGGTTCAAGCGATTCTCCTACCTCAGCCTCCCAAGTAGCTGGAACTACAGGAGCGCACCACCATGCCCGGCTAATTTTGTATTTTTAGTAGAGATGGCGTTTCACCATGTTGGCCAGGATTGTCTCTAACTCTGATCTCAGGTGGTCTGCCTGCCTCAGCCTCCCAAAGTGCTGGGATTACAGGCATAAGCCACCATGCCCAGCAAATACTGCTAATCCTTCATCTGAATTGGAACTATCAGCATGAACTCATGCCACTGAAAAGGCTCAGAAGTAGTGACAACCCAATAACAATGAATCCCCTGTGGGTCCCAGTTGTGATCTCTACATGGCACTTCCTGCTAAAAGGAACAAGGACTCTTTGGAGAAATTCCAGGTCTGGGCCAGGATAGCTTGTCAGACTAGAGAATAAGGAAATTTGGCTGGGTGTGGTGGCTCACATCTGTAATCCCAACACTTTGGGAGGCCAAGGCAGGAGGATTGCTGGAATCCAGGAGTTGGAGACCAGCCTGGGCACATAGCAAGACTTGGTGTCTACCAATAAGAAGAAAAGAAAGAAAGAAAAGAAAGAAAGAAAGAAAGAAAGAAAGAAAGAAAGAAAGAAAGAAAGAAAGAAAGAAAGAAAGGAAGGAAGGAAGGAAGGAAGGAAGGAAGGAAGGAAGGAAGGAAGAAAGGGAGAGAGAAAGAGTGAGGGAGGGAGGGAGGAAAGAAGGAAGGAAGGAAGGAAAGATCAGCTGGGTATGGTGTCACATGCCTGTAGTTCTGACTTCTTGAGAGACTGAGGCAGGAGGATCACTTGAGCCCACAGTATGAGGCTGCAGTGAGCTAGAACAGTGCCACTGCACTCTAGCCTGGGTAACAGAGCAAGACCTTGTCTCTCTAAAACAAAAAAGAAAAAAAGAGGGAGAGAGAATAAGGAAGTTACAGTTATAAAACTCAGGTCAGGTGAGGGTCATTTTAAAAAGATCCAGTAGCCAACTTGAGAAGACTTCCACTGGCCAAAGATGAAACAGTTTCAGCATTAAAATGAATAATGACTGTACGAGATTGAAACATATCAAATACATGAAAATTCCATAAGTTCATAATGATACTGAAAAATAAAACCATTGGTCACCTTTGGACATTGATAGGGCACCATTCAAGGTTTTGAAAATTAATAGGGGGTAGCAGATCCTGTTGGTGGCCTGACCCATATTCTCTTAGCACTCAACAAACCAAAGACTGCTTGCTGCCCGAGGATATTTGTGTCTGTACCTAAATGCTTGGCCTAAATGCACAGTAAGTCAGAAGCACCAGAAGGTTAATGCCCCTGGGACCAGTCCTCAACCAGTAACAGGTGGGGAGGTGGTAAATTATTATTATTATTTGAGATGGCGTCTCACTCTGTCACCCAGGCTGGAGTGCAGTGGTGTGATCTCGGCTCTGCAACCTCAGCCTCCTGGGTTCAAGTGATTCTCCTGCCTCAGCCTCCCCAGTAGCTGGGATTACAGTACATGCCATCGTGCCTGGCTAATTTTTATATTTTTAGTAGAGACAGGGGTTTCACCACTTTGGCCAGGCTAGCCTCAAACTCCTGATCTCAGGTGAACTGCCCACCTCGGCCTCCCAAAGTGCTAGGCTTACAGGCGTAAGCCACCGCACCTTGCCGGAGTTGGTAAATTAAAACCCCAGCCTCCTCATCTCTCAGGTGGGAAAACGGCGGCAAGTTCTACACTGGCTCCCAGAGTGCCCCAGCAGCGTGCATTTCATTTGTCCATGGCCATAGCCTATTCCATTATGCACCCTTTACTGGATTCCTTCCCTTTCTTGTCTCTGTTTGCCATCAAGATCTGGGAATTTTCAGACCCACCAAGTCATGAGGACATATGGGCACAGTAGCAACAAAAAATGGTACATTTAGGATTGGGTGTAAGCATGTCCAGAGGGCACGAATAAGCTACAAGTGCAGGGAGTCCAGATCCCACTTTACCTGTCCCTGTTGCTCCTGTACCTCTCTTAGCTCACCCTGTAGCCTTGTGGGAATTTCCCTATAACCAGGCTTTAGAGGAGGAAAAAATGCAGGCCAGGTTCATGGATGGGCCTGTCTGATTTATTGATGTGAGCTAAACTTGGATGCTGCCACACTACAGCCCCACTCAGGGGTGGCCTTGAAAGACAACATGAGGGGAAATCCTCCAGGGAGGACGTTTCAAGCAGCATGCTGGTGGTCTACTCTGCAGTGAGAGAGGTGACTTGAGGAAAGTATATACACATGGATTCTTGAGCAGTGGCAGTGGCTTAGTTGGCTGGTCAGGGCCCAGAAGAGAGTAAGATTGGAAGGTTGGAGGTAAGGATGTCCAGGGAAGAGGTATATGGATGGACTTATAGGAGTGGGCACAAAGTGATAAATCTTTGTGTCTTATGTCAGTACCATCAAAGAACATTCACTGCAGAGGGGGCATTGAAGAGCTAAGGGGACAGAAGGACTCCAGTGGATAAACCAGCCTTTGTCATGCCAGGGCTTCCATGGTGAGCCCATGAATGGAGTAGTTGTGGCAGTAGATCTGGAATCTATGCAAGGGCCCACTAGCATGGGCGACCTCTCATCAAGGCTCATCTAGCTACTGCCACTGCTGAATGTTTGGCCTGTCTGCAGCAGAGACAGATGCTGACCCCTCAACATGGTACCAGCCCTCAAGGAGATCAACCAGCCAGTTGATAGTATGTTTTTTGTTTGTTTGTTTGTTTTTGAAACAGGGTCTCACTCTGGTTGCCCAGTCTGGAGTGCAGTGGTGTGATCTCGGCTCACTGTGGCCTCGACCTCCCAGGCTCAGGTGATTCTCCCACCTCAGCCTCCTGGGTAGCTGGGATTACAGGTGCACACCATTGTGCCTGGCAATTTTTTTTTTTTTTTGTATTTTTAATAGATATGGGGTTTCACTATGTTGCCCAGGCTGGTCTTCAACTCCTGATCTCAAGTGAGTGCCTGCCTCGGCCTTCCAAAGTGCTGGGATTACAGGTGTGAGCCACTGTGCCTGCCTGATGGTATGTTGATTTCAGTGTATCTCTTTCAATCTGGGGGAGGAGCAATATGTCCTCACTGGGATTAGTGCATATTCTGGATATGGATTTGTCTTTCCTGACCAAATGCCTGGGCCAGCACCAAATATCAAGGGCCCAAAGTCAATGATTTGTCCTTATGAGACCCCTTATAGTCTCACCTCTAACCAAGGGTCTGCACTTTATAGCGAAGGAAATGTGACAATGGATGCACAGCCACAGGATCCATTGGTTCTATGCTATAATATATCACATCACCTTGAAACTGCCAGCTTGTTAGTACATTACTGTGGCCTCTTTACAGCACATCTAAAGCCAGCCTGGGGAAAAGATCCTGTGAGATTTGGGTGCAGTCCTGCAAAATGAAGTATATATTTTGAGTTAATGGCCATTATATAGTGCTATATGCCAGACAGTTAGAAATCAGGGGTACAGGAACCAAGGTATGGAAGAAGGAATACCCCTCTCACCATCAGTCCTAGTGACTCACTTGGGGGAATTTGTGCCTCCTGTCCTTATACATTTAAGGTCTGTGGGATTAGAAGCCCTGGTTCTTGAAGTGGCAGATGCAGCTCCCAGAGGTCACAGTGAAGATGCTACTAAACCTAAGGCTACAGCAGCCATTGGGTCATTTGGGGCATCTCATACCAATTGGCCAGTACACAAAGAAAGGAATTATGCAAGCAGAGATATTTGATCTTCATTATCCCATGAACAGGCAGTTGTATCAATGATGGCCTGGCAAGGGCATGGTGATGTAAGGCAGAGAACTTCAGTCATGAAGGTCTGGATTTTCCATTGAGAAAGCCCTGCAGACTAACAGAATGAACTGTAGAGGAGGGAAATGTTGAATGCTGATTTCAGCCTTGCAACCAACTGCAGCAATGGTTATGGTTTGTCCTACTAACCCACCCATTGTACAATTAAAAAAAAAAAAAACAGATGGAGTCTCACTCTGTCACCCAGGCTGGAGTTCAGTGGCATGATTATGGCTCACTGCGCCTCAAACTGCTAGGCTCAAGAAATCCTTCCATATCAGCCTCCCTGGTAGCTGGGACTACAGACACACGCCACCACGCCTGGTGAATTTTTAAATTATTTTTTAGAGACAGAGGTCTTGCTTTGTTGCTCAGACTGGTCTCAAACTCCTAGTTTCAAGTGATCCTCCAGCCTCGGCCTCCCAAAGTGTTGGGATTACTGGCAGGAGTCACCACACCCAGCCTGTTGTTAAGACTTTCTTTTAAAAGAATTAGAAATTGCAATCAGCCACCACCTTGAAGCATCAGAGACAGAATAGAATGAACTCATGGAATGAGAGGCACAAATGGATCCTAGCAGTGCAAAGGGGGGACGGTACTGTGACCCATATCCTTCAGCATTCACCTCTACAGGAGGACGCATCTTTGTGAACATCTGTGACTCTGCCTGGAGGCGTTTGTTCTGGCTATGGGAGCATGTTTGTGCTCAGGGCAAGCCAGGAATGCTAGAGAGTTAATGCTCCCAGAAGGAGCTCTCAACCAACACAGAGGGAGTTGACAATTATATCCTATTTCTTTGCCCCTTGGGGAGGATTCTCTGAGGCAGCTTCTACACTTCTCCCAGGTTCCTCAGCAGGATTGATCCCCATTGGCCCACCTGCTCTAATACATGCCTCTAACTGGCTCCCTTCCCTTTCCTGTCCCACTTCTCCACTCCTCTCCCAGTGCCTGTTAGCATCACTTACCAAATAAACTACTTTTGTTCCTGACTCAAGATCTGCTTCTAGGAAGCAGATCCTTCTTAGCCCACCTAAGACAAATGCGAGATAATCAAGCACTAATTCTACCTTTCCTGAATGGGTGAAATGTCAGAGTAACAAAGCAGTTATTGAGAGCAGTTTTTCTTACAGATGATTCACAGCTAATAAACGAAGGTGGGCCTGGCGCAGCGGGTCATGCCTGTAACCCCAGCACTTTGGGATGCAGGGGCGGGCAGATCACTTGAGGTCAGGAGTTCGACACCAGCCTGGCCAACATGGTGGAACCCCTTCTCTACTAAAAATACAAAAATTAGCTGGGCATGGTGGTGCGCACCTGTAATCCCAGCTACTAGGGAGGCTGAGGCAGGAGAATCACTTGAGCCCAGGAGGAAGAGGTTGCAGTGAGCCGAGATCAAGCCACTGCACCTCTACTCTAGCCTGGGTGATAGAACAAGACTCCATCTCAAAAAAAAAAAAAAAAAAGAAGAAGAAGGAGGAATGACAAAATTAGACAATCTCCATTTTGCAACTCTTAATGAATGAATGAATCTAGACAATGATCAGCAGTGCCATCAGATAAAAGGTTGATAGGTGTAGAGGGTCGAATGGTGGCCACTAGAAAATATGTCCATAGGCTGGGCACGGTGGCTCACACCTGTAATCCCAGCACTTTGGGAGGCTGAGACGGGAGGATCACCTGAGGTCAGGAGTTGGAGACCAGCCTGACCAACATGGAGAAACCCTGTCTCTACTAAAAATACAAAATTAGCCGGTGTGGTGGCACATGCCTATAATCCCAGCTACTCGAGAGGCTGAGGCAGGAGAATTGCTTGAACCCGGGAGGCGGAGGTTGCGGTGAGCCTAGATGGCGCCATTGCACTCCAGCCTGGGCAATAAGAGCGAAACTCCATCTCAAAAAAGAAAAAAAAAAAAAAAGAAGAAGAAAGAAAGAAAAAGAAAAAAAAAGATAATATGTCCACGGCCTAATCCCTGAAAACTGTGAATGTTATCTTGTTTGAGGAAAGGATCTTTGCCGATGTAATTCATTACATGAATTCATTCCTTAACTTCAGTTAAGGGTCATGAAATGAGTTCATCCTGGATTAGCTAGGTGGGGTAAATCCAACGACATGTGTCCTTATGAGAGATAGAAGAGGAAAAGACACAGACTCATGAAGAGGAGGAGGGTACATGACCACAAAGGCAGAGATTGGAGTGATGCGGCTAAGGAAGCCAAGGAACAGAAGCCGCCAGAAGCTGGAAGAGGCAAGGAAGGGTTCTGCCCACAATCTCCAGAGGGAGTGCAGCCCTGCTGACACCTAGGTTTTTGTTTGTTGTTGCTGTTGTTGTTGTTTACCACTGTGCTATTGAAAACGTAGATTTTGGACTTCTGGCTGGTAGAGAATAAATGTCTCTGTGGTAAGAGAATAAATGTCTGTTGCTTTAAACACAAAATTTGTGGTAATTTGTTACAGCAGACACCGGAAACTAATACAATGGAGAACCTTTTATTTATTTACTTATTTTTGAGATGGAGTCTCACTCTGTCACCCAGTCTGGAGTACAATGGCGTGATCTCAGCTCACTGCAACCTCCACCTCCCAGATTCAAGCGATTCTCTTGTCTCAGCCGCCCGAGTAGCTGGGACTACAGGTGCTTGCCACCACGCCCCGCTAATTTTTTTAATTTTTTTATTTTTTGTAGAGACAGGGTTTTACCTTGTTGGTCAGGCTGGTATCAAACTCCTGACCTCAGGTGATCCTCCCACCTTGACCTCCCAAAGTGCTGGGATTACAGGCGTGAGCCACTGCGCCCGACCTACAATGGATAACCTTATAATTAATGGACAGACAGCCTGAATTTACTGATCAATCTCAACATCATTGAAAGTAGATTAAGGCCCAGGTGTGGTGGCTCACACCTGTAATCCCAACACTTTGGGAGGCCAAGGCGGGAAGATGTTTAGAGGCCAGGAGCTTGAGACCAGCCTGGGCAACATGGCGAAATCTTGTCTCTATGAAAACAAAACAAAACAAAACAAAAAACTAGCTGGGTGTGGTAGCACATGCCTGTCATCCCAGCTACTCAGGAGGCTGAAGCAGGAGGATCACTTGAGCCTGAGAGGCAAAGGTTGCAGTGAGCCAAGACCGTGCCACTGCACTCCAGCGTGGGTGACAGAGCAAGACTCCATCTCAAAAACCAAAAAAAACAAACAAAAGAAAGTAGAACCGCCAGTCACCAGGTGCCTCCTGATGTGATGAAAGAGGAAGTATACAGTATCACTTATGGAATGTTTCCAGAAAAAAGTGAATGTGAATTTGTTTGTTTGTTTATTTATTTTGAGGTGGAGTCTCACTCAGTTGCCCAGGCTGGAGTGCATTGGCGTGATCTTGGCTCACTGAAACCTCCACATCCTGGGTTCAAGCAATTCTCCTGCCTCAGCCTCCTGAGTAGCTGGGATTACAGGCACCCACCACCATGCCCGGCTAATTTTTTGTACTTTTAGTAGAGGTGGGGTTTCTCCATGTTGGCTAGGCTGGTCTCAAACTCTTGACCTCAGGTGATCCACCTACCTCGGCCTCCCAAAGTGCTGGGATTACAGGCGTGAGCCACTGTGCTTGCTTGAATTTAATCAAACTTCTAAATATAATCACAGGGGACAAAGGAACATGCTAAATGACATTTGCAAGGGTACACTCAGCCAAATCCAGAATGTGAGAAACTTGACAGGAAAAAATGACCTAGTTTCTTAAACAAACAAATACAATGGCATAGATAAAATGAAGGGGGCAGGAGTATTGCAGCTTAACAGAGACTTAAAAAAAATTACTCGGGCCGGGTGCGGTGGCTCACGCCTGTAATCCCAGCACTTTGGGAGGCCGAGGCGGGCAGATCACGAGGTCAGGAGATCGAGACCAGCCTGGCTAACACAGTGAAACCCCATCTTTACTAAAAATACAAAAAATTAGCTGGGCGTGGTGGCGGGCGCCTGTAGTCCCAGCTACTCTGGAGGCTGAGGCAGAAGAATGGCATAAACCTGGGAGGTGGAGCTTGCAGTGAGCCGAGATTGGCCACTGCACTCCAGCCTGGGCAACAGAGCAAGATTCCGTCTCAAAAAAAAAAAAAAAATTAGGAGGCTGAGGCAGGAGGATAACTTGAACCCAGGAATTAAAGTCTAGCCTGGGAAACATAGTGAAACCCTGTCCCTTAAAAAAAAAAAGCATTAATTAACTCCCTCAGCCCCCAAATTAACCAATTGCAACGTTGTAGACCTTAATTGGATTCTGGTTTGAGGAAACCAACTATAAAATTTTATTTTTTGGACATTCAGGGAAAAATGATCATGAACTAAATATTAGATGACTAATGTTTAGTTTAATTTTGTTGGGGAAGTGTGATAATGGAATTATGGTTATTTTTAGAAGTCATTGTGTGTTAGAAATGCATATTGAGTCTCACAGGTGAAAAGATAGGATATCTGGGATTTACTTTCAAATACTCCAGTAAAACCCAACATGACTGAGAGGACCCATGAAAAAAGAAGGGCAGAATTTTGATAATGGTCAAGCCAGGTGATGGAGTAGTTCATCATACTATTCTCCTTACTTTTTTTTTTTTTTTTGAGATGGAGTCTCGCTCTGTCGCCCAGGCTGGAGTGCAGTGGTGCGATCTCGGCTCACTGCAAGCTCCGTCTCCCAGGTTCACGCCATTCTCCTGCCTCAGCCTCCCGAGTAGCTGGGACTACAGGCGCCCGCCACCACGCCTGGCTAATTTTTTGTGTTTTTAGTAGAGACGGGGCTTCACCGTGTTAGCCAGGATGGTCTCGATCTCCTGACCTCGTGATCCACCCGCCTCGGCCTCCCAAAGTGCTGGGATTACAGGCGTAAGCCACCGCGCCCAGCCCTTACTTTTGTGTATGTTTAAAGTTTTCTATAATAAGAAATAATGCTGATAGCAATATACAGAGTAGTTGTAGGAATGAGTGGTACTGTGGTTTTGTGATTGAAGAAATGGAGATTTGCAGCAAATGGAAAGCTCTTCTTATGGCCTTTTTCACCGTTTTGTTTGTTTGTTTGTTTGTTTGCTTTTGTTTTTGAGACAGGGTCCTGCTCTGTCACCCAGGCTGGAGTGCAGTGGTGCGATCTTGGCTTACTGCAGCCTTGACCTCCTTGGCTAAAGCGATCTTCCCACCTCAGCCTCCTGAGTAGCCGGGACAACAGGAGTGTGCCACCAAGCCCAGCTAATTTTTGTATTTTTTTGTAGAGATGAGGTTTTGCCATGTTGCCTAGGCTGGTCCCAAACTCCTGATCCCAAATGCCTCAGCCTCCCAAAGTGCTGGGATTACAGGCATGAGCCATTGCGCCTGGCCCGTGACCATTTCTTGTATGGTCTCTTGCCCTTAGGCTGAAGGCATTACACTGAAGAAAAGCCATCCTCCTGCTGGCTGAGCTGCTGGGGTCCAGTATCTTGGCTTTCTGGGGCTCTGACTTCATCATAGGCAATAGCTTAGAAAACCCAGAAAAGATTGGGTGACTACCACTATGTCTAAGAGAGAGTCTAGACTGCTCTCCTTGGTGCTTATGGTGGACACTGATGCTGTCCATCAAATATTTCCAGTTTTCCTATTTCTAGGCCAAAGAAGGATTGCTCTTTCTTGCCCCCTTGTGGTTGGGTGGGGCCATGTGATTAGTTCTGGCAAATGAGTTGTGAACTGAAGGGACAGGTGTCACTTCTGGGTGGAAGCTATTAATTGCCTTTGTGAAACCCTGCAGAGCTCTTATTATTTTTTCCTGCTAGTGTGGTGACTGACAGTATTCAAGATGGTGGCTACTCTATCAGCCTGTGTCCCTGAATGACAAAAATAAGAACTCCCTTTTTGACCACAACGCACGTGTAGCCTGAGTGAGAAATAAACCTTTGTTATTTTAAGCCACAGTATGAGTTTCCTATCTTTTTTTTTTTTTTTTTTTTGAGATGGAGTCTCGCTCTGTCGCCCAGGCTGGAGTGCAGTGGTGCGATCTCTGTTCACTGCAGCCTCCGCCTCCTGAGTTCAAGCAATTATCCTGCCTCAGCCTCCTAAGTAGCTGGGATTACAGGCACCCGCCACCACGCCTGGCTAATTTTTATATTTTTAAAGTAGAGACGGGGTTTCACCATGTTGGCCAGGCTGGTCTCAAACTCCTGACCTCAAATGATCCGCCCACCTCAGCCTCCCAAAGTGTTGGGATTACAGGCATGAGCTACCGCACTGGGCCTGATTTTCCTATCCTTAATAGCGCAAACACTTCTGGGAGGTCTGCAGGCTGCACGTTTTGAAATATGTTTAAGTCATCTTATATTTGTTATCTGAGATTTGGGAGTTGTTTTCACAGCATAATCTACCTGATCTTGACTAATATAGTGCCATACGACAACCAACCCTTCAGGCTGCCTGATAAGAAGCTGAAAAACTACTATTGTTGCCATATTACTGTAATCACAATAATTATTAATTATTATAGGTACCACTTGAGTGCCTATTATGTGTACCAGGCATGTACTACCCAGTACATGCAATGCCTCAACTGATTCTCACAACAAACACAAAAGACAAACATTATTATCCCTTGCCAAGATGAGAAAATCAAGGTTTAGGAAATGGCACAAATATCTCATTTGCTGCATGATGGTTATTGAAGACTGTTCATTCTATCATTCTCTGTCCCTTATATAATGTTCCATGGGATGAATTTTCTTTAGCAATTATAGCAAGAACCCCCTTGGAAATCAATTTTACAACATATATCACGCACCATTAGCGTGTTCGTGCCCTTTGCCCCATTCATTAGTATTATCTAGCTCAGGCTTTTTTGTAGTATAGTTAGAAACCTATGTATATACACACCAATATATATGTGAAAAGTGAATTAATAACATTAGAATTTGTCTCTTGAATTGCTAGTATGTTTCCTTTAGCCACAGGTTAAGAATGTTACTTGTCCAGTTCCCCATTTGCCTTGGTGGCCCTGGTGTTTGGTATTTGCCTCCGCCTTACGCAAGGTTAATTTCCTGTCAATTCTAGCAACAATATGACTTTCCTATCTTTAACAGTAGTCCCCGCAAACGCTTCAGGGAGGTCTGCAGCCTGCACATTTTGAAATATGTTTAAGTTGTCTTATATTTGTTATCTGGGGCACATAGGGTGGGCCTGGTGGCATGGGGCGCCCCTGGCAGATTTGAACTAATCTTAGGTGAGTGTGCGGCGCCCCCGCGTGGCGCCTGGCGCAACAACATGCTGGGTTCTGCGTGGGTCCTGGGCCAGGCGCCCACTACGTCTCCACTTCTCTCTCTCCCTTGGCCTATTGGTGCCCTCCGGCCGCACTCCCGCTCTTCCGCTGACCCATCCCTTAACAGCAACAGCCCTGCCCCTTACCCTGTCTTAGGTGCTCAGTGGGCACGCAGGATCCCGGGTCATCAGCCCCGACATGAGCGTGCACACACACACACACACACCCCTCCACGCCTCGCAGCTCTTACAGCTCCACCCAACACAAAAGATCCCCAGGTTATTTTATTGCTGTACTCAGAGGTCAGTTAATGCCCCCGGCCGCCTCACCCTCCCCCCGGCGGTGGCTGAGTCCTCTGCTAGGGTTCGCGAACGGCAGCGGGTCCGAGGGTCACCTCTGCATCTCGCCGCCGGAGGCGCCCCCGCCTCCCCTCCCCGCCGCCGGGCCAGCCGGGGTCCGAGGCCCGCAGCCCCCGGCTGGGAAGGCAGGTCTGGAGAGGCCGCTCCGGGTCTGGAGGGAGGGGAGGCTCTCCGGAAAGGGGTGGCGAGAGACCCCCGCCACGACTCCCAAGCTTCTTCGCGCGCGCTGGAGGGGACACGGTGGGCGCCTAATTCTCGGCGTAGCAGTAGGTCCCATAGGCTGCCTGTTGGGGCCTGGGGAAGCCGAAACTGCGCACTCCGGGATCCGGGAGCCCCCCGCAGCGCGGCCTCGGCGTGGTGATTGGGAAGCGCACACTGCCGTCAGCCAGCCAGCCGCCGTCGCACTGGTCTAGCCCCGAAAACTTCCAGGCGGCGTAGAGGTGCCCAACCTTGGCCACCACGGCGCCGCGTCGCCGGCACGCCGCGTGGGCTTCAGACAGCGTCAGCCGCCCGGGCACGAAGAACACTTGGCCTGGGGACCACAGCGGGTCACCGACCGAGGGCAGGGTGGGCGGAGAGGGGCGGCTGACACCCAGGAGGCGGAGTTGGGGTGCGGGACCGCAGAGGTGCTGGATCGAGCTTGGGTAAGAGGAGTTGGGGGATCGAGGCAAAAGTGCAGGGAGGGTTTGGAGAGGTGAGCTGGAGCCTGGGCGGGCGGGCGGGCTGATGGGGGGGCGGTGCCTTGGAGGGACCCGGAGACCCTGCCCTGATCTCAAGCTGAGGTCCACTCCTCGTCCCCCACATTTTTCAGACCCCTCCCCAAGACCCTGCCTTCGTCCCGCGCCTCACCCGCCAGCGCGGAGGTGAAGCAGAAGGCGTCGTAGCGGTCGCGCATCCGGTCGCGGGGTCCGTAGCTGCGGATCCCGGGCCGGCCTCGGCCGCCGCACGGGGCGCGTGCGGTGAGCACAGGGTAGCGCACGGAGCCCTCGAGCAGCCAGCCCGCGTTACACCAGTCCAGACCCTCGGTCCAAGCTGGCGGGAGACGGCGGAGGTCGGGGATAAGAGGCGTCATAGGCAGGAGCCAGACTGAGCTCGCCTGGCGCCCTCTCTCGGGCCCCTGAGACAGCTCCGCGGGGCTTGGGAAGTGCTGGGTTCGGCCGCTCACCCTGGTAGAGCTGGGAGTAGGTGGCCAGGCGTCCGTCCTGCTCCTCGCACGCCTGCTTCGCCTCGTAGTAATTGAACTGGTACCGGCCCCGGCTGGGTTGGTACGGAAACACCACACCTAGGGGGTGGCGGGGATCCTGGGGAGGGCCAGCGGATGGGAGCGGAGGGGGAGGAAGGGCGGCGCGGCCTGGGAGAGGGAGCTGGGGTCCCCAGGGGTGCGGAGGAGATACTGGGAAGGAGCCCTGGGAGACCCAGGCGAGGCGGACCCGCTGCTACACAGGAATGGGGCGGGAGCGGAAGGGCCTCACCCTCCAAGCTCAAGGTCAGCGCCACGCTCTCGTCCTCGATGCCGTTGATGAGCTCGCAGCGGTACCGGCCCTCGTCCTCCAGGCGCACGCCCGCGATGACCAGGGAGGCGTCTAGTCGATGCCCCCTCCGCATCCTGGCGCGCCCTCCCAGGGGCCCATACCCCCGGGCGTGCAGTCCGTTGGTGATGAGGATCAGCGTTTCCCGGAGCTCCCCAGGCTCCACCTTGCTCCAGCGCACCTTGTAGCTGGGAGGCGTGGTGCCCAGGACGCAGGGCAGCGTGGCCGTGGCCCCACGATGAGAGTGAATGACCTCGTGGATGGGGGGCAGGAGGTAGTGGGGGCCCGGGTGGGATGCTGGGCAGAGGGGGCCACAGTGGCAGGAACCCCCAATCCTCACTGCCCCAAGTGCCCATCAGACCCTGCTCCCCAAATGCTTTCTCCAGAGCCCCCCAACCCTCTCCTCCATTGCCTTCTCAGCAATGACTTTCAGTCCCTGGGTACCTGCAACAACTGCCCTTTCCCCTTTCCCCACCCTTGCAGTCTCCCCAAGCCTCCCCCAGATTCTGGCCTGGGCTGGGGTCTTACCTGGGTCTCCTTGGGCTTTGTGGAAGATGGTGAAGGCCCAAAGAAGGAAGCGGCAGAGTGTGGGGAGGGTGAGCCAGCCTGGCATGATGGGGGGTCAGCCCGGCACCGTCTGCAGGGCACAAAGAGTGGGCAGTTCTTAGGACTGGGGCAAAAGGGTGGGGAAGAGCAGGGTTGTGGGTGAACTCCCATCAGAGATCCTAGAAGGGACTGTCCAGCTGGAAGCCACTGGGGCAGAGAAAAGGGGTTGGTGACAAAATGAAGGTGATGAGGGGAAGAAGGCAGTAGCAATCCCCTTCCTCTCCCTCTCTTCCTCTGTCACATCCTCTCAGCCTGCAGGTACTAATTTAGCATCTTCTCTACCTGTCCCCCTCATCACAAGTGCTACTTCCCAAGCTTGCCATCTGGACTGCCAGCTCGTCTCTATCCTCTCCCAACACCCATTCTCCATCTTGAAGCCAGAGTCAAAATGATCTTATCACTCTCCTGCTTTTTTATTTTATTTATTTATTTATTTATTTATTTATTTATTTATTTATTTTTTTGAGACAGAGTGTTGCTCCATGGTCCAGGCTGGAGTCCCGTGGCATGATCATGGCTCACTGCAGCCCCTAACTTCCAGCTCCAGGTGATCCTCCCATTTCAGCCTCCTGAGTAGCTGGAACTACAGACATGTGCCACCACACCCAGCTAATTGTTTCTTTTTAAGTTTTTAGTAGAGACAAGGTCATGCTGTGTTGACAAGGCTGGTGCTGGGATTACAGCAGGCGTGAGCCACCGTGCCTGGCCTTGTCACTCTCCTGCTTGAAAGTGACTCCCAGTTGCCCTGAGGATAAAATCCAATCTCATAACCACAGCTTCCAAGGCTGTCTATAATCCAGTTGCTCCCTGCACCTCCAGCATGGTCCCCGCCTCGCCTCTTAACCACTTTGGCCTCTGCACTGTTCCCCTGACATGCTGGATTTCTGGCAGTTTCCCACACAGTCCAAGTTTGCATTCATTTCCTTTCCTTTGTGCCTGCATTGGTCGCACAGGCCTCACCTCCTTTGGGAAACCTTTACCCACCCCCAGTTTGCCACACTGTAGTGCACTGTGATCTGCTGGACTGCGGACCTTTTTTTTTTTGAGACAGGGTTTTACTCTCTCGCCCAGACTGGAGTGCAGTGGTATGATCATGGCTTACTGCAGCCTCGCCCTCCCAGACTCAAGCCATCCTCCCATCTCAGCCTCCTGAGTAGCTGGGACTACAGGCGCACACCATGAAACCCCACTAAATTTTTTTCTTTTCTATTTTTTGTAGAGATGGAGTTTCAGAATGTTGCCCAGGCTGGTCTTGAACTCCTGGGCTCAAGTAATCTGTCTTGGCCTCCCAGAATGCTGGGATTACAAGCATGAGCCACCACACCCAGCCAGGACTTTTTTTGTCTTACAAGTACTTTTATTAGCACCTAAACTTAACAGTGTGAATTTGAACATAATATGTATCCACATATAGATACAGAAATTATGAAGTTAAAAAATATAAAATTATAAAGTTATTTTTAAAAACTACTTCAAATGCAATTATCTATTTCAGTACTGTAGTTATTCCCCCCTTTAAATTTGTTTTGTGTTTTTTTTTTCTAGATGGAGTCTCGCTCTGTTGCCCAGGCTGGAGCACAGTGGCACGATCTTGGATCACTGCAAGCTCCACCTCCCGGTAAAAAAAATTTTTTAATCAGATACAGGGTCTTACTAGGTTGCCCAATTCCTGGGCTCAAGCAATGCTCCCACTTCAGCCTCCCAAGTTTGAGCCACTGCACCCAGCTCCTCCTTTATTGTAACATTCTTTTTTTTTTTTTTTTTCTTTTTTCTGAGAGGGAGTTTCACTCTTGTTGCCCAGGCTGGAGTGCAATGGCACCATCTCAGCTCACTGCAACCTCCACCTCCCGGGTTCAAGCGATTCTCCTGAGTAGCTGGGACTACAGGCACCCACCACCACTCCGGGCTAATTTTTGTATTTGTAGTAGAAACAGGGTTTCACCATGTTGGCCAGGCTGGTCTTGAGAACTCCGGACCTCAGGTGATCCACGCTCCTTGGCCTCCCAAAATGCTGAGATTACAGGTGTGAGCCATCGCCTCCAGCACCTATTGTATCATTCTTATCCCTCTGACCTTAAAAAAAAAAATTGGACTGGGCCAGGCACAGTGGGTCACACCTGTAATCCCAACACTGGAAGGCTGAGGCGGGTGGATTACTTGAGATTAGGAGTTCAAGACCAGCCTGGCCATCATGGTGAAACCCTGTCTCTACTAAAAATACGAAATTCAGCTGGGCGTGGTGGCATGCACCTGTAATTCCAGCTACTCGGGAGGCTGAGGCAGGAGAATCGCTTGAAACCAGGAGGTGGAGGCTGCAGTGAGCCAAGATTGTGCCACTGCACTCCAGCCTAGGGGATAGAGCAAGACCTTGTCTCAAAAAAAAAAAAAAAAAAAATGAAGACTTCTTGACTTCACTGCATTCGTTTTCCAAATCTGGCTACTCTATTTCCTAATTGCATGACTATGCATAAGTTAATTATCATGCACAAGTTCCTTAACCTCTCTCTGCCTCAGTGTCCTCATCAGTGAAATGTGGGGAATAATAGCACACCTACCTCACTGAGTAGTTGTGAGGAATAAATAAATTGATATACGCAAAATGCTTGAAATAGTGTCTGGAATGTAATAAGTGCTGTCTATGTGTTAGCTGTTATCTCCAGTTCCCAGCATAGTTTCTGGTACATAGTAGGTGCTAAATAAGTGTGTATGGTTTAATGAACTTACATTAAGGATTCATGGGAAGATGGGATGGGGAATGGGGAGATGGAGGAAGCACCCTGAGAAGTTGCCAGAAATCTAAAGAATGGAGCTCCATCTTTCTGCAAATGAGGACCAAAGACCAGTTTGCAGTAGGAGAAACGGAGGTTATGCATAGAAAACTTCTCAGTGGTTAAAGGTGAAAGTATCTGGGATGCGAACATGAGCAAGAGAACCACTTCTTTATAGGAGAACTTGATAAGTAAGAATGATCGTGAGGACTGAGATTGACTGAGACCAACAATAATGATAGCTCAAATGAACACGTTTAAAATTGAATGTGCCTGACACTGCTCTAAGCACTTTACATGTATATTTTTATATTTACTCCTCCCAGCAATCCTGAGGCAGAAACAATTATAAATCCTACTGTACACATGCTGAAACCAAGGTGCACCTATTTTAGGAAATGAGGTCACACAGCTAGTAAGAGGAAGGGTTTGCTGGGATTTGAATACAGATCTGACAGTGAGGCTCAAGCGCTTAATCACTAATCTATATTTCTGCATTTCAAAACAGTGCACACACATGCTCTTCATACCTCTTACAGAAAATGAGAGTAGTCAGCAGCCCATTGCCTACCTGTTAGAAGCTGGTCTCTTCACAGAGACGGAGGGAGCAGTGCTTAGCAGCTTTTTGTCTTGCTTGAGGAAGAGGTTCTGGATGAAGGTTTGCCAGGCTCCTGGGAGTTCCAAGCACCTTAAAACCCTGGAACTTGAGCCCCTGTTCAACACAGTTGCTCCTTTTGCACCTTTGAGGAAAAGCTTCTGTCCTGTGCTCAAAGAAGAAGCCAAGGTGCCAAGAACGACCCCCACCCCCATCAGTCCACTAAGCCATGTTAAGAGACCTGTGTCCAGCCCTGTGACTATATCTGTGGAAATCACTATTCCGGGACCAGGGGAAGATGCTGGGGTTGGGATGAGGGCTGGGAACCCATGAAGGGGAGTGGAATAAAGGGAGCAACCCAGGAATGATGACCTGGAAGAGTGCAGAAAGTGAGGTGCTTCATTTTTTCTCGATGCCTTTGAACCAGAGAGGTGTAGATTGATCGGTGGATATGAAGGTGTTGGACTGATGGGGATGGGGATGAACTCTAAATGTGGCTCAAAGATCCATAACTGCCAAGCTCGAGCTGCCTCCCTTTCCATATGCGCCTCATCTAAGCAGCATCCCCATCTCCCCTCTCCCCACAACAGAGTACTCACCTCTGCCCTCTGGTGCCTGAGTGCGCATTGCCTTTGCAAACAGACTTTCAGGTGGGAACTATCCAGGACTTCCAGCTGCTTCAAGAAACCGGACCTCTTCTGTACAACCCCCTGTCTGTCTGTCTGTCTGTCCTTTCCTTCTCAGTCCCCACCCCATCGGAAGCACAATTTCCCATTGTCTCTGTCTTTTCCCCTATTGTTGAATAACAGGGCCCCTTTCTTTATTCTGTGGGTAATGGCAATGAAATGTCAACAGCTGGGGATGTGGGATGCAGGACCGGCTGGCACATACCACCGGAAAAGGGCCTGGGTGGGGGGCGGGCTCAGAACAGGAATTGACATCCCCAAGAAGAAGAGAATAGGGTGAGGGGCAGAGAACGGATGGTGAAAAGGTTGAAATGGAATCTCTCTCAACACTCCAAATTACAGGGCTCTAAAGAGATTTTGTCTGAGGCCAGGGGAAAGGCTGGGCTCCATGAGGGCAGAGGGAGTGGCTAGCATTGCAATAGGAGAGATGGAGATTAGACAGCAAGGAGGATTTTTCTGTCCCTGGGGAGGAACATGAGAATTTCTGAGGACAGAAGGACTTTGGAAACCTCTCCAAAAGAGAAGTTATCTTATTGGTTCCCTAATATTCTACCTCTTCCCTCAGCACAAATAGATAACCTTTTTAAAGTACTCAGAAGGGGATCCTTAATCTTCCTGGATGGAAATTCACTTTCTCTCAAGTCTTTTTTTTTTTTTTTTTTTTTTTTTTGAGACGGAGTCTCGCACTGTCGCTCAGGCTGGAGTGCGGTGGCACGATCTTGGCTCACTGCAAGCTCCGACTCCCGGGTTCATGCCATTCTTCTGCCTCAGCCTCCCAAGTAGCTGGGACTACAGGCACCCACCACCACACCCGGCTAATTTTTTGTATTTTAAGTAGAGACGGGGTTTCCCCGTGTTAACCAGGATGGTCTCGATCTCCTGACCTGGTGATCCGCCTGCCTCGGCCTCCCAAAGTGCTGGGATTACAGGCGTGAGCCACCGTGCCCGGCCTTTTTAAAATTTTTTTTTTAAGACAAGGCCTCTATCTGTTGCCCAAGTAGGAGTGCAGTGGCCCAATCATAGCTCACTGCAGCCTCGAACACCTGGGCTCAAGAGATCTTCCCCCTTAGCCTCGAAATTATCTAGGACTACAGGCGCGCACCACCACACCCGTCTAATTAACTTTTTTTTTTTTTTTTTTTTGAGACAGAGTCTGGCTCTGTCACCCAGGCTGGAGTGCAGTGGCGCAGTCTCGGCTCACTGCTACCTCTGCTCTGCCTCCCGGGTTCAAGCCATCCTCCTCTTTCCTCAGCCTTCAGAGCATCTGGGACTACAGACGTGCGCCACCACGCCAAGATAATTTTTGTATTTTTTTGTAGAGATGAGGTTTCATCATGTTGCCCAGGCTGGTCTTGAACTCCTGGGCTCAAGCAATCCGCCCACCTCAGCCTCCCCAAATGCTGGGATTACAGGCGTGAGCCACCATGCTGGGCCTAATTAAGTCCATTTTAAAACCTTTCCATTGAGGTATAATTTACATACAAAAAAGTCATAGAAATTATGTGTACAGCTAAATGAATTTTTACGTGTGTACATATATTGTACACAGGTAAAAACCCACCAGATCAAGACATAGAACATTTCCAACAATGCCGAATAGGCCCAATTGTTTTTGTTTTCTATTAATGCAGAGGGAGGACTCCCTCCACCTGCCCCTGTAAACAGCCATGTAGAAATGTTTTGAGCTTTAAGTTCCATTTTAGCCTTATTTTCTCTCTGCTGTAGCCCCATGGAAGTAGCTTTGCATTATTAAAACCATATAATTTCATGTTCTGTGAGTTAAAAAAAAAAAAAAAAAGAGGCTGGGCACTATGGCTCACACCTATAATCCCAACACTTTGGGAGGCCGAAGTGGGCGGATCACCTGAGGTCAGGAGTTCGAGACCAGCCTGGCCAACATGGTGAAACTCTGTCTCTACTAAAAATACAAAAATTAGCCAGGCATGGTGGTGTGCGCCTGTAATCCCAGCTCCTCGGGAGGCTTGAGGTGGGAAAATCGCTTGAACCCAGGAGGAGGTTGCAGTGAGCTGAGATCGTGCCACTGCACTCCAGCCTGGGCAACAGAGTGAGACACCATCTCAAAAAAAAAAAAAAAAAGAACCATACCCTTTCAGAACTGGAGACCTCAGGATGCTGAACATTTACTAGAGGAGGAGATGGAGAGGAAGGTGGCTTGCCCCAAATCACGCACAATACAGTCATTGAGTCAAGCCTAGAAGTTTCTGCTTTTTCCACTAATCCTCTTCTGCCTCTCTCCTTGGCTGTCCAATTCAGACAAGCTCCAGGTTTTCACTTGGGCCATATCTAATAATAGGAAGCTCACCTTGAATATACTTTTCTTTCTTTCTTTCTTTCTTTTGAAACAGGGTCTCACTCTGTCACCCAGGCTGGAGTGCAGTGATACGATCATGGCGCACTGCAGCCTCGACCTCCCAGGTTCAAACGATCCCTCCCACCTCAGCCTCTCAGGTAGCTTGGTGCACAGATGTGCACCACCACACCCAGCTAACTTTTAAAAATTATTTGTAAAGACAGGGTCTCCCTATCTTGCCCAGGCTGCTCTCAAACCCCTGGACTCAAGTGACCCTCCCTCCTTGGCCTCCCAAAGTGCTGGGATTACAAGCATGAGCCACTGCACCCGGCCGACTATACTCTTGAGAGATCTGATTGACTATCTTTTCCCTATCTACTCCATCCCTGTTCTTAAGCGCTTCCCTCCTCCTCCCACGACTGTCTCTCTCATGAGAGAAGACAAATAGCCCCCTGTCTCCTTGGACAGGACACCCTGATCCAGTGCATCTGATTGGCTTCCTGCCAACTCAAACAAACAGCCTCCGGCAGAGGGAGAAGTAGATATAAATGGCTCCACAGCCTGGCCACTGCATCCATTCCCAGGCTCATTTCTCCACAAATTTACTGTTCCTTTCTCCACAAATCACTTCTGAACTGTGGCTTGGAAGTCTCTGGTATGTAAATCCATAAAAGGCTGAGTTTGATGGGGAGGAAAGCCTAGAACTATTTGACAGATGCAAAAACAACCCAGTGAGGACAGAATGAGAAAGGAACAGACAGGAATACATATAATGAATAGCCAAACTGTGTTTAGTTTACTCAAGGTCACTTTCATTCTCAGTTTCCCCCCAGACGCTAAAATGGGAGTGGGGTGAGATGGCTGAGACAAGCTGGGGTCTCCTCACTGACCCAGCATCTCTGAGGAAGGGCTTTGTCAGTCCTATACCTACTGACCAGAGTGTGGTGGAGTGATTCCAGACAAGCACGGAGTCCCGACATCTCCTTCTCTAACACCCACACTCGCTTCCACCATCCAAGCAGGTTCAGCTGGCCAGTTTTCCTGACCCCTGGTGATGGCAAGCATGGCCCCAGTTTATGACTAGGATTGTTGTGTGAATGACTGGAAGGGCTGGCAAGATGACACTTTAGGGAGGACTTTAAAAGGCATGGCTCTCTTTGGTCTTTCTCTTTCCAACATTTTTTTAATAATTTTTTTTAACAGATGGGATCTCTAAAAATTTTTTTAAGAGATAGGATCTCTAAAAATTTTTTTAAGGGATGGGATTTGGCTGGGCACGGTGGCTAATGCCTGTAATCCCAGCACTTTGGGAGGCCGAGGTGGGCGGATCACAAGGTCATGAGTTCAAGACCAGCCTGGCCAGCATGGTGAAACCCCATCTCTACTAAAAATACAAAAAGTTAGCCGGGCATGATGATGCGTGCCTGTAGTCCCAGCTACTTGGGAGGCTGAGGCAGGAGAATCACTTGAACCCAGGAGGCGGAGGTCGCAGTGAGCTGAGATCGCACCACTGCACTCCAGCCTGGGCGATAGACCAAGATTCTGTCTGAAAAAAAAAAAAAAAAGAGAGAGAGAGAGAGTGAGATGGGATCTGTCTCTGTGACTCAGAACTGCAGTACAGTGGTGTGATCATTGCTCACTGCAGCCTCAAACTTCTGGGTTCAAGTGATTCTCCTGCCTCATCCTCCTGATTAGCTGGGAGTACAGGCGGGCACCCCCATGCCTGGCTTTCCAGCATTTCTCCAGGGCCAAAAGGCAGCAACATTGAACTCAGCCTGGTGCTTTATTTGGACGCTCTCCTAGACTCCACTCCTGGCCATATATAGAGGCCTGAAGTATGCAAGGCTTACTCCCCAGAGCGTGCAAGGTAGAACTCTGCAGTACAAACCTTTACAGCTGCTGGGCATAGGAGACCTTCTAGTAGAGGACAGGAGGCTTGGGTTCTAGTTACAGTTCTGCCACAGTGTCACCTTAGGTGACACAGGCCCAGGCTTCGCTGCTGGGCCTGTTACTTCATCTGCACAATGGAAACTCAATTCTATTTAAATTACTTTCTAAAGGGCCTCAGTCTGCAGAGACACAGAAGCAAATGATTGTATGAAGCTCCTGACTGTATGAAGTTCTCAGTCAAACAAAATAGTACCTCTTCTGCCCATCTCAGAGGTGGATAAGGATAAAGTGAAATAATGGAAAGCACAAGGAACAGTAAAAGGCAAATGTCAAGAAGCTGTTTGCAAAGTTACCAAGATGTAAAATTAGATTTTACTTATTAATAATCATGTCACTTGTCATTCTGTTTATAATGGTCAATTCACTGCTGATATTCAAGTGGACCGTTTAAACTGTATTTTTGCTCAGCTATCCCTCCAAATAAATATCTCAAAATCTTGACTGTTTATTTTCTTAGCCCATCTTATTTTCCCAGGCCTCAAAGCGTGGCTTCTCAAATCCCTGGCTTGTCTTCTGATTCTGGCCAGTCTAGGTGGGGTCTGGCTTCAGTTTGTACAGATTCTCACTCCCAATCTCATATTGGTCAAACAAACCCAGAAGTAAGATCTACACGTATTAATCAACCATTCTCAGACCAGGATTGGAATAATTTGAAAAAGTGAACTCTGGCTGGGTGCCGTGTTCACACCTGTAATCCCAGCACTTTGGGAGGCTGAGGCGGGTGAATCACGAGGTCAGGAGATTGAGACCATCCTGGCCATCATGGTGAAATCCATCTCTACTAAAATTACAAAAATTAGCTGGGTGTGGTGGCGCGTGCCTGTGATCCCAGCTACTCGGGAGGCTGAGGCAGGAGAATCGCTTGAACCAGGGAGACGGAGGTTGCAGTGAGCTGAGATTGCACCACTGCACTCCAGCCTGGTGACAGAGTGAGACTCTGTCTCAAAAAAAAAAAAAAAGTGAACCCCAACTTATAGCTGTATGTTCTTTCACATGGGAGAAATAAACTCTATCACAGTATTATTATTCCCATTTTATAGACCAGGAAAGTGATGTTCAGAAAGGGTTAGTAAGCTAGTAACTTGTTCAAGTTCATATACTTACTAAGTAACCCAGGTAGCCTATCTCTAAAGCTAGATGAGTTCTTCTTTGCTGTGAAAGAATAATTTCTTGAAACTTGGAAATGGTAAAATTGAGGATTTTTTTATATATCACACTAGAGCATTTTTTCTTTTTTTTCTTTTTTCTTTTCTTCTTTTTTTTTTTTTTTTGAGAAGGAATCTCACTCTGTCACCCAGGCTGAAGTGCAGTGGCATGATCTTGGCTCAATGCAACCTCTGCTTCCTGGGATCAAGTGATTCTCCTGTCTCAGCCTCCCAAGTAGCTAGGGTTACAGGCGTGAGCCACCACACCAAGCTAATTTTTTGTATTTTTAATAGAGACGGGGCTTCACCATGTTGGCCAGGCTGATCTCGAACTTCTGACCTCAAGTGATCTACCCGCCTTGGCCTCCCAAATTGTTGGGATTACAGACATGAGCCACCACACCTGGTCTAGAGCATTTTCTAATAAGTTTGCTTGACACTCATCTGACTCTCCCAGGGAATGTGACTTTGTTGTCACAGTACATTTGATAAATAATCTACAACTTACAAATGCACAGACATTTATAGTCCTGTTGGGTAAAGGCTAACCTGCAGAACTTGATACAATGATAGGGTTTTATTGCCCAATTGAGAAGTTAATCACAAAGGGGTTTTGGTTTTACTGTGCTAGAAAGTTAGCCAGTCCTATATCTAAATTATCAATCTAATTTTGACATTCTTTTCTTTTTTTTGAGACGGAGTCCCACTCTGTCGCCCAGACTGGAGTGCAGTGGTGCGATCTTGTCTCACTGCAACCTCTGCCTCCCGGGTTCAAGCCATTCTCCTGCCTCGGCCTCCTGAGTAGCTGGGATTACAGGTGTGCACCACCACGCTCAGCTAATTTTTTTGTATTTTTAGTAGAGACAGGGTTTCGCCATGTTGGCCAGGCTGGTCTCGATCTCCTGACCTCACAATCCGCCTGCCTCGGCCTCCCAAAGTGCTGGGATTACAGGCGTGAGCCACCATGCCTGGCCTGACAATTCTTTTCTTATTGACTGTTTAAATTCCTGTTTCTCAAATCCTCCTCAAAGCAGCTCTTTTGTCTCCTTATTGGTTCTCTCATTAATGAGTTCAATAAAATGATGACATGAGTTAATGAATAACAAAAAAGTTTGAGAATTGTGTTTTTCCACTTCTCAACTTCCCTTTATTGAGGGCAACACACTAGCACCCTCCGCTTCCCTTTAATAATAAATCCACTGGCAGAATTACTGCAAGAGTTTTTAGGAAGCTGAAACTCTTGGAAGGGTAGGACCACTTTGTATCTCCAGCATGCAAGGAACCAGCTATGAACTCCAAGATGAAGTGGCCATTATCAGCAAGACTCCTCTGCAAGTCCTTCGCGTAGCTAAGGACAGCTTTAGTGTTTGCTGCTCCCGTGAGCCACCATTTCCTGCTCCTCAGTCCCACTAGCAACATCAAAGAGACTTTAGGTTCACCCATTTGTGCTTCCTCCGGGAAGCTTTCCTTAACAGAAGCAAGAAACAGGAGCCAGGAGCAGTGGCATGTGCTTGTGGTCCCAAATACTTGGGAGGCTGAGGCAGGAGAATTGCTTGAACCCAGGAGTTTAAAGCTGCAGTAAGCTATGATTTAGCCACTGCCCTCCACTCTGGAAGACAGAGTGGGACCACTCCTCCCTCCAAAAAAAATATCCAAACAAAAGGAAGAAGCAACTTAACAGCTTCACCTGGATATACCAGACATTCAGAAAATGTTTACTGGCGGGCGCGGTGGCTCACACCTGTAATCCTAGTACTTTGGAAGGCAGAAGCGGGTGGATCACCTGAGGTTGGGAGTTCAAGACCAGCCTGGCCAACATGGTGAAACCCCGTCTCTACTAAAAATACAAAAATTAGCTGAGCATGGTAGTGGGCACATGTAATCCCAGCTACTGGGGAGGCAGAAGCAAGAAAATTGCTTGAACCCTGGAGGCGGAGCTTGAAGTGAGCTTGAAGTGAGATCACGCCACTGCACTCTGTCCTGGGCAACAGAACAAAACTCCGTCTCAAAAAAGCAAAACAAAACAAAAACCCAGAAGATATTTTCTGAATAAATAAATAAAATTGAAGTTTTCTTCCAATTTCTGCAAGTTTAACAAAAAGGCAGTATGGAGTAGGGGTTAAGTTCCACAGGCTCTGTTCCTTCTTTCCCTGTGCACAAAACAAACTAACAAAAAAGTTCCATATCCTCTGGGTTGAAAGTCTAAGCATAAATCTCAGCCCTGCTACCTACTAACGAAGGAATATTAGATAACTACAGCATTGATAAGCAGAACAGTGCTTGGCTCATAGAAAGTAATCAATACATTTTAGGCATTATCACTGGTAGGGGAAGAAGTTTCAAAGGGAACAGAATCAATCAAAACACAGACAGCTACTGATTGATTGAAGGGATCACCTGGTTTTTTTGTTTGTTTGTTTGTTTATTATTATACTTTAAGTTTTAGGGGTTTTTTTGTTTTTTTGTTTTTTGTTTTTGAGATAGAGTTTCGCTCTTGTTGCCCAGGCTGAAGTGCAATGGCACGATCTCAGCTCACTGCAACTTCCACTTCCCAGGTTCAAGTGATTCTAGTGCCTCAGCCTCCCAAGTAGCTGGGATTACAGGCGCGCATGACCACGCCTGGCTATTTTTTGTATTTTTAGTAGAGACAGGGTTTCCCCATGTTGGCCAGGCTGGTCTTGAACTCCTGACCTCAAGGGATCTGCCTGCCTCGGCCTCCCAAAGTGCTGGGATTACAGACGTGAGCCACTGCCCCTGGCCTTTTTTTTTTTTTTTTAGGGTCTCACTCTGGCCCAGGCTGGAGGGCAGTGGTGCGATCATAGCTCACTGCAGCCTCGACCTCTCTGATCCTCCCGCCTTAGCCTCCTGAGTCGCTAGGATTACAGGCGTGTACCACCATGCCTAGCTGATTTTTGTATTTTTCTGTAGAGATGGGGATTCACCAGGTTGCCCAGGCTGCTCTCAAACTCCTAGGCTCAAGGGACCCACCCACCTTGGCCTCCCAAAGTGCTGGGATTACAGGTGTGAGCCACCATGTTTGGCCACCTAATTTTTAAGAGGACATAAAATCCATACACACATGAAAGTCATGTTCCACTTATGATTTTTATGTTTGTTATGAAACAAAAGTAATATCATTACATATTGAAAAATAATTCAACCACTATCAAAGGAATAAAATGAAAAGTAAAATTTTCCTTTCCTTTTTTCTTTCTTTCTTCTCACCGCCCCCAGGAACAACTGAACCATTATTAGCCTTCTGCTGTATCTTTCCAGAAAAATATTTAAGAATCTACAGGAAGGTAGATAAATGGAAACATACATCATACATATATTCTAACCTGAGATCATGATATACAAACCGTTTCCTACTTTTCTTTTTTTCTTTTCTTTTTTTTTTTTGAGACGGAGTTTTGCTCTTGTTGCCCAGGCTGGAGTGCAATGGCGCGATCTCGGCTCACTGCAACCTCCGCCTTCCTGGTTCAAGCGATTCTCCTGCCTTAGCCTCCCGAGTAGCTGGGATTACAGTCTCCCGCCACCATGCCTGGCTAATTTTTTTGTATTTTTAGTAGACACGGGGTTTCTCCATGTTGGTCAAGCTGGTCTTGAACTCCTGGCCTCAGGTGATCCGTCTGCCTTGGCCTCCCAAAGTGCTGGGATTACAGGCGTAAGCCACCGCGCCTGGCCTCCTACTTTGCTTTTCCACCGAATAATATGATGTGAGCATTTGTCCTATCAGCACATGACATCAAATTCTCTCATTTTTCATGTCTGCATAGTATTTCAGTGGGTGGCTGTAGCATTATTTGTTTGTTTGTTTTTGTTTTTTTGAGATGGAGTCTTGCTCTGTCACCAGGCTGAAGTGCAGTGGTGCGACCTCAGCTCATTGGAACCTCCACCTCCTGGGTTCAAGCGATTTCACTGCCTCAGCCTCCCAAGGACCTGGGATTACAGGCACGTGCCACCACACCCAGCTAATTTTTTATATTTTAGTAGAGACGGGGTTTCACCATGTTGGTCAAGACGGTCTCCATCTCCTGACCTCATGATCCGCCCACCTCGACCTCCCAAAGTGCTGGGATTACAGGCGTGAGCCACTGCGCCCAGCCTGTATTTGTTTTTTAACTTTTATTTTATGTTCAGGGGTACATGTGCAGGTTTGTTCTATAGGAAAATTGCATGTTGTGGGGGTTTGGTGTATAGATTATTTTGTCACCCAGGTAGTAAGCGTAGTACCTGATAGGTAGGTTTTCAATCCTCACCCTCCTCCCACCCTCCTCCCTCAAGTAGGCCTGGTGTCTATTGTTCCTTTATTTGTGTCCGTATGGAGCATAATTTATTTAATGAGATGCCTATTGATGGACATTTAGGTTGCTAAAGGTCGCAACAACTAGTTATCTGGAAAAAGAAAACAGCAGATCTATAACTGTCCTTAAACTAAAATCCAGAAGGCTCAAAAATATAAATGTAAAAATAAGGCCATCAAAATGCCAGGATGAATCATAGAATAATAATTTTTTAATTGGAAGACTACTTGGATTAATTTTTTACTGATTACACAATGATGCACTTAATTGTAGATAATTTAACAAACATAACAACATTAAAAAGTGAAAAGCCCCCTTAATCCTACCACATAGAGAAAATGACTTTTAATCTTTTGTTGTCTTTGCAATCTTTCAAGGCATTTATATACATTCATATAAGATGTGTATGAATATATTTAGCCATGATTGAAATGGTAACATGTAATAAGGCAGAGAGCCAGCAGGTGGGGCAGGAAGGCTGTATCCCCAGTGCTGAGGGCCCCTGCAGCGTTCTGGGCGCTGCACCTGGCTCAGGTCCTGTGCATGTTTAGGGGATCACCAGGTGTCCGTGGTGGAGGATGCTCAAAGATAAAGATGCTACAGCAGAGCCCTCAAAGCTCTGGGGGCATCCTTCAGACTCAGCGCTTCAGACCTCTGTTTTTCCTGTGTTCAGCTAAGCTCTTGTTCGAAGGGAGAATGAATAAGGCTGGGATTCCTTGGTGTTCTTACCATCACGGTCCTCCTTCCCAGCTCTACTCCCACTGGTGTTGGTGTTTTCTATACTGCCCCTTTCAGAAATTTTTCCACAGCATCTTTACTGATGTATCTGGAAATATGTCGTATGAAAAACATAAAAAAGCAACCCAAATGGGTGTGTCTGCTACCTTGAAACCTGCACCCTCTAGGAGAACTCTAGAAGCGCAGCAAGCACTGCAAAAGAAAGAGGGCGGGTGGATCACGAGGTCAAGAGTTCAAGATCAGCCTGGCCAAGATGGTGAAACCCCGTCTCTACTAAAAACACAAAAATTAGCCAAGTGTGGTGGTAGACACCTATAATCCCAGCTGCTCGGGAGGCTGAGGCAGAAGAATCACTTGAACCTGGGTAGCGGAGGTTGCAGTGAGCTAAGATCATGTCACTGCACTCCAGCCTGGGTGACAGAGTGCGACTCTGTCTTTAAAAAAAAAAGTAAGGAAAGGAAGGAAGAAAGAAAGGAAAGAAAAGAAAAGAAAAGGGCCCTGCTATACCCTGCCTCCCTTCTTGGCATCCTTCACCTACACCATGACCAGCATTTACACACACTGAAGGTTTTAAAGGAGACAATGAGGCCAGGGAAAGGCAGAGACAAGACCCAGAGGGACAGGGATGCAGGTCAGAGACAGGGCTTCATCCAGATCGGAGAGAATGATGACACCAAGGGGCAGATGGCAATAGGGCTTTAAATAGAAATAAGTGTTCAGCTGAACCTGCACTAGATGGCATCAGAGAGCAGCAGTGATAGTGCTGAGAGCACGTCTCATTCCATCTCTCTCTGTGCTCTGTCGGCCCCTATTTGTAGGTAAGCACAAATCTGGGCAATATTACAGTGAGACTCAAATATGGTAATGTTTGTGAACATGATATTCTAAACTGTAAACCACCGTGTGAAAATTATTTTAAATAGTAAAGTACTGTTGGCAAGGGATCATAATATCTTTATTATCATGAACTCAAAGGGTTAATGAAGTCAGAAAATTAGAACCTGCCTAGGCTAAGGATTGAATCCTGTGAGACACAGGCTCACCTTTTTTTTTTCCTCAACAGAAAGAAAAGTGAATAATATTCGAATAGGTAAGCATTGCCAGTATTTGCTATATAGATTTTTTTTAAAAATCCCACACTCATTGCAACCACAACATATTTTCTCTTTCCTCAGTCTCAGGGTTTACTGACAGAAAAAATAACTGGGAAGAAGTGGAGGAAGATAAATTGTGTACTAGTTTATGAATCATGGGGAGATGCTGGCTTGGCCTGACTTTTATAACACTATGTGTAGATTTAAACCCAGTATAGAAAAATAACACAGTGCCTTAATTTTTAGGATTCAATTCTGCTCCAGGAATTTAGAGAGGCATTCAAGGTTTGGTAGTCAGTCTCAGGGACCACACATACTTCCTCCTGAAGGTCTTCCCCTGGGGCCAGTCATATGCACCTCACCTCTGCCCCACCTCCCTCAGCACTCAGGGGCTCTCATTTGTAACCATTTCTCTTTTTTTTTTGAGACAGAGTCTTGCTCTGTCACCCAGACTGGAGTGCAGTGTCACAATCTCGGCTCACTACAACCTCCACCTCCTGAGTTCAAGCGATTCCCCTGCCTCAGCCTCCCGAGTGGCTGGGATTACAGGTGCGTGCCACCATGCCTGGCTAATTTTTGTATTTTTAGTAGAGATGGGGTTTTGCCATGTTGGCCAGGCTGGTCTTGAACTCCTGACCTCAGGTCTTTCACCCACCTCGGCCTCCCAAAACCATTTGTTATTTTAAAATCACTTTCCTGAAAAAATAATACATTAATTGTAGACAATTTTAAATGAAGGGAAAATATCTTGTTAAAGAAAAAAATTATTCGATGACACTTGTCAAAGCATGGTAAGGCAGACTTTATTCAGGACCATTGTGATAGGTATAGGGACCATGACAATGGGATTTTGCAGTGGGGGAGAAAGAGAAATTGGGCTCAACTCTCAATACAGCATGGGAAGTATAACTGAGGAATTTATAACTGAGGTGCAGGGTGGGGGTTAGGAGATGGGAAATTATTATGAAAAAACACCAGGGGTAAAGGGGATTTGCATTAAAACCTTACAAGATTCTTGCCAAAGACAGGCTGAGGTAATCAGATATCACCTGATGGATGGTGAAGGATGAGGAACCTGATCAGATATCAAGGGTGATCAGGTATCAAGAGAAGGGGGCTTAGGCTGGGCGCGGTGGCTCACTCCTGTAATCCCAGCACTTTGGGAGGCCGAGGCAGGAGGAATGCTTGAGCCCAGGAGTTGGAGGCCAGTCTGGGCAACATGGTGAAACCCTGTCTCTACAAAAAATACAAAAATTAGCCAGGTATGGTGTGCCACTCCTGTGGCCCCAGCTACTTGGGAGGCTGAGGTGAGAGGATTGCTTGAGTCCAGGAGATTGAGGCTTCAGGGAGCCATGATCACGCCACTGCACTCCAGCCTGAGCAACACAGAAAAACTCTGTCAAAAAAAAAAAAAGTGGAGGGCTTCATGCTAAATTGACTTCACAGGATTCTTTCCTTTTTTTTTTTTTTTTTTTTTTTTAGACAGAGTCTCACTCTGTCACCCAAGCTGAAGCACAGTGGCACAACCACAGCTCAGGCTCCAAGCAATTCTCCCACCTCAGCCTCCCAAGTAGCTGGGACTATGGGCGTGGGCCGCCACATTCAGTTAATTTTTAATTTTAATTTTTAATTTTTTTTTTGAGATGGAGTTTCGCTGTTTTGCCCAGGCTGGAGTGAAGTGGCGCAGTCTTGGCTCACTGCAACCTCCGCCTCCCGGGTTCAAGCGATTCTCTGGCCTCTGCCTCCTGAGTAGCTGGGATTATAGGCGCCTGCCACCATGCTGGCTAAGACGGGATTTCGCCATGTTGGCCAGGCTGGTCTCGAACTCCTGACCTCAGGTGATCCACCCACCTTGGCCTCCCGAAGTGTTAGGATTACAGGCGTGAGCCACCATGCCCAGCCTAATTTTTATTTTTAGTAGAGACGATGTCTCACTATGTTGCCCAGGCTAGTCTCAAACTCCTGAGCTCAAGTGATCCTCCTGCCTTGGCCTCCCAAAATGCTGGGATTATAGGCTTGAGCCACCATGCCCGGCCAACACCATTTGTTGAAAAGACTATTCTTTCTCCATTGAACTGTTTTGGCACTCTCGTGCAAAATCAATTGCCCATAAGCGTATGGGTTTATTTCTGGATTCTCAATTCCATTACATTGATCTATATGTCTATCCTCTTTGAAAACCCCACAGTCTGTAGCTTTGTAGTAAGTTTTGAAATCAGGAAGTGTAAGTCCTACAACTTTCTTCCTTTTAAAGATTGTTATGGCTATTCTGGGCCCTTTGCTTTTTTTTTTTTTTTTTTTTTTTGAGACCAAGTCTCGCTCTGTAGCCCAGGCTGGAGTGCAGTGGCATGATCTCAGCTCACCAAAAACTCTGCCTCCCGGGTTCAAGAGATTCTCCTGCCCAGCCTCCAGAGTAGCTGGGATTACAGGTGCACGTCACTGCACCCGGCTAATTTTTTGTATTTTTTTTTTTTATTAGAGACAGGGTTTCACCATGTTAGCCAGGCTGGTCTTGAACTCCCAACCTCAGGTAATCTGACCATGTCGGCCTCGCAAAGTGCTAGGATTACAGGCGTGAGCCACCATGCCCGGCCTACATTTCTATTCTTTTCTTTTCTCTCTCTTTTTTTTTCTTTTTCAGACGGAGTCTCACCCTATCGTACAGGCTGGAGTGCAGTGGTGTGATCTCGGCTCACTGCAACCTCCACTTCCCAGGTTCAAGCGATCCTCGTGCCTCAGCCTCCCAAATAGCTGGTATTACAGATTCGTGCTACCACACCTGGTTAATTTTTGTAGTTTTAGTAGAGACGGGGTTTCACCATATTGGCCAGGCTGGTCTCGAACTCCTGACCTCAAATGATCCTCCCACCTCGGCCTCCCAAAGTGCTGGGATTACAGGTGTGAGCCACTGCTCCCAGCTGGTCCTTTGCATTTCTATATGACTTCTAGGATGGACTTGTTGATTTATGCAAAAAAAAAAAAAAGCCAGCTGGGATTTTTTATAGAGATTGTGTTGAATTTATAGATCAATTTGGAGAGTATTGTCATCTTAACAATATTGTCTTCTATTCCATGAACACAGGGTATCTTTCCATTTATTTAGCTCTTCCTAATTTCTTTCAATGAGGTTTTGTAGCTTCAATGTATAAAGCTTGCACATCTTTTGTTAAATGTATTCCTAAGTATTTTATTACTTTTGATCCTATTGCCTATGAATTTTTAACATAGATAGGTTCTTACTGTAGGTAACATTTTGTATCTTCTTTTTTCATTTCAATTATATCACAGACATGTACCCAAGCTATTAAGAATTCTTTGGCCGGGCACGGTGGCTCCGCCTTTAATCCCAGTACTTTGGGAGGCCAAGGCAGGCAGATCATGAGGTCAAGAGATCGAGACCATCCTGGCCAACATGGTGAAACCCCATCTCTACTGAAAATACAAAAATTAGCTGGGCGTGGTGGCACGCACCTGTAGTCCCAGCTACTCAGGTGGCTGAGGCAGAATCGCTTGAACCTAGGAGGTGGAGGTTGCAGTGAACCAAGATCGTGCCACTGCACTCCAGCCTGGCGATAGAGACTCTGTCTCAAAAAAAAAAAGAAAAAAAAAAGAATTCTTCAACATCATTGTTGAAGACTACACATTAGTCCATTGTATGTTTACACTGTAATTTATGTAGACTTTCTCCTGTTGTGAGATATTTTGATTCTTTCCAATTTTTCCATTTTATAAATATTACTGTAATAAATATTTCTATGCATCTTGTTATCTGCATTTCAGGCCATTTCCTTATAAGTATTCATGTATTCTTTTTCTCTCATAATGGCCTTTGTTTCTACCCTTGTGAGGAGGTATGAGACCCCATTAAACTGCGAACTCCTTGAGACCCATTTCTCTTGTGATCTCTCATAGCCCCCAGGGACAGGCTGCAGCCTCAGTGACTTCTTCAAGAAGCTCCCAGGGGTCTCAGACTGGGTCAGATGCTTCTCATCTTATCCCCATAGCACTGTGTCCTGACCTTGCCATAACTCTTATTACTCAATGATATAAATGCCTGGTAACTAGTTTAAACCCCCACAAGATCGTGAGGCCTAACAGGACAAGAGATGGACCTTTTTATACCTCTAGCCCTTAGTATATAGGAGACCTTTAATAAATATTTATTGAATGAGTGAATCAGGCACAACAGTGAGCTCAAAGACTTAGGCCAGACTAGGAATCTTGATTCAAAGATTTATGGCCATTAAGTTTTGGGAGTGGCTGGCAAAGTGCATCACACTAAAACTCTAAGTTGGAAAGGGTCCTTGAGGGTTACCTCATTCGGAATTTTAAAACTTCTTATATATTTCATATATATACCTGTATATGTATATGTACATACATACACACATATATGAAATATTCTATATAACATACAATTTTGTATATAATACACACACACATATATTTTAGATAGAAGGGGTAGAAGAGATGGAGAGGTGGGGGTGGGTGGAAATTGAAGCCCTGTCTGTGGAATTTTCTCAGTGGCTGCAGGACACTGCAGCGAAACTCAAGTTTGCCCCGGCACAGTGGCATGCACCCGTACTCCCAGCTACTTGGGAGGCTGAGGCAGGAGGATCATTTGAGCCCAGGAGTCCAAGGCCAGCCTGGGAAACACAGGGAAACCCCATCTCAAAAAAAAAAAAAATTGTTCAAGGTCACACAATGAGTGGCAGAATGGGAAAAGGAGTCAGATGTCTCTCCACAAAATGTTTCTCTGTTGAATCCATCTCTAAGGAATGCCTTTGAAGCATCCCACATCCCTTCTGCAAGTGTCTAAAATTCCAGTAATTAAGATCGATCGTTTAAAGTATTGTCCCCATGTAGCATGTTTTGAAAGTAAAATTAATTTTATGGAAAAAATTATGGGGATGAATGGGTATGACATACAGGGCAATTATGACAAGGCTCTCCTGTGAAATGGCGATTTTTCTGTTTGGAAGTTTCTAGGGGGCGCTAAGTCAACGGAAATACCGATATGGGGAGGCAGAAAAGGATACTTTTCTCGGGTTTTAGTTCTTGGGTGGCTCAGTGAGGCCAAGGAACAGCTTGCAGGGGTAGGGGCATGTGCAGTCCCTTTTGCTGTATCTTCTTTCCCTCCTTTGCTCAATACATCCTCATACCGACAGGGCAAGTCCAAACTCCTCAGCCTGGCATGCATTCTGGGATCCTGCTTTTTTTTTTTCTGGCTCACTGCAACCTCCGCCCTCCCCTCACTCCCACAGCGGGCTGAAGGGATCCTCCCACCTCAGTAGCTGGGACCCACAGGCGTGCACCACCATGCCCGGCTTTTTTTTTTTTTTTTTTTTTTTTTTGGTATTTTTAGTCGGTGTCTCGCCATTTTGCCCAGGCTGGTCTTGAACTTCTGGGCTCAAGCTATCTGCCTGTCTTGGCCTCCCAAAGTGCTGGGATTACAGGCATGAGCCACCGCGTCTCACCCATCCTGTATCTTTCTCCAAGTCCCACTGGCATGTCCTCCATCTAATCCCACTCAAGGTCCCAAGTTTCCCAGGCTAGACTGGGTGTTCCCCTAAATCAAGACCTGTGTCTTATGCGTCTTTTTATCCCCCAGTACCAAAGGGACAAGTTCTGGCACACAATGGTGAGTCAAAAAGTGTTTGATGAGGCCGGTCACGGTGGCTTACGCCTGTAATCCCAACACTTTGGGAAGCCGAGGTGTGCATATCACTTAAGGCCAGGGATTGGAGACCAGCCTGTACAACATGGCAAGACCCCTTCTCTACAAAAAAAATACAGAAATTAGCCAGGCGTGGCGGTGCATGACTGTGGTACCAGATACTCACGAGGCTGAGATGGGAGGATCACTTGAGCCCAGGAGGCGGAGGTTACAGTGAGTGAGTCGATATCGCGCCACTGCCCTCAAGTCTGGGCAACAGAGCGAGACCCTGTCTCAGAAAAAAAAAAAAAGTGCTTGATGAACCTATTGAGATGTCTAGTCTCTAGGCTTTCATAAATAACTGTTCCTGTGAAGGCTGAGTATTCATGAGTATTCAACCCTGAAAAATCAGGACACAGCTATCACCTACTCTGCCTCCACGAATTTCTCAGGCTACTCTCAATGCTTCCCTGGAGTTTTCCTTCCTCGTATTTGCGCCCGGGACTAGCTCAGTGTAGGACGCGGAGCCGTTCTTGGCATCCTGAGAGGGCCAGTTAGTACTGAAGTCCCTTGGCTGCTCAAGGATTGCAGGGATGAGGCAAGTGGAACAGCCTCGGAACCTCCGAAAATGGGCACGCTCCAGGTCCCAGTTTCTATGGCAACCATACCGGCAAATTGGGCTCCGCAATGGTTTCTCCTGGAAAAACCGTGATTTTGGTTCCCGCGGACGTCTCTATGGTTTCGACAGCCTAGAAGGAACAAAACGGCATTTCCGGGAAGATGGCGGCGCACAAGTCAGGTCCGGCACATGTTTCCGCGGAGCGGACCCAGCAATGACGGTAAGGGGCTCCCTTCCCCCGAACGGTGGTAGTCGGAGCCCGGGCTTATTAGCAAACGTGAGAGGAGCAGAGTATTTTTACCCAAGTGGCACTGGGGTAGGAGGGCTGGAATTTAGCCCTCAAGAGCAAGGAAGCCTAGGGAAAGGGCAGCCGGCTCTTTAGGACTGCTGTAAGACGAGTGAACCTGGGGCCACTTCTGAAAACACAGATTGACTGTAGAGGGGACAGTGCCCGAAGTGTGATCACAGGTTTCAGAAAGACTGGGGCGCACAGCTTCTACCCAGTTATCCACTGAAAATCCGGTAAAGCCATTCCTAACTATGCCATTCAGTTCAACAAATAACGACTGAATGTATTCTTGAGTTCTGGCGCCGCGTTACGTGCTCTGGAGTGGCGGAATAAAGCCGGTCTCTTAACTTCCAGGGCATGTAGTTTTCAATTATTGCGACAAGGGTTAGGCTGTGTGTGGTCTTACAGGAGAAAGCACAAAGAGCTGTAAGAGACTGAAGAGTGTAGTGATGAAGAACATCAGTTTTTGGCCGGGTGCCTTGGCTCACGCCTGTAATCCCAGCACTTTGGTAGGTCGAGTCAGGTGGATCACCAGAGGTCAGGAGTTCGAGACCAGCCCCTGGCCAATATGGGGAAACCCTATCTCTACTAAAAATACAAAAATTAGCCGGGCATGGTGGCATGAGCCTTGTAGTCCCAGCTACTCGGAGGCTGAGACAGGAGAATCGCTTGAAGCTGGGAGGTGGAGGTTGCAGTGAGCCAAGATCGCACCACTGTACTCCAGACTGGGTGACAGAGTGAGACTCCGTATCAAAAAAGAAAAAAAAAAGAAAGACAGAGGACCACTTTGGAGTCAGGCGACTTGGGCTCATTCCACCTCCATCATGTAATTCCAGCTCCATCATTTACTAGCCATGTAACCTTAGGCAAGAAACCCAGGCCTTGTTTTCTTCATTTGTAAAATAAGAATAATATCTATCTCACAGGACTATCAAGATTAAATGAGTTAAGCCCACACATAGTGGCTCACGCCTGTAATCCCAGCATTTTGGAAAGCAGAGGTAGGCAGATCGCTTGAGCCCAGGAGTTAGAGACCAGCCTGGGCAACATGGCAAAACCCTGTCTGTACAAAAAAAAATACAAAAATTAGCCAGGCGTGGTGGCATGTGCCTGTGGTCCTAGCTACTTGGGAGGCTGAGGTGGGAGGATTGCTTGAGCCTGGAAGTTTGAGGCTGCAATGAGCCATGATCGTGCCACTGCACTCCACTCCATCCAGCCTGGGCGACAGAGCAACCCTGTCTCAAAAAAAAAAAAAAAAAAAAGATTGACTGAGTTAATATGACAGTGTGGCAATATGTGTAATCCACCTGTTATGCATTAAGTGCTCAATAGGAGTGCCCTTCCTAAGTTGGACACTTTCAAAAGGGGAACTCCAGCCAGACTGAAATACTGCAGTGGTGTGGGAGAAGTGTGTAGCCCCCACACCAAGAGGACAGTGTAAATGCTGAAGCATAAGTACAGGATCTGGTCTCTACCGAGTACCATTATCTTATGACTCAGGTTAATAAGCACCTCATTAGCTTTGTGTTTACAAGGTAATATATTTTGGGAGATACTATGTAGTGGTACAGTACAGATTCTGCAGACAAGCTGCCTGGGCTTGAATTCTACATGTTACCTGTGTGACCTTGAAGTCACTTAACCTTTTTAGGCCTTACTTTACTCATTTGTAAAATAGGCTAATATTTCCCTGAATGGGCTGGGAAGATTAAATGAAATAATCTTTGTAAAGTCTTAGCACATCCTGGCATGTGGTGAGCACACCATAAACTTAGGTATCAGAATTGACACCATTCCTCCTTGACTTCTCTATATGCTCTTTCTGTAGCCAGATAGGGAGCTCCCCAAAGACCAGGCCACCTCCTTCCTCTGTCTCTGGCTCAGGAAAGAGAATTCTTTTTTCTTTCTTTTTAATTTTTTATTTTTTCTAGAGGCAGGGTTTCACTACGTTGCCCACACTGGTCTGGAACTCCTGGGCTCAAGTGATTCTTCTACCTTGGCCTTCCAAAGTGCTGGGATTACAAATGTGAACCACTGTGCCTGGCCGCTTTATTCTTTTTATGAGAGAGGGTCTTGCTATACTGCCCAGGCTGGACTCAAGCAATCCCGCCTCAGCCTCCCATGTAGCTGGGACTACAGGTGTGTGCCACTGCACCCAACTAGCAGAGAATTCTTAACAAGCAGTCAGGATGGAACTGATGGCTGTTTGGGCACTTTCTACTTTCTTCTTAAAAGGATGATATCACCTCTTCTTCTCTGGTGAGAGTCTGAGGATAGAGACTTTTTTCTCACCATGAATGTCACCCCAGAGGTCAAGAGTCGTGGGATGAAGTTTGCTGAGGAGCAGCTGCTAAAGCATGGATGGACTCAAGGTGATCCCCATGGGGCCTCTTCCACATCCCCCAGCTCCCTGCCTACCATCTGCCCAGGGGAAAGCCATCATCCTGGATTACCCCCCCATGTAGTCCATTTAATTAAAGGAGGAAAAGCTAGTTTAAAGGGAAATTTGCAGAAGAAAATTTCTAACTTTCCCAGAAAAGGGAAGAAAGGAAGAAATTTGACAGTGGATAATGAAGAAGTGGTGGTTGGGAGGACTAGGGGAGGGAAAAAGAGATATGGGCTCTCTACCAAAAGAATTTGAAGGAAGAGATAGTTCAGGCTCACACAAAGGCAGGGGACTATATGGAGTGGTACTAGAAAGAAGTGCGCTAGGAGGTCTTCTGAGAGGTACAGAGTATACCCCAATGTCAGGTGTGTGGAATGGCAAGAGGCCTGTGTGGGGGGTGCCTTGTGAGGTCTCACAGCAGGCAGGAGAATAAGCCAAATCGCTCACTGTCCTCTGCAGGCAAAGGCCTCGGCCGGAAGGAGAATGGTATCACTCAGGCTCTCAGGGTGACACTGAAGCAAGACACTCATGGGGTAAGACTGGGTGGACTGAGGAAGGTTAGCATGTGTGGGAGAGGGGACCCTTGAGGGCAGGTGAGGCAGGCACTCAGAGCTCATATTTATTCCCCTGGCAGGTAGGACATGACCCTGCCAAGGAGTTCACAAACCACTGGTGGAATGAGCTCTTCAACAAGACTGCGGCCAACTTGGTAGTGGAAACTGGGCAGGTATGAGCTCTTGATAGATGGGCACATGAAACAGAGGGCCTGGGACCTGTGGCGTAGGCAGTCATGATATGTCACCCATTCACTGGTACTGATAATTCTCTACAGGATGGAGTACAGATAAGGAGCCTTTCTAAGGAGACCACCCGTTATAATCATCCCAAGCCCAACTTGCTGTATCAGAAGTTTGTGAAGGTATTAGAGGCTGTGGGTAACAGAGTCCATCCTTTTTCTCTTCCCTGGTTTCCCTGGGGCCTGAACAGTTGCCTTGTATGCCTTATCAATTCTCAGAACTTTCCTAACATAGTGGGATCCTGTGACCAGCCTTGCTGTTGCTTACTTAGACTGCCCAGACCCTCAGCAGGAATTGAGATCTTCAGGTTCCGTGGATCCTGCCATCTGTTAAGGGAGCAGCAATAGGGCGTGGGAGGTAGGGTACAGTCTCTTAAGTCAGGAGCTGCCAAATTTTGGGGGGGCCAGGGGACATCTAATTCAAAGGACTTAGAAGCCAGAGGAGACCTGAGAGATTATCTGGACCATCCCTGCTTTGCAGATGTGGCTAAAAGGGTGAAAAGTGGTTTGCTGAAGAGCCCACAGCTGGCTAGTAATGGCAAACAGGACTGGAACCCAGGACTTCAGGCCTCCACTTTCTACTGTACCAATAGGAGGAAGCTAACATGTAATGGTCATTATGTGCTAAGGGCTATACATGTTACCTAGCAAATCTTTCCCATTTCTCTACATCTCTGTTACCATCTACTACCCCACTTCGGGCCATCATCATCTCTTGCCTAATTTCTTTCTCCAGCAGCCTCCTAAGAACACCTGTAGTCTCACTCCCCACCCCAACCTTTGTGGAGGATGGACTTCTCCACAAAGCATCCAGTGTTCTCTCTAAAACATAAATGTCATCATGTCACTGGGTCTTGTTTGACCTAGGATGACACAATCCAGATTTATCGGACTGGCTTATATGGCTCTGCATGCCTGTTCCTGCCATCTCCAGCCTCATCTCTTCACTTTTCTCCAGGACCACTACTTTAGCCTAACCATTAGCATAACAGATTCCAATCTGTTTCTTTTCTTTGAAGGTACGACAGTCTTCCATCTTCAGGTTATTGCACATGTTGCTCCCTCTGCTTGGGACATTCTTCTCCCTTTCCCCCTTTACCTTCTGAGTTTCTCTTATCCTCCAGAGCTCAGCTTATACATCAGTTACTTTTAGAAGCCATTCTCTGAAGTCTGAGTTGAGTACCCTTCCTCTATCACAGGCAACACTTCCATCATAATTGCCTATGTAGATTCCATCTGGGCTGGGCCCATCTCATTCTTATTCCACTCTGAATCCCCAACTCCTTGGCCCATAGTAGACTCTCAATTAATCTGATTAAATGAAGGTACTGTGAACAGGTACTATGGTCGGGGTGGAGCGGGGCATCTTTACTGTCAGTCACTGGCACTTGTCCACTGTGAAGACCTGATGAACCAGAGCATTTCCTCTTCTTGTTCTGCTCACCAGCCAGCTGTGGGTGAGAGAGGCCAAAGCTGCTGCACATCCCAGCAGCAGCAGCCCATCTCCTATCCAAGTTCGAGTATGCAGGATGGCACACCTCCCTGTGGCTCCTCAAGGAGCAATGGTGGGGGCTGGCAAACCACTGCCTGGAGCTATAAATTCTTAGGGGGCTTCCACAAGGGAATAGGGATGGTGATGGTGTTGAGAAGGCCTTATCTACCCCCATGACCCCTCCTAGATGGCTACATTGACTTCAGGTGGAGAGAAGCCAAACAAAGACTTGGAGAGCTGCAGTGATGACGACAACCAGGGGTCCAAGTCCCCAAAGATGTGAGACTTCATTTTAGCTCTTGGGGAATGTGGGAAGAGATGTCTTCAGATGGCAAGAGAAAGGGCTAAATCTAATGCTTGACTGGGGGCTTCTTGGGGGTGGGTGGAACTGTGTTGTACTAATCTTTGTATCCCTAGTACCTCAAAAAGTGCCAGGTCCTGAACAAGAATTCAGTGTTGAAGGAATGTTTTAGAAGGAGGAGAGGTCAAGCCTTTCCACCAGGTCTGTTTGTAACTGCTGATCTCCCCTAACAGTCTGACTGATGAGATGCTGCTCCAAGCCTGTGAGGGGCGAACAGCACACAAGTAAGTAGTGGTCAGCTCCTTGAGCTCCCTTTTCTCCCCACCTTTGACCATGGCCTGTGCCACCTCTTGGTTCTTTTTACCCCAGGGAAATGATTCCTATTACCTACCCATCTATTGCCTGAAGATAGGCAGCTCCCCACTCCTACCCTCCACCAACTTTCCCTGCAGGCTTAAGGACTAGGCCCATTTCCCCCGATACCCTCGCTTTGACTTGGACCCTGTCTGTTTCAGGGCTGCCCGTCTTGGGATCACAATGAAGGCCAAGCTTGCTCGCCTAGAGGCCCAGGAGCAGGCCTTCCTGGCTCGTCTCAAAGGCCAGGACCCTGGGGCCCCTCAACTGCAGTCAGAGAGCAAGCCCCCCAAAAAAAAGAAAAAGAAAAGGAGGCAGAAAGAGGAGGAAGAAGCTACAGCATCTGAAAGGAATGATGCAGATGAGAAGCACCCAGAACATGCTGAGCAGAACATCAGAAAAAGCAAGAAGAAGAAAAGGCGACATCAAGAAGGAAAGGTCTCAGATGAAAGAGAGGGTACAACTAAAGGGAATGAGAAGGAGGACGCTGCAGGAACAAGTGGGCTTGGGGAATTGAATAGCAGAGAGCAAACCAATCAGTCCCTCAGGAAAGGGAAGAAAAAGAAGAGGTGGCACCATGAAGAGGAGAAGATGGGGGTCTTGGAGGAAGGAGGAAAAGGCAAGGAGGCTGCAGGCAGTGTCAGGACAGAGGAGGTAGAGAGCAGGGCATATGCTGACCCATGCAGCCGAAGAAAGAAGAGGCAGCAACAGGAGGAGGAGGACTTGAACCTAGAAGATAGAGGTGAGGAAACTTTTAGGTGGTGGAACCAGGGAAGCAGAGAGCAGAGCATGCAGTGATGGAAGAAGCAGGAAAAGCAAGAAGAAAAGACAGCAGCATCAAGAGGAGGAGGACATCTTGGATGTAAGGGATGAGAAGGATGGCGGGGCTAGGGAAGCAGAGAGCAGAGCACACACTGGCTCAAGCAGCAGAGGTAAGAGGAAGAGGCAGCAGCATCCCAAGAAGGAAAGAGCTGGAGTCAGCACTGTCCAGAAAGCCAAAAAGAAACAGAAGAAGAGAGACTAAAGGTCTGGTAAAGGTAGGGCTCAATTGATTGATTTTCAGGAGTTGAAGCCTCAAAGACCAGGGTTGATGCAGGTCTGCAGGTCTTCTGCACCCCCCTCAATGAGGAGTCCCTCCCAGAAAGGAAACTGATCTCTGGGACGTCAGCTGCTGAGAGGAGCAAGCGGTAGTACCACCCCTTAGTTGAGGGAGTCAGCACAGTCCTTTCTGCAGCTTCTAACCCAGGACCATGAACTCAGGTGCCTAGAGAAGCCAGGCAGCTAAAGGACAAGGAATGCTGGGGGCTGTGGGAACAGGAATGCAGATACCCTTTGAAGGAGCATTCCTGCTAAAAGAAGCTGAAAATGTAGACCTATGTGAAGTGCTCTGATTTCTAAATATTGTGAAGGTTAAGAAAAACATAAATTTAGGTCTATGGGCTAGATTTAGCCCACAGTTGCCAGTTTCTAGCGCTACCAAATGAATGAATAAACATGAGCTTGCGCTCCTAGCCTAGAGATAAATCCTGACTGGCATCTCTGTTCCCAGCCTGGGAAGGTCCTGAATACAAATTAGAAGATATTCCTTGGAGGCCTTTGAAGAAATTCCTTCGGTTAACCTCTTTGTAGTCTTGCTACACTGATAAGTAGAAGTAGCTCCCTGTCTGTGTCCCAAATGAATAAGAATTGTGTAAAGGACAGCACAACTCACTTGGCATCTAACAGTCCATTTTCATTGTTTCCAAATACCATAGCAACCTCTTGCCCTTTGTGTTACCCCTAGAGAGATGGCACCCAATCCCCAGGGTTGGTCTCTGACTTCCACCATTCACTGACTTTTATTGCCAGAGGAGCTCCCAGGAATCCACAGTTCTGGAAGAGAGGGGCTCTAAGTCTTTATTGGGAAGAATACCCACCCACCTTCCCTCACTGCAGACGATAGACACACTCGGTGTCAGGGTAGGGTGGCAGGTTCAGCTGGTACTTCTTCTCCAGAGCAGGTGGCACAAAACGACCCCCCAGGTAATGGTAGCGACCGGTAAACTGGGTTGCAGATTTTTTGGGGGCTGTGAGGGATATGAGCAAGTCTGGCTGGATCCCTCCAGCATTTCCCTTCTCCACGTCCCATCCTGAAAAGAGGGTGGTGTTCAGGAAGAGGCCAGATGTCTCGTCCCCTTCTACACCTTAGTTTACCCTAGTCCCAGAGGAGTGGGAAGTCCCCTCAGTTCCCACCTGAGGAACTCTCGTCCAACGAGCTCCACGTACCCTTGGGCCGTGGTCTCTTCATGGGGCCAACATGTAAAGGGGACTTCTGAACACTGTTCCCCAGCCCTGATGGGGGTCCAGAAAGCTGTGTTCTGCCCCTCTAGACTAAAATTATTTTAGACCTGGTGTGGGCAAGAGTCAGGAGGGTAGGGCCCCAATCTCCCCCACCCCACCTTCTGGATCCCAGCACCTGAGGGAATGTCGATGCTGGCAATGGGCACAGTGAGTCCCTTCAGGACACTCAGGATGCTGTGGAACGGTTCCCGAACATCGCCCTTGAAGCTGAAGCCAAAGATGGCATCCACCACCAGCTCATACAGTTCATCAATCGTCATGGGCTGTGGTGGAGCAGGAAAAGGATGTCAGAGCCAGCAGCTGCACAAACAGCCTTAACTGGAGAGGGCTGTCCTCTGCACCTGCAGACCATTCTCAGAGGCACAAGTATTGTGTCTCATTCAGAGGGCAGCCTGAGGCCTAGAGAAAGTGTGAGTTGGTCACTGATTCAGGCCAAATTGAGACCAGACAGTTTTTGTTCTCGGTGCCTGCCTGCCTGCCCACCACTGGGGAGGCTACAGGCTGAGATAGCCTGAGACGAGTCAGGAGAGCCAGATTCTGGTTTCAGCTCTGCCATGATACAATTTAGTGACTTTAAGCAAACCACTTCTCTGCACCTCAGTATCTTCATCTGTAAAATGGGTTAAGGAAAAAAATTACCCAATTTCCCATCCCTTAATCCATGCATCTGCAGGAAGGGTTTCAGATAGGGCAGCCACTCCGGCCCCTGAGGGGTAGATCATGTGTTTACTGCATGCTAGGGCAAGAGGATCTGACTACAGAGTGGAAGGAGGGACCAGGGAGATGAAAGGGCAAGGAAGCTTTAGAGAAGGTGGTGTGTGGGACTCATGGAGCACACTTTATGAAGGAGGAGAAGGCTCTTGCACACTTATTCGAATACCATCCGTTAGGCACCTTCCGTACCAGGCACTAAAATGAGCTCAGCCTGGAAACACGAAGGAAGAGCAGAGCACAGGCAGTGGTTACTGTAGGATGGAGGTATTCAACTGGAGCCACCTACCTCTGCGGGCATTTCCCCAAGGAAAGGGATGTCCATTTTCTGACACTGGGTCACCAATGCAGTGAAGAGGGGCTTGTTAGGCCTTTTGGGGTAATAGATGGTTGGCTCGTAGCCCTAGGAAGAAAGTGGTAATTCAACCCCAGATCCCAGAGCCCTCACGCCCTCCTCCCCCACAGCCCCTCCCCACATACTCACAAAGAGTTTGAGGTGTCGAGCACAGACCAGACCATCTCCTCCATTATTCCCCGGGCCACAGATGACCAGGACAGTAGGGGGGCTCCTGGACATGGACGTGGGGGGATATGCCTGAAGGCAGAGTCAAGGGTGGTTCGGCGGGGTTTCAGGCGGTAATAGACCATATTGGCCCAGCTGTCTCTCCCACCCCTTTGTGCCTAGGCCAGGGGGCTGGGACAGTGACTCCTCCCTGGCTGCTCCCAAAGGTCGAGAGTTGTGCCACTGACCTTGGCGATGGCTGTAGCACAGCTCAGCCCGGCCAGTTCCATAAGTTGGTCCACGCTGAACTGGTATTCGTTAAATAGCTCCTGGTCCACGGCCTGGGCCTCCTCCTGGCTGAGGAAAACCCGCGGCCTGAGTCCCGCCCCTCGTGTTCTCTGTCGCGCAGGTGGCCCGGCCGTCCCAGGCCCCGCCCCGGGGCAGAGCAGGCCACCCGAGACCCGTGCCTACCTCAGGTACTTCACCACCGTGCTCGCCATGACCTCTGAGTCCCAGCGGCCACCCGAGTTCAGCCGCTGCGGTCCCCACCAGGTGGGTCCCGAGCGACAGGCGATGGTCTGGCTTTTGATCCGCGGCACGCGCGAGCCCGCAACCAGCAGCCCGAGGCCCAGCAGCGCCCGCAGCCTGGACATCCAGCTCGCAGAGCGCGCGCCCCCGGCCCGGCCCGGCCCCGGCGCATGTGCGGCGCTCGCCCCGCCCCCGAAGAGGCCGGGCCAGCACGCGCGGATTCCGGAAGCCGCTCGGGGCTGGAGTCTTGGGGTTCTAGCAGCCCTTGGGCTGGGGAGCAGTTCCCACCCGGTCCAGCTTCCCTTCCACTTGGGATTCCAGCTCTCCTCAGGAGCGTTTACAGATCGCCACACATTTCCAGATACGCCGAAATGCCTTGCTCCCAACGGCCCTTTGATAATAAGTGCTGATTTTGTAACTCTTTCAGAAAGGTGTATGGATGGCATAGCAGTTAGCCTTGATTCCTGCCCCACTGCTTAGTGGCTGAGTGAATGTGGGAACTGCTGGTGTCAGTTTTTCGCCTATACAACAGGGAAACGAGTACATACTTCCATAGGTGCTAATGCCTGCAAACCGTCGCAGAGGGCGTGGTATAGAAATTAAGCTACTGTTCTTATTTACACCACCAAGCCTATGTAACTTAGGCCCCCTCTACACTACATTAGCTTCCCCTACCTCTGTTTTACCAGGGTATCATGCTGTACTTCCCGAGTCATGCTTAACCCCTTTACTGAGATAATAGCTATGGAAATATAAAATTATCCTTAAATAGTTTGGGTAAGCTATGGTTTAAAACGTAATTGAAACCATAGGCTCCAGGTCACGATGATGTTTCACTAGAAGTCTTGAGAGGAGGAGTAGAGTTTAGGCTAGTGGTTTTGAGAATGCAAACACACTCTCTTGCGTGGTTAGGGGAAAAGGTTGGAGAGTAACAAACCAGTTACCATCAAGGCACTAAGATAAAGATAATTATCCAGACTGCTATGGATTCAATGTTTGTGTTCCCTTCCCTTCCTCCCTCACAAATTCATATGTTGAAGCCCTAACCCCCAGTGTAATGGTATTCGGAGACAGGGTGGTTGGGATTAGCATTAGTTGGGATATAAGAGGTAGTCCCTGAACTGGTAGAATTAGTGCCCTTATAAGACTTTCTTCCTCTCACTGCCCCTCCTCTCTGTCACCATACTGGAACCCTAATCTGACTTCCAGTCCCCATAACTGTCAGGAAATTAATTTGTTGCTTGAGCATCCAATCTATGATATTTTATTATGATAGCCCAAGCTAAGACACAGGTAAAGGGAAGGTTTTTTTTTGTTTTTTAGACAGGGTCTCGCTCTGTCACTCAGGCTGCAGTGCAGCCGCCTGATCATGGCTCACTGCAGCCTGGACCTCTGGGATCAAGTGATCCTCCAGCCTCAGCCTCCCCAGTAACTGGGACTACAGGCACGTGCCACCACACCCGACTAATTTTCATATTTTTTGTAGAAGCGAGGTCTTGGCAGGGCACAGTGGCTCACGCCTGTAATCCCAGCAGTTTGGGAGGCCAAGGTGAGTGGATCATTTGAGGTCAGGAGTTCAAGACCAGCCTGGCCAACATGGTGAAACACCACCTCTACTAAAAATACAAAAATTAGGGCTGGATGCACTGGCTCACACCTGTAATCCCAACACTTTGGGAGGCCAAGGCAGGTGGATCACCTGATGTCAGGAGTTCGAGACCAGCCTGGCCAACATGGTGAAACACCACCTCTACTAAAAATACAAAAATTAGGGCTGGATGCACTGGCTCACACCTGTAATCCCAACACTTTGGGAGGCCAAGGCAGGTGGATCACCTGATGTCAGGAGTTCGAGACCAGCCTGGCCAACATGGTGAAACCCCATCTCTACTAAAAATACAAAAAAAATTAGCAGGGCGTGGGTGGCGAGCGCCTGTAACCCCAGCTACTCAGGAGGCTGAGGCAGGAGAATCGCTTGAATCTGGGAAGAGGAGGTTGCAGTGTGCCAAGATCATGCCACTGCACTCCAGTCTGGGCGACAGAGCCAGACTCCATCCCCCCCCCCCAAAAAAAAAAGAAAAGAAAAAGAAAAACGGTAAGTATAAGAAGAGTGCTCTAACCTCCCCTTTTCTTCCTGAAAGCAGGAAACAAAACTCCCATGTGAACAATGAATGCCTTCCTCCAGGAGGAAAGAAACATTCTTATCACCAGAGACAGGGAGTCGAAGCTGAGAGAATTCTGTACAAACAGACCTTGTTAAAATATCTCTTATCTTCCTTTAGCCTCCCCATATATTTTATTTTTATTATTTTTTTGGAGATAGAGTCTCACTCGGTCACCCAGGCTGCAGTGCAGTGGCATGATCTCGGCTCACTGCAACCTCTGACTCCTGGGTTCGAGCGATTCTCCTGCCTCAGCTTCCCTAGTAGCTGGGACTACAGGCATACACCACCACACCTGGCTAATTTTTGTAGTTTTTGTAGAGATGGGGTCTCACCATGTTGCCCAGGTTGGTCTCAAACTCCTGGGCTCAACTGATCCACCCACCTTGGCCTCCCAAAGTGCTGGGATTACAGGTGTGAGCCCCTGCGACTGGCCTCCCCATATATTTTAGCTGCTTTTCCACAATTGGCTCTTTGTTCGACCTAGTACAAAACATTTAGGTTTTCCTTCTTTGGGTCTTCATTGCTTTATGAGGGCTCCTGTGTCACATAAAATTTATATTAAGTAAATCTGTATGCTTTTCTCTTGTTAATCTGTTTTATGTCAATTTAATTCTCTGTCCCAGCTAGAGACCCTAAGAGAGTGGAGGTAAAGTTTTGCCTTCCCTACTTTCTCTTATCTGACATGATCAGGAGTGGATTATTTTATTTCAACTTTAAAAAATACATTAATTTTCCATCTGTCAAAGTGTGGCCAGGGTCTTTTCTTTGAGGATGGAGCCTGTGATTAGATTCCTCATCTTCTTTCTTACATAAACCTCACCAGTTATGTATCACCCGCAATTTCCAGTTTGCTTCCTTAAAGTGAAACAGTTAATGGCATGTTTGAAGCAATCTTGAGTGCAGAATTTATATTTTTATTATTATTCCCCCAATTTGTAATAATCTTGTTGCTCACATCTAATTGCATAGCAGCTTTTATCTTTTCTTTTGAGGCAGAGTCTCACTCTGTTGCCTAGGCTGGAGTGCAGTGGCATGATCTTGGCTCACTGCAACCTCCACCTTCCAGTTTCAAGTGAATTATCCTGCCTCAGGCTCCCAAGTAGCTGAGATTACAGGCATGCACCACCATGCCCCACTGATTTTTTGTATTTTTAGTACAGACAGGGTTTCGCCATGTTGGCCAGGCCGGTCTCAAACTCCTGGCCTCAAGTGATCCATCCACCTTGGCCTCCCAAAGTGCTGGGATTACAGGCATAAGCTACTGTGCCCAGCCCACGGTAGCTTTTTAAAGTAACTCACAGAGGCCAGCCGCAGTGGCTCACACCTGTAACCCTAACACTTTGGAAGACCGAGGCAGGCGGATCACCTGAGGCCAGGAGTTTGAGACCAGCCTGGCCAACATGGCGAAACCCTATCTCTACTGAAAATACAAAAATTAGCCGGGCTTGGTGGCTTGCACCTGTAATCCCAGCTACTCGGGAGGCTGAGGTAGGAGAACCACTTGAACCCGGAAGGTGGAGGTTGCAGTGAGCCGAGATCACGCCATTGCACTCCAGCCTGGGAGACAGAGCGAGACTCCCTCTCAATAAATAAATAAACAAACAAACAAAAAAATAAAGTGACTCACAGGCTGGGTGCAGTGACTCACATCTGTAATCCTAACACTTTGGGACACCAAGGCGGGAAGATGGCTTGAGCCCAGGAGTTTGAGACCAGTCTGGGCAACATAGTGAGACCCTGTCTCTCTCTCTATATATTTTTTTTAATTAGCCTGGCATGGTGGTGCACCTGTACTCCTAGTGGGAGGCTGAGGTGGGAAGATCGCTTGAGCCCAGGGGGTTGAGGCTGCAGTAAGATGTGATCGTGCCACTGCACTCCAGCCTGAGCAACAGAGCAAGACCCTGTCTCAATAAATAAATAAACTCACTCTTTCCTCCATCACTGGAAGATAAAGCATAAGAATAATAAAGAAAAAGTAACTTACCTTAGTCGAGTCTTCTAAGGATCCAACTTAGTTTTTATAGAAACAGTGCTGCTTTTCCCACTCTCAGTTCATCAATTTATTTTTTTTTAAAGATAAATTTTCTTTTACATTGACATGGGGTCTCACTATGTTGCCCAGGGTGGTCTCAAACTCCTGGGCTCAAGCAATCCTCCCACCTTGGCCTCGCAAAGTGCTAGGATTACAAGGGTGAGCCATCTCACCTGGCCTGTTCATCAATGTGTATAGTATTTAATTACATTATGAATTACAATAACACATACAACGGGCATAGACACACTTGATATTAAATCACAATGGACTCTGGGTAAGCAAGGGCTTAGCTGGGGAAGTGGAACTGCACAGCATTCTAGAAAGTGCTCACTGCCTGGGTTTGATTCCCAGCTTCTCTACATACTAGTTATGTGACCTGGGAATTCAGATTACTGAAGCTTTGTGCCTTATTTTCCTCATTTGCGAAAGGGGATAATAGCACCTCATATATTTGTTGTGAGGATTAGAGGAGAATACACTTGTGAAGCACCTAGAATAGGGTGGGGCATGAGCTAAGCACCTAGAATAGGGTGGGGCATGAGCTAAGCACCTAGAATAGGGTGGGGCCTGAGCTAAGCACCTAGAATAGGGTGGGGCCTGAGCTAAGCACCTAGAATAGGGTGGGGCATGAGCTAAGTACTTGGGAAATGTTACATCACATCACTGTTCCTGTGGCTGCTGGCAGGAGCTGTCCTACAGGCTACAGGCCACAGCCTAGGCCTGCGCCCAGCATCCCCTGTGTTTCACAGAGAAGTAAGGTGCATTGGTTGGGTAAGATGCCTCTTCTGTAGTATTATATCCTCATTTCTCATGTGCAAAAATGGACGTCTGGAGACAGTCAGTGACTCCAAAGCTACTTGACCACGAAGTCAGTTTTTAGAACTGCCAGGCCCCTAGCAATCGTAAGATTTGGATTCAGAAAGACAGGGAATTTGCCATCCATTTTCCTTTTTTCTTTTACCTACTGAGTCCAAAAATCCCAAGGAGGAACAAACAGAACCTCTCAGGGCCGAGCCTGCAAAGCCCTTGGCCAGCCTCCTCAGGAGTCCACTGGCTGCACTGTGTTCCACATCCCTGCAGGGCTGAGCAACTGGGAAGAGGCTTGGTCCCCAGGACCCCCTAGTGTGTGCGTGTTGGACAGGTGCTTCAGGGATGAGGGCTGAGGCTGGCAGGGGGAGGTCACACAATAGTGCAGATGCCCGACTCCATGGGTCTCCTCTGGCGGCTCCTGCTGAGGCTTTCCCTGGGCCACCTGGATGACCTGAAAGAGGCAGGGAGGGGCTTGCCAGTGGGGGTGACTGGGGAGACAGCAGGAGGCAGCCTGCCTTGGCCTCAGCTTCCCTCTGCCCTATTTGGCCCTTACCTCTGCTGGTGGGCTCCAGAGAAGGAGGGAGTTGGCTTAAGCTTCATATCCCCCCATCCTGCAGCACCCTGTCTTTCACTGAGGCCTACCATCAGGCCATTTAGGAAGCAGGGCATACCCTGGGCTTCCAGAGCCGGGTGAGGGTTGTTCACATTGCTAAAGGGCAAAGACAAAGTGGGGCTCGGGGCCCTATATCCCAAGCATGAGATCCCAGCTTCCCCCAACTTCAACAGCAGTCGTGTTTCATTAAAATCATCCCAAGCCACACATTCTACTTTTTTTGCTATTCTCCAGGCCTCCTTCTTTCCCCCAAGGACCCACCTATTGGCTTGAGGGCCATTGGGTACCAAGATGCTAGGGTACTCCGCTCTGGGAGGGCCTGGACCTACAAATGGAAGATGGGCCCTGGGTCCTGGACCTAGATGGAGAAGGACAGACACATTCATCACGTGCCTCTCTGCACCAAGAACTATCATGGTGGAAAAAAGCTCTGAGAGAAGAACCACGAGTTGGGGCGGTGTCAGGGGATGCACTGCTCACTATAGATGGAGGCTTTGCCGAGGACTGTCCCTCTGCAGGGCGTGTGCTTGGTAAACGTGGGGCAACTAGAAGCTAGATGGTGCGAATGATTCACTGTGCCTGGAAGGAAACACACTGAAAAGGAGACATCGGTAAATTCAGGTCAGCTCAACAAGTAGCAAAGAACTCTGCTCCCTGAGTTGCAAGTCTTTGTGGGAGATGCTATTGAGTAGTGAGCTGGGGTTTACCAACAGCACCCAGCGCTGTGTTGGGCACAGAGTAGGCTTTCAGCAAAACCCTGGGGTCCAAGATGCAAAGTTCTAGAAGTTAGGAAAGCCATGAGAGCAGGAAGGAAGAGGGAGTTCTAGAAGGGTTCAGGGAAAATGGTCCAGGGCCTTGAGAGACAAGCAGAAATCATGGGAGGGCTGTTGGGGACTTGCGAACTGGGACAGCCAGGGTCAGGGGTGGCGCGAGGTTGTGCCAGGCCTCAAAGAAATGACAACAGGAAGGCGGGATGGTGGGATGGGCATAAGAAGCGGAGGCAGGCGGGTGGGGGTGGGAGTGCCATATTTGCAGTAAGGAGAGGCACCGCCAGGAATACTCTACATCAACTCACGCTCTGGTCTTCCCGGCCCAGCCCTCACCGGAACGTTTGCCGACCTCTCCTCTTTTTTCTTCTGGTGGCCCTCCTCAAACTCTTCATCTTCCCACCCACTGGAAGATCTGTAGGGGCAAGGAACCAGGGCACAGCTTGGCAGAGCGACACCAGTCCCCTCCTTCCTGGGGATACACATGGGGTCCTACCCCACTGCGACAGCCCCCAACACCCTGCAGAGGGCGCATGCATCTCTGCTGCACCATTCCCACCCTCACCTGTGCTGGACACCTGCTGTGCTGCTTCCTGCCTTTGCTGGGGTCCCCTCCGCCTGGCTGGCCCCACCTGGAGCCTGGAGTCTTCCCGGAGCCGAAGTCTGGGAATGAAGTGGAGTAAAGGGAATAGGTCTGAGAAAAACGGCCATCCCAGCTACGTGTGTGCTCCCTCCAGAGACTTATGTGATAGAGACAATTCGGGCTCTGCCGCTTGTCTCGGAGAATACAATTCTGGGGTGAGGCTCTTTGTTCTATTAAGGTCCCTGCTAGTAACTCTCAGGCTTGAATTCAGATTTAGGGACTAGCAGACCTGGCCAGCGCCTGATGACCACCCCATCCCTTCTGGGGCCTGATACCGTAAAGTCACAGAAAATAGGTGGCAGACATTGGCTGGGACCCAGGTATTCTGACCCCTCAATCCAATCCTCTGCCTGTACCAGGCTAATTTAATTTTGCTTGCAGATTTAAAATATGGTGTCTTTAAATATGGTCTTTAAAATGCAAGGGCATAAAACCTATTAAATACATATAAATATTAAAGTATCATTTCAATTCCTGGAGCGGGAAGAGGTTTTCTGGGGTTGTCTGAAAATGTGAAGGAGGAGGCGGTTGGAGAGCCAACGAATCGTACAGAGAGACCCGGAGGTAGAAACAGGTTAAAGCAGAGACTTGGAAGGAGGAACACGGTGGAGACCCACAGAGAAATGACCTCCAGAGACTTAAAGACGGGAGAGAGGGACTTCCTTGGAGCACATCTCCATCCTGTGGCCATTTAGGGAACTGCAGTCAAGGACTTGAAACTTTCTACCTCCTTGCACACATGGCCTACCGATTCTTTTAAATTTATTTCTTTATTTTTAATCACCTACATATCAGCCCTTGTGTTGGAGACGTGCCACAGTCCCCCACCCACCTCCCACCCTTGGAAAGTGATATATCTCATGCGCAGGCTCAAGGCGGATGAACACAGATGAGCGGCCAAGCGCGCAGCATCCCAGGGAACAGCGTCTCTGCTTACCACCAACCCCTTCTCTGGGTAACCTCTCTCCACCCCCATCTCCTTGTCTCAGGTGTCATCTCACCAGGGTGTGAGTCTGGACCAGCCCCACCTGGGCCAAGCGCGTCCTCACGGTGTCTGCCAGCTTGGCCACCAGCCGTTCTCGCACAGAATCTGGCTCCTTCTGGGAAGAGGGTGGATAATAGGGTAATGGGGAATGCCTGGACCTTATGGTCCTCTGGGGGTTGGGGAAGAAGGAAACAGGAAAGGGAGGGGGGAGGGGGGCTTTGTTTCCCCTCTCTTCTACCCCATCCCCATGCCTTTCCCAGGGTCCTGCCACCACCTGCCCAGAATTGTGGACAGCGATGAACTCTTCCTCACAATAGTATCCCAAGACCTAGCACACAGTGTGTCCAGTGCATGTTTGCTGATTGAGTGAGTGATGGGGAGAAGACAAGGAGTGAAGGCAGGAATGTCAGCCAGAAGAGGGATAGCAGGGGAGAGGTGGATTCCGGTGTGCGGGGTCTCACCTGACACTGGGCCAGTGCTTCCTTATAGTACTTCAAGGCCTGGTCATACTGCCCCAGCCTGGCTGCAGCAGCCCCCAGACCCTCACAGGCCTGCCACTGTCCCTTCATGTCCCCTGAGAGAAAGAGAGCCTGGAAGGTCCTTTCATGACTTCCTACCCCACTGATCCACCCCCTCAGAGGCACTCCCTACCCTCAGTTCCCCCCATCTGCCTCCCCGCCAGCCCCTAGGACCCTCAGCCTCCCCACTGTCCCAGTCACATCCCAACCCTCTCACGCTTACCAGAGTCCCGGGCAGCCTGCAGGGCATGCAGGTAGTTGTCTCTGGCAGCCTTGTGGTCCCCCAGCTGGCTCAATGCAAAGGCCAGGCTGCCAAAGCTCCGGCCCTGCTCCCACCGCTGCCCCACAGAGCCTGAGGACAGAGCCCACCCCATCCTCAGAGGGGACTCTGGCTGCTGGGACATCAGGACCCCACCCTCCAGCAACCAAGACAGACCTCCCAGGAGGCCTGGTGCCCAGCCCCAGAACACTCCAGATGCATCCGAGAGGCCTGAACCCTCCACACCCAGCCTGGCCCCATCCTGAGTTCTGGTGTGAGTGCCTCCACCTGGCTAGTTTGAGTCAGGCAACAACCCTGTGATGCAGGCAAGGCAGGTGTTAATGGCCCCGTTTTTAAAAATGTGGAAACTGAAGCTCGGAGAGTGAAAGTGGTTCCTCAATGTCACACAAACAATCAGCAGAGGGGCTGGACTCCGCTTCAGGCCTCCTCTCGCAGCCAGTACCCTTCCCCCTGCCCACTGCTGCCTTCCCAACCCTGAGGCCTCGGCCTCTGGGCCCACAACCCTCTGTCCTGTCTGGCTGTCCCATCTCCTGCACTTCCAGCTCTCCCCCACTGGTTCTGGATTTTCAGGCTCCATAAGTGGTCCCAAAGGGCCATCCACCCTTAAGCCTTGGGCCCCTTTTGGAACCCCTTCTTAGTGTCTTAGTCCCAGTCCCATTCCCCGGCCCCAGGCACCCACCGTGTAGGTCAGCAGCCTTCTGGTGAAACTCCCGAGCTTCCTGATAGTTGCCGAGGGCATTGTGGGCCATCCCGAGGTTTCTTAGCACTGTGGCCTGCTCTCCTGGCACCCAGCACAGGGGCAGGGCCTGCAGGAAGGCCTCCACGGCCAGCGGGAACAGCTGGAGCTGGGAGTAGCCCAGGCCTAGATCGTTATAGAGGTGCCCTAGAGGGAATAGCCAGGGTCACTGGTAGCCAGACCAGATATAAATGAGGCTGGTACAGCCCCTATCGACTCCTCCAGGGTTCCCCAAACCCAGCCCTCTGAGTATCATCAGGCTCTGTGTCTCCCCAGATCCCATGCCTTCCCTGCCCGAAGGTCTCACCCAGCAGTCGCCTCTCAGTGCTCCTCTCGGCAAGCCTCCGGCTTTTCTCCAGCACCTGCACAACTTCCCCCACCCGATGCCGCCCACTCTTCAGCATACATCCTGCCGCAGCCCCCAGTGCCAGGGCTGCGGCCCGCAGCTGTCTCTCTTGAGCATAGGCCTGGCTTGCTTCCTGCAGGCAGTGGGCTGCTAGCTCAGGCTGTCCCAGAGCCTGGTAGCAGGCTCCCATTTTTGCCCAGGCTTCTCCCTGGTCACCCTGTGGCTGGTAGTGGCCCAGGGCCCTGTGGTACCAGGCCAAAGCTTGAGGCAGCTCGCCGAGGGCATGGTAGGCCAAAGCCACATTGAAACATTGGTCGCCGTGTCGCCTGCCCTGTGCCTTCTCTTCAGGGTGGGCTCGCAGGAGTAGCTCAAGGCCTCTGGCTGGGTCCCCAGTCTCCACATAGGCAGCCCCCAGGTTGAAGGCGCAGGCCTGGAGCACAGGGGTATCCCTGGTTTGTGGGGCCTTGGAGGCCAGAAGGAAGGCCCTCTGGAAGTTGTTCAAGGCTTCATGGTTCTGGCCAGCCTGAAGGGCCCCATGGCCAGCCCTGGTGAGGGCTTGGATGCTGGCTTCTTGCCGCAGCCACTTTCTTTTCTTCTTTTTCTTATTGGAGCTTGAGGGCTCAGGTTCTGGCCTCCGGGGCACATCCTCAGGGTTGGGGGAAGACATAGGGCTGACAAAGGGGAACAGAGGGCTCAGTATGTCAGCCTTGGCTTCCTCTAGATAGCAGGACCCCCTTAGGGCAATTCAGCTCTACCCCTGCCCTAGCATGACCCTCAGGGTTTCAAGGATTGCTCTCTGATCTCTCACTTTGTTTCTTCTGTCCCATTGGGCACCATATCCACTCTCACTCTAACTTCCTGACTAATTCTTAGTCCTCCTTCAAGACTCAAGTCAAGTAACAGCTTACTTCAGAACGCACCTTCTTCTCAACCAACTGGGTACTCCTGTGGTCCCATAGCACTTGATGCCTATGTCTTTTATAGCATTTATCACACTGGGTCAGAGCTGATGACTTTATTGTCTTCCCCCCACTACTAGATTTGGAGCAACTTGCAGGGTCTGGCACACAGTAGATTCTCAATAAATGTTTATGAAAGGAGATGAAAAAGTTCTGGAGATGGATAGTGGTGTTAATTGCACAATAATGTGAGTGTACTTAATGCCACTGAACTGCACATTTTAAAATGGTTAAAATGGTAAATTGTATGTTATGTATATGTTACCACCATACGAGTGTTTTTGGATTGAACAAATAGGCCAGGTGCGATGGCTCACACCAGTAATCCCAGCATTTTGGGAGGCTGAGGTGGGCAGATCACGAGGTCAAGAGATAGAGACCAGCCTGGCCAACATGGTAAAACCCCGTCTCTACTAAAAATACAAAAATTAGCCGGGCGTGGTGGCGGGCGCCTGTAATCCCAGCTACTCGGGAGGCTGAGGCAGGAGAATTGCTTGAACCCGGGAGGTGGAGGTTGCAGTGAGCTGAGATCGCGCCATTGCACTCCAGCCTGGGTGACAGAGAAACTCTGTCTCAAAAAAAGCTGCAAATAAATAGATGAAGGAACCGCATATGCAGGGCCTCTCCTCCATAACTTCCTTCACACTGTGCCTCCACAGACACCCCCCTCACTCATCATCTAGGTACTCCTGCTATCTAATCTCAAGACGTAGTTCAGGTCAGTTCAACAAGCACTCAGTGAGCCCCTGCTATGTGCTAGGAACCACACTAGGCACTGGGGACCCTAGGGTGAGGAGGCTCCTGAATTGGCAAGGAGCGAACCTCCAGGAGAGAAGGATTTTCTGAAAAGGAGTGTGGTGTGGGACAGAACATGCATTTACTGCCCCTTCCCTAGCTCAAGGGGAAGCTCTCTCTCCATTTCTTCCGCTTTCTGTCTGCTGGCTGGTTCTAGGCCCCCAGCCTCCTGCTCTGGTCTCCAGAGCCCTCTTAAACCTGAATACAAGCATCTCAGCAGCTTGTATATCCTGTTTGTATTTTTCCCCTTGAAGGGCAAAAGCTTTTTATGAACTCTCCTCCCAGGAGATGGGAAAAAGAGTGGAAAAGACCCAGGCCCTGGGCTCTTGACCCCTCCCATTTTATCCTTTTTTTCCCCTTTTTTAGGAGGGGCAGGCAGAGGAAAAGCAGTCTCTTTTAAAAGAAATTCCCCCTGCTTCTAAGAACACCCAGAAATCCTGCCTTTTCAAGGCCTTCCACTCCAGGGCATTCCTGACCACCCCCATCCAGTGTGGGGATCCCCACTGCAGGACACCTTACCTCCTTGGGTCTTCTCCGCAGCTGGCTCTCTGGAATGGCCCCTCTGGCTTGGGTTACCTCCCAAGCTGTTAGCTCAAAGCCCTAGAGGTTACTAGACAACCAGGTACCACCCTCCAGTCGTAGGGAATTATTTGAGTGACAGCTCTGAAGCCGTATCTTAGTGCTAAACCTCGGTAGTGCTGCAGACACACCCCCTCAAGTCCCTCACTTCAAGAAATGAATCAAGGCATCAGAGGGGCGCTTACTAGTTACACCCTCAGAAATCATCTACTTCATCCCCTCATTTCACAGAGGAAGGGACCAAGCCTCAGACAGCAGATGTGACTTAACTAAGGTCACAGAGCAGTCACGTAGCTGGGGTTAGACTCTATGTTTTTTTTTGAGATGGAGTCTCACTCTATCACCCAGGCTGGAGTGCAGTGGCGCCATCTCGGCTCACTGCAACCGCTGCCTCCCGGGCTCAAGTGATCAAGTGATTCTCCTGCCTCAGCCTCCTGAGGAGCTGGGATTACAGGTGCACGCCACCACAACCAGCTCATTTTTGTATTTTTAGTAGAGAAGGGGTTTCACCATGTTGGCCAGGCTGGTCTCGAACTCCTGACCTCAAGTGATCTGGCTGCCTTGGCCTCCCAAAGTGCTAGGATTACAGGTGTGAGCCACTGCACCCCGTCTTTTTTTTTTTTTTTTTTTTTTGAGACGGAATCTTGCTGTGTTGCCTAGGCTGGAGTGCAGTGGTGCAATCTCAGCTCACTGCAACCTCTGCCTCCTGGGTTCAAGCCGTTCTCCTGCCTCAGCCTCCTGAGTAGCTGGGATTACAGGTGCCTGCCATCACACCTGGCTAATTTTTGTATTTTTGTATAGACTGGGTTTCCCCATGTTGGCCAGGCTGGTCTTGAACTCCTGACCTCAGGTGATCTGCCTGCCTCTGCCTCCCAAAGTGCTAGGATTACAGGCATGAGCCACCACGCCCAGCCAACTCTAGGTTTTTTGATTCAAGGTGAGTAGCCTAGGGTCCCTTCCACTACACTGTGTGATTGCAAGTTGTTTTTTTTGTTTGTGTGTTTGTTTTTGAGACAGAATCTTGCTCTGTCATCTAGGCTGAAGTGCCTAGATGATCACAGCTCACTGCAGCCTCTACCTCCTGGGCTCAAGCGATCTTCCCACCTCAGCCTCCCAAGTAGCTGGGACCACAGGCATGTGCCACCACACCTGGCTAATAATAATAATAATAATAATTATTATTATTATTATTATTATTATTATTATTATTATAGAGATGGGGTTTTGATATGTTGCCCAGGATGGTCTCAAACTCCTGAGCTCAAATGATTCTCCTGCCTTGGCTTCCCGAAGTGTTGGGATTACAGACTGCACCCGGCATGACCTGTGATAGCAAGCTTTAATGGGGCTTGAGCTGTCCTGGAAGTGAACCCTTTCTCTCTCTCTCTCTCTCTCTCTCACACGCACACGCACGCGCACACACACACACACACACACACACTCTCTCTCTCTCTCTCTCTCTCTCTCTTACATACTGTGCTTCTGTGTGGTGGTTTCACATTTGGGAACAGGGTGAAAGATTGATAGTCAGGAAAGGCCTGGAGATCAGAAGAGACTCCCCCAAGACTCCTTTTTCCAACTCCACTGATCTGTGACCTACAGTTTCTGCTTAATGAGAGGACAGCAGGCCCCAGGACGAAGGGAATATAATGCCCCAACTCACCAAGGGTGGCCTGCATCAGAAAGAAAATGTCCTCATTGCCTAGGGAAAGGCCTCTTTTAAGTAAAGAGGCCTTTGCCAGAAACAAAAATTATGAAGTGACGGGGCTCACCTGCGTTTGGCCTGCAGCCTTTGCTAAATGCCTGCTATGTGCAGGCATAGTGCTGGGTGCTACAGATGGTGCTGTGGCAGAGTGAAAAAATGGCTTCTCCCTACCCTTCTAGATTCTTTGGCTGGGCTACAAATTAAATTGACATAAGACAGATTAGCAGGAGAAAAACCATTTTAATTACAGTCATGCTTCGCTTAGCAACAGGGATATGTTCTGAGAAATGCATCATTAGGTGATTTTGTCATTGTGCAAACATCATAGATGGTGTTTACTTACACAAACTTAGATGGTGTAGCCTACTACACACCCAGGCTCTCTGGTATAGCCTATTGCTTCTAGGCCACAAAGCTGGACAGCATGTTACTCTCCTGAATACTGTCACCAAATGTCATTCAATGGTATTTGTGTATCTAAACATATCTAAACAAAGTACCCTAAGTATATGGTATAAGAGATTTAAGTGGGGTGCGGTGGCTCACACCTGTAATCCCACAACTTTGGGAGACTGAGGTGGGTGGATCACTTGAGGCCAGGAGTTGGAAACCAGCCTGGCCAACATGGTGTAACCCTGTCTCTACTAAAAATTAGCTGCACGTGGTGGCGCGCACCTGTAATCCCAGCTACTCGGGAGGTTGAGGCAGGAGAATTGCTTGAACCCATGAGGCGGAGGTTGCAGGGAGCTGAGATCACACCACTGCACTCCAGCCTGGGTGACAAAGGGAGACCCTGTCTCAAAAAAAAAAAAAAAAAAAAAGGGAGATTTAAAATGGTACACCTGCATAGGGCAGTCACCATGAATGGAGCTTGCAGAACTGGAAGTTGCTCTGGGCAAGTTAGTGAGTGAGTGGTGAGTGAATGTGAAGGCCTAGGACATTACTGTTTTTTGTTTATGTTTTTGTTTTTTGAGACAGAGTCTCTGTCTGTCACTCAGGCTGGAGTGCAGTGGTGAAATCACAACTCACTGCAGCCTTGACCTCCCGGGCTCAAGTAATCCTCCCAACTTAGCCTCCTGACTAGCTGGGACTATAGGTGTGTGCCACCATGCCCAGCTAACTTAAAAATTTTTTTTTTGTAGAGACAGGATCTCGCTATGTTGCCCAGGCTGACCTTGAACTCCTGGGCTCAAGTAATCCTCCTGCATCAGCCTCCAAAGTGCTAGGATTACAGGCATGAGCCACCACATCCAGCCTAGGACATTACTATACATGTATATATGACTGGCAGCATGGTAGGTCTGTTTACACCAGCATCACCACAAACATGTGAGTGACGCGTTGTACTAAGGTGTTAGGGTGGCTACAACATCACTAGGTGATAGGAATATTTTAGGTCTATTATAATCTTATGGCATCACCATTGTATATGCGATTTGTTGTTGACCAAAACGTTGTTATGAGGCTCATGACATATGTGCATATACACAGGAGTCCCGTAACACATGAGACTCAAAGAAAAGTCAGACGATTGACGTTTATACAGCATCCCCAGCTACAGAAAGGAATAGGGGTTGGGGCATCTCGGGGGTGGTGCTGATCCAAGTTATTGGAGGGTGAGGGGAGCAAGTGCATGGTGAACAGAGGTTGTCCAGCTAGGACAAACAGAAGTTATCTCAGAGCAGCCCTCTTCCTGATACAGGTACTTTACTAATGTAGATTTCCTTTACAGATATAAATTTCTTTTACGAAAGGACAACTTTTCAGCGCTACTCCTGTGTCTGCAGTTTCTCAGAATAACCTGCTCAAAATATGCCAAAGAAGTATATTTTGAGGTGGCATATTCTAGTTTCCTACAGTCATATTTTGGGGTGGTGTGTCCTGAGTCCCATGCCCAAGGCAGGCTAACCCAGCTGTCTGCAGCTTCTGCAGACAGCTGGGCTTTTAAGGTGCTACCACAGCCTGGTCAGGGCCAAATATGCAGCTCAGTTTGTCCTTCACTCAGCAGGCTTCCCTTAAGAAGGGAGGATGATTTAGGGAGAGGGCAGGGACTGAAACTGTTCTCACCAAGGCTCCAATGACCTCCCAATTATCCAGTGATCATTTCTGAATCATTTTCTTGTTTGATTCCTTTCTGTACCCACCACATCCTTGCACTCTCTTTTCACTTGGCTTCCATAACGTTCTGTCTCCTGGCTCTCTCTGTCCTTCTCTGAAAATTCCATTTCCATCTCTTTTGCTGGACCCTCTGTCTACCTCTTAAATGCTAATGTCCCCCAACATGCTGCCCTTTGCTATTTTCTCTTCTTACTTTATATACTCTTCTAAGAACATTTCACTGACTCCTGTGGTTTTAACACCACTGACAGACTCATAATTTCTAAATGTGTACCTATAGATGTAACTTGTCCAAGGGAAACTCACATTTCCCTAACTCTACCCTTCCAGCGTTCTCAGTGTTAATAGTAGACCAACAACCCAGTCTCTAAACCAGAAACCGAGGAGCCATTCTTGACTCCTTCTCTGGCTCTCAATCTCAGCCTGTTGATTCTACCTTTGAAATCCTCCTCTAGTATACCCTTTGTACTGCAGTCTCATGCCTTGGAGGTGGTATAGTATATAGTGGTTAAAAACTCAAGCTTGGGGCCGGGCGTGGTGGCTCACGCCTATAACCCCAACACTTTGGGAGGCTGAGGCGGGCAGATCACCTGAGGTCAGGAGTTTGAGACCAGCCTGGCCAACATGGTGAAACCCCATCTCTACTAGAAATATAAAAAAATTAGCCAGGCGTGGTAGTGGGCACCTGTAATCGCAGCTACTTGGGAGACTGAGGCAGGAGAATTACTTGAACCCAGGAGGTGGAAGTTGCAGTGAGCCAAAATCGTGCCAATGCACTCCAGCCTGGGTAGCAGAGTGAGACTTTGTCTCAAAAAAATAAAAAATAAAATAAAAAATAAGGCCAGGCGCGGTGGCTCATGCCTGTAATCCCAGCACTTTGGGAGGCTGAGGTGGGCAGATCATGAGGTCAGGAGGTCGAGACCATTCTGGCTAACACGGTGAAACTCCAACTCTACTAAAAAATACAAAAAAGAAAAATTAGCTGGGGTAGTGGCAGGCATCTGTAGTCCCAGCTACTCGAGAGGCTGCGGCAGGAGAATGGCGTGAACCTGGGAGGTGGAGCTTGCAGTGAGCCGAGATCGCGCCACTGTACTCCAGCCTGGGTGACAGAGCAAGACTCCGTCTCAAAAAAAAAAAAAAAAGAACTCAAGCTTGGAGTGCGACTATCTGCATTTAGCTCTAGTCTCTACCAGTTATTAGCTGTGTGACCTTTCTAAGTCTCAGTTTCTAATCTGTATTGTAAAGATTAAATAAGATAGTTATTGTAAGATCATGCTAAATATAGTACCCATCCTATAGTAAACACTATAGGTGTGTTGGTCCATAACTCTGGTGTGGAAGAAATTAATCTCTACTCAACTTCTGTTTCAAGCCCTGATTCCACTGGGATGATGGAAACAATGTGAACAAGTCTGGGGATTTGCCCCCTCCTTTTCCCCAGGGTGGAGTCTAAGTAGGGGGAGGTATATGAGGCCAAGATGAGGCTCATCTGGTCCTCAGCCGTCTATTCACAAAGGTGTCCACTGACACCTTCTTTCTTCTCATCTGCCTGGCCCTTTCAAGCCCAGGGTCCAAGCAGAAGAGGGGAGTAATTCATTCGGATACTTCCTTTCTGTCTAGGTCAGGAATTTCTGCAAAGCTGTCTATTGTCTGCCTGGCTAATTATATAACTGTTCTTTCTCAGGGTCCTGTACACCTAGGGTCCTTTCCAGGAAGCAGAGAATGGGACCCCAGTTGCCAGGAGCCACCAACATCTAGATTCTGTCTCCCCCAGCTGGTGAGAGGTAAGGGGAATCCCTCAGATCTTCAGGGGGGCATCCACTCTTCAAATTACACTTTTCCCAGTTTTGTCTCAGCCCCTGAGTCTCCTCTGTTCCTCTGAAGGCTCTAGGTATGGATTTCTGTTTTCTGTTCTTTCACATTCTCCTCTCCTACCTGCCCAAGCTATAAGCCTAGGCTGCTTGGTTGTTTGGATGGAGTGTGGGGAAAGGGTAAAAGGAGAAATACAAGATGGGGAAACCTATCAGATAATATTTTTTCAGCATAGTTGTTGGTGTCATAATTATTTTTTATTAGTTCAGGCTCTTTTTTTTTTTTTTTTTTTTTTTTTTGAGACGGCGTCTCACTCTGTCGCCCAGGCTGGAGTGCAGTGGCACAGTCTCAGCTCACTGCAACCTCTGCCTCCTGGGTTCAAGCGATTCTCCTGCCTCAGCCTCCGGAGTACCTGGGATTACAGGCATACCCCACCACGCCTGGCTAATATTTGTATTTTTACTAGAGATGGGGTTTCACCATGTTGGCCTGTCTGGTCTTGAACTCCTGACCTCAGTTAATCTGCCCGCCTCCGCCTCCCAAAGTGCTGGGATTACAGGTGTGAACCACCGTGCCTGGCCTAGTTCAGGCTCTTATTATCTCTCTTCTGTGCTACTGCAGTAGCCTTCCAACTGGTCTCTGCCCCTAGCCTCACCCCCTTCCAATCCCCTGCTATAAGATGGCTCTTTTTAAAGGACAAATCTGGCTCTGACCTATGTCTAAAGTGTTCCTTGGCTGGTGACTGCTCACCAGACCCCATGCCAGGGCCCTAGCATGGTGCCCAAGGTGCTACTGGACCTGGCCCTGTGCCTCCAGGATCCCTTCTGGCCTCTCCCTGGCTGAGCTTTGTTCTCCTCTAAAACTGAACCAAGTTTAAGTTCCCGAACTCACCTCCTCGTTCTTGCACATGCTGTCTCCACTGACTGCACTGCCTCTCTTCTTCAATCTGATGAATTCTCTTTCACTTCTCAACCCAAATCAGCTGTCACTTCCACCAGGACGTCTTCCCTGTCATTCGCTGCTCTTATTCACAGCAATGACCCCCTCCCTCTGTGCATCACCGACCTCTAATTTATTTGACTATATGTCTATCACTTGTGCCAGAACAGCAAACTCTTTTAGAGCATTCACTGCCCTCATACATCTCTGCATTCGCATCACCTAGCTTAGTGCATAGCGCCAAGTAGGCCCACAAGTTAGCCGGACTCGGGAACACATAGGAAGCAGAGTAGGGGTTAATGGGAATACTAGGTGGAGATGACAGAGGCAATGGCAGGGGCAGCAGCTAGAATAAGACTGTTAAGCAGAAAAGGAGCCTGGAAGGAACAAGACGAGGAACTGCTGTAAGGGGAGCGGTACTGCCCCGGCCTGGGGCGCCTCTTCTCCCAGCACCTGGGCGGCCCGGCTCCGCGGCCGGGAACTACAAATCCCAGGATTCTCAGCGGTGTGGACGGGAAGTGTCCTGTCTGGCGGTGCCGACGGTGAGGGGCGGTGGCCCAACGGCGGGAGATTCAAACCTGGAAGAAGGAGGAACATGGAGAGGAGAGCAGCGGGCCCAGGCTGGGCAGCCTGTGAGTGCGGAGAGGGTCAGAGAAGGGTCTCGCAGTGGTGCCGCTGGTCGGGGGCTTGGCTGTCCCGGGAGAGATTGGGGCGTGTGTCGGGCGTGAAGCCTGAGGGGCGAGGGCGGTGGGACTGCTCAGTGGGACGGGAATCCTCAGCCCGGGCGCCGTGGGCCCGAGTGGAACTGTGAGCGGCGCATTGTCCCCTGACTAATGTGCTGCGCTTTAAAGCTTACAAAGAACTTTCTTCCTATTTCCAAGTTCTGGGGTTCCGGAGTCGGGAGAATGTAGGTGATCCTAATGGCTCCTTGAAATTCAGCAGTTACTGCTGGCTACCAAACTTGCCCAGCGATGCCACCGGACAAGACGCCTCAAGGGATCTGGGGGACTCTTAGGCTTTGAGATGCCGCTTTCAGACAATGCCTGTCAAACAGGGGGTGAAATTACCCGGGAAGCTTGTTTGAGATGCAGATTCCTGGGACCTGTCCCAGAGCTTCAGTTCCAGAAGGTCTGGTTTGGGGCCCATAATCTGCATTTATAACAAGCACTGCTGTGCTTCTTCCCTCACCCCAGGTGATTGTGAGGAAGGTAGTCCCTGGGCCACATTTTCAAAGACACTGTTTTAGAGAGAGAGACTGGAGCTGGAAGGATGGGTGGGGCAGAAAGGTTCTATCTGATTTTCTGAATGAAAGGAAAACCTGCTCCTTCCACCACTCCCTTCCTTTCTATTAGGATTCAAAGAGCAAAGTCCATGTCCAGTCTTCTGTTAAAGGAAAACTAGTTCCAGACCTGAGAAGGACAGGAAAACTGTTTTTCGGTTTTTTATTTTTTTGAGACAGCATGTGTATGTACAAAATCCCTCCCATCGCCCACAGTCCTCAGTTCATAACTCTGAGATGATGTCATTCACTTACTGGTTTATTTTCCATGCTTAACAACCAACACTTGTTCCTTGTACACCCCCTTGGAGGAACTGATGGCTTTCCTGTGGTTGGCCAGTGTTTTCAAATCTGTATTTGGAGGGGTGTGTGTGTGTGTGCACGCATGTGTTTTAATTTACTTAACTGCTCATTCATATAAGCTCTGCCCTTCCCTGAATCATTGCAGAATATGCAATATAAGGAAATAGGATAACAACCGGGAATGACATTAAGTGCTGAGTCAAAGACAGATTGGCTAAGCTCTGCCTTTTTTCAAGCTCTCTGAGTTTATTTTCTTACTGTGTGTGTAGCTTTCTCTTACTCTTTCTGTTTGATTTTGTATTGTGTTTCTAAGGAGAATAGAGAGAGGGGAGAGAAGGGAGAAGGATTAAGGGAGACTGTAACTAAGGCAAATTATGATTGCTGTCTCACTTGAGGGATTCTCTATTCTTGAGTTTTGGAATCAGTACTCTGTATTTTATTTAGCTTGAAGATTCTTTTCCTCCTCGGGTGACCTATACCAAAAAGGATAGTGAAGATACCTTTGTGATCTTTTAAAATTTTCTTTGTCCTTCCACTTAATCCCAAGTGAGTGGCATGTTTCCCTCTGTTGGACTGCCTTTCCCTGTGTTCCGCCTATTTATTCCTTAAGATCTAGTTCATAGCTAGAATCCTTTGCTTCCTCTGCTGCTCCCATAGATTTTATGCATGGGCTATAATCATACTTATCATGTTAGATTAATTTATTCAGATGTTTTTCTCTTCTGATAATAATCTTTGGGCGCTGTGGTTCACGCCTGTAATCCCAGCACTTTGGGAGGCCAAGGCGGGAGGATCACTTGAGCCCAGGAGTCCAAGACCAGCCTGGGCAACATGGTGAGAACCAGTCTCAACAAAAAACGCAAGAATTAGCCAGACATGGTGGTGCGCACCTGTGGTCCCAGCTATTTGGTGGTGGGGGGGCTGAGGTGGGAAGATCACCTGAGCCCAGGAGGTCAAGGCTGCACTACTGCACTCCAGCCTGGGTGACAGAGTGACACCCTGTTTCAAAAACAAAACAAACCCACCAATATCTCTGTTGTCCAGGATGGAGTGCAGTGGCACGATCATGGCTAACCGCAGCCTAGACCTCCTGGGCTCAGGTCTAGGCCCAGTAGCTGGGAGTACAGGTTTGCACCATCACACCAGGCTAATTTGTGTATTTTTTGTCAAGACAGGGTCTCACCATGTTGCCCAGGCTGGTCTCAAACTTCTGGGCTCAAGCGATCCACCTACCTCAGCATCCAGAAGTACTGGGATTATAGGCATGAGCCACCATGCAGGCCTTTATCTCTGCATTTCTTAAGAGTAGGGGTCTGCTAGTCCAGTGCCTGGCATAAAGGAGGTATTGATGAATGAATGAATGAGTGAATGATGAATTCTGGTTGGTTCTATTACCTCACCTCTGAGAGAGTAACCAACGAGGATGACACAGGTCCAGTTCTTGGAGAACTCAGTCTAATTAGGGATAAGAAAAGGAGTTAAGTTTCAAGCCAAGGAAGGCTCTGGATGTCCCAGCTGGGAGGTACTGAGGGAAGTTCCATGAGTAGACTTGAGGAGGAAGAGGACAGGAAGATGGCTACAGAGGAAAGAGAAGTAATGCCTCCAGCACAGGAGGAGGCTGCCTATTAAAGGGTATCCTGGGAAGAGAAGGAGGGACACATGGGAGATGTTTCAGGTCTCTGAGCAGGGTTGCCTAAACAAGTCTGTTGAGAAGATGTTTCGGCTGGGCATGGTGGCGGCTCAAGCCTGTAATGCCAGCACTTTGGGAGGCCAAGGCGGGCGGATCACGAGGTCAGGAGATCAAGACCATCCTGGCTAACATGGTGAAACCCTGTCTCTACTAAAAAATATAAAAAATTAGCCAGGCGTGGTGGCGGGCGCCTGTAGTCCCAGCTACTCGGGAGGCTGACGCAGGAGAATGGCATGAACCCGGGAGGCGGAGCTTGCAGTGAGCCAAGATTGGGCCACTGCACTCCAGCCTGGGCGTCTCAAAAAAAAAAAAAAAAAAAAAAAAGACCCTTCAGTGCTAAGGCACCTCTAATGCTCTCTTCATTGACCTTATCCCGTTTAACTCCTCAGATGAACGCCTCACAGCTGAGGAGATGGATGAGCAGAGGCGGCAGAATGTTGCCTATCAGTACCTGTGCCGGCTGGAGGAGGCCAAGCGGTGAGCGGAGTCCAGGAAGATGGACTCTTTCTGCTCTCCCTTTCTACCACCCCACCCTAGGCATCTGCCGCTAAAGCAAATGCAACAGATCGAGAGTCCATCCTGTGGGAAAGGGCGAGTTGAAATAGCTTTTTAATTTTTTTTTTTTGAAGCAAATCCCAGTCACATCCTTTTACCCACTATATACCGCAATATGTATCTCCAAAATATGTGGACGTTCGCTTATATAGCCACAATGCCATTATAATATCCAACTAAATTATTTTAAATCCTTGGAAGATCAATACCCAAGCCATTTTCAAATTTTCCTGCTTGTCTTAAAAAAAAAATCTGTTTTTACAGTTATCTTATTCAAATAAGGATCCAAAAAGCTCACTAATTACATCTGCTTGTATGTCTTCTTTAATCCAGAGCAGCCCATCTCCTTTTTTCAGTTCATTATCTTATTGACTTGCTGAAGAAAACTGGGTCATTTTCCTGAAGTACATCCTACATTTTGTCTCTATTTCTTTTCTTTCTTTCCTTCTGTTTTTTAGAGATGGGTGTCTATTTGCTTTCTTGTGTCATTCAGCTTATTCCTGTATACCCTGTATTTCCTATAAATGAATGTTGGCTTAATTAGATTTGGGTTCAACATTTTTGACAAGCAACATGGCGAAACCCCATCTTTACAAAAAATACAAATATTAGCCAGGCATGGTGGCGTGTGCCCATAGTCCCAGCTACTTGGGGGGCTGAGGAAGGAGGATTGCTTGAACCTGGGAGGTCGAGGAGGCCACAGTGAGCCAAGATGGCACCACTGCACTCCATCCTGGATGACAAAGTGAGACTGTGTCTCCAAAAACAAACAGAAAAACCTGGATGGGCGCTGTGGCTCACGCCTGTAATCCCAGCACTTTGGGAGGCCAAGGCGGGCAGATCACCTGGGGCCAGGAGTTTGAGACCAGCCTGGCTGACATGGTGAAATCCTGTCTCTACAAAAAAAATACAAAAATTAGCTGGTCGCAGTGGTGCATGCCTGTAATCCCAGCTACTCAGGAGGCTGAGGCAGGAGAATCGCTTGAACCCAGGAGGCAGATGTTGCAGTGAGCCAAGATCATGCCATTGCACTCCAGCCTGGGTGAAAGAGTGAGACTCTGTCTCAAAAAAAAACAAAAACAAAAAGCCATTTTTGACAAGAAGACTTCATTAGTGTTGGTGGTTTTTTTTCCCCCACTCAGATCCTTTTACCCCTTATATACTGCAATACATATATCTAAAATATGTGATATTTAACATATGTAAGATACATGTTCCATATCACATCTTATAGAAAGAATACAATGTCTGCTTGTTCCACTTTTAGTGATGCTAAGTTCAATCTGGGAGTTTAGGTGAAACCAACCTGATTTACACATCATAAAATTTCCCATTAACTTTCATCTAATGCCTTCATTCATTGTTGGTCTACATCAGAATTTATTATTTTATCAAGGGTGTAAAATGACTATTTTCTAGTTCTGTCATTTCTTCCATATTTACTAGCTGAAATCCTAAAGAACATTCCCTCATCATCTTAGGACTATTCGGTTACTCTAAAAGTCAATCTGTACAGGAAAAGCAGGATACGTACTTAATTCTTTGCTTTTAATCAACAGGATTCTTTTAATGTTCTTAAAGGAGTCAGGAGGATGGGGCAATCAGGAAAAATCAGGTGTCTAAGGCAGGGAAGACATGGAACAATGTGTAACTGGCTCTCTTTTTGGAAACAGATACTTTCCAATTAGACCCCAATATGTAGGGAAGTTTGGAGATTCCATCTGAGTAGACTTTAATCTCTCCCTCATACAACCATCAGTAATAATAATACTTTATATTCAAAGTGTTTTCACATTCATTAGCTCATTTGATCCTGGCAGCTGCCCACTGAAGGAAATACAGGTGGCATTATCCTCATTTTGCAAATTGTGCAACTGAGGCTCACAGAGGTGAAGTAGGGAAGATGGTTGGAAAGGGGGCCTTCGGACTCCAAGAGCTGTGGTCGTTCTGTCCCTTTGTGCTGCTCCCCTTCCACCAGCCCCACTACTCTCATCATCATCAAAGCTGGGTTATGAGCCATGTAGATCATTCAGGCAGACATGACCTTTCTGCACCCAGGTTCTCAGAGAACAACCCAGAATGAAAGAAGTGAGCACGTTCTATTTTGTTTAGCAGTCAAAGATGTAACTAGGGCCGGGCGCGGTGGCTCATGCCTGTAATCCCAGCACTTTGGGAGGCCAAGGCGGGCGGATCACCTGAGGTCGGGAGTTTGAGACCAGCCTGACCAACATGGAGAAACCCTATCTCTACTAAAAATACAAAATTAGCTGGGCGTGGTGGGGTGTGCCTGTAATCCCAACTACTCGGGAGGCTGAAGGCAGGAGAATCACTTGAACCTGGGAGGCGGAGGTTGCAGTGAGCCAAGATCGCACCATTGCACTCTAGCCTGGGCAACAAGAGCGAGACGCCATTTCAAAAAAAAAAAAAAAAAAAAAAGCATGTAACTAGACTGAGTGAGAAGCTATGTAACAGTTAAGCCTCACTGAAGATGGGCAGGTTCAGGATCTGTCAAGGAAGATTTGCTGGGGTGGGTGGGGCTGAGGGTTGGCCAGTCCAGATATTTGGGGCAACCTAGGAGAAGGTGGGAACAGCCAGGCAATGGGCAGAGAAGGGAGTTGGAGGTAGAGCAGGAACAGGAAGCAGAGGAGGGTCAGGGGCCACTTAAAAGGAGGGACAGAGGGAAGTTCCTGTTGTTAGAATAAATCACTGTGGTCTGCCAGAGTGCGTGAGAAGGTGTTCTCATGTTCATAGCTGGATGGAGGCCTGCCTGAAGGAGGAGCTTCCTTCCCCGGTGGAGCTGGAGGAGAGCCTTCGGAATGGAGTGCTGCTGGCCAAGCTAGGCCACTGTTTTGCACCCTCCGTGGTTCCCTTGAAGAAGATCTACGATGTGGAGCAGCTGCGGTACCAGGTGGGAGGATTGGACCCCACCTTCTACCTTCGTCCCCTCAAACTATGCTTTCTCCTCAAAGCTGTGAGGGTAGAGTGACCATATAACTTATTGTCCAAATCTGGATAAAAGGGAGTGTTATTAATCTATGTTTCTCTGTCCTGGTAGGGATGGAAAATCCACAGGATGTGGTCCTCTGGTTCCCCTCTGCCCATCTCTCCTGAATCTTTAAGCTGTAGTCTGGGCTTTACCCATAGGGAGTGCTGAGAACTGTGGAAATAGATTTTCTTTTTCCTTCCCTTTCAGGCAACTGGCTTACATTTCCGTCACACAGACAACATCAACTTTTGGCTATCTGCAATAGCCCACATCGGTCTGCCTTCGGTAATACTGGGCCTGAAGATTGGTATTCATCTTTACTCCTTACCAGCCACCTCCCACAATCCCATGCTTTATCTCCCTGGACCCTTTAGCCCTATTTCCATGTGTCTTCTAAACTAACTTAATCTAAGAGAACAGTTCCTTGCAGCTGTGTGTCTTTGAACCAGGTTATTTTTTTCTCTGCCTCCTCTTCCCTGTGGATGAAAGGAGGTGAAGTTTCCCTGGCCTGAGTGGCACGGTTCCCATTATGCAGGGGGTGGGAGGCTGCTATGTCATGCTCGTATTGGCCAGCCTTGTCTCCACCAAATTTCACAGTGTGAAGCAAGGGTATACACATCCCTAGGTGGCAGACTTTGAGTTAGAAGCCTAGGTCCAAAACCCCAACTGGACACATGATTTCACTCTTTGAACCTCAATTTGTTACTCATCTGTAAAATGGGGATAGTGAGCCCTGCCCTGTCTACCTTACAGTGTTGTCAGGAAGATCACATGGTCTGTGTGAACTCCCTTTGTGAACTGTGAAGAGCTATACAAATGAAGGCATGATAGGATTCTACAATGTATGGTTTCTTTCTGCTTTGTTTTTCTTCCCTGTAGAAAGGCACTATAAGACAGGAAACAGCAGTAAAGACACTTCGATGGGAGGCAGAAGCAATAGAGGTCATGTGTCTTCAGTGGGACTGGAACACTCTAGGTCTCTAAATTTGGTCTTTTATTGTGAATCTAAATATAACCAAGATATATTGAGGTTAGGCCTCATTACAGTTGTCAGGTGGCATTGAGAAGCCATACCTGGTGCCACTCGGTTCTTAGAAGGGCTCTCATTGATCAGAAGCCGCTGGCTTGGAGACAGGGATAACAGCCTGACACTTTTGTGGTCCTTGGCAATATATGCTTCATTGGGCCCTGCATGGGAGTAGGCCAGCTCTCCAGCATACCACATCTCTGGCAAGGGTCTAAGGTGAGGCATGCAGGCTCACTATAGACATCTGGAAGACAACTGGGGGCCTGGTTTTTTGTTGTTGTTGCTGTTATTGTTTTTGGAGGATATGGCTTATATCCTGTAGCCTTGATGGCCTTATCTGGTGTTTGGTTAATCCAGGGCACCCTAGGACTATGTGTCTGTGGCTGAGCCTTGGCTTAGTATGCATCCTCAGTGAATTTCTTTTATACTAGGCTGACTAGAAATGGTTGGGGGAGACTGACCTAGACACCCCAGGTAACAAGGGAACACACACCTCAGGTTGGAGAGGAAGACCCATTCCTCGGCACCCCCTCTCCGCATTTGGTGGTGCTTAAAGGTTCCCAATGGCAGTAACTGGCTGGTTTCTCCTCTAGACCTTCTTCCCAGAGACCACGGACATCTATGACAAAAAGAACATGCCCCGGGTAGTCTACTGCATCCATGCTCTCAGGTGAGAGACCTCAAATTTTATCATCCAGGTTCCTCTAGGTGGATGCGACCAACAATCAACAACAACAAACTCAGCAAGAAAGAAGGATGAAGGGTAGACCACAGGGAGCACTGCTCAGGAGAGTGAGGTTTCAGATTTACAGAGTTGTGTTTAGATTTTTGTGCATGTCTGTGGGCACATTTATGTATGGCCTGTGTGGGTGAAGGGGAAGGGCAGGCAGGGTACCAGAGATAGGAAAGTAGCAGGGTAGGGCCTTCAGTTTGTAACTGGGTATAAAGGAATCAGAACAGGACCTATTGAGAGCAACACAGGCAAGACACTTAGTATGGATGGTGTAGGCTCTTTGGTCCTACTTACAGCCAGCCATCAGCAACCAGTTGGCTAAATCACAGCAAGTGACCGACCGGTTCCTTGTGTTTACCATGCCATCTCTTTCTGACCACTTCCCATGTCCCTTTGTGCCCCTGTGCCTTAGCTCAGCAGGTATCTGCTTGCTGCGCCCTTCCTGTCCTCTCTCTCCATTGAGTGACCTGCTACTGCAATGTGGCCTTCTCTGTGAAGCCTTCCTAATCCCCTCAGACCCCCAACACCATCTTATTTACCTTCTGCAGCACTTTCCTTGGGCTGATTTATGGTCATATTTCTTTATGTGGGTTGGGGATGACTTGAGGGCAGGTGCTGAGTGGTCTTCATCTCTAGGTCCCCATAGTATCCCCTTCAAACCCATCGTGGGCAGAGTGTCAAAATGAATAGGCCCCAGTGCCTTCCAATGCCTTCCGTTTTTTCCTAGTCTCTTCCTCTTCCGGCTGGGATTGGCCCCTCAGATACATGATCTATACGGGAAAGTGAAATTCACAGGTAAGCCCAGCTCCTTCCCTGACCACCACAGCCTGGGCAGGGTCTTGGGGGTTCTGGGCCTGATGAAGGGCACCTGTGGCATCATTGCAGCTGAGGAACTCAGCAACATGGCGTCCGAACTGGCCAAATATGGCCTCCAGCTGCCTGCCTTCAGCAAGATCGGGGGCATCTTGGCCAATGAGCTCTCGGTGGATGAGGCTGCAGGTAAGGACTAGGCTCTGCCCTGCCAGGAGTAGGCTCAATGCGTATGGGAGGGCTCCAAGCCTCACAGCCATTGGATGGGTTCTGGCCAGCTCTCATCCACAGATAGGGCCATCAGGCTACCTGGTTTGTCTGGCCCTTGAGGGTGGGAAAAAGGATGACATTAGAGTGGGCTGCTACTGGTTGCGCTCCAATCTGGGATTCACTCTGGCCTCCTGACCTTGTTTCCATGCCCTCTCCCAGTCCATGCAGCTGTTCTTGCCATCAATGAAGCAGTGGAGCGAGGGGTGGTGGAGGACACCCTGGCTGCCTTGCAGAATCCCAGTGCTCTTCTGGAGAATCTCCGAGAGCCTCTGGCAGCCGTCTACCAAGAGATGCTGGCCCAGGCCAAGATGGAGAAGGCAGCCAATGCCAGGAACCATGTAAGGAGTAGTCTTGGGTTGCAGGGACCGAAAAGTTGAGTGGCTGGAAAGTCTCAAGTGAAACCGGGACTCCTATCTGTCATGTCTCTAGTATCCAAAATTGCTTCTTAGAGAAACCATAATTTATCAGTGATTTTAGAGAAATAGGAAAGGAACTTGGAAGAATGATGAGAATTCCGAAGAGAAGACTGGAGAAGAGGTTCTTGGGGGATGATCTTCAGGGAAGCCTGAGAGGGGTGCTGGAATGTAGAACAGAATGAGATTGGACTGGAGGTTCCAAAGGTTGGTTTGGCTTAATTATGTCAGTGCCAAGTGTTTTAGACCCCACAATTCCTGAATTCTGAGCAGACTGAACTTTGGCCTTGGGAAGGTCCCCAGAAGAAGAAATAAGTGTAGCCAGGCAGGGAAGAGCAGGACAAGGAGATTAAATTGGGTTTCCCAGGTTCCCTTTCAATGGAGTTTTTGCAGGATGACAGAGAAAGCCAGGACATCTATGACCACTACCTAACTCAGGCTGAAATCCAGGGCAATATCAACCATGTCAACGGTAAGAGACCTCGAGCAGGAGTGGTTTGGGGGTGACCTCAGGGTAAGCCCCTGCACTGGGAGGTTTGGGGATAGCTTTTCTCAAGCCAGAAAGCCCTATGGTCTCATTTGGGCCAACTCTTGCCTCGGAGAAAGATCAGAGTCCAAGGAGTATGTGCACTGCTTTCTGGCCATCGGTGTCTAGAGAAGTAGTCCATGTCCGGGAAGCTTCTGTCTGACTGGAGAACCATAGAGAGGAGCAGCTCTTGATGCCGGGGGGGCAGTTGGACTGGGGTCCTTCGAGAGGGGCAATGTGGAGAATACATGAGGATGGGGGGATCTGGGTAGGAGCCGTGTGAAGGCTCAGGATGGGTGGGCATTTGCCTATTTGGGTGAGGATATCCTTGGGGTCTGGGGCGGCGAAGTGAGAAGGCTGTGAAGACCAAGCTGAAGAATTTGGGCTGAACCAAATGGGCCCAGGAACCAAGGGGGAAAGGGTGGGGGTAATTCCGGGCAGGCAAGAAGAGGGTAGATTCCTAGGGCTGGACTAGGGGATTATGAGAGGTGGCTTTCTCACACTGTCCATTATGGAGTCATTTTTTTTCAGTCCATGGGGCTCTAGAAGTTGTTGATGATGCCCTGGAAAGACAGAGCCCTGAAGCCTTGCTCAAGGCCCTTCAAGACCCTGCCCTGGCCCTGCGAGGGGTGAGGAGAGACTTTGCTGACTGGTACCTGGAGCAGCTGAACTCAGACAGAGAGCAGAAGGCACAGGTTAGCCTCTGTCTATTACCTGCCACCCCCTGTATGTGACTATAGGATAGGAGAGGGCCTCTTACTCAAAGATCACCACTGTTGGTCCTTTGTATTCTGTAAGTGCTGACTACGTGTTTAAATGGTTAAATCACCCCAAGGCCTAGTAGACCAGATTGATCAGCTTCTGTCCCTGAGAGTCCCCCAGGCTGACCAAGAGGAACCCAAGGACAGTCCCATAGGCAGTAATGTGCTCCCCCATTGTTGAACTGGTGCCTCCACTTAGCAATCTTGTTTTTAAAGTAGTTGACTTTTCCCCTGACACATTCGTGTTGTCTATGTTGTTATTTTAGATGCTTGCTGAGCAAGAAAGATTAAAGATGAGTTAATAGGGCTGGGCACTGTGGCTCACGCCTGTAATCCCAGCACTTTGGGAGGCTGATGTGGGTGGATCACTTGAGGTCAGGAGTTTGAGACCAGCCTGGCCAATATAGTGAAACCCTGTCTCTACTAAAAATACAAAAATTAGCTGGTGTGGTGGCACACGCTTGTAATCCCAGCTACTTGGAAGGCTTCGGCAGAGAATCGCTTGAACCCGGGAGGCAGAGGTTGCCGTGAGCCGAGATTGTGCCACTGCACTCCAGCCTGGGAGACAGAGCAAGACTCCATCTTAAAAAAAAAAAAACGGTTAATAGGGATGAGTGAGCCAGCCTAACGGAGAGAGGTAGGATTGAGGGTAGGTGGCTGGGTAGACCTGGGAGCTCATGCTGGCAACTCGTAAAGCATGGTCATGGCCCCGGAAGGACTCCATTCTACTGTATCTCTTCCCTCTCTTAGGAGCTGGGCCTGGTGGAGCTTCTGGAAAAGGAGGAAGTCCAGGCTGGTGTGGCTGCAGCCAACACAAAGGGTGATCAGGAACAAGCCAGTAAGTCATCTGCAGGTCTGAGGCCTGCTCTGTGCGTATCTCTGACTCTTAGAAGAGTATCCCACCTCTTTGCTGGCTTCTGTATTGGGCAGTACACACTGCTGCTGTTTCCAGCCTGGCTAGGAACTTCTCCCCTCACATAATCTGCTTTATTCCTGCTGCCTGGGGGGACACTACAGATAAGTTCATTAAGGCCTTAGAGATAATGACATGCCAATACTGCACTGGGCTGTTCTCCTGGGGCAGGCAGTTTTCTTCCAGGCAGTTTGCCTGTAATTTTGACAGTTTCAACCTGCTTGAATTCCTTTGGCTTCGGAAATGTAGTAATTTTCCAGAATATGAGCAAAAAACTCATCTTCTCAGTTTCCCTTAAAAACATTATATACAAATGTAATTCTTTTTTGTTTGTTTTTGTTTTTGTTTGAGACAGAGGCTCACTCTGTTGCCCAGGCTGGAGTGCAGTGGCACAATCTCGGCTCACTGCAACCTCCACCTCCTGGGTTCAAATGATTCTCTTGCCTCAGCCTCCCGAGTAGCTGGGTTGACAGGCACCTGCCACCATGGCAGACTAATTTTGGTATTTTTAGTAGAGGTAGGGTTCTTCGTGTTGGCCAGGTGGGTCTCAAACTCCTGGCCTCAAGTGATCTGCCTACCTTGGCCTCCCAAAGTGCTGGGGATTACAGGTATGAGTCACTGTGACCGGCCACAAATATAATTATTTATTACAAGAATGTGAGTTAGTAATTGTCTTCCTCCAAGAGATCTATCTGCACTGCAAGTATGAAGAGAAACAGTGCTGAGGCAAAATGCAGTAGCCTGTGGACACTAGGCCTGTTACAGTTGCTTGCCTTAGTCTGGACTTGCTGTCAGGTTTAGAGGTTGCTCAGTAACCATTTACCTTTGTCTAACAGAGCTTTCCGACATTCACTAGCTTTCAGTAGCCCCCGGGCCACTCCTGACTGGCTGCTTTCCTAATCCACTCAGTTCATTCCCGATTGCTGCTGCCAGAGTAATCTCTGAAGCACAGATCTGATCTTATCTCCCTTGTTGAACATCTTCAGACCTTCATGGGTTCTTCCATTATTTAGCCCACACTTTAGTCCTATCTCCTTGTCCTGGCAGATAAGACCTTTCCAGAGTTCATCCCCAGCTCTTCTGTTCACATTCCATCCAATTCAGCCGAGCAAACAATCTATTCTCCCTAGATTGCCCTCCAGCCTTTCCCATCACCGGGCTTCTGGTCCTGTGGGTTACATTTCTCCCACATTCTCACCTGTTGATGAGCGGGTGAAAACATTCTCCAGAGCTGTCTCCAAGGCTTCCTCCTCTGTGAAGTCTTCTGCTCTCTCCCAGGCAGAATCCCTCCTCCCCTGCTCTGCCATAGCATTGTGTGGGGGTGGCGGGAGGTGGACTTCTAACATGACATTGACAGCAGTGCACTGTAGGTACTTTGGTATCCTTAGTTCTTCCCAGTAGATTGTGCTCTCCTTGATGTCAGTGCCCGTATCTGCTAAGCATTTTGTAAGCCACAGAGTTTGTAAACTCAGACTACATTGAGGCACCACAGCCCCTTTTAAGCTTACTACTGCCCTTTGCAGCAAACGGCTCCACCTTGGAGCTGGTTCCTTATTCCTCTGTGCTGTCATCAAGCCTTGGTCCCTAGAGCCCCCTGACTAACCTCATCTTAGTTACGTTCCATAGCCACCTGTCAATCTTGTGCTCACCACCTTAGGAACTCACCCTCTGCTATGACAGCCACTCTGTGTTACATGCTGAGCTACTCAATTTCTTTTTTTTTTTTTTTTTTTTTTTTTATTGATCATTCTTGGGTGTTTCTCGCAGAGGGGGATTTGGCAGGGTCATAGGACAATAGTGGAGGGAAGGTCAGCAGATAAACAAGTGAACAAAGGTCTCTGGTTTTCCTAGGCAGAGGACCCTGCGGCCTTCCGCAGTGTTTGTGTCCCTGGGTACTTAAGATTAGGGAGTGGTGATGACTCTTAACGAGCATGCTGCCTTCAAGCATCTGTTTAACAAAGCACATCTTGCACCGCCCTTAATCCATTTAACCCTGAGTGGACACAGCACATGTTTCAGAGAGCACAGGGTTGGGGATAAGGTCACAGATCAACAGGATCCCAAGGCAGAAGAATTTTTCTTAGTACAGAACAAAATGAAAAGTCTCCCATGTCTACTTCTATCCACACAGACCCGGCAACCATCTGATTTCTCAATTTTTTCCCCACCCTTCCCGCCTTTCTATTCCACAAAACCGCCATTGTCATCATGGCCCATCCCCAATGAGCCGCTGGGCACACCTCCCAGACGGGGTCGTGGCCGGGCAGAGGGGCTCCTCACTTCCCAGTAGGGGCGGCCGGGCAGAAGCGCCCCTCACCTCCCGGGTGGGGCGGCTGGCCGGGCGGGGGGCTGACCCCCCCACCACCCTCCCGGACGGGGCGGCTGGCCAGGCAGAGGGGCTCCTCACTTCCCAGTAGGGGCGGCCGGGCAGAGGCGCCCCTCACCTCCTGGATAGGGCGGCTGGCCGGGCGGGGGGCTGACCCCCCCACCACCCTCCCGGACGGGGCGGCTCGCCAGGCAGAGGGGCTCCTCACTTCCCAGTAGGGGCGGCCGGGCAGAGGCGCCCCTCACCTCCCGGACGGGGCGGCCGGCCGGGCGGGGGGCTGACCCCCCCACCTCCCTCCCGGACAGGGCGGCTGGCCGGCCCCCCCCCCGCGCCTCCCTCCCGGACGGGGCGGCTGGCCGGGCAGAGGGGCTCCTCACTTCCCAGTAGGGGCGGCCGGGCAGAGGCGCCCCTCACCTCCCGGACGGGGTGGCTGGCCAGGCGGGGGGCTGATCCCCCCACCTCCCTCCCGGACGGGGCGGCTGGCCGGGCGGGGGGCTGACCCCCCCCACCTCCCTCCCGGACGGGGCGGCTGGCCGGGCGGGGGGCTGACCCCCCCACCTCCCTCCCGGATGGGGCGGCTGGCTGGGCGGGGGGCTGACCCCCCCACCTCCCTCCCGGACGGGGCGGCTGGCCGGGCAGAGGGGCTCCTCACTTCCCAGTAGGGGCGGCCGGGCAGAGGCGCCCCTCACCTCCCGGACGGGGTGGCTGGCCAGGCGGGGGGCTGATCCCCCCACCTCCCTCCCGGACTGGGCGGCTGGCCGGGCGGGGGGCTGACCCCCCCACCTCCCTCCCGGACGGGGCGGCTGGCCGACCCCCCCCCGCGCCTCCCTCCCGGACAGGGCGGCTGGCCGGGCGGGGGGCTGACCCCCCCCACCTCCCTCCCGGACGGGGCGGCTGGCCGGGCGGGGGGCTGACCCCCCCACCTCCCTCCCGGATGGGGCGGCTGGCCGGGCGGGGGGCTGACCCCCCCACCTCCCTCCCGGACGGGGCGGCTGGCCGGGCAGAGGGGTCCTCACTTCCCAGTAGGGGCAGCCGGGCAGAGGCGCCCCTCACCTCCCGGACGGGGTGGCTGGCCAGGCGGGGGGCTGACCCCCCCCACCTCCCTCCCGGACGGGGCGGCTGGCCGGGCGGGGGGCTGACCCCCCCACCTCCCTCCCGGACGGGGCGGCTGGCCGGGTGGGGGGCTGACCCCCCACCTCCCTCCCGGACTGGGCGGCTGGCCGGGCGGGGGGCTGACCCCCCACCTCCCTCCCGGACGGGGCGGCTGGCCGGGCAGAGGGGCTCCTCACTTCCCAGTAGGGGCGGCCGGGCAGAGGAGCCCCTCACCTCCCGGACGGGGCGGCTGGCCGGGCGTGGGGCTGACCCCCCCGCCACCTCCCTCCCGGACGGGGTGGCTGCCGGGCGGAGACGCTCCTCACTTCCCAGACGGGGTGGCTGCCGGACGGAGGGGCTCCTCACTTCTCAGACGGGGCGGTTGCCAGGCAGAGGGTTTCCTCACTTCTCAGACGGGGCGGCCGGGCAGAGGCACTCCTCACATCCCAGACAGGGTTGCGGCCCAGCAGAGGTGCTCCTCACATCCCAGACAGGGCGGCGGGGCAGAGGCTGAGCTACTCAATTTCTAGGCCTGACAAATTGCTTCTTACAGAGCCTCTTGTTAAAGCAACCCAGCCCCTTTTCTTCCTGAACACTTAGAAATGCATTTTAAACCTAGCAGATTTTTGAGAGCAGTTGGAAAGCCATTTCCCCACCAAGATCCCCCGGCGGAGCCTAGTTGGTGAGGAGAGTGGAGATGCCACTGAATGCCCGGCCAGTACAACCTGTTGCTCTCCTGCCTTGCAGTGCTCCACGCTGTGCAGCGGATCAACAAAGCCATCCGGAGGAGAGTGGCGGCTGACACTGTGAAGGAGCTGATGTGCCCTGAGGCCCAGCTGCCTCCAGTGTACCCTGTTGCATCGTCTATGTACCAGCTGGAGCTGGCAGTGCTCCAGCAGCAGCAGGGGGTAAGCCCCAGAAATGTGGGTCTAGCTCTGCAGTCTCCATGCAGCTGGAGGGATCAGGACAGGCAGCCCAGGCCACCCTCTTGTGAGTGCGATATGAGATGCTGGCACGAGATTAGGATGGGGAAAGAGCTACCATCCCTGCCTTACTGAGCGTATTTTAATAGCCAATACCTTGAGCAAACACTGCTTTACATACTCATTTAATCCTTAAAAGGACCCTATGAGGGAGGCATTCTATTTTAGAGATGGGGAAACTGAGATGCAGAGTTAAGTCACTTGCCCAACACAGCTGTGAGTGCCAGTGCTGGGAGTGGATGCAGAAGCCCATGCTTTGAAGCACTTCACTGTCCCACCTCATCCCAATCCATAGTTCTTCTCTGACAGTGAAACGACAGGGCCCTCACTTAGGGACTTTCTGTCTGTTGGAGGAGTTAGAATACACCTGAAGGTCCAAATAGAGACACACAGGGAGAGAAGAGCAGATGACATAAGTGGAAGAAGTCTTCAGACCAAGGAAATGGAGGAAGCAGAGCCGGGAAGTCTTCCTGGAAGAGAATCAATAGAGAACTACACCCACAGCAGGTGTTTATAGAGCATCTACTCCCAGCATGACTTGGATACAGGCACAGCCCTCAGGAAAGGCACAGTCTCAACATAGGAATGACTATGTACAAGGAAGCATAAAATAAGTACTAAGAAGTAAAGCATTGTGACTAAAGTTGTGGACTTTTGAGCCAGGCTGCGTGAGTTCAAATCTGGCTCTGCTACTTCTTAGCTATGTGACATTGGGCAAGTTAATTACTTTCTCTGCTGCTCAATTTCTTTGAATATAAAATGGGAACAATAATATATTTACCTCAGGCTATAGGATTAAATAAGGGAACATATTTGCTTAGAGAAGAACCTAAGAGAAGAAAGTAAGAACCTTAGAGAAGAAAGTAAACTTTAGCTATTAATATTATTGTTGTTGATATTCACAACATTCTGTTAGGAGAAAATAGGAAGGGGGCTGGGTGTGGGGGTTCATGCCTATAATCCCAGCACTTTGGGAGGTCCAGGCAGGCAGATCACTTGAGGCCAGGAGTTTGAGACCAGCCTGGCCAACATGGCGAAACCCCATCTCTACTGAAAATACAAAAATTAGCCAGGTGTGGTGGTGGCACATGCCTGAAATCCCAGCTACTCCAGAGGCTGAGGCTCAGAGATCACTTGAACCCGGGAGAGCCAAGATTGTGCCACTGCACTCCAGCCTGGGCCACAGAGTGAGACTCTATCTCAAAAAAACAGAGAAGAAAATAGGAAGGGTGCTCTAGACAAAGGGCACGGCATAAGCAGATGTTTGAAAAGCAGAAGAAGGACAGGGCAGGGAAATGGGGCCGGAGCTTCTTGGGTGTGCGGTGCAGTGCAGTGTGGAGGCGACCACTCCATCTTCATCTCTGTATACCCAGGGCCTAGTGCAGTTCAATTTTTTTTTTTATTTTAAGACGGTCTGGCTCTGTCACCCAGGCTAGAGTGCAGTGGCATGATCTCGGCTCATTGCAACCTCCACCTGGGTTTAAGCGATCCTCCTGCCTCAGTCTCCTGAGTAGCTGGGATGACAGGTACGCACCACCATGCTCAGCTAATTTTTGTATTTTTAGTAGAGACAGGATTTTGCCATGTTGGCCAAGCTGGTCTCAAACTCCTGAGCTCAAGCGATCTGTCCACCTTGGCCTCCAAAGTGCTAGGATTACAGGTGTGAGCCACTGCACCCGGCTAATACAGTTCTTGATATGCAGTAGGGACCAATGGGAGCTGGTAGAGCTTACTTGTTAAGTGTGGGCTTTGAAATCAGACAGCTAGTTTTGACTTACATTATTGGTCGTGGGCTCATCCATGAAATGGGGATGTTAATGGTACTATGGTTCTATTGTCGGCTTATTATGAAAATTAAATGATAATGTGTGTGAAGTACTTATAATTGAGCACATAGTAAGTATTATCAGGTGTTTTGTATGATGATTATTAGTGAGTGAATCAGGCCACTGGGGTTTTGGGATAGAGACTCTGGGATATTCAAGAACCTTGGGGGCAGGATGGTGAATAGGCCTTTAGACCCTTCACCTGCCCACTTGGGAATTGGCCCTCCCACCCATTGTAGGAGCTTGGCCAGGAGGAGCTCTTCGTGGCTGTGGAGATGCTCTCAGCTGTGGTCCTGATTAACCGGGCCCTGGAGGCCCGGGATGCCAGTGGCTTCTGGAGCAGCCTGGTGAACCCTGCCACAGGCCTGGCTGAGGTGGAAGGAGAAAATGCCCAGCGGTGAGAAAGGCTTAGCCACACATTGGGAGTGAGGGATGGGGGAATGCAGCCAAGACTCAGCACTCTTCTGTTGGAGACTTGCCTTGTGTACGATGTCCCATTCTTGGGCCCAGGCCCACCCTCTGGGTCTGTTCACAGTTCCTTGGCCTGTGTTTCTTCCTGGGAGTGGATGGGATCACAGTCATTCCTTTTTTCTTCATTGATTCATTCTTTCCTAGCAGATGTTTGAGTACTGACCCATGTGCCAGATATTACTCTAGGTGCTGGGAAACAGCAGTGAACAAAACACTTTCTGCTCTTGTCAAACTTACATGCTAGTAAAGGGAGACAGATGATGAGAAAAGAAGATGAGGTGGCTGGGTGCAGTGGCTCACGCCTGTAATCCCAGCACTTTGGGAGGCCAAGGCGGGAGGATCACTTGACGTCGGGAGTTTGGGACCAGCCTAACCAATGTAGAGAAACCCCATCTCTACTAAAAATACAAAATTAGCCGGGCGTGGTGGCACATGCCTCTAATCCTAGCTACTCTGGGAGCTAAGGCAGGAGAATGACTTGAACCTGGGAGGTGGAGGTTGTGTTGAGCCGAGATCGCACCATTGCACTCCAGCCTGGGCAACAAGAGCGAAACTCCATCTCAAAAAAAAAAAAAAAAAAGAAAGAAAGAAAAGAAAAGAAGAAAAGACATAGAGAAAAATAAAATAGGGCAAAGTGGGTAATGGGTAGAGACATAGTAGGGACAGTTTTTCTGTTTTACATAATGTAGATCTCTTTGCTGAGGAGGTCATTTTGAAAGAGACCTAAAGGGCATAAATGATTGCCATGAGGCTATCTGGGGCAGAGGCCTTAAGAAAGCAATGTGCATGGTGTGTTCAAAGAACATCAGGAAGCCAGTGTGGTGGAGTGAAGTAAGGAAGAAAGAGGAGTGGGAGATGAAGACCAAGTAGCCGAGGCCAGACCACGTAGGACTCTGGTTTTTACTCTGAGTGAGGAAGGAAGCCACGGGAGGGTTTTGAGCCGGGAGGGAGTTGATCTGACCTACTTCTTTTTTTTTTATTTTTAGAGACAGGGTCTTGCTCTGCCACCCAGGCTGGAGTGCAGTGGTGCAATCACAGCTCAGGGTCTGGTTCTGTCACCCAGGCTGGAGTGCAGTGATGCAATCACAGCTCAGGGCCTTGCTCTGTCACCCAGGCTGGAGTGCAGTGGTGCAATCATGGCTCACTGCATCCCTGAACTCCTGGGCTCAAGTGATCCTCCCAACTCAGCCTCCCAAGTAGCTAGGACTACAGGCACATGCCACCATGCCTGGCTAATTTTTTAATTTTTTGTAGAGATAGGATCTCTGTACGTTGCCCAGGCTGGTCTTGAACTCCTGGGCTCAAACTGTCCTCCCATCTTGGCCTCCCAAAGTGTTGGAATTACAGGCATGAGCCACCGTGCCCAGCGATCTGATCTACTTAATGGGATCTTTCTGGCTGCTGTGCTGAGAACTGACTGCAGGAGTACAAGGGGAAAGCAGGGAGACCTGTTAGACAGCTATTGGAGTAATCCAGGCAAGAGATGATGGGGGCTTGGCCTTGGGCGGTAGCGGAGATGGGAAAAAGGAGTCAGATTTTGGATACATTTTGAAAGCAAACTGACAGGATTTGGTCATATAATAGATATGGGGTAGAAGAGAGAACAGAATTAGGTATGACTCCAAGATTTGGGGCAAGATGGGAGAGACGGTGGGACATGCAGGTTAAGCAGGGGAACCAGTTCAGATGTGAGCTGTTGGGTTTGAGGTGCTTGTTAGACATTCACTTGGAAATCACAAGGAGCTGGCTGGGATAAATGAATGGGCTGGAGGTGTGCTTTCGGGAGCATATGGTGTTAAAGTCATGAGATTGGGTGAGATCATCTACAATGTAAGTATGGAGAGAGAAGAGGTCTGAAGACTGAAGATTGGGATGCTCCCATGTTTAGATGTCAGGGAGGAACCAGCAGAGGTGTCTCAGAAAGAATAGCCTGTGAGGCAAGAAGAGAACTAAAAGAGTGTGGTGTCCTGGAGGTCAAGTGAAGAAAATCGTTCAACTGTTTCCCCTGACTTCTGGCTGATGATTCACATGCTACTCACCTCTCTGCCCTTCACCCCACTGCCAGTTACTTCGATGCCCTGCTGAAATTGCGACAGGAGCGTGGGATGGGTGAGGACTTCCTGAGCTGGAATGACCTGCAGGCCACCGTGAGCCAGGTCAATGCACAGACCCAGGAAGAGACTGACCGTAAGTATAGTCTGGAGCTGGGTGGAGATGGCCCAACTTAGGCAGTCCTGTCCCTTAGCCATTAAGTCTAGGGGCCCCCTGCCCACCTAGATCTCTCTTTCTTAGGGGTCCTTGCAGTCAGCCTCATCAATGAGGCTCTGGACAAAGGCAGCCCTGAGAAGACTCTGTCTGCCCTACTGCTTCCTGCAGCTGGCCTAGATGATGTCAGCCTCCCTGTCGCCCCTCGGTACCATCTCCTCCTTGTGGCAGCCAAAAGGCAGAAGGCCCAGGTGAAGTTAGGGCTGGTTGGGTTGGTCATCAGAGCAGGAAGAACATTCTCTGTGGGTTGCACTGTACCCAGTCTGGCAGAGCTCTATTCTGATGGACACAATGGCTTCTGGGTGGGGGTGAGGGGGGTGTTCCAATCTGGTAAAGAAGGATGGCCCTGTTGCCAGGGCAGTGGGCAGTCCATGGGAAAAGCACAGGCCTGGGAGCCAGAGAAACAGGCTGGATTTCCCACTCTGACCCTTAGTGACCATGTGACCTTGAGCAAATCCCTTGATATCTCTGAGCTCTATTTACTCATCTGTAAAGTACTGCCTACGCTGGTCCTACCCAGCTCCCAGAATGAGGGTGAAAATCAAATGAATTGACAAATGGGGCAGGGTTCTGAACCTGAAACACCCTGAGTATGTTGCAGTAGAGAGTGGTTGAGAGCTCAGACTCCTGGGCCAGACTACTGGAGCCTACATCCTGGCGGCCTGACCCTGCACGTGTTACTTAACCTCTCTGTGCCTCTGTTTCATCACCTAGAAGCTTGTGGCAGTAAAGAGTGTATCTCATAGTTATGGGGTGTAAGTGAGATAATATGACAGTAGTACTGGCTAACATTTATTGAGTCCTTACTCTGTGCCAAGCATCATTTTATGTGCTTTACAAGTATTAATGCATAAGAAAGTGCTTTAGAATACTGCCTGGCACATAGTCAGTACTCAATAAAATGTTAGTTTACAAAGTCTATTATTATTGAGGAGAGTTGGGAAGGAGTAGAATCTGGGGTTGTGTGAGGCAAGGAAGGGTTCAAGCCTTTATCAGTCTGACAGTGTGGCAGGCATAGGCTTACTTGACCTGTGGGCTCATGTAATCTTCCCACTACCTTGTCGGGTAGAGGAGTGTGGAGCAAGAAAAGGAAAGAGAAGGTAAGGGTCAGGGTCAGGATTGGCCTGAGAAGGTGTGCAATGAGGCATAGGGGAGTGGGGCGTGGGGGCAGGTAGTTGGAGCCTCCAGCGTAGGCTATCCCTGGACATGGCTGAGGCATAAGAGCAGGGAATTGAGCTGTTGAGAAGGTGGTGGATGCTGAGGGTTTGAGGAGCTATGCAGAGCCTCTGTGGTTCTGGAGGTGCTGTGGCCAAGCCGAGTAGACCTGAAAGCCCAATAGGATAAGAGAGCCTTCTGAGCCTGGCCGCGTCCCAGGGAACCACATGCCACACATGCCCACACACAGGGCAGAGAGCTGAGTGGAGATCACTGTCCCTGTGGCTCCCAATGCCTGCCTGCAGTTTGGTTCCCTTGGGCATCTTGGCCTGGGAACCTAGAGAGACTAGCTTGGGGTCACATCTTTTTTTTCTCCCTCAATCTGCCAGGTGACAGGGGATCCTGGAGCTGTGCTGTGGCTTGAGGAGATCCGCCAGGGAGTGGTCAGAGCCAACCAGGACACTAATACAGCTCAGAGAAGTAAATGGACTGGTTGGGGGACCCTGGGAGGGGAGGGATGGTGATGTGGGCTCAGCAGCAGCCCAGATAATCAGGCAGCCTCCCTGGTCACCACCCTCTCCCTTCAACCTCTGTGGGGAGGCAGGCCAGAGTCAGAGCAGGAGGGCTGCTGTTCAGACTGCAGGATGGATTTCCTGGCAGTCAGCAGGGCAGGACATTCTCAGGAGGTGAGAATCCATAGTTCACCTGCTGCCTCCCTCTATGCCTTCCTGTGAACACTTTCCCTGTAATGTGGGCATGTGAGATCATGCGGTAGTCAGAAATCCCATTTCTGCTGGTAGCTTGAGTTTGGGTTCCAACAGTCAATCAGCTCTGGCTAGAAAATGTTTAGACTTGGAATGAGAGAAGAGGAATTGGCAGGAGTTTGAGGAAAACAGGCAGACTCAGTGCAAATAGACAGGGGTGTGCTGATGTTTGGTGCTGGTGGTGTTAGTTCTCAGTGGCTGGGGTCTCCCTGTCCATCTGTCTGTCTGCTAGTGAGTGGAAGGCAGATGCTACAGCAGCCATTCCCACCTCTTAGGCTCTCTTCTAAGAAACTGTCCCAGGGTCCTCTGCCCATATCCTGCATAAAGTGCTTCTTTTTTAAGACAGGGTCTTACTCTGTCACCCAGGCTAGAGGGCAGTGTACTGTGATCTCCATTCACTGCAACCTCTGAAGCAATCCTCCCACCTCGGATTCCTGAGTAGCTGGGAGGACAGGCATGCGCTACCATACCTGGCTAATTTTTTTTTTCTTTTTTTTTTTTTTTTTGAGACAGAGTGTTGCTCTGTCACCAAGGCTGGAGTGCAGTGGTATAATCTTGGCTCACTGCAACCTCTACCTCCCAGGTTCAAGCGATTCTTGGGCCTCAGCCTCCCGAGTAGTTGGGATTATAGGCGCCCACCACCACAGCTGGCTAATTTTTGTATTATTAGTAGGCACATATAATACATATAATTCACCATATTGGCCAGGCTGGTCTCAAACTCCTGACCTCAGGTGATCTGCCCGCCTAAGCCTCCCAAAGAGCTGGGATTACAGGCGTGAGCCACAGTGCCTGGCCAATTTTTGTATTTTTTTATAGAGATGGGGTTTCGCCATGTTGGCCAGGCTAGTCTCAAACTCCTGGGCTCAAGTGATCTGCCTGCCTCAGCCTCCCAAAGTGTTGGGATTACAGGCAGGAGCCACTGCTCTGGGCCTTTATGCTTCTGTTCAAGCTGATTTTCCTTTTATCAAGCCCCAACTCAGCCTAGCCCCACGCTGCCTCCCTCAGGAGTGCTTCATTGACTGCTGCTGCCTTTCCCTCCAAGCACAGTTGCATGCTGCTGCTTTTCATGCATGTGTCTCTGTCCATCCTGGGATGTTCCCGTCTACTCCTTCAGAAGGGTGATTTTGTGTCCTCTTTCATGGAATCTGTCCCTAGTGGACTGGCCAAGGCCCATGGGAGGGACTCGGGGGAAGGATTGACTGCTCTCTCCTGATGCCCCTGTCAGTGGCTCTTGGTGTGGCTGCCATCAATCAAGCCATCAAGGAGGGCAAGGCAGCCCAGACTGAGCGGGTGTTGAGGAACCCCGCAGTGGCCCTTCGAGGGGTAGTTCCCGACTGTGCCAACGGCTACCAGCGAGCCCTGGAAAGTGCCATGGCAAAGAAACAGCGTCCAGGTAATGGCCCCAACCTGACCCTCCTCTTCGCTGCCTGCCCCAGCCACCCCTTGCCTGCTCTGAACCTTTTCTGCTTGCTTGGTTTCTGCTTAGCAGACACAGCTTTCTGGGTTCAACATGACATGAAGGATGGCACTGCCTACTACTTCCATCTGCAGACCTTCCAGGGGATCTGGGAGCAACCTCCTGGCTGCCCCCTCAACACCTCTCACCTGACCCGGGAGGAGATCCAGGTTGGCAGAGCCCCTGCAAGGGTAGGGGATCTTGGATAGGAATGTCCTGAAGAAGAGGCTCCCACTCCCCAAAAGACCACAGCGTCTCTCTCCTGCCTCCACAGTCAGCTGTCACCAAGGTCACTGCTGCCTATGACCGCCAACAGCTCTGGAAAGCCAACGTCGGCTTTGTTATCCAGCTCCAGGCCCGCCTCCGTGGCTTCCTAGTTCGGCAGAAGTTTGCTGAGCATTCCCACTTTCTGAGGACCTGGCTCCCAGCAGTCATCAAGATCCAGGTGGCAGGCTCTGGCTTTCTCAGTCTTCAGGGCCTGGGCTTATCTGGGCTCCAGGGTATCCACGCTGCTTCCTTTTTACTGACATGGGAATGACCTTTCGGCCTCTGAATAGTAGTGGTTAAAAGCATAGGTTCTGGAGCCAGACCATGTATGTTTGAATCCCAGCTCTACCACCTCTTAGCTGTGTGACCCTGGCAAGTTACTTACCCTCTCTCCCTCAGTTTCCTCACTGGTCCCTCAGTCTTTTCATCTGAAAATGGGGATAACGATAGCACCTACCTTATAGAGTTGTTATGAGGATTAAGTTAGGTAATATCTCAAGTGTTTATAAATTGTGCCTGGGAGGTAGGTAAGAACATGTTAGAAGTTACCATGCTATTTATATCATTATCGTCACTATCCAGAGAGTGAGAGCTGCTTCTTAGCTTCCCCAAGGGAAGAGTGAAATAAGATTTAGCTGGGCGCAGTGGCTCATGCCTGTGATTCCAGCCACTCAGAAGGCTGAGGTGGGAGGATTGCATGACAGGGTCTCACTCTGTCACCCAGGCTAGAGGGCAGTGTACTGGCTGAAATGAGCTATAATGACACCACTGCACTCCAGCATGGGCAACAGAGCGAGACCCTGTCTCTAAAAATGTGTGTGTGTCTGTGTGTGTGTGTGTGTGTGTGTGTGTGTGTGTGTGTCTGTGTGTCTGTGTCTGTGTGTCTGTGTGTTTAGTAAGACATCAAGGCTAGGACACTAGGAGGGCTCGAAGAAGTGGTGGTGGTTAAACAGAAAAGGGGTGGAATATCCTTTAGGAAGAGAATAGCCTTCTACCTTTCCTCTCCTACCAGCCCTTCCCATTTTTATTCTTCCAACCCGTGGATGGTCCAGTGTGGCCTCTGAGACTGACCCATAAGTAATTGAGACATGAGGCTGGTAGGGAAGATAGCCAGAGACACTGTGCAAGCAAGCCAGGAATGATGGCAATTGAGCAGATACCTTCCCAGGCAGATGTGATCTGGAGGGCCTCGTGGAGGTGCTGGCAATGTAAGATGCTTTCACAAACTTCTTTGAATGCCAAGAGCATGCCACTTGGCACTAAGCAAGGGTGGGAGATGGGTGCAAGGCCCACGGGTGAGTAATCACTTCTCTCCCCTCACAGAAATTGGAGTACACTTGATGTCAGACATTGTGATAGGAGGGACATGAAGACAACACCAGAGGACACCAAGGGAGACAGATGTGCAGATCAGGACTGGCAAATGGCCCTTGATTATGACTGAGGGTGTTGGGGGGTAATTGAGAGCTCAGGCTTTGGGGTCAGAAGGTAGAGTTTGCCTCCTGGTCCTACCACTTCTGGGTCATATGACATTGGGCACCTTACTTATGCCCTCTCTAGCACTCGGTTTCCTCATTCATAATGATGGTACTCACCTCATATGTTGATTAGGAGGATTCAGTAGGAAAATTACATGTAGCACTTAGCATGGTAAGTGCTCCGTTGATGGGAGCCATTATGAGATTTTGTTTTCAGGGCATTGGTCCCAGAACTCAATACAGAACTTTAGTGATCTGTATTTAGTGGTCTGAATCATAGGGATTTCTCCCTCCTGAGCCCAGTCTGGAATTTCACACTAAGGCGATGAAAAACCACACCAACAGTGGGAGAGAAGATGGAGTCAGAGGGAACATTTGTCACTAGTACCAAAGCTGTGTGGGCTCTGGCCTGGGTCCTGGGAGACAGAGAAAGAGAGGGGTAGCCCAGAGCCTTGAGCCTCTTGCCCGGGGAAAGGAAAATCCAAAATGAGGCTTCCTGGGTGTGCTGAGACTTTATCTCCTGAAAGCTCTGACCCTGGCCAGAACCCCATCCAGGATCCTGAATTCTGACCAATTCAGAGGCCTTAAGGAGCCTGGTGGAGGTTGGGTAGTGAGTAAGAGCAGAGAGCAGACCACTCTGCCTTTTCCCACAGCAACTTTCCAGTCAGTACCTGGAGGAGGAAAGGAAAGAGTCCTGAGGGCAGGCTTGGAAATGGGCCTTCCTGACCTCTAGGCTCCAACATGGACAGCTGGCATCATGGACCAAGCTATCCTCTTTTACATCCTATCCCAACAGAGGGGCCGTGTAAGCCTTGAGGGAAAGCTGGCAGAACTGGCTTTAGGAAGGGCTAAGGGCAACTGAATGAAAGGAGTTGCTCCCAAGTCTTACCAAACTGAGACAATGTCAGTGGTAGAGTATCTCCCAGGGCCTGTGCACTGGGAGATGCTGGACATGGGGCCTAAAAGACAGGAAGGGCCAAGCATGGTGGCTCACGCCTGTAACCTCAGAACTTTGGGAGGCCGAGGTGGGAGGATTGCTTGAGCCGAGGAGTTCAAGACTGGCCTGAGCAATATAGTAAGACCCCATCTCTACAAAACATAAAAAAGTAATCAGGCATGGTGACACACACCTGTGATTCCAGCTACTTAGGAGGCTGAGGCAGGAGGATCACTTGAGCCCAGGAGGTTGACGCTGCAGTGAGCCATGACAGCACCACTGCACTCCAACCTGGGTGACAGAGAAAGACCCTGTCTCAAAAAAAAAAAAAAGACAGGAAGTATTTCAGTGGGAACAAAGGTGAGTATAAAAGGTTCAGGGACAGAAAACCATAAGGCATGTTTACAAGAAAGTGAAAAGTCTGATGCATCTAGGATCCTTAAGAAGGTGGGGACCAGTGGCAAGTCAAATAGGGAGTGTTGGGTCAGATGGTTGAGAACTTCTGGAAACAGGCTGGGATAGTCTATAGTCTAAGAGGTACTTTAGGAAAATTAATCCCACACAAGCTTGGAGGGAAAGGGAAAAGTCTCCTAGGAAGGAGACTGGATTGGAAGAGGGCCTTGAGATTTTAGAGACCAAAGGAGGCATGATTTGTGCAGACGTCGGTTGGGCCCTTTGCAGCAGATCAGCTAGGGGAGAGGCCATCAGCCTGACAGCTGAGTTACTGGGGACCTTGGTGGGAAGATTTGCTGAGAACTAGGGTCAGGAGCTGGATTGTGTTTTAAAGAGAATGTGAGTTATGAGAGCATTAGTGACCTGCTGCCCAGGTGGCCGCGGGCAGAGATGGTGAGCACACGGCTCTGTGCCTGTACACACTTCTCATCCACACAACTGCATGCATTTCCAGACTGCTCTCTGCCCACTTTCTGTGCACATGAGGGAGGGTGGAGTGTGTGATAGTGTGTGGGTGGTCTGCATATGGGTGTATGAGTATATTTTAGGCTGATATGGTACATACTTTGGTGAAGTTGATGAGTAGGTGTATGCTTTATTATCTTTTAGGACTGTATCTTATAGTTGAGTTTCTGTGAAGAGGTGTTGGTTAGAGGTGTGTGGGTGTGGGTATGTGGGTGTTTGTTCTGGGACCAGGGAGTATGGCAGAGGGCATTGTTGGCTATGTGAAGCCATTTGGTCTTCCCCATGAAGTTGGAAGTTCTTTGAGAACAGGGCCACTTTCCCCTTCCCCCTCTATTTAACTGCCCCCTTCCATTCCCTGGAGGGCCCAGGACAAAGATTTTCTTAAAAGCCTTTCTGGCCAAAGGAGACCTGCTTGAGTTACTTCCCTTTCTCTCCTGATGTGCAGGCTCATTGGCGGGGTTATAGGCAGCGGAAGATTTACCTGGAGTGGTTGCAGTATTTTAAAGCAAACCTGGATGCCATAATCAAGGTAGCTACGGTGGTTTTGGCAGGCTCCTTTCTCTCAAAGGACCGTCTGAGAACAATCTTGTAGTCTTGTCACCTTCTTGTGACCTCTAGATTTAGCTGAATTGGCCTGAGACTGAGTGAGGGTGGGCCCCAAGCTGGAGCTGAGGCAGTGTGTTTCTTCTCCCAGATCCAGGCCTGGGCCCGGATGTGGGCAGCTCGGAGGCAATACCTGAGGCGTCTGCACTACTTCCAGAAGAATGTGAGTGTCACCTTGTTCCCCCTGCCCACATACCCAACCTTTGCCCATGAGACTAGAGCAAGGACAGCCAGCAACCCTTTTCCAATCTGTGTTTGTGGCAGGTTAACTCCATTGTGAAGATCCAGGCATTTTTCCGAGCCAGGAAAGCCCAAGATGACTACAGGATATTAGGTGAGCTGCCTGATCCACCCTCCCCAGCTGTTGGGAGGGAGAGGACCCCACAGAGCCAGGCAGGTCTAGACATCCTTCTGCGACTGCACAGCAGGTAAGGGGAAGGTAGTCACAAGTTGTCTGTGCAGGAGCATGGAACAGGAGTTGTAACAAAAGCCCCCCTGCTCATCCCAATCACAGATAGCCTTGTCACGTGAAAGTTCTTCTAACCAGGCTCTTTTTGGAACAGGCTTAGATTATCTGCCTATTGCTACCACCAAAGCAGAAAGAAAAGGATCTTGCTTCTTTTCTTAGGGTTCAACCTTCTCCTCTCCAGTCCTCTGTGGCCCAGCACAAACAAGGCCTGGTGAGGCACACAGAGTACATCTATTCCGTGGTGTGGAGAATGTGAGAAGCACCCAAGGGAGTGCCATCTTCCTGCTCCATATTCCCCATTAGTTGGGTGCTCATTTAAAGCTTTAAAGAGATCCTTTCTGGCTCTTGTTCTTCAAGTTCAGAAGCCCAGCAAATGGCATCCCCTTCCTTTTTGTGAAATTGACAAGTAGTCCATTTCTACATTCACCTCTAGCCCCTGGGTTCCTGAAGCAGTAGGCCCCTTTCCTTCCTGGCCTTGAGGCTGCACTCTTGGGCTTCTGGTGAGATGTCCTGTTCAGGAATCCTCTCCTTCACCTCCTCAGTCCTTCTTCGCCCCTGTCCTGCCCACAGGGGCTTTGCCTGTCCCTTCTCTGGCCATGCACACTCAGGCCATCTGCTTCCTGTCAACAAGCTTCTTTCTCTCCTTCCCTATCCCCAGCCTAGCCCATTCTATTTTGTCTCTGTGGTTACACTAACACCATTGTCCTGGCCATTCTTTATCTTCTTTTTCTTCTCTTCAGTTTATGGTTTTTCTGGAAGAACTTGCTTTTCCCTAGTGCTGTCTCCTGACTTCACTGGCCCCCAGACTTTACTCAGAGCTCTACCATTTACTAGCTGTGTGGCCCTTGGCAAGTTACTTAACTTCCTTTTTTTTTTTAATTGATTATTTATTTATTTGTTTATTTAGGACAGAGTCTCGCTCTGTCACCCTGGCTGGAGTGCAGTGGCATGATCACGGCTCACTGCAGCCTCAACCTTCCAGGCTCAAGCGATCCTCCCATCTCAGCCTCCTGAGTAGCTGGGACTGGAGGCGTACACCACCACAACTGGCTAACTTTTTGATTTTTTGTAGAGATGGGGGTCTCCCCATTTTGCCCAGACTGGTCTCAAACTCCTGGGCTCAAGTGATCCACTCACCTTGGCTGCCCAAAGTTCTGGGATTACAGTCATGAACCACCACACCCAGCCAATTAACTTCCTTCTTGCCCACTTTTCTCCTTTATAAACTGGACATAATGCTAATACCTATCTTGTAGGGTTGTTTTGAGGAGTTAATATGCTGTATTTCATCGAATCCAAGATGCCATGAATTGTCTTGGCCTCTACCCTTCTTCACTCCTCAAAGATTTGTCCCCAGGCCGGGCCTGGTGGCTCACACCTGTAATCCCAGCACTTTGGGAGGCTGAGGCAGGAGAATCACCTGAGGTCAGGAGTTTAAGACCAGCGTGGCCAACATGGTGAAACCCTGTCTCTACTAAAGATACAAAAATTAGCCAGACATGGTGACAGGTACCTGTAATCCCAGCTACTTGGGAGGCTGAGGCAGGACAATCTCTTGAGCCCAGGAAGCAGAGGTTGCAAGTCGCTGAGATCATGCCACTGAATTCCAACCTGGACAACAGAGCGAGACTCTGTCTAAAAATAAAAATAAAAAAAGATTTGTTCCCCTACTGTAGCCAGATTAATCCATTAAACCTGTACATGTGATCATGTCACTCACCTCCTTAAGACTTATCATGATGCCCTGTTGCCTTGAGGATAAAGTCCAACCTCCTAATCACAGCTTTGGGGCTTTTTGTGATCCAGCCTTTCCCTACACCTCTAACTTCACTGACCTGCCCCTCACCACCTACACCTTCTGCACTGTGTTCCAGATACAGTGGACTTCCAGCACTCCCCACATTCACCCTCTCTGCCTCCTTTTCACCGACATCTGGGGTGTCTCACCTCCTCCTTGCAGTGTCTCTTCACTCCCCAGGTGGGGTTGGGCAACCCACTTTTGTTTTCCCAAAGATCCCCATGCTTGCTCCTCTCAAAGTGCTAACTACACTGCAGTGAATTGTGGTTTATTTGTCTAGTTCCCCTACTAGACTGCCTTTAGGGACAGGGACTAGTTTTATTCATCTTCCAAATCTGACTCCTTCATTTATTACTAACTGTGTAACATAGGGCAAGTTGCTTACCTTCTCTGAGTCTCAGAGTTATTATCGGTAAGAGAGGATAGTTATAGTGTACTGACCTCACAGGTGGTCTTAAGTACGTAAAGTACTTAGAACAGGTTCTGTCTCATAGTAAACATTCTATGTATTAGTTGTTTTGTTGTTATTTCCAATAAATTAGCTCAGAGGCTTCTTTCTTTTTTGCTCAAATGCCAATTCCAAAGGTGATTCAAGGAGAATCACCAGCTAGCTCTGACCTCCCCTAAATTATAAAGCCCACTGTCCATCCCGTCTACCTGTCCTTCCCGGTGTGTACAGACATTCCTGACAGAGGAGCACTGTGGGAGCAAGCAGGGCTGAGTGGTGGCTGGCAGGTAGGAGGAGGAGGAGGAGCAGGTTGGCCCAGCAGAAGTGAGTGGTAGATTGGGGTAGACTAGGGAGGTCTGGGAGGATAATCAGAGGGAGCTGTGGCTCTGGCTTTGGTGTCAGAGGTCCCTGGGATAGACCCAGGCTGGGGTGAATCAGAGGCATGGGAAGAGCAGCTATTATGTCATCTCCAGTTATAAGACAGGAAGCTCAGGGACAGGCCTGGCTAGAAGGCTACCCACTGCCCTCCAAGTGCAAGCAGAACCAGTTAGAAGAGGACTGGGGTTGGGGACCTGCTGATCCCAAGCAGAACGGGGACTGGGGTGGGCTGACTCGGGCAGGGGCTGGTGAGGAGGCCTCTGATGAGGCATGGCTAATCCTGATGCCTCCTCCCTTCCTCCCAGTGCATGCACCCCACCCTCCTCTCAGTGTGGTACGCAGATTTGCCCATCTCTTGAATCAAAGCCAGCAAGACTTCTTGGCTGAGGCAGAGCTGCTGAAGCTCCAGGAAGAGGTAGTTAGGAAGATCCGATCCAATCAGCAGCTGGAGCAGGACCTCAACATCATGGACATCAAGATTGGCCTGCTGGTGAAGAACCGGATCACTCTGCAGGTATGGGGCCCACCAGTCCTCCCCTCCCCGAGATCTGCCTGCCTCTGGAGATGTGATGCTGACCATTCTCTGCTTGCTAATCAATTTTTTTCAAAATGTTGTGGATTTTGTCACCTGACTCAGGTCCTTGTTCCAGTGGCCCTCTGCCATTCTAATAAATCATTTTGGGGGACCCATGACAGAGTAGAAAGAGCATGAAACCTAGAATCAGAATGCCTGGCTCTGCTGATTCCCAGGGATGGGGCTGTGGGTGCTCATTTCACTTCTAAGTCTGTTTTCTCATTAGCAAACTGAGAATAATGAGAATGTCCACCTCTCCAGGCCAAATATAGAGACAGATATGAAAGCTGTTTAAATCATAAATTACCATATAAATATGCAGTGACAGGGTAATAGTGATATAGTGATAGCTCCACCTCAAATGTGTGTAGCAGTCTAATAAGAAGAGATAGCAAAAGCCAAATAGACACAATTCCTCAGCCTGGCAAACCAGTTCTCTTTGGGGACTCACTCCCATGACAGGAGAGGAAACAGATGGAGTCTCAGGGCACTTGGAGGGGCCCTTCCTCACCCTAGAACTGCTTCTGTCCCCCAGCTTATGCCTGTTCCTTGAACAGCAGAAAGCCCTGGCTCTTCAAGGCACTGATTCTAGACCGTATGTTCTGTGCCCTGGGATGGCCTAGGCTAGTTGTATCACCCGCTCCTCCACCCCTGCAGGAAGTGGTCTCCCACTGCAAGAAGCTGACCAAGAGGAATAAGGAACAGCTGTCAGATATGATGGTTCTGGACAAGCAGAAGGGTTTAAAGTCGCTGAGCAAAGAGAAACGGCAGAAACTAGAAGCATACCAACACCTCTTCTACCTGCTCCAGGTTAGCAGAGGACTTTCCAAGGAGAAGTCTCTCCCGTCTCCTGAGGGTCTGAGACTTCAAGGCCTTCTTGTCTGTGCGTTTGGCACCATGCAAGGTGTCCTTTCCCATAATCTTAATTCCTTATCCCCAGGAAAGGAGACTACCTCTTCCCCTGTTTGTCTGGAATGTTACTAGCACCTGGAGAAAGTGTGGTAGTGCTTTCTCCATTCCAGATTTCCATCAGGGGAAAGCCTTTCCTTATCCTATCACTGGTCCTTGAAGTGCATGGTCAGCCATTCCTGTCTCCCCTCTTGCTTGCAGACTCAGCCCATCTACCTGGCCAAGCTGATCTTTCAGATGCCACAGAACAAAACCACCAAGTTCATGGAGGCAGTGATTTTCAGCCTGTACAACTATGCCTCCAGCCGCCGAGAGGCCTATCTCCTGCTCCAGCTGTTCAAGACAGCACTCCAGGAGGAAATCAAGTAGGCTCTCCAGACACAAAGGAATGGGGAGAGAATGGGTTAAGAGATCCCCCTGTTGGCTCCTTCACAAGGTGACAACTTGTTGAGGCCTAAGGGTAGAAATGGAATCAGAAGACCTCTTTTCTCTACCTCCTGTGGAGAAACCGTAAAACATCTGGGACAGCACAGTGGGAGGATATGGGCTGACATGCTAACACAAAGGATGAGAGAGATATCAAGACATTCCTTAAGAGCGGGGACACCAGGGCAGGCTTTGAGAGCCAAAATCTCAAAAAGGAAAAGCAACGGTATGTCCTACACAGAGGCAGAAGACTGGTTTCAATGACCTCTTAAACCACAGGTCAAAGGTGGAGCAGCCCCAGGACGTGGTGACAGGCAACCCAACAGTGGTGAGGCTGGTGGTGAGATTCTACCGTAATGGGCGGGGACAGAGTGCCCTGCAGGAGATTCTGGGCAAGGTTATCCAGGATGTGCTAGAAGACAAAGTGCTCAGCGTCCACACAGACCCTGTCCACCTCTATAAGAACTGGATCAACCAGACTGAGGCCCAGACAGGGCAGCGCAGGTGAGCACATGGGCAGAGGGAGGAGCTCTCTTTGATCAGCTGTGTCTTGATCAGCTGTGTCTTGGACCCTACTGGGGAAGCTTGGGTGTACTTTGAAGGTGGCATATAAATGGGCATGCTGATCTATGCAAATATGACACCAGCTTTGTAGGCATGAATAAGGTAGTCTTTTAGACCCCCTCTGATAATTAACATGAAACTGATGTAAATGACTTCAGACCTGGTGGGCTTAACATAAAATGAGTACAGATGAATATGCAAATGTGCTTAATTGCTATGTCAGTGCTTGCAAATGATGTGTCAAATTTGGTGGTAGTAGGGCCGGACATAGTGGCTCACGCCTGTAATCCCAGCACTTTGGGGGGCTCAAGGTGGGCAGATCACCTGAGGTCAGGAGTTTGAGACCAGCCTGGCCAACATGGTGAAACTCTATCTCTACTAAAAATGTAGGTCAGGCGTGGTGGCTCACGCCTGTAATCCCAGCACTTTGGGAGACCGAGGCAGGCGGATCACGAGGTCAGGAGATCGAGACTATCCTGGCTAACATGGTGAAACCCCATCTCTACTAAAAATACAAAAAATTAGCCGGGCGTGGTGGCAGGCACCTGTAGTCCTAGCTACTCGGGAGGCTGAAGCAGGAGAATGTCATGAATCTGGGAGGCAGAGCTTGCAGTGAGCCGAGATCGTGCCACTGCACTCCAGGCTGGGCGACAGAGCGAGACTCTGTCTCAAAAATAAAAAATACAAAAATTCGCCGGGTGTTGTGGCGCACTCCTGCAGTCCCAGCTACTCGGGAGGCTGAGGCAAGAGAATCACTTGAACCTGGGAGGTTGCGGTGAGCCGAGATTGCACCACTGCACTCCAGCTCTAGGCAACAGAGTGAGACTCTGTCCCCCCGCAAAAAAAAAAAAAAAAATTTGCTGGGAGTTAGGATATGGACTCCTATTGATAGGGGTATAGAAGAATATTTCTATTTACAGATGAATAGGCAAATGAGATAGTGGGAGAGATAGGTTGCCCTTATAGCCTGGGGTCATTACTCAGGTCCCTAGGTGCTAGGGAAACCTAGCCACAGAGGCGAGCAGGCAATCCTGGTGGCTGCTCTGGATGGCACAGGAGGCTTTAGGTGAGGGAACTATAAGGCTCTGGCCCAGCCTCTCCATTATTCCAAACTCCCAAAGACTATTTGCAGCGCAGCCGCCTGCTTGTCATCTGTTCCCCTTAGAAGGGTCCCTAGATTCCACGTTCTCTGTTCCTTCCTACATTCTTCCAGCTTCCCTGTAGATACTCCAACTCTTCTTTACCTCCCGACTGCATTTCTCCAGTCCTTTCTCTCATTCTGGCCCTTTCTCCTTTAGCATGCTGAGCTGTCCTTAGCACATCTGTATGAGATCTTGTTGTTAGACAAGCGTTTAAGGAATAGGGCCTTGGGGAAGGAGGCCATTGGAGGGGGCTCCTGCTTACACCTTGTCTCTCTCTGCTCATAGCCATCTCCCATATGATGTCACCCCGGAGCAGGCCTTGAGCCACCCCGAGGTCCAGAGACGACTGGACATCGCCCTACGCAACCTCCTCGCCATGACTGATAAGTTCCTTTTAGCCATCACCTCATCTGTGGACCAAATTCCGTATGTGCAACAGCCCCACCCCAGCCTACGCATGGGATTTCAAGAGGGCCAGGCCACCATGGGGAGCAGAGCAGGGTGATAGTCCTGCAGGGAGGAAGGCAGGGAGGGAGATGGAGCCAGGGGTACTCAGAGGGGTTCCTGAAGAGATGTGGGGAATGCTCGAAGCTCCTGCTAGAGAGCTGAGCTGAGAGACGGCGTGCAAGTCTGTGTGTGGCCTGGTAGGATGTCAGTGGAACCAGAGGAGGGACCCTAAAATGATCTCAGGGACACTTTATTAGCTAAGAGCAAATGAGGAGAAAATGGGACTCTTCAGTTCCCAATATCAAAAATAAATATTTTAAGCCCATAAAGTACTTTATAGTTCTCTCTTTTCTTAAAATTTAGTCAATACGTTTGGTTTTCTACATTTATTTTTGACACATGATAATTGTACATATTCATAGGGTATAGTGTGATGTTTTGATACGTGTATACATTGTGCAATGAATGATCAAATCAGGGTAATTAGCATATCTATTACCTCAAACATTTATTTCTTTTTGGTGAGAACATTCAAAATCCTTCTAGCTATTTTGAGATATACAACACATTATTATCAACTATAGTCACCTTCTGTGCAATAGAGCACCAGAACTTATTCTTTCTACCTGGATGTAACTTTGTACCCATTGACCAACCTCTCCCCATCCTCTCTCCCCTTCTCCTACCCTCCCCAGACTCCGGTAACCACCATTCTACTCTCTACTCCTGTGAAATCACCTTTTTAAGATTCCACATATGAGTGAGATTATGCAGTATTTGTCCTTCTGTGTTTGGCTTATGTATGTCACTTAACACGAACCTCTACGTTCATCTATGTTGTCGAAAATGACAGGCTTTCATTCTTTTTTTGTTTGTTTTTCTTTATTTTTTATTATTATTATTTTTAAGACAGGGTCTCACTCCATTGCCCAGGCTGGAATGCCCAGGGCAAGATGAGGATGTTGAAAGGGGGAACCCACAGAGTTTATAACCCTGCTCCCCAAACCTGGAGAACCGGATTAAGAGTTTACAATTAGGAGTAAGAAAAGATTGTTCTAGGCTTAAGAAAGTAAAGTACACAATGAGCTGTAAACTTCTGTCTCTGGTACCCTAGGAGTGGAAATTGCTTTTAAATGAATTTAATTACATTTGTAGGTGGCACATCCATAATAGGAATAATAATGATAATACAGTCTAGCACATTTGAATAGTACTCTACCATTATACGTTACTCTCGCAGACATAATTTCACTTGATCCTCAAAAAGCCCTGTGAGAAGAGAAGGCAAGAATGATCATTCCCATTTTCTAGACCAGGGGACAGACTTACAAAGGAGAAGGAAATAGTCTAAGATAATATCTCTGGTTGGTGGTGGAGTCCAAACTGGAGCTTCTCCTCCCGGCTCACTGATCTCCTTGGGGCCCTACCTCTAGCCCAGACTAGGCCACTCACAGATGCTCTGTGACAGCTGACAAGGTTGACTACCTCGGAGCCACCTAGGCTGTCCTAGGACAGGGTTTTGGCTGTGAGTGTCAGATACCCAAGCTTTAGGTTAATGGTGCCTCTGGGGGATGGGGGATGGCTATGGTGAGCTGGGGTGCTCTGCAGGGGACCCAGAGAGTCTCAAAGAAGAGGTTCTCGAGCCAGGTTGGAGGCTGTGTGAGAGATTTAGTAGATGATAGGGCCCTGGTCCTGACTACTGACATAAGGCAGGAGGAAGGGACAAGGCCCAGAGACGTTTGGAGGAAGGCAGCAGGGAGCTGGCTATGGCTAGTGGAGGGACAGTGCTTGAGCTCTACTCTGGAGTGGCTGAGCCTGGGGGAGAAGAGACAGCCAGGCACTCAAGCTCTTATCTCTGGCAGAGAGAGATGGGCAGAGGCACAGCCACGCGCACCTGTTTCTTTGTCCCCAGGTATGGGATGCGATATGTGGCCAAAGTCCTGAAGGCAACTCTGGCAGAGAAATTCCCTGACGCCACAGACAGCGAGGTCTATAAGGCAAGTGTTGTCTCCCCACCCCCACCTCCCAATCCCTCCTTTGCTTTGCTGGTACCTGCAATCCCCAGACTGAGACAAAAACACAAAAAATCCTATGCCATAAAAATCCAAGGAGGGAAATATGCTGCCCCCTATAAATGGAGCCTGGCTCACCCGCAGGGCTTCAGGTGGCAGATGGCTCATGCTGGGGTGTGAGCGAACAGAGTGGGCAACACTGGCTTCTTGTCAGGAGATCTGGGTTCAAGTCCCAGCTCTTGCTCAGGTTTGCTGTGTGGCCTTAAGCAAGTTGTCTGCCTGCTCTGGGCCTGTTTTCTTTGAAGTGAGGGGGTTGGCCCAGGTGTCCCTTCCAGCCAAGCAAGCTGAGAATGTGGGGCCGCACCAGTCAAGGCGGCCCCTGGACACTTCTGGGAGAGTCTCCTTTGCCCTCAGGTGGTCGGGAACCTCCTGTACTACCGCTTCCTGAACCCAGCTGTGGTGGCTCCTGACGCCTTCGACATTGTGGCCATGGCAGCTGGTGGAGCCCTGGCTGCCCCCCAGCGCCATGCCCTGGGGGCTGTGGCTCAGCTCCTACAGCACGCTGCGGCTGGCAAGGCCTTCTCTGGGCAGAGCCAGCACCTACGGGTCCTGAATGACTATCTGGAGGAAACACACCTCAAGTTCAGGTCTTGGGTCCCTTTCCTCTCTGTCCCCTTTCTTCCCTCTTCTCACCTTTGACATCCCACTTGTCCCCTCCAGAATCCATGAGGACAAGAGGCATAAATAGAAGGGATGAGCATAATGAGCGGGGTGGAGGATAGGTTGTTGGAAGGACTCCCCAGTGGAGAGAAAAGGAGACTATTAAGAGAGATTGTCTTGAGGGGTCACTGGGACAGAGGTAGGGCAGGACAGAGGGCAGAAGCTGAGACTGGAGAGTCCAAATTGGCCTGAGCAATCACTGGAGAAGGCTGGGGAAATGATGGGGACAGAAGATGTGTGGGGTGCTGGCCCTCCCCGCTCTCTCACATGCCCGCCCTCTGGACAGGAAGTTCATCCATAGAGCCTGCCAGGTGCCAGAGCCAGAGGAGCGTTTTGCAGTGGACGAGTACTCAGACATGGTGGCTGTGGCCAAACCCATGGTGTACATCACCGTGGGGGAGCTGGTCAACACGCACAGGGTGAGGGGCTGAGATCTGGAGGGTGTTGGCTGGGTGGGCAAGGGTTTGGTAGCCTGTGATGGGGTAGTGGGCTGGCCCCAGAGGGAAGACCTGGCTCAGACCCTGCATCTCCTTTTCTTTCTCCGTCCTGCAGCTGTTGCTGGAGCACCAGGACTGCATTGCCCCTGATCACCAAGACCCCCTGCATGAGCTCCTGGAGGATCTTGGGGAGCTGCCCACCATCCCTGACCTTATTGGTACGTGCCCTCCTTAGCAGCTGAGGCCAGCTAGGGGACCTGCATGGAGGGAGGGACAGGCAGGCAGGCAGGGCATGTGAGCGTGCCCATGCAGCCTAGGTCTTGTGCCAGGCGGCTAGTTCCATACTCTCCCTCTGGTCCTGACATGGGCACAGGGACACAGATTGATGTGGAGAAGGTAGACAGACAGTAGAGGGACCCACGATCATCATGGAAAACGGTCAATGAAATGATCTGAAAGAGGCACAGGGATCAGGGCCTCATTAGGTTTCTCTGAGAAGGAGGGGTTTCCGGGCCATGGAATAGGAGGAAGCCAACTTACTGGGAGGAAGGACAGAATGAAGATGGTGATTGGAGAGAACCAGGAGCTGCAGGCTCAGGGAGGCACAGCTCCTCTACCCTCAGGGCACCCAGGGCTGAGGGTGTGGGGGTGGCACAGCCCCAGTAACACAAGGGTATGCTCTGTGGGTAACAGCCCTTCCATCGGTGCTAAGGGTTGGGGACACAGGGTAGTTCTGCAGGCCAGTGTGGGAAAACTTCCTGGAAGAGGGGCATGTGGAGCAGCTGATTTAATGTGACCCCATCGGTGCATGTGTGTGTGTGTATGTGTGTGTGCGCATGTGTGTGTGTATGCCTGTCTCCCTCTCATTCCTCACCACACCTCAGGTGAGAGCATCGCTGCAGATGGGCACACGGACCTGAGCAAGCTAGAAGTGTCCCTGACGCTGACCAACAAGTTTGAAGGACTAGAGGCAGATGCTGATGACTCCAACACCCGTAGCCTGCTTCTGAGGTGGGTGATGCCAGCCTCTGCCCCTGCATACCTGAGCTCCCCAGCCCTGAGGCCAGTAAAATGGCCTTATTCTGAGGCGCCCATTCCACCTTCTTCCTGGGCTCCCTTATCCTTCAGGAAGTTCTCCCTGAAGCCTACCTTTATTCCCCTCGCTGCAGCCTTGGCTCTTTTCCATCTGGTATCCTCAGCTTTTTGCTCTGTGTTGTACTGAAAGTAAAGGAATGGTGAAGATATTGGCAACAGCAGGTGTTTGCATATCGTGCTGTTTACCAAATGCTTTTTTCTTTTTTTTCAAGTAGAGACAGAGTCTCGCCATGTTGCCCAAGCTGGCCTCAAACTCCTGGCCTCAAAGCCATCCACCTGGCTCAGCCTCCCAAAGTGCTAGGATTACAGGATTGACCCACTGCGCCTGGCCCAAATGCTTTTTTAATAAGTTATCGTTTATTCTTAGAAACAAGCTATGAGGTAGATGGTGGCTTCCCCTCTTCATAGTTGAGGAAAGACTCAGTAGTTATGTGATTTATCCAAAGTTCCACAGCCAGTGGGTTGTAGAGCTCATGTTCTAATTCCACTTTTTTTTTTTTTTTTTTTTTGAGATGGAGTCTCATTCTGTCATCCAGGCTGGAGTGCAGTGACACGAACTCAGTTCACTGCAACCTCCGCCTTCTGGGTTCAAGCGATTCTCCTGCCTCAGCCTCCTGAGTAGCTGGGACTACAGGTGCTCGCCATCATGTCCGGCCAATTTTTGTATTTTTAGTAGAGATGGGGTTTCACCATGTTGGCCAGCCTGATTTTGAACTCCTGACCTCAAGTGATCTGCCTGCCTTGGCCTCCCAAAGTGCTGGGATTACAGGCGTGAGCCACTGCGCCCAGCCTAATTCCGCATTCTTGTTGAGTGTGATGGTCAGGAGATGGGCATGGAGCTCTTCTTCCCCAGTTCTACAAAAGTGAGGGAGGACTCCCAGTAGGGGTGAGCTGGTCATCTGGGCAGAAGAGGAGCCAAAGTGCCAGCTCAAGCTCCTGCCAACAAGGCAACCCCTTGCACCCACTCATTCACTCAATAAACAAGTGAGCTGGCCAGGTGCGGTGGCTCATGTCTGTAATCTCAGCACTTTGGGAGGCCGAGGCAGGTGGATCACCTGAGGTCAGGAGTTCGAGACCAGCCTGGCCAACATGGTGAAACCCCATCTCTACTGAAAATACACAAATTAGCTGGGTGTGGTGGCAGGCACCTGTAATCCCAGCTACTTGAGAGGCTGAGGCAGGAGAATCACTTGAACCTGGGAGGCAGAGGTTGCAGTGAGCCGAGATCATGCCATTGCACTCCAGCCTGGGTGACAGGAGTGAAACTCTATCTCAAAAAAAAAAAAAAAAAACAAGTGAGCTGAGTATCATCTTTGTCCTGCCATCAAAGGGCTGAGAGCAGGATCGGGCTAGGGCTGAACACAGAGCACCACCAAGAGGGTGGTGGGTGTCAGATGCATTGAGAGCTAAGGAGAAGGGATGGCTGGGTGGGAAGGACATGTGTGCTCAGCTGAAGGACTCAAAGGCAGATAGTTTGTTGGGAAGGTATTCCAGGCAACGACATCCCCTATCCCTCGCTCTCTCTCCTTATATCCTAGCAGCCATGCTATAGAGCACGGTCCACTTACTCTCAGACCTCTGGCCAGTCCCATGTCCAGGCCCTTCCCCTGCCCCTTACCTCTCCTCTGTCACTGTCCTCCTTGTGCAGCACCAAGCAGCTGTTGGCCGATATCATACAGTTCCATCCTGGGGACACCCTCAAGGAGATCCTGTCCCTCTCGGCTTCCAGAGAGCAAGTGAGTAGCCGGGCTGGCCCACAGGTTCTGTCTCATTCATCCCCCACCTCATCCCACCTGCACCGCTGCTGTTTCCCTCCTCTGAACCTCACCCACATCAGCCAGAAGCAGACACCTGTGCTCACCAGTAATGAGAACTCTGGAGGCCTACAGGATGAGGGATACAGCTTTAGCCTTGGGAAGCCTCGGGCTACAGAGTCATGGGGCCCCACCCCTCTCCCCACTTCACACACTGAAACAAGCACCAACACTAGGGCTATGGGGGGCACTGAGAGACCGTCTGGGAATGCTCCCCTGGAAGGCCTGCACTCAGAAGAGTGGTCTGCTAGAATGCCTGGAGGCAGGAGAAGGTAGTAGGCAGGTGGGGGGCCAGGGGCAGGTTGGGCCCGCTGGAGTGAAGACTGAACCAGGGTCTTCCCAAAGAAAAGGTGGGGATGGCCAGTAGAGGTATGTCCCAAAACAGAACAGACAGGTAAATGCCCCCAAACATCCTGTGCCGTCAGAAAGATCCATTGTTGGGAAGTCACAGCTAGTGTCTGTCCGGAATCCTTTATGCCATGGCCTGGGTTTGGTTCTCCTTTGGGCCACTCTTCCCCTGTGGTGATCTATGAGGCCCTCCCATGTGTGACACCATGCATTATGGTGTTATACCTTGATATTCTTCATAAGCGATGCCCTGCCCCAGCCATATCCTGCAGAGGCTGGGCTCTGGGGCACTTTCTTAATGATATGCAGAAAAATGCTCAGGCCTCCCTTTGTTGCTGGTGCCCATGGGACCTTCACTGGTGTGGGAGCAGAATGGTAGGACCTGGTAGACCCCTCCAGCGTCTGTGTGTCCCCAGGAAGCAGCCCACAAGCAGCTGATGAGCCGACGCCAGGCCTGTACAGCCCAGACACCGGAGCCACTGCGACGACACCGCTCACTGACAGCTCACTCCCTCCTGCCACTGGCAGAGAAGCAGCGGCGCGTCCTGCGGAACCTACGCCGACTTGAAGCCCTGGGGTTGGTCAGCGCCAGAAATGGCTACCAGGGGCTAGTGGACGAGCTGGCCAAGGTAACAACCTGGGCCTGGGCTCCGTGTGCCTGTGTGTACGTGTGTGTGTGTGCGTGCATATACATGTTAATCCATAGTGTTGGTGGGCCCCTCCTGATGAGTCCTCACCCAAAATTGTCACCAGCCAGAGGAAGGCTGAGGGTCCTTTTTGAAGGAAAGATTTTTTTTTCTTTTTTTTTTTTTTTTTTGAGACAGTCTCACTCTCATCCAGGCTGGAGAGCAGTGGTGTGATCCTGGCTCACTGCAACCTTCACCTCCTGGGTTCAAGTGATTCTCCTGCCTCAGCCTCCCAAGTAGCTGGGATTACAGGTGCGCGCTGCCATGCCCGGCTAATTTTTGTATTTTTAGTAGAGACACGGTTTCAGGCCATGTTGGCCTGGCTGGTTTCGAACTCCTGACCTCAGGGTCCGCCCATCTTGGCCTCCCAAAATGCTGGGATTACAGGTGTGAGCCACTGCACCCAGCCAAATTTTTGTATTTTTAGTAGAGACAGGGTTTCACCATGTTGGCCAGGCTGGTCTCAAACTCCTGACCTCAAGTAATCTGCCCACCTTAGGCTCTCACAAAGTGCTGGGATTACAGGTGTGAATCACCACTCCTAGCCTGAAGGAAAGATCTTGAAATTAGTTAGAGAGGAAGGTGTTCTTGCAACTCTCTTTTTTTTTTTCTTCCCCACATTAGCTGGGTAATGTGCCCAGGTCAGAAGGTTTGAGAGAAGCATATCTCACACAAGAGCATGAAAACCCAATCCTCAGCTTATGACCTACAAAAGTATCCTTGCAACTTTCTTTTACTAAAAAACAAACAGCCTTGAAACCAGTTAGTCCTCAACGGGCAGAGGCCCTGAGGACATGCCTTGAGGATTTGGAATACCATCCTTGAGATTTTCCTTCTAGGAAAACAGCCTTGAAGCCTGTTCTTCCGAAGAGCCTCACAGTGTGTAGCTCTTGGGCCTGTGTCAGGCCCTAAGGCTCTCCTGCCAGGAAGGACCACTCATCCCTCCATCTGTTCCCCAACCCCAGGACATCCGCAACCAGCACAGACACAGGCACAGGCGGAAGGCAGAGCTGGTGAAGCTGCAGGCCACATTACAGGGCCTGAGCACTAAGACCACCTTCTATGAGGAGCAGGGTGACTACTACAGCCAGTACATCCGGGCCTGCCTGGACCACCTGGCCCCCGACTCCAAGTAGGTGCTGCTTTCCCGTACTTGGAAGGTTACGAGTGACTTCTCACCCCTGCCCATGTCACCTTTGCCCTGCTATCTCCCAGCTTTGAAAGGGGAATCTCACCCAGCACAGCACAGTCCCTTCCTAAGTCTGGTCTTTGAGCCTCATTTACAAAGTCTTGGGCTCAAGTGCAGCCCCCCTCCTCTGTCTTCCATCAGTGAGAAGTCTTCCTCGGGGTCTCATTTCCTTTCCAGCCACAGAAAACAAGTTTCTTTGGTGGTAAAGTGTTTATTGGATGAATTCTCTGGGGCCTTCTTTTAATCAGGAGTTCTGGGAAGGGGAAGAAGCAGCCTTCTCTTCATTACACTGCTGCTCAGCTCCTGGAAAAGGGTGTCTTGGTGGAAATTGAAGATCTTCCCGCCTCTCAGTATGTGTCTTTGGAGGGCAGGATGTCAGCCCCTTCCTGTCCTCTAACCTGGGGGTGGAGCTCTGGGCTGGGCACCGGGTGGAAGAGAAGAAGCATGGTCCCGATCTTGAAGGAGCTGCTAGAATGATGGTGGAGACAGAGCATGCCCAGACAGAAAGTGAAGGGCTGTGGACATGGTCTAGCACAGTTCTAGATGCCCTGAGGCAGAGGGTACTGGGAAAGCTTTCCAGAGGTGAGAACAGCTGCGTAGGGCGGGGCAGATAAAGAGATGGTGTGGGGAGCAGAAGTAAAATGGAGAAGACAGCGAGCTGGGCCCTCTGGGAGTGACAGAGGGAAAACTGGTTCTGGATGACACCGCTGCCCAGGATGAGGAGCAGTGGGTGCAAGAATGTGGCTGTAGCCCTGGAAAGAGGCAGTGGGTTCCTGTTTTGAATCCTGTTCCTGACAGCTTCAGAAACGTCATCTTTGACATCACGCCGGGAGATGAGGCAGGAAAGTTTGAAGTAAATGCCAAGTTCCTGGGTGTGGACATGGAGCGATTTCAGCTTCACTATCAGGTGAGGGGACAGTCCCATGAGCCTGCAGGACATCTGCTGGGCTTTAGGTGCTGGCCTGAAGAGAGCAGCTGGCCTCACTTTCCTAGTCCTCAGATGACACCAGCTCAGTTTTTCACCCAATCAGTATCGTCTGTTCCTGAAGAGAAGGGTGGGGGTCTGTGCAGCCCAAGCCCCCCTTTCCCCATGCCCTGACACAGACCCCACTGGCAAGCATCAGGGAGAGTGGAGTGGGCTACTGGTGTCAGAAGCAGGATTAATATTTGAAGCCCTATCACATGTCAGGGACTTTACATGTTACCTCCTTTAATCCTCTCCACAGCTCTGAAGTATTATCCCTATTTTACAGGCTCTAGGCTAAAAGGTTAAGAAGCTGGCTAAGTCATAGGCCAGTGTTCAGGAAAGGAGTGAAGCAACGGTGTTTTTGGTTGTGGTTGTTGTTGTTGCTTTTTTGGGTTTTTGTTTGTTTGTTTTCTTGAGACGGAGCCTTACTCCGTCACCCAGGCTGGAGTGCAATGGCGCAATCTCAGCTCACTGCAACCTCTGCCTCCTGGGTTCAAGCGATTCTCCTGCCTCAGCTTCCTGAGTAGCTGGGATTACAGGCGTGCGCCACCACACCGGCTTTTTGTGTATTTTTAGTAGAGATGGGGTTTCACCATGTTGGTCAGGCTGGTCTTGAACTGCTGACCTTGTGATCCGCCCGCCTCAGCCTCCCAAAATGCTGGGATTTACAGGCATGAGTCACCATGCCCAGCCGAGCAGTAGTTTTTAATCCAAATCTTTTTGCTCTGATGTTTTACCTTTTGAGTAAGAAAAATGATTTTGGCCGGGTGCAGTGGCTCACGCCTGTAATCCCAGCACTTTGGGAGGCCGAGGCGGGCGGATCACGAGGTCAGCAGTTCAAGACCAGCCTGGCCAATATAGTGAAACCCTGTCTCTACTAAAAATACAAAAATTAGCCTGGCGTGGTGGCACCTGCCTGTAATCCCAGCTACTCAGGAGGCTGAAGCAGGAAAATCGCTTGAACCTGGGAGGCGGAGATTGCAGCGATCCGAGATCGCGCCACTGCACTGTAGCCTGGGAGACCGAGTGAGACTCCGTCTCAAAAAAATAAATAAATAAAATAAGAAAAACAATTTCAAGCCCTGGTTCTGCTTGAGTTGACATTTGATCAAGTCACTGTACCTCTCTTGCCTCAGTTTCCTCATTTGTGAAGTGGGATTTCAATGCCCTACTTCAGTGGCCAGTGCCACTGGTGACTGCAGAAGGCCCCATGATGTGAGTGTTTTGTACACCATCTGACTGGACCACATTCAGAAGCCCTTAAACTCCCCTCCCTGCCTCTTCCCTCCTAGGATCTCCTGCAGCTCCAGTATGAGGGTGTGGCTGTCATGAAACTCTTCAACAAGGCCAAAGTCAATGTCAACCTTCTCATCTTCCTCCTCAACAAGAAGTTTTTGCGGAAGTGACAGAGGCAAAGGGTGCTACCCAAGCCCCTCTTACCTCTCTGGATGCTTTCTTTAACACTAACTCACCACTGTGCTTCCCTGCAGACACCTAGAGCTCAGGACTGGGCAAGGCCCAGGGATTCTCACCCCTTCCCCAGCTGGGAGGAGCTTGCCTGCCTGGCCACAGACAGTGTATCTTCTAATTGGCTAAAGTGGGCCTTGCCCAGAGTCCAGCTGTGTGGCTTTTATCATGCATGACAAACCCCTGGCTTTCCTGCCAGATGGTAGGACATGGACCTTGACCTGGGAAAGCCATTACTCTTGTGTCTGCTACTGCCCTCCCACAGTCACCCCAATATTACAAGCACTGCCCCAGCGGCTTGATTTCCCCTCTGCCTTCCTTCTCTCTGCACTCCCACAAAGCCAGGGCCAGGCTCCCCATCCCTACCTCCCACTGCATCAGCAGTGGGTGTTCCTGCCCTTCCTGAGTCTAGGCAGCTCTGCTGCTGTGATCTGCACACCCTCCAACCTGGGCAGGGACTGGGGGGATGCAGTGTGTGTTAGTGCCCATGTGGCATTGTGGCACTGTTGCCCCCCATGGCGGCATGGGCAAGATGACCTTCCATTAGCTTCAAGTCTTGTTCTCTTGTCTGTGGTCTGTTTAATATGTGGGTCACTAGGGTATTTATTCTTTCTCCCATCCTTACACTCTGGATCATTGTGCAGACTTAATCAGGGTTTTAACGCTTTCATTTTTTTTTTTTTTTTTTTTTTTTTGAGCTCAAAGAGAGTTCTCATTTTCCCTATTCAAACTAATACCCATGCCGTGTTTTTTACCTTGGATTTAAAGTCACCTTAGGTTGGGGCAACAGATTCTCACTCATGTTTAAGATCTTGTTATTTCAGCTTCATAAGATCAAAGAGGAGTCTTTCCCTTTTCTCTTTTACCCTCAGGATTCTCATCCCTTACAGCTGACTCTTCCAGGCAATTTCCATAGATCTGCAGTCCTGCCTCTGCCACAGTCTCTCTGTTGTCCCCACATCTACCCAACTTCCTGTACTGTTGCCCTTCTGATGTTAATAAAAGCAGCTGTTACTCCCACATCTGTTGTTAACCCTTATTTCATTTTCTGTAGAGCCGGCCTTTAAGTTCTGGAACACAGCTCCCTGAGAGAACTGGGGAATCCTTCCTGCAGCCTCCCCCAGCCCTCTGCCTGCCTCCGGTGTGGTCCTACTCTGCCTGCCTGAGATCGTAAAAGCTTAATGAGATGTGGCATTTATTCTCTCTTCCTTCCCCCGGGGGACAGAGAGGAGGAAGGAATGCTTAGGTTTCTATTCTGTTTTTATCGGCCACTCTGAAGACTAAAGCTGAGAAGAGAAGCCACTCTAATTTCTACCCCACCCGTTTTACACACAGTTCCTGCAGGTTCTTTTCCTGAGCCTTGGGTGGTGATATCAAAGGTGCTTAAGCCATAACTCCTTAGGTATTGTAGATTCTACACTCTGATCAAAATCTCCTTTCTGAAGGGAAAGCTCCCTCCTTTCCTCCTTGCTTTCAGAAAGTAGGGAGGGAAGTCTGTTGGGGAGGGGACAGTAGAGACAGACACCTGCCCTGACATCTGAACTCCCAGGCAGCTCCTGTTGGGGACACACCTTTGCCTGGTGCAGTCTGCCTCCCTCCACTCCGTTCCATTCTGTCACTCAGGATCTGTCTTGCTGTCACATCCAATCTCAGTCACAGCCTCTCCCCCCCCTTAACATGTCACAGCAAAGACTTCAAGTACTGCCTTGCTCTGGGTGACAGTGACATTTACCAGTAGATCCAAGTTTCTACATGTGATCAGCCATCATTAAAAATCTCATACTCACCAAATGGCTGCAATGCTCCCCCACAATCACATGATCTCAGCCACATATACCACATATAGAAATGTCACAATAGCTACCGTTACTGAGAGTCTGTCGTGGGCTGGGATATTTACATACATTTACTCCTCACAACAACCCTACAAAGGTTGTTGTGGTCTTCATCTTGGTTTAACATGATGAAACTGAGGTTCCGAGTTGGATCTGATAACTACCCAAGGCTATTCAGCTGGAAAGGAGCAGAACAGGGCTTTAAACTCAGGCCCACCAGATATACATTCCCCAGCATTTTTTCTCTTCTCTGAGAAACATTTTTACTTCCTTCAACCTCCCCTTTTGTGACACTCTCAAGCTCCCCCAACACTCCACTCTGCTGTGGGTCCCTGATAAGCTTGAGCTCATTAGTGTCCTTGCTAACCTTCAATGCCCAATCTGAGATACAGTTTCTTAGCTCCTATGAATGGGACTATATGCCAGTGTAACCTCTTTGGAGGACAATTTGGAAATATAAAAAATATAAGTGCTTCTTAGACAAGGTGGCATGAAAAAAATTAAGTGCAGGGTACCAGGATAATTCAACAGAAAGTAGTCTTTTCAACAAATGGTGTCAGGACAACTGGAAATCCACATGTAAAAGGAGGAAGTCGTACCCCTACCCCACACCAGATACAAAAATAAACTCAAAATGAACCACAGACCTAACTGTAGGAGATAAAACTATAAAACTCTTTAAAAAAGGCCAGACATGGTGGCTCACACCTGTAATCCCAGCACTTTGTGTGGCCAAGATGGGAGGATTGCTTGAGTCCAGGGAGTTCAAGACCATCCTGGGCAACATAGTGAGACTCCCATCTCTAAAAAATATATGTATTTTAAGCCAGGCGTGGTGCCTCATGCCTGTAATCCCAGCACTTTCGGAGGCCTAGGTGGGTGGATCACCTGAGGTCGGGAGTTCAAGACCAGCCTGACCAACATGGAGAAACCCCGTCTCTACTAAAAATACAAAAATTAGCTAGGCGTGGTGGTGTGTGCCTGTAATCCCAGCTACTTGGGAGGCTAAGGCAGGAGAATCACTTGAACCCGGAGGTGGAGGTTGCAGTGAGCCAAGATCACACCACTGCAATCCAGCCTGGGTGACAGAGCAAGACTCCATCTCAAAAAATAAAATAAAAATAAAACAAAAAAAAATTAAAAAACCCGCAGAGTGGGAGAAAATATTTGCTAATCATATATGTAATAAGGGATTTATATCCAGACTATATAAAGAACTCATCACAATAGAAAGACAACCTAATTAAGAAATAGGCAAAGGATTTGAATTCACATTTCTCCCAAAAGAACATATACAAATGGCCTTTCTTCTTTTGAAACGAAGTCTCACCCTGTCACCCACACTGGAGTGCAGTGGCGTGATCATGGCTCACTGAAGCCTTGATCTCCCCAGGCTTAGGTGATCTCCCGCCTCAGCCTCCCAAATAGCTAGGACTACAGGCATTCGCCACCATTCCCAGCTAATTTTTGTGTTTTTTGTAGAGACAAAGTATTCGCCATGCTGCCCAGGCTGGTCTTGAACTCCTGGGCTCAAGTGATCTGCTCTCATTGGCCTCCCAAAGTGCTGGGATTACAGGCCAGGGTCACTGGGCCTGGCCATCACTAGCCATTAGAGAAATGCAAATCAAAATCACTATGAGATCCCATTTTACTCCCATTAGGATGGCTAAAATAAAGCAGACACAATGATCAGTGTTGGTGAGGATGTGGAGAAATAACTCTCATACATTGCTGGAAGGGTTAAAATAGTGGAGCCACTTTGATAAACAATTTGGCCACTCCTCAAAATGTTAAACATAGAGTTATCATGTGACCTAACAATTCCTCTCCTAGGTATATATCCAACAAAATTGAAAGCATATGTCCACCCAGATATCTGCACATGGATATCTATAGCAGCACTCTTCATAATAGCCAAAAAATGGAAGCAATCCAAATGTCCATCAACTGATGAGTAGATAAACAAAAGTAGTATCTCCATACAATGGAATATTATTCACCTATCAGAAGGAATGAAATAGTGACACATGCTACAACATGGATGAACTTGAAAATGTGCTGCTAAGTGAAAGAAGCCAGACACAAAATGCCACATACTGTATACTTTTATTTATGTGAAATGTCCAGAATAGTCAGATCCATAGGAACAGAAAGTAGATCAGTGATTGCAAAGGCCCGGGAAAAGGGGAGAACAGAGAGTGACTGCTAATGGGTATGGGCTTTCTTTCAGGGGTGACAAAAATGTTCTGTAATTAGTGGTGATAGCTGCACAATGCTGAGTATAATAAAATATCACACAATTATATACTTTAAAAAGGTGAATTGTATGGTCTGTGAATTATATTTCAATAAAGCTTGTTTTTCTTAGTATAAGTGCACATACCCAGCAAGGACTTTTTCCTGTGGATATACCTGGATATGTGGGCAAAGAGCTCTGGAGGATTTGTTGCAGTATTGTTCGTATTGGCAATAAACTCAGTAGGGTAGTCACACAATGGAACATTAAGCAGCCAATAAAAATTATCAGCTGGAAGCTGGGTATGGTGGATCACGCTTGTATTCCCAGCAGTTGGGAGGCCAAGGACAGAGGATCACTTGAACCCAGGAATTCAAGACCAGCCTGGGAAGGCCAGGTGTGGTGGCTTACGCCTGTAATCTCAGCACTTTGGGAGGCTGAGGCGGCCAGATCACCTGAGGTCAGGAGTTCAAGACTAGGCTGGCCAACATGGTGAAACCCTGTCTCTACTAAAAATACAAAAAATTAGCCAGGTGTGATGGCACGTGCCTGTGATCCCAGCTACTCGGGAGGTTGAGGCAGGAGAATCGCTTGAACCTGTGAGGCGGAGGTTGCTGTGAGCTGAGGTTGCGCCACTGCACTCCAGCCTGGACAACAGGCAAAAAAAAAAAAAAAAAAAAGCCAGGCGTGGTGGCTCACGCCTGTAATCCCAGCGCTTTGGGAGGCTGAGGCGGGTGGATCACCTGAGGTCGGGAGTTCAAGACCAGTCTGACCAACATGGAGAAACCCCATCTCTGCTAAAAATACAAAATTAGCCGGGCATGGTGGCACATGCCTGTAATCCCAGCTACTCAGGAGGCTGAGGCAGGAGAATCGCTTGAACCCAGGAGGCAGAGGTTGCGGTGAGCTGAGATCACGCCATTGCACTCCAGCCTGGGTGAAAAGAGCGAAACTCTGTCTCAAAAATAATTAATTAATTAATTAAATTTAAAAAAAAAAGACCAGCCTGGGCAGCACAGTGAGACCCTGTCTCTTAAAAAAAAAAATGAGGTGGATCTGTGTGTGCCAATGTAGAAAGCTGTCATTTTGGACTGATACACAAGAAGCTTGGCAGTGGTCACCTTTGGAGAGTAGAGATGAGAAGAAGGCTCTTCTTGTACTATTATTACGATAAGCTTATATTGCTCTTTTTTTTTTTTAATTTAGAGATGGGATCTCCCTCTGTTGCCCAGATGTGAGCAACATGACAGAGTGGCATGCTGCTTCTGCTAGAGCAGTGCTTCTAAAAGTGGGCTCCACAAGCTGTTACTGGTCCACAACTAGATAAATGCAATAATTGAGAGCAAACATTTAGAAGCTTACAGGAACTGCCAGTAATTTTTCATCTGAATGTAATAATTTTAAAAATTGAGGCTTGTATTTAATAGGTCTTTTTTATTTCAGTTTTCTAGTAACTAGTATTTCTTGCACTTCACAAAAGTATCAGTCCATAAAAGATTGGAAATTTTTAAAAATGCATCCTTCACTACAGACAGTTTGAGAACTGTTCTAGAGGGCATACTTTAATAATGTGATATAAGAATGCATTATCTCTGTTGAATCAAACTAGAGAGACTTATATAGCATTATAATTTGTCAATTTACAATAAAAAATAAAGAGACGAGTTGAGAGTAGCTGAGATCATATTGTATATGCAATTTTAGATTCTGCTTTATTCACTTAGCCATGAAAAATATTTTCCTTTGTCTTTAAAATTTCTTCAAAAATATTATTAATGCCTATAATATAGCCCATATGTATTTAACATTCCTACAATGTTGAATTGTTTTCCATTTTCACTAGTATAAGTAATTATGTAATGGATATCTTTGTAGACAAAATATTTGTTACATCTTTTTCTTTCTTTTTGTTAGACAGGGTCTCACTCTGTTGCCTGGGCTGGAGGGAGTAACACCATCACGGCTCACTGCCACCTCCAATTCCTGGCCTCAAGGGATCTTCCCACCTCAGCCTACCAAGTAGCTGGGACTACAGGCGTGTACCACTATGCCCAGCTTATGTTTTATTTTTTGTAAAGACAGGGTATTCACCATGTTTCCTAGGCTGGTCTCAAACTCCTGGACTTAAGTGATCCTCCCGCCTCAGCCTCCCAAAATGCTGGGATTACAGGCGTGAGCCACTGCACTGGGTCCTTTGTTACATTTCTAATTAACTCCTTAGAATAGAATACTAGAACAGAAGGTAGTTCAAAGAGTATACACTTTTTTAAAAGTTATAGGTTTTTTCCTGACTATAATACATATTTTTTGTGGGAAATTTAGAAAATATAAAAAAACAAAAAAGGTGAAAATAATTCATGATACCATAACAAGTGGTGACCACTTGTAACATTTTGATATATTTTCTTCCAATAATATTTGTAATTAGAGCCACACTATGTATCTTCTCTTGTAACCTGCTTTTTCCACGTATCATTATAAACATTCTCCCATATTAAATGGGATATAACATAATCTACTTAATCCATCCACTATAAAATAACTAGATTGTTTAAGTTTTAGTATATAAATTAATGCTGTATTGCCTGGGCGTGGTGGCTCACGCCTGTAATTCCAGAACTTTGGGAGGCCGAGGCAGGCAGATCACTTGAGGCCAGGAGTTTGAGACCAGCCTGGCCAACATGGTGAAACCCCGTTTCTACTAAAACTACAAAAATTACCTGTGCCCAGTGACGTGCACCTGTAATCCCAGCTACTAGGAAGGCTGAGGCAGGAGAATTGCTTGAACCTGGGAGGTGGAGGTTGCAGTGAGCCAATATCACGCCACTGCACTCCAGTCTGGGGACCGAGCGAGACTCCATCTCAAAATTAAAAAAATAAAAAATAAAACAAAATAATGCTGTATTGGACTACATGTCTAGATGAGAAGATGCTTGGGGCACTTTATAAAGGATCTTTTTACATGTGGCCTAATGTCTACAGAAAATCTGTACCAATTCACAGAAAGAAAGAAGGGACAGAAAGTGAGAGAAAATGGTCTACACTGCTGGGGCCAGTAGTCCAGGGTCAGAAAGAAGCCCAGACTGACTTTGCTGCAAATCAACACAAATCTGTCTCTGCTGGGGCTTATGAAACCTCTCAGTTGCCTTTCTACTAGTGTAGGTAAGAGGGCCCCTTTCTCTGCAAGAAACATGGACATTTAAAAAATATGTGCTGTCAAATACAATTTGGTAACCTGAACTGGATCCTGGCACAGAAGAAAAAGGGACATTAATAGAAAACTGGTGAAATTAAATAAATTCTAGAGTTTATTTAACAGTAATATGTTCATAGTGGTTTCTTAGTTTGAGAAATGTACCACAGTAATGTAAGATGTTAACCTTAGGGTAAACTCAGTATGGGGTACACAGGAACTCACTGTACTATCTTTGCAACTTTTCCATAAATCTAAAATTAGTACAAAATTTAAAGTTTTGTTTAAAAAATGTATTGCGCCAATGTAGAGTCCCACTAAAAGTGTGTGGAAGTGTTAGTGTAACCACACCCTTGGTAGCAGCAAATATTTTTTTAAAAATTTAATCCTTCAACAAATATTTATTAAGTGCCCTCTGTGTGCCAGACACTGCCCTAGGTACTTGGGCATCATTGAACAAAGCAGACATAGATCAATGACCTAGTGGAGCTGACGTTGCAGCAGAGAAAGACAGATATTTTAGTATGTTAGAAGAAATAAGTGCCTTGTGGCTGGGCACAGTGTCTCACACCAGTAATCCCAGCACTTTGGGAAGCCAAGGTAGACAGATCACTTAAGGTCAGGAGTTTGAGACCAGCCAGGTCAACACGGTGAAACCCCGTCTCTACTAAAAATACAAAAATTATCTGGGCATGGTAGTGCGCTCCTGTAATTCCAGCCACTCCAGAGGCTGAGGCAGGAGGATCACTTGAACCTGGGAGGCGGAGGTTGCTGTGAGCCAAGATCACGCCACTACACTCCCACCTGGGTGACAGAGCAAGACTCTGTCTCAAAAAAAAAAAAGTAATAAGTGCCTAGGAAAAAGGAAAAACAGGGTAAGGGACTTCAAGGGTGGAGGAGAGGAGTGAGGGATGGGTTGCAATTTTAAATAGGGTGATCAGGAGAGGCTTCCTTGAGAAGACAACTCAGCAATGACTTGAAGAAGCTAAAAGGTGAGCTATGTGTGAATGCCTGGAGACAAGGTCTAAAAAGTAAGCTGGAAGGACAGATCTGACATAACCTTGTAGGCTGTAACAAGGTGTGGCAGATACCATCAAACACTCACCAATAACTCCATTTACTCTGCTACATTTCCCAATCTCCTTGCAGTTAGGGAGAACTATATGACTAGTTTAGGCCAATGAAAGGTGACTGAAGCACAGTGTACCATTTCCATGCTTAGGCAATAAAAATCCCATATAAGTCCAGGCACAGTGACTCACACGTGTAATCCCAACACTTTGGAAGGCCGAGGTGGGAGGATCGCTTGAGCCCAGGAGTTTGAGGCCAGCCTGAGCAACATAGCAAACCCCATCACATGTTTGTTGGTTTTTTTTTTTTTAAGAGGCTTTCGGTCTGTTGCCCAGGCTAGAGTGCAGTGGCATGATCAGGACTCACTACAGCCTCAACCTCCTAGGTCCAAGCAAACAATCCTCCCACCTCAGCCTCCCAAGTAGCTAGGACCATAGGCATGTGTCGCCACATTCAGCTGAATTTTTTTTTTGTGGGGCGGGTAAGGACAGGATCTCCCTATGTTGCCCAGGACTGAATGGATCCCCCACCTCGGCCTCCTAAAGTGCTGGGATTACAGGCATGAGCAACCACACCTGGACTTTTTTTTTTTTTTTAAGAAAAATAAAAATTTTAAAAGTATAAAAAGGCTGGGTGTGGTGCCTCACATCTGTAATCTCAGCACTTTGGAAGGCTGAGGCAGGTGGATCACCTGAGGTCTGGAGTTTGAGACCAGCCTGGCCAACATGGTGAAACCCCATCTCTACTAAAAACACAAAAATTAGCTGGGCATGGTGGCAGGCGCCTATAATCCCAGCTACTTGGGAGGCTGAGGAAGGAGAATCACTTGAACCCAGAAGGCGGAGGTTGCAGTAGCCAAGATCGTGCCATTGCACTCCAGCCTGGGCAACAAGAGTGAAACTCCGTCTCAAAAAAAAGAAAAAGAAATAAAAAGTATAAAAATCCCATATGCGATTCTCATATCTTTCTTTCCCAGATATGGTATCTGTGTTCCAGATGGTGGAGCTAGAAGATGGTAGAGCCTCTATCAGCCTGGGTCCTTGAGTGACTATGTGGAGCAGAGCCTCCCCTACTAACCTGAGTGTGACATGTGTCATGAGCTATCACCAGCTGGTAGCAACCCGGAAAGAAAGACAGCCACTATCTGCCACTGAGACTTATTACGTTAAGCTACTGAGACTTGGGGGATGGTTACCACTACAGCATAACTTAGCCCATCTGGCCTAATACAGAAGAGCTTGAATTTTTTACTCTGTGTTAACTGAGTCAACTGTTTCTTTGAAGAAGGGGAAGCATCATTGATTAGTTTTTATTTATTTGATAATTAGTGAATGCAGCAGGTTTTCTTTTCTTTTCTTTTCCTTTTTTTTGAGATGAAGTATCGCTCTGTGCCCCAGGCTGGAGTGCAGTGGCACAATCTCGGCTCACTGCAACCTCTGCCTCTCGGGTTCAAGCGATTCTCCTGCCTCAGCCTCCTGAGTAGCTGGGGCTACAGGCACAGGCCACCATGCCTGGCTAATTTTTGTATTTTTAGTAGAGCCAGGTTTCACCACGTTGGCCAGGCTGGTCTTGAACTCCTGACCTCAAAGGATCCATGATCCACCCACCTCGGCCTCCCAAACTGCTGGGATTACAGGCATGAGCCACTGCGCCCGGCCCAGCAGGTTTTATTTTCTAAGATGTCCATAACAAAATCTCCGCTCCTTCATGCTCTTCTTATAGGGGCATTATCCGTCATCCCATTGAGAGGGGGCATCCACAGTCCCTCCCTTTGAATCTGGGAAGGCCTCTAACTACAGTGAAAGTGAGGTTATGTGACTTATGGCTTCCACCTGGTCCTATGGGCCATTTGCTCTGGGAACCCTACTGCCACGCTGTGAGGAAGTTGAGGCCACATGGAGAAGTCAACATCTATATGACGTTCCTGTTGACCTTCCCAACTGAGGTCCTAGCTGACAACCAGACACATGAGGAAGCCTTTGAGATGACTCCAGCTGCTGTCTGCAACCACATAAGAGACCTGACAAGCAACAACTGCCTAGTTTAGCCCAGTAGAGCCCAGGACCATAATAATAATGAAAGAATGTTGTTTTAAGCCTCTAAGTTTTAAGGTGGTCTGTTACACAGCAATAGATAAATGGAAGAGTGGAGCTGAACATTTGACACTGTTTTAATCTAATATATTCAAGTGTTTTTGCGCCAATAAGCCACCTTCTTGCCAAATCTGACTTTTCTCTTTCCAGACAAAAGTGCTAACCAGGACAGGGCAATGGATGGAGCTAGCAGTGATATCTCTCCAAGCTGACGCAGATTTATTAACAAGATTTTCTGGGTATAGCTGTTCCATTAACACACAGTAGGCATTCACTGACTATTTGTTAAACGAATGAGTAATGCTGTCCATGTTCCTGCATCTTTTTAAAAAGATAATATAATCAACCTAATGAAATGCTTTCATAAAATTCAGATGCATTATGCAACACTCCTCAGAAATACCATCTATTAAACCCTTTTATTATAAAAAGCCTACAGCAATTTTTTTCTGAGTTCCCTTCTCATTAAACAAATGAAATAATGTATATATCATCTCAATGTAAAAGATTCAAGTCATATGTACAAAGTAAGGTAAAATATATCTGCATCTTCCCCAAAAATAAGCCTTATTGATAATTTGGTATAGATCCTTCCAGGCCTTCTTTCTATACATTTGCCCTCATATATATGTTCATATTCTGGCAGAATGTATTTTCCAAATATGGCCACGACATTTCCCATTCCATGGGCTCTTCGAAAACCCTGAGGTTTGGAGCCTCTCCATGAGGTGGAAGGCTCTGTCCTCTACCCTAGAACATGAGCAGGCCTCTGTGACTGCCTCCACTAATGTATGACAGTGATGCTGGGTGACACCCAAGGCTAGGTCATAAAAAGCAATATTGATTCCCCTTAGCTCTCTATCTCAGAATAATGTCCTTGGAGCCCTAGTCCTCCTTGTAAGAAGGCTGACTACCCTGAACCACCGTGCTGGAGAGACCACAAGGACCACAAGGAGAGACCAGAGAGAGAAAGAGACTGTAGCTGTTCTGGACTCCACCTGCTTGAGTGTTCCCAGCCTCGGTGGCAGACATGTGAAGAAGACTTTGAGACCCCCGATCCAAACCCTGTCAGACTGCAACAGCATGAGACTCTGAGGGAAAATCACCTGGTGGAACCCAGTCAATCCCCAAAACCAAAAGCAGTCATTGCTGTTTTAAGTCACTTAGTATAGATAGTTGATGAATACACACATACCTATACATGCTTATTTACATAAATAGCCTATTCTATAGATTGCACTGAGAATTACTTTTTTCTTTTTTCTTTTTTTTTCTGAGACAGAGTCTCGCCCTGTCACCCGGGCTGGAGTGCAGTGGCACGAACTCGGCTCACTGCAAGCTCTGCCTCCCGGGTTCACGCCATTCTCCTGTCTCGGCCTCCTGAGTAGCTGGGACTACAGGCGCCCGCCACCACGCGCAGCTAATTTTTTGTATTTTTTAGTAGAGACGGGGTTTCACCGTGTTAGCCAGGATGGTCTCGATCTCCTGACCTCTGATCTGCCCGCCTTGGCCTCCCAATGTGCTAGGATTACAGGCATGAGCCACCGCGCCTGGCCTTTTTTTTTTTTTTCTTTTTTTTGAGACGGAGTTTCGCTCTTGTTGCCCAGGCTGAAGTGCAGTGGCGCAATCTCAGCTCACCGCAATCTCCGCCTCCGGGGTCCAAGCCAGTCTCCTGCCTCAGCCTCCTGAGTAGCTGGGATTACAGGTGCCTGCCACCATGCCCAGCTAATTTTGTTTTTGTTTTTCTGTTGTTTTTTTTTTTTAAGACGAAGTCTTGCTCTGTTGCCCAGGCTGGAGTGCAGTGGCTCGATCTCTGCTCACTGCAACCTCTGCCTCCTGGGCTCAAGCAATTCTCCTGCCTCAGCCTCCCGAGTAGCTGGGATTACAGGTGCCTGCCACCATGCCCAACTAATTTTTTTTTTTTTTTTTTTTTTTTTTAGTAGAGACAGGGTTTCACCATGTTGGTCAGGCTGGTCTCGAACTCCTGACCTCAGGTGATCCACCCACCTCAGCCTCCCAAAGTGCTGGGATTACAGGCGTGAACCACCACGCCCGGTCCTAATTTTGTATTTTTAGTAGAAACGGGGTTTCTCCATGTTGGTTGGGCTGGTCTTGAACTTCCGACCTCAGGTAATCCACCCGACTTGACCTCCCAAAGTGCTGAGATTATAGGCGTGAGCCACTGTGCCTGGCGGCTGCTTTTTGCTTTTTGCTTTCTTTCTTTTTTTTCTTTTTTTTTTTTTTTGAGATGGAGTCTCACTCTGTCACCCAGGCTAGAGTGCAGTGGTGTGATCTCGGCTCACTGCAACCTCCACCTTCCTGGTTCAAGCGATTCTTGTGTCTCAGCCATCCAAGTAGCTGGAATTAGAGGCACCTGCCACCACACTCAACTAATTTTTGTATTTTTAGTAGAGACAGGGTTTCACCATGTTGGCCAGGCTCGTCTCGAACTCCTGACTTCAGGTGACCTGCCCGCCTTGGCCTCCCAAAGCACTGGGATTACAGATGTGAGCCACCATGCCCGGCCTGAGACTTGCTTTTTTCACTAAACAATTTGTCTCTGGGACCATTCTGTCAGTGGGCCCAGATCCAGTTCATGCCTCGTAAGGCTGTGCAACATTCCATAGCACAGATGTTCCATAACACAGCACAGACGATTTTCAAACATCTTTGGCTGTGGCCCGGCTCTTCAAAGGAAAGTTTAGTTGGAAGCCCACTGTGTAAAACAAGTGAACGAAACCATGGGGCAAAGGAGGCAGAACCCCGCCCTGCACAGTGCCCCTCCAATCCTCTCCTGGAGGAAGAGGTTCCTGAAGGAACTTTTAGCTTTCCATGGCACCTTTACAATCACTCACCTACTTATAGGGTTGAAGAACAGGTTACGGGCTGGGCACAGTGGCTCACACCTGTAATCCCAGCCCTTTGGGAGGCTGAGGAGGGCAGATCACGAGCTCAGGAGTTCGGGACTAGCCTCAACATGGTGAAATCTTGTCTCTACTAAAAATACAAAAATTAGCCAGGCATGGTGATGCACCCCTGTAATTCCAGTTACTCACGAAGTGGAGGCAGGACAATCGCTTGAACCCGGGAGACAGAGGTTGCAGTGAGCTGAGATCGCGCCATTGCACTCCAGCCTGGGTGACAGAGCAAGACCGTCTCAAAAACAAACAAACAAACAAACAAAAACGAACAGGTTATGGTGTGCATCTTGGTCTTGAATGTACATTTGACTCATCTATGCCTCTTGTTAAGTGCAAACTGTGATTCACAGGTGCGGAGTGGAGTGGGATCCTCTTGACGTTCTGACAGTCTCCCAGGTGATGCCCATTCTCACTTGAGTAGTCGGGGATTAATTAGTGAACCCCATCTAGCTCCTGATGGTCCCTCTTTTTTTCTCTAACCTTCCACAACAGTTGTGGTAATGAAACCCCAGAATTTTGAAAATATCTTTCCCTCTTCTTAAAGATTAGAACCTCCTATTTTCATCTACAGTAGTTTTACACCTCTTGTATTCTCCAAAATTCCTCACACACCAGGGACAATGCCACCACAACCATCTGGGCAAGTTCCCTCGGTGCCTCTGGTGAACTTCACGGGGTGGAGATAGGAAGTCACTGAACAAATGGGGCTGTAGATTTGATTCTCACATTTTCAGAACTCCAATTCTCTTATTTCCACTTTAAACATCTGTCTTAGGAGAGAAATGGGAAGAAAATAGGAGTTGGGAGTTCTATTCACTCTGTCATCTGTCACCATTACTCTACCTGCTCCAGCAGAGGTCCCTTTTTTGGCTTTTCTTGAAACTCTTGCTCCAAAAATGACTCCCCACCCCAGTGCCCTCCTTCCACCCCCCACCCCCACGCCCCCTTGAGAGAGAGCCTTTTGCTATCCTTTGCCTGTTCTACAAACCTCTGCCAGGCTTTGGGCTTCCTGATACTATACCAGCAGATTTGCACCCTCTTGAATTTGTTCTTGCTTACCTCTTCCTCCTTCTGTAGAGGATGGAAGGAGAGGCGCCATCCATTGCTGCAAGGCAACGAAGTACATTGCACATAGTTTACATGATCTATTGTAATTTTGGCAGCACCTCATGAACATTGCTGTCACATCATCATTGAGAAAACCGAGATTCAGAAAAAGCGAGTGACTCACCCAAGGTCACACAGCTGGAAATGACTGAGCTGGGATCGGATCTCAGGTCTGTTTGACGCAATCTTCTCTCCCCACCTTCTCCAAATCTGAGCAATTGAGAGGTCCCTGGGTGACCGGATCTTTCAGTGCCCTTTTCTGTCTCATTAGCACTTTTTTTATTTTATTTATTTATTATTTATTTATTTATTTTTTGAGATGGAGTCTCGCTCTGTCGCCCAGGCTGGAGTGCAGTGGCGCAATCTCAGCTCACTGCAACCTCCACCTCCCAAGTTCAAGCAATTCTCCTGCCTCAGCCTCCCAAGTAGCTGGGACTACAGGCATGTGCTACCACGCCCGGATAATTTTGTATTTTTAGTAGAGACGGGGTTTCTCCATGTTGGTCAGGCTGGTCTCAAACTCTTGACCTCAGGTGATCTGCCCGCCTTGGCCTCCCAAAGTGCTGGGATTACAGGCATGAGGCACCGCGCCCGGACTTCATTAGCACTTTCAACATTGAATTTGTGAGGGTATTATTCTAACACTCCTCTATGGGTTGAAATCCCAGAGCCACTTTGTGCTGTATGAACATGAACATGCTCCTTCAGTTTCACCATCTGTAAAATGAGGCTGATCGTTCTTTGTCAGATGTCAGACAAAGTATTATGGGCTATTGTCTGATGATGAAAATAGTGTACACAATGCCTTTCAGAGTGCCTGGCATAAAGCAGGAATGAAAGCAAAACAAGCCTCTACCCTTCTTGTCCCCAACTTGGCATCGTTCTCGTGGGTCAGGAATAAGAAGGCCTCACATTGCCCCTGTGTCTTCTCGGCAACGCAGCCTCTGGGGTGTGTGAGATGGAAGACTCAAAACTTCCTAGCCCTTAGTGAGAGAGGGAGAGGGCTGAAGCACACCCTGTTCCCTGCGGAATTTGGGGACCGTGCCAGGATGGACTGCAAGAAGCTATTCACCAGTATGTGCAGCATGTGTGAGTGTAGCGTCTGATGGGAGAACGGGAGCCTGCCAAGATACCAGCAAGGAGACAGGCACTGTGGAGGAGGGGCTGGGTGTCGGCCACCACGGAACCCAACCCTCATCATTTCCCCAGCGCCCTGGCTGGCACGTCACGAGTGCTTGATCCATGCTTGTTGAATGAAGGTGCGCTCTTCTGGACAGGGGTTGAGGCAATGGAGGAAGTGACAGAAAAAGGGAGGCAATGGCCCTCTGTCAACCCTGAGCTGCTCCTCACGTTTACAGGGCTACAGGCCTGTTAGAGATGCAGTGAGGCGGGTGACAGGGTCAATCGACGAGTCTTTCCCTCTTGATCGTTACCTCATTCAAACTCCAGTCCACCAAAAAACAATAATAAAAGAGAAGAAAAATAACGGCATACAGTGCAGCACTTCAGCTTTGAGGACACTGAGAATTCCAGCAGATGGCTGATGGGTGTGGGGCCCCTGCTGCCCTGCCACCTCCCTTCTGTGTAGGCTCCTTGGTAGCCTCTGTGACTGGGAGGCTGCCCCAGGGTCCAACCGGCTTCCCTTCCCATTCTGTCGCCTCCCTACTAAGTTTCCGCCCTCAGACCTTTACACTTCCATGGAAGTTCCTACCTTTTAGCAGACAGGCAAGTCCTCGACCTTCCTCCAAGATTGATGTGAAAGATGCTCACCCTTGTCTTTCATGCCCTAGCCCCTGCCCTCTCCAACTCTCAGTCTATGGAATGTCACACAGGTTTGCATGCACAATCGCAGCCTTCTGGAGGATTGTGAGCCAATTCAACAGGCTTCTTGAGCGATGGGTACATCCCTCCTCTGTAACTGTCTTGGGGAGGATGGGAGAGGGAGCCTTGAGCTTGATCAACCCTTTACTGTCTCCCTGCCTCCCCCATACCGATGGTGCCAGGGTCTCCTCCTAGGACCTCCAGGTGCACAGCCTCTTGTTGCTTAGCGACAGCGTACCTCTTCCCCATACCTCAGCAACCTCCCCCAGCAGCGCAAGGAGCAGCTGTGAAAGGGAGAGCTGGGCTGGACCTCGCAGGAGCTGCCACTGCTGCTGACGGAGATGTGTGGGAACAAGCCCCAAAATAGGCCTGAGTGTGAAACCCAAGGCTTTTTTAAATACTCAGGTCCCACACTGACTCTTGGAAAGCCCTGCCATGCTCCCCTGTCCCCAGCTTCTGCCAGGCTGCTGCGTCTCCCTCCCACACTGGGCCTCTTACTCCACTTCTGTGCTCTCGGCTGTCTGCCCCTCTGTCTGCCGTGGGTCTCTGGGTCTGCTCCTGGGGTCTCTCCCTCTCTTGGGGCTCAAGTGTCACTTTTGCTGCCCCTTGTCCTTCTGCCCATCCTATAACTCCTGTCCATGTGTGGGTCTCTGGGTCTCTGTGGCTGCCACAGTCTCTCTTGCCCTTCTTCCTGCTCAAGCTGTGTAACTGCCAGTCTCTCCCTCACTAGCAAGAATCCCCTCATTCCCACCCTCAAGGGCTGCTTATTGTGACAACCCCACATTGCTAGAGCCACCATGACTATAATCCTTTGTTACTACCTTTTTAGGAAAGGCCTGTGGTAGGAGGGTCACAGAAGTGGCCCTCAGGGAGACCTGCCTTTCTCACTTAGCCTGCCCTGTGCTTCTGTTTCAATGGAAACTGACATTGGACTTCAGCCTAGTCCAATTAGAAGAGGACCAGGCCCAGAAAAGAAAAGAAGGACTGCCTTACCTCCATCCCTTCGGCTACCATGTCAGAGTTCCAAAGAGAAGCTCCTGAAGAGGCTCAGCACCCGTGACAGCCAAGAACTGCCCCACCCAGAACAGTGTTCTCCACCCCCAGCTGATGGTGATGCCACCCAAGGGCCTGGTGCCATCTCTGTGTCCACTAAACTAGTCCTCTGCCATCCCACCTCCCTCCACTGCTGATGTTTGGGTCTAATGATATTATCTGTGGGTTAAGAATCCTGAACTAGGGAGCAGGTTGGCAAAGGGACAGCTGAGAATAAGTATGGCCAGAGTCAAGTGGGGTGGGGTGGAGGACAGCTCCCAGGCAGGATAGGGGCTGGAGGGGTGCTGAAGTGAGGGCACAAGGGAACTTTGGGAGGGAGGCCTGGGTTCTGCCTTCTAGCAGAGGAAGCAGCGAAACAGCAGAAGGAACTTTTAGGCCGGAGGCCGGACCAAGTGACCTCACCCAAACACTGTGGTCTGCTGCTATTGCAACCTGGCGAGCCTCCCAGCTCTCCTGGGTCCCCAAGTAGGAGAGCTTTTTATAGTTCACTCCCCAACTTAGGTTTGAATAATTAAACAAGATGGACAGAAATAGCAGCCGGACAGTGAAAGCAGGTTATTTTGGGGTTTTCTGGAACACAGTGCTCCTGGGTGTCACCCCACCCCTGCAGGGGGGCGGAGCTAACATCAAGGCTGATGGGAGATTCCTGTGGGGGGAAACCCACCCACACCCCCAGGGTTCCTTGTGTTGAGGAGGTTGCTCTCAGCCAGAGGAGGGTCTCACCATTTCTTCCTCCTCCTCAAGGAAAGAGAGGGCTCTCACTGCCTTCTGATCATAGCTATTCCCCTGGCAGGAAGTCCCTCCTGTTGCCTGTCAGGCCTTCTACTTCTGAGATGGTGACAGATATTGAAAATCAGATCGATAAGCAGCTGCAAGACAGGCTGAACAAGGACAAGGTGGCTACTGCTCCTCTGGCCAAGGAGCCGGAACCAGGTGATAGGAGGTCTCGTCCCCCCTCCACTATAACCACTGGGGAGCTGTGGAGGGAATGAAGGTTGGGGTGGGGAGTGGGAGCCAGAGCTAGGGACAGGAGAGGAACTGGCTCGGGGTCGAGGAGTAAGATGAGGCTCCAGAGAAGAAAAGCTCAAAGGTGGGTTAGTGTTTGGATGAAAAGCTCCCCTTTTCCAGCTCTCTTTTAGTGTCCGCTGTCCTTGGCAGAAGCCCAGCCTGGGTTTCTTGGGACAGGGTTTCAGTAGCTAAGCCGGGGATGAGGAGAGGTCAGAAGCCCCCTTTCCCACCCAGGTCTTCATCGCAGACCAATCCTCTGTGACTTGTTTGCATAATACAGTACTTTTAGTTCAACTGCAGAGATTAACCTCAACTCTACCTTGAGGTTCTACCACAGAGCCTTAAAACCTGGGGCACAGAGGGGCACAACAGGTGGTAAGGGGGTATTTATAATGTTTTCTTCCTTTGGATAACAACTTCAGATTTGAGTTTGGAGGTCAAATTTCAGGGAATACTGAAATTGTTCACATATTCATTTAATGTTTTAAATTTTTATTTAAGAGATGATGTCTCGCTATGTTACCCAGGCTGGTCTCAAACTCCTGGGCTCAAGGGATCTTCCTGCCTCTGCCCCTGAGAACCTGGGATGACAAATGAAAGCCACCCTGCCCGGCTTCACTCTGTCATTTTTATTCATTTTAGAAACTTTTTTTTTCTCCTTGAGACGGTGTCTCGCTGTGTCGCCAGGCTGGAGTGCAGTGGCGTGATCTCGGCTCACTGCAACCTCCGCCTCCCCAGTTCAAGAAATTCCCCTGCCTCAGCCTCCTGAGTAGCTGGGACTACAGGCGCGGGCCACCACACCTGGTTAATTTTTTTGTATTTTAGTAGATACGGGGTTTCACCATGTTGGTCAGGATGGTCTTGATCTCCTGATCTCGTGATCCGCCCGCCTCAGCCTCCCAAAGTGCTGGAATTACAGGTGTGAGCCACCGCACCCGGCCTTTTTTTTTTTTTTTTTAAATAGAGACAATTTCTCACTATGTTGACCAAGCTGGTCTTGAACTCCTGGCCTCAAGTGATCCTCCCATCTTGGCTTTCCAAAGTGTTGGGATTACAAGTGTGAGCCACTGCACCTGGCCAAAAACATTTTTAAAGCACCAATTATAAGCCTTTATCCCCCAGCTTGATGCTGGGGAGTAATTCAGGATGGCAAGGTCCTTGTTCTCAAGAAGCTCACACTTTAGTAGGGGAGAGGGCCATGTTAAAACCTACCCCCCACAATTATTGAATGCTTACTATGCAACAGGTACCATACTAGAACTTCACAGAAATGGTTGCATTTAATTCAAACAGCAAGTCTAGGTCTAAGTAGCATTAACCCCAAAGGACAGTTATTACAACTAAGATGAAGAGACTTGTCTAAGGTCACTCAACTAGTAAACAGTATTAATGGAATTGGAACCCAAGTTTATATTATTCCTAGTTCTGTGCTCTTAACAACTGCTCTCATGGTCTCTAATGCATGGAAGGAAGCAACAGGTTTATTATTTGCTGTGAGCGTTCAAAAGACAGTTCAATTGTCTTTAGCTGAGCGTGTTTGTGCTATGCATGCTGGGTGGAGCAATCAGGGAAAGCCTCCTAAAGGAGGTGGCTTTGCATTGGACTCAATGGATCAGTTCATTCATTCTACAAATACTGTGCATCCGTGGATTCAACCAACCTTGGATGGTCAATATTCAGAAAAAAAATTGCATCTGAACAGACCTTTTTTCTTGTCATTGTTCCTTAAGCAATATGGTATAACAACTATTTTCATAGCATTTACATTGTATTAGATACTATAAGTTATCTAGAGATGATTTAAAGTGTATCGGAGGTGGCGCATAGGTCACATGCAAATGTTACACTATCTCACAGATTCAGCAGATTTTCCTATGGGAGATGTCCCGGAACCAATACCCCATCAGGTAAGGAGGAAGGACTGGACTTAAATTGAGTCCCTACTACATGCTGCGTTCTAGGTGCTGGCAACACAGAAGTGAACGAAGTCCTTGTGCTTATGCACATGCGGGGCAGGGATAAGGGAAAGGCTGAAATTATGACTGGGCGAGTCTTAAATGCCAAGCCTCCACTTTCACAGTGGTTCTGCTCCTCCTGCTCCTGGGTTTCTCTCCCATGAGCAAATATACTCTCCTACTCTGGGAAGTCCTTCTAAACGTCTACCCTGCATTTCCTTTTTCTTGTTTTTGAGATGGAGTCTCGCCCTGTCGCCCAGGCTGGGGTGCAGTGGCACAATCTCGGCTCACTGCAACCTCTGCCTCCCGGGCTCAAGCGATCCTTCTGCCTCAGCCTCCCGAGTAGCTAGGACTACAGGCGCGCGCCACCACGCCAGGCTAATTTTTGTATTTTTAGTAGAGACGGGGATTCACCATATTGGCCAGACTGGTCTCGAACTCCTGACCTCGTGATCCGCCCGCCTCGGCCTCCCAAAGTGATGGGATTGCAGGCGTGAGCCACCGCGCCCGGCTCTACCCTGCATTCCTTTCTGCTCCAAGACATTTCCCCACATCCCATTTCGTTCCTCCCAAGCCAAGTCTCATAGCCAAAACCTGGCAGGCCGCGAGCGTCTGGCCCTTTAAGTCTGCCTTCTTCCCCCCATGTGCCGTCTGGTTGGGCTGGCGACGCTGACGCACGCGTGACGTCAATGGCAGCTGGTGGAGTCTGGGCACGAGGAGCGAAGTTGGGATGGGGGTGGGGGGGCGAGAGAGAAGGCGGTTAATTTGCATTTAAAGGGGCCACTCCCTCGTTAGCGATCAGGGCTTTAAAGAAATGCGTATTCGGCAAACTTTCTGTCCTGGGTTATGGGGCAAGAAAAAGGCGTGGTACAGCTGAAGTCGGCGGCGACTAGAGTTTGCGATGACAATTATGTCCTTCCGCGGAAAGGGGGAAATAGTCCGTCGGTGCCCTGGCTGGGAGCACGTGACCGGGAGGGGGCGGATGTGGGGGGGGCAAGAGAGAAGGAGGGAGGAGCTGGTGGGGAGACGACTGTCAGGCTGTGTTTCAGCTGCCCCCACCCCCACATCCTGCCCACTCTCCTGCAGCTGCCACCACATCCTGCCCAGCCGGGGGCAGGGAGCTTCTGTGGGGGTGATGCACTGACCGAGGACCCGGCTTTGGCACCCCCTCCCTGCCCGCTTCAGCTCCAGGGTGGGCCGTCTGCCCTTTGCCCCAGGCCTGGCCCCAGGCACCCTGGCCCTGAGCTTGGGGCACAACTCTGCCGGTTCAGCCTGACACCTCTCTGCCTGACTCTGCCCTTTCCCCTCAATTCTGGCCTGAAGTGGGACTTGTGCGGGGTGGTGGGACAGGCCAGACCACAGCCCCATCCTCAGGCTAGCACAGTTATCAATGGACAAATGAGATGTTCAATAAACGTTTTTATAATCTGAACTCAGATGCATAGCTGCACACACACACGCACACACAAATACAGATTCGTGTTAACACATTTGCTGAGCGCATTCTATGCCAGGTCCTGCAAGGCCCTGAAGACTCAAAGTAGAGTTAGATTGCTGCCCTCAAGGGGCCCAGGATCTGGTGAGGAGTGTGTACAGAGGAGGCAGATACACAGAGTAGAGTGCACTACACAAGCAGGTGCAGAATAATACCCAAGTCCACACAGAGCATGTATACACAGAACTGCTGTATACCTGCTGATGGCCTTTCCTCTCACAAGACAAGGTGGCAGATGAAGGGACTGCCGGGATCAATTGAAAACTGGGGGAAAAATTATCAGCTAATGGAAGGGATGAGGTGGATGGACATAGGGGGCTGGAGATTGTCCAGATGGCTGTAGGGAAGGTGAGAGGGGGCCAACCAAGCTGCCAGACAGATTAGAGGCTGGAGCAGCAGTAATGGCTTCCCGGGGCTATGGGACAGGCAGGCAGAGAAACGGCCCTTGGGGCATGAGGATGAGGAAGACTTTTACAAATTAAGTTGGATTAGGTATGCTTGGGAAGGGGTGAACAAAAGGAGTTGTCTATGTCCCTTTGCCATATAAACTTACAAAGATGATATGGTGGAGAGGAGTTTACACACACTTTTAAAAGACTTCAATGAGCATGTAAGTGTTTGATTCCTAAAGGATTTTATAGCAGCTTTGGCCTGTTAGGTAACTTTTCTCTAGGAAAGATGGATGGGTAGCCAGAGTGGGAGGAGGAAAAATGAGACCGAGGCATCTGAACTCGCTCAGGTATTTCCTACCCAGGGGATTCTGGAATGGGAAATACAGGGGCCAGAAGAAAAAGATTCAGTGAGTCACTTTCAGGAAGTCCTTATTTCAATCTAACTTCCAACAACATTATTCCCTAGACCCTTTATTACCCTTCCATGGGAATTAAGGCCCTGTGTTTGTTACTTTTGCTCTCCCATTTAGTTTTCTCTATATTCTAAATTCTATCCCACTTGTAGTGTCTGTCTTTCCTACTCTGTTCTCTAGGGAATTATGGCAGCATCTTCGGGGTCCAGCACACTGCATCTCACCCACTGAGCTCTTCCCTCCTTTCCCTTTTCCCTCCTGCTCCTGGCCCTTTAAAACCCTCCCCAGGTGACTCACCTTCCTTCCTCATTCCTTTGTTAAGGACCCAACATTCCAAGACTGGGAGGATCAATCAGCCAATCATAGCCCTGGCAAGCCTACCTCAGGCTTGAGATTGGTTGGAACTGTGGTTGGCGGGAGGCTCACCACGCTGGTATAAAGGATGTTGGGGAGGGGGTTTCTGGGAATCGGCCCTGGGCAAGAATTTGTTCTCGGGTTGGTTAGTTTTTGTAGAGACTCCTTCAAGTAGAGCTGGAGCCAGAGGGTTCTTCGGCTTGGAGAGCCTCGAAACTGGAGGTGGCTGAGAACCCAGCTCTCTTGGTCTCCTGGGGGCTTGGCTGACCCCTGCCCACTTTCTTTTGTGTGTGTGTGTGATCTGGGACCCAGGGGTCTGACGGCTGAATTCCCAGGCCTGATCCTAAGAAGTCTTTTCCAGCAGCCTTGGATCTCTTCAGTCTCAACATTCTGCTTTCCTGACGTCGGAAACAGCCGGAAAATAAACACCCTGATGACTAAACGGTTTCTCCAGCTAGAGCCTAGGGAAGCACTAAAAATAGAGGCCACAAGTGAGGGGAGGTTCCCCACTTGAGGGGGGTTGGCACTTTCCCATCCTGCTACTGCCACAGCCTCAAGCCTGGCACAGGGCTCTGTTCTTCTCTGTCCTTGGGGGAAGAGGCAGATGGGCTCCCCCTGCCTACCCTGAAGTCTTTTGGGCAAACTAGCCCTGCCTGGCAGGGGTAACTCACATCTTCTGGTGTTGGGGCCCCAGCCTCCCAGATCCAATGAGGAACTGAGAAGCTGTATTTGGGGACACGGTGGGACACTGTTTCCTGAAAGGGGGGGGTCAGGTAGAAGGGTTGGAAACTGAGGCCAAGGAAGTAGGAGCTTGCTGGCTTCCTGTCTTAGGACACACAAGATAAGTCTCCAACCTATTTGCAGAGCAATTCCACTGAACTCACCTCCTTTAAGGCTTGCATGAGCCAATGGAGGCCTAGAGGGTTCTTTGCAGACCAGCCCTTGGCCCAATGGTCTGGTTTGGGTTATTATACAGCATAAGACACTGTACTAAGCAATCTGCTTAGAAGAACTAATTTAATCTTCACACTAAATTTCTGAGTTAGCTACTATTATCACCATCTCTAGTCATGGTCACCATGAGGTAGGGGAAAGTTAAATAATATGCCTGTGTTCACAGCTAATGAATGGTGGAGTGAGGATCTGAACCAGGACAGCTTGACGGCAAAGTTGACATTTCTAACCACAATGACATGTTGCCTCTCTCTATATATTGGAGTCTTTGTCCGGTAAATCAGATCCAGCCAGAAATCAGGGTGTGTGTCTGGGCGCGGTGGCTCACGCCTGTAATCCTAGCACTTTGGAAGGCCGAGGCGGGCGGATTGCTTGAGCTCAGGAGTTCGAGACCAGCCTGGGTAACACGGTGAAATCCCATCTCCACTAAAACACAAAAAATTAGCCGGGCGTGGGGGCGTGCGCCTGTCGTCCCAGCTATTCGGGAGGCGGGAGGGGAGGCGAGGCAGGAGAATCGCTTGAACCTGGGAGGCGGAAGTTGCAGTGAGCCAAGATCGCGCCACTGCACTCCAGCCTGGGCGACGAAGAAAGACTCCGTCTCAAAAAAAAAAAAAAAAAAATTCGGGGTGTGTGAAGAACTGAGTGAGTGCCCTTCTGTTCTGCAAGGTTCTTTGAGATCTAAGCCAGATGCCATCATTTCCTTACGCTCTTGGGAGAAAGCAGCAGGACTTGGAAGTAACAGGGATGCTGAAGCCTGACGGGTCAGTTGTCCAGTAGGCATGGCACCCACACTCCTGTTGTAGGGCACGTAAATATTCACCACACCCTGGAGCAACCAGGAATATAAAAATAAAAAATTTTAAAGAGCTACTACTGCTTCTTTAATAAGACATTTCTGGGTGTTTACTGTGCGGCGGGAGGTGGGGAGGAATTAGGGTCCCGCCCCTTTAAATTGCCCCCTCGGCAGTAAGTGCTGTGGGGCCCCGCAAGCACTGGAGATTAGGTCACCCAAGAACTATGAGCTGTCGCTTTAAATTGCTGGGCGTCTGCCGAGCCGGGCCCTGGGACCGGAGGGGGCCTGTCACAGGTAGAGGGAGCAACTGAGCTCCCTAGGTAACACCCCCCAACCCCAAGAATGTCGCCCGTGAGTGGGGCTTTGTCACACACCAAGTGGGGGAGATGGGAGCTTTTCACCACTTCCAGTCTCCCCTTAATTTATCTACTTAGACTCCCACCTCCCAACTCTCCTGGGGCCCGGGGCCGCGAGGAGGTGCCGAGGTGGCGCGTGTTGAGAGTGTGCGTGCAGCTCGCACGGCCTCCCCGGAAAGGACCTCCTGGAGCACGCGGTGGCAGCAGCGCCAGGCGGGCGGGCGGGCGGCCGGCGTGCTCCGAGGGGCACCGTGGGAGCGGACCGATCCCTTTAAAGGCCTCTGGGTCTCGCCTCCCTACTTTGCCTCGCTTCGTCCCTTCCTCCCTCCCTCCCGGCAGGCGGAGGGATCCGCCGCTCCCAGCGCCGCAGCCTAGCTTGGGAGGGCGGTGGGGTGGGGGCCGACCCGGCCTGGCCCGGCCAGCCCTGGGGAAGCGAGGGGCGGGGCCGCGTCCTCGGGACCGCCCCAGCCCCGGCTCCGCCCCGCCACCCCCACAGGTGCCTCCCATTGGCCCCCACGCCTGTCCGTCACCCCTTTCCCCCCACCCCTCAAGCTAGGCTGAGCTGTGCCTACGTCGGCCTCGACTCCCGGGGGCTGGAGGAGTTACCTTTGGAGCCCGAAAGGAGGAAGGAAGCAAAATATCAACAACAGCCGAGGCGGCTCAGGCGCTCGGCCCCGGTTCCCCGCTTGCCTGCCGCCCGCCTGCTGGCCCCCGCGCCCACGACGGGGGCCCAGGCCTCACGGCGCCGCCCAGGGCCCGCGCGGACGCCGGCCTCATTTATTATTCTCCCCGCCCGGAGCTGCGGCTTCCCGGTGTTGAAGATCCCCCGGACCAGGGGCGAGGGCTACCCGCTCTTTGCCGTGACAACACCGTTCCCCCAGCCGGGCTGGTGAGTAGAGAAAAATAATGCGCCTGCCACTTTAAGAGGCCCCCTCCCCCACCCGGTCCAGGGGTTGGGGTGGAGGGTGGTCTAGACCGTCCCCCTGAGGGGTGGGATGGGGCAGCCCCCGGGCCGGGAGGAACTCGCGAAGCGGGCCGTGTTTTCGTGTGGCGTTGGCGGGGATTACCTAGGGGACTGTTTGTGTCAGGGAGTCTGTCGTGGGGGACAAGTGGAGTGGGCTGCAATTCCCTTGGGTGTTGGGAGTACGGGGTGGGGACGGGCGGATTGGGGGCGCGCCCGCCTGTTCGTGTAGGGGGTTTACGACGGCCTCCGAGCGGTCTGGGACGGGGCGCCATCCTCCGAGGGGGTCTCCGGTGACAGTCGGGAGCGACTGACATTTTAACAGCCGGCCCTCCCTCCCTCTCCCTCCTCTCGCCGCCTGTTCCCTCCTCCTTGGCCCGAAATGGTGCAGAAGGGGGCCTGGGAGGGCGGCGGGAGGGTGGAGGCGGGGGGAGCCGCAGCTGTTTGGGAAGCGGGGGAGGGAGGGGGGATGTTGTTCAGATGACACCGGGGTAGTGGGTTGGGGTGTGTGAGTGTGTGTGTCTCCGGGGCCCGTGTTTGCCGGGTGCCTGTGGAGTTGGGACGCGGAGTCGCCACGAGGTGGGCACGCAGGACCCTTCCTTGAGACCTCCTAGCCCCGCTTCCGAGACCCCTGATGTGGTTTGTCAGTAACCCCAACTGGAGAACTCCCTGGCCAGAAGTTTGCAGCTGTTCAACATCTGGGCAAGAGTTCTCTAGTCCTTTCCACCTATGGCAGGCGGAGCTGGGCTGCGAGCGGGGGTTTAGGGAGTTTGGGGGGGCTTTTGGGAGGATGGGCCAAGGAGACCAAAATGCTTTTAGTCCCCCACTCCAATGCCAGCTTCTCTCCTACCAGGTTCGGGTCTTAGGGGGATGGGGAAAGGGGCCCCCTCCCCCTAGTGAATCACGCTGTCCTCTCAGCAGCCTTCCGAGGACTCCTCCTGAAAGGAAGGCACTCTAGAAGCCACCGACCGGGTTATCCCAGGTTTGCCCTTCTGAATGGGAGCCTCCCTCTGCCTCCCATTGCTTGGTGCATTGTTGATGGGTTGGGGGAGGGTATAGCGGGTTGGGGGGGATCCTGTGTCCCTCTTTGCTGTGCCCAACCCCCATTTGAGTTTTCCTCAGAGTCCTGGTTTCTTTGCTTTGGGGTGGAGGTGGCCCTTATCCACTCCTCCTCCTATCCCTTCAGTGGGTCTCCGCAGCAATTCAGGGTCCAGCCTAGACTATGGGAAGTTTGCCGTCTGGGGCGGTGACCTTGGGCTGCTCTGGCCTGGAGATAGGAGGGGAGCGCAGGTCAGCCTGAGATTGGGTGTTTTGGCGTTTGGGAGCTGTCCACCTCCCACTCCTCTCCCAACCCCAACAGGAAGGTCTCAGTAGCTGAGGAGAGCATTGAAAAGGCACATGTCAGTGTTCACAGATGTCCACCCGCTTGTGGCCACGGGGTCACACCCGCCCCAGGACTTAGTCTGGCTGTCCCAGCTCCCACGGCCCTGCCTGGGAATGAATTTCCTTCCTGTGGTTTCCCAGTGTGTTGGGCAGGAGATGGGGGTGGGGTAGGACTATTGTGGGAGTGGCTGAGGACCTCTTTATACGGGGTGATTGGGGGACACTGGAGCTTATATGGAGCTCCTTCCCCACTTGCCCCAGCATAGGCATTTGGACCTTTGGGTCTCAGTGATTATATTCTCTTTGTTGTAACTCCCCTGCCCCCGCCAACACACCCTGTATGTTTGCATATGTGTGTATATGTATGTGTGTGCATGTACATTTGTAAAGGGAGAGGTCTCTGGTCTCTCTGGGGGGAAGGGGGGGAGGGGGGAAGGGAGGAAGGGAGGAGCTTTTACTCACCCCTGTAGGGACCCAAAAGGTTGAGTTTTTTACCTGAGATCACACAGCAAATCTGTGTCAGAGCTTTCGTCTTTCCACTCTTTTAGGCACAACTTCATAGTAGGGAGGGATTCTGGGAAGGGAGACATACAGTCCGTGTTCATGGAAGCCCCAGTCCAAGGGAAGAAGCAGGACCCAGAGAGCCTCATGATCCTTGTGTTGGGGGATGGGCATGGGGAATTGGCTAGAGCTTCTGTCTGCTGTACTCAATGCCTGAAAGATTGGTGGAGGACTTGGAGGGGTGGCAGGTGCTGTCCGTGTCCACCCCACTCTGTGCTTGGTGCCCCTGGGCTGGAGGGCCTGGGCATCCTGGCTCTGCCCCCTTGGCTCCTGGTTCTTCTCATAGGCTGGGAGATATGATAGTCTTTCTGGCTGCTGTTATATAATCTCTCTGTAGCAGGGTTTTTTTTTTTTTTTTTTTTTTTTTTAATCTTTCCTGGGAGATGTGATAGGGAAGAGAAGCCAGAGGGAGACTCTTCAGGTTGGGGGGAGCTAAAGGAGCAGTAGTAAGGAAGCTTGGAGTGGGAGGTGCCTTGGCCCCCGAGGAGGCCTTGGGGATAGGCCCTCATTGATTATGGCCCAGCCCCTCAGACCCTTCTCCTCTACCGTGCCCTCAGAGGGTCCCTCTGCTGTGGTCGTCCCTGGCTCTTATACCCCCAGAGAGGCCTGGACCTCTCCCCATTTTGTCAACTTTCTCTTCCTGACCAGCTGGGCCCCCTGCTCTCCCTGGTTGGCACTGGATCCAGAATCTCAGGACTTACGCTGGCCTGGTGTGGGCCCTTGGTTGGACACTTTGCCACACACCTGAGTACCTTTATGGGGACAAGGGAAGTCCAGGAGCAAGTGGGTGGGCCCAACATTTCCCTAGTTCTATTTGAGTCAGGCCCCCTGCTTCTTTGCCCCTCTAGTCGAGAGAGTGGTGGCCTTACTGGAAAAGAGGAGTTGAGGGCCTTGACTTAATACAGGCCTTGACCTCTTGGACACAGGTCATCGTTGGTGTTCATCAGGTTCTATAAGTGGGTATGAGGATCCGATGTGAGCCTGGAACCCATCATCAAGGGTCAGGTTCTGAGTCTCATGGCACTGTGGTGCTGGGATTCTCCCCATCCCACGGGACCATGGCTGGGACTCTCGAGGCTCTCTCAGGCCAGCTGGTTTGAGGCAACTATCTCTTTTTTATAGAGAAGGAGGAAATGGTGGCAGGCCGGCACAACCTCAGCATCACTGTAATTGCTGGTGGCTTTTATGAGCCAGTCATGGGGCCGGAGTCCGGCCAACTGTCTGTCCTTCTGTCCCAGTTTGGTGACTTACTCATGGAGGGAGGGGCGGTTAGGTACTAGAAGCTGTGTTCTAGAAGCTGGACGTCTGACTGTATTGTGGTCGATGTCACTCTGTCTATCCATGATCACAGCAGGTAGGATGGAGCTTAGACTTCAGGAAGAACTTCCCAGTGGGGAAGCTGGGGGGGAGAGAGATGGCTCTAATTTTGCATAGGAAAGGAGGGGAACTCAAAGCACTTTCTTTTCCAGTGGCTCTCCCGAAAGGAAAGGCCTTGACCTTTGGCTTGGTGGGGTCGGTGCTATTTGGATCTCGGAATATTTATCTTCTTTTTCCTCTCCCTGCTTATGGCTGAAAGTATTCTGAGGCGTTTGTCCTGGAGCTGTGGGAGAAATAGCCATTAGGCCCCTTTCCCCCAGTAGTGGGAGCTAGATAAGGGTCTCATGTAGACAGGCATGCCCAATGCAGTCCACAGCATTTAGTGGTACACATGCAGGAAAGTGTGCAACACATACACACTGGTATGTAGACACCCACAGAGCAGCTGCTGCACTGCGGGAGGTGGGGGGTAGTGAATGGCAAAGATGATTAAAGGATTGGAGAGTTGGGATGGGGTTGAGGGGACCGGAGGCAAGAAGGCGAAGGGCATAGCAAGAACTTTGAAGAGAGAAGGGCTGACTGGAGCAGGAGGGATTAAGGTTAGACCACAGATGGGCAGGCAGAGCCCTGTCTGCAAAATAAAGAGCATGGCTTGTGAGTCAAGGAGCCTTGGCTGACTTCCATCCCTGCCCCTTACCCCTCCCCCACGTGCCCCTCTCTGTGTTCCTGGCACAGCCTGCCTCTGCCCCTCACACTGACCGTGTGTCCCCGGGTCCCTCCTCTTGGGCCCCAGCTTTCCAGATGTACAGAGTTTCGCCTTTCGGTGATTAACACCTGGGTGTTTTGGTGGTTTGTCGCTGGTCTCTGTTGCCCTCCCCGCTCACCCTGATGAGCAAGGCCACTGTGAGGCATCAAGACTACATCTAAGCCATCAGGCATCTGGGGGTAGATCCTTGGCCTAGGTGATCCCCAAGGCCCTCTTCATCTGACATTTTCCTTTTCCTGAGGCTGAGGCTACAAGCCTCTCTTTCCTGAGAGCCAAGTTATGCTTCTGGTTAGTCCTGGCTGGTGTGGAGACAGGGGAATGCATTCATTGATTCTGCACAGGACCCTGATAGCCAAGGGGGCGGGAGGCACTTGTGCCTGTCTGACTTCTTTTCTTTCTGCTGTAGGCTGGGAGGGGAGGGACATGTCCGAAGCTCTGGCCTGTCGCTGGCCACACCCAGGTGGGACCATATTTACTCATTTAAACTTACCCTCCCAGGAGGCTCTGGGCTCTAGGCCTGGTCACTGACCTTGGCTTGGTGCCTCTGGCTGGATGCTGTGGCCACTCTCCTAGGAGCTGAGCAGACGAGGAAACCATGCAGAGGGAGCTTTTTTTTTTTTTTTTGCCCCCTGGTCAAAGGAGCTTTACCCTCAGCATTACCCCTCTTGCCCAACTTTCCAGTATACTTTGAAGACCAAAAACCACAACTTTTTAATTTTTTTTGAGGTAGGATCTTGCTCTGTTGTCCAGGCTCGAGTGCAGTGGTGCCATCATGGCTCACTGCAGCCTCCCATTCAAGCGATCCTCCGGCCTCAGCCTTCCAGGTAGCTGGGACTCCAGGTGTGAGCCATCGTGCCCCGCCCAAAAACCAAAACTTTTGAGATCCCAATGAAGAGAGGTGATGGGTTCTCAAAAGGGAGGAAGGAAACTTCCATTTCTTATGTTCCTGTGTGCCAAGCTTTGTACTGAGCATGGGAATATAAGAAGACTGTTTCTCTCTAAAACTGTTTTTTTGAATTGGGAAACTGAGTCTCAGAGATGTAAGTGACTTTTAAGCTTTCCTAGTTATGAAGTATAAAGGGCTTTTGTCTGAGATTAAAGGAGAGATCCTGCCCTGCAGGACGGGGCAATGGAAAGGAGGCCCACGGAGACCTGAGAGGAGGAGGAGAAATTGAAGGGAAGAGAAAACCAGGATTCCTCAGCAGAGGGCAGAGAATCAGCCTTTGGTGGCAAGGTGAGGAGGGTATTGTTTTGACTTGAGTGTCATGGAGAAAGCCCCCAAAGCAAGGGTGTGAGGGCAGGAACAAATGACACTCCGAGACCCCTCCTGCTGTCCCTGTGAGCTGCCGCATGGGATGAATGAGAAGAGACACTAGAGTGGGAAGGCTTGGACCACAAGAGGCTGGGCTTGTCTCAAGGCAGACACAAGGCCAATGTGAGCCTCCCAGGCCCAGACCTGGGGAATGGGCCCTGGAAGGAATGTGCTAGAACTCCCCGGTGGAGGGAGACTCCCTCCCACTCCCATCCAGGTTGTAAGCAGAAGCCCTGTGCCCAACAGTCAGTCTGCCTCTGCCCCTTATTTCTGGTGACCTTGAGGAAGTCCCTGCCCATCTCTGTGTGAGTTTCCATACCTGTGAAAGGGAGGTGGTGCTACCTGCCTCACATGGGAAGGGAAGGAGTTTCCGCCAGAAAAAGTGTGATGGTTGCATCTTTTCTCTCAGACCTTCAGCCCCAGCCTGGCCCAGGACTGGCCTGCTAAGGCAGCTACCCAGAAGCAGGGGTGGGGGCAAGGAATGCCTTTGGTGTCCAGGGTAGGGATTGAGGAGGCCTTGAGGGTTCCTCCTGGCCTAGGGCTCCGTTTGGCCCTGGGATGGGTTGGGAAGCTGAGCCCAGCCCTCCCCTCCCCATCCAGCCGTCTCCTTGTCTCAGAACCTGCCTCCTCCACACTTAGCCCCACGAGTCTTGCCAGATCCCTCTGGCTGCATGCTTGCTTATCCCTCGTGATTCTCTCATCCTCAGCCCACCAGCAAATACCTAGGGTTGAGGGTTGAGAGAACAAAGAATACGGGGAGAGCCCATCCCTGAGTTTCAAGTAGAAATGCACGGCAGGCGGGTGGAGTGAGGAGAGTGGGGCTTGGTCTCTTTTCCTGGGGTCTTCCCACTCCAGTTGGATCAAGTAACAAGGGAATAGAGCAAGGGGTTTGAGGGATGACCTCAAACCTTGAGATTTTCCCTTTAAAGCATGTGTGTATTGTGCTTTTGGTGAGGGATGATGGTTGGGGTAGACCAGGAGGATGGGATGATCTGAAAGTGGGTTTCTCAGACTTTCCTGTCACCTCTCTCCTTAACCTATGGGCCCTTTCCTCCAGCCACCACCACTGCCTCCTCTATGCTGAGTCTCCTTATGCAGGCCTCTGGGGCCCATGATGGCTGGGTGGGGACAGGTGTCCTAGCCCAGCTGCTCCCTCTTATCTCCCCCACCTGTCAGCCTGGGGGTGGGGAGCTAAGAAGGAGGGGAGTTAGGGGAACTGCTTAGCCCCTCACCTGTTCTGAGGGGTGGGGCCCTGGTTGTAAACTGTAGCAGGGGAGTCAAGAGTAGACAACAGGCAGGACTTCCCCTCAGAGGAAGGATAACTCCAGATCATAGTAATGGCAAGGAAAACTTGGTAGGCAGAGGTCCTTGCTGGCAAAAATCTGAGGGGTCCCTGCACGGCATCCTCATGAAAGGGTGAGAAGCCAGGTATTGGTAAGGAGCACGGATTTGGCGACATGTATCTGCATAGCCTTGTGCAGGTACTGCTCTCCCCACCCCCTTCCTTCTGGGCCCCCCTCCATCTGGCTGGGCATCTTAGCCTCACCTGGCACCTTTCCTGAAAGCAGCAAGCTAATCCTGTAAGAGCTGCCTGGCTGGCCGCCTCAGCAGGCCCACGCAGCCACAATGCCCGCCCTCCCTCCGCTGCCAGGGGCTTAGAGGACTGTCCTTCGAGTTAGAAGGAGACCCAGCTATTGCCCTGAACGGCCCCTTTAAATCCTCAGTGGCTTCTCGAGGTCATGATGTCTCTAGGAGGATTTGCTTTCCCTGATTGGATTGGCCTCTTTCGGGTCCCCTGTCATCATCGTAGGTGAACCCTTCATGTTTTCCACCTCCCCTTTCCTCATAATTGGTGCTGTCCAGTCTGAGGGCCCAGGCCTTGGACTCTTTCCCCTCTCTCTTAGCTCTCATGTCCCAGCAATCAGGGCTCAGACCCCCTTCATCTGCTTCAGCCAGAGCAGCCCTGTCTCAGTGCTGTGGGTGAGAAGAAAGGATCTTGCTGCTTTAAAAAAGGGGACAAACACTGCCCAGGAAGAGAATGCCCTTCTGAGACTGTCTGCTGCCTGCCTCTCTCCATTTTTATCTCTTCAGCCTGCTCTTCCTTTGGCCAGGGGCCCACACTCCTCATTACCCCATGCACTTATTTCCATGGGAAGTCCCTCCCCTGATCTAACCATTAGCCCACCCGCTGCAATGGCAGGCAGCCCAGACCCAGCACTGGTGGCATTATGCTCATTCCAACGGCTCTCAAGCTGACCCGCCCCCAAGGCCCCAGCTGCCACTTTCACTTCTGTCTCCTGAGACCCCAGAGGGAAGTTGTGTTGGGGAGGTGGAAGGTGACACACTAACCGTCCCAACCGCCCCCACCTCTCCTCAGCCAGGGCTTCTGATAGCCAAGGGCCCCTGTCCATTGCTCTTGTTTAGATGACCAAATTGGGTTAGGTAACAGTGGAAGATTGGCTGCGGTGGGAGGGATGGCCGTTAGATAGCAGGAAGGACTTCCTAGGATTGGAGACCACTGCTGGGCTTCATTGTTTCAGAAGATATGGGAGAGGTGTAGATACTCTGGACAAATGTAGGTCAGACTTAAAGGTAGGTAGGAGATTGGTTGTCTGCAGCTCCCATTGGTTGGCATACAATGCTGGGGCCTCCATGCCCTCCCACGTGTCACCAGCCTCGCATGCTTGGTTGGAGGGCTTCTGACAAAGCAAGTTTGAGCCCCAGAGACTACTTTGAGTCCAAGGACTCAGCCCTGAGAAGTTCTTTCTGTAGTCTTATATCTGTCCTACCTGCTGTCCTGGGCCATTTACTCCCACCCTGCACTGTGGATGCGTTTTGGAAATGGAGCTAGAAATGGAAGTAAAGGACAGCTCACCTCCCTCCTGCTGCTGCCGCCCCAACCTTAGCACTAAAGAGGGGAATGGGATTCTTCTCCTGTGACGCCCCAAGGCAGTGACAGAGCCACACTTCACCCTGTGAATCTTACCAAACTCCTGTAGCTGCCATGCTTGCTTATTCCTCGTGATTTCACACCCCTTCCCCATCTCTGCCTAGACAAGAGTAGGGGACCCAGTTGGACTGAGAGCTCTATACTGTATCACTGGGAGTTACTATAAATCCAAGAATGCTTTCTGGAGGGGAAAGATGGGAACAAAGGCCTGAGGTGCCAAGAACTCCACTTGGTGTCCGCAAGTGCCTACGGATCCTGGGTGGGGGTGACCCAGGTCCTGGAATGGGAAGTTGAGCCTGAAGGAATAAGGTCAGAGACGCTATGCAAATCCTCATGCAAATGAGTGGTGGTGAGTCATTGCAGCTCGGCCTGCTGGGATGGAGTATGAAGACAGCCTTAGGCTTGGGTTCTAGAGCTGGTCCCACCAGGGACCAAACAGTGACCTTGGGCTAGTTGCTGCTCAGTAACCACAAGCAGGTGGGTCTGATAGGCATTCCCAGTGTGTGAGGGGATTGGGATGACTGAGCCTCTGCCACAAGGGCCTTGTGTGCCCCACTTGGTACTTGTTCTGGCTGACCAGAGCCTTTGTGAACCCTTGGCCATCTGTTGGGGGGTTACTGTTTAGAAGGCACCTGCCCCTTCACCAGCCCCATCCTGACTGTCTTCTAGCGCCCTCATTGCCTTTCCTCCCCAGCAGGAGGATGACAGACCCAGCCAGGCCATCTCTTCAGTTCCTCTCCGTGACTTACACAATTCTGATCTCCCTTCCCTTTGGGCCTCCCCAGAGAGCACAGGAGCCATGTGTTTGGGCCAGAAGGGCATTTGGGTACCTAGTCCACCCAGCTACCCATAATACTGGCCAGTGGGGTGAAGCCTGTAGAAGGCAGTGACTTACTCAGGATCACATCTTAGACCAGAGCAGGGACTAGAACCCAGGTATCCAGAATCCCAGCTTAGAGACCCCATATTTCCCTAAGCTGTTCATTGCCCTACCTCACCCATCCCTTCTCTACTGGGACTCAATCTCCTGTTGCCCCCAAATACTTCTGAGAACAGTCTGGCTAGCTCTAGGAGCTTGTTTTGTGGGGGTGCGGGGTGGTTACCTAGGAGCCAGCCCAGAGGCCATAAGGGGAAGGTCAGAGCTGCAGTGGGAAGTGCTGGACCCTGGCGGACAGGCTGCTGCCTTGTAGAGAGCCAAATGGCCTCACAGCTGCTACAGGAAGGATGAGAGCTAGACTACAGGAAGAACAAGCTGGGGTGAGGAAGACATGGAGGAGGCTCAGGAGACAGACCCTCACTGGAGAGGCATCTCCTGGGCAGAGAACAGGATGACCCCATCCCAGGAGACTTGCCAGGGAGAAGAGGGCGGGAAGGCTAGGGTGGGGCTCGGGAGAGTTGTCCAGCGGAAGCTAGGGGGAGGGCTCAGCCCTGCTCTCCATACCGTGTGCTCCCCTTGGCAAGTCGGTTCCTGTCCCTTAAGCTGAGACTGCAGGGCCTGCCCCCCATTTGAGTTCTTAGGGTGCCTGGGGCCTGAGACCACCCCTGCCCTAGGCCCAGCTTTCCTGGACTGCCTGCCCCCACAAACCAACAGCCCGCCCCCAGGTCCCCAGTCGGTGAGTTAAAATTAGCTCAGTGCCCAGGCTAAAAATAGCCCCTGCCCAGCCCTGAGGCTGCTGGACTGGGGGAGGGGAGTCCCCGAGGGAGGGAAAGACGGTGGGAACCAGGGATTTGGGTAGTGAGCCTGCCAGACAGAACTTTGAAGGGTTGGGGCTGGGTCTCTGCCTTTGAGATCAGACCCTAGAAGCACTTCTGGGGTGAAGAAAAGAGGCTGCTGTGGGAGGGGGCGGGGACAGAGAGGGGGCAGAGGGAACGGAGCATGAGAAGGAGACCCGAGAGGGGCCCAGGAGTAGGGGCGTGGGGAGCAGGCCTCGCAGGAGGGGTTGTGAGAATTGGGCTGTGTGTGGGATGGGGAGAGGGACAATGTGAGGCTCCTGCCTTGGCTCAGACTTCGGAGGGGTAATGCCCCCCACTTCTTTTGTGAAGGAAGAGCTCACTGTGTGAACCACAGAATGATCCTGGACCATCTTGCCTGGGTGTTTGGGGGCATCACCGGCTTCACCTTCCTGCCCTGTCTCCCAGAGCTCCTTAGCCTGTGTCTCTGTACTAGGGAGGAGGTCCCAGGGCTGAAGTTGGAAGAGAGAATGACTAGGAAGGTTGTGAACCTGAGGGTAGACTGGGTAATAAGGCAGGGCCTGGGGATTCAGCTGGGCAGCTGTCGTCCTTGGTCCTCGGTCCTCACCTCTGCTGCCTCTCAGGGCCGGCCTGCCTGCTCTGGGATGCTCCTTCTGGGGCTGTGTCTGGGTCCAGTCCAGGCCCCCAAGGGCCCCCTTGCCTCTCCCTGCCCTTGCCCTGGGTGGGACCTGCCCCTCCCTTGTCTGTCTCTTGGCTGCACTGCAAGTTCTCAGAGGGCAGGGATGGTGTCCTGTTGAGTTATTCCCCCAGCGCTGGGCCAGGAGTCAGTCCTGGAAGCCGTTGTTGAACCTGTCTCTTGTTCTCTACCTGCTTCTCTCTGAATCTTTGTCTCTGTGGTCTCCTGCCTCTCCCTCTCCTCTAGCCCTCTCCTTATCTGTCTCTGCCTCTGCCCCATAATGCCTTCTGGCCTCGCTGCCTCTTTTTCTCTGTCATCTTTCCTGTGTCTGTGTGTCTGTCCCCCCTCTGCCACCCTCTTCTGTGTCTGCCTCACCCACGCCTCCTCCCTCGTTAGTGAGCAGGCTGCTTGAGGCTGCCTGACTGTGGGGGTGACAGGTGGATTGGATTGTCACCCCCTCCCCCAGCGCCTGCTGCTTATTTCATGCCCTGCAGCCCAGCCACAGGGAAGGGGCGGGAGGAGGGATGACAGCTGTCTCCAGCGCCTCCTGCCTTCCCCTCCAGTCCTCAGCCTGCAGCCCGGAGCAGCCTGGGAGGAAGAGATGAAGGGCCTGCCTAATGAGAGCTCCCTTTCTCACCATGAGGAAGAGCAGGTTGAGGCCCACTGCTCTGTGATGCGAGGCTGCTCACTCAGCTTCTCTGGGCATCTGCTCCCTTTTGACCTGTGCTGGTATGGGAGCTCTGGAAGCAGATGCCCTGTAGTTTCTTTGAGCCTTGGGACCACTAGGATGGGAACAGATATGGGTGGAAGGGTGTAGGGGAGAAGGACAGGTAGGTACTCCCCTGCCAAGAGCAAGAAAGAGAGGATAGAGGCTGGCTATCGGAAAGGAATTCCCCTGCAGCTCCATGGGAAGGACAGCCCTGCTCAGCCCTGCTGCAGCTGCAAGGAGGCTACCCTGACCTCTCCCCTTCACCGCTCTCCCCACTGGCCCCAGGCCACCTTCACACAGGAACTGAGATAGCATCATTCTGAAACCCGAGAATGGTTTGAATATTGCTCAGGTACCCAGAGGTGTTGCATTGGGGGAGGCAGGGACCTGTTTCTTCTCCCATGCCCCCTCCAAACCAGTCCTCCTTTACGGTACATTTTGCACATCATGTGTAGCTCATTTGCATGTAAACACAACCCACAAGTTCTAATTGGGTCGGTACCTGGGATTGGAAAAATGGCTATCAGTGGGGTCCTTCTTGATTCCCCCTGGTCCCCTCAGCTCTCTTTGTCAAGGGTGTTGTCAGAGGGGCCTCCTGCCCTGCATCCTCCCTGCTGTCCATTTGTGAAGGCTTCTCCTCAGCCACCCTTCTCCACAGTTGGTGAGTTTGTGCCTGTTTCCCTCTCTGGGCATCTGCTCCCTTTTGACCTGTGCTGGTATGGGAGCTTTGAAAGCAGATGCCCTGTAGTTTCTTTGAGCCTTGGGACCACTAGGATGGGAACAGATATGGGTGGGCATTGCCAAATGTCCTGCCCATCTTTGCTTCTCCCATGTCCACCAGGAAGGCCCTGCCTCTGCCTGTCCCAACCCCCTGCCACCCACAAGGTTCACTCCGCCCCACCCTTGTCCTGTCCACGGAGTCAGGTGAATCAGAGTCAATCAGCCAGAGCCTTGAGAGCCTTTGAAGGGGAACTTTTGGTGACATAGATACTGTCAGCCCGAGGAGTCATAGTTGTGGCCTGAGGTCAGGATTGGGCAGGCCCTGGGGCCATCAGAACAGGAAGGCCATCCTGGCCAACCCCCTGTCTCTTTGGTAGCCCAAGTCCTCCCAAGCCCTGGGCTCCAGATACTAGGCAGGGTGAAGGAGAGATGGTTAGAAGAGAAGCAGCCAAGGGCCGGATCATCTGCGAGGGCTTCCTAGAGGAGGAGTAGACCAGACAGGAGAAGAATGGGGCCAGGTGAGGCTGGAGAGGAGAGACTCACATCTGGAGAACAGATGCCCAGGCCTCTGGCTCCTGCCAGTTGGTTAGGTAATTAGGCAGAGGGCTAATTAAGGAGGTCCAGGTGTTCATTAAAACCTCCCTAATTGGGTAGGAGGGAAGTTTAGCTAGGATAGGCCTCCAAACCTTGGATAGGGTCAGGTTAGGGTATTTTGTGCCTGCCTAGGCCCCAGCTACCCCTTCTTCCAAAATCAGGGTTGAGTTCATGTTCTTGCCTCAGGGCTTTCAAAGACCCTGCAGCAATGTGGAATGGATAGCAGAAGGAAAAAAGGTCAGTATAGACTGCATCTGCTTTGTAGAGGGGTTTGTGGTTAGATGGGAGGAAGGACTGCCTAAGACAGGGGCATCTCCTCCTCTGGCAGTGTTGGCACAGAAGTGGGAGCAGCAGTGGGGAAAGGGGCCTGGGAAGCATGGAATTATAAAAAGTGCTTTGGGCTACCTTGGTAGGGAGTGGGGATAGATGGGGCCTAGTCTTTTTAACCCTGACTTCTCTCTGTCAGACGATGCTCAGTGAATCTCTGTTGCTTCCCTGCCTTCTCAGCCCTGATCCCTCTCTCGTCCCAGCTCCCCCAGCATGAGGCGGGGGTGGGGGGGGCGGTGTAGGAGATCAGCCAGGGAGCTGGTTGCCAGGCGACAGTTGCCTAAGCAACCCCATCCTCTCCATCTCCATGTGCTCAGGGCTGCTCCTTAGAAGACTTTAGAGTCTCACCCTCTGCACCAACCAACCTGAGGGTGGGGAGGGTTGAGGACTGGGATACCAGGGGTGGTTGGAGGGTAGGTGGTGTCCAAATCTTCAGGGGCAGTTGGGAGAGCAAGGGTTCTAGCTCCATAGAGGATAGAGTGAGAGGAACTGGTACTGCAGCAAGACTGTTGGAGGTTAGACTGCAAGAAGGACTTCTCACAGCACCACAACAATGAAATAGTATTTTCTTCTTTTCAACAGACATTTTCTCAGCTCCCTTCTTATAGGAGATAGAGTAGTGAAAAAGACAGATGTGATTCCTGCCCTCATGAAACTTTAGTCTCATAGAGGAGCCAGGCGTTAAATAGAAGCACAGAATCATAGTTATTCACAATTGTGATAAATGCTAGAAAGACTGCAAGAATGACTTTTCTGAGGGTCATGAGAACAAAGAGAGGCTTCTCTTCCAGTTTGGAGGAAGAGGCAGTATTGGTCATCAGCTGACAGAGGTTACATCTCTGCAAGAATTCGGTTATGAACTAAAGGTGGTGAGAGGGAGATAGTAAAGGGGAGAGAGGGAGGGTAGATGCTGTAAGCCAGAGGAGCTCAGCAGTTCCTGCATTTAACAGTCTAGATTGGGTTTTCAAGACTAGGCCAGAGAATCCCATTTAAAAAGCCAACTATTTGTAGCCCCCTCCCCTTGCCCTCTGTGTGCCCTCCCCTACCTTCCCTGCCAAAGCCCACACCACTGTAGCTCTAGAAAGCACAGTCTTTGGATTGCACTGGGAAGCAGGGGAGCTGAAATCCCTGGGCTGGAGCCTTTGCAATGGGAACTTGGCAGACACTGGGGTCACAGGTGAGGAATGGGGTGTCTGGAGCTGGTTTGGGGCTCAGGTGTCTGCTGGGCCACTCAGGGCTGGCTGGGCTGGTGTTGCTCTTGTCCCAGGGTACCAGTAGGAGGCCCAGGGCCCATGGAGCACGAGGTCGAGGTGGGTGGATCACAAGGTCAGGAGTTCGAGACCAACCTGTCCAACATGGTGAAATCCTGTCTGTACTGAAAATACAAAAGTTAGCCAGGTGTGGTGGCAGACACCTGTAATCCCAGCTACTTGGGAGGCCGAGGCAGGAGAATCGCTTGAACCCGGGAGGCAGAGGTTGCGGTGAGCCAAGATCACGCCACTGCACTCCAGCCTGGGTGACAGAGTGAGACTCTGTCTCACAAAAAAAAAGAAAAAAAAAGTCAAAAAAATTAGCTTGGCATGGTGGTACACACTCATGGTCCCAGCTACTTGGAAGGCCGAGGTAGGAGGATCACTTAAGCCCAGGAGTTTGAACCAGCCTAAGCAACAAAGCAACACCCTGTATCTACCAAAAAAAAAAAAAAGAAATTATTAATAAATTACCTGGGTGTGGTGGCATACACCTGTATTCTCATCTACTTGGGAGGCTGAGGCTGGAAGGTTGAAGCTGCAGTGAGCTGTGATTTGTACACTCCAGCCTGGACAACAGAGCAAGACCCTATCTTAAAAAACAACAACCACCACCAAAAAAAAAAAAAAAAAAGAAGAAGGAGAAGGGTAGGGAGTCGTTTGAAGCGCAATGCATTTATCTGCATTGTTTTCTGTAGATATCCAGGCAAAGCAGAAGCTCTCCAGCTAGGCTGGGGAGCAGTCTTGGTAATGGGATGGGGCCAGTATCCCAGCTCCTCCCAAATTGATAGATTCCTTGCCTTCCCTCTCCTCCTTCCCTCATGAGCAAGAGACCAAGGCTGAACTTTAGCATCTACTGTGGTACCGTAGGGGCCATGTAGAGTTGGGCTGGAAAGGCTCCAGGGAAACTCAGCAGCCATTGGCAGTGGGAGCTGGGGGGTAGGGGTAAGAGTTGTTCTCTGTCATCAAACACCTCTCCCCAGGTAGTGTGCAGTGGGTGCAGAGGATCAGACAGTGGCTGGGGGTCTACATCCCTAGACTCTACAGTAGGGTCTCTGGGCATGGGGCTCTATGGAAGGGGAGCTCTGGAGGGGAGGGCGGGCCTTCTCTGGTCCAGGCTCCTCCCAGGACCCAAATAGAGTGGCTTTAGAAAGCATGGGCCCCAGTTCACTATCCTCTTCCAACATCTTCCAGAAAGCTCCACTTTTGATGCAAGGACTCCTGGAATCAGAGCTAGAGGGGGCCCTGAAGTCATTCCGTGCCTCCGTCCCATCTTGGGCCCTTCCAGTCCCCAAGGACTCACCCAGCCTATGTAGGCACTGCCCATACCGGAGAGAATGCGCCTTTTCTGGCCCAGGCTGTGCTGCCATCCTTGAGCCCCCTCTTATCCTATGGTGCCTCCTGGAGTTGTTCAGTGCAGGGGCTGTTTCTCATCCTGGCTTTAGCATGGAGCTGTTCAACTAGTGGGCTGTGAGGGGGTTACAGGTGTCCTGAGACAGCAGGTTCTCTGCCTGGTGCCTGCATCCGCCTGGCTGCCAGTGGCCTCCCCAGTGTATGTCATTTGTTCCTGTATTTTCTCTGTCTGCTTCAAGATGTACAAGGTTGGGAAGCACTACTCTTAGACTGAGCTTGGGTTCTAGATGTGGTCCATACCTCTAGGGCAGGAATCAGCAAACTATGGCCCGTGGACCAAATCTGGCCCATGCCCATTTTTGTAAATATAGTTGTATTGGATCACAGCCATGCTTACACTCATTCGTTTATGTGTTGCTGTCTGTTGCTTTCATGGTACAGTGACAGAGTTGAGTAGTTACAACAGAGACTGTATGGTCTGCAAAGCCTGAAATATTACTATCTGGCCCAAAAATTTCCATCTCCTGGTCTAGAGGAATGGTTTCATTGTTTTAAGCAGCACAACTCTTTCCTCAAACAAAAATCTTAGGCTGGGCATGTCCAAAGGTAGTGAGTTAGCTCAATTGATTGTTCACAGTCAGTTACAGATCGAACTCCTTGTTCTACTCTTTCTTCTCTTCTCACTACTGCACTTGACTAGGCTTATAAAAATAAAAAGAAACCTTAGGCTTAAGCTCACTGAGTAAAACAGATTAGTGTGGAGGAACTCTAGTTGAAGGGAGATGTGGGTGCTACAACCCCAAGCCCCACTACAGGACTCCAGGCCCCAGAGTTCCATGAGTCGGTATGAGGCCCACTGCTCTAGACCTGCTCTGGTATGTTCTTGAGCCAGGGGCACCAGAGACATCCCATCCTGGCACCAGGTATACCATGCTTGTTGTTCACTGACTGGGCAGATGTCCTCTCAGCGTTGTCTCTTCTCCAAGCTTCAGAATGGGAACCATAGTTCTAGGCCAGAGGAGCAGCTGGAGCACCCAGGTGTCTATAGTACAAGCAGGTTCTAGAGAGAAGAATGGGCCATGGGATATTCTCTGAGACCCAGACCTTGGAAGCCAGGAGGTCCATTTACTCTGTCCTGGAGCCTGAGGACAGCAGTGACCGAGGGGAAAGAGTCTGGGCCTTGGTGTGAGCTCCAGCTTGTGCCTGGCTGTGGCATACCATTGCCTCAGGCAGACAGCATTGCCTCATGTTGAGGGTGGAGCTCAGATGCTGCCAGCCTCTCACAGGGGCGCTGTGAGTCTGGCCTGTGTGCCCAGGGAGCAGGGCTGGGGGTTTTGGGGGCTCAGAGACCTCTCATGACCCTCCCTTTCCAGGAGGCTGTGCAGAAGGTATCCTGCAGACCATGAACTGAGCACTGTTCCCAGACCGTTCATGAGCACAGTGTAAGGTGTGCCGAGACCCACCACCCAGCGAGCCCCTCCCCTCCGTAGCACTGAGGACCCCCGGAGAAGATGGGGAGGAAAAAGATTCAGATCCAGCGAATCACCGACGAGCGGAACCGACAGGTAGGGAAGTCCTAGAGCCGTACGAAGTGGGTGAGGGCAGGGAGCAGGCCTCTGCCTCTACTCCCTTCAGGCATTCCAAGAGGGCTTTGTGGAAGAGGGGAAACTATAAGCTATTACAGAAGGGGAAGGGAGATTGGGAGAAGAGGAACCCCAACCTCTTCGCAGCTCTTGGAGCTCTGCGTCCCTGGACTCCAGGACTCTTCTGCTGCCACAGCTAGATGAGCCCATGTTCCCATCCCAGAGCCATTTGCAAGCCTTAGGTCATACCCCCAGGCACTCCTCCTTTCCCAACAGGAATCCTCTCCCTCTTCTTCTCCACTGACCTCTTCATAGCCTCCAGCACAGAGGTGTGGAGTTCTGTCCACCTGAATCCTGCCCCTTCAGTGAGTGGGCTCTGGGCTGTATCTAAGCTGTGTGTTGGCCTACAGGCACTAGCCTGGTCCTTCCCCAAACCAGGGACTCCTGAGACCAGGGGCTGTGTCACACTGAGAATGGGGGCTCCTGAGGGCAGGGGCTATGTCCAGCCATCTGTAGGCTGGGACTCCCAATCAGGCCTTAACTGAGCCAGATCTGGCCGCCCACCCATCCTTCTCTGCAGGTGACTTTCACCAAGCGGAAGTTTGGCCTGATGAAGAAGGCGTATGAGCTGAGCGTGCTATGTGACTGCGAGATCGCACTCATCATCTTCAACCACTCCAACAAGCTGTTCCAGTACGCCAGCACCGACATGGACAAGGTGCTGCTCAAGTACACGGAGTACAATGAGCCACACGAGAGCCGCACCAACGCCGACATCATCGAGGTGGGCCCATACACACAGGCACCAGGATATACCCCCGCCTGCATCCACATGGACACGTGCCCACGTTGCATGTACACGCAGACCTGCCTATGCACACACACTGGTATACATGCCCCTTGTAGCCCCTCACCTGTGCGCACACACATGCAAACCCTCCTTCTGTCATACAAACCCAGGGTCTGAGGAGGAAGGAAGGGCAGTTCAAGTGAACAGGCCAGTGCCAGGCTGCCAGCCCACACCCACCCTGCCCTCTCCAAGAGTCTGCTGTCGTCCAGTGTGATGTAACATCTCTATCCTGCCTTCTTGCATCCTGTCTTTCTCTTTGTCTCTCTTTCCCCGCTTCTCCATCTTCTGGTGTGCTCCTGCACCTGCCTCTTCCTTTTTTAAATCTCCCTCTTTGTTTCCATCTCTCCTGCTGTCTCTGTCTGTTTGTGGGCCCGGTAGTTCTATTTTCTGTTTCAAAGAGAGCCAACATTGTGAACTGTTGAAGGACATGAGCTTTGGAATTCAGTTCTGACCTTTACCGGCCACATGGCCTTGGGCAGGTGCTTAGGCTTTCCCGAGCCTTGGTGCCCACCTCCACAAAATGGGGTCAGTGCCTGCTTTGAAGGGTGCTGTGTGAATTGAATGTCCCTGCTTCTCACACTGAGGTGCGTGCACCTTGGGGATACAGAACTTGTGCTGACGAAGAGGGTGCCCGGGAAGCCACAGGCCTACTCAGAGATTTGGAGGAAAGTCCCTTATTTTTATGTTAGAGAAGACAGATTTACTCTAGACTAGAAGGTAAAATTTGCATTCATTTTAAAGACAAAGCAAGTATCTGTAAAGCTATTTTGAGCATGAAGAGGGCAGCTTTGGGGTCTACTGCAGATCCCCCAGATGTGCCTCCACTAGAATGTAGGGTGGTCACAGTAGGGACTCAGTCAGTGTTCATCCCCCTTTCCTTTTCCACATCCCATTCCCCGCTCTCTCTGTCTCCATCTCTATTTCTCTCTTCCTCCTATTCTCCTAAGCAGAGCCCAGGGACTGGGAGCAGAGCCCCCCTGCCTACCTCCCCCTGGAGAACTCAGTGCCTTCTGGTCAGGGCTTACCACAGGGTGGTCGGGCAGGGACTGATCCATGGCACCAGCTCCTTAGCCCATCCCCTGGAGGCCCCATCCCCTGGAAGCCCCTTCCCTGCCTGTCACTTTGGAAGTACATGTCTCCCTGCCAAGTGCACCCCCAGGTTAGGCTCACCTTCCAGCCTTGTTCTCTGTGTTCCGACAGCTCCCACCAAGCCCATCTTCAGATCTTCACACGATGCCCCAGGAGGCACTGTCAGTGGGGAGGGGCCAGGGAGATGCTGGGAACCCTGAAGAAGGAGGTCGGGGAAGAGTAGGGGGCCCTTAGGGAGGGGCTGGAAGGAACTCCAGCGAGGCGGGCGGGAAGGACTCTCACCCAGCTGATGGCAGTGGTGCGGTTACAGACCCTGAGGAAGAAGGGCTTCAACGGCTGCGACAGCCCCGAGCCCGACGGGGAGGACTCGCTGGAACAGAGCCCCCTGCTGGAGGACAAGTACCGACGCGCCAGCGAGGAGCTCGACGGGCTCTTCCGGCGCTATGGGGTGAGCCCCACTCACTCTGTCTCTGTTGGCCCCCCCTTCCGGCCCCTTCCCCCCAGGCGCTGCACAAGAAGCACAGGGAATGTGAGAGCCCTGAGGTGGACGAGGTGTTTGCCCTGACCCCCCAGACGGAAGAGAAATATAAAAAGATAGACGAGGAGTTTGATAAAATGATGCAGAGTTATAGACTGGCCGTGAGTAGTCGCATGGAGCAGAGCCTCCCTGTGGTGCATGGTGTGGCTTCGCGCCCTGGCTCTCGGCTGCCCTGATGGGTGCTCCGCTCTGAGCCATGCTCGGGTTCTTAGTGACCACTGAGGAACCTCTGACCTTGGTCATGATAAACCCGCATCCCTGCTGAGACTCTACTGGGATGGAGCATAAGTTGGAGAGGCCTGGAGTGTCCCCCTCTCCAGCAAGAAGTGTGTAGATGACATGAGATCCTTAGAGGACAGCAAAGTGGAGTGTGCTCTTTGTCCAGATGTTTTTTTGGGGGGAGAGGCCTGCTTGGGCTTGCTCTGATAGCCCAACCAGAGACACTCAGCCTTGTGTAGGGAAAGCAGAACTGCTGAAGGGGAAGGCAGCGAGGTGGGGGTGAGCTCTCTCTGCAGCAGGCCAGATGGGTGGAGACTGCAAGTGAAATGATGTCCCTACCCGTGGTGCAAGCCTTTAACAGCCGTGTGTGAATTTGAGTCTGTTATCAGGGCCTCTAACCTGCTCCCCGTGTGTCCTGCCTGGCTGAGGACTAACCCACCTCCACTAGGGGGTGTCCCTGGTCCTGTCTGCAGTGAGCAGAGCCTTGTTCTCATTCTGTGGGCCAGAAATGGACCCAGAGTATGGACCCAGAGTTTCTCCCCAAAGTTCTTCCTTGGTGGGACTGGCAGGCAGGACTCCACAAGGGCACAGGGCAGGGAGCTTGAACTGCTGGCCCTAGGATGCGTAGCCCAGAAATGAGAAGAACCCTTGCCTGCCCTCCCAGGAAAAGTGGACTCCATGGAAGGGGTCAACCTGGCCTGATCCTGCCCCTCCATCTTTCTGTCTAGTCAACTGTCCCGGCCCCCAACTTTGCCATGCCTGTCACGGTGCCCGTGTCCAATCAGAGCTCACTGCAGTTCAGCAATCCCAGCGGCTCCCTGGTCACCCCTTCCCTGGTGACATCATCCCTCACGGACCCGCGGCTCCTGTCCCCCCAGCAGCCAGCACTACAGAGGAACAGTGTGTCTCCTGGCCTGCCCCAGCGGCCAGCTAGTGCGGGTGAGTGGGCTGGCAGGTGGGTAGGTGAGGTGGAAATGAGATGTGATGGGGACTTTGGGATTCCATTTTCAACAGCAAGTATTTCTCTTCACCCACCACAGCATTCCGCCATTTGTATGGCTCCTGAGGGAAGGGAGTATGACTCTTCCTCCTGGGGTCCCCTCTTCATGTTCAGTCCCCAAGACTCACTCTTGAAGCGGGAGTGTTGTCAGCTCATCCTGGTTCTGTTTTTCCTCCAGGGGCCATGCTGGGGGGTGACCTGAACAGTGCTAACGGAGCCTGCCCCAGCCCTGTTGGTGAGTGCAGTCATCCTTCTACCTGGAGGTGGGGAGGGGTGCCCGCTCAGTGGCCTCAGGGGGTCCAAGGATCAGGAACGACCTAGATGAGAGGAGAGGAAGATCCCAGGGCCAGGACTGGATGAAGAGTCAGTCAGAGATTTTTAAGCCCCTGGATTTTGTTTTCTGTAGCAATGATTGGTGTAGATGATCAGCAGAGATGGAGGCTCAGGGAATTCTGGGCAAACTGTGAGAATGGGCCAGCATTTCTAGTTGGAAGGGAAGACCCAAGTTTTTGCAGTTGAGTGTGGTTGGGATCTGGAGGATGAGAATGCCGGGCGTTCCCTAGACAAACAACAGGGACAGACTCACATAGACACTCACGCAGGCACTCAACACACATAAGTGCATTCTCCCTCTTACAGAAGTATCCAGATGTTAGATGTGCATTTGTGAGCACACATACATAAGCCACAGAAGAGGCCGGGCATGGTGGCTCACGCCTGTAAACCCAGCACTTTGGGAGGCTGAGATGGGCGGATCACCTGAGGTCGGGAGTTTGAGACCAGCCTGACAAACATGGAGAAACCCCATCTCTACTAAAAATACAAAATTAGCCGGGTGTGGTGGCTCATGCCTGTAGTCCCAGCTACTCAGGAGGCTGAGGCAGGAGAATCGCTTAAACTCAGGAGGCAGAGGTTGTGGTGAACTGAGATCATGCCATTGCACTCCAGCCCGGGCAACAGGAGCGAAACTCCGTCTCAAAAAATAAAAAAATAAGCCACAGAAGAAAGGCTGCCCCCCAACCCCTGGCAGCGGACAGCCCCTCCTACCCTGTGCCATTGTCTGGCTGGGTGACTGTGACTTCGAATGTCACGATTGACGTCACCCTGACATTCCTGCCATTCCCAGAGTGGTCCGGGAATTGGGATGGAGGCAGGCACACACTTCCAGGGCAACAGCATGCTCTTAGGGGACAGAGCAAGGAAGCATTTCTGACTGTGGTCACTCTCACATCCTTGGACCTCAGCATCCCCCAGCTCAGTTTTGGGGCACTGTATAATACCTCCCTGGTGATAATTATGTCACAGGGTCAGGAAATTAAAGGGGTGGGTGAATATGTCACCCTCTTCAAGGAGAAGGCCAGAGAAATGCTTGTAGACCTCAAGTGAGCAGTGATCCATAGAGGCCCTTGAGTCCAGCATGTGGAAAGTGGGAGAGAGCCCTCACTTGGCCTCCAGCCAGCTGTGTGGCCCTGGGCAGGTCATTACACTTCTCCCAAGCAGGCTCTAGTTTCCTCTTCTGTGAACAGGGCTAATGTCCTGTCTGTCTTGCAGAGTTAATGTGAGGATTAAATAAGATAATACATGTGTGAAAGGCCTGTGTGGATTGTAGAATATGGAGCAGATATAAAAGATAGTTATTACATTTGTTATTACCAGGCTAATTATGGTGGTGGCTGTGTTATGTGTCTCCCAGTGCCAATAACACCATCACCAACAGTGAATGGCTTGTTTCTCCCAAGCTGTGGGCAACTTGTCACATGTTGATCCAAATCACATCATCCACCCCCAGCTCACGGCAAATGGAGCAGTCTGAGTGGTTGTTGGTTTGTCATGGTGACCAGGCTTCTCAGTGAGGCCCGGATTCCAGGCTGCCACCCCTTCCACATCCTGGTCATGGTGGGTCCTGTCCGGGGTAGACTGTGGGACCTAAAAATGCTGGACTTCCTGTCTGTGGAGACTAAAGTAGAGAGAAGACAGGGAGAGGCTTGGGTACAGAAGAACCTCTTGGCCGTCGCAGAGCCTAGAGGCAATGGCTGCTTTCCAGTTCTTCCCACTGACTTCAGAGTCCCATCACCAAGCCCTATCACATGTAGCTTGGAGTTAGGGGAACGAACCTAAAGATTCAGGAGTAAGGGGTACTTGCCTCCCATTATTCTCAAGACATGAAGTGTTCAGGGAATATCAGATAGCTCAGCCCCCACTCAAAGCCTAAGCATGGCTTTGAGAGGTTCCGGGTAACAGGAGTATTGGTGTGGGGAAGTTAATAGGGCTGAAGGATAGGCCCATGTTTTTCCTTTTACCCTCTTGTTGTCACTTCTCCAGGGAATGGCTACGTCAGTGCTCGGGCTTCCCCTGGCCTCCTCCCTGTGGCCAATGGCAACAGCCTAAACAAGGTCATCCCTGCCAAGTCTCCACCCCCACCTACCCACAGCACCCAGCTTGGAGCCCCCAGCCGCAAGCCCGACCTGCGAGTCATCACTTCCCAGGCAGGAAAGGGGTTAATGCATCACTTGGTAAGTGGGTGTCTGGGCCAAGGGTGGGGGCTGGGGAATGGAAGAGTAGGGACAGGGGAAAGAGCAGACCTCTAGCAGGAGAGATGAAGGCTAGCCAGCAGTTAGGACTTCCCAAGATAAATCTTGGAACCATGGCTTTTTATGAGATTTTTCTTCCCAGAGGGCCTTTTAAGAGGTTGCAGCACAAGAAGTACCAGCCTAAGGCAGTAAAAAGGGGCAGGAGGTGAGAGAGAAGTGGTGGGGAGGATCATAGAAAGGATTTGCCACTATAGCAGGAGGGATGGGGATTAGATGGTGAGCATTTCCTCACTGGTGGAGATTGGGATGGAGCATCTCTGGAAATGAGTCAGGACGGTGGAGAGCTCTGCCTTTGTAGGCTGGGTAGAGCCACCCTACTCTTATGCAGAGAGGTGACTGGAACAGCTGTGGGGACAGAGGTGTGGGGGAGGGCAGCGGCCAGAGACTGAACATCCCCTTGGTTTTATTTCTGCTCTCAGACTGAGGACCATTTAGATCTGGTAAGTGAGGCTGTGAGCTCTTTGCTGTGGCTTTGAATTCTGGGTATTGCTCTGCGGTCCCCCAGCATGAAGTACGTGTGCGTCCTTGGCCTCTCGCCTGTGCGTGAACTGTTGCTGTTTCTTTGCTTAGTTGCCAGGAGCTGTGCTTAGGTGCCAAGTGGGATTCAAAGGTGAATGGGGTGGGGGTGAGAGGTCAGACGTGTGTGTGTGTGCCTGTGTGTACATGAATGTCTGCATGTGGTATTATGTTCATTCAGACACACCTTTCTCTGTATGTACGTGTGCGAGGGGGAGTGGGCCAGCCCAGGGCTCAGAGGTCCCACCCTGATGCCTGGACTAGGCCCTGGACTAGGGGGCTGGATCCCACTAGTCCTCTGACTCCACTCAGGCCCACACTGCATTCTTGGGATCCAGGACAGGATCCTTCTTAGGAGGGAGGTCAGCTGGAAGGAGAAGCTGGTGTTTCAGGGGAAGCCAAGGCCCAGGCCCAGGCTGGACTTGTCCTTCTTGGTGGCAGCTTCCCACCTCCCCTGTCTCCCTGTGCTCCCTCCTGAACTTAAGTCCATGACACGGGCACTCAGAGGCATGCACAGCTGCTCATTTTCCTCCTCTGTCTCACACACTTACATACTCACCCCCAGCCAGGAGTGGGGCGGGGGCTCCTCCCTCCCTAACTCCCTGACGGGAGGCCAGAGAGGCTGGAAAAGGCAGGCAGGCTTTGGCGGCCAACACGGCGGCAGTTTCGGCCCCAGCATGGAGTTGGAATAAACAAGTGACTCAGCGGCAGATGGAGCTGACAGCCCCACACACGTGTGTGCATACGCGCAGGCACACGCCACGCCAGGCCCCACATTCCCCTCGCAGATGCCAGCACGCCTCTGCCGGGGCGTGTGCTGCAGTGTGATGGATGGAGAGTGGGCTCCAGAGAGACAGGGGATGGACGATGTCTCCCTTCCCTCACTCTGCACTGGGAGGCTGGGCGAGTGTTGGTGCTGGGGCCACAGGGCCAGTACACGTGCCTTCATCTTTGCACGTGTGTTGGTGTCAGTGAATCTGTGTGTGCATGTTTCCCTCCATGGATCTGAGTGTCTCTGTGAATGCACCAACGTGTGTTTGTATATCTGTGGGGGCCTCCGTGCTAAGGCACCCCGCCTTGGCTTTGGGATTCAGGAACCCCACCTTGGCCTTGGGATGGAGGGCCAACATAAAGCTGCCCACCTGTCAGCCACCTCCTGACGGACAGTTTTCTCCTACAGAACAATGCCCAGCGCCTTGGGGTCTCCCAGTCTACTCATTCGCTCACCACCCCAGTGGTTTCTGTGGCAACGCCGAGTTTACTCAGCCAGGGCCTCCCCTTCTCTTCCATGCCCACTGCCTACAACACAGGTGAGTGTTCATGTGACATGTGCATGTGTGCACTTGGGCTTGGGGCAGGCAAGTGACCAGACAGAAATGCTAGTTATCCCCTGGACAGGCCACATCTGAGGAGGGCTACTGATTTGGGGGAACCCCCACCTACTTATGGTTAACAGGTTTAGCAAATAAAAGCACAGAATGCTTTTAAATTTGAATTTCAGATAAAACAAGTAGTTTTTTAGTACAGATATGTCCCAAAGACATTCTTCTGCTAATGTATGTCCCAAAGACATATTTTATTTTTGGGTTTGTTTTTTTTTTCTTTTTTGGAACAGGGTTTCACTCTGTCACCCAGACTGGAGTACAGTGGTGCCATCCTAGCTCACTACAGCCTTGAACTCCTGGGCTCAAGTGATCCTCCTGCCTCAGCCTCCTGAGTAGCTGGGACTACAGGCACATGCCTTCATGCCTGGCTCTTTTTACATTTTTTTTGTACAGACAAGGTCTCTCTGTTGCCCAGGCTAGTCTCAAATTCCTGGTCTCAAGCAGTCCTCCTGCCTCAGTCTCCCAAAGTGCTGTGTTACCGACTGTGCCCAGCACCAAAGACATACTCATGCTAACAAATTATGTATTGTTTCATCTGAAATTCAAATTTAACTAGGCATTGGTTTTTGTTGTTTTTGTTTTTTTGAGGTAGTCTCACTCTTGTCACCTAGGTTGGAGTGCAGTGTTATGACCTTGGCTCACTGCAACCTCTTCTTCCTGGGTTCAGGTGATTCTCATGCCTCAGCCTCCTGAGTAGCTGGGATTACAGGCATGCGCCACCATGCCCAGCTAATTTTTGTATCTTTAGTAGAGATAGGTTTTTGCCATGTTGCCTGGGCTGGTCTCAAACTCCTGAGTTCAAGTGATCCACCAAAGTGCTGGGATTACAGGCATGAGCCACTGTGCCTGGCCAGCATTGTTTATTTTTTAAAAAGTACTTAATGGAGGAGGGAGCCCCTGTCCTCAGAAAGCCTGCAGCCTGAGGACGAGACAGGACAGAGGCAGGTCTGCAGATCATTCAGGCTGACCAATCTCTAGGCTGCAGGTATGGGGAGTGGTGAGGGGGACGTGGTCAGTTCAGAAAAGCTTCCTGGAAGAGAATGAAGGAATAAGAGAAAAGAGACAAGGAGGCTGAGGAGGCCAGAGAGAAAGCACAGTCAGGGTCAGTTTGCTAGCTTCCTGGGAAAGCCAAATGGGGGCTCCAGGGCAAGGCGGAGGGGGAAGAACAGCGTCTCTCCTCTAGTTTTGGCATGGTGGTGGAATGATGATTGGGGAAGGAAGAAGAGGGAAGAAGGTTAGAGAGGGGATCTGAAGGTAAAGAGCCACTTAAGGACATGAGAAAGGTCTCTGGATAGAAGAATTCAGATAGGACACCCAGTGCGCGGGCTGTCCTGGGTCCCTAGGGCCATCCTGGCCTGTGTCACCCACCCACTCACACCTGCGCAGGAACAGTCTGTGATACTCTCAGCCATCCTTGCCTGTATGCTAAGCCACTGTGTCAAGAAGGACTTGCCAGTAAGGAAACGCCTTGTCCCCTTGTTTCAGAGCATTCATGTGGCTGGGGAACCTGGGCTATTTCCAGCTAGAGACCTCTGCCTTCCTCAGGTTCTCTCACATGTGAATGGTTATGTCAGGCCAGTTCCTTTGATGAGTTTAGTCTGGACCAAAAGACTCATAAACTTCTCCCCCTTCCCCAAGCCTCCCAGAGTTGAACCAGCCACCAGTGCAAATAACCACAAAATCCCACCTCCTCCCCACATGTAAAAATCCAGAACCCAGGCCAGGCGTGGTGGCTCACATCTGTAATCCCAGCACTTTGGGAGGCTGAGGCAGGAGGATCACGAGGTCAAGAGATCGAGACCATCCTAGCCACATGGTGAAACCCCATCTCTACTAAAAATACAAAAATCAACTGGGTGTAGTGGCACGTACCTGTAGTCCCAGCTGCTCTGGAGGCAGAGGCAGGAGAATCACTTGAATCCGGGAGGCAGAGGTTGCCATGAGCCGAGATTGCACCACTGCACTTCAGCCTGGTGACAGAGCGAGACTCCCTCTCAAAAAAAAAAAAGTTCAAACATAAAAAGGCTGGGCGCAATGGCTCACGCCTGTAATCTCAGCACTTTGGGAGGCCGAGGCAGGCGGATCACGAGGTCAGGAGATCGAGACCATCCTGGCTAACACAGTGAAACCCTGTCTCTACTAAAAATACAGAAAATTAAGCGGGATGTAGTGGCATGTGCCTGTAATCCCAGCTACTCGGGAGGCTGAGGCAGGAGAATCACTTGAACTTGGGAGGCAGAGGTTGCAGTGAGCCAAGATCACGCCACTGCACTCCAGCCTGGGCAACAGTGAGACTCCATCTCAAAAAAAAAAAAAATTAGCCGGGCGTGGTGGCACACGCCTGTAGTCCCAGCTACTTGGGAGGCTGAGGCAGGAGAATTGCTTGAACCTGGGAGGTGGAGGTTGCGGTGAGCCGAGGTTGCACCACTGCACTCCAGCCTGGGCAACAGAGCGAGACTTTTGTCTCAAAAAAAGGGAAAAAAAAGAAAAATCCAGAACCCAGCCCTCTGTGTAGGAAAGCCCCTCGTGGCAGGTTAAGAGAGCTGGAGGGACCGCCTCATGTTGAGGGACCAGACTCTGGCTTGTGTGTCTGTGTGTAGTTACCACCCAGGTGTCTTTGAGCCCCTTCTCCCTTGCATGTGCACCCATGTGTGTGCCCAGCCCCAGGCTACGATGTCCTGGCAACTTCACAGATGGCTGCTTCAGAAGACACACGCTGTGGGCCCGTCTCCCCATCTGTAAGAGGAGTGGGTAGACAGGAGGTCTATGAGGCTTTTCCAGCCCTGCCACTGGGCCTCTGGGGCCCAACCAGAAAAACCAGCCCTGAGGGTGGGGTGGCCTGGGGACAGGGACAGTTGGCGGAGGGCAGCTCAGACCACTTTTTAGACCACTTTTCTGGAGCTGTTTATCAGGTACTCTGTGAGGGTGGTTTTCTGTTTTTCTGCCATCTTGTTGGGCCCACAGTCTTTTGTGAAGCAGGAGGAAAGTTAGTTGGTGTCAGCCAACCTGGGACAGGCACTCAGGAAGGCTAGACTTAAAGATTCTCATCTGTCACTCTGGCATGAAAGCAGTTTCTGCCCCTGGGCCGCCCTTGGAGCCCTGCTGGGAAGTGTGTGAGATTTCTCATCTCCTCTCAGAGACCACAGGCTCCCTTTCCTCTTGTTACAGGAGCAGCTAAGCAGATCTCAGTTTAAACAGCAGGTGTTTTCAGGTGACCCTAGGTGTGTAAACAAAACCCCAGTGAACACATTGCTGTTTAGTTGTTCACTGTTTACAGTCCTTGGCTGCAGTTCAAGTTCCGGCTGGGGGTAATCGGGCTATGGTAATGCCTCATGTGAGGGCCTGGCCCCTTGTTGACACTGGCCGCAGAGGCCTGGCTGTGGTGGCTCTGGGAGCAGACCAGTAGGCTGCCAGGTGGCCTTGGGCCATGGTCCTCCTTGGGGAGCCAAGCCTCCCAGTAGTAGATAGGGCTGGAATCTGGTGGAACAGTGCAGGGCTGGGAGCTAGTCTCCATCACTCACTCACTGAGGGGCCTTGGGCAAGGCACTGTACTGTTCTGGGCTTGGCTTCCTAGTTTGTACAAGTGTTAGAAATAGTTGATTCTGGCCGGGCGCGGTGGCTCACACCTGTAATCCCAGCATATTGGGAGGCCAGGGTGGGCAGATCACGAGGTCAGGAGTTCAAGACCAGCCTGACCAACGTGGTAAAACCCCGTCTCTACTAAAAATACAAAAATTAGCTGGGCGTGATGGTGTGCGCCTATAATCCCAGCTACTCGGGAAGCTGAGGTAGGAAAAGCGCTTGAACCTGGGAGGCAGAGGTTGCGGTGAGCCGAGATCACGCCAGCTACTCAGGAGGTTGAGGCAGGAGAATTGCTTGAACCTGGGAGGTGGAGGCTGCAATGAGTGGAGATCGCACCACTGCACTCCAGTCTGGGCAACAGAGCGAGACTCTGTCTCAAAAAAGAAAAGAAAAGAAATAGTTGATCCTAGGGCCCGTTTCTGCCCTTGCTCTGCTTTTTTAATAAGCATTTCAAAACTCCTGACCAACGTTAGGAGACTAGAGCCAAGCACAGATCCCCCTCTAGAGAGATTTAAAGGTAATAGAGTCCTGGGGTCCTGTCTTAGCTCTGCCGCTGGCTTTCTCCATGACTTGGAGCCTGTTCCTCAAACTTGAGGCTGCAGTTGCCTCATTTGTAAAGTAATAATAGATAAATCTTTTGATTATTTTCTATGAACCAGATACTGTTCTACATGCTTTTTGTGTATTAACTTGCTCAGTCCTCACAACAGCTGTGTGATGTAGGTAGGATTATTACCTCCAGTTTATAGGCAGAGTAAGTAACTTACCCAAGGTCACATGGCCTAAGTGGAGGTAGCCTGGAAGTTTGACCTCATAGCTCATGCCTTTAACCTTATTGCTATATTGCAGAGATAATACTGTCTTCCCTGCATAAAAACAAAGGGCTGGAGCAAATGACTCCCTGAGTAATAGCATACTGGTGGGGTATTGGGATGATTGAGGGGTGCGTTCCCTATCACAGCACTCCCACTACCACAGTACAGCCTCAGGGAGGACATTTTCTTTCTTTCTTTCTTTCTTTTTTTTTTTTTTGAAACAGAGTCTCGCTCTGTTGCCCAGGCTGGAGTGCAGTGGTGCGATCTCCACTCATTGCAGCCTCCACCTCCCAGGTTCAAGCAATTCTCCTGCCTCAACCTCCCTAGTAGCTGGGATTACAGGTGCGCGCCACCGCCTGGCTAATTTTTTGTATTTTTAATAGAGATGGGGTTTCACCATGTTGGCCAGGCTAATCTTGAACTAGGGAGGACATTTTCTAAACTGTCCCAAACAGGATACAGCATGAAACAATAGTGCTGTGTAAATCATGAAACATTCAGTGATTCTATTTATTCTGTGACAGTGCAACCATCAGTTTCTTCTTTAAGGTAGACATTTTATGACGTAATGAACACCCCCTCATGGGGAGATCTGCTGGAACCTTGGCCAGCTGTGCTCCCGGCATGGTACCCTTGCAGCCCCTCTGCCCCTTGGGCATGAGGCCAAGACATAGACCTTCTCTACTTATCTGTTTCCATCTTTTTATTTTTTTAAATTGTTATGAAAGTGATACCTACACATGATTTTTTTTTTCTTTTTGAGACAAGATCCCACAGGCTGGAGTGCAGTGGCATGATCATAGCTCACTGCAGCCTCAACCTCCCAGGTTCAAGCAAGTCTCCTGCCTCAGCCCCCTGAATAACTGGAACTACAGTGCACCCCACCACCCTAGCTAATTTTTAAGCTATTTGTAGAGATGGAGTCTCCTTATGTTGCCCAGTCTGGTCTCAAACTCTGGGCTCAAGTGGTCCTTCTGCCTTGACCTCTCAAAGTGCTGGGATTATAGACATGAGCCACTCGCCCAGCTGTTTTTTTTTTTTTTTTTAAGTTCAACACTATTTTTAAAAACCACCTCTTGGTCGGATGCGGTGGCTCATGCCTGTAATCCCAGCACTTTGGGAGGCCGAGGTGGGCGAATCACTTGAGGTCAGGAGTTTGAGACCAGCCTTGCCAGCATAGCAAAACCCCATCTCTACTAAAAATACAAAAATTAGCTGGGCGTGGTGGCATGTGCCTGTAATCCCAGCCATTTAGGAGGCCGAGGCAGGAGATTTGCTTGAACGTGGGAGGCAGAGGTTGTAGTGAGCCAAGATCACACCACTGCACTCCAGCCTGGGCAATAGAGTGAGACTCCATCTCAAAAAAACAAAACAAAACAAAAACCACATCTTTTCATCCTGTTAAAACACAGCACCTCATGGTTATTATGACTTAGGTTTCTTTAACTCTGAGTACCGTCTTCACTGAATTTTTGTGGTCTTCTTGAATTCCTTACATCTGTCATTACACACTCCCTGTCCCCTCATCCCCACAGTCCTCCTGGAGGCAGCTCCCTCATAGGAGCCTGTGTGCTCTCCCCAACTCCAGGTTCATCCTCACTTTTCCTCCATGCAGATTACCAGTTGACCAGTGCAGAGCTCTCCTCCTTACCAGCCTTTAGTTCACCTGGGGGGCTGTCGCTAGGCAATGTCACTGCCTGGCAACAGCCACAGCAGCCCCAGCAGCCGCAGCAGCCACAGCCTCCACAGCAGCAGCCACCGCAGCCACAGCAGCCACAGCCACAGCAGCCTCAGCAGCCGCAACAGCCACCTCAGCAACAGTCCCACCTGGTCCCTGTATCTCTCAGCAACCTCATGTGAGTCCTGGGGAGACTGCATGTGAGTGTGTGGGAAGGGAGAATTGAACGGGAAGAGGAGGGACCTCTTGGGAGCTGGGTTCCCTGCAGGGTTCTAGTGGACATCCTATGAGGCTGTGCACTGCACAGTCTGTTAGGCAACAGTGGCACCCCTGGGCTCTCTTGTACAGACCCAAGAGGCTCACCCTGAACCCCTTCTGAGAGCCAGCCCCAGGGTAGGGGGTGGGAGGTGGGGGGCCCTGTGTTGCAGAAGATGACATGGGATGGAAAGAGAACTAATATTTCTTATTTCCCTTCTCTTCCCTTCATTCGACCCTCTTCTGATCACTCTCCATCCAATTGCCTCTCCCCAACACCCCATCCCCCATATTCTCATCCTCTTGTTCTCTCTCACTTTCTGTCTGGTGTCCTATCACTTGTTCTGTCACTCACCCCCTCTGTTTTTATCCCTTGTACCCCATTTCCATTGCCTGCCTCCAGCCCGGGCAGCCCCCTGCCCCACGTGGGTGCTGCCCTCACAGTCACCACCCACCCCCACATCAGCATCAAGTCAGAACCGGTGTCCCCAAGCCGTGAGCGCAGCCCTGCGCCTCCCCCTCCAGCTGTGTTCCCAGCTGCCCGCCCTGAGCCTGGCGATGGTCTCAGCAGCCCAGCCGGGGGATCCTATGAGACGGGAGACCGGGATGACGGACGGGGGGACTTCGGGCCCACACTGGGCCTGCTGCGCCCAGCCCCAGAGCCTGAGGCTGAGGGCTCAGCTGTGAAGAGGATGCGGCTTGATACCTGGGTACTGTAGCATCACCTCTCCTGTCTGCCAGTGTCTGCTACACCCAGGGACTGCCCCGCGTGCCCCCTAACCTGTTTTATTTCCCACCCAAGAGGCCTTGTGGCCGGCTACCCCTTCCGCCAGCCCTTCTAGGGCAGCACCAACACCCCTTCACCCCTGCCAAAGGCCCATCTTCTCCCTCCCTCCAGCATCAGTCCTTCTGCTCGATGACTTCTTCCCCTCACAGCTGGCCCTGCCACTAGAATCCTGGCCCTATGGGGAGAGGGGAGTGGGGGGTGCATACCCAAAGCCTGGGCCACCCCCTCACACCCCCTTCTCCATCTCCTCTCTTCACAGACATTAAAGTGACGATTCCCACTCCCCTCCTCTCAGCCTCCCTGATGAAGAGTTGACAATCTCACCGCCCGCCCTTCCCTGCCCCGGGCTCCTCCCGCTCGACCCCCACTTCCTTTCTTGTGCTTCGTGTCCTGTTGACGGTTACATTTGTGTATAATTATTATATTATTATTATTATTATTATATTTTTTTTAATTTGGATTCTCGCTTTGGAGAGGGGGATGCTCTCATCCCCTCTTTCTGTACCCCCCACCATTTTCACTGGCTGGGGGGCTCTCTTTTTCGCGGGAAGGGGGGACACTTTGCACGTTGTACACATATGCTGCAGGAAGGGGGTGGGGGGCCCAATAAGGCCTTTGGGAAAGGACAGGTGCCGAGCCCTGCATGTGGAGCCCTCCCACCCCACCCCCAGATAGAGGGAAATAACCAAAAAACTACCAAACAACAGAAACCCACACTCTAGACTGAAACCCCAAAGTGGGCTTGATGGGTGGGTTTGTGTTTCAAGGGGAAAGTGAGGCAGAGGTTCTGAAAAGGGTCTCTGTTTTTGTGTTCATGTAGCCATAGGCACATGGAGCAGAATACTTAAGCCTGGCCCCCAAATGCCCCTGCACACACACGTGCCACACCTGCGCTGATTCTTGTGTGTGCTGCACCCCCAAGGTGTGTGGGTGCTGGCTGAGCTTTGGGCCGGGAAGGCAGCCTGGGAATCTGAGGCTGGAGACAGGGGTTTGAGGTGGGGGCCTCTCTGGAAGCACATTTGGAGGGAAAGACAAGAGAGCCATGAGGAGAGGGCTGAGGAGGGCAGAAGGGCTAGGCAGGGGGCAAATTGAGCCCCTCCCTTCCCCAGTTTTTCTCTAAGATATACAGTGCAATAGCTCCCCACCCCTCAGTTGACGCCAGCCCTGTAAAGCTGGCCACAGTGTGCAGGGAGAATGGGGAGAGGGTCTTCAGTGAGGTGGCTGGGGCGAGAGTCGGCCTGGACTTCCCTGGGGTGCTCCAGGCCAGAGCTCTTTCATTGGGGCGAGTGTGGTGAGGGGACGTCCTTGGTCTTGCACGCACACTACCTGGGGGAGTCAACACTGGGATGGTCTGTGGGGTGGGAGGGCCTACGGATGGGTCCGTAGAGGTCCCACCTCCCTCATTCCTCCTTGGCCCCTCTCCCTAGCTTCTCCTGTTAGCTCCTTCTGCTCCTGACCCCACCTCCTTGCTCTTGGCGCCCCTATTGTCTCTGGCTACCTCCTTGTCCCACCACCTCCAGGCTGCATCCCACCTTCCCTCTTGGCTACTGTAATTGTAAATAGCGACCTTTGGAAAACGTTAGCGGTGTAACAGTCCAGGAAACTGTTTTTTTTTGTTGTTGTTGTATTGATATGAAATGAGATTCTATTTTTGTCAAAGTATATTGTAATAATAATGACTCAAACGGCCCGTACTGTACAGACGAGATTCTTCTGCTGTTGTTCTTGCTCCCCTCCCCTCCTCTGAGTCCGCCCCTCCCTGCTGCCTCCTCAGTGGGGCAGTGGGCAAGGGGCCCAGGGGCAGCCGAAGCACGGGGTCCTGAGACCTCAGGCAGGATTGGAGATCAAACCAGAGGGGGCAGGCCCCCAGCCTGCTCTCTAGGATCACCCCCCGCCCTAAGGGGCCTGGCCTGGGGTGACGTGGCCAGGCAGACTGTCTGCCCCACTCCTTCACACAAGCCCAGCTCCTCTGCCCAAGGGGTGCGGCGCCCCCTTGGGGTTTCCTCCCAGTTGGAGAGTAGAGTTAAGACAAGGCCCAGTTTTGTGTTAGCCGACCGTCTTTGCCCACCTCTATGACCCAGCCTCTTGCAGTATTCCCATACTTGATGCAGGGAAGGAACCAGAAGCAGAGGGGCCTCTACGCAGGTACACACGTGTACCTGAGTGTGTTCATGAGGGCATCTGGTGTTTATGTGTCTGAGTGTAGCTTTGTATTTATGTGTGTGTGTGTGTGTATGTCTGATTGCACGGGTGTACTTTTGTATTTATGTGTGTGTGTGGTTGCACGGGTGTGCCTCTGTGTGTCTCTGACCCTGGCTGGGTGTGTGTGCAAATCTGTGTGACTGGAGCTCTAGGGGCATCTCTGTGTCTGAGTGTGCCTGGTGTGTGTTTACAAAGGGAGAGTTGGCTGCTCCAGCTCCACAGCCCTGGGACCCCAACTCCTGTCTTCCCTGCTCCTTTCCCTGTGTTCACCCTCAGCTCTGACACATTGAACTGCAGTTGGGGGGATTGGCAGTTAGCCCTCTGTGCTTCTCCCTGCAGCCCTACCTCTGCCAAGGTCTCTCCCTCCAGGGACCTCTGCTTCCACCCACATATGTCCACTTAGTCACCCACACTTGACACAGTTCCTGGAGTACCCTCTTCCCCCAACCCCAGACCTGCTTTCAGAGCAAAACTCAAGTCCCTCTTCCTCCGTGAAGCTTCTCCCTCAGCTGAGCAGTGATCACTTACTCACTCTTAACCCCAATCCGCTGACTGGGTGGGGACAGCACGTCCAGCCTTCCCACCTCTCCTGCAGGCTTCTAGACGGAGTTTCAAAAACTGATGAGCCTCGATCCAGGGCTTGAAAGAAGCCAGGGTGTAATCTTGTTCATGCATGCGTCCCCAGAGCCTCGCCCAGTGCCTGGCACATAGTAGGCACTCAATAAATGCTGAATGGGTGAATAGTTGAATGATAGGTGCTCAATAAATGAATGAATGGCCTTCCCTTCTCAGGCTATTCCCACCATTAGTCTGCCCACCTTTCTAGGCTGGGCTTGGCCACCATTAAACACGGGGTGGGGGTGAGGGCCCCTGCAATTCACGGTGCAATATTCACCAGTTTTGCCCTCTGCCTCATAAAGGCAAACCTGGCTTTTGATTACCATGTGTGGATGTTTCAGTGTCCTTTCTTCTCTGTCCCTGGGGATGGGGTGGTCTGTGAATATGTGACATTTCTGCAGTTCAGTATCCGAAGGTTTCTCTTGGGGGTAGGGGCTCCTGGGCGGCCAGATGAATGGGTCCCTGGGAACCCAGACCTCAGATGAGGACTTAATGTCTTCTTCCTCTCAAGCCAAATTCGCCTCCACCCACTCCCTCTGAAGAACTGGGCATTTGCCAAAGTAACCACTGGAGTCATCTAATGGCCCTCCCCCTCCCCAGGTTTCCCACAGCTTTCAGGGACAGTGGGCAAGAGGACACCCCCCCCCACCACCTCAGTGGAACACACCATTCTCCCCCCCTCAACAGCACACTCAGTGCAGCAAGACTGACCCCTGACCCCCTCCCAGCCCTCCCTACCTTGGACAGGAAGGAAGTAATGCACCTTCTCTTGCTGATTATTTATTTGTTTGGAGAGACAGAAATGTAAAAGTGTATCTAGAAATATCTATATCTCTATATATTTTTAACTGACTCTTTGGAATCCCCTGGGGTGGGGTGAGGGGTAAGTTTAGGCTTTCGCGGAGGGGAGGAGACATGGAGCCTGGGAACTCCTTGTTCTCCCCTCTGCTGCCTCTCCCCACCCCTTAAAGCAGTTGGTAGAAGGAATGGTATTTGTATGGGGGGAGGGAGGCTGGAATGGAGAATCTGGATTCTCTCCTCTTCCCCATTCTCCAGAGGGAGGGAGGTGGTGAGGAAGAGGAAGGGAGGGGCAGGATGGGCCATGGAGGTGCCCCACCCCCACACCTGACAATCACCCACACTCCTGGGGCTCTTCCTGGGTCCTGGGGCAGGGCGAGTCCAAGTGTGAGGCTGTTGATTTGTTTTCAATATTTCTTTTCGTGCTGTATGGTGATGCTTTCTTAGTATTCTACACAATAAGAAAAGACAAAGTCCTCGAGATTCTTATGAGTTTTGTTTGAAAACTCTTTCACTATATTTGTTGTAAAGAGGTTTACTATTAAAAGAAAAAGAATACACGTTTCTGATACTTCGGCGTGGGTTTTGGTTTCTTTGGTGCCGCGAGGATGGGAAGGAAGGACTGGTGTGGCCCCATCAGGGTGAGAGGCAGTGCTTCATCTCAGCAGGGAAGAATGGGGGGCGGCCTTCAGGGCGGGGCACTTCCACATGTCTCAGGTGGGGTTTTCAGGTGAGAATTTCTTCTAAGTGTTCTGTCAGAAGGAGGCAGCCCCAGCCCACACTAAGGAGGGATTGCCCAGCTAGAAGCCTCAGGAGGGATTCTGGGACACAAAAATAGAAATGCCACCCAAGGTTGAGTTCAAACCAGAATGGTGTTGGGGGTGGGAGTTGGCACGGTGAGGACCTTTGACTGCTGAAAGCCTTCCTCAGCAGAGACTTGCCCGGGCACTATGTTAGGCACAGGTGGATTCCACCCTCGTGCTCCTCACAGCATGCTTCCCTCCAGCAGAGGAAGCCGCTCTTGCCCTTTCAAAGTGCTTTAACAGTGCCAAGGAGCCTCTTTCTCCCCACCTGACACACCCCACAGGACCACCCCACCCCACTCCGCCATGCCTTCCAGCCAGGGTCGTCTTCTCTTAAACTTGCCTCCTTGGCCGGGCACGGTGGCTCACGCCTGTAATCCTAGCACTTTGGGAGGCTGAAGCAGGCAGATCACCTGAAGTCAGGAGTTTGAGACCAGCTTGGCCAACACGGCGAAACCCCATCTCTACTAAAAATACACAAATTAGCTGGGCGTGGTGGCATGCATCTGTAATCCCGCTACCTGGGAGGCTGGGGCAGGAAAATCGCTTGAACCCAGGAGGCAGAAGTTGCAGTGAGCCGAGATTATGCCATTGCACTCCAGCCTGGGTAACAGAGCAAGACTCCATCTCAAAAAAAAAAAAAAAAAAAAAAAAAGGCCGGGCGCGGTGTCTCACGCCTGTAATCCCAGCACTTTGGGAGGCCAAGGCGGGCCTCGGGATCACCTGAGGTCGGGAGTTCGAGACCAACCTGACCAACATGGAGAAACCCCGTCTCTACTAAAAATACAAAATTAGCCGGGCGTGGTGGCACATGCCTATAATCCCGGCTACTAGGGAGGCTGAGGCAGGAGAATTGCTTGAACCTGGGAGGCGGAGGTTGCGGTGAGCCGAGATGGTGCTATTGCACTCCAGCCTAGGCAACAGGAGTGAAACTCCGTCTCAAAAAAAAAAAAAAAACCCTGCCTCCTCCCTCATACCTGGCACAGCCGTGCCCTGGGGCAGATGGAGCGGCTGTGGAGGAAAGCAGATCCGGCTTGGCTTCCTCCGAACAGGGTGTGGCTGCTTCTCTGTACCTAGCCCAGGTGCTGCAGAGGCGAACGCGGAGTGTGAGGGGCCATATACGATGGCAGAGACAGGCCTATGAACGCCTAAAATCCATGAAGCATGGTTAAGGCTGTGGGTGCTAGCCTTAGTTGTGGGAGCACACAGGAGTCAGGCTTCATGCCTTGGGTTTCCTCATCTGCAAAATGCCGATGACCATCTGTACTGGTCCTGCTTCCCTCATACGGTCATTGCAGTCTTCCCCTCACTTCTCCCTCAGTAGAGGCAGAGAGGAACGATGAGCTGAGCAGGAAGGGGTTAAGAGGATACCACCCTCTAGAGGAGGCTCCCTGTTGGTTACCTGCTCCCCTGTAGCAGCTTCCAAGATGACCTCCAATTATCCCTCCCTGGTATTCATGCCCTTGTGTGGTCCCCTCCCTCAGTGAATCATGGTTGGTATGTGTGTCCAATTAAAAAAGGCAGAGTGATGGCATGTGACTTCCAAGGCTAAGTCATGGCTCTACTCTCTGTCTCTCGCTAAGTCATGGTCTCTCTCTCTCTCTCCCTCTCTCTGTCTCTCATTTGCCCTGGAGAAAGCCAGATCCCATACTGTGGGACACTTAAGCAGCTCTATGGAAAGGCCCACATGGCAAAGAACTGAGGCCTTTTGCCAACCACCATCTGAGTGAGGCCATCCTCTCCTCTGTCCTTGTAGTTCCCAAAATTCTGCAGACATTGGTACAGGTGAGAACCCACTGGTACAATGTACACTGTAGCTCAGCCACAGCCATGAAGAGAGGACCACTCTCTTCTGCACATCTGCTGTTGGTTCCTCAGACTGGCCTGGCCTGTACCTCCTTCCTTATAGGCATCATTCCATGATGTCTTGGGTAGGCATTAGTTTCGCCCACACATATTTCCTGTTCTCTTCCCTTCCTGGACACACAAAAGGCCGTGCATCCCAGTCCCTGTATAGTCAAGTGGGGTTATTGGGCTAGTTCTGGGCAGTAGCCTATAATGGGAAGTAATGTGTGTCCCTTCTGAAATGCAGCTAGTGCCTGATTCTTCAAACACTCTTTCCCTGTTGTGGGAATTGCAGAAGCACGTGTTGAGGAGTGCTAGCAGATCAAAGCAGCCTAGACGGCTAAGCTGCCCTAAGGTTTTGTCCAGCACGAGTGGACTTTGTGTGAATAGATAGTAACTCTGTTTTGTTAAACTACAGTGATTTTGAGTACTGTGTCTGCAATATAACCTATCCTGACTGATAAAGTATCCCTCTCACACTTGGACAACCTTGAAGCCTGATCTACTGTATACTCCTTGTTAGTGTGGCACAAGGATCTCTGAACTTGGCATAGTCCAGAACTAACTGGTTCAACTCCTAGTTCTGCCCCTTACCAGCTGTGTGGTCTTGGGTAGTCACATTCTTCTTAAGCCTCTGTTTCTATAAAACAGAGCTAATAGCTGCTTGTTTTCTCTCACCCCCCACCTTCCCCGTTTCCAATCCATCCTCCCCATCTTTGGCCCAGCTCTGATAATCTAACATGTCATGGTTCTCCACTGCCCACCATCTAAAGTCCTAACTCCTTGGCCTTGCTCCCAAGGCCTTCAAAGAGCCAGCACAACCTCTTTTCCAGGCTTAGTCCCTATGGCTCCCTCTGCATCCCTTGAACTCTAGGCAGACCAGACAGCCCTATCAGTTCCCTGACAGATCCTTTGTGGTATGGCTCACGCCATAATCTGTCTGAAATCCAACAAACATACTGTGTGAAACCTTGTGTTAGGCACTGGGGACACAGGAATGAGATAGCTCCTACCTCTAGGCAATTCACAGTCTAATGGCCACAAGAGATAAGTTAACCAACAGTTTATACTTAAGTCTGTGTTAAATGTCACATAGAAAGAATGTAAGTGGGCTTTTGGGATCAGAGATGTGGTACACCCAAATCCAAACTAATGAAAATGAGAGGAGGCTTCTCAGAGGAGGTGCTTGAGCTGGATTTTGAAGACATATAGGAGTCGCCTGGGCAAATGAGAGTAAGGAAGACATTCCTTATGGCAGGAATAACACATAAGGTATGGAGAGACTATGGTGGCTTCAGGAAATCAAATACTGTGGTGCAGGTCAAAGGAACAGCACATAGAACCGAAGAGGTAGGCAGAGGCCCCGTTATGAAGGGCCTTGATTGCCAAGACTTGGACTTTATTCTGCAGAAGATGTTTGGTCATCAAAAGATTTTAAGTAGAGGAGGGATTTGACCAAACTTGCATTTCAGAAAGCTCCTGCCAGTAAAAGTTCCCCTCTGACAGTAATGCTGAAAATCAACTGGAAAGGAATGCCGCATTGGAGGCAAGTGGCCTGTCAGGATGCTCTACAAGTAGAAATAGTGAGAGCCTACACCCAAGGAAGTCGTAGACAGAAGGATGGAGAAAAAATGAGTTTTGTAGATACTGAAGAGAATACTTACTACTGCTACTAGTCAAAGACGTGAAAATAAATGAATTTACTTGGTTTAGGTAAGAAGAGGTCTAGCAAAAAACTGCTCTACCACGCCTATTTCTATTTTCGCAACCCTTCCTATCTTTAAGGTTTTACTCCTACAATTTTCCCATCATGAAACTTTTCCTGATTTCTCTCCCTCCCTTGTCCTGCCCAGCTGGCTGTGGTATCCTCCAATGAAGTGTCTCAGGAATCTGCCCCCCTCTTTTTTTTTTTTTTTTTAAGATGGAGTCTCGCTGTATCACCCGGGCTGGAGTGCAGTGGCATGATCTAGGCTCACTGCAAGCTCCGCCTCGCAGGTTCAAGCGATTCCCCTACCTCAGCCTCCCGAGTAGCTGGGACTATAGGCGCCCGCCCCCACGCCCGGCTGATTTTTCCTATTTTTAGTAGAGACAGGGTTTCACCATGTTAGCCAGGATGGTCTCGATCTGCTGACCTCGTGATGTGCCCTCCTCGGCCTCCCAAAGTGCTGGGATTACAGGAATGAGCCACCGCACCCGGCCAGGAATCTAACCCTTCTTTATAGCACCTACCTCATTTTACCTGGAAATGTAGGTACCAGTTTCTGTTTTCTCTCTACAACCGTAGTGAAGCTCCTTTTAAAAATGCACTGCCAGCCAGGCACGGTGGCTCACAGCTGTAATCCCAGCACTTTGGGAGGCCGAGGCAGGTGGATCACCTGAGGTCATAGTTCAAGACCAGCCTGGCTAACATGGTGAAACCCCGTCTCTACTAAATATACAAAAATTAGGCCAGGCGCAGTGGCTCAAGCCTGTAATCCCAACACTTTGGGAGGCCAAGCTGGGCTGATCACGAGGTCAGGAGTTCAAGACCAGCCTGACCAACGTGGTGAAAGCCCATCTCTACTAAAAATACAAAAAATTAGCCGGGTGTGGTGGCGGGCGCCTGTAGTCCCAGCTACTCGGGAGGCTGAGGTAGGGGAATCGCTTTAACCTGGGAGGCAGAGGTTGCAGTGAGCCGAGATCGTGCCACTGCACTCCAGCCTAGGCAGCAGAGCAAGACTCCTCAAAAAAAAAAAAAAAACAAAAATTAGCCGGGTGTGGTGGTGCGCACCTGTAATCCCAGCTACTCGGGAGGCTGAGGCAGGAGAACAGCTTGAACTCGGCAGGCAGAGGGTGCAGTAAGCCAAGATCGTGCCACTGCACTCCAGCATGGGTGACAGAGCAAGACTCTGTCTTGGGGGAAAAAAAAAGAAAAAATGCACTGCCTTGTCCATGTTTGTATCTGTCCCCATGCCTGGCACACAGTATGTGTTCAGTGGGGCTAAAATGAAATAATGCATGTGAAAGTGCACTCTGTAAACTGTGGAGTACTACAAACCCTATAGATTTTTTAAAATAATACTCAAGAGCATATAACTTTTTGCAGCTTCTCCTTTACTTTTCAGCTGCAAGATCAGCTCCTGAAGCAGCACAGATCCTTAGGGTCCCAGTTTTCTGGACTCAGATATCGGTGCACAGAAGAATTAGCACCCACTGGGCTCCTGTATCCAAAGAGGTGGCTCTTGGTAGGCAGGAGGCAAAGGGTGGTATTTGTTCCAGCCAAGAAGGCCAGACCACTTCTCTGTAGCTCATGTTCTTCTGACTCACACCCCTCAGTCCTATGGGCTGAGTAACTTTTCCAGCCTTGTGATTGTGGAAACTTGTTTCAGAACAGCATATGTGAAAGGGACACTTGGGCGACCCCACCCCAGGTCCCAGAATGGCTCACTTCTACTGGAGCCAATACAGCCCCCTCATATCAGCCCCTCGTATCTGTTTGCAGTCTTTTTTTTTTTTTTTTTTTTTTTTTTGAGAGTCTCGCTCTGTCACCCAGGCTGGAGTGCAGTGGTGCGATCTTGGCTCACTGCAACCTCTGCCTCCTGGGTTCAAGCGAGTCTCCTGCCTCAGCCTCCTGAGTAGCTAGGATTACAGGCGCGTGCCACCACACTTGGCTAATTTTTGTATTTTTAGTAGAGACGGGGTTTCACCATGTTGGTCAGGCTGGTCTCGAACTCCTGACCTCGTGATCTGCCCTCCTTGGCCTCCCAAAGTGTTGGGATTACAGGCGTGAGCCACGGCGCCTGGCACTCTGTTTGCTGTCTTAAATCACTGTGTCACTATCCAAAGTCCATTCCCCTGCCCTATTTCACACTTGGTAAACCAGAGGCCCAAGAGGAAAAGGAGGCAGTAGGAAGCTCCTACAGCCTCCTGCACTTCTCCCTGCTAGGTCTAGTTCAGATCAGCCTGGGAGGGGGCGCTCAGGAGTTAGTGCTTCCAGTCGGACTGATTTACATTTGACAATCCCCCGCCCCCCGTCACCCCCTCCACCCCGCCACCTTTGCTTTGTACTTGCTGCCAAGTATTTAGAGCTCCAAGGGCTTCGCTCGGGCAGTTTGTTTGGTCTCATAAAGTGCGGTCCCCGCCTTCGTAGGGGAGAGTCACTTCTATTTACTGTGCATCAGCCGCCACGTGCCCCATAAAAGCTGGTGACGACGCTGTCGGCCCGAGCTGGGAGGGGAGGGACCCCGCCTACGGGAAGGTCACGAGCCCGCCAGGCCCCGCCCTCATGTGACCTGCGGGGCCCGTCCTCGCCTGTGTCACTACCCTCGGCGGAGAGCGAAGGCTCGCACCGGCCGTGGCATCCAATCCCTGTCCTGCCAGCTATAGCCGGGCGGGGAGGAGGGAGCGGTTCCGGGTTCAGAAAGAGAAAATCTCCATCTAAGGCGAAGGGGTAGAAGGGAGGTCGAGGGAAGGCAATAAAGTCACTTGTTTAATCTCCTCTATGCTGTAAAATCCCCGAAGGCAGAAATCACATAGTCCTAAGTGTATGGCACACAGAAGACGCTCAATAAATGGCTGATTGGCAACTGGCCATCGGACCCTGCTCGGATGCAGCGCCAGTCCCGCCGCCCTACGCAGCAGTCCCCTCACCCCTCTCCCCCGGCGTCCTCCCTGCTGTGACAAGGCAAATGAGACAATGGGTTCGGCCAACCAACGCTTCCAAGCCTGCGGCCCGCGGCCGGGAAGTGTCCTCAATCCGCTCGTCTAACACTGCAGTGGGTGCGGCCAAAGACCCCAGTCCACTCTCCGCGCCCCTGCCAATGGGCGGGAAGCGGGGCCTCAGCCTCACTGCGCTGGCTCTGCCAGTGGCAGACGGAATCATCAGCCAACCGCACCCGGGCAGGACGCATGCGCACCCAGAAGATGTAGCCCTAGATGGGGAAAAACCGAGCCGAGAGAGCCAATTTTGGCTGGGTCTTGCCAGGTCTTGCCAGGTCTTCCCGGAGAGGGTGCGCATGCGTAAATCGAACACCTCCTCTAAATCTAACGCCCTGCTCAGTTCTAGAGGGGACAGCGCCCTCTGTCCTCCTGGCCGTTTTCCTGAACTCCTAACCTCAGTCAATACTGCCTCGGGACCTGGCGCTGCCTGGGAGATCCAGAAGAAAGGAAGCATCTTGGCCCCTGCCTTGGGGGCGACACGACCGTCCCCAAACACAGCGAGTCACTGGCCTGGGTCTTTGTGCAGAGGCCCCTCTAGGAGCGGGGAACCAACGATGGCACGAACATTGATTTGAGGAGGATGCTTCGCAGTTTACGAAGTGAGTTATATCCATTGTCTCAGAAGTTCCTCACAAAAAAACAAAACAAAACAAAACAAAAAACAGGTTGTCAAGTAAAGAAGCTGACGCTCAGGAAGGTGAAGGGGACGAGTCCAAGGACACTGCCGGTCAAGGTGAAATGGCCTGGAACCCTGGCGACCCAACTCCCCATTCAGTGCTCTTTGTTTTTATTTTGTTTGTTTTTTGAGACAAGGTCTTGCTCTGTCGCCCAGGTTGGAGTGCAGTGGCGCGATTTCGGCTCACTACAACCTCCGCCTCCCGGGTTCAAGCGATTCTCCTGCTTCAGCCTCCCGAGTAGCTGGGATTACAGGCGCCCGCCGCCACGCCCGGCTAATTTTTTTGTATTTTTAGTAGAGACAGGGTTTCACCATGTTGGCCAGGCTGGTCTCGAACTCCTGACCTCAGGTGATCCGCCCGCCTCGGCCTCCCAAAGTGCTGGGATTACAGGCGTGAGCCACTGCTCCTGGCCCCATTCAGTGCTCTTCTACCATGATAAGCAGTTTCCTTGCTCTCCAAGAAGCTTGTGTTTAGTTGGCCTAACGGCACATAAGATCAAGAAAAAGGCAGTTTCAGTCTTTCTTTTTTTTTTCTTTTTCTTTTTTTTTAATAGAAAATGAGTGCTAGAGGCGTTCAGAAACGGGAAAGATCACTTTGTGCTCCTGTGATCTGAAGGCTGCGTGAAGAAGATGAGGCTTGGAAAATAGGTACAAAGTACATAATCGGAGTGGATCAATCTTAGGAACAGGCCAGGCTCAGTGGCTCACGCCTGTAATCCCAGCACTCTGTGAGGCCAGGGCGGGAAGATCACCTGAGCCCAGGAGTTCCAAAACAAGCAAAATTAAGCAATATTGTGTTTACATATATGATAAAACTTTGGGAAAAGCAAGGAATGATAAGCACAAAATGTATTAATAGTTACCGTAGAGAGATTGGGGATGGGAGGAGAAAAAACACACAGGTGGATGCCATTGGTAATGGTGCAGTTTTTGGGATAAAAGGTAGGTTTATGGGTATTAACCTAATTAAGTATATAACACATGTATACATTATAATTATTCTTTTGTATGTATAAAATGTAATTTAAAAGATGATAATGGAATCACAGCCTCCCACCCCAGTACATTACATAGTTGAAGAGAGGGAAAGCTGGCCGGGCGTGGTGGCTAATGCCGGTAATCCCTTGCCTTTGGGAGGCTGAGGCGGGTGGATCACTTGAGTCCAGGAGTTCGAGACCAGCCTGGGCAACATGGTGAAACCCCATCTCTACTAAAGATACAAAAATTAGCCGGGCACAGTGGCGTGCACCTGTAGTCCCAGCTACTTGGGAGGCTGAGGTGGGAGGATTGCTCGAGCCCAGGAGGTCTAGGCTGTAGTGAGCCGAGATCACACCACTACACTCCAGCCTGGGGGACAGAGCAAGACCCAGTCTTCAATCAAAAAAAAAAAAAAAAAAAAAAAAAAGAGGAGGGAGCTGGAGGGGAAAGCCTTACATGTATTGCCCTTAGTTAAAGAGCATTTCTACACACTTTATACCAGGTGATTCTCACAAGAAGGCTTCAATAATCTCCATGTTAGAGATGAAGAGACTCAAGTAACTGAAAGTTACTTAAGGCCAATGGGGACCCTGTGCAGCTATATATCCAGTGTCCCAAGCACTGTGTCTGGCATGTTAGTAAACATGTTTCATAGGTGAGTGACAGAACTTTGTAATTACCCTGGTGTCTGCTAGTGAAATGAGCTGCCTCTGAAGGTAGGGAGTGCCCTGCACAGCAGCTGGCTGACCATTGTCAGGATCAGAAGTAATATAGAAACAATTCTGTCTTCAGCTGAAGTTTGGATATAGATAACCTCTGAGGTTCTTTTCAACTATAAGGCTCTATGAGTCTTTCAGAGGCTGAAGGCAAAACCGTATTAAGATAATAAGTTTGTCCACTTCCACTAGGGTCGTAGAAGTGGTTGCCAAAGAAAGGCCTAGATTAAAAAGACTTTTTTTTTTTTGAGACAGAGTCTCACTTTGTCACCTAGGCTGGAGTGCAGCGAGCATGATCATAGCTCACTGCAGCCTTGAACTCCTGGGCTCGAGCGATCTTCCCGTCTCAGCCTCCCAAGTAGTTGAGACTACAGGTGCACACCACTGTATCTGGCTAATTTTTAAATTTTGTAGAACAGAGTCTTGTCATGTTCCCCAGGCTGGTCTTGGACTCTTGGTTTCAAGTGATCCTCCCTCCTCAACCTCCCAAAGTGTTGGGATTACAGGCGTGAGCCACTGCATCTCACCCCCAAAAAACATTTGGAAGGACAAGTTAACAGGACTTATTGCCAAAATAGATATGAAGTATGTTGTTATGGTTATGTATATTGTTGTGTGTTGTATGTGGCCACAGGATTTTTGATCCACCCTAACTGGAAGAAATGCCTAACAGGCAATTAACAATATGGGATAGTGCTCAAGAGAGATAAGGGGTGATATGTCACACTGAGATATAAGGGAAAGAGCACTGGAGTTGGAGTTAGGAGACCTGATTTCTAGACCTAACCTTGTCTTTAATTAACAGTGTCATCTTGGACAAATCCCTTCATTTGCATAAGTCTATTCCCTCATATAGTAAAGATACATACGTGCAACGATAGCTATAAGGAAGAACGTGCCCATCCCCTTCTTAAGATCCTACTCATCTAGTTAAAAAAACAGATATCCAGTATTAAAACTTGGCTTCTCGGGCCGCGTGCAGTGGCTCGTGCCTCTAATCCCAGCACTTTGGGAGGCCGAGGCGGGCGGATCACGAGGTCAGGAGTTCGAGACAAGCCTGACCGACATGGTGAAACCCCGTCTCTACTAAAATACAAAAAATTAGTCGGGCATGGTGGCATGCGCCTGCAGTCCCAGCTACTTGGGAGGCTGAGCCAGGGTAATCACTTGAACCTGGGAGGTGGAGGTTGCAGTGAGCCGAGATGGCGCCACTGCACTCCAGCCTGGCGACAGAGCGAGGGTGCGTCTCAAAAAAAAAAAGAAAGAAAAGAAAAGAAACTTTGCTTCCCTCTGTTGTCCCATAATATTATGTTCATTTCTCCATTATAGGACTTACCACATTACAGGACAGACCACAGTGCATGTCTGTCTGCTCCAACAGAAGTGGCTTTCTTGAGGGAAGGAATTCTGCCTTGTTCAACTTTATATTCCCCCACAGTGCCTTGCAGAAAGTAGGAGCCCAGAAAATGTGTACTGAATTGCTCAGAATTGTGTGGTGAGGTAGAAAGTATTGCTTAATCTCTCCGAGACCTCAATTTCCTTATTTGTAAATTAAACTGCTGATTAATTTCTAAAGTTCTTTTGAGTTACAGAATTCTGTTACCCAACAAGGTTTCAGAGATTGAGAAGATTGAATTATTTGATTTCTAAATTCTTTTTCAACTTCAATATTAAATGATTTTATAATACCGAGTTGCAAGTGATCTACATGGAAATGATAGCTGAACAAGTTATCAGAGGAAAAACATGTGGGAAAAGATTGAGAACAGAAGTAACATCTAGCTATCCAATACGAGAGAGAGAAGCCACTGAAAGTAACATGGAAGAGTCAGTCTGAAAAGCAGGGGAGATAATAATAGAAGGAGTGACAGAATCAGATGCCTAGAGGACTATCATGCAAATGAGTGAAGTGGTCCAGTGGTAAGCGTTAGGGAGTTGTGGAGACTGGAGAGGCCATGGCCCATCTAAAGTCAGCTGTGTCATGTTACCAATGTGAGTGTTGCCACATCTTCCAGGTTTTTGTTTGTTTGTTATTGTTGTTTTTGTTTTTTGTTTTTTTGCGACAGACTGGCTGTCACCAGGCTGGAGTACAGTGGCGTGATCTCGCCTCACTGCAACCTTCACCTCCTGGGTTCAAACAATTCTCCTGCCTCAGCCTCCCGAGCAGCTGGGATTACAGGCGCACACCACCACACCTGGCTAATTTTTGTGTTTTTAGTAGAGACGGGTTTCACCATGTTGGCCAGGCTGGTCTCGAACTCCTGGTCTCAGATGATCCACCTGCCTTGGCTTCCCAAAGTGCTGGGATTACAGACATGAGCCACTACCCCTGGCCTAGTTTTTAAGAAGCTGGTAATACAGATTTTTATTTGAAATCTCATGATCTGTAAGTGTTAGCAACAAGTTCCAATTACTTTAAAATTCTTTGCAGATCAAAAAAAAAAACCACATCTTTAGGCCAAGTATTTGGGCCACCTATCTATAACCTCTCCAGTATAGTACCAAAGGAGGAACTCTTTTTCACCCTCAAATCATACATGCTTCAGTACGATGTAGTGGAAGAGCGCCCTCCCTCTGTTCATAGCAGCTCTGTGATATGCATCCCAACACTTCCTGGTACTTCCAGGACTTTGCCCCATCCATTATCTTCTCTCTCTCCTCTGTTTTCAACTTCTTCTTGTCTACTTGCACTTCTCTTCATTCTAAGAACATGCTGAAGCCTCTCCACATTCTGAAAACACTGCTCCATTGTCCTATAGCCACTTATAGGCATTTTCTAGAAAGTTTTCTTTTTCTCTTCTCCAGTAAATTTCTTGACAATATCAATTACGTTTGCTATTTCCTCTCCCTCTCTTCCCATTGTAAGTTGGCTGAACTCCTCAACTCACAGAGTTTGCATCTACCACTTCAGCCTTTCTCAACAGGGCAAAGATCTCTGTTGTGAAATTCATTGACACTTCCCAACTAGGTTAAAACTTCTCACACTCCGATATCAAGTATTGTATCTTTTTTATTTTAGCACCTAAGAGGTGTTCAGTCAATGTTTATTGAACCAAAGGGGAACCGGTAAGTGTTAATTGAACCAAAATGGAAAGAGTTTTCAAGAAAGAAAGATGGTCAGCGTCATCAAATTTGCAGAAGGATCAAAGACTGTGATGGCCAAATGAAACCCACTGGATTTTAAGATAAGGAGATTACCAGTAACTTTTGAGGGGGCAGTTTCAGTTTAGGGAGTTGCTTGACATTGCCGTGGTTTATAAGGAAGAGGGCTGTGGAGTGAGTGTAGACCATGCATTGGAGAAGTTTGGCACTATAGGGAGGAAACAGCAGGAAATATTGGAGACAATCATGCCAGTTAGAGTTCTCAGGATCGAGAAAATCCTGGCGTATTTGTAAGTAAAGGAAACAAAGCTAGTGGCACAGGGGATGCTGAAAATGTTTGATAAAGAGAACATCTCAGAGTACACCATCAGAGGGAGACAATTGAGAAGTTAGCGGATTCAAGGAATTGGTTGGCCTTTACAAGGAGGTGAGAAGTCGCCTCTGAATTAGGCAGAAGGGTTAAAGGCATGAGTCAGAATTATACACAGACCCTTGAGTGAGGAAAGGTGATGGAGGAGAGCTCCTGTGCATTTTATCAATAAAGTGGAAACAAGGTTACATGTTTCCAGTACTCGGCTGGGGTAGTAGAACTATAGATTGCTAGCAATTTAGAGACTATTCTTTGCAGGCTCTACTCCTTTTGCCCACCCTGTAAATAGTATTGTTTAATTGCTGAGGATGGGGGGAGGCGGTCTGTCTTCGGCTGCCCTCTCTTCTTTACTCCTTTTCAGGGTAGTATCATCTACTCCTAAGTTTTAAGCAACCTCTAAAGGCTGATGGCTCCTGATGTCTATAGCTGAAATCTCTCTCTTGAGCTTCAGACCTATGTGTGCAGCCACGCTTGTGGCATATCCCCAGGATATTTCACAGGTTAAACCTAACAGGAACTCTGTATTTTCTGCACCGACACTGCTAATTTCTCCTAAATTCTTTGTCCTAGCTAATGGTCACACTACTTCCCTAGCTGCTCAAGCCAGATACCTCTCTCTCTCCTTCCCTCCCTCTCTCTAAATATGTGTATGCATGTATCTGTGTATGTAGACAGGTAGGTATTTAAAAGAATAGGAATATACTTATATTTTATGTATTATGTTTTCTTTTACACTTACTAATGTCATGATCATTTGATCATGCCAATAAATACTTTTCGACATTTTTAGTGCCTGATAAGTATTATCTTCTAACCATGTACTGTATTCTACTGCCTTGTTGAAAATTTGATTGTTTCCTCTTTTTTTTTTTTTTTTTTTTTTTTTTAGCTATCAGGAATAGTACCGAGTGAGTCCAGGTGTGGTGGCCTGTGCTTGTAATCCCAACACTTTGGGAGGCTGAGGTGGGAGGATTATATGATCCCAAGAGTAAGACCAGCCTGGGCAACATAAGGAGACCCTGTCTCTACAAAAAATAAAACAATTAGCCGAGAGTGGTAGAGAATGCCTGTGGTCCCACCTATTCAGGAGGCTGAGGTGGGAGGATCATATGAGCCTGGGAGGTCAAGGCTTCAGTGAACCATGATCGCACCACTGTTCTCCAGCCTGGGCAACAGAGTGAGACTCTGTTTCAAATAAATAAAGAGCACTGAACATATCTGTACATATCTTTTATTTCCTTAGATTGAATACTTAGAACTGCAAATAGAGGGCCACGAAGTATACGCATTTGAAAAGATTTTAATACATTTTGCCAAATTGGCCTTCCAGAAAAATTATACCTCAGTATATGATAACATCCTTGCCAATATTGGATATTATCATTTTAATTGTTGCCATTGTAATAGATTATATCTGACCCTCCAACTCTCAGCTCCACCTTTTCCCTAAATCCTTCATCATTCCCTTCCAAGTACCCTCACAACTCCCCTGGGGCACACAACTTAATTGAAAGGCAGAGAGGGACCAATTTCCCATAGGGATAATTCCCAATCTTCTCCACTTTCCTCTAACCCCACTGTTGCTGCTCTTGTTCATAGAGGTTTCTAGGCCAACCTGCGCAAGCTTCCAAAGTAATTTTTTTGTAACTCTTTAGTATCTTCCTCTATCTCCCTCTCTTCCTAAATTCCTGTCTCTGAGAGATTATTTTCCCCCTCCTTGTTGAGAATGACCTTTCAAAAGCACTTTGTCCTTCTTTCCTCCCCTAACCTTTGCATTATGCCATTGCTGCCTCCCATTAATAGAGTAGTAATTTCTTCCCTCTGCCAAAAACATACTTAAATCTCTTCTACACAAGAAAAAAGAAAAAGAATTCCATTATCCTCAAACTACCATATTCTTTTCTCCTTCCTTCACCATTATTTTTTTTTTTTTTTGAGACGAAGTCTTGCTCTGTTGCCCAGGTTGGGGCGCAGTGGCACAATCTTGGCTCACTGCAACCTCTACCTCCCAGGTTCAAGTGATTCTCCTGCCTCAGCCCCCAGAGTTGCTGGGATTACAGGCGCCCGCCACCACGCCCGGCTAATTTTTTTTGTATTTTTAGTAGAGATGGGGTTTCACCATGTTGGCCAGGCTGGTCTCGAACTCTGACCTCAGGTGATCTGCCCACCTCAGCCTCCCAAAGTGTTGAGATTACAGGCGTGAGCCACCACGCCCAGTCCCCATCAGACTTTAGAGTGCTGAGAAGTGTCTATTGACTCTCATGTACCTCTCAGCATCTTGAATTCTGGGGTCCAGCTCCTCACTCCTGAAATGGCAGTCTTCGGGGTCTTAGGCAACTTTAAAGCCCTATCAAAAGCCTTTTCTTCACCTCGTGGTAGCCTGGGGTGCAGGTCCCTGCCCTTCCGCCTGAGGCTGTCTTCTCCCGGCTGCATGGTTCGCCCTTTCCTGATTCTCCTCTCTCAGTGAGGGCTGGGATCCCGCAGGCCTGCAGGCCATGTTCATGTGTCTCAACCATCACTCTCCTAGCTCTTCCCTCCCTCTGGGTTTTCTCACCTGATCCTGTGGCTTCAGTTTTCTCCTTTATCTTGCTGATTCATAGCCCAAATGGAATTCCAGACCCAAATTATGTAGTTGCCTCCTAGACAGCTCTACCTGGATGCGATTCCTCAAATTCCACAGATCTCAAACTGAATTTGTTAGCCAGTTTCCCCCACCATCCCCACTGCCACACACAGACAAAGAGAAAAACCCGCTCCTCCCACTGTGTTTCCTACTTTGGTCAATGTCATCATCAAACTTTTAGTCATCATGCTCAAACCCATAAAAATAATAGCTGCCACATACTGAGTGCCTGCTTTATTTGCCAGGTACCTTACATGCAGAATCAAATCCAGTCTTTCCACAATAACCGTGTAAGGCTGATTTACTATGTCCATTTTTAGAGATAAGGAAACTACCAGAAAGTGGTGATATTCAATAAGTTTAGTTAGTGCCCACGCCTCTGTGTGGAGTTTCACCACATAATCTCTCCCTGCTCCTCAGTACCATATCCAGCCAGTTTCCAGGTCCCCCATGTTCACTGTATAGTACATCTGCCCTCTCTTTATCTGCCCACCACCAACTCCTTAGGCCAGCCTCACTGTTCCTTTCTCTCTCTCTCTCTCTCTTTTTTTTTTTTTTTTTTTTTTTTTTTTTTTTTTTTTTTTTTGGTAGAGACAGCATCTTGCTCTGTTGACCAGGCTGGTCTCAAACTCCTGGCCTTAAACCATTCTCCTGCTTGGCCTCCCAAAGTGTTAGGATTACAGGCATGAGACCACTGCACCTGGCCTCAGTGTTCTTTTGCCTGGAAATTAGCAAACCTTCTTCAACTATCACTGACAGATGTCATTATAAAGCATACTTTTAAACATTACTCCTTACAAGTGAAAATCCTAAATGATTCCTATTGCCGAGTGGGGTTCTAACCCTTTAGCCTGGTGTCCAAGGCTCTCTACCCTCTAATGCCAGCCTTATCTCCTGCCTATGCCCTTGGTGAACCTTATATTCCATCTAGCCAAGAACACAAGTTTTCAGCATGCCCTGCACTTCCCCCCATGACCCAAGTCTTTGTTCTTGCTATTGCTTCTCTCTGTAATTCCCTTTCTTCCCTATCTAACCCCCCTTCTCATATGTGTCTGTTGAAATCCTATCAATACTTAAAGTCCAGTTCAGCTGCCACCTCCACAGAAAACCCTTTCTTTTTAAAAATTAATTGCCGGGCGCGGTGGCTCACACCTGTAATCCCAGCACTTTGGGAAGCCAAGGTGGATGGATCACCTGAGGTTGGGAGTTCGAGACCAGCCTGACCAACATGGAGAAACTCCATCTCTACTAAAAATAGAAAATTAGCCATGTGTGGTGGCACATGCCTGTAATCCCAGCTACTCGGGAGGCTGAGGCAGGAGAATTGCTTGAACCCGGGAGGCAGAGGTTGCGGTGAGCCAAGATCGCACCACTGCACTCCGTCCTGGACAACAAGAGCGAAACTCCACCTCAAATAATAATAATAATAATTAATTAATTAAATTTTGAGACAGGGTCTCACTCGGTCACCAAGGCTGGAATGCACTGGCGCAATCATAGCTCATTGCAACCTCGAACTCCTGGGCCCAAGCGATCCTCCCTCCTCAGCCTTCAAAAGTACTGGGATTATAGGCTTGAACCACCACACCTGGCCAGAAAACCCTTTCAAATCTTCCAAGGAGTCATTTAGGTCTACCTCTTCCAACTCCCACTCTTAGTATTTTTGCCTTTTTTTAAACCATATTTTTCCTCATCTCAGAGATACTTTTGTAAATGTTTGTCTCCCCCTCTACTCTTTTATGTTCTCAGAGGATATGGACTATTTCTTAGCCATCTCTGTATCTCGAACATTATCTCCCCCACTAAGCAGTGTCCAGAGTAGGCATGTACAATGTACCAATTTTAGTTTGACTGATTCAAATTAATCAAACATTTGGTCCATTCTTGCTAATCCTTCCACTTCTGCATTCCAGGTTCTGTCAGGTGAGCTGTTGTGCTGTATGTCTGACCTGAATTGCCTTTTAGGAGGGAATCAGTACTTGGAAGCTGGAATACATCAGGGATACCCCTAAAACGAGAGACTATTTTTTTCCATTGGATTCTGACATAAATAAATTTTGCCTACTTTGACAGTCAGTTCTGTCCTGAATGTTGGGAAGAGGGAAGCCGTGTTCTGGGCTTTGAAGTCATGCAGATCTGGGTTCAAGTCCTGCCTCCACCACTTTCTGCTTGTGTGATTCAGTGCCCATTGCTTAACCTCTCATGGAGTTGTGAGGATTAAATAAGATGCAAGTAAAACACTTAGAAAGGTGCCTAGTAAAGATTAAGAGCTTAATAATAGGAATAGTAATCATGGGAATAAATAAAATACATTCAAACTGGATTTTATCTGTTTACATTTGAGTATGAATATGTCGGCCTTTCTGGAAATTCACATCAATGTCGATTAAATGATGCTACTTCCGGGACTTTCTTCCCAACCCAGCTCAGCCCCTCCAGCCCGCCTCCTTCGTTTCCTCTTCCCTGCCATAGCCTGGTGCGGCCACCAGGAGGAGCATTTGTGCCACAGAAGGAGTCTCACTCACCTCTCAGGCAGGAAAAAGCCCTCCTCGCTCTCCAGGCCATATCCACTCCCCTCTGGAGCACGGCTTGTTGTGACACCGCTGCCCTCTGCCTGTCTTCTCTTCCCGGCCTGGGAGGAGCTTTCTATTCTAGGTTTCCATTCTTATTTTGGACAGCCCGATGTAAAGACATACACCCTCGGCCGGGCGCGGTGGCTCACGCCTGTAATCCTAGCATTGTGGGAGGCCGAGGCCGGCAGATCACTTGAGGTCAGGAGTTCAAAACCAGCTTGGCCATCCATCGTGGTGAAACCCTGTCTCTACTAAAAATACAAAAAGTTAACTGGGCATGGTGGTGCGCGCCTGTAATCCCTGCTACTTGGGAGGCTGAGGCAGGAGAATCGCTCGAACCCGGGAGGCGGAGGTTGCAGTGAGCCGAGATCATGCCACCACACTCCAGCCTGGGTGACAGAGCGAGACTCCATCAAAAAAAAAAAAAAAAAAAAAAAAAAAAAAAAAAAAAGACGTATACCCTGAATGAGAGCCAGGAGACCTGTTACTTGCTCAGCTTTTCCATTACATCCCTGTCAATCAACTGCTTGACTTTCTTTTTGTTTCTTTTCTTTTCTTTTTCTTTTTTTCTTTTTTTTTTTTTTTTTGACACAGGGTCTCACTCTAGTTGTCCAGGCTGGAGTGCAGTGGCCCAAACTCAGCTCACCACAACCTCAACCTCCTGGGCTCAGGTGATCCTCCCACCGCAGTCTCCCAAGTAGCTGGGACCACAGGCACATGCCACCACGCCCAGCTATTGACTTTCTTTAGCCTGTTTCCTCACCTGTGAAATGGGAATGCTAATACATGCCCTGTGAACCTCAGTAGGGTGCTGTAAAAATGAAATATCCTGACATATACAGACCCTCTTTATAAAGTGTCAAATAGGTGACAGCATTGTCTAACCTCACACTGTGTCATTTCTCCCTCCTGCTGTCTTCAGTGGACACTCTCATCCACCCAGAGCCTTGACTGGAAATGGATTGTTAGGAAGGGATTACAGAGCACCTAGTCTCCACTTACACTAACAGAAGGGAATGAGTCTGAACCATAGCAAGAAGTACTAGAATTAAATTTACCTGGAATATTCAGAGAAAGGTTAAAGTCTCTTTTCACAAAAAGCAAAGGACAGCAAGGGAACTGTCTAGAACAGAATGACAACAGGAATTCCTAGAAACAACTGGAGGGGTAGGGCAACTTGCCTCCATAGTTGGCTAGAGGGAAGGTTTAATATATTTTGCTGAAAGATGGAAAGAATCAGTGAATAAATGAAACTGAATGAATGAAATATAGGTATGATATTTTAAGGTCTTGGGACACTAGGTGGCGGCACAAGGCAACAAACCAAGAGACCAGAACTTCTTCCAATCCAGGGGCTGCCCAGGAGGGGCACCTCCTCTGTATTCCCCAGACTTTAAGCACCCTTTCCCCTTCTATATCTGTCTTTTCAAATGATGCACTCTCTTCAGTGATAAAGACATTGAAGCAGGCAAGGAAGAGAAAACCTGGGGGAGCCAAATACATATTACCTAGGGTTTCTTCTTTTCAGATAGCCCGTGGAATTAGAGTTCTCTGGCTCCAAAAAGGGCATAAGAAAGGAAAAAAAATGGGAACATTGCATGAGAAATCTGGATTAGGGTGAGAAGGCATTTAGATAGGATTACCCAATCTACACTGATTGGGGAAAGATCTGATGACAGAATTTATTTTTTCTTTTTCTTTTTTTCTTTTTTTTTTGTTTTGTTTTTTTGTTTTTTGTTTTTGTTTTTTTTTTAGACGGAGTCTTGCTGTCGCCCAGGCTGGAGTGCAGTTGCGCGAACTCGGCTCACTGCAACCTCTGCCTCCTGGGTTCAAGCGATTCTCCTGCCTCGGCCTCCTGAGTAGCTGGGATTATAGGTGCACACCACCATGCCCCGCTAATTTTTGTATTTTTAGTAGAGACGGGGTTTCACCATGTTGGCAAGGCCAGTCTCAAACTCCTGACCTCAGGTGATTTTCCCCACCTCAGCCTCCCAAAGTGCCGAGATTACAGGAGCGAGCCACCACGCCTGGTCTAGATTTTTTTTTTTAATTGAGTAATAGTACCCTGGGGAAGTTACTGCCTCACCCATTTCTTCCTCAGGACACCACAGACCCCTCTCCTCCCATTTATTGAGAGAGAGAGAGAGAGACTGTGACTATAGCCCTTCTCAGCAAAGTAAAAGCAAAGCAGAAATCAGGCTGTTTAACTACTGGAAACTCTTCATTGTATTTTTTGACCAAGTATTGGTTCTTTGATACAGGAGAGAAAGCACTGCCAAAAGCCAAGGGCCTTTGAATAAATTCTGTCTCAGTCAGGAAACCCTAAAAATTTACTGAGGTAGTAGACGGCTACAGGGAGTTGATTATGCCTTCGCCACCATAATGCAAGACTTCTGAGTCATGAACATAGCGCCAGTGGAAAGATGCCACCTTCTTAGCTTCACTCTGCTTGGGTTTGTAACTCTAAGACAAAATCGCTTCTCTGTATCATCTCCATTCCTAAAGTTGTTCTGTTCAGCGTCCTATTTTAGCAGGCATCAGTGGATATGCAGCCCAGCCATGCCCCTCCCAGTTGCCTTTAGCACAATGGAACCAAGACCACCGTCTTACCCTCTGTCCTCTTTTCTGTGGATGGTAATTTCCTAGTCTTTCCTGTTTCCTCCAGATCTCCCTTCTTCCCGTGGTAGGGGAGGAGAAGTAGTGAGCATTGTGCTTTTTACACCGAGCTCCTGTAACACTGTCTTTATAATAATGCATATAAAGCACTTGTAACAGAACACTAAAAAAAGTCAGTGATTATCAGCCAGGCACAGTGGCTCACACCTGTAATCCCAGCACTTTGGGAGGCTGAGGCGGGCAGATCACCTGAGGTCAGGAGTTCGAGACCAGCCTGGCCAACCTGGTGAAACCCCATCTCTACTAAAAATACAAAAATTAGCCGGATGCGGTGGCACACGCCTGTAATCCCAGCTACTCGGGAGGCTGAGGCAGAAGAATCGGTTAAACCTGGGAGGCGGAAGTTGCAGGGAGCCGAGATCGCGCCACTGCACTCCAGCCTGGGTGACAGAGCAAGACTCTGTCTCAAAAAAAAAAAAAAGAAAAAGAAAAAAAAGCCAGTGATTATCATGGCTACTTATAACTATCTGCAGTATTTTCCAGTGTACAAGAACTTTGACATGCATTATTTATTCCATTCATTTATTCATTAAACAAATATTTATCAAATGCATGTTATATGCCCAGTACTCTTCTGGGCCATTGATGGAGAAATGGACCACATGGCCATGATCCCTGCCTTCGTGAAACTTTGAGGAAGCTTAAAATTTTTAATGTAAGTTGACATATTCACTGCTTTGTGTTAGAACTTTGACATTGGAAAGAATGTTAGAAATCAGCTAGTTCAAATTTTATTTTTTATTTTATTTACTTATTTATTTAGAGATAGGGTCTTGCTCTGTCATCCAGGCTAGAGTGCAGTGGTGTGATCTCAGCTCATTGAAGCCTTAACCACCCAAGCTCAAGCGACCCTCTCACCTCAGCCTCCAGCGTAGCTGGGACTACCGGCGCATACCGCTAAGAAATCAGGTAGTTCAATCACTTACTCAAAACAGAAATTCATTCTTCTATATCTTGGTCTAAAATCACCAAGAATTGGTGGCTGTTCTTGACTAAACATTCTCTGTATTTGGTCTTTTCTGACCATTTGTACATTCTTCTTTATGCCAAACCCTAATGCGGTTCCTTTTCATTTCCACTCACTGATTCTTTTCCTGTACGATTCAATAAGTCTGCCCCTCTTCTATGCGGATTGCCCATTAAATAGTTAAAGACAGGTACCACAGCTCCAAGATCAGTTTGTTCGTAATTCTTCACTTAATGAAGACTTCTTTTTCAAGAATCATTTGAAGTATTTCCCATGTGCCAGGCACTTTAGTAGGTATTCTCATACAATCTCATTTAACCCTCACTATGAACCCTGCGCAATAAACTTCATTCTGATTTTATTGATAAGGCAAATGAAGATGAGAGAGAAGAAGTAACCTGCCCACGGCCACATCCCTTATATATGGCAGAGCCCCTTGGACATTTGGTTAATCCTCTTCTCAGTGCTCTCTTACATGTCAGTATCTTGCTTCAGATGGAGTCAGTTACAAGTACAGTAACACTCTTCAGCTTTCTTGACTGGAATGTGATTCTTCTTCCCAGAGCCAAAGACCACATTAGCTCTTAGCAGTTCCATCACGTTACTGGCTCATACTGAGCTTATGGTTACCTAAATGTTCAGGTCTTTCCGATATGCATCATTGTCAAGCCTGGTCTCTCACATGCACTGCTTTGTCCTACTGTCTCAATGTTTGGGTCCTATCCTTCCTTCAAAGACCACCCAGCTCATGCCCAACTCTTTGGTGAAACCTTTCCCGATTCTACATTACCCCCATTGAACAGGATCTCTTTCTCTCTCCATAGAATTTCTATCTATATTTTCTGAGCAATAATTTGTGATCTTTAATTAGGGCAGATGTCTCCTTCCCCTTATGTCCCTTAGTGCCTGGTCCATAGAGTCATCCAGCAAACACTTGTCAAATGAACAAATCTTGTAACTAGAAAATTTATATTTTGTCTCTAAATGCAGTGCTTTACATATCCCTGTTGAATTTCTTAAGCAAATTCTAACTTCTCTATGGTTTGGGGCCCATTCTCTGCTCTATCTCACACAGTGCTGTGTGCAGAGCACCCACCAGGAACTGTACATTTCCCCAGCAGCCTGATGAGGTAGGCATGATACTTGTTTTACAATGAGGAAATGGAGAGCCAGAGAGTCCAGGAGCCATACCCAGGATCACATCGCTCATAAGTAGCAGAGCTGGGCTTCATTCAAAATGAGATCTTCCTGACTCCGATGCCTATGTTGTTTCTGCCACCCTACGCTGCTTTTCTAAAGTAAAACGTGTCTTTATGGGAGACCAGATGAGTCTAGGGCAGAGTCATCCCCAACAGGCATGTTTGCCAGAGTTTGGGAGACCTGCCCCTGCAGATTGTCCTGCAAAGGATAAGACGGTTGCTGGAAGCCCCTTTAGTTCGTGAACAGGTTAGAAAACAGCTGCTAACAATGATGACTGAAGAACAAAATGGGGTAGAGGCAGCCAAGATGGAAGGAAACAGTGAGAAGAGACTGGATGTTCTTTGTGTGTGGAACTTTTTCCTGATTTCCTCGCGAATAACTCTCTTATCTCCTCTAAGTCTTTGCTCCAATGCCGACTTCTCAATGAGGCCCCACCCCATCCCCTTATGCTGTTTTACATTTCATTTGTCGTCCATAGCGGTTATCACCTTTTAATATATAATGTGCATAATCTAATTTCTGAAGCCCAGTTTGCACATACACACTCCTGGTTCTAGTCCTCAACTTCCCCGAGACCTTGGGCTAGAAGGCACTCCCCCAAGCTCCTCTCTTCCCCATTTACGAAGCCCCTTTCTGCAACAGAGTAATAAGAAATAAGAGAAGAAATGTGGAAAGCCTATAGAACAAATGACTCTTAGATGGAATCAAATTAGTGTTTATGTGGATTTTCGTGTCCTTTTTCCCACAGTTCTGGCAAGGGAGGGATGAAAATTAGATTTTAATAATTATTTCCCAACAGTCATAGGTGGAAGAAACTCAGAAAGACTCGAAAGGGACCAAAAATGGGCTGGGGCTAAGGTGGCCTCAGAGCAGAGACAGCAGGATGGTGGGGCACGGAACAGCCTGTCCCACACCTCCGCAGGGGGCTGATCCTGAGAGACCTCCAGAGCCCCGGGGCCCGCCCCTCTCCCCAATTCCCATCGTCGCAGGCTCCCGAGAAGAATGCAGGTCAGGATCGTAAGTGACCTTTCACACCTCAGACAAGCTAAGTTTGTTTTCTCCTTTTCTGTCCAGCCCTCAGCGGGAGGGAGGGGGAAATGGGATGGGCCTTGTCGAACTTTCTCCTGCTACAATACCCCAGAGGAGTTGAAGTGGAGGGAGTAAAGGATCTATTTATTTTGGCTCAGGAGGGACAATGTAAGCAGATGGTCTTTGATGGGATTAGCGGCGTAATCTCTAAGACCCTGGTAAATTGGAAAATGATCCATTATATTCCACGAACCTTTGGCGGCTTCAGCTCCTGGGGAGGGAGGGGCAGGGCCCGGGGGCACCTTGTTAGAAAGGACCCCCCTCTGGGAGCAGCCAAATCCCGCACAGAGAATTTGGGAAGAAGTTCGTTAGCTTCGCAATGCAAGCCCCTCTCCTCTTGAGAGAGCACAGAAATAAGAATTCTCCCTGTGCCCTCTCAAGCCTCTTTTTTCTCCTTTCCCCCTCCCCCTCTTTCGGGTGTGCTGGGGTGTCTTCTCTACCACCCCCTGCCCCAGGCCTTTGCATTCCCAGGGTGTTAGGGGACTTTTCTCTGGGGAGAGAATATTACTGGGTCTCTTGCCTTGGAAGGTCAGAATTCTTCTTAGAATCCCAATAATATCCCTTCCATTGTAATCTCAGTCCATTTCTCACCCCCTGTCCTCCAATGCTACAGCCCACAGCCCAGGAGGACTCTTCCACTCACCATGTATGTCAAGTCCAGGCAGAGAAAGCGCCAAGTAGGGGGAAGGGGCAAACTGCTGGTGGGTGAGGGCTGAAACATGTGAAAAGGGAGATAAGGTGATAATGAACCATGCTGCCCAACCCTCCACACTCTCACCTCACCTCCATCCCCCACAGCCCAGGCGCCTCCAGGCCTCGGATCCCCTCCATCTGGAGATCCCAGCCGCAGAGATGGGGCATATGGGAGGCCCATTCAGTATGAGGCGTGGTGTGGTAGGACGCATTGATGTAGTTTGGGTCACATAAGTTATTTGCAGTACATATGATATCGTGCATTCATAAAGCACTTGTAGATTATAAAGAAACTTTGATGAATAGAATTTCATTTAGATCTCACAACAACTGAATGAGAAGGGCATTCAAAAGACTGGAAAACAGGGTCAGTGACATGCCTAAGTTCACCCAGTTTAGTAAGTGACAGAGCCAGGACTGAAACTTGACTATTTTTGACTCTTAGTTCACAGTTTTTTCCTTTCTTCAGTCTATCATCTTCCATCACAAAGACTTACGTTTCCTCTTGCCTACGCTTTCATTTCCTGTGGTCACACACGCATTTTCTTTCCTTGACTGTCTCTCCCAAATATGCAAACATACTACGAATACTATATGTGTATTTCGTATTTTTTTTATCTGCATAAATAGAATAGTGCTACTTCTCTCATTAACTTCTAACTTTTTCACTCAACATTACGCTGTGACATCTATTCATGTTCATAAATGTCTAAATTTTTCCTTTCCTGCACAACATCTTGTTTATTCTTTTCAGCATTCAAGTCACTTCCAAAACTTCATTGTTACGTATCTATCCTTGAACAGGCATTTTATTGGAATTGTATTAAATTTATAGGTTTAACTTGGGCTATTAAAACCAAAACAGTCAAAATATGCATTTTCCATACATAGAATCTCCTTAATTCTCTGAAAATAAAGCACAGAAATAAGGAAAGTGGGGGTGGGGTTGGACAGACAGAAAGGCAGTACCAATTACTCAATTCCAGATAGAAATACAATCCCTTTTGAGTGTGTTAACTTTAACTGTAAAAGATGCAGCAGGTAACTGGTGGAGGCTCCAGGAAACATTTGACTTCCACAGTGTTTTATTGCGGCTATTTCAATGAATTGAGGGATGTTTTATTTTATTTCAGTGTCTTTTTAAAAAGAGCAACGCTTCATATTATATATTTAATTATCTGCAATAATTTGAGTCTGACACAGGGATTCAGAGACTGGTTAAAACAGGAAGGCAAGAGTGACAGGCAGCAAAATACAGCCATTCCTCACACGTCCTCCACTCAGCACCACCCCAAACAAGAAGATATAACAATATGAACGTGACATTCCTGAACTGGAAATACACACACACACACACACACACACACACACACACACACACCGATTTCTTATCCATGAAGAGCCAAGCAGGTATATTAATTTATTCAGTTCTTATTACCACAACCCAGGGAAATTGGTTTCCGCTCCTCCATTTTGCCTGTTCAGAAGGAGGTCGGAGAGTTTAATTGGCTTGGAGTCACACGGCCAGCCTCAAACTGTGCTCTTCCCAGCACCAGCACCCTCCACCAAGCTGTCTGGCCTTTATGCCATCCTCTTCTGCCGCAGCACCCTGTCTGGTCATTGATCTCATGTCGGGGACCCTCCTGGGAAGCCCTCTTGCTCCCTGTTCTCCTGGGCTTCTCTCACAGAAGCAGCCCACTCCTCGCCTCCCACCCACTCAGCCGATTGCTTTCTTTCAGATTGGCCCACACCCAGCCACGCATTAATACACAATATGTTTACCTACGAGGTCCAAAATGTTCTGGGATGAGCTTAACTGACCCACCAAATCTGGGTTGGTCTCATTTGGAGTGACTCCTACGTCCCATTCATTCCCAGCTCTGACCGTCTTTCCACTGGAGCGACTTCCATGGCTTCCAGCCCAAGGCTCTCCGTTTATAAAGGCAAAAAGGGATGGAGGAAGTGACTTGACCAAGGCCACAAAGCTGGTCATAGCAGCCCTTTCCCCACCTGTCCGGGGATGGGGTGGAGGGTGGGCAGGGAGGCTGTGGGAGGTATTTGTTCTGGTTCTTTGATTCCTCCCACACTGAGGCCAGCGGGGAATTATTTATTTATCTTGTTTAGGATGGGCGAGCTCTGAACCAGGCCAGCCTCTCCCTAATGTGATTCCAGAAGCGGCCCTGGATCCGGGGGTTGGGGGGTGGGGGTCTGCTGGCTGGACCCTTCTCGGAGGCCTTTTTTCTGTGCCCTACAATGTCACAGCTTCTCTATAGCCCACAGATTCTCCATCCCATTTGCCTGCTTCCAGAGAGCCACGGCCACGGTCGGCATCTTTGGATCCTGGCCCTACCCTCTACTGGGAACGTAGCGTCTAGGGACAGAATTCGGCAGCTTGGAAAGAAAAGGGAAAGGGAGCGGCTCCCAGCAAACGCGCAGGGGAGGGGGGTACGGGCGCCTCTGGCTAAGCTCCCAGAGAGGCCCGGCTGCCTCTCCCACCGCCCTTCGCTTCTCTTTTTTCCTTTATTTATCTCATTTTTCCTTCTCCCCAGCCTTTCTTCCTCTCTCGCCCGCGTCGCTCTTAGCCCCCTCTCTGTCTCCCTCTGTCCCTGTCTCTCTATGTCTCTCTGTCTCATCTTCCCTTTCCCTGGCTTGCCAGGCTTCCCGCTCTCCCCGGCTTCTCCTGGTTGTTAATTATTCAGCCCCCTGGCCCCACATCCCAGTCCAGGCTGCCGCGTGGAGTTTGCGCGGAGAGGGACGCTGTCGGCTTTCCCCCAGGCTGGGGTCCCGAACGGCTGGCGGGGAGCGGACCGCGTTCAGCAGTCCCCGCGCTCTCGGCTGCCCAGGCTGGACCGAGGCTCCGCTTGACGCCGCGAACCCAGACACTGCGCATGCAGGGCCTCGCAGCCGAGAGCACACGCTCGGGGAGACCCGGCGCTGGGAGGCGGCGGCTAGGAGGATTTCCCGGGGTCGGGTTCGGCGGGCGGCAGAGGTGGGGGCGAAGGAGTCCCGCAGCTCCCGGCCCTCGGGCTCCCGCGACTCTCTGTGGGTGGGGCTGGCTGACCGTCCAGCCGGCTCTTCGCCCGAGCCGGGTGCCGGCGGCGGGCAGCGCGCGGAGGAGCCCCGGCCGCTGCGCACCCGCCGGACCCCGCCGCGCCCGCGGCCGGAGGCTCCCAAAAGCCTCATCGCCCCGTCTAGGGCCCCCTTCCCTGCGGGCGCCTCGGAGCCCTTTCCTAGCCCTGTTGTTTCTTCGCCTTTTCTATCACTTAGTTTAACAACTTTAACGTTTTTAGTATGTCTCCTTTTTATTTCATTTAGCGTTACTTTATCCTTTTTGTTGTAACGTTTTCTTTCTTTTCGAGTGGGTTTTGTTTTTCCTTTTTTATCTGTTTCCGATGGATTCTCTTTTCACTTTCTGCTCACTTCTCACCTCAGCTCCGGAGCCCGCGCTTTCGTTTCCTCTTCCCCGCGCACCCGCGGCTCTGCGGCTGGCGTCGGCGGTGCTCGCGGTGGTCCAGCTCGGGCGAGGGCGAGGGCGAGGGCGAGGGCGAGGGCGCGAGGGTCCTGGTTCCACCCGGAGCTCAGTCCGCGCGCCCAGCGAGTCCGCGCCGGGTGCTGCTGCGGAGCTGAGACTTTGTCGAAAGCGGGAGTCCGAATCGCTGCCGCCGGCAAGAACGGAGAGAGCAGGCAGAGGCGCCTCGGGGGCCCTGCCGGCGGGTTCCAGCCTGGTTTTGGCCTGGCCCCGGGGCACACAGAGGACCCAGACCTGCAGTCCCCACGGAGGCCGCAGGCCCACGCTCACTGAGACTCAGGGGCCTGCAGGCCATCGTGCACGAACCACACAGACACCCACCGAGTTACCCGTGAGCCTCACCGCCAACTCAAGGGCGCAGGCACACCCAGCACGCACTGACAAACACACGCATAACAAATATCACACACACACACACACACACACACACACACACGCAGCCCCAAACCACACACATACAAAACACAGAGTGTGGACATACACATGATCACGGGACACATACACGAGAACAGCATACATATGACTGCACATTGCAGATAGACACCACACACAGACACGTAAGCCTACTTGCCAACACTCTGCCACCGCGGGGTGTTTTAAGCCCAACTCAGTCCATCAAGGTGGTGACTCTTAGGCCAGTGTCGGGCAGCTGGAAGGGGACCTGCCTGGTCTCACCAGCGGGCACAGCAGTAACCTAGCAACTATAAATACAGCCCCCCAGAGTTCAGTACCTCTGCCTGGACTGAGGTTGCCGAGGCTCCCACACTGGCTGCTTGTTTAGCTGAGGGATGCAGCCAAAATCTAAGAGCCTGAGCCCCAGAAATGAGCATCAGACCTACAGAACCCTATTTGAAGCAGATACCAGTACTGCACCAAGAAATGGCACCAGGGTACAGAGTATGAAGCAGACATGCCATACATGTGCCAGTATGTGTTCCGTGCCACATGCATCGTACGCGGTGCTAGGATTTGGCCAGTACCCACATAGAGACCGTTATTTATGTGAAAACAAGCAGAAGAGATGTATATGGTTCTAGGAATAAACGTCACATGTGTACAAATACAGATACCAATCTACACCTAAGGAGATGTAAAGTTGAAAATCTCTTTCCAGCTCATGGGTACCGTTATCAAGCTGGAACACTAGCCTATGTGTCTGTGGTAAGGTCTGGTCTCCGTTCCAGGGCAGAGGGAGTCATTTGGTGCCATGAGAACATTGTGGTGAGGCTGGATTATGGGAGAACTATATGTACCTGAAAGGTAATCAAGCCACCAAAAAGGGGGATTTGGGTAGCTTTAAAGGGGAACCCCGTGGTAAACGGCTGTCTGGGCTGTGTCCTCAGAATTTCTGGAAGATGCTTTCAGCCACAGCAGCAGTAAAAGTGGTGGCCAGGCCTGCATGGCGGATGATGGAGCCTGTCTGCAGGCAGGTATCTGTATGCACAGACTATGCTGGGTAAAAACACAAACCTGTTTGTGGTACACACAGATAGGTCCCAACAACCAAGCCCGGCAAGACGCAGACAGTGTGTGGCCACAGATGTCCAACTGGATTGCCAGGGAGATGAATTTTGTAGGAGAAAATATAAGGGTAAGAGATATTTTTGTGCACACACAGAGTTCCATAGGATTGGAGCTTAATTTTTATACAGGAGAGCTGCAGAAGTAGGAAAGTACATAGGTCAAAAGAGAAATGCTGGGTGAGCCTCATCCTAGAAGGCCAGGATGAGTGGAGAGAGGTCTCTATGGCGCAGCCCAGGGAGGAGCCCATCCATTGTCCAAATGACTCCAGAGTATTATACTATGACACTTGCAGAGAAATGTGCCTGGTGAAGTTGCAAATATATTTGCCAATTTCTTGGCAGAGCCTGGGGGAGAAGCAGGCAGGAGGGAGGGCCATATACCAGGTCTCTAACATGGGACGGAGAGTGGAAAGCTTGGCCCCTGGGGTTGGCTGTCAGTCTCTTTGTCTGCCCTATCCTTGACCAGGTTTCTGATGACTGTCAGCACCTTTCTCTTTCACTCTTACAGGTCTCTGACTCTAAGTCTCTGCCCCTCTCAGTTTCTTTCTGTGCTCAATTTGTCTTTCTCTCCCTATCTCTTCAGCTCTTTTACTATTCTGTGAGACATGGCCAGAAAGAACAAGAAGCAGTCAGACCTAGGAGCAAATATAAATACAAAAGCACGTCATAGATGCAGATGTCATTAGTGATAAAGCCCATCCATCTTGCTGGTCTATATAGATATACATGACAGCAAATTTCCATTTTTGCATAAAAATCCAAGTATAGACTTGAAGGTTGTTTCCTTTTAGTCTTTTAGCCACTGCCTCTTTGGGTGTCTATCTCTTTATTTCTTTCTGGGACCCTTCTTCATTACGCCACTCAGAGTCCCTGGACACTGCTACAGTTTCAATAATCCTACCTCTCCCCAGTATTGCCTTCTTTGAAGTTTGGCTCAGATGGGCAAAGGCTTTTCTGAGAAGGCGGTAGCTAGATAGCTGCGTTGCAAGCAGGGATGTGGAGAGAGACATTTGAAACTTGATGGAGATGCTGCTATCTCCAGCATCTATCTAGTTTTGGGGTCAGTCAAACAGACATACATACACCGTTAATCCACCTGGGGAGTGGAGTGACAGAAGGATATGGTGGAGTGCTGGAACCCCAGTGCCTCATTGGTGCCAAGGGCCAGCAGAACCACCCAGCCAGGCAGAGGAAAAGGTACCCAACTCAGTGGAAGCAAGTCCCTAGGACAATATAGAAGGAAAACTGTGAAGGTCCTAGCTTCCCAACCACGGACCTGGTATAAATAATGTCTGAGTAAGAGAGGGTTGGAGTACGAAAAGGTAGGCAGTGAAGCGACTCCTTAGATACGGAGGCACCCTGTGGCGATCCGGCTGCGGAGCCTAAGAATGAACCTACAGAAGGTAGCTTAACCTGGAAGGAAGAGGAGGGGCTTGCGGCTCAATCCTGGTGGGAGAAAGGAGGGTCCAGAGTCGGACCATGTCCACGTGGTTTCTGCTCGTCATGTGTTGGTTGGAATGAATGCATGAACACACCAAAAGCCACTGCTTGGGGTCCCATGGCCATTTACTAGGTGGTGGGAAAAGGAGAAAGGATTTGATAATATGGAATGGGCTCTGGATTAAGACTCAGACTCAGCCTCTAAACCAACATGGGGTGGCCCCCATCCTGGCCCCGTGCCGAATAAACCTGGAGAGCTCATCCCTTCCAACTCCAAATAAACAGCTCCTTGTTTTCTTGCCAGATCTGAATTCTCTGTGCCTCACTCTATGTGCTCTATGTGAGTTTGTGACTCTATCTCTGGTTCCCCTACTCTCTGTGAGCTGCAGTTCTGTCCCTCTTGTCTCTGTCATTGCTTCGAAGCTTTTCTGGCTTCATCTGTCTCTGTTTTCAGGTCTCTGTCTGTCCCCTCCTGCCCGCCCCCCCGCCCCCGACTGGAATTAGCCTTTGTTAATTCAAAGGCTTCTCACTGAGCTCCTCCCCACTCTTCCCAGAATAACATTGAGTAAAATGAGATAAAACCCTCCCGCCCCTAGGTTTTTTTTTCTGTCCTACTCCCCTCAGCCCCCTCCTCCAGGGCTACAACCCCCTCTTATAATGTCAGATAATTGCTGGTGTGCGGCTCTGAGGAGCCAGAGCTGATACCAGGGAAGGAGAAAGGGGGAGAGAAATAAATAATAATCTGTCTCCATTCAGCGTATATAGGTTACCTGATTTGCATATATGCTAATAACGCTATAATTACCCTGCTGTTCTGGCCTATGATCAAGTTCTATAAATACATAGGATAGCAGAGCTAGGCCTAGCAACACCACCCCCAAAATCATGGAGTATATGTATGTATATGTGCGCATTTTATGTACACTCTAAACCTATGAGCCTCTCTTTGTTAGAACACACTCCCTTACAGATCCCAGCTCTTCAGACGTTCAGCTACCCCTCTTGTGTTTTGAAGCTACTTTGGAGGCGGGAAGACATGCCTGAATGAGAAAACATTCTAGGTTTTACTTAATTCTTAGTATTAATTTCATTATCAATATTATGGCTATTTTTCGGAAAATCAGACTTCCCCAAATTATTGAATTAGTTATTATCATCTGGATTCCCCCACCTCCTACAATCCTGCACCTTGGGGTACAGGCTGGTGGGTAGGAACAGGAAGCCCCCATCTCTTAGGCCTGCTGAGATGTTTCAGAAGGCGCTGCCTGCGGGAGAGGAAGTGGAGTCCTCTTCCCCAAACCTGCTCCTCATGCCTCAGTCTCCTGGCACACTCACCACTCGAAGGAAACCAGGGGGAAGATACACAGGGGGCTGTGCAAATTTTTGGGTGATGGTGGCAGAAGTGGGGAGGAAGCTTGGAGGAACATAAAAGATGCAATCCACAGCTGTCTGCTTTTAATTATAATTATCCCCTTTCGCTTCCTTTCTGGCTAATGAGGGGGGGGATTTAAATTTTTTTCTCCCTTTTCTCCCCCTTCCTCCTTTCCCTGGAATTGAGGGGTGGGGTGAGTTCAGGATCCTCCTCCCCTTCCTCCCTTATCCCCTGGTTACTGGGAGAAAGGCAGACTCCAGAGGGTGGTGACAGTATGAAGAGATTTGCAGGAACAAAAGAAGGACAGGTTTGGATTGCTGGACACGTCCCAGAGTTGGACAGAGCCCCCCCCCCATTCCACTGGCACCCCCCTCCCATCAACCCCCCAGCTCCCTAGACAAGGAACTCAATGTCTTCCAGCCGGTGAGAAAGGAGCTAACGGGAGCCCTGGTCTAGAGAGAAGGGGGAGGGAAGGGGTGGGGAGATGGGGGGGTGCAAAATTAGTCTCAAAGGATCTTTATTTCTGAGCTAGTGAAGCAGATGTAATCAAGGGGAGAGCAAAATAATCATAATGGGAGGAATGGGGGAGGGGAAGCGGGGCTGGAATTGGGGGACTGGGCCAGGACAGGACTGAGAATTGGGGGGCAGAGAACATTGAGTGGGGAGAGTCTGTTGCCTTCTCTCACCCCTCTGAAGTCTCCCTGCTTTGAGGTGGGGAAAGAAGGACCCGGTCTATAGACTCTGACCTTAGCCCTCAGAATCCCTCATTCAGAGCTTAGGGATCGCCAGGCCAGAAGGTGGCTGGGAAGGCACCAGGGAGAAGACAGCCTCCCGCCCCCAGTTGAGGGAGGTGGTGAAGAGAGGGGAGACTGAAAGCAGTGGGGGAGGGTGAGAGAGGGGAGCCAGCAGAGACTCAAGTGGCCTCCAGGTCTGTGGGACAAAAGTTGGAGGGAGATTTGTGTATGAGAGAGGAGGGAAGGGGGCCGTGGGGAAGGGGGGGCTTTGACAATGAACTTGAGACAAACTTCATTAGCATGCAGGCCTGCTGTCTGTCACGTCGAGCTCAGACCGAGTTCCCATGCAGACCAGGAAGAGTGGGAGGGAGAAAAAGGGAGGGGCTGAGGATGGGGGTTAGAGAGAGAAAAGAGACCCGACCGTTGTACCATTCTGGGCCCCAGCTTCCACCAAATATCGGGACCCCAGCCCTGGAAACCAACCCCCAAATTGCTCTCCCTCCTCTAGGAAAAAGATAATTTATCTCCCACTTTGACTCTGTGGTCCCACCCCTTCTCTTCTCTTGTCTAGACTTCCAAGTGCTGGCCTTCATCTCCCCGCAAGATGCGCCCCCTCCAACTCTCAGCCTTCATCTTCCTACTGTCACTGTCTCCTTCACAAGTAAGATCTGGATTTGTGATTAGTTAAGCTGACCGGGATAGGAGTTGAGGGGAGGCCTGGGAAGGGGGGCCTGGAATGCCCTAAGCCTTCAAATGGCAAACTGTGTCACCTTCTCATGACTCCTTATCAGCTCAGCGCCTCACCCTCCACACACCACTTAATCACTCTATCAAGTTCCAAAGCGAATTAAAACTCGGAGACTAGGGACCGAGTCTTTCCATCACACCCTTTCTCTTGCTTCCCTTGGGGACGAGGGTGGCCTGGAGGAACAATAGCTTCCCTTAGCCCCTTCTTCCTGCCTCAGGTTAGAAAAGGCAGCAGGGGAGGTGGCAAGCAGAGTGGAGGTGACAAAGACCCCTGCCCACACAGGCATTGGAAGGAAGAAGGAGGGGCTTCGTCAGAGTGGGCTGTTATTTTGGTGGTGGTGGTGGTGGTAGTGTCTCCAGAGAGGGGCAGCACCCCCTTTTTGCTGCCTTTCCAGGGAGAGCAGCAAGAGAAAGAAAGAGAGAGGCAAGCGAAATTCCTGAATGGATAGACAGATGCTACGTCATCGGAGCTGCATCCTCCACTCCACAAGAGGCTAGGAGCTGGGGGGAGAGAGGCAGTCCAGCCGCAGGGGCCACCCGAACAGTCTCTCCTCCTCACAGAAGCCTGGTAAGTGCCCATTCGGGTCCAGGGAGGATCCCAGCCCCCTCAGACATCTAGGCTGGGAGTGGGAAGAGATCCCCTAAAATCAGTCAGGACGCCCTAACCTTCCTACTTTACCTACTGGCTAATGGAGGCTGGTGCAAAATCATCACAGAAAGAAAAGGCTGATAAAAGATTTAGGGGGGTCCCCAAAATGGATGAGGCATGTGTGTAGAGGTGGAGTTGGCAGCAAGGCTCTCACCTCCAGCCTCCTGGGCACCTATCGCTGAGCCCAAGGCAGTGGCTCTGCCCACCCGCCCCAGAGTGTCTCCTGGTTCCCCTCCTTCCCCCAGCCCATGCAGGCTGGAGACAGCTCACTAAGTTTGTCAATGGGATTGTGGGGGGGCTTTAGGGTCACGGTGCTACTGATCCTATTAATCTGCCCCTCCCTTCTCTCCACCAGACATGGCCAACATCTTAATGCTTGCACCAGAGGAGAGGCAGGAAGGAAACTGTAGTGGAGATGGGAAGGAAGGGAAAAAATGGTTCTGTATTTGGACTCCTGACCTTGTTTCCTCCATCTGGCTCTTATTCCTTTCTGACCTAGAGACTTCAGCTTTTAGGGGAGGACAAAGTCTGAGGGACTTGGGCATGGGGGGAAAGGAGCCAGATGTCCCCAGATGAAAGAAAGGTGGAGACCAAAATTGGGAAAAATCCAAAAACATTTTATAGGATTTAGATTAATTTAATTCCCCTTTCCCCCCTTTCCTATGAGCTGGCAGGTGGGAAAGGGGCTGAGTGGAACCTAAAGGCAAGTGAGGTGTCAGGGAAAATGCTTAGGTTCTCGAAGGGGAGAGAACCCTACCCCAGCCCTCTTCACACCCATCTAATGGAGGGTTTGTGTGTGTGTGTGTGTGTGTTTGTGTGTGTGTGTGTGTGTGTGTGTGTGTTTTCCTACGGAAGGCCAGGAGATATATAAAGACAGCACTTTTCCTGCCCCTAGTCCCCCACCCACACTGTGCTTTCTGGGAGACAAGATTGGGGCCATTGTGGGGTAGTGGAGGCTGGAGCGGAGCAGACTATTCCCGGAACCCCAGAGGCCAGATTGCTGGGCGAGGCTAAGGCTGCCAGCCATCATACGTGCACACACATGTTCCATGCCTGCTGGGCTGTGTTCTTCATCAACATGCTCCCCTAGGCATTGTGTATGCTTTGTCGGGGGGTGGCAGGGCAGAGATCAGTGATGAGGGGGATAACTGCCCCAGGGACCCCAGAACTCTCATTGATTAGGGTGGAGGGAGGAGCCAGAGGCCCCCTAACTGTCCTTATGTCTGTTTTCTAGCATGTCAGCAAATTGGTGTGGGGTGGGGGTAGCCCCTTCTTTGGTTTGAAGATAATTTCAGACTGAGACATCCCTTTATGAAATGGATGGGCTGGCAGAGCTGAGGCTGGGAGTCAAGTGAGTATTTGTGAGTGTTAGAAGTGGGGAGGGGGCATTCAAAGCACCCCTCCTAGAAATCAGGCTTGGATGTAAGGCTTGTCCTTGCTCCCCAGCCCCCCTTTTTTCTGATTTCCTACGTTTAGGTAGGTTATCTTCCTGACTTAAAAAAATTAGTTGTGGAATTGAGTTTGAGATGGAAGAATTCACCAGCTTACCCCAACCCACACACAAACACACATACACATATAAGTGTAAAAATACTTATCACAGTATTTTAGAAGCTAGGTCACCTGCGGTATACATGCCACTCCCCCAAATCATAATTTAACCTGAAAGCCAAATTCTGGGAAGATAAGACTATAAAGTGCTGAGACTGGGTTCATACCCAACACTAATAAAAAATAAATGCTTTGTCTTCACACCTTTTGTGTGTATGAAAAAGAGAGGGAGAAAATTGATCACTACAGGATCCTGAGAGATATACTTGGATAGGTGATAAGTAGATAGGTCACGACAGAGATGAGTGGAGAAAGCAAGAGAGATAACATGATTGAGAATATCATAAATGTGCATAACACTTTACAGTTTACACTGCGTTAGATCTAGACAGACAAAAATATATCCCTAACCTCAGCTCCTTCATTCTATCCTGAGCATGCTCTCCCATAGACCCCAGGCAGCAGGAATCTGCAAGGAGATAATGTCCATTGGGCAGGAGATTACTTCCTTGGATTTAAGTCTAAGATCTCCACAGGCTGTTTGAACAGGGCCAAATCCCTGGGCCCAAAGGTTTTGGATGGAGATGAGAGAGGTTGTGAGGATAAGGCTGGGTTAGAGTTGCCCAGGCGAGATGGAGCTGAGAGGCCCAGGCCGGAGGCCATGCCTGCGTGTCTAGGCTTTTCTCATTATCCCCCTGTGCAGCCTCAAGCCTGGCGATTGAAGAGGGGAACATAGACTATCCAGGTCCTGAAGATGCAGGACTAGGAGAAAAGGAGTGGCTGAGAGAGTGATAGGAAGGCTGGGGGTCGTCAGGGAAAGAAGGCTGGACTTCTCAAAGGACTTTAACCTTTGCATTCTCCTCCTTGACAGGAGCTGGGCATCCAAGAAGAAGCAGCCTCATTTGTTTTCTGGTGTCATCGTAGGTGGCCACCTATGGCTTTTGGGGTATTTATTTTCTTATTTATTGTTTCTGATGGTGGAGTGGGTGGGGGAAGAAAAGGAAAACTGGCCCTGTCTCACTTATGTTTTCTCCTGTTCTCTGTACCCCTCTACCCCTCTCCCTGTCTCTTCCAGCTTTCGGCCCCTGATTTTGGTCTACTCCAATTGTAGAAAGACCTACATAGTCAATGATAGGCCACCCTGCTTCCAGTTCTGTGATAGAGAGGAAAGGCATTGGGGATACAGGGAACTCTTTCCCCTTCTCCAATGGGCTCCTGAGGGCAAAGTTGGAGGCCAATTGACCTTGGGGGAGATGATTGGTTGGAGAAGGGAACAGAGATACTTGTACCTGGGTGACAGAGGTGAGAAAGAAGAGGAGCATGGGGTATGGTAAATGGGGACCCAAGGAGCTTAAATAACTGTGAGTGGGTATGTATGCCAGGGTATACAACTGCAAGCACTGGGAGGTGGTACTGCTGGGAGTATCAGTGGATTTGTCATTGCATTGGTCTGAGTTGATAAGTTTGAGTATGTGTGCATGTGTGTGTGTGTGCGCACGCGTGTATGTGTGTGCGTGTGTGTATGTGTATGTGTGTGCATGTGTGTGTGTGCGTGTGTGTGTGTGTGATGCGCAGCACCCTTGCATACTCATGCTTATGCCCCTTAAGGAGGCCATTTGCTGATGGTTGAGGGTCTTGTAGAAAGGACTCAGTCTGGACGAACCAGCCAACCCTCTACCATCTCTGCCACCTTGTTCTTACCTCCCAGACACATAAGGTTCTCAGGCAAGTGAGCAATGTGTGGGCTCAAGAATAGAACTGGGAGCAGGCAAGGAAGGCAGTACTTACACAAGCCCAAGGAATTCTCAAGCTGGCCCCTCAATAGGAGGAACATACCACTCTCTCGTGGGGAAGAAGTGTGACATCCTTAGGGACGATATCCTCCAGATTATTTCTCCATACCTCCTACCTTTTCTGCCCACATGAATAGATATTTTGTATATATATATTTTTTTCACACAGCCTCAGTATTTTTTATTGCTAATTCTTGCTTTTATTTGTGACTATCCCATAGACAATGCAGATTTCTATAGCAAAAAATGTATGATATTGTTCATAATGATGCACTTATAAGACAAATAAATATCTGAATCCACCCTTTCCCAAATGCAGCTTTCATCTGTGTCTTCAAGGCAAATTAATCTGGTAATTGGAACATAGAAAAAATATATGCTTTTTATTTAATTACCTGATTATTTCAAGAAAGTGCTTGACTGCCAAAATGTATTCTGGAATCTGAATTATAAAGATCCATCCAAGAGCTGCATCCAGAGAGCATAATTCGGGCCATGTTTTTCTCTACATGGGCCTCTTCAGGCACACAGACAATAGGCGGGCATCAGGGCTATAAGGGATGGGGGTGGGGACGGGCACTGGCAAAAAATGTGGGCTCCTAGGTTAATCAAGACACTTGCGGACTCACACCAGCACCAGGGAATCGATGTGCTCTCCCCACAGCCCCCTAGAAATTCCCTGGAAGAACTCAGGGTGGGGTCTGCAGTCCATCGCTCTATAGAACACTCCAGCTGACTGTGCGGTATGCTGGAATCAGGGGACTACTCCAACTGAGACCTTCTTAGGGATACTGAAGCTGGTGGGCCAAGCCCAAAGGGCACCTAATGCACCCATTTTACTCCAGCTGTTATGCTCCTATAGGCCTGCTGTATCTAATTAGTAGAAGGGTCTCCTCTGGTCAAAGGAGCGATCAAATAGTCACGGACCCACAACACAATAGACACAACTCTCCCCTCTGCCTCCCCCACAGATCCCACAGAACATACAACTTACCAAGACCCTCACTCCCCATCCGTAATGCCCTCAATCTACCTGATGGTAAATGCAGACTTGCAGACATACTCACGGTACACAGATCTCTATTAATTGATCAATTACTGGGCACCCACTATGCTTTAGGCATAGTGTTAGCTACCATGGACAAGAATATGTGTGAAATTGCCCCTGCTCTGGAGAGACTGTCTCATTTTCCACCCTCCAAGTAGTTTCTTTTTTGAAACTGGAACAATGGTATACAAACCAGTCCCAGTTAACATGATGGTGGGGAGTTTTCTGCTTCTTTCATGGCTGATAGCTCTTTCTCCATTGGAATAAAGACAGATGCCCTACTCACCTTTATCCTTGAGCAGGGGTGGTGGGAGACTGGGTTGTCAACCACACCCAGACAAAACCAAACAAAAAATTACTTCATTAGCAACCTTGACAGAAATGGGGATTCTATGTGGGTACTGCCAGGACAATTTAGACTAATCACTGTTTTCCTTTGTTGGGGGTCTCTCCTCATTTTATTTGGACACTCTTTTAGGCTGAATTAACTATGAAGAACCCAAAGCCTCATTAAGAGGCAGAGCGATCTTGCTCTTTATCAAGCTATTTGGAGAAATTTAGACATATTTTCAGAAGACATCTAAATATACCCATTTCCCTCTTGACCTTGGTTTTTTAGAAAGTCCAGCTGAGTCTGAATTTGACCAATAGAGGTGGAGAGGGGGAGCCTCCAATGGCCAAAAAAACCACACCTCTCTGTTATCTCCCCACTCCAATAAAAATACAGCAGTGGCCGAAAGAGAAGGGAGGTTCATGCTGATTCCAGTTGCCTCTTGCGGCACTGTTTGGTCAGCCCAGGCCAGGATAAGGGGTTGTGGTGATAAGCTTGGGCCCCACAGAGGGCAGAGGACTTGGTTGGAAATTGGTAACAGAGGAGAAAGGGGAGAGTTTTAGCTAGCAGAACAGCCCACTCTTCCTCACCGGCCCCAGCCTCCCAGGTGCTGGTGAGGGGAGGACGGATAGGGAGGAAGCTTTGCTTAAGGTGCTTTTAAGGGATCTTGTGGGAGGGCAAATGGGGAGATATTTGTAGGGGGAGTTGGTAGTATGTTTGGAGAAGCATAGGCCCTAGCTAGAATTGCTGGAATGTCTGGAGGGTACTGGGGATCCTAGAAATGGGTATGGTGTGGTTTCATGAGAAATCTTTGAGGGGATTTATAGTCACGGAGGGGAATGGCTGGAAAGCCTATAGTTTTCAGGGGCTGATGGGGTATGCATTTAGGGAATGCCTTTAGCGGCACATCAGGAGGTGAGTCTATCTGTGAGAATATTTGAGAGGGGTTCTGGGTTTTTTCGCAACTCTACTGCAGAGACAAGGACCCCAGTGCTCTGCTCCCTGAGTGCTTCATTCTAAGCTGTATGAGCACCTGGGAGGGGGCAGGAGGAAGCAAAATAGGGAGGGGACACCATCTCTGTCTCTTTCCTTCCCTCCTCATCATTGGCTGGTGTGTTCCCTGTTCTGGAGGGTGAAAAAATTGACATTGTGGAAGCGTCTAGAAAGCCTTTCCCTTGGGTGAGGGCCTTGAGACCCTGTGGCGACTGACAGAAGGAAAAAGCTATGCCAAGTCTAGCCTTGTGAGCACCCTGAGACCTGGGAAATTAGATGTTTTCTTCAGCACCATATTATCATCCTGGTAGGGAAACACCCGGCTCACAGGCTTTATCTTATTCCAAACTGCCCCCCACCCTGCAGTCGTGTTGCCAACATCAGTGGAAGCGATTATTCAGATATTCTCCAATCTTTGGGGGAAGCACCGAATTAAACCCACTGCCCACAGGCTTGCATCTAGCCAAGAACAGCTTTCAGGCTTGGCTTTGTCCTGGGCTGTGCAGACAGGCAGATAAAACAATCCGATGGGGCCTGATGACGAAACTGGTCATCCCCTGGAGCACGGCCCTGGTGGCCTAGTGTTCAAGGATCCCTGGTTATAGGAGCTGGCCCAGGTTAATCTGGCTGACAGACTCCAGGTATCTGAGTCATAGTTTTTTTTTAGTAAGGCAGTGGAGAGTAGAGTGGGTAGAAGGGTGGGGTGGCTTGGGACCAGGAATTGGAACTGCTCCCTGGCAGAGCTCAGGTAGGGGCCCACAGCTCGTTCTTCCAGCTCTACTGGGCAGCGGGATTCGGATCCTGCCTGCCGCCGAGTATCTACCTCTCAAGGTTGAGACTAGGCATTATTCAGCCCTGATTCCCAGCGCAGAGGCCGAGCCAGGAATGTCGCGCTGGGCCAGATAAGGAGCCAGGTCGGTAAAGTCCCAGACGGAACCTTGCTGGAGGGCGATCCTCCTCCCATAACCCCAGCTCTCCAGACACCTGGAGCTGGACCATGGGCTAGAGGTCAGAGTCTCACCATGTTGAGGAAGGGCAAGAAGGCGCTAGCAAGGGCCTCCATGGCTGGATGAAAATCTGTGGGTCTTGTCCCGGCTGATGCCAGCTGGAATCCTCACCCCAGCCTCCCCTACCTGTAACTTTGGTGCTGCGAACACATTCAAGAGATATTCCAGTTTCTGCAAGGCGGAAAAGGAGGCTCAGCACCGCTCAACCCCCGCATCTCCCTGTAGGAATCCCAAACTTCCAGGATCTTTCCCTCATTGTTTTGGGTTGAAAACCAGCAAGACAGGTTCCTGCCCATTCTAAAAGGTTAGGATCACAGTCTGCTAAGGATCAGAACCCGAGAAGCACAAAGAATATTCTGATGGGAGGAGGCGATAGGAGTAGAGTCTGCAGTCATCTGGTTCTTTCTGAGGGGCTTTCACCTGACCTCTTTTCCATCTTTGTGCCCTGGTGTTGGTGCAGCATACCTAGGGCCAAAATGGAAAATGTAGAACCTACAAAATGAGTGAGGTTGGAGATCAAAACCACAAATGGCAATGGATTGGAGGTGGCAGGCGGGTCTCGGGGGTGAGTGAGGCAGCAAGAGGCTGAGAATCAGCACAGAGACGTAGTAGTCCCCCGATCCCTATTCTCCAGTGGGGAGGGGCGCCCCAATTGCGCTCCCCGGCCGGCCCGGGAAGGGGGAGGGGCGGGGCCGGCGGGGAACGAGCTGGTGACGTCAGACGCGGTAGAGCCAATCAGAGGATGGCCTGGGGAGGGAGTGTGAAAGGATGAATGAAAAGTCCGGAGCCGGAGCGCGCCGGGGCCAGAGCCGCGGCAGAGGCAGAGGAGGGAGCTAGGAGGTGAGACCCGCTCCACCCTGCTCGCCTAGGCTCGGCGGAGGCTAAGAGCAGGGCAGCCTCCTCTGCCCGGCGCCCGCTGAGCCCCGGCATCTGGAACTCAGGGCCCTGGCGCTCCAGGGGCGGGAACTGGCCGGGAGGACCGCGCGGGAGAGCACGGATGGGCACCCTGGGCTCGATGTAAGTGGCCTGGCCAGCGTGGAGCACGAGGTGGGCGAGCGCCTCGGAATCCGGCGTGCCCGCGCGTCCGCCACGAGGGGCCGGCCGAGCCCCCACCCTCTTCGGGGCTGCGGTTTCCCGTTCCTGATCGCACCCCTTTCCCACCCCTAGAGCACCGCTCGCCTCGAACCCCCGGCCATTTTCACAACCCTGGGTGATCTCTGGTCCTCTTTGAACAAAGCCGTTTATCCGGGGCTCTGCAGGGCCTGGGACTCTGGTCACCTGCCCTGTCGCCCTCTGCTTTCCTCCCCTCCGCCCCTCTCATGGGTACTCTCCCGGATCTCTTCCCGGGTGGGGTCTCTGCTGTTTCCTTCTCTCCTTGAGAGACTCGCTTGGGAGTCTCTGGGTCGCCCCCACCCGCCCCCCACAGCCTTTCCTCTCTCTTTGGGTCGCCGGGATTTCCCTGCTTCCTATTAGGACATCTCTGGGGTTTTTACCTCCGGGGTTTGGCTGCCCATTTCCCCTTTTAGTCGGCCTCTTGAATCCGGCTCTTTCCCCCACAAGGGCTCCGCTTCGCTTCCAACGCCTTTCTGAGTTGGCGACGTGGCCGGGCCGGCACCGCGGCTCCCCATTTCCATCCCGCGCCAGGCTCGGGCTCCGCCGAAGGCAGGGCTCTGGCTGTCGGATGCGCCCTCGATCTTCCAGAGAAGGGCAGTGGAGACCCGGCGAGGCTGGGGAGGCCTCTGCCTGGGTCGCTGCGGTCTTCCCGGGTGGCACGAAAAGCCCGCGCGTCCCTTCCACCTGGGACCAGCGGAACTCCTGCTCCTGGCCCGAATGGGAGAGCGGGAAATGGGGCACCAGAAACTTTTTGGGTCTGGATCGGGGTCAACTCCCCGACTTCGACGCCACGGGTCATCGCGTCCTTTCCACGCCTTTTTCGGTCTCTGTCGTGTCTGTATCTCCGTGTCTGAGGTTTTTGTTGTTGTTTTGTCTCGGACTTCATTTCTCTCTTCACCCTCCCCCTCAACTCCACTCGTGTCCCTTCCCTCCTACTCCCGCTGACGGGCGACCGGGAAGCTGCGGAGGTGCTGGCGGCGGCGGCGGCCGGGAGGCTGCGTGGAAGAGGCGGCGACAGCAGCCAGGAGGCGGGGTTGGTTGTTATCTTTGGTTATCTAGCTGTATGAGTGGTGTGGAGTCTTCATAAAGCTAGATAACCGAAAGTAAAAATAACCCCATACACTGCGCAGAGGGGCCCGGGGAAAGCCGGCCTCACGGGCGGGAGGGAGAGGCTTGAGCGAGGGGCTAGAGCCGCGAGGACTGACCAGCACCAGAGGATACAAGAGGAGGAGAGAGACCTCACTGGTTCGGGCGACATTTCACCCCCCCAGCACCCCAGTCGGCACAGGTAGGAGTCACAGTCCCATTTCACTTCAGCCAGGTGCCATATTTTTCCCCCAGCAGAGTTGAGGGGGAGCAAGGAAGCCTCATTGTGGTGCCCTCTGGTGGTCCCCGCTCAGGATGGGGCCTTTTCTGGCAGTCTGGGTCACTGCTTGGGAAGCTGATCTAAGGGAGAAATCAGTTGAAATCTAGCTGCAGGGTTATTCCGCCTCCCGGCCCAGGCCTCTCCCTCCAGCGGGAGCTGGTGAACACTTTCCCACAGGCTGTCCACAGCTATGGCTGGGTGGGGGAGTTTGGAGGAAGTCACCTGAGAACACTGGTCTTTGCTTAAGTCGGCTCCTTAAAGCCATGTAGGGCTATCCAGCTTGGTTGGAAGATGAGGGTGTCTACGTGAAAATAGGAAATAGAATTGAAGGTGCCAAGGGTGGGAGGGTTGCTCAAAAATGTAAACAGGGTGGCAGAAGAACCTTTTGCCCAGTCTGGGTTCTGGGGCAGTGGAGTGCAGGGCAATCTCGGTTCCATTTCCATTCACATTCCTCCTTCCGACCCAGGACCTGAGGCCAATCTCTTTAAAAGATCCTTATGCTGCTTTGTCATTACTGACCAGAGGGGCTGAGTTGGGGCCTTTTAGGACACCCAACCTTCCCACCCCATCTTCAGTCTTGGAAATCATCTCCAAGAACAAATGGCCTCAAGAAGCTCTGAGGATCTCAAACACAAAGGAATTTGTAGCTTAGTATCTATGCTGCCCAGAGAAAGCAAAGAATTAGAGAGATTAATCAGGGCCTTTCCTAAAAGAATCCATTTATCTGGCTTGACCTAAATATTTTAAGTGAAAGAGTGTTTAGGTGCGTTGAAAGTAGTATAGTCTAGAGTCACTTTGTGGAATAGAAGTCAATGTAGCCAAAGCTAGAAGTAGCTCTGTCTGCATTTACTACAAGTCTGCATCCCATACGCCGGCACCTGGCCTTCCCAGACACGGGGCAGGAAGGAGTAATAAGGGGGTGGAAGAACTGGACAAAATGACCTTGACTGACTCCAGTTTCCTGTGTAAATTTAACATTTCCTCCCAGGACCTGATTTTATAGCTAGAAGATAATGATTCAATTATATATTATGTGGGAGAAATATTGGAGAATCCAAACTCAAAAAAATTGTGCTTCAGGGAGCCTAGAATACATATGTCTTCTTCCTTTAGAGATTTAGAGGAAGGCGAGATTAGTAGCCTCTTACTTTCTCAGCCATTTGGAATTTGGGTTTTCTGGGGGAGGGGCAGGTGGAGACTGGATTAGGGAGAAAGGGAGCAGGTTTTAGGCGAGGACTAATAATTCCTAACACTACTTCCTGGGCGCTGGGCCTGCATCCCTTTCTCTTATCTTTCAACACTGTGAGATAGTCATTATTAACCCCATTTTACTGATGAGGAACCACGGACTCAAATGAGTTGCTAATGTTACTCAGTGGTTTCCAATCCAGTGCTTTTTCCTTTTTTTTTTTTTTGAGATTGAGTCTCACTCTGTTGCCAGGCTGGAGTGCAGTGATGCAATCTCGGCGCACTGCAACCTCCCCCTCCTGGGTTCAAGTGATTCTCCTGCCTCTGCCTCCCGAGTAGCTGGGACTACAAGCGCGCGTACCACCATGCCCAGCTAATTTTTGTATTTTTTTTTTTAGTAGAGATGGGGTTTCACCATGTTGGCCAGTATGGTCTTGATCTCTTGATCTCTTGATCTGCCCGCCTCGGCCTCCCAAAATGCTGGGTTTACAGGCATGAGCCACCCTGGCCGGCCTAACCCAACCCAGTGCTTTTTCTACTGAACTTGCCTGTGGGAACAACTGGAGAGACAGTGAAACAGGGAGGGTAAGATGGGGTTGAGCTGAGAAAGGAAGGCATGGGGCACGGGAGGGGGAGGGTGCACCAAGAGAAAAGCCCTGCCTGTGAGCAGGGGCTGGGAGCTGGGATGAGAGAAGAAGCACCAAGAAAGATAGGATTCCTTTAAAAACAAAAAAACAACAATAACGAAAGCCTTTCATGTAGCTTGTTGGAAATGTGTATTTGGGATCCACTGAGGCTCATTCACATGAGACTTAGAACCTGTATCAGTAACCACAATGGGTTTACATTATTATTGTTGTCTCCTATTAGTGCATTTGACCTACCTCAGGATATCCAAAGGAGAACAGAGGGAAGTGAGGGGTTGAGAACTGACACCCTACAACGCCAGCACCTCAGTGGAAAGGAGGAATAGAGCCCAGGAGGGATGTGGGGGTGAGGGTTTGTGTCTGCCTTATGTGAGCATATGGTGTGTGCATGTGGGTGTGTGGGTGGGGTTGTCAGGAGAGTGATGGGTGACTGTGTTTGTGAGCTGTGTGTGTCTGCTTTATGAGGGTGAGAAACTGAGTGGTGTGTGACCTGGTGTGAGGTTGGATGTATGTGCTTCCATGGTGTGTGGGAAGCTCGGTCGTGATATTAGGGACACCTGGCTACATATAAGTATAAATCCACTCTAGGAACAGACACTCTTGGATTTGGAAGGTTACCAAATGCAGACATCACGGTGACACTGCTGAGTTCTCCCCACCCCCTCTGTACCAGATCGCATCTCCTCCAACTGAACCCCACAGGAGAACTGTGGGACTGGGGTGCAGGGAAGCCGTGTTAAAAGGGGCTCAGAAAGGCCTCACCAGAGTTACCAGTTAGGAAATTTCCTCTCTTGTATAATCACACCTCTGCCTGTGTCTAAGAATTTTCAGTTCTATTCTTTAGATACTGCTACATCTACTATTTTTACTGGAAACCAAATTGTAAGCTGGTTTCTTTATTCATTTCTCTCCTCAGCCCCTCATTTTAATACCCTCCTATTGAATTCTAGGTCCAGAAAGCCAAAGGCAATTTTCTCTCAAATATTTGACCCAAGTGTTGCATTATCAGCCACACCCTCACTCTTGGACAAATTCTCCTCCCACCCAATTCCAGGCATGGAAAGGGTTTTGTTGATAAGTTCTTACAGTCACAGGAATCATCCTAGTCAGCAAGCCGTGGGAGAGACAGAAATAGAAACAGCAAATTTGACCAAACCAAGGTCCATGTTTGGGTGTTTTCATTTATCAAGCACACAAATCTCTGAGCCTCAATTCAGATATTTGTATAATCAGGATAAGAAACCCTTAGGATTATTGTGTGCAGAAAATGAAGAATTCTATATAAAAGATCGTATACTATGTTATGACACTCATGGTTAAACGGTAATTCTTAGATTGCAGAAAGGTTAAAGGCTACAGTTTGGAAAGACTGATAGCATATGATTTGTTTCAGAATGTAAAAAGGGCAGCTCTCTGGCATGTTCCTGACTGAGGATCTCATAACATTTAACTTGAGGAACTTCCTCCTTTTCCAGCTTTGGGAGTCAAGGTGAGACTCCTGGGGACCTAGGTAGGAAGTATCTGAAGACTTGGGAGAGGAGGCACAGTCCTTGGGAAGCCTGATAAAGGGAAGAGGTTGGAGTCCGCGTGGCAGAATGGCCGTTGTTTTCTTTCTCCTTAATGGATATTAAGACTTATTGGTAACAGCACTTAGGATGGGTAAACTGACTTACATAGATAAATACAGAATGTGTAAATGATAATTTCAAGTTTATGCCATTAAGCTCCTGGATTCTAAGTAACTAAAAACACAGTTTATTAAATTAAAGGACAAGTTAGGTAGTGGCTATAATTAACAAATCCTATAGAGACCTGCCTATCAGCATGTAGACTTGTCTTCATAATTGAGTGACTTTAAGAAGGGATGTCTTCTCTCCCTTCGCCTCACAAACCAACATCCCCCCAGTCCCCAGTGCGATTCCTAAGGTTGGTAACCCACCAGAGTCACACAGGCCCCTATGTCTGAAAGTCTTTCTTGAAGTCTGCATGTTCAAGGTTTGAAAGTTGGAATCTGGTTATTTATTTTTTCACCTTCCTTCACTCCAATGTTCTGGGTATGGATTGACCTTCCCACCTCCCTTCCTTTGCTATTGGGACCTCAGAGGTCTTGAGGGGTGAGTATGTCTCATCCAGAGACAGGGTGTGCTGACTTCCCTAGGAGATCATGAGTTTAGGTTAATGCTTTAAAATCACTGGAGAAGCAGACAAAACTATAAAAACATTCTTGGGGCTTTGAGGAGAATGAGGAGCAGAGTTATGGAAGGAAGGGTGGGTGGGTGCATATTTAGATAGGAGAGAGAAGGGGAAAGGGGGAACCCCCTCCTTGCCACCCAGGCTCTCCCAGGGCCAAAGTGACACCCCCTCCTCCTCCTGCCCTAATCCCCCCATTAAGGCAGCTCTGAGTTTGTTATGACAGGGGCTGAAGGCTGCTGAATTGCTGTTTGCTGTGTCTGCTAATTGGACTGAAGGGTTGGAGTCTGGACACTGAAAGGGACCATTGTTGCTGTTTACCTTCTACAGCCGCCTCCCTGGGGACCCTCTGGGTAAAGGGGAGCAGCAGCACCCCCTTAGGGTCATTGCACCCATTTCCTGCACAAGGGACTGCGGTGGGGAGACAGTTTGTCTCATTGCCTTGGGGTGGTTTGAGCTTCTACAGCACAGAGGAGACAAGCCAACACCTGAGCCAGTCTCTTCTCCAGGCCAGGCCTAGGGGCCATCCAGGAGCTCCCAGGAAAGAGGATTTACATGCTTGTCTTTCTCCTTTTTATTCATTCCCTTCTTCTTTAGGGATCTTTGCTTTGCCTCTTCCTCCAGCTAATCAGGCTTCACCCCTGCACCTTTTCTGACCTGCTTTCTTCTAGGTCAGTGATTCTCAACTTGGTTATGCACTGAATCACCTGGGGAGCTTTTTTAAAAATGTTGATGTTTGGGCCCAGCCCCAGATCCATGAAATCAGAGTATGTGGAAATGATGCCTAGGCATCATTATTATTTAATGTGCACCTGAGGTTATGAACCACTGATGTAGGCTCACCTCTCCACCTGGGAAACACATACACACACGTATGCATGTACCCACATGCCTGTGGATGTGTACACGTGCACACACAAACACACCCCGGCCTTTCCCCGCCTCTCCTCCCAAACTCCTGATATCTATAATACTATCAGACAGGTTGTATGTCTTCTAAATTATTATTACTAAATTCCTTGTAGGAGCCTTAGCATTTAGAATGGAATTTAGAGGTCTGTACTTTATCTCCCACCTCAATCTGAGCTCTTCCCCAAGGGGAGGGACTATGATTCCATCTCCCTGTGGATGTCCAAATAGGATCTAGAGGAAGACTGAGCTAAATTATCAGAGATTCAATGACTTTTGTGCTCTTCCTTCCTCAAAGTAATATTGGCAATTTGGAGGTCTTCAGAGAGGAGAAACATTCTTCAGGTATCATCTTTCCCTTTTCTTACTGTTTCCAAATGTTTTTGCTTCTTCTCTTCCCTTTAGCTTCTCACCTGGGGCGGGTGGGTTCTGCACCACCCTCCCACCCTCCTTCCTCCGTGTGGACGATAGAGCCACATCCAGCACCACGGACAGCTCCCGGGCGGTGAGTGAAATGGCCGTGCTGACCCCCTTTGAGAGGGTTAGGAGGGACCCTCCTGTCTGTACAGTTAGCTATCAAAGATTCTAAATTTTTGAATCTGTGGGAATTGTTTGCAGTCAGCTTTGGAGTCTCAGGGAGAGGCAAAGGCTGAGGGAAGTTGGCATTCTTCTCTCCGGGCAATTGGGTTTGTCTTCATGTTGGGGAGTCTGAATGAGAAGGGCTGCCCCAGTAGTAGGAAGAATGAAGGTTATATTTCAAGAATGATTTAACCTAGGTCATGTAAGATACGGAGGGTATAGATCAGGTAGAGCTGAAATGAGCCTTAGATATCATCATTCCTATATTCCTCATTTTACAGATCCCATGGGAGTAGAAGAGGTGTGAGCAGGTTGCCCAGCTGGTTAGCGGAAATGCCAAGATCCAGGCTCCTGAATTTCAGCCTGGCCCTTTCTATCTGTCTGATACCTCCTTTACGAGTCTCTCTGCCTGCGTTGTGTGGAGCGGGCCTGCTGCTGGTTGGGGGAGTTTGCAGGTTGCCCCTATGCAAAAAAGGACAGGATGCATGACTGGCATGTAAGGTGTTCAGGAAAACCAGGAAAAGGTGGAACAGACTGCTACCTCTGTCTGAAGTGGTTTGGAGGGAAGGCCTCAGGGACAGGGCATACCTAGCAGTAGCTGGCAAGCCCATGGGAGAAAAGGCAAGGGGGCAACCATCTGCCAGGGCACAGAGGCCAGGGGATGGCCACAAGGAGTCTCCAGAGGCCAGTGGGAGTCATGCAAACTGGAACGGGGCCTGGGAAAGGCCCTTCTGTGTGCCCAGGCCTGCCTCCCCAACACCGTGAGCCTAGAAACAAAGGGGCCATTCTCTCTAGGATTTGATGCTGCCATCTCCGGCTGGCAGTGCCAGGTGGTGGGGGCATCGGGGGTGTCAATCCATTATCCCCCCCAACTCCTAGGTCCTCTGAGGCTGGATGTTGGGGAGGTGGGTGTTCTATGCTATGTTGCTATGGCAACCGCCCCCCCACCCCCAAAGTACAAAGAGAGGCAGCTTTCACCCCTACCCCCAGGAAGAACCTGGGTCTGGCTGGGAATCTTCCCTTGAGAATCCTCCTTTCTGATGCACAAGCCATGGCATGCATAAGCGTCACCCTCTTTTCAGCACTGGAAGCTGAGGGTTTTGACAGCGGCAGGCCACATAGGCAAGGAAGCTGGTGCATGCAGTGTCTCTGGGCAAGGTTATGCAAGTGAGTACCAGCCCCTTATACTTAACCCCCTCTCTTCCCAAGCTCGCCTGCCCCTCACCTACCACAGCCAAGGACATCCCAGGCCTTCTCAGCTGAAGCGATGGGGCCTTGACCTTCTACTCTTTCCCAGAAGTGAGGGACACCCGGCTACCTCCAGCAAACCTCCAGGCTGTGGGAACAGAGAAGAGGAGGGGGCCATTCCTGCCACCCTCCATCTGCACCCTCCGCCATTACTCATTAGGCATTCTGCCCCCTCCTTCCGCTCGTTAAGCCTGATTTGCATGCATTTGCATAATACAGTTCATTTACATTCCAGGAGGCTCATGGTAGAAGCCAGGAAAAAAGGGGAGGGGGGCTGGAGAAGAGAAAAAGGGGGAGAGATTTTGTTTTCATCAAAGTGTTGGGGGAGGGACTAGGGGGAGGTGGCAGGAAGAGGACAGAAATAAAAACTTACACTACTTTCTTTCTTCCTTTCTGCCCTCCCTCCCTGAGCTGGACTCAAATGCCAAAGAGAGATGCCAAGGGGCCAGCTTTTCTGTCCTTTTTTGTCTTGCTTCCTCCGGCCTTGGCTCCCCAGCCTGGCCCCCCACCTTGTTGGGCTGAGGCTTCAGAAAGAAAGAGGCAGGGGTAGGAGGCAAGGCTGTGGGAACGGAAGCGGAGGGTGAGGGAGGCCGCCATCTTAGGTAACTGGCGCCTGTAAGATGGCTGCCTGACCAGGTGTGCACTGAAAGCCTACCCTGGTTGGTGGACATGGAACAGACTGAGGCCATAAGAAGGACTTCCTGGCTGACCAGAAATACTGTTGAATCTTCCTGTTAATGGAATTAGGAAGAGAGGATGGAGAGAGAAGGAAGGAGGGAGAGACCATGAATGGCGGCCCCCAGAAGAGATGTAAGGTTGAGCACAGGAGCAGGGGTGGTAGAGAGGCCTCAGCACTGGGCTTAGTTCCCAGACTACTTAGAGGACTGTGGGTAATAAGAAAAGTACTGGAGGAATCAGAATGGGGGAATATCAGCATGAGGAGAGAGAGAGTAAGATGTGGCCAGGCAGTATCATCTGCTAGTTTGAGGGTCTCTCTGGGGCCTGTGAAAGGTGACTGTGTACTTGAGGTGATGCTCCACCTTCTCTCCTCAGCCCAGCACTCTGGTGAAACTGCATCCTCTCAGAGGCCACTCACAGCCCCCTCAACAAAGACCACTGGCCCTTCCCAAGCCCAGTCCTCCTTGACCTGTATGGAAAATGTTATGCCATTTTCTCAGTCTTTTCCTTTGGCCTTCTGTTCTTCTGTTACATCCATGATCATCTGTTCTTGGTTCCATTCATTCAGTCCTCCGGATGGACCAGTTCCTTAACTAGAAGTGGTCCCCAGGTTCTGCTGGTAGCTTGTTTTCTCTTCCTTCTCACTCTTCTCACTCCACTTTTATCACTTTAACCATCACCTGAAGTTATAAATTCTCCTGTGTTTCATTTTTCTTTTCTTTTCTCTTCTCTTTCTTTCTCTCTCTCTCTCTTTCTTCTTTCTTTTTTTTTTTTTTTTTTTTTTGAGAGTCTTGCTCTCTCACCCAGGCTGGAGTGCAGTGGCGCAATCTCAGCTCACTGCAACCTCTGCCGCCCGGGTTCAAGCAATTCTTCTGCCTCAGCCTCCTGAGTAGCTGGGACTACAGGCACCCGCCACCACGCCCAGCTAATTGTTTGTATTTTTAGTAGAGACAGGGTTTCACAGTGTTAGCCAGGATGGTCTCAATCTCTTGACCTTGTGATCCGCCCGCCTCGGCCCCCCAAAGTACTGGGATTACAGGCATGAGCCACCGCGCCGGGCCTAGTCTTGACCTCTTTTAAACTCCAAATTCGCACCCCCAACTGCCAACTACCACCTGTGGTCCTGCCATTTGTCCCCAGATCAGATTGGAATGGTACATCTGCTTGACCAAGCCTGGATCACATGCCTAGGCTCTAGCTGCAAGGAGAGCCCAGAAAGTACCTGTGTTTTTAGCTTCTGTAGTAGCATAGAAGTACAACCTCCCACCAAAACCCAGGAGGTGGTCCAGTCCCCAGGCAGTTCGGATGCTCCCTCCGCATTGTGCTTCTGCTGCCTTACCTCTATCGGTGGCCTCATTAAACTCCTAGGCCCCCAGGTTCAACTCCTGAACATTTTCCTGGACTTGTCCCCACATCCAAATCAGCCACATCAAAACCCATCACTTCTTCCTGTGTAGCACCTCTCATCCATTCCCTTCCCTCTGGTACCCCTGCCTCCATGTCAGCACATTCATTCAGCAGGCACTGAGGGTCTCCTGTGTGCCAGGAGCTATGCTCAAGGGGAGTGTGGAATACAACGCTGCTCTGAGGAACTGGCAGTCTACTGGGTGAGGCAGACACATGAATGATTAGAAGACGGTCTGGAAAGCATTGTCCTGCAGACCTGCACAAAGTGCTGTGGAGGCATGGGGAAGGGAGCCGGGGGCCACCTCGGGGAGCTCAGGAAGGCTTCCTGGAGGACGCCAAGAGATAAGCGATACAAGATAAACAGGCATTTGGCAGTCTACAGTCTGGGGAAGTAGGTGGTGGACAGTCCACAGCATTCGAGAAGGCAAGTAGGTAAGGAAGAGCAGGGTATGTTTGGGGACTAGCATGGCCATCGCAGGGAGTCTGCTGGGAGGAGAAGGGAAACAGAGGTAGGAATTCCCCTGTAAAGCGCCTTATGTGCTATACCAGGGAGGCTGGGGCAGTTAGCTGACAGCCTCAGAGGTGCCAGGTGTAGGGCATGGCTGGAAAGCAACACATAACCACTCCTAGGAGGGATGGGGACTCCTGCATCTGGCTGTCCATTGAGACCAGCCAGACATTTAACTGGCTCTCAGCTAGTTCCAAACAAATGAAGGACATATGAAAGACCTGGAAGCCACTTGAGGAAGGGATGTCTCTACCACCCACCTTCAGAATCCCTCCTTCCCCCACGACATGCGGGGGCAGCAAGCTTATGGGAGCTTTCTGGGGAGAGATGTGGAGAAGCAGAAGTTGGTGTCCCTCAGCACAATGAGCACCCTGATGTCGGGGCAGGGGGATGGGCTGCTGGGGGTTGGGGGACAGGGATACTGGCTCTGACTTTGTGGGGCAACAAGCTAGTCTCTGAGCTCTCTTATGAAAAAAAAAGGAAGGGAGGGAGGGAGGGCCGGCCGGGCGCAGTGGCCCAAGCCTGTAATCTCAGCACTTTGGGAGGCCAAGGCAGGTGGATCGCCTGAGGTCAGGAGTTCAAGACCAGCCTGGCCAACATGGTGAAACCCTATCTCTACTAAAAATACAAAAATTAGCCAGGCATGATGGCCCATGCCTGTAATCCCAGCTATTCAGGAGGCTGAGGCAGGAGAATCACTTGAACCTGGGAGGCAGAGGTTGCAGTGAGCTGAAATCAGGCCAATGCCCTCCAGTCTGGGCAGCAGAGCAAGACTCTGTCTCAAAAAAAAAAAAAAGAAAGAAAGAAAAAGAAAAAAGAAAGGTTCAGTGGTCAGGGCTGTGTGACACAGGGGGCTACAGCAAAGCAGCAAAGAAGGGGCACAGTCCTGGAACCCTCCTGAGGGAGGGAGTTGGGGGTGAGGTAGTAGCCAGGGCCAAGGCTCCGAGGGAATTCTTCCTCAAGAAAGCGGATGAGAGGCTGGAGAGGCAGTTGGGAAGATGGTGAGGCTGCTGCTGGCTGCTGGGCGGAATGTAAGTGGGGGTGCCCACCACCGCCCATCCCCCAGGCCCGGCTTGTGCACAAAGACTTCTCTGTGAGTGGCCATGGAAGTGGCCCTGTCAGGTGAGGGGGCTTAGCTCCCAGGGAGTGGGGTGGAATGGGGCTGGAGGAAGGGAGGGCTGAGAGGTGGCCTCAGGCTTTAACCAGGTCTGGGCAGGAAGGAGAGAGAAGCTGAAACCAGGCCGGGGTCTCACAGTGAGGCCGTTCATGGTCTGGTCCAGCTGTCCCCAGGATGGGCTCCTCTCCATCATCCAACCAGAGACCCAGGGCCCCAGCACCAAGGCCCTCACCTGCCCCTGCCTTCTCCCCATGTCTTCCCAGCTATAACTCCTGATCCTGCCAGGCCTCTCCAGCCTTCCATCCCCTGCTCATACATGCTGTCTCCTGACACTCTTGGAACTGACCCTGCTCTTGGGACTGACCCTGCTTGAGCTTCTCTCATCTTCCCAGCATGGGGTCTCCTTCCATCTCCTGCACAGTGCTCCTGCTCCAGGGAGGGCTGTGTTGAGAGGGTAGAGACACAAGATTGACCAGAACTAAAAAGGAGTCCCAAGGCCACCCCAGTCTCCACACCCACTCTTGCCTTCCCCAGGAGAGGCTCCTCTCCTGGCCTGGCCTCAGTGTCACTTACTGCTAATCATCGATGTGTAGAGACCTTTCTCCCATCTCCCCACCACCAAGCCCTTGTTGAGCACACTGCACACTGGCTTTTTATTTTTATTTTTTGGAGACGGAGTCTTGCTCTGTCACCCAGGCTGGAGTGCAGTGGCGCGATCTCAGCTCACTGCAACCTCTGCCTCCCAGGTTCAAGAGATTCTCCTGCCTCAGCCTCCAGAGTAGCTGGGATTACAGGTGCCTGCCACCATGCCCGGCTAATTTTTGTAATTTTAGTAGAGACAGGGTTTTGCCATGTTGGCCAGGCTGGTCTCGAACTCCTGACCTCAAGTGATCTGCCCACCTTGGCCTCCCAAAGTGCTGGGATTACAGGTGTGAGCCACTGTGCGTGGACTGCGCTGGCCCTTCTAGTGAATGTTTGGGTTCAGGGTACACGAAGCAGCAGAATGCTGGCGGACACCACCTCAGCTTGCAGGCTGCTCTGGGTTTGATAGTCAGTGGGGCTTTGTCCACAGGAAGGACAGGAAAAGAAGGAGCTTTTGGTTTTTGACTCTGGAATTGGACAGGCTGGTCAGGATACAAATTCTGGCTTCCCCCACTTACTAGCTAGGTGACCTTAGGCAAGTCCCTTCATGTCTTTGGACCCTAACTGCCTTCCTTGGTTATCCTGAAGATCAAATGGGGTGATGGGAATGAATGTTTTCTAAGGCTGTATGCAGATGTTTAGTGTTAAATGCTAAGTGCAGAGGGACACAGTTATGGGGCCATTGAGGTAGGTGGGGGCAATCAAGGAAGGCCTCCTGGGTTGTGAGGGCCATGGATCACCGGGTGCAGTCCATAACGGAGGCCTGACTGAGAAATGGGGCTGGGCTCCATGGCTGGGGCTTTTGTGGTCTGAAGGAGGTGAGCATCTTGCTGAGGCTGTTTCGAGAGGGACCCGTTGTTAACAATTAGGTGGTGAACTCCACAACGGCAGCCTCTTTTATCCACTGGCCAGGTGTGAATGCCACCCAACATACCAGGAGGAGGGGACAGGTAGGGTGCAGCTCTGCCACATTGCCCCTAACCTGCCCTGCTCCCTCCCTGCAGCCTTCATCTCCTCGTCCTCCAGGCAGCACAAGCCATTGTGGAATCTCCACCAGGTGTACAGAACGGTGCCTCTGCGTCCTGCCACTCAGGACCTCTCAAGTCCCCGATGTGATGGCTCCTCAGCATGATCAGGAGTGAGCGTAATTCAGACCTATTTAGATCCGTCAGCCCACGGACCAGGGGGACCTTGAGCAGGACAGTCTTTTGTCTCCAAGCAGTCATTCCCTGTTATACAAGCAAGAGTCAGGAGGAGGAATGGTTTTGGCATCATCCCCCACAGACAGCAATGGGGCCTTTAGGCCTGGAAGGAAGGACCAGGCTGCGGCTGGCATATGGAGGTTGAGCCCTGGGCACGGGGCATCAGCTTCACCCGGCTGGGGATGCCTTCTGCTGGGTTTGTCCATCTGGCACCAGCTGGCTTCCCAGCACCGCCCCCACAACCAACCAGACTCCTCCTTCTGCTGTTGCCATGGCAATTGGCTGCCATATTGTACCTCAGAGCACTAGCTCCTATCTGGATTTTCCCGCGGGGTTCCTAGAGGGTGGGAGATGGGTCTCCAGGGATTTATCCCTTTCCCCTGATATCTATCCAATAAAAATTCATAATAACATATGATTTTTTAATAGCCTAAGTGGAGGATTACTATGTGTCAGGCTCTGTGCCAGACACTCTCTACATGTTATTTAATGTGGCTAAGAAAGAATTAATGAGATAGAATTCAAGAGGTTCCCATCCAGTTTCCTGCTACTACGACAGACTTTTCCTCTCTCCAACCAGGAAATTCCATGATCTTGCTTATTCCTGTCTTGGGAAGTCCTTCTCCATGTCTAACCAAGATCTATATGGCTATAGCACCAGCTCTTTGGCTCTTGGCTTGGCATGGCTAAGTTGGGAGGTAAGGAAGGAATGCCACCTAGCTTTAGTTACTTCATAAAGGTTCCTGGACTCCAGCTATTAGAATAGGAAAACTGAGACTTGTCTAGCTTGGTGAGAGGTCTGAGTGCCCCTTAAAGACTTGGGAGCCCCCACCCAAACCTTTTGTTTACAGAAGAGGAGTAAATGCCACAGAATGCTTTGAAATTCCCCTTCTGTGCCCCATCAGCACCCCAGAAAGAGGAGCCGGAGACCATGGAATAGCAATAGTCTCTCAGGCCCTCTGGGCTCCCCCTTTGGAAGCCAGTCTCCCAGCTCCTGCCCTGGGGGGAACGTTCCAACAGGGTCTCAGAGACATCCTGGGATAATGAGGGTCCCCTCCTTCTGGAGCCCAACTGGAAGGCAGAGAATGGTCACTTTGACCTCGAGGGGCATCTATAAGGGGCACTAAGCAGAGGCCAGATTTGCTGAGGAAATCCTGAATGAGGAGCAGGTGGAGAGAAAAAGGAGGCCATTCTCAACTGAGGAAGGGTGGGCTGGGAGGGAGGGGCCAGGGATAATTTATGATATCATTGCTCCCCCGCCGCACTTACTTCCCAGCCCTCTGCTACTGTACCGTTGCTAGGAGAGCCTGGCTCTGTCTGGGGCTGGGAGGGTGTAACAAGCGGGAGGCTGTTCCATCTGCACTCCTCCTCCCCCACCCAGGGGAGGGCACCGCATGGAGCTGCATCCACCACCCCTTCCCAGGCCCTGACAGACACCAGTCTCTTCTGTCGTTCCCCCAAATCTAGCCACTCAAGGGATAGCAGGACTCCCAGTTGGGCTGAGGATCTAGAGCAAGGAATGGGCAAGAGAGCATGGAAGGAGACACACTGGCAGACTTAGAGGGGCACTGAGGAACAGACAGCCCACCTTGAGTCCTGGCAGCCAGCCCGGGTCAGGAAGAGGGCCAGAGGGGGTCAGGGAAACAGGCCTGGCAGAGATCAGGTTTGGAGAAGACAGGGTCGTTACATTTGAGGGGCTCCTGATATGATGGGCAAGGCAGACTTCTCATCCCCACTCCTCCATACTGTCAAGATCCAGGTTGGAGAGCTGGCAAAGGTAGGGGGAGGAGGAGCTGGGGAAGGGAGGAGGGATGTGAGCTGGGAGAGGCTGCGAAGAGTCTAGGAAGAAGAAAGGCCACACTCGTCTGAGTGGAGCTGGGCCATGCAGGGCCGTGGCCGAGATCCCCTCCTCTTTCTGAAACTCTTCTCAGATCTTAAGGCTCTTGGAGAAGTCAAGGGAGGTGAACTTTGGGGGTTTCCAAAGCGGCTGGCTCCCAACCCTGGATGGGACAGGAAAGGAAGGCTGTGCCCACAGCTGTGCCTGACACCTGATTCCTGTGCAGCCCCTACTGGGTTTATTTGCCTTTCCTGGACATAGCTTCCCCAGCCCAGGAAGGAAGGAGCTGACCCTGATTTGTGCCCATTTGGTTGTGTAAGCCCTTTCATAGCCATTATCTCAGCTAATCTTCCCAACAGCCCTGAAAACCGGGTGATATTGTCCCCACTTTATGAAGGAGGAATCAAAGCCTCAGGAAGGCTAAGACACTTTCCCAGAGTCACAGGACTGGTAAATTGGGCTGGGCTTCAAGTGGGTCTTCGTAGACCCCAAAGCATATGTCCCCTTCCTCCCCTGTGCTGACTTCTGAAACACAAATGGAGGGACCGAGAGAAGAGAGGACCAGATAGGCAGGTGGAATTCTTGGCATGTTCTCCAGTGTAGGGGTAAAGTCTGAGGGATGATAAACATCTTGCAGGTTGAAGACAGGATTGGGGAAGAGGCCATGGGAGCTGTGGAAGCGACCAAAGTCTTCCAGGCTGGTCCTTAGCCCAAGTGCATCCTGCACCCTGCCTTCCTGAAGCAAGTCCCCTGGGCTCTCTGCCTAATCTCTCCCGTTCTTGGGATCTGAGTTTACGCCTTAGGCATTTCCCTCACCCCCCATTGCCTTGGATGGAGCACCTGGAAGAGGTGGAAGAGGTGCCTAGACTCAAGCCACTGTCATGGTGGATCCCTTTGTGATGACCCCTTCCCTAGCTCCTCACCTTGCCTGATGGAAGTGAGCTCCTTCCAAGATGGCTGGAAGTTTGTCCTCTGCCTCCTCCTAAAGTCTCCATCCGAAGTGTATTTTTTGGCTGGACGTGGTGGCTCACGCCTGTAATTCCAACACTCTGGGAGGCCGAGGCAGGTGGATCACTTGAGGTCAGGAGTTCGAGACCAGCCTGGCCAACATGGCGAAACCCCGTGTCTTCTAAAAATACAAAATTTAGCCAGGTGTGATGGCATGCGCCTGTAATCCCAGCTACTCAGAGGCTGAGGTACGAGAATTGCTTGAACCTAGGAGGCAGAGGTTGCAGTGAGCCGAGATCATGCCACTGCACTCCAGCCTGGGTGACAGAGTGAGATTCCATCTCAAAAAAAAGAAGTATTTTTCTTTACGCTTGACAATTTTTCTTTTCAGACCAAAAAGAAGAATGTACTTCATCTGGTTGGGCTGGATTCCCTCTGATAAGCCTTCCCAGTTGACTGAAAGATGAGGCTAGGCTCTAGCAAGTTGAAGTCAAACCAGCTCCTTCAAGAAGCTTTGAGCAGAATGAAGTGGGGAGGACCCAGCTTCCAGCCCAGGAAGCCCACTGTACCTGGAGCCATCTGGGATAAGACTTTGACCCATGACTCCCATATCCACAGCCTGTCCATCCTAGCCCATCCCAGTTTATCCTGTATCATTTGAGCTGGGATTCCCACATCCTCTGAGTTGGAAGTCCCATCTCAAGTCTTCAATAAAGACTCTTGAATATTGAATCACATTAATAGTGGTAGTGGATATACCTGGACAGGGTTGGAAGGGGAGGGGCTGCAAGAGAGGGGGCAATACTGGGCTCCTTTCAACAGAGATCTGTGATACAGAAGCCAACCTTGCAGCAGAAGCGGGGGAGCCTCTAATACCAGAACTCCTACCTGGTAGGGGGTGGGGCGGTGAGTGAACATCTTGGCTGCTTCCACCGCCCTCAGCCACCCCAAGGCCAGAACTCCATCCGTGATCCGGTCAGTCCCAAATCCAAGTCATGGGCTAATGCTTCCATCCAAGGAAGCACCTAGGTGCCCTACTAGGGACCAAGAGAATGGGAGAGGGTGGTGATGCTCCCCTAGAGTGCCTGTGCAGGAGGTCACTGGGTGGCCTTCTGTCTCCTCCACAAAAGGACTCTCATAAATGTCCTCCTGGGTTTGAACAGACCACATAGAGGGAGCACTCCTGCCCCAAAGGGTCTTCCATTCCTGCTTCTTCTCTGTCCACCCTCAGTAGAAACATAAGGGAAAGAATATGATTATTAAAAGGGATTCAGGCCGGGCACGGTGGCTCACGCCTATAATCCCAGCACTTTGGGAGGCCAAGGTGGGCGGATCACAAGGTCAAGAGATTGAGACCATCCTGGCTAACACAGTGAAACCCCGTCTCAACTAAAAATACAAAAAATTAGCCGGGTGTGGTGGCAGGCGCCTGTAGTCCCAGCTACTCAGGAGGCTGAGACAGGAGAATTGCTTGAACCCGAGAGGCGGAGGTTGCAGCGAGCCGAGATCGCGCCACTACACTCCAGCCTGGTGACAGAGCGAGACTCCGTCTCAAAAAAAAAAGAGGGATTCAGATTAGACAGCAAGTAGGACTTCCCAACAATAACAAGGCCTGAGGGGGAACTTGAGGGGGCAGGAAAGCCATAGCAAAAAACTAAGACTGTGCTCTTGACCCCATTTTCTTCATAACACATCTGTATCCAACATGCGCCCCCAAAAGATAGGCCCCTTCTCATCTCTAGAGAGCCTTGCTGGATGATGTTAACAGAGCCCAGACTAGCAGCACCATTTAAGCTCTCCATCACCTTCCAGAAAGTCCTTCCTCCCTTCCATAATCCCTCCATGGAACTAAACTTTGAATCCTGGAAATTTTCTAAATGAAAAAACTTAAGATAACACACATGACACAATTCTAACAGCACAAAAGAGAAATTACATCTCCTTCCTACCCCTGTCCCCAGCCACCCACCTCCTCTCCCAAGAGGAAACAACTGGTACCTGTGTCCTCCCCGGGTTACTCCGTAGACATCCAAGCACATGTGTATAAATTCCTCCTTTCCATTTAAACACTGACTGCAGCCTTTTCAGCCCTTCTAGACCAGGACTCTTAGCCTGAGGTCAATCTGGACCTCAGGGGATGATTGCAAATACTAAAATTGCATGCAGAATGCTGGCCAGGCGCCTGGGCACTATTTCCAGGAGGAGGGCTCACGTAATGAGCCACCTGCTCTAGCTCAGTTCCTCATTTCATAGAGGAAACTGAGGCCAGAGAGGAGAAGGGCTATGTCCAGGGTCCTCAGCGTGGTGGGGGCCCATCAGGAGAAGAATCCCAGGCTCTCCCTGACCTATATGTCCAGGAGCCCCAAAACTGGGATTTGGAGGGCTGACTGAGACCGGGGATGCTGCTGGGAGGAGGAGGCAATTTCCTTTGCATCACAGTCTGGCATATCTAAGGGGCTGAGCTCAGTCTCACCACGTCTGGGCGCTCATCAGTGCTTCTGAGGTTCCAGCCTTCATTTTGGGGCCCTCCCACTCCTAGCCTTGCCAGGACCCACTGTGGCCCTGGGGAGGTGGGGTGAATGGAGGCAGGATCTGGCTTGGGGTCCATTGGTATGGAAGAAGCTTCCCAGGTCTGCCCACTCCTCCCCCTGCTTTTGTTTGTACCCCACAACCTGAGCATCAGTCTTCGTGGTCACCTTACCATGGTGCTGGGGGGCCTGAGCAGGGAGAGGCAGCTGGCCACTGTGGCTAGTCCTCTGCCTCCTCTCCTGGCCTCTGGCTTGGAGGGGAGGCTCCCGGCGGGGGAGCTGGGGCAGGAAGGAGGAGGTGGGTGGAAAGGACTCCTCTGAGCACAGGAAAGAAAAGCAGGAGAGGGCCCCAGAGGGTGGACAGCCTTTTGGAAACAGAATGACCCAGACCCAGACAGGGGCAGAAGGGGCGGGGAAGGACCCCTCCCTGGACAGAGATGTCAGGACTGGGGTGGGAGGACCCAGGCAGGACACTTTGGAATGTGCGCTCTCAGAGTCCCACTGAGCATATGCAGATGAGGCCTGTCTGTATGCAAATGAGCCCGTCTGTATGCAGATGAGGAGAGAGGGCATTCTCTTCTCAGGGTTACCATAGAGCCCACCTCCTCCCCTTCCCTCTGGGCTCCAGCTGCAGGGCAGCCTGGGAAGAGTCCAGGCCCAGGGAGAGGCAACCTGCAATAGAAGGTTAGACTTCAGGAAGGACTTACCAAAAAAAAATGGCTAGTTCTGGGAAAGGAACTGGAGATGAAATAGGGAATATAGAGAGGCTGCTGAGAGGGCCAGGTAAAAAAGATAGGGGTGCACAATGAAAGGACATCTCAGCCACAGGAAAACACAGGCAAACTCACAGAAAGCTTTGAGAGGGAGGCTGGGGAAGAGGAGAAAAGGAGCCGCGACTGAGCAGCCACTCTCTGCTGAGCCCCGCACAGGATGCCTTCCACTCAGTCTCACTGGATCCCAGTGATAACCCTGTGAGGCCTTTTGCAGAGGAGGCCTACAGAAGCAGAGAGACTCACCCACATCACACGGTTTGCAAGTGGCAAGGCCCTGGCCTGTCCGACTTTACGGCAGGCAGCCACAGCTTAGACCCTTCCCACTGCTTCCTGGCAGACACTGAACAGCTCTTCCTACCTGAGGGGAGAGGAGGGGCACTAGGGGTTGGAGAGCTGTGCCTGGAGCAGGGGCCTGATACACCCTGAGGGGAGGTCCAGTTGGGTCTCAGCCAAGGTAGGGCCTGCAGAGGGTTGAGAATTGCCAGTGCAGTTCCAGGGGAGGCTACTGGGGGAACTTGGGTGGGCTGCAACCAAGAGGGTACCATCATGGCTGGGAAAGATGCCAGGGATGATCCAGTGGGGGAAACTGAGACCCAGAGAGGTTAAAACAGTTGCCCCCTCAGTCAGCAGATCCAAGTAGAAGCTGGGCCTAAACTCTGGCTCCTGGGTCCCCAGCCCCTTCCTAGGAGTGCAGAGGCCAGGAGTGGAGGGGTCTCTGAGAATAGCCTCTCCTCTTCCTCCAGTGGCCCCTGGCCCCCCACATCCAGTGGTGCAGCCAAAGCCTTTGTGGAGAAGCTGTGGGGAAGAGAGGCCCCTTGTTGGCCCATTCATAGTGCCGGAGGCTCGGCTGATGCCAGCCCCCGGCACCGGCTGGGCTATCCTTCCTGGGGGTGCCAGCCAGCCCCCACCCGCTGCCACAGCCCGCTCCCCAGCTCTGTCGTTTCCTGGAGCCTCGGGGCTTGGCCGTGGTCCCGGCTGAAGGATGGCGGGGAGCCCCAGCCCCCGCGCCCCCCGCACCTCGCCTTTCACACGCTGGCACCATAGCCGTGGGAACGCTGGACGGCAGCTGGGCACCGGTGCCCGGCTTTGCCCACCCCCAGCCTGGCCAACCTCAGAGAGGGGGAGAGGAACAGGCTGCCCCCAAAAAAAGCCCCTCCAGGATGGGGCCCTAGAAATACTTAGCACTAATTATGAATCTGGGGACAAACAAGGCATTTGCAAGTCAATTAGTGACAGAACTTTCCCAGGAAAGAGGTTCATCCAGGCTCAGCTTCAGACAGGGCCACACGCTGGGTCATCTTGTCCCTCCTCCTGCCTCTGCCCTGCTCGAAGCTCCAGGGATACAGACCGACCCGATGTTCTGCCAGCCCCTATGTGGCTGAGGGTGCCAGGGTCCTGAGTGGGCCTGGGGGGGTGGGAGGGAAAGGCTGAGCTCTACTGAGGTCAGCTGGAGGTCAAAATAGGGCTGTCACCAGGAGACATTCTGCCAGGGCTCTGGCCTCAATTCCACCTGTGACAGAACCTGGTGGCTCCTGGAAGGAGATGCCAAAGAGGCCACTGGCCCAGACAGGGTGGCCCGAGTGGGCTGAGAGGGAAATAGAAGTCATTGTAAAAGGGCCAGTGGGAGATGCTTCCCAGAAAACACAAAGAAACCAGGACAAGAGGAGACCAAGGGAGAAGACAAAGGGTCTTCAGGCATCTCAACAATTGTCCCCAGGCCAGGAGGCACACTGTGGGGATTTCAGCCCTGCTTGCAGGGGAGCCTCCAGGTGGACCAGCACGGATATCTGAGGCCACTGCCCATGGAGAAAGAGACAGAGCAACAGATCTTGCTCTTCCCGGGACTGAGAGGCCTTTAGCTGGGAAAGGGGCTCTCTACCAAGAGAACCCCTTAATTGGGGAAAGAGAGAGAAGGAAAGGGGCTGTGCAGGGCAAAAACCCTAGAGCCAGCCCCGCCATCTGAGGGAGATTAAGGGATTATAATTAAAAGGTGTTTGAGGGGCTCCAAGCAGGTGGGTTGGGGCGGGTGCTAATGATCTAATTGCTGCTTCACCAGGGCTTCAGCCAGGGCCTGGCTGCTGGGGCTCTGTAATGAGTCGGGTGTTTTTTTAAGGGAGGTGGAAGAGGAGAGGCGGAGCTGAAGGGCCAGGAGGGAAAGTCTTTTTCTTCACTTTGAGCCCTCAGCGCACATGCTCACATGCTCTGGCCAGTCCTTCCTTTAATGGCCTCCCTGGAAAACCAAGATGAAGCCTGCAGCCTACGGAGTCATGGGAGGCCTGGAGAAGACTTCTGGGAGCTGGGCGTGAACAAAGAGGGTGCTTAGATCCCCACAGAGAGAGGACACTGAGACACGGGATGGTTACGGGAAAGAGAGGCTCTCCTTGGAATAATTATAACAGATGTTGGAAGTAAATGCTCGGTGCCGCAAAATGAAAATAGCACTCAGGCAAAAGTTTTCTCAACAAGGCAATTTACTTCTATAGCAGGGTGTGTCTAGTGGATGGAGCAATGGTGAGAGCACACCAGACAAGGGAGGAGAAGGGGGTCTTATCCCTAATGCAGCTAGTCCCTACTGCTATGTCTTTTCCCTATTGGCTAAGGTTGGACCGCATAGTCTAAGCTAATTCCGATTGGCTATTTTAAAGAGAGCGAGAGTGGCCGGGCGCGGTGGCTCACGCCTGTAATCCCAGCACTTTGGGAGGCCGAGGCGGGTGGATCGTGAGGTCAGGAGATCGAGACCATCCTGGCTAACAAGGTGAAACCCCGTCTCTACTAAAAATACAAAAAATTAGCCGGGCGCGGTGGCGGGTGCCTGTAGTCCCAGCTACTCGGGAGGCTGAGGCAGGAGAATGGCGTGAACCCGGGAGGCGGAGCTTGCAGTGAGCCGAGATTGCGCCACTGCAGTCTGCAGTCCGGCCTGGGCGACAGAGCGAGACTCCGTCTCACAAAAAAAAAAAAAAAAAAAAAAAAAAAAAAAAAAAAAAAAGAGAGCGAGGGTAGGAGCCGGAGTGGTGGGGTGAGTAGTTTTGGCGGGAAGGACGGTTACAGAGCAGGTGACTAAGGATGACTAAGGACAGAGCAGGTGACTAAGGATGACTAAGGACAAAGCAGGTTACTAAGGACAGAGCAGGTGATAGAGGCTAGGAGGGAGTTGTTTACTGAGACTAGGGGCAAGGAGACAAAGAATGAGGAAGTTAAACTTTAAAATGGAGAACAAGGCCGGGTGCTGTGGCTCACGCCTGTAATCCCAGCACTTTGGGAGGCCAAGGCGGGAAGATCACCTGATGTGGGGAGTTCCAGACCAGCCTGACCAACATGGAGAAACCCCATCTCTACTAAATATACAAAATTAGCCAGGTGTGGTGGAACACGCCTGTAATCCCAGCTACTCAGGAGGCTGAGGCATGAGAATCGCTTGAACCCAGGAGGTGGAGATTGCAGTGAGCAGAGATGGCGCTATTGCACTTCAGCCTGGGTAACAAGAGCAAAACTCCGTCTCAAAAAATAAATAAGCCAGGTGCAGTGGCTCACGCCTGTAATCCCAGCACTTTGGGAGGCTGAGGCAGGCGGATCACCAGGTCAGGAGATCGAGACCATCCTGGCTAACACGGTGAAACCCTGTCTCTACTAAAAATACAAAAAATTAGCCGGGCGTGGTGGCGGGCGCCTGTAGTCCCAGCTACTCGGGAGGCTGAGGCAGGAGAATGGCGTGAACCTGGGAGGGTTCACTGCTTGCAGTGAGCCGAGATCGTACCACTGCACTCCAGCCTGGGCAACAGAGTGAGACTCCGTCTCAAAATAAATAAATAAATATAAATAAATAAAATGGAGAAGAAAGAACAGGGGAGCTGAACATACTGATACATTGGTTCTTTGGAGAGGGACTCAGAACTCATTGTACTTAACAATTTTCTCCCTCTTGAATTTTAAAGGAAGTTAACGAGCTAAAACCTTTGAAGAGGAATTTATTATATCCCACACAGAGTACAACTGAAAATGTAGTCTGTGTCAGGCACTGTACTGAGCACTTGACAAACTGACTTAACCCTCACAACCACACAGTAAAGACTGAGAAGGGCCGGGCGTGGTGGCTCATGCCTGTAATTCCAGCATTTTGGGAGGCCAAGGCGGGAGGATCACCTGAGGTCAGGAGTTCAAGACCAGCCTGGGCAACATGGTGAAACCCCGTCTCTACTGAAAATACAAAAATTAGCCGGGCGTGGTGGCAGGTTCCTGTAATCCCAGCTACTCGGGAGGCTGAGGCAGGAGAATTGCTTGAACCTGGGAGGCGGAGGTTGCAGTGAGCCAAGATCATGCCTTTGCCCTCCAGCCTGGGGGACAAGAGTGAGACTCCATCTCAAAAAAAAAAAAAAAAAAAAAAGACTGAGGAGGAGACACGCTCCCCGACCTAAATAGACGTCAAGGGTCCCAAAGACCAGGGATGGCCATTTTCAGGCCCTTCCTTCTTCCTGGGATGGGTCAGATAGTCAAACCCTCTCTAGACTCTGAGAGTCTACAGGCTGGAGGTCAAGAGTGTGCAGCTTGCAGCCCAAAGACCTCCGGCTATGGGAGTCCAGCCTCACCCAGTTTGTGCAGGCTGCTCTCTTGCCTCTCATGCAAAAAGCAGACCGTGGGCCCAGGCTTGGTGGCTCACGCCTATAATCTCAGCACTTTGAAAGGCCGAGGCAGGCAGATCACTGGGGCCCAGGAGTTCAAGACCAGCCTGGAAAACATGGCGAAACCCTATCTCTACAAAAAAAAGTTTAAAAAATTAGCCAGGCATGGGCCGGGCGCGGTGACTCGTGCCCGTAATCCCAGCACTTTGGGAGGCTGAGGTGGGTGGATCACGAGGTCAGGAGATCGAGACCATCCTGGCTAACATGGTGAAACCCCGTCTCTACTAAAAATACAAAAAAATTAGCTGGGCGTGGTGGCAGGCGCCTGTAGTCCCAGCTATTTAGGAGGCTGAGGCAGGAGAATGGCGTGAACCCAGGAGGCGGAGCTTGCAGTGAACCCAGATCGCGCCACTGCATTCCAGGCTGGGCGACAGAGTGAGACTCCATCTCAAAAAAAAGAAATTAGTCGGGCATGGTGGCATGGGGCTGTAATCCCAGCTGCTCAGGAGGCTGAGGTGGGAGGATTGCTTGAGCTCAGGGGTGGAGGGTGCAGTGAGCTGATCTGGCCACTGCACTTCAGCCTGGACAACAGAGCAAGACTCTGTCACAATAAATAAATAAATACATACATACATACAGAAAGCACCCTGTGAACCTGGACGCACAGTGGTGTCGTACCACTGAGCTTTTGCACATGCTGTTCCCTCTCCTTGGGAAGCCATCCCTTCTGCTCACTGTTACCTGTGAACTTCCACCCACATGGCGCTACTGGGGGGGTCTTCCTTTCCCCTCCATCCCTGGGCTCCCCTCAGATTTGAGGGTCAGTTATCTCTGGCAACCCAGAGCCAGGCTGAGAGGGTGCTCACTACTTATTCAGGACACAAATGAATGAATGGCCTGGTGAGGGGTGGGCATTCACCTTTATAAATGAAAGGCCTGAAACAGGGTAGCTCTGGGAGGACAACCGGGAACCAGGCGCGTGGGTTGTCTCTGGGATGGGAACTGGGTAGCAGAGACCCAGCGGACAGGAGACCTCCTACAGTATAGTATACTCTTTTGCACCTCAAAAGTTTGTTGTTGTTGTTTGTTTTTTTGAGACGTAGTCTCACTCTGTCGTCCAGGCTGGAGTGCGGTGGCGTGATCTCAGCTCACTGCAAGCTCCGCCTCCCAGCTCACTGCAAGCTCCGCCTCCCAGGTTCACACCATTCTCCTGCCTCAGCCTCCTGAGTAGCTGGGACTACAGGCGCCCGCCACCACGCCCGGCTAATTTTTTGTATTTTTAGTAGAGACAGGGTTTCACCGTGTTAGCCAGAATGGTCTCGATCTCCTGACCTCGTGATCTGCTCGCCTCGGCCTCCCAAAGTGCTGGGATTACAGGTGTGAGCCACCACGCCCAGCCGCTGCACCTTAAAAGTTTTATTACACGTGAAGAAATTATTTATTTAGAAACAATTTTTTTTTTTTTTAGGCTGGAAGGACAGTGTTTGACCCCAAAGGCCAGAGCATAAGAGAACCTCTGGCTGGGCACAGTGGCTCATGCCTGTTATCCCAACACTTTGAGAGGCTGAGGCAGGAGAATCACCTAAGTTCAGGAGTTCGAGACCAGCCTGGCCAACGTGGTGAACCCTCGTCTCTACTAAAAATACAAAAATTAGCCAGGCATGGTGGCAGGCGCCTGTAATCCCAGCTACTCAGGAGGCTGAGGCAGGATCGCTTGAACCCGGGAGGTGGAAGTTGCAGTGAGCCGAGACAGCGCCACTGCACTCTAGCCTGGCCGACAAGAGCAAAACTCCATCTCAAAAAAAAAAAAAAAAAGAGGAACCAGTGGCATTTCAGTCCCTTCTCTTTGCCTTCCCCTTCCATCACTCTACCCCTGCCTCCTGCTGGGCCAGCTGGGCCCACTCATGGTGGCCCACACTCAGCCTCATCCTTCAGGAGCCTCTCAGGATGATTCCCTTCTCACCTGCCGTCCCCCAGTTGGTATCGTGGACAGAGCACCTGGATTCTCACTAGTTGTGTACACATGAGTAAGTCACTGAAGCACCTGCCCGTGAGGGGTGAGACAGTGATGGCCACTCCCCTACTGCAGCTGGGGGATAGGAGTGAGACGTCACCTGGAGAACTGAGAGCTTCCACTTGCCCTTCCCCGCACACAGTGAAGGGGATCTCGCTGCCCTGTTGTTAATCTGCAGTGTGCTCTTCCCCAGGCCACGTCCCCTCTCCGAACCTCAGTTGTCCCTACTGGGACATTGTTGTGTCCCTGCCCTACCCTTGCCTGTACAGCTGAGCCGAGGAGAAAGAAATTGTAGTCTCTGTCTTAGCTTTCTCATCTGAAAAATGGGGATACAAATAGTAGCTATTTCCCAGAGCTGTCGGGGGAATTAAATGAGATAATGTATGTAAAGTGTTTGGTGTAGGAGAGGACTCATAAATGGTGGCCTTTATTATAGTTATTAAATGGGAGGGGCCCTGCAAAATGTACTAGTCTGGGGAAGGGACTCCTCATTACTACTCTGGCTGGGAATAATGAGGCCTTGTGGTAATAGCCCCTCGCCCTCCCAGGCCCCTCTGACAAAAGGACGCAGCGGCTGTGGATGGGGCCGACAAAGTAAGAGTGAATGGTACATAATGGGACACTTAGGGGCTTATCCCAGGCTGGGAGTGCTGGGAAGGAACCCTCCGGCTGTGGCTCCAGGTGCTGAAGGACCCGACAGGCCCAAAACACAACTGACAGGCCGTCCCTTTCCTTGGCAACTGGGCCAAGAGCCTCTGGACACCGCGTCACCCAGACCTTGACTCACAGGATCAAAGGCATCCCGGTGCCAGGCGCTGCTCTTCTTGCTGGGGCACTGGCCAACCGGCCTGCACAAATGAACCCCAAGACCTCTGACCCCATGACCTTTAACCTAGTGTAGCCCATTGGCAAGAATCAAAACAAATGGGTAAAATACTTAAGAGTTTCACACCATAATAAGTGATCTGGAGAAAAACAAGGAAAGGGTACGAGGCAAGGCTGGGCTGGGGATGGTGAATTGCAATTTAAAATAAGGTGCCTCCAGCCTCGCTAACATGGTAAAACACGATGAAAATTTTTTGTAAAAATACAAAAATTAGCTGGGCGTGGTGGTGGGCACCTGCAATCCCAGCTACTCGGGAGGCTGAGGCACAAGAGTCACTTGAACCCAGGAGGCAGAGGTTGCAGTGAGCTGAGATCGCACCACTGCACTACAGCCTGGGCAACAGCGAGACTCTGCCTCAAAAATAAAATAAGGTGCTTAGGGAAAACCAGGTTTTGTTCCACTTTTTCTTGTGGAAATTTAAAAATAGATATAAAATAAACAGAATAGTATAATGAGACCCCACCTATCCCTCGTCTAGCTTCAACATCTGCCAATCTTGTTTCATCTGCACTCCCACCTCCTTTTCCCCCACTTCCCGTGTTATTTTGAAGCAAATCCCAGACATCTCCTTCCATGAAGGATGTGATTCAAGCAAAGACCAAGGGAGGCGCAGAATCAGCCCTCGGGTTGTTTGGGAGGTGAGCATTTCGGTCAGAGGGACAGCCTGTACAAAAGCCTTGTACCTGGTACAGTATCAGGGCTTTCAAAAAACAAACAAACAAACAAAAAAAGAAGGATCCAGCTCTAATCTAATTTGCCCCTAACTTGATGTGTAACCTTAGACAAGTCTGCTAAGTGCTCAGTTTGTCATCTGTGAAATGGGGCTAATGCCCTCATCCCATAGGGAATTTGTAGGAGTGGAATGAGAATCCCCATGTTTCATAAAAGAGGACATGGCAGGGTCAAAGGTCAATGTCTGCTCCCAGGCAGATCTGGCCCCCAGAGAAACTCAGTGTCTCAGGGGAAATGAGACAAAGCCCCAGGGCACCCAACATTAGGTGGGGGTTGAGAGGGAGGCTGGGGTGGTTTCCTGGAGAAGCCACCCCTGGGCTCAGTCTGGCAGGCCACACTGATGGGGAGGGGGCCTAAGCCCAAGCTTGGCCATGTGTGTTGGCCTAGCCCTCGCCCCACCCCCCATAGATGGGCCACTGAATCCCAGGCTGCTGGAGACAAGAGAGGGGCTGGAGGCCTGAATGGCCAACTGTTCTCTGGGGAGGTTTGGCCCCCTTTAAAGATCCTCCTCACCACCTCCACCGCCCTCTCAGGGTGATTATCGCCAGAGAGGCCTTTCCTGGGGGACACAAAGAGACCCTCAACTCCCATCCTCAAGGCAGGATAATGGGCCATTCACACTGAGGGGACCCCAGCCCCACACCTGGCCCTCTCAGGCAGCCCCCAACCGCCCCATTGTCCCAGGCCCGCCCTGCACACTGGTGTCAGTGGCGGAGAAGCCCAAGCCCCCAGCTGGGGCACTCCTGGCCCTTCCCCCACCTCTCCAGCCGCCTGGACTCTGGGTCCGATGTGGGGGAGGTGGGCCTGCCATTCATCCCACACCCGCTCACTCGGAATTTCGCTCTTCTCGAAGGTCCTTACAGAGCGATGGGAAAATCGGAGGGAATAATTAGGAAAATCATTAGCGTCTCAAGGCCCATCTGAGAGGGATTAAGGGATTAAAAGCCTTCCAACCAATCTCTCCTACTTTAAGGTTGTTGTCGGGTTTTTGTTTTCAGGACTTTTTTTCTCTTCTTATTCCCTGGGTTGGGAGAGACTAAAGTCTTGGTGGATTCTTCCTTCAAAAGCTGTAGGAAAAAGTCAAGACATTGAAGTTGGGGTGGAGAAAAATGGGGGGAAGCAGGTGTGTGGGGGAGGTTCCTTCCCAAGCTCTCCTCAGCTGCCGTGGATCACTTCTTGGGGTGTAAGTGGATGGCAGAAGGGGGTGCAGAGGCCAGGCTGGACTAGAGGGGAAGCCTGGGCAGCAGACAGCTCCTGGAAAGGCCCCCAGGGCCCGCCCTGCCTGGCAGGCCACATCCTACCTCCTCGAGTCCCAGCTGAGAGCAGGCAGGCTCTCCTGCCCTGACGGGGTCCAAGTGGGGCAAACTGGACCAGAGGGCTCCTTGCAACCCCTCCTGCTCTGGTAGCCCGAGGCTGGAGGTCAGGCAGGGGACAGCGAAGCAGGGAAGGGCGTGGAAGGAGGGTGGCCTGGAGACAGGGGCAGGAAAGGCTTCATCACCAAAGCCAGAGTGGGCTTCCACTGTCCTCAGGGACACACAGCCCCTGTCATCGCGCACAGCACAGCCCCGTTGGTGTGAACAGATAAACAGACAGCTCATTACAGGCAGTGTGAGGTGGGACGCCATGTAAAGGGGTGAGGGAAGGGGTGAGGGAGACATTCAGGGACAGACCTCATGTAGTCTAATGTGATGGGGCAGTTCCCAGGAGGAGACTGCCTTTTGTTTATGACAGTACCCTCTGGCCTGACGCATGGTGGGCACCCAGTAACTGAGGGAAACATTCTGGTCAGAGGTGTCTTCTACTTTCTCACAGAGAGCACCTCACTGTCTCGCTGAGATGGCCCCTAACCACTGTGAAACCCCCGCAGGAGGGGCCACACTCCACAGCCTGGTTTGCAGGGCGGCGGGCAAAGGGGGACTCAGGAGGGCACGTGAGCTGTGGGCTGCCAGAGAGCAGGGCTGCTGGTGCAGGCGCCCACCCACGCTCTCTCCAGAGCCTTCGCACTCACCACCCGGTCCACCCTGCGTACCGGCATCAGGTGGGTTCATAGGCCTCTTACAGGCACACATCCTGGCCTCGGCCTGCCCAGTTTGGGGGCTCCCTGGAGTGCAGGTTGTCCCTCCTTTTCTCTGCAAGGCTCAGTGAACCCCCCGTGGTGCCTTTGTCTCCACCCACCCTCCCCTGGCAGGGCCTGAGGTGAGCTGGCCGGGGAAAGGGAGCAGGTCCTTCCCAAGATGGAGCCGGGTGGAAGCCGGCAGCCCAGCGCTTGCCAGCGGTGTGGTGATTAGATGCCTGGGCTGCTGCCTGCTACAGCATTAATAATCACGTTTATTAATGGTCTTAATTAGCAACCGCCAACAAGAAGCCCGGTGCTAATTTCACCAATAATCGAGGCTTGTGGGGCGTGGACAGGAAGGGCGGGTGAGGGGATGGATGGCTGCAGCACGGGGAATAATGCAGCCGCTGTGGGCAGTGCCAGAGCTGAGGCCAGCAGGGCCAGGGGCTGGAAAGATGGGGAAGGGGACCCACCCTCCACCACCCAACCCCCATCGCCTCCCACACCAGGGTGCCTTGACTCCCCACAGTGCAGCCTCCTCAGATGCTGTTGGGACAAAATGAAGTGTGAGGAATTGCAGGGAGGAGGGGGAAACCTCTGTCTGTGTCTTCAGAGCCAGAACCCAGACAGCAGCCCATGGGATGGAGGCAAATCTATAAAAGCCCGAGTGAAATGAGCTAGAAGGGGATTGGGAACAAGCCCCACAGTGTCCTGGAGCACATTCCTTGCTCTAGGGAGACGGAGATGGATGGTGCTGAGCTGGGAAGGAGGGGACGCTGGTGTGGGGCGGAGGCAGCTTCTCCAGCTGAGGGCTCTCCTGCCAAGAAGAGCAGGGTGGGAAAATCCAGACGATGCCCAGGCACAACAAAGCCCACTTCCTCTCTCAGCCTCAGAGCCAAGATGGGCCTACTTGGTGCCTGCCTGGGGCCCCACAGACCAGCCCAGAGATCCCTGGAAATCCAGGCAAAAGGGAAAGGGACACTTTGAGGCAGGGAGCTCTGGGGCCTGCCTAAAGCAAGGGTGACCATCTGCTAATGCCTTGGAGATGGAGGGCAATGGAAGGGACGCGTGTGCTCTGGGGCTCGGGTGGGCAGAGGAGAGGGGTGGGGATGCTGGATCACCTTCTTTCAGAGGTGGCTTTTGGGGTCTCTGGAGGAGTTTCCATGAGGCTGTGCAGCCCCAGGTCAGAATGCTGTGCAGGGATTCCAGGTTGGACCAGCAGTGCCCTGGATAGGAGAGTGGCTGGATGAGGAGCTGCAGAAAGGCCCACTACCCCAAGTAGAGGTGAACAGAGCTCTGGCTGCCTCCTCCACCCACAAAATGCCTCAGCTCCTAGGCCTGGTCCCTGCTCCCAACCTTCCTCTCATCTAATAGTCCTCCAAATACTATTCCAGAAGCCAGGCCCCACTGCCTCACCCCGGAATGGCTGGCATGCATGCTGCACCTGGATCTTTATAGAGGGCAGGGGGACAGAGGGGAAGAGCTGCATCTCAGGTGGAAGGCTGGGCCAGAGCACAAAGGAACAGGCCTCTGAGCCCAGCGGTGGGGCCCTGCCTTCCAGAAGACTGCCTGCCCTCCTACCCTCCTCCCTCGTCCCCTCATTCAGCCTCTCCCGCCTTCCTGCCACTGAAGACCTGGAGATCCTGGGACAGTCCTCATTTTGGTGTTGCCCCTAAAGCCATTATGAGTCCTGGAAGCATCACTGCTTCAAGGGCCCAAGCACCATCTCAAAAACAGCATCTCACTTGAGTGGCAGAAGCCCTTGCTCCTGAGTCTCAGCGTGGGTTTAGAAAAGGTGAACTCAGGTCCTGTGCCTTGCAAAGACTCCAGCCCATTCACTGGAGCTCAGCCTGGAAGCGCTCAAGTCCATAGTGCCAAGTTCCCAGCCGGAACAGGCTTTGCTCTGAGCAAAGAGCTCCCCTGCCCGCTGCCCGGGTATTCTCAAGCATTTGACCGGTGCGTTCTGTTAGATGGGTACAGTCTTCTGTGCTGGGGTAGAGGGATGCACTTCTTTTGCTTGTGGGAGGGACTTTGTGTGACAAGCCCCCACCTCTGCGTCATTGGAGAAGTTTATTTTCATCCTGCCATAGCTGGCCTTTCTCCCAGTAAAAAGTTGGGGCTCCTTACCTGGTGGTGGATGGCAGAGAAAAGAAAGAAAGAAGGCCTGGACTCGGCCTTGGGGCATCTCTGCCCAGTAATCTCTTTTGCTTTGGGGACACCACAAGTATTTCTCTCAGGGCTCTGGAAAGAATTGGCCTCAGAGACACCTGTCAAAATCTTTTGGGTCAATATGATGTGTATAAATGGATGGAGTTTGCCGGGAGGGGGTTAAGAGGGAGGGAGGGTAAGAAAAGCACCAACGATGACCAGCTTTAAACCCCAAGAGACACAGGTTCAGACTTGTGCAGGCCCGCAAGCTAGTGATGGGGCAGCCAAAATGGGGGCCACCATGGCCAGGTCCCAAAGTCAAGGCTCTTCGGGGAGAGGAGTAGGTATGGGTGGAGGGGACAGATGACCACCTCTCTGCGCCCCAAGGCCTAGTTCCGGTCACCCTCCGCCTTCCTCCCGGGCTGGCTGACTCCACTGGCTATCAGACGACTGCAGCACAGACAATGGCGCTCTGTCCCGGGCGCTCCGGGACAACAGCTCATCCCTATGCAGTGGCCGCCTCCCCCACCCAGGCCCGGCCGCCAGCCCTTTTCAGGCCGTGGAAGCCCAGGCGGCGGCGAAGGGGATTCTCACAGGCCGTTGGGCATTTGCATAGCCGGCTCGCCCGCCCGGAGACATTGGCCCGCATTGTTCCTGGGCGGCGGCGGCGGGCGCACGGGCCGGGGCGCGCGGGGCGGCGCGGCGGACCGGCTGGGAGTGGGCGGGCCAGACAAAGGAGAAGGGGCGCGCAGGGCCGGAGGCGGCGGTGGGGGAGTTCCCGACGGTGGGAGCGGAATATCGGGGTGAGGTGGGGGGACGCGGCAGCCGCGCTCGTCTGCCCCGGGACGGCCACCGCCCCGCACTTGGGACACTCACGCCGTGTCTAATTCCTCCCCGAGTTGGGGCCGCCGCGTCGTGATGTGAATCCCAATAGCGGGGAATCTCAGGCCTTTCCCAGGCTGCGCGGGGTTCGGAGTGCCGGGTCCTCCAGAGGTCAGAGGAGCAGCTTCTAACTCCTGGCCGAGGGGGCTCTGGCCACACAGGGCAGAAGCACCTGGGGGCTCCTGGGGACCTTGGGCCTCTTATCCAGATGTCCCTGGGCAGGAAATCCTGCTGTCGTCCACACGCACTTGCGCCAAGCCAGAACAGCGGCTGCTTCCGGAGAACCTTCCCTCAACGCCGCTGGCCCCGCGGGCTTCCACCCTGACCCCAGCGCAGCCTGTCTCCCCGCAACAGTCTTCTCTGGGAGGCAGGCAGGGGCCGTGTCCTCGTCCATCATTGTCCCCAGAGATCAGGCATTGGGGTTGGATAGACAGAGTTCATGAGCGGGCAAGTGTCCGATTGTCCTGCACTGACAGAAATAATGGTGCTGATCAGAGGGGCTGTCCCTGAGGGGCAGAGGCCTCATTGTCCTGAAGGGGTGAGGAAGGAGCCCCCTTGGCCTCTGTCCCTACCACCTCCTTGACCTACTAGTTGTCCCCCTGTTGACCCAGCCTGAATAGATGGGCCACCATGTGGGGGACAATGCTGCTGAGGCAGGGACTTCAGGGGAGGGAAGGGCTTGGTCGCATTTGAGCAGGGGCGCTAAGGGTACCTGTCTTTCCTGCCCTCTGTGCTCCCTGACTGAAATCAGTGGCGGGATAATCACCCACACCCAGACCACAAAGAATGGCTCAGTCCTATGAAGTGGAACAAGGTCTGGAGGGCCCATGATGAGACGATCCCAGCACTCAAGGTAAAGTAGTGGGAGGGAGAGGAGGAAATAGAGTGAAAAACCAAGGGCCTAGCTTAGGAAAGTTCAGTCCTGGGCAGACAGTCCCCTGAATAAGAATGCGATCAGGGTGCAGGGGCTTGAGGCAGGGATCAGCATCATTGCCTGGGCTATGGGAGGCTTCATGGAGGTGATAGAGCTTGGAACTATCTGTCTACGGGGCACACAGGGCCACCTCTTATGGGTTAGCTCTCTCCCTGCCCCTTTCTCAGGACATCTTGTCAGGCTATGATGAGACCTATACCCTTTTGTCCTGTGGAACCTGGCTGGGCAACTGCCTTCTCCTAAAGAGGGCTCAGTTGTTCCTTTTCCAGGAAGCCTCTCTGGATTGAGATGGGCCGCTCTCCCCAGCAATGACCAGTCTGGGCTAGAGCTGCCCATTTTTTCAGGCCTGGAAAAGATTCAGTGGTAGTCGGGAAGGAATCAGCCAGCAGAGGGAAAGGGTCAGGTTGTAAAATGCTAGTGCCATGAATTTTTGTTTGTTTTTTTTGAGCTAGGGTCTCTCTCACCTAGGCTGGAGTACAGTAGAGCGATCATGGCTCACTGCAATGAACTGCTGGGCTCAAGCGATCCTTCTGCCTCAGCCTCCTGATTAGTGGGGACTACAGCTGCAGACCACCACACCTGGCTCATTTTTTTGTACAGATGGGGTCCCACTATGTTGCCCACGATGGTCTCAAACTCCTGGGCTCAAGCAATCCTCCTGCCTCAGCCTCCCAAAGTGCTGGAATTAAAGGTGTGAGCCACCTCATCCAGCTAGTGCCATGAATAAATGAAGATCTGTAGCTTTCCTCACCCAGAATGGGCTGGGGCAGGGAGAGGTCTCACCCTATCCTTGAATCCCCCTTTCCTGAAAGTCTTCTTTCAGATCTCTGAGGACTCGGGGAGAACAGGCCAGCTGGCTGTATCTGGGCCCATGCAGAACAGAGCTGGGAACTGAGGCCCCGTAGGTAGAATGGGGGGTGGGGCCTCAGCTCTCCCAAACTTCCTCCCTTCCTCTTAGCAAGGGCTGACAGTGATCAGGAACCTTTGTGTGATCCCAGCAGTCATCCTTCTGCCTCCACTCAAGGGTCTCCTCCCAATACACCTACCACAGCCAACAATGGGCATGGGGGGCTGTGGAGGAAGGAGGGGAACTGAAGAGACTGGGCCACATGAGCTGGGATGGCTCCACGGAAGCCTTGTCCCTCAACCTCCTTCTCCTCACCTCAGGGCTTGGCCTCTCCAACCAGCCCAGGTCAGTCCCTCCAGCTACGGTGAGCATGGAGCCTGATGGGGTCACCTTTTGTCCTCATTCCAGGGCTAGGTCCCAGGAATCTTTCCACTTCCTCCTTGGGTTCCTAAGTCTGATTGGTCTTGGTTTTAGGGGAGAGATAGCTGTAGTCAGAAGCCTAGGGGAAGGGCAGGAGAAGGCGGAGGGGGTCCCAGTCCTTCAGTGTTGGAAAGGGGGCTCCAGTCTACTTGGAGGGATGGATTTCTGCTGGATGAGAGATCTGAAACCCCTGGCATCCGTCTGACATGTAGTGGTGGATAGGAGCTCAAAAAAGGCTTGTGGCATGAATGCATGAGGACCAGAGCTGACGCAGACAGGAAGGGGGTTAGGCTGCAGGAAGGAGCTTCATTCTTCATAGAGGACCAAGGAAGGGCATAAAAGCGGCATCTTCCTCTTCTGGGTTTGGTGCGCCCTCTGGTGGTCAAATGACTTCAGGACAACAGAGGCCCTTGGGTGGGGGTCGCGGCGGGGGGTGGTCTTCAACCTTCTCTGCCACAGGCCTAATCCACACAATGATGCCCTTGCTATTCCCCGCTCCTCAGACTCAGGACAGGGACATAAGTGGCAACTAGGTGCGGGCTGCTGCTAGCTTATTAGGGTTGGTGGCAAACAGCTTATGTCTCCCTTGGGCCCTGTGGGCACCCTCTTCCTTCTCTGCTCAGAGGCTGCCCAAGTTGAAGGTCAGAGTAGCAGCAGTTCTGGAATGGGAAGAACTCTCTCCCGCAGCCCAAGATATCCTGTAACAAAAAATCCTGTTTTCTGGGAGAGAATGAACTCCCTGTGCCTGGAGACAGGCAAGCCTAGGCGGGGCACTGGCAGGACATGGCACTCCAGAGGGACTTCTACAGATCAGGAATCAGGAATTTGTCAGCACTAAACCCCTTTCCTGCCTCTCCAGGAGGTTCTACCATTGTGAGTTAGAAGGTAAGAGAAACTTCTTATGTTCTCAGGGCACAAAGACAAAGAGTCAGAACCCTTAGAGACAGTGGCGTTTATCACCCTCAACCAGGCCTGGCTTGGGCTTCACTGTAACTGTGTGACGTGGGGCCAGTGGATCACTTGGGTGCCTCAATTTGGCCTCTTCTACCCATGTGCAGGCTGGTAGGGCAGTCGGGTTGGGCATCTGGTGAGGTTCCCCCTATTGTACCCAGTTACGGCCCCACTCCCCACCATTTCCCAGCCTCCTGTTGCCCCTCTCCCTGTGGAGACGCTGCCTGTGGAAAGGGGCCTCCTTCTGGCTCATGGCTCCCTTCTTGCAGCTGGAGGAATGGGAGCTCAAAAAGAACTTCCTAGTAGCAGCCAGTCAGCATCTTCGAAAAGGAGCGTGTCCTCTCAGGGGCTGGCAGTGGGTTAGGCCTGAGTGTCTGCCTCCTCCACCCTCAGAGGTCTCTGGGCTTTATCCTCATGCTCGCCAGGCACCTGGAAGGCAGGAGTGGGTAGAGGTGAAAGGGTAGCTCCAGGAGCCTGGAAGCCACAGTTCAGGGGTGTACCCCAGAGGAGAAGGAGCAGCAAGGAAGGAAGAAGGCAACTTGGGCCACAGGAGGCGAGGCAGGGAAGGGAGACTCAGAGGGTGTGAGAGCCCAGCAATGTCTCACCTGCCAGTGAACTTGGTCCTCGTAGTGCTGGGAGTCTGGGGGGGAGTCCAGAAAGGGTAGCTTCAGCAGGAGCCCTGGTGGTGGTAGGGGAGGATCTGTGAGGCTTCTCTGCCCCCCACCATGGAGGAGGGTGCCACCCAGTGCCACAGGGCACAGGGGTCTAGGAGGCATAAGACCAATATGATGCCTGTGCAGGCAAAACACAGCAGTATTTGTTGAGCATCTACTATGTGCCAGGCCCTGTGCAAAGTGCTTGACTAGTCTTGCTTTCCTGAGTAATCACAACAACCCTGCAAGGCCAATATTATTCCTGTATTACAAACAAAGAAACAAGACTCAGAGAAGTTAAATAATTTGCTCAAGTGTGTGCAGTTGGTAATAGACCAGTTCCTGATTCCATCATGAACCACAGCTGCTGAGCTTTCTATGGCCTCCCACACAGGAGGGGCACAGGAAATGCTTATTGTGGCCGGGCGCAGTGGCTCACGCCTATAATCCCAGCACTTTGGGAGGCTGAGGCAGATGGGTCACTTAAGGTCAGGAGTTCAAGACCAGCCTGGCCAACATGGTGAAACCCCATCTCTACTAAAAATACAAAAATTAGCCGGGTGTGGTGGGGGTCGCCTGTAATCCCAGATACTTGGGAGGCTGAGGCAGGAGAATCGCTTGAACCCGGGAGGTGGAGGTTGAAGTGAGCTGAGATCATGCCATTGCACTCCAGCCTGGGCTACAAGAGCGAAACTCCGTCTCAAAAAAAAAAAAAAAAAAAAAATAGGCCGGGCGCAGTGGCTCACGCCTGTAATCCCAGCACTTTGGGAGGCCGAGGCGGGCGGATCACGAGGTCAGGAGATTGAGACCATCCTGGCTAACACAGTGAATCCCCATCTCTACTAAAAATACAAAATAATAATAATAAGCCCAGCATGGTGGCGGGTGCCTGTATTCACATCTAACCTAGTGCTTTGCAGACGTTAACATGCAATCAAATCACCTGGGAATCTCTTTTTAAAAGAGTGTAGATTCTAGGCCAGGCACGGTGGCTCACGCCTGTAATCCCAGCACTTTGGGAGGCCGAGGCGGGCGGATCACCTAAGGTCAGGAGTCTGAGACCAGCCTGGCCAACATGGCGAAACCCCGTCTCTACTAAAAATACAAAAATTAGCCAGGTATGGTGGCAGGCACCTGTAGTCCCAGCTACTCGGAGGCTGAGGCAGGAGAATGGCTTGAACCCGGGAGACAGAGGGGATGCTGAATCAGGTTTTATTTTGAAGGCCAAAAAGACTAAGGCCAAACATGAAGAGCGACTGCCTGACCCAGGGCCATGGACAGTGTGCCTCTGTGGAAGGTTTTCGCACTGGGGTCTGGAAGTGGCAGGCCATCTCCTCCCCTCCTTGTCCCTGCCCCACATGGCGCAGCCATCCCCTTCTAGGCCTCAGCCTGAGGTTGGGCTTCCCTCTAGTGGGCAGAGGGAGCAGCACAGGCAAGCATAGACCCATAAGAGAGGGCCTCGCTCACCCCTCGCGGACTCCCCAGCTGCCCTCGGCACCAGAAAGGAGCAAGCACCTGCATGCACCTCTGTGCCTGCAGGAGGTTGGTTACCCCTTAACCCACAACCCAATCCCTACTTTATGGCACAAAGTAGATGCTCCATAAATATCTATGAGTGAATGAATTCATGTCAGGCTTATAGGATCCCATGCCCCTTCCTCTAGAAAATCCAAGGTTACTCACCTCCAAGGCCCCCGCCCACAGAGGCAAACATCAGTGTGACAAACAGCCCGAAGAGCTGGTGCATGGCCTGTGACGTGGCACTGCGCTGGCCCTCGGCTATGAGTGGAAACACACTCTCCAGGCTGCAGGGAGACCAGATAGAGGAAAGGCAGGGGTAGGGAGAGAGAGGGATGCAGCCCGGGGCCAGGGCTGCTCATGGCACTGGAACTCACACTGGGGAACAGGAAGTGGCCAAGAGGGTCTCGAGGGTGCATGCCAGGCTGAGTCTCACCTCCAGGCCACTGCTCAAGCCAGGCCCACAGCCTGGAACACCTTCCCACCCTTGTAGGCCAGCAGACACCTAGGCACCTTTTAAGACTCCATTTGCGGGTTGCTTTTGCCCACCCTTGATGTGCAAAAATAGATCCTAAAGGTCATTATCTCTTACTGACCCTTCAGTAACAAGTAACACTCTTGAAGTCATTTGTTCCATGACCTTCTGCTGCACTTGATAGAGGACCAGGAAGGCAGTTTCTGGGTTGGTTTTGTTAACTCCAATTTCCTTTGCTCCCAGAATATGGATGAATGAATGAATTCATTCTTTTTTCTTGGTCACACACAGTGAAAGAGAATGACAGAGGTCATTCCAGATGGATGACGACTGCAGTACGGGTTGGGAGGAAACTCACCCATCTCCGTAAGCTTCATGGGTGGCAAGTCCAGCCACAAGGACCCCCAGGAGGGCCCCCAGGACCCCCGGCATCCCATGGAGGTTGTGGACTCCACATGTGTCTTGGACTTTGAATTTTGATTCAAGGATGGGCTGGAGGGCAAGACAGATCATGAGTCTCCTGTGCCCACTCCCCACCACCTCATCCTGTTGGAGAGGCGGGAGGAAAGGTACCAAAGACTCCATGTTCTGCCCAGGCTCCAAGAGGCATCTATACCGTGAAGAACTTGTACCCCAGCGTGGAGACAGTCCCAGCCAAGAAGCCAGCTGCCAGAGCCCCAAAGGGTGTCAGCATCATTTCACTTGAGGTCCCCACCACAACCCCTCCAGCCAGCGCTGCATTTTGGATGTGGACCTAAGGGAAGAGCAAGGTGTTGGAGGCCCTTTCAGATTGTCACACCCACAGCAACCCAACCCTACACACCACAGTGACACCTACTGCTTCTGGAAGTCCCTCTGCCATCTAACCTCTCATTGTCCTGCTACCATATCGCCTCCCATTCTGATCCCATAGCCACCAGCACAGATGGAGCCCCTATGCCTGTGCCCTTATCTGTTCCCCGGGAGAATCTTTCTTGAGGGTCTCAGACCTCTCCTCCCCTGCCCAGGCCACCCCCTCTGCCTCTCTGAAGTCCTCTTCCCCATACCATGTCAAGCCTCCCATCTTCCCCTACAAGGGCTGACAAGGCAAAGGTGCCAAGGGTGCTGGCAGCCAGGGAGTAGTATGTGTTGAGGGCCGTCCGATGCTGCCCAGCCCCCAGCGCTGTGAGTGCAGCATTGAAGCTAGGCCAGAAGATCCACAGGAAGATGGTCCCTAGATGGTGGACAGACAGGCAGAGTGAGAAGAAGGAAGTGACTCCCACGCAAGGTACAAGTTGTATAACTGCAGGCAAATCACCTACCCTCAGCAGCCTCAGTTTCCTCATATGTTCAGTGGGATTGATAATAATACCACCTTGGGCTGGGCACGGTGGCTCACGCCTGTAATCCCAGCACTTTGGGAGGCCGAGGCAGGCAGATCACTTGAGCTCAGGAGTTTGAGACCAGCCTGGACAACATAGTGAAATCCCATCTCTACCAAAAATACAAAGGAATTAGCTGGGCATGGTAGCACATGCCTGTAGTTCCAGCTACTTGGGGGGCTGAGGCAGGAGGATCGCTTGAGACTGGGAGGCAGAGGTTGCAGTGAGCTGAGATCGTGCCACTATACTCCAGCCTGGGCTGCAGAGCCAGACCCTATCTCAATAATAATAATAATAATACCACCTCATCAAGTGGTAATTAAATGAGGCAATGCACATAAATGCATAGCCCATGGCCTAGCAGGCACAAAATGCCCAGCAAATGGCAGCTATTGAAGGGCACTGGCCCAAAAAGAAACTACTTTGTTGAAAACCACGTAACGTTGAATTTTTTTTTTTTTTTTTTTTTTTTTGAGACAAGGTCTCACTCTACCACCCAGGCTGGAGTGCAGTGGCATGATCCCAGCTCACTGCAATCTCTGCCTCCCAGGTTCAAGTGATTCTCCTGCCTCAGCCTCCTGAGTAGCTGGGACTTCAGGCGCCCACCACCACACCCAGGTAATTTTTGTATTTTTAGTAGAGATGAAGGGGTTTCACCATGTTGGCCAGTTTGGTCTCGAACTCCTGACCTTAGGTGATCCGCCCACCTCAGCCTCCCAAAGTGCTGAGATTACAGGTGTGAGCCACTGCATCCGGCCAGAACACTGGCATTTTTTAAGTATCAAAAAAGGTAAAGAAGGCCGGGCACAGTGGGTCATGCCTATAATCCCAGCACTTTGGGAGGCTCGAGGCAGGCGGATCACAAGGTTCGGGGTTCGAGACCAGCCTAACCAACATGGTGAAAACCTGTCTCTACTAAAATTAGCCAGGCATGGTGGCACACTCCTGTAATCCCAGCTCCTCAGGAGGCTGAGGCAGGAGAATTGCTTGAACCTGGGAGGTGGAGGTTGCAGTGAGCCAAGATCATGCCACTGCACTCCAGCCTGGGAGACAGAGCAAGACTCCATCTCAAAAAAAAAAAAAAAAGAAAAAGAAAGGAAAGGAAAAAAGGCAAAGGCCACTGCATGTCAGGGACTATGCTGGGTACTTGATACACATATCAGGAAAACAATGATAACCTCAATCTCTCCTAGAGAGGGTGGACCCTTCAGTGTTTGGGAGAGGCCTCTGTTTGCTGAGTACTGAATGGGCTGGGCCTGTGCATTTTGGGAAAGAACTGGAAGCCCATTTACCCTGCCTTCCTGCATGAGGTTCCCAGGTCCATCCTGGAGGGAGAGACAGAAGGACCCAAACAACAAGGTGAAGGAGAAGGCTGGGGACCCTGTGGTGTAAGCCAGCAAGGTGGGAGGCTTAGGGACCACCGTGTCCTGAGTAGTCTGTTGGGTGTGGCTTCTCCCAGCAGCCCGGCAATCTGGAGTAAAATCTCCCACACTCACATTTGCATCCTGTAGGTGGAGCGTTTGTGGGAGAATCCAGGAAGGGGCCTCATTCCTGTCTGGGTGACACTAAAATCCAGGAGCTGGGAGGCAGACAGCTGAGAATGTAAGTCTCCTGGGAATGCCTGGAAAACTTGGGGAAGCCTTTGGAATTCAAGGCAAACTTATCTGGGTCTCAAAGGGCAAGGAGGCCTCAGCTGGCCTGGGGTTCTTTGTACTCTGACCCAGCAGTGCTGAGCAATCCTAAGCCAGCCTCTCTGTTTCATATAGGAATAGGTACTTCAGTCCCTATTCAATACCTTCTATGAAAAAAAAATTAAAAATACAGATTTGCCTTCTGTCTGCAGTTATGAAAATAGAGGAACAGAAGCTGAGGTGGAGGCACATGCTTAGAAGCAGGTGGTGGTAGCCGGGCGTAGTGGCTCACGCCTGTAATCCCAGCACTTTGGGAGGCCGAGGTGGGTGGATCACCTGAGGTCAGGAGTTCGAGACCAGCCTGGCCAACATGGTGAAACCCTGTCTCTACCAAAAATATAAAAAATTAGCTGGGTGTGGTGGCACGCGCCTGTAATCCCAGCTACTCGGGAGGATGAGGCAGGAGAATTGCTTGAACCCAGGAGGCAGAGGTTGTGGTGAGCTGAGATCGCACCACTGCACTCCAACCTGGGCAACAGAGCAAGACTCTGTCTCAAAAAAAAAAAAAAAAGAAGAAGAAGCAGCAGGTGGTGATGACAGATGACAGGGCTCCTAGCTCCTATGGGTCCCTGGGGTGACCCAACACCCTTCCTCTCCTTATCCCTGCCTGAGAGTGCAGGGGCTTCCAGGCATCAGGAATCTCCCGGGAGGAAATATCCTTAGGAGGCGGAAGGCAGCACCAGGGGCCGGCAGAGATTGCCTGTTTGCCGGGAACCAGACAGGCAAAGGCCTGGAGGTGAGGGCAGGCAAAAGCTGAGTCTGGCTGGAGCCTGAGCCAGCGAGGAGGGAGGAGGAGGGGCTGACGTGGCAGCTGAGGAGGCCACTTTCTAACCTGTGGCTGGTGGGAGCCCTGGAAGGTTTTAAGTAGGATGGAGGTGGATTTAGAAAGGACCCAGGGCATATGCATTCCCCAGGCTGAACTTGTCATAAAACTGTTGAGAATGATAAGTGCAGGCAGGTCCCAGAGCTCTCACAGCAGAATCCAAATGGGAAGTGAATGCCCACAACCCCAGGACTGCAGTCAGCACCCCGAGAGACAGTCACCTCTGGCCCAGATGAGGCCTCCAGACCAGCCCCCTGCCCTGCTACCGCACCTCGAAGGCCTCACCAATCATGGCGAAGAGGTCTGAATGGTAGACGGAGCCCTGGCGGTGCTTGCTCTTCTCCAGCTGGGGCCTGTACAGAACCCGCGAAAGGACGAGCCCGAAGTAGGCACCAAAGGTGTGGATAGTCATGGAGCCTCCGGCATCTCTCACCTGGGGAGGTGGGGTGAGAGGCAGCACCCCGCCCCCACCCCCACGCTCCTGGCTCAGAGGCTGACCTTGACCACCCCCCACCCCCGACTCCATCCCTCCCCAGACTCTCACCCCCAGGAGATGAAGGAGCACAAACTCATTGATGCCAAACAGCACCACCTCCAGCAGGGCCATGAGCAGCAGCTGGGTAGGCCCGGTCTTGCCCAGGACGGCACCAAAGGAGATGAGCACGGCCCCCGCACAAAAGTCAGCATTGATCATGCTGGGGATGGGGCAGAAGTGGGAGCACAAGAGGGGTCAGAGAGGCTGGCCTCGGGGTTCCTGCCTGGCATGAAGCCAGGACAGCATGATGTGGTGGGTGGGGTGGGGTTGGAGTTCTGGAGAGAAGACAAGGAGCTCAAGCTCCTCCCTGGAGTTGGAAGGGATCACCTGGCCCTGTTTGTAGATGAGGAAGTCGAGTCTCAAGGAGGTTCTGTGACTCATCTGACAAAGCCCACAATAGGTGGAAGAACCAGAGCTGTCTACCCTTCCACAGCTCTTGGGGAACAAGGGCCCTAAAGACTGAGGAGGTGGAGCTGAGTGTGAGGGTCAAGGATGGGAGAGGAAGTCAGGCAATAAGGACAGGCAGGACACCTAGAGAAACCAAGTGACGCCCAGAATCGTGAGTCAGGAAGCAGACTTGAAGGACAGGGCTAGATCCGGGGCCCATGGGCAGGGGCCTCCCGAGTGAACCTTGGGGAGCTGGGTGGGTGGCGGCTGCCCACCTCTCCACGCCAACATGGATGTGGCCACCGTGGAAGGAGTGGAGAAAGCCCTGGACCAGTGTGGACCACTGCAGGGCAAAGGCGGCCAGGAGGAAGGTGAAGCCCACGCTGCTGAAGCCGTAACGCTGCAGGAAGACCATGAGGAAGCCAAAGCCCACGAAGACCATGGCATGCACGTCCTGGAAGCCTGCAGCGGGCAGGGACAGGCGGGGCACTTGGGGGCTGCTCTAGCCATAGCCCACAATCCAGTCAGCTACCCTGCCAGTGCCCCTGGCTCTCACCAGCCAGGGCTGCCTTGAGCCGAGCCTATAAAACTCCCCAGGCATGTCAGGGGCTCCCAGCCCTGAGCCACCTGCGCAGAGCTGGCCAGCTTGGAGCAGTGGGACCCCGACATCCCTGCTGTCCTCGTGTCAGAGCAAGGGAGTAAAGCCTTCTGCTCTATTCATTTGCCCCATCCCTGGGTCTCTTACAACAGACTGGCTGGAAGTCCAACCTGTGCTCTTTTCTGCTGCTGACTCTCTCCATGCTCAAAATTCTCCCCACTACAGACTTCAACATTTCCTCTGCTAGAAAGTCCTTCTTGACATCTACCCTTCATCCCTCATACTTCAGAGACTATACCTCTTCCTTTTGAGGATTTTTAAGTTATTATTATTACTAGATGTCTCGCTCTGTCACCCAGGGAAGAGTGCAGCGGCATGATCATAGCTCACTGCAGCCTCAAACTCCTGTACTCAGCCAGTCCTCCCACTTTGGCCTCCTAAGTTGCTGGGACTACAGGTGAGGCCCACTGTGCCCGGTTATTTTTTTAAAAATTTTAAGGAGGTTGGGCACAGTAACTCACACCTGTAATCCCAGCACTTTGGGAGGCCAAGGCGGGTGGACTGCTTGAGGCCAGGAGTTCAAGACCAGCCTGGCCAACATGGCGAAACCCGGTCTCTACAAAAGATACAAAAATTAGCTAGGCATGGTGGCACGCACCTGTAATGCCAGCTGCTTGGGAGGTTGAGGGACAAAAATTGCCTGAACCCAGGAGGCAGACGCTGCAGTAAGCCAAGATCATACCTCTGCACTCCAGCCTGGGTGACAGAGCAAGAGTCTGTCTCAAAAAAAAAAAAAAATTTAGGAAATAGCTTTAAACTGTTAACAGAGATGACCTCAGAGAAAAGGAATTGAAGGAAGAAGGAGACAAGGCTGCTGTGTTGCACAACTTCAATGCAAATGATGCCCCCTGGAGTTGTGCAACATGGTGACTCTGGGAAGGATGATTTTACTTTTTAGTTTCTTTCTATAGTTTGAATATTTTAACTTTATAGATGAATTACTTGAAATTTTTAAAGAGTCAGTGAGGTTTATGGGCAGGAAGATTTGCGGCCTTTTCTGTTTGGTTTCTATTCTGTACCACTCTGAATAAAAAGCTAAACCGATAAAAATAATATATAAGGCTGGGTACAGTGGCTCACACCTGTAATCCCAGTGCTTTAAAGGCTGAGTAGGGAAGACTGCTTGAGGTCAGTAGATTAAGACTAGCCTGGGTAACATAGTGGACCCCCCTCCATTTATATAAAACAATAATAATAATCAGCTTGGCATGGTGGCATGTGCCTGTAGTCCCAGCTACTCGGGAGGCTGAGACAGGAGAATCACTTGAACCCAGGAGGTGGAGGTTGCAGTGAGCCGAGATAGCGCCATTGCACTCCAGCCTGGCAACAGAGTGAGATTCCGTGTCAAAAAAAAAAAAGAAAAAGAAAACAAAAATTATGCTCCCCTTTATTTTGTGGAATCTGATGAGGCACACCAACAAGTCAGAAAATAATTATTGAATTTTATTTATTTTTGTAGAGATGTCAGTCTTGCTATGTTGCTGCCCAGGCTGCTCTCAAACTCCTGGCCTCAAGCAATCATCTCACCTCAGCCTCATGAGTAGCTGGGATTGCAGGCATGAGCCACCACACCTGGCTCAATTACTGAACTTTAGAATGCAATCAGTAACTTTGACAGAAGCATGCTTTTATGCTTTTTTTTTTTTTTTTGTGCCATATGCATGGGCAGATAGGAAATGAGTTAGCAAGGCCCTGGACAAGGGCTGGATATGTACTGAAATTAGAGGTCTGAGGCTGGGCGCAGTGGCTCACGCCTGTAATCCCAGCACTTTGGGAGGCCAGGGTGGGTGGATCACCTGAGGTCAAGAGTTCAAGACCAGCCTGGCCAATATGGCGAAACCCCGTCTCTACTAATAAAACAAAAATTAGCCAGGTGTGGTGGTGCACAGCTGTAATCCCCCAGCTACTAGGAAGGCTGAGGCAGTAGAATCGCTTGACCCGGGAGGTGGAGGTTACAGTGAGCTAAGATAGTGCCATTGTACTCCAGCCTGGGCAACAAGAGCGAAACTCTGTCTCAAAAAAAAAAAGAAATTAGAGGTCTGCAGCTGCCAGCCCTAGGGTTGGGACACTAAATGTCCCCAACTCTGCACTGCTTCTCCAGACCTACCCACTCCCCAAATCACCCAGATCCTAAAACAGTAACAGATGAATGGATAAAGAAAATGTGGTACATATACACAGTGGAATACTATTCAGCCATAAAAAAAGAATGGAATTCTGGCCAGGTGAAGTGGCTCATGCCTGTAATCCCAGCACTTTGGGAGGCCGAGGCAGGCAGATCACCTGAGGTCGGGAGTTCAAGACCAGCCTGACCAACATGGAAAAACCCTGTCTCTACTAAAAATACAAAATAAGCCAGGTGTGGTGGCGGGTACCTGTAATCCCAGCTACTCAGGAGACTGAGGCAGGAGAATCGCTTGAACCCGGGAGGCAGAGGTTGTGGTGAGCCGAGATTGTGCCATTGCACTCCAGCCTGGGCAACAAGAGCGAAACTCCATCTAAAAAAAAAAAAAAAAATGGAATCCTGTCATTCGTGGCAACATGGATGGAACTGGAGGACATTATAAGTGAAATAAGCCAGGAATGGAAAGTTAAACACCGCATGTTCTCACTCATATGTGGAAGCTAAAAAAAAGTTGCTCTCATTAGAAGTAAAAAGTAGAACAAAGGATAATAAAGACAGAAGAGTGGGGGAAGGGGGAATAGGGAGAGATTGTTATAGGATACAAAATTACAGTTAATTACATCTAAGATAGAAGGAATAAGTTCTAGTGATCTATACCTAGCGATCCCCAACCTTTTTGGCACCAGGCACCAGTTTCCTGGACAAATGGTTGGGGGGTGGGGGATGGTTTTGGATTGATACTGTTCCATCTCAGATAATCAGGCATTAGATTCTCATAAGGAGTGCACAATCTAGATCCCTCACATGCACAGTTCGCAATAGGGTTCGCGCTCCTATAAGAGTCTAATGCAGCCATAATCTAACAGGAGGTGGAGCTCAGGCAGTAACATTCACTCACCTCCTGCTGTGCGGCCCCCATCCTAACCAGCCTAGGGGTTGAGGACCCTATAGCACTGTAGAGTGACTATAGTTAACAATAATATATTATATCATCTCAAACAGGAGGAGGATACTGAATGTTCCCAACACAAATAAATGATAAACATTTGAGATGATGGGGGAAAAAAACAGAAAGGGAGAGGCATCACTTAAAACTCAGCCTGCACCCTAAGTTCTTTTAGCCTCACTGCCTGGCTGCTTTTCTCCTTGTGCAAACAGTAAAGAGAATCCATGTCTATTCTTGTGCTCAAGGACAGCAAGATAAGGAAGGGTGTTGGGTCCAAGGGCTCCTGACCATTACATGCCAAAACCAGTCCAGAACTTGTGTGGTATAAATGTTTACATCTCCCACCCCAGGTTTGTTTGGAATCAAAACTCAAGGCTCTGGCCTTTCAACTGGAGTCTAAACATCAAGAAATCTCCTTCTCTGGGAACATTCCACAATGAGAAATTCTTTTTGGGCTCTGAGAGGTGAGGGGATGTTCCAGCTGGAGGTGGAGGAAGAAATAAGGCAACCTCTCAACATCCCCTTTAGAGGATGCCTGTGCGGGTGGGATGGAGTCTGATGCCCACCCCACCCCACCCCCACCAAATCCATACACTTTTTTATTTTTTTGCGACAGTTCTTGCTCTGTTGCCCAGGCTTGAGTGCAGTGGTGCCATTACAGCTCACTGCAGCCTCAACCTCCTGGGCTCAAGCAATCTTCCCTCCTCAGCCTCTAGAGTAGCTAGGACCACAGGAGCTTATTACCATACTGGGCTAATTTTTTTATTTTTTATAGAGACGAGGTCTCACTTTGTTTGTTGCCCAGGCTGGCCTCAAACTCCTGGCTTCAAGCAGTCCTCTCACCTCAGCTTCCCAAAGTGCTGGGATAACAGCATGAACCATGGTGCCCAGCCCCAAGCACCTTTGATTGGAGAGAAGATAAAGCTCTCCAAAGCCACCTGTTACTCTCCCTCCTTCCCTTGCTGCCCCTCTGCAACCCAGCTAGATAACTCCTGGACCAGACAAGATTATGGGAGAAGACAGCTGTTAAAGCTGGGGCTTTTGCATCTAGCAGAGCTCGATTTAAATTCTAAGTCTGGCCGGGCGTGGTGGCTCATGCCTGTAATCCAAGCACTTTGGGAGGCTGAGGCAGGAGAATTGCTTGAGCCTGGGATGTGGAGGCTACAATGAACTGTGATCATGCCACTGCACTCCAGCCTGGATGACAGAGTGAGACCCTGTTTCAATGAATCAGTTAATTCCATGTCTCCCCACCTCCTTCTGATTTTATGACCTTGGACAACCCTCTGAGCCTGTTTTCTCATCTGTAAAGTATGGATATTAAATATGATAATCAAGAAGAAGCAGGGGGAGCTGAGGGGGCCATCTCCCCCAACTTCCCCACCATCCATCCCGCCTGCCTCTAGGGGACAGTGGAGCTGTATTCTCTCTCCTAGAAGAGATCACAAGCCACTCTGGTCCTGGTCACATCCTTCATCCCCCACCTCTTCCAAGAAGATCCTGATTCCATCTATCCTAAATCCCTCTCTCTGCAAGTAAGGTCTATGAGATGTATGAAAAAAGAACCTGTCCATATTTTTTCAGAACCCTTTCTCATGTTTGCTTCTGTGGCCCTTTAGCCCTGGCTCTTTCCCCTTCTTTGTTATTTTTCCATCACTTGCTTTCTGGAAGAAGAGGCTTGTAGTGTAGGGGGAAGGCCACAGATGGGCAATCAAGAGACCTGGTTCTAGCCTGGCTCCTTCTGTAACTTGCTGTGTGACTTGGCCAGGTCACATGACCTCTCTGACTCACTCTCAGCATCTGAGTGGGTGAACCAGATGGGCTCTCAGCGTCCTTCCAGCAGAGAAAACAGACGGACCCTCAGACTAGCCATGTCTTGGCATTGGCCAGTCCTGGAGCTCAACAACAGTCACACAACTCCCTTTCATCTCCCGAATCAAAGGGCAGTGGCTGCACCTCCCTCTGGCCCTGACCCCTTCCCTTGGGCACAAGGACAGGTGAGGACCCGGCTCATCAAAGCCCCAGGCTCTAGGGACCTTGCACCTCCCGCCTCCCCAACCTTCCCCCACAACAGTATCCAAGTCCACAGGAATGGAAACCTAGGGCAGAAAAAGAAGTAGGAATCCCACCTTTTATATCTCTCTTATTGCAATTCAGGGATGAAATGCTGTATGTCCAAGGAGAGCCTACCATTGCAGCACAGGGGCAAGAGGCTGGACTCCAGGGAAAGCTTTGTAATAAGGAGGCTTCGAGGAGAAGCAAGTCAGGGGTTCATGGCAAGCAGCCAGGTCAGACCCTTACGCAACAGCTTAGTTCTGTCAGACTCTGGACTGTTCCCTCCCAACTCTCTATCCTTCTTTTCTAGCCAGGGCTGTGGATGAAATATGGGGAGGGAGGAGCTGTAGCCCCTTCTGCCTAGGGTGGGTGGGGGCTCTGGTGCTTCACACCCAAGTCCAAGTTTCCACCTCACTCTCTATATCCTTAGCATTTTGAGCTTCATTTTGTTGGGTCTAGAACAGGGTGAGGTGGGGATAGCCTGCTGATGAGCTCTGCATACAGAAAGTAGGGTAATAGGGCCAGGTGCAGTGGCTCACACCTGTAATCCCAGCACATTGGGAGGCCGAGGTGGGTGGATCACCTGAGGTCAGGAATTCAAGACCAGCCTGGCCAACATGGCGAAACCTCATCTCTACTAAAAATACAAAACTTATCTAGGTGTTTTGGTGGGTGCCTGTAATCCCAGCTTCTCGGGAGGCTGAGGCGGGTGAATCGCTTGAACCTGGGAGGTGAAGGTTGCAGTGAGCCGAGATTGCGCCGTTGCACTCCAGCCTGGGCAACAGAGTGAGACTCTTCTAAAAAAAAAAAAAAAGAAAGAAAATAAGGTAATGAGAGCTGGAAATTTTTAATAGGAGACTCTCACACTCTAGGCCTTGTTTGAATGTATCTCCTTTAAACTGAGGCATCCTTTTTCCCCTTGCTCAGATGGGGAAAAACTGAGGCTTGGAGATGACCTGCCCAAGCACTTGTGATAAATTCTGGGAGATCTGGTGCTCTTGGTCCCAGCTGCCTAGGGCCTGAATTGCAAGGCAGGGTCCCCAACCTTTGAAGGTGAGGCTCTATTCCCATGGGGCTGAGGGTGGGGGTGGGAGGTTAACTCTGTCTTTATTGAAACTTGTCAGCAGGCAGGTGACTTGTGGGGCAAAAAGTTTAGGATGCCTGAGTTCTAGTTCCAGCTCTGCCACTCACATGATGGGTGATCGTGAACAACTCACAACCCCTCTGAGACTCAGCTTCTCCTTCTGTGAAATGGACTAATGACGCTGCCATGCTTCCTGCCAAGTCTGGGGGCTGCTGCTCTGTGATTAGCAGGTAGATGGTGCTTCATTTTCTTTCTTTTTTTTTTTTTTTTTTTTTTTTTTGAGACAGAGTCTCACTCTGTCATTGCCCAGTCTGGAGTGCAGTGGTGCAATCTCGGCTCACTGCAACCTCCACTTCCTGGGTTCAAGCAATTCTCCTGCCTCAGCCTCCCAAGTAGCAGCGATTACAGGCGCCTGCCACCACGCTCGGCTAATTTTTTTTTTTCTCGAGATGGAGTCTCGCTCTGTCACCCATGCTGAAGTGCAGTGGCGTGATCCTGACTCACTACAACCTCTGCCTCCTGGGTTCAAGAGATTCTCCTGCCTCAGCCTCCCAAGTAGCTGGGACTACAGACACCCACCACCACACCCAGCTAATTTTTTGTATTTTTAGTAGAGACGGGAGTTTCACTATGTTGGCTAGGCTGGTCTCAAACTCCTGACCTCGTGATCCACCCACCTTGGCCTCCCAAAGTGCTGGGATTACAGGCATGAGGCACCGCGCCCGGCCTAATTTTTGTATTTTTAATAAAGATGGGGTTTCACCATGTTGGCCAGGCTGGCCTTGAACTCCTGACCTCAGGTGAACCGCCTGCCTCCCAAAATGCTGGGATTACAGGTGTGAGCCACCACGACTGGCCAGTTGCCTCATTTTCTCTTTGTCTCTGAAAGGACCAGCTTTGAGGGACTAGGGAAGAAATGCCTGATCCCAACTGGTCTTGGCTGCCTACACGTGTGGGCGATTCATACCTAACACCTGCCATTATGACCGCTCACAACCCCACTCTTACCTTCCCTGCCCAGCAGGATTCTCTTTCCCATGCTCAGGGTGGAGCCCCTAGGAAAGGCAGTCTCTGGAACAGCCCAGCAAAGCCCAATTAGGCCAACTGAGATGTGGGACAAGAGGATGGTTAAAGCTGGGGCTCTAGATCTGGCTTCCAATCCCAACTCCCTGACTTGTGACTGTGTGACCCTGAATCAGCCACTTAACCAAGCCTCAGTTTCCCCACCTTTGTCTAACTCATAGACTAAGTGAGATAAGGCATATGTATCAGCACGGTACCCTGGATCATAGCAGGCACTAGTGAAAGGGTGAGATTTTAAACCCAGAGCCCCTCCACCTCAGAGCGAGACGGCTGCCCAGCTAAATGCGGGCACCCAAATGCTCCCTCCCAAGACACCGGAGGGTCTTTGCAAATCTTGGGGTCTTTGCTTCCCGCGCGCCCTCACCCCGCACTCACTTGGGTAGCGAAAGTAAAATTCATTGTCCGCGTTACTGTGGTTGCTCCGGTGCCAGAGGGCAGCGTCGGTTTTGTGGTTGTAGCGGACAAAGACAGCAAAGAGGACGGCAGTGGCGCCCTGGAGGAAGAGGCACAGCAGGGGAAGCTGCAGTCGCCGGCCCGCGGCGCGGCTAGGAGACCCGGCCATGGGTTGGGCTGCGATCTCGGCTGGCGCTCGCAGGCTTTGGCAGACAATTCCCGGCGGCAGGGCAGGTTTCACGGAGCCCCGCCCACAGAGGCCCTGCTCACGGAGGCCCCGCCCTCACCTGCCGCAGGCCCAGGGCCCCGGGGACCAGGAGCGGGGCGTCGGGGGGTCCTGGACCCTCGGCCCAAGGTAGGGCCAAGACTTGGGGAAGGGAGTCGCACAGTCCTGGCGCTGATCCTGGCACTGTTACGGTGCCAGGTCCTTGGACGCGACCCTGGAAAGGCGCCATGTGTTCTGCCCTGATAGGGCACAGCTGTGGGACCTGGGGGTGGGAGAACCCGCACCCTCATACATGATGTTACTTTAGAGTGTCTCCCAAAGAATAAATGGCCCTTAAAGACCCCGGTCTGGGCTGGGTATGGTGGCTCACGCGTGTAATCCCAGCACTTTAGGAGGCCGGGGTGGGTGGATCACTTGAGGTCAGGAATTCCAGACCAGCCAGGCCAACATAGTGAAACCCTGTCTCTACTAAAAATACAAGAAAAAAAAATTAGCTGGGCGTGGTGGTGGTACACCTGTAGTCCCAGCTACTTGGGAGGCTGAGGCAGGAGGATCGCTTGAATCCAGAAGGCAGAGGTTGCAGTGAGCAAGATCGTGCCACTGCGCTCCAGAGTGGGCAACAGAGCAAGACTCTGTCAGAAAACAAACAAACAAACAAACAAAACTCTGGTCTGGCCCCTCTAGGGTTAACACAAGAGAGAGTTAGGGTTTACTTAATCTTTTTCCCTACTGAAAAAGCAGAGATGGAAAACAGAGATAAATAGTGCTCTCCAGGCACTGATGATTAACCAGGCTGGGGCGTCTGGGCCTCTGCAGTGGAGTCCCTTACACCGCTCCAAGCGGTGTAAGGTAAGGGACTCTCCCCCTTCCTACCCCCAATCTGTACCACACCACAGGGAAGCAGGCTGGGCAGGGGCCACACTGACACCCAGGTTCCCTGTGTGCCCACTGTGGATGTGAGAGAGCCTGGGCTGCCTCTGCAGCTGGAGCGGAGGGAGGCTGAATGCAAGGAGGGCTTCTCAATTCCAAGTCCAGAGTTCCTCATTACCCAAGCAAGATTGGCATCCACTGGGGGCCCGGTAGACAGACATGGAGGAGACAGACATTTATTGAACACTTACTGTGAGGCAGGCTTTGGAGATGAACCAGATAGCCCCTTCCTCCAGGAACCACTGTCTGGTGTGGAGACAGACACTTAGGAGGAAATTTGATTACCAGTGGGATAAGCGACCAACCCAGAGAAGAACAGAGACTGCAGGGGTCCAGGAGGAGGGGCCGCAGAGGCCCCAGGGATAGGGGTAAGGGAGGGGACTGAGATGGAGAATTGCTTCCTGAGAAGGTAATGAATGTATGAAGGTGATCTGGAAGGACAATCTATGAATTGGACAAGTGAAGAAGGAAGAGGAGACATTATAAGAAGTGGGACCAACATAGACCGAGCCTGGCAGTGTAAGCATCCCGTGTGTTCAGGAACTCAGGTTGGGGGAGGCTGGGGGTGGTGCTGGGAAGGCCCTGAAGGCCCTGCTAAGGCACAGGGCCTCTACTCAGTGGGTTCTGGGCCACTGAAGGGTTCTAAATAGGTGTGGAACCCTGGCACTATTGGTTCTGACACCTGACACCTCCACAGGGTGAAGGCAAGTATTCCATGGGGCTGGTGGGAGGGGAGGCTCTCTGTCTACGCTGCAGCGGCAGCCCATCCCAGGCCCGCCTGTCTGAGGGAGTCATAGTGTGGAAGGAACCCGTGAGTGTCTGTAATGGTGTCACAAACCCCAGTCCAAAGGAAAAGCTGCCACTCCCATGAGTATGGCCTAGGTCCCCAGGGGACAACCTCCCCCCAGAACAGATGCAGGGTAGGGCTGCTTCTCAGGAATGGGCAGGGATGGGGTCAAGAGTAGAGCCCCTAACCTCTTCCTTTTCTTTCCTCCTGCCCCTTCCCCAGCTCACTTCTACCTCCCCTCAGGGGCTCCAGCCTCTGACACACAGTGGGCTCTGGAGGACAGTTGGATTCTAGGTATCCAGTTTCCCTAACTCAGGTGCCAGCCAGGGGTCCGACTCTGGGTGGCAGACTCTGGTAGCACTGCGCCCGGCTGGCCAGGCGGGCTTTCTGACCCTCAGTGGCCTCTGTCCCAGAGAGACTCTCTGTCCCTACTTGCTCAGCAGGAAGCTTGCTTTCTAGCCCTTCCTGGGGCAAAAGGTATATCAGGTCAGAATCCTTTGTATAATGATTCAGCATCTGGAGGATCCACCCAGGCCCAGCCTTCTGCCCCAAGACACTGCCTAAGTCCTGTTTGGGAGTGGGGGGTTGCTCAGGGCTGTCCAATCAGGGACTGGACAGGCCCTGGGATGGGAAGAGCCTTCAAAAGCTGCAAACCAGGGAAAACAAGGAGGAGTAGGCTGGGCCTTCCCAGCATCTTCTGGGAACTGCCTCCCTGATTCCAGCCTCCTCTATCTCTTTGTCACCTGTTGTGGCCCTTAGTCTCTTTTAATTCCTCTGGGTCTCTGATTCTCTCTCCTCTGTTGCTCATTCATTCACTCAACAAATACTCATTTAGCACCAATCCTGGGCCAGGTCTGGGGCTACAACCACAGGTTCTAGTCAAGTTATAAAACAGGGCTCGGTCCTGGGGCCCCCTGCCTGGCAGGTGTTAACCTCTTCATTGCTGGATTATGGGGAGATCTAAAGGAATCCCCCTGGCCCAGGAGAGCTGGGCCAGTCTCTGGAGGGTAAACTTAGAGACCTTTGGGCAACAGCTACTTGCCAACTTGAATGGGATAATCTTGGTATTTCAACAGCCAGTGAGCACCAGCTGAGCTGGTATCAGCCCTGGTCCAGCAGAGAGCAAGACCCAGGCAGCCCTCCCCTTCTGAGGGTCCCCTCCCTGGCTCCCACCTGTCTGAGGACTCCCCTGCCAGGCTGCCACCTGAGAGGATCTTAGAGGGCCCCCTGGACCACCACCTACCAAACACTATGGAGAGGCTTAGTCCATGGTTTCCTTTTGGATTGTGAAGTGATGTCAAGGCCCTTGGTCCTTCCCCTGCCTCCTCTGGCCCTGGTAGCTCTGAAGGAATGGTGAGGGCTTCATCTCTCACTCCTCCTTCCACTCCAGGCCTCCTCTGAGAAGCCCCTGACCCCACCATCAGCTCTCATTCTGCCTGGCCTGAGGTCTGTCCCATCTTTGACCTTCCATCTCCAGATTCCAGCTGTGACCAGCTGAGCAACAGAAGGGTGGCCAAGGGGAACCAGTGTCTGCTGCCTGCCCTGGCCAAGATTGGCCAGTTTGTCCCTGGGGACCAAGTATTTGAGGTTACTGAGTAACTTGGGGCTGCTCAGAGCTGATTTCTACCAGGGTCAACTCCTCCCAACCTCCTGCTCTCTTGGCTCAGGAATCCCCAAAGCCACTTGGCTCCTTTAGTTGCATGGAGCCACCCCCAGTGTTTATGTTGGAAAGAGAGAAAAACAGCAAAGCACCAGAGTCAATAAGGCTCTTGTTCATCCATCCATTCATTCATTCATCCATCCACCCATCCATCCAACATCTTTACTGTATGACCTTGGGCAAGTAATTGAGCCCTCTTTGAGTCTCATTTTTCTTATCTGTAGGAGTAATAACATAGTTCTTTTGTGGAAGTATAAGGATTCCAAATAATTGAGGTAGATCACTGGCATTTTTGTAAGCATTCAGCAGATGTGCTGATTATTCTTGTTCTGATTGGCTGAGCAGGAAGGGCAAATGGGTGGCTGGCTCCTATACACTACAGGGTGATAGTGTCTCTGAGGATAGGAACAGATGGAGGGGGCAGGCAGAGTCTTGATGCATTCTCCTGTCATTGACTGGAGGGAGGTGGCAGCAGGGGCTGGGGGCCTAGGATAGACACATTCAGGAAGGACCATCAGACCAGCAGCCCCAGTGACATAATACCTTTTTTTTTTTTTGAGACTGGGTGTCACTCTGTCACCCAGGCTGAAGTGCAGTGGTGCGATCACAGCTTGGCTTACTGCGGCCTCAATGTCCTGGGCTCAAGTGATCCTCTCACTTTCAGCCTCCCAAGCGAGTAGCTGGGACTACAGGCGCAAGCCACCTGCTGGGCTAATTTTTGTATTTTTTTGTAGAGATGGGGTTTTTCCATGTTGCCCAGGCTGGACTTGAACTCATGAGCTCAAATGATCCTCCTATTTTAGCCTCCCCAAGTGCTGCAATTATGTGTCCAGTCCATAACAACTCTTGAACAGAGGAGATTTGGAGGAAGACAAAGCCTTCCTTCATTTAACAAACATGTGTTGAGTGAGCACCTACTGTGTGCCAGATAGCACACACAGGGTAGGAAGAGACAGGATGGAGATGATGAGTCCTCAAGGTCTGGCAAGAGCTGTTGGCTCTGAGCAGCTTGTGGCTGGTATACGAGCCGTGAGAGGGGCATGCCGGGAGGAGGGGCAGTTGGGCCAGTGCACCCAGGGCGCAGTGAGGAGCAGGGACTTCACAGTGAGGACTATGGGGAGCAACTAAGGGGTCAACAGCAGAGAAGTCATATGATCCGATTTGTTATGTTAAAGTCCTGGCTGCCTGGGGATCATGGGCTGTAGGAGCCAGTGGAAGCAGGTGACCAGTCAAGAGGTCACTGCAATAACCCAGGCAAGAGCAGATGGTCATGGTAACAGTGGCGAAGAGGAGAAGTATTCAGGTTCCGGATGTATTTGGAAGGTAGATGGTACATCCTGTTGGATTTACTGAAGGTTTAGGTATGAGGGTGAGAGAGAAAGGAGTGCTGTGGACCAGACTGTGTCTCTCCAAAGTTCATGTTGAAGCTCTAACCCCAATATGATGGTAACTGGAGATGGGGCCTTTGGGAGGTGATTAGGTTTAGATGAGGTCCCAAGGCTGGCTCTCGTGATGGGATTAGTGCCCTTATAAGAAGAGACACCAGAGAGCTTGTGCACACTCGCTCTCCCTCCCTCCCTCTCCACTCCACCTCATTCTCTATCTCTGTCTCTCTCTGCCATGTGAGGACACAGCAAGAAGGTGGCTGTGTACAAGCTAGGAAGAGGGCCCTCAGCAGAACCATCCTGGCTGACCATGTAGGCACTCCGATCTTGGACTTCCAGCCTCCAGAACTGTGAGAAAATAAATTTATGTTGTTTAAGCCCCCCAGCCTACGGTACAGTCATGCACTGCATAATGATATTCTGTCCAACAAGAAACTATTATATACAACAGTGGTCCCATAAGATTGTAATGAAACTGAAAAATTCCTACACCTGGCATTTACCCTATTATACTTCTTATCATTCTCTTAGAGTATGTTTCTTCTACTTATTTAAAAAAAAGGTTAACTGTAAAATAGGCTCAGACAGGTCCTTCAGGAGGTATCCAGAAGGAGGCATTGTTATCATAGGAGATGAGAGCTCCATGTGTGTTACTGTCCCTGAAGACCTTCCAGTGTGACAAGATGTGGAGGGGGCAGCCTGGCCAACATGGCGAAACCTCATCTCTACTAAAAATACAAAAATTTGGCCAGGCGCGGTGGCTCACACCTGTAATCCCAGCACTTTGGGAGGCTGAGGCAGGCGGATCATGAGGTCAGGAGATCGAGACCATCCTGGCTAACACGGTGAAACCCTGTCTCTACTAAAAAATACAAAAAATTAGCCAGGCATGGTGGCGGGCACCTGTAGTCCCAGCTACTTGGGAGGCTGAGGCAGGAGAATGGTGTGAACCCGGGAGGCAGAGCTTGCAGTGAGCCGAGATCACACCACTGCACTCCAGCCTGGGCGACACAGTGAGACTCCGTCTCAAAAAACAAACAAAAACAAACAAACAAACAAACAAATTAGCCAGGTGTGGTAGCAAGTGCCTGTAATCCCAGCTACTCAGGAGGCTGAGACAGGAGAATCACTTGAACCCAAGAGGCAGAGGTTGCAGTGAGTCAAGATCATGACGTTGCACTCCAGCCTGGGCAACAAGAGCGAAACTCCATCTTAAAAAAAAAAAAAAATGTGGAGGTGGAAGACAGTGATATTGACAATCCTGACTCTGTGCAGACCTAGGTTAATGTGTGTGTTTGTGTCTTTTTTAACAAAAAAGTTTTTTAAATTAAAAAAATAAGTAGGAAAAAGCATAGAATGAGGATATAAAGAAAAAATATTTTGTGCAGCTATACAATGTGTTTGTGTTTTAAGCTAAGTGTTATTACAAAAGAATCAAAAAAGGCAGGGCGCAGTGGCTCATGCCTGTAATCCCAGCACTTTGGGAGGCCGAGGCGGGCAGATCACGAGGTCAAGAGATCGAAACCATCCTGGCCAACATGGTGAAACCCCGTCTCTACTAAAAATACAAAAATTAGCTGGGTGTGGTGGCGCACGTCTGTAGTCCCAGCTACTCGATAGTCTGAGGCAGGAGAATCGCTTGAACCCGGGAGGCAGAGGTTGCAGTGAGCCAAGATCGTGCCACTGCACTCCAGCCTGGCAAAAGAGCCAGACTCCACCTCAAAAAAAAAAAAGAGTCAAAAATTTTTTTAAAATGTGCCAGGTGCAGTGGCTCATGCCTGTAATCCCAGAGCTTTGGGAAGCTGAGGCAGGAGGATCTCTCAAGCCCAGGAATTCAAGACCAGCCTGGACAAAACAGGGAAACTCAGTCACTACAAAAAATGTAAAATAGCCAGGCATGGTGGTACACCCCAGTGGCCCCAGCTACTCAGGAGGCTGAGGTGGGAGGATCACCCAAGCTTGGGAGGTCGAGGCTGCAGTGAGCCATGATTGCACTACTGCACTCCAGCCTGGGTGGCAGAGCAAGACCCTGTCTCAAAAAATATATATAAAAAGTTTTTAAAAGTTAAAAAAATAGCTGGGTGCGGTAGCTCACACCTGTAATCCCAGCACTTTGGGAAGCCAAGGCGGGCGGATCACAAGGTCAGGAGATCGAGACCATCCTGGCTAACACAGTGAAACCCCGTCTCTACTAAAAATACAAAAAAAATAGACCGGGTGTGGTGGTGGGCGCCTGTAGTCCCAGCTACTTGGGAGGCTGAGGCAGGAGAATGGCGTGAACCTGGGAGGCAGAGCTTGCAGTGAGCCAAGATTGCACCACTGCACTCCAGCCTGGGTGACAGAGCAAGGCTCCGTCTCAAAAAAAAAAAAAAAAAAAAAAAAATTTAGGCCGGGCGCAGTGGCTCATGCCTGTAATCCCAGCAATTTGGGAGGCTGAGACAGGAGGATTGCTTGAGCCCAGGAGTTAGAGACCAGCCTAGGCAACAGTGCGAAACCCAGTCTCTAAAAAAATTTTTTTAAAAATTAGCCGGGAAAAAAAAAAATTAGCGAAGCATGGTGGTGCACGCCTGTAGTCTCAGCTACTCAGGTGAAATGATCACTTGAGCCCAGGAGGTCAAGGATTCAGCAAGCCATGATCACGCCATTCTACATTCCAGCCTGGGTGACAGAGTGAGACCCTATCTCAAAAAAAAAAAGTTAAAAATATTTAAGGCTATAAAGTAAAAAGTTACCATAAGCTAAGTTTAATTTATTATTAAAGAAATAAATCAAAAAAAAATTTTTTTGTTTCCAGTAGGGTTAGACAAAAAAAAGTTTTTAAATAAATTTAGTGTAGCCTAAATGTAGTGTTTATAAAGTCTACAGTAGTGTTAACACTCTAGGCCTTCATATTATACACCACTTACTCACTGACTCATACAAAACAACTTCCAGCACTGCAAGCTCCATTCATGGTAAGTGCCCTATGCAGGTATACATTATTTTTTTTCTTTTTTCTTTTTTAGACCCTGTCTCACTCAGGCTGGAGTGTAGTGGTGCGATCTCGGCTCACTGCAGCCTTGACCTCCTGGGCTCTGGTGATCCTGCCACCTCAGCCCCCAAGTAGCTGGGACTACAGGGGTGTTCAGGGGTTCACCACCATGCCCAGTTAATTTTTGTTAAGACAGGGTTTTGCCATGTTGCCCAGGATGGTCTCAAACTCCTGGGTTCAAACAGTCTGCCCACCTCGGCCTCCCAAAGTGCTGGAATTACAGGCATAAGCCACAGCACCCTGCAGGTGTGCCATTTTTTATCTTTTATATTATATTGTTGTTATTGTATCTTTTCTATGTTTAGATACACAAATACCATTGTGTTACAATTGCCTACAGTATTAGGTACAGTAACATGCTGTACAGGTTTGTAGCCCAGGAGCAACAGCCTGGGTGTGTAGTAGGCCATGCCATCTAGGTTTGTGTAAGTACACTCTATGATGTTCACACAACAACGAAATTGCCTAATGACACATTTCTCAGAATGTATCCTCATCATTAAACAAAGCATGACCGTACTTCGTTATGGCAGCCCAAGCTGACTATCGGAGGAGTCAGCGATGGTACCCAGGTGTTTGGCCTGAGCCACTGGTAGAATGGTGGTACCATGTGCCAAGCTGGGGAGCACTGAGAGAAGAGCAGGTCTGAGGGCCATCGGGTTTTCCATTTGAGATATCAGGAGGCATCAGATACATGAGTCCAGAGTTCAGGAGAGAGGTCCAGGGTAGGGATAGAAATGTGGGTGTTGTCAAGGCCGGGCGCAGTGGCTCGTGCCTGTAATCCCAGCACTTCGGGAGGCCAAAGTGGGTGGATCACCTGAGGTCAGGAGTTTGAGACCAGCCTGGCCAACATGGCGAAACCCCGTTTCTACTAAAAACACAAAAATTAGCTGGGCATGGTGGCACGTGCCTGTAATCCCAGCTACTAGCAGGGCTGAGGCAGGAGCGTCGCTCAAACCTGGGAGGCAGAGGTTGCAGTGAGCCAAGATCACACCACTGCACTCCAGCCTGGGCAACAGAGCAAGACTGTATCTGAAAAAAAGAAAAGAAAAGAAATGTAGAAATGTGTGCATCATCAGTGTGGAGCTGGCATTTAGTCATGCTTCTGGGTGAGGGTGGCTTGAAAGCAAGTAGAGAGAGAGGGACAGGAAAAGAGGGGGATCCCAACACTTAGAGATCAGGAAGAGAGGAGGGCCCAGCAAAGGAGACGGAGAAGGAGCAGCCCGTGAGGTAGGAAGTAAACCAGGAGAGGGCGTTGGAAGCCCATGTGAGACAAGGATTTCAAGAAGGGGATGATCAGTCACTTAGAGTGAGGGCTGAGAACGGCCCACTGGATTCGATGAGGTGCTGGGTCTGGACACCGGACACCTTGGCAAGAGCTGTGGGCTGGTGGTAATAAAAGCCTCATGGAAGTGGGCTCAAGACAGAATGGGAGGAGAGAAGGGGAAACAGTGAGCTCAGTCATCTCTTCTGAGGAGTTCTGCTCTACAGGGAATGGAGAAATGGGGCAGTAGATGGAAGGGAATGAGGAGTCAAAGAATTTTTTTCTTTTTTCAGTGATGGGAGATATTTTAGCAATTAGCTAATGGACTAAGAGAACTACAACTAGTCCTGAATGAAATCAGATGTAAAAAAAAAAAAAATAGAATGAAAAGTATAGTGTAGTGGACCGGTTGCTGTGTTTTTTGCCATCACGTGGAACATAGCCAAGAAGTGCTTTTGGCCCAGGTGCAATGGCTGACAGCACTTTGAGAGGCCAGGATGGGAGGATCACTTGGGCCGCCCAGGAGTTCAAAACCAGCCTGGGCATGAGACTTTGTCTCTACTAAAAATCATAATAATTTTTAAAAGTTAGCTGGGTGTGGTGGTATGCACCTGAGGTCCCATCTACTTGAGAGGCTGAAGTGGGAGGATCAATTGAGCTGGGAGGTCTAGGCTGCAGTGAGCTGTGGATGCACCATGATGGCACTCCACCCTAGATGACGCATCAAGACGCTGTCTCAAAAAAAAAAAAAAAAAGGTGCTTTTGAACTGGTAAAATGCTGGTAGAATTTATCAAAACTATTATTCACAAACCTACTTACCAAACAGATGAGAATAATAAAGATGGCTCTGCAGAAGTGCTCTAGGAAAACATTTTCTGAGCAGTTCACATATGGCAACATGAGTTATGAGCTTAAAATCTTTAAATCCTGGTGATGAATTTGGGAGTAAAGTAGCAATGGCTTAAATCTCCCACAGCTTCTCCTAATCTTAAAGGATCCTTATAACATACCATGTAGGAAGATGCAGTGCAACTGAAAATACTCAGAAAATATTTCTGTTTCTTGAAGCATGCATACAAGCAGCTAAAGAGGAAAGTAACTTCCAAATAGAAAGAAATTGCAAAGATAAGTGAGCCTCTTGCTGCTCTTGGGAGAAGAGACAGCCTGAGCAGAAAGTGAGCAATCTGGGAGAGGGGGAAGCCTGGGAAACAGCCAGCTCACCAGTCAGAGACAAAGAGATGGGCCATGCCTCTACTGTGCCAATTCCAGGAAAATGCACTTCTAAAGACCTGGGTGAGCCTGTTGTCATGGAGACCACTAGATTGAAGGGCTGAGGGTCCAGCCTGGCCCTGGACAGCTGAGGCTTTTCACTCTTCCTGAAACACAGGGCACTTGGCCTCTGATGTATTTCCCTTGGCTTGGCATCCCCTTTTTCCACTTGCCTCCAACACATTCTCCAAGTCTCCTGCCCACCTTGGGGAACCTTCCCCCGACACCCACTCCTATGCCCTCTCTCTGGGTATAGACTCCTTAAGTAGGAGCTCATGGTACAGTGGAAAGAGCACAGTTTTGGAGTCAAACAGATCTGGATTTCAATCTCGCTTCTGCTCAAGCAAACTGGATGACCTTGAACTAATTACTTAACCTCTCTGGGCCTCAATCTCTCTGTTTATTAAAATGGGGATGCCACTACGAGGTTGACCAGGTGGTTGTGACTCTAAGATGCTGTGTATCAAGTACCCAGGACAGAATAAACAGTGAAGAGCTATTGTCACTTTATTATTATGTAGTATTGTAATGAATTGTTTATGTATCTTTTTGGGTAGACTATGAACCTCTCAAGGGCAAGGGCCCTGTCTCATTGACCTCTATCTGGTGCCCAGCACAATGCCAGATGGAATAGGTGCTCAGGGAGTATCTGTAGATTACATGCATAAATGAAGCAACAGGTGGGGGGTGCAGAACCACACAATCAGGTCCCCAGTTCTTCCATGATCATTTTATTTATTTATTTATTTAGAGACTGTGTCTTGCTCTGTCACCCAGGCTGGAGTGCAATGGCATGAACTCGGCTCACTGCAACCTCCACCTCCCAGATTCAAGCCATTCTCCGGCCTCAGCCTCCCAAGTAGCTGGGATTACAGGTGCCCACCACCATACCCAGCTAATTTTTTTTTGTATTTTTAGTAGAGACGTTGTTTCACCATGTCGGCCAGGTTGGTCTCGAACCCCTGACTTCGAGTAATCCATCTGCCTTGGCCTCCCAAAGTGCTGTGATTACAGGCGTGAACCAACACGCCCGGCCCTCCATGATCATTTTAGAACGTCCCTTCTCCTTCTGATTCCTCCAGATGCTGGAGAGCCAGCCTGTGGTCAAGGTGTCGCTGGAAGCCTTCACTCCTCTTTGCAATTCAGACACACGCCACACACAACCCCACACCCCCCAACACCTCGCTCTCCTCCAGCCACCAAACCCTTCTGACAGAAGAAGGCAGGCCCATCTCCAGCGGGGAACTGAGAAGACCCCTCCCCAACGCAGCCTGTTCCTCCCTCCGGGTTGAAAGAGTCATTTTCCAGGCTCTGTACTTGTTCAGGCTGTTACCCACATGCTGCTTCTGTTAAAACAGAACTCCGCCTGCAAGGCGCACCTCAAATATGATTCCTTAGGAAACTACCCCTGCCTTTGGACTCCTTGCTGCATTTTCTCCCCTAATTAGAGCACAGGGCACCCCACTGGGATTTATACTTCCACCCCTTTCTCTGGACGGGGGGTGCCTTGAGGTGACACTCCCTCACCCCTTCCCCTCATACTGGGCATAGCATGGTCTCTGCTCCCAACTCCTGAATGAAATATTTTCTTGAACGATGTCGCATCCTTGACTCCACCCAAGGGAAATGTCCCCCAACGTTGCTGAGGTCCTACGCAGATCCCCTCCCACCGCCAGGGTGCCCCTCTGCCCTTCCCTGCTGGGCTCCTCCCCCTCCGGCACTCTCTGCCGGGCTCACCTGTCCTGAGCCAGCCCGCCACCTAGCGGCGGAGCGAAGTCCACGCCCTGCTCTCCGTCCCCCGAACACCTCACCCTAGGCTTTCAGCCAAATAGTTCATTCAGGTATTGAGAGCAGGGACCAGCGGCCGCATCAGCCCACAGCTTGTGAGCTGGGGGAGGGAGCAGGGTGGGGAAGGGTACGTCCTCCCTCTCCAACTCCCCTGGTGGCCGACGGGAAGGGGTGCCCCCCACTCTCTTGGCTGGGCTGTGCTCCCTGGCTGATTGTTTTCTCTTCACTTGCCTTTCTTCTCAGCCGGATTAATTTGTAAACAATATTATCATTCCCACTTATCCATTCAATAAGTATTTATCTATTTCAATATTTAATTTTGGGCAAGCAAGGTGGCTCATGCCTGTAACCCCACACTGTGGGAGGCCAAGTTGGGAGGATCACTTGAGGCCAAGAGTTTAAGACCAGCCTGGGCAACATAGGGAGATCCCGTCTCTACAAAAAAATGAAAAAAATTAGCCGAGCATAGTGGGGGCGTGCCTTTAGTCCCAGCTACTCAGAAGGCTGAAGCTGGAGAATCACTTGAGCCCAGGAGACTGAGGCTGAAGTGAGCTATGAACGCACCACTGCACTCCAGCCTGGGTGACAGAGTGAGACACTGTCTCAAATATGTATGTATTTAATTTTATTAGTCAAATAGGTAGCAAATACTTAGAGTGACAGCTATGTGACAGGCACTGTTCTGTGCATACAGCAATGGAAAAAAACTGTCAAGAACGGGGGGGAAACACTGATTTTTTTTTCACTATTGTGAAACTTTAAAAAAAGTGTATTGTTTTAAAATGTGTTACTACTTGAAACTGGTGATTTGACTTTACACCAAACTCCTACCAAGTGGTTCACAAATGTTAGAAGATGAAAAATACGGCAGGGCGTGGTGGCTCCTGCCTGTAATCCCAGCACTTTGGGCGGCTGAGGCGGGCGGATCATGAGGTCAGGAGTTCAAGACCGGCCTGGCCAACATGGTGAAACCCCATCTTTACTAAAAAATACAAAATTTAGCTGGGCATGGTGGCACACACCTGTAATCCCAGCTACTTGCGAGGCTGAGGCAGGAGAATCACTTGAATCCAGGAGGCAGAGGTTGCAGTGAGCCAAGATCACACCACTGCACTCCAGCCTGGGCGACAGAGCAAGACTCTGTCAAAAAGAAAGAAAGAAAGGAAAGAGAGAAAGAAAGAAAGATAGAAGGAAGGAAGGAAGGAAGAAAGGAAAGAAGGAGGGAAGGAAAGAAAGAAAAGAAAAATCCCATCGCCTGAGTTCCATATGCTTAAAAAAAAAAAAAAGGCGGGGGTGGGGGCCGGGCGTAGTGGCTCACACCTGTAATCCCAGCACTTTGGGAGGCTGTGGTGGGCAGATCATGAGGTCAGGAGATTGAGACCATCCTGGCTAACATGGTGAAACCCCGCCTCTACTAAAAATACAAAAAAATTAGCCGGGCGTGGTGGCGGGCGCCTGTGGTCCCAGCTGTTTGGGTGGCTGAGGCAGGAGAATGGCGTGAACCCAGGAGGCGGAGCTTGCAGTGAGCCGAGATCATGCCACTGCACCCCAGCCTGGGTGACAGAGCGAGACTCCATCTCAAAAAAACAAAAAACAAAAAAAAACAAAAAAAGGCTGGGCGCAGTGGCTCACGCCTATAATCCCAGCACTTTGGGGGGCTGAGGAGGATGGATCACCTGAGGTCAGGAGTTTGAGACCAGCCTGGCCAACATGGTGAAACCCCGTCTCTACTAAAAATACAAAAACTATCTGGGCACGGTGGCGGGTGCCTGTAATCCCAGCTACTTGGGAGGCTGAGGTAGGAGAATTGCTTGAAACTGGGAGGTGGAGGTTGCAGCGAGCCGAGATTGTGCCATTGCACTTCAGCCCAGGCAACAAGAGCAAAACTTTGTCTCAAAAAGAAAAAAAGGAAAAGAAGAAAGAAAAATCCCAGATCATGTTTCCAGGAAGGGAAGAGACAGGCTAGGTGTTGGAGCAGGACCCAACAGGATGTCTTCCGGAAGATGCTCCCTGGAGCATGCCTGGAGAACCCCTGCCAGCTTCCTGAATCTCCCCTTCCAAATTCCATTTCTCCCAAACACTGAATACACCTGGATCTCAGGACTCAGTTAGCAGTGTCGCATCTGAGATGGGCAATAAACAGGCAAGTTTTCATGAAAACTGCAGGAGAGTGTTAAAGGAACTGGGCTGCTTGATCTGGAGAAGGGGGGCCTTGGATGGGAGGGGGAGCACATTTGGTCCCCATCAAAAGCCAGAGTCTTCTGGCTTTTGTTAATTGCTTTGGAAGCCTTTTAAAAAAGAAAATTATAGATTCACATCAGCCAGCTATCAACTCAAGGTGTGCTGTAAATCCAGAGAGCCTATATGGCAAGAGTCTCTAAGGAGACTCTCATCTCAGTTGCAAGGCAGACTGCACTGAAAATCAGATATGGGATCTCATTGATACGTGGCAGAACTGCAAAGGAGACTGAATGCACAGTGCCAATAGGTCTCCTATATCAAAGACCCTAATAGGAAGAGTAAGACCAAAAGACCTGGGAGGAAACATTTGGGTACATGAGAACCTGATAATCTGGAACCTCCAGATTCTTCTTAACATTCCAGGCCAGCAGAAGCAACCCTCTCCCCTTGCTAAAGGAAAGCAGCCTCCTCTTGCATACAGACCCTGCAAAGACTTTGCACAAGAAAGATATCTCAAGTATACTACTTGTCTTTACCAAGTACCACCTCTCTCAGTCTTATTTTTTTTAATCTCCAGGGAGATAACTAGAATTACGCCTCAACACAACACAATACAAGCAGAGGTATGCAGTTCCAGGAGGAAATTGTTACATATCAAAAAAATTCTGTGACCTGGCTAATATGAACCAGTTGGAGCTGGGAGAACACATGGAGTGAGTCTGGAATAAGGGGGAGGCTGTGGAACATGATGGATAGGGCAAAATGTATTGACATGAAGCATTCATATATATTTAGGGGTTCAATGTCCTGGCAAGGACACCTGGAGCCAGTACTAATCAAGGAGATGGCTCCTTGAAACTTGGACTCAATGACACACTACAGTAGGTGCGATAAAAATGCCAGAACTAGGCCGGGTGCAGTGGCTCACACCTGTAATCCCAGCACTTTGGGAGGCCAAGGTGGCCAGATCACTTGAGGCCAGGAGTTCGAGACCAGCCTGGCTGACATGGTGAAACCCCATCTCTACTAAAATACAAAAAATTGGATGGGCATGGTGGCTCACGCCTATAATCCCAGCACTTTGGGAGACTGAGGCGGGCCTCCCAAATCTACATCAGATTTGGCGGGCCTTCCAGATCGACATCATTTGACAGATCCAAAGTCCATCAATTGGAGTGGAGACTAAGTTCCTCTGAGAAAAGACCCTGCAAACATCATCACAAGTATTTATGATAAATTTTCCTTGATCCTTCCCCAAAGGAACCTGCATCTATTGGCTAGGATAACTGTGCACTAGCCAAGTGGGGAATGTCCAGACCTTTTGGGATTTATTATACATGAAGTTTGAGCCAATGCTGATACCAAAGGACCTGAAATGTCATTCATGGTTGTCTGGTTAGAACGGGAGCTATGGATTCCAGGTGGTGAGTGGAATTCTGGCCCAATCTGCCTTACAGTGTATCCAATGGGTTCATGGATCCACCCTGTGGTTTTCTCACCAGTTGCTGAGGATATAATGCAGAAAAATATACTTAGTAGCTAAGTATATACTAAGTAGTTTAGTATATACTAAGAGCTATTATATAGGAAGGGCCAAGCCAGACATGGTGGCACGCTCTTGTAATCCCAGCTATTCTGGAGGCTGAGGTGAGGATCTCTTGAGCCCAGGAGTTCAAGGCCACAGTGAGCTATGATAGTGCCCCTGCACTCCAGCCTGGGCAACAGAGAAAGACCCTATCTCAAAAATAATAATAATAATTTTAAAAATTAAAAAAGGAAAGGCCAAGATGTTCTAGAAACTGCCCCCCCACCCCCACCAACCCCACCCATCCCTGGACAAGATAGTAAATCAAAAGCAGTACCTGTCTTTGGAAAAATTGTAGAGATTAGCACCACCATCAAATACTGGGATGGTGGTTTTGCTGGGACTAAGTGAGGGATACATACAAGTTCATATAGTATTCAGTTCACTTGTATGACCCCTGCAGAAGCCAAATGATTGGAGTCAATGATAAAGGATCATCATAACTTTAACCACATGGTAGCCCCAATCTCAGCTGCTACACTGAATGTGGTCTCTTTACTGGACAGCTTCTGGCAACTAGTATGTGACTGTTGGCCTGGCAAATGTGTTCTCCATACTCATTGGTAAGAATGAGCAAGAGCGGCCGGGCGCAGTGGCTCACGCCTGTAATCTCAGCACTTTAGGAGGCCGAAGCGGGTGGATCACTTGCGGTCAGGAGTTCGAAACCAGCCTGGCCAACATGGTGTGAAACCCCATCTCTACTAAAATGTGCAAAAAAATTAGCTGGGCGTGGTGGCAGGCGACTTAATCCCAGCTACTTGGGAGGCAGAGACAGGAGAATCGTTTGAACCCAGGAGGCGGAGGTTGCAGTGAGCCAAGATCACGCCACTGCACTCCAGCCTGGGGATAAGAGCAAGACTTCTCAAAAAAAAAAAAAAAAAAAAAGAATGAGTAAGAGCAATTTGCCTTTATATGGGAAGGACAAGAGCACACAATCACTGTGCCACAGATCATGTTAACTCTCCTATTCTCTAACCCAATATAGTCTGCAGGGAATTCAGCTATCTTATTCTGCTCAACATCATGCCAGTCCACTATATTAATGACATCTTACTAATTGGACTTGATGATCAGGAAGTGGCAAGTACTTTAGTAAGATTAGAAGAATCAGGTGTCTGACACATTGAAGAAGTTTTTAGGGGTCCAGGCTGGGCGCAGTGGCTCACACCTGTAATCCTAGCACTTTGGGAGGCCAAGATGGGTGGATCACTTGAGGCCAAGAGTTCAAGACCAGCCTGGACAACATAGCGAAAACCTGTTTCTATTTCTTTTTATTTATGTATTTATTTGAGACAAGGTCTCACTCTGCCGCCCAGGCTGGAATGCATCAGTGTGATCTCAGCTCACTGCAAACTCTGCCTCCCAGGTTCAAGCAGTTCTCCCACCTCAGCCTCCTGAGTAGCTGGGACTACAGGCATGTGCCACCATGCCTGGCTAATTTTTGTTTTTGTAGAGACGAGGTCTTGCTATGTTGCTCAGGCTGGTCTTAAACTCCTGGGTTCAAGTGATCCACCTGCCTCGGCCTCCAAAGTGCTGAGATTATAGGCATGAGCTACTGCACCTGGCCCACATGACTTTTTTTTTTTTTAACAATCCTCTAATGTTAAAATAGCTTCCCATTTCACTCAGAGTAAAAGCCAAAGTCTTTAAAATATCCTGCAATGCCCTACACATGATCTGGTATCCTCACTACCTTTCTGATCTCATCTCCTTCTACTATCAGTCACGCCTCTGCAACCATAGGTAGAATAATGACCCCTTCCCCCGAAGATGACAATGTGCTAATCCGCAGAACCCATCAATTAAAAATTACATGGTAAAGGGTAATTAAGATTGCAGATGGAATTAAGGTGGCCAATTAAATAACTTTAAAATGGGAGATTATCCCAGATTACCAGGGTGGGCTCAATATAATCACAAGGGTCCTTAAAAGTGGAAGAGGAGATGTGACTGCAGGAGAATGCACAGAGATGCAATTTTGTGGTTCTAAAAATGCAGGAAGTGGTGCCTATAGAAACCGGAGAAGAGAAGGAAACCGGGTCTCCTCTAGAACCTCCAAAAAAGGACCTCCTGATTTTAGCCCAGTGATACCTGATCTGTTCAGACTTCGGATCTACAGAACTATAAGAGAGAATAAATTTGTGTTGTGACACTAGGTTTGTGGTAATTTGTTATAGCAGCAATAGGAAACTAATATACCACCACTGTGTAAATTAGAAAATAATATTAAAAAAACATATATTCAGTTCACATCTACCTGCTAGTATAGATAAATTGTCTTCTGGAATATGCAGAAAGTGGTCAACAGTGGTTTTCTTTGTGGGGAGGGCCTAGGGTCCTGGGGGAGAGTTTTGCTCTTTTGCTTTATTTATTTATTGAGACGGGGTCTTGCTCTGTCGCCAGGCTGGAGTGCAGTGGTGTGATCTCGGCTCACCGCAACCTCCACCACCTGGGTTCAAGCAATTCTCCTGCCTCAGCCCCCCAAGTAGCTGGGACTACAGGCATGCGCCACCACGCCCAGCTAATTTTTGTATTTTTAGTAGAGACGGGGTTTCACCATGTTGGCCAGGATGGTCTCGATCTCTTGACCTCATCATCTGCCCACCTTGGCCTCCCAAAGTGCTGGGATTACAGGCATGAGCCACTACCTCCGGCCGCTTTTTTATTTTATACCTTCTGCATGGTTTTAAACTTTTTAAATATCTGCAATTAAAAAAAATCTTTGTATTATGAAAAATTTCAAATATACACAAAATAGAGAATAGTGTAATGAACCCAATATGCCTATCACTCAGAACAATTAACCGTATATGACCAATTTTATTTCACCCACATCCCAACCCAATCCCCTCCACCTGGGTTATTTTAAGGCAAACCTCTGACATCATCTGTGTATGTTTCTGTATCTATCTCCAAACATAAGGACTCTTATTTTCAACACTTTTTCAACATTTTATTACAAACATTTTCAAACATACGTAAAAGGTGAAATAATTTTTTCCAGTGAAAACCCATAAATATCCACTAACTACATTCCACAGTAACATTTTATTCTACTTGCTTTTTTACATAACTATACATCTATCCATTAATCCATTTTATTTTTGTACGCATTTCAGAGTGAATTGCAGACGTCAGTATACTTCAACCCTAAAACCTTCTGTATGCATAGCATTAAGTACAGTTCAGTATTTATTTACAGTTTTTTAAGGTAAAATTTATATCCAGTAGGCCTGGCGCAGTGGCTCACATCTGTAATCCCAACACTTTGGGAGGCTGAGGCAGGAGGATCACATGAGGCCAGGAGTTCGAGACTAGCCTGGCCAACGTGGCAAAACTCGTCTCTACTGAAAATACAAAAATTAGGCATGGTGGAGGGCACCTGTAATCCCAGCTACTCAGGTGGCTGAGGCATGAGAATTGCTTGAACCCGGGAAGCAGACGTTGCAGTGAGTGGAGATTGCACCACTGTGCTCCAGCCTGGATGACAGAGTGAGACCTTGTCTCAAAAATAAATGTTATATCCAGTGAAATGCACAAATCTTAAGGGTACCGTTTGATGAATTTTGATAAATGCATAAACTTGTGTAACCCAAGCCACTATATCAAAATATAAAACCATCAACCTATAGTTTCCTATGCCCCTTCTGTCAATCCCTATTCCAACTCCTCCCCCAGTGGCAACCACTATTTTTAGTTTTATCTACCATATATTAATATTGCCTGTAGTAGAGCTTCAAATAAATGTAATGGTACAATGTGTATTCTTTTTTTTTTTTTTTTTTTGAGATGAAGTCTCGCTCTTGTCCCCCAGGCTGGAGGGCAATGGCACAATCTCGGCTCACTGCAACCTCTGCCTCCTGGGTTCAAGCAATTCTCCTGCCTCAGCCTCCTGAGCAGCTGGGATTACAGGCGCCTGCCACCACACCCAGCTAATTTTTGTATTTTTAGTAGGGACGGGGTTTCACCACGTTAGCCAGGCTGGTCTCGAACTCCTGATCCACCCACCTCAGCCTCCCAAAGTGCTGGGATTATAGGCATGAGCCACCGCGCCTGGCCAATTTGCGCCTGGCCAGTTTGCACCCAGTCGGTGTGTATTCTTTTGTGTAATACTCCTTTCACTCAATGTAATGTTTTTGAGATATTTTCATACTGTTGCATTTATGAGTAGTTTGTTCTATTTTATTTCTAAGTAGTGTTCAATTGCATGAATGTAACAGTTTATTCTAACCTTTTTATCATTATGAAATGTCTCTATTTGTGACAGTACAGTTTGTCTTAAAGTTTACTTTACATTCTCTGATATTAATATAGCCATTCCAGTCATCCTCTGATTACCTTTGGCCTACTATATCTTTTTCCATCCATTTACTTTTGCCTAAATGTTTTTAAAGTATGTCTCTAATCAGACTGACTCCTGAGAGTTTTTTTTTTTTAATGCAATTCTAGCAAGATTTGATAGCCTCTTTCTACCAAATAGGGTAAGATATTCTAGGCTTATGTTGTATTTTTTTTCCTGCCTGAGACCTGAAAACAGTCATTTCTTCAGGATTCTTCCTTCCTTTCTTGAAAAAAGTGGTATTTAGTGACTATAATCTGGGTGCTAGGGGTATTGTTGCTACCAAGTTAATCACTGTTTCAAGGCCTTTTCAGTGAGCATTACTTTTTGGGAAAGGTGTAGGCAGGGTCTAATTTTTTTGCATGTGATGTCCAATTGTTCCAATACTATTTGTTGAAAAGACTATCCCTTCTCCTTTGGATTGTCTTTGCTCCTTTGTCAAAAATCAGTTGACCATATTTGTGTGAATTTTTTCAAGAGCTGTCTATTCTGTTCCATTGGTATATGTCTATTCTTTCACCAGTACCACACTGTCTTGATTAGTGTAGCTTTATATTAAGTCTTGAAGTTGGGTAGCATCAGTCCTCTCAACTTTCATTCTCCCTCCACATCAAAATGTTTTGCCCGTAGTGTTTCTACTATCTTACATGTGTCTCATCACTATCTGGAAGCTGACAATGGCTTTCCAGACTTTTTTTTTTTTTTTTTTTTTTGAGAGGGAGTCTCGCTCTGTCGCCCAGGCTGGAATGCAGTGGCACAATCTCAGCTCACTGTAGCCTCCCCGTCCTGGGTTCAAGCGATTTTCCTGCCTTAGTCCTTAGCCTCCAGAGTAGCTAGGACTACAAGTGCGTGCCACCACGCCTGGATAATTTTTGTATTTTTTAGTAGAGACAGGGTTTCACCATGTTGGCCAGGCTTGTCTGTAACTCCTGACCTCAAGTGATCTGCCTGCCTCAGCCTCCCAAAGTGCTGGGATTACAGGTGTGAGCCACCGTGCCCAGCCCCTTTCCAGACCTTCTAAAAGCTGCCATCAGAATAATTCTGCAGGGAAAGCTGACTTGCCTCAGCTCCTTTACATTCTATTTCACACTCTATATTCTGGAGGGGAAAAACTCTTCCCCTTATTTGTGATGACTTATTCTCCTACTGATATGGTTTGGATGTTTGTCCCCCCCAAATCTCATGTTGAAATGTAATCTCCAGTGTTAGAGGCAGGGCCTGGCGGGAGGTGTTTGGATCATGGGGACGGATCCCTTATCAATGTCTTAGCACCATCCCCTTGGCGATGAGTGAGCTCTTGTTCTAAGTTCACATAAGATCTGCCTGGTTAAAAGTGTGTGGTACTTCCCTTCTCTTTTTCTCCCTCACTCTCTTGCTCCCTCTCTTGCCATGTGACACGCTGCTCATCTTTGCCTTCCATGGTGATGCAGAGCTCCCTGAGGCTCTCATCAGAAGCAGATGTGGCACACACAGCCTGCAGAACCAAACCATGAGCCAAAATAAACATATTTTCTCTACAAATCACCCAACTTTAGGTATTTCTTTATAGCAATGCAAGAATGGACTAATACGTCTACCTCTAGGTCTTTGTCCAAGCTTCCCAACTGATATGGAACTACCTGACTTCATCTGTCCATGCCATCCAACCCCTCCCTTCTTCAAGTGGCATCATGAAGCCACTTTCTCCAGCAAGATTCTAAAATTGGTCCAGTTGTATCCTAGTAACCTCCAGTGTTAGTTCTTAACCTCCATCCTCTTTCAGAATACCACTACATTTTGCAATGAATTGTCTGCTTTGTTAGACAGTAATCCCTGCAAACTCCTTTTGTAATATGTAACCCCAAGTGCCTTGTACAACGCTTTGCACTCAGTGAGCACTTATTATGAACCTGTGAACAAACTAACCATATGTAGAATACATATACCCAGATTCCAACAAGGGTTTACTGGGAAGAGAGAGGAAAACAACACAATAACTTTGTTCCACAATTCATTTACTGAATTGGGGCAGGTGATTTAACAATGGATTAGGAGATAAGGCTGGGAGAGAAGAGTTATTGCTTCCCCTCCCAGGAGCCAGTTGTGTCACAGATGCCTGTAAATGTTCCAAAACAGCCATCTGTTGTTGGGCGAGCTGGGTCTGAAGCTGGAGGTTTGCATACATACATTCCAGGAGTCCTAGGCATTCCTTGGGCTTGTGATCAACTCCAGAAGGAAAAGCAACGGAGGTGCAAGGGAACAAAGGAGAGAGATTTGGTAATTGTACTGAGGTTGGAAGGACCCTAATAAAATGACCTCTCCAATCTTTCCAGGCACAACCCAACCCAGACATACCTTTGCCCAGCTGTCACCTCCCAGTGAGGCATACCTGGCTATCCTATTTTAATTTGAAATCAATCACTGGAACTTATTACCCCCTCCCTTGTTTCACTTTTCCCATAATATTTATGGTCATATGGCATATTTTATAATTACTTAATTTTTGTCTAAGTCCCCCTTCTAGAACGTAAGCTCCAGGAAGGCAAGGATTTTTATCTGATTTGTTCACTACTTTAACCCTAGCACCTAGAAAAATGCCCAGCATATAACAAATATTTGATGAGTGAATGAAATGGTCTGGGAGGGAGGCCTACCTTCCCTAGAGCTCAGGGGATACCTCAGCCTCCTCTGTTACTTGACATAGTGTATCATTAGCAGTGACCTGAAGTTCCCTAACTTCAACCATTCTTGCTACATTGGTCCATTGTTTTTTTTCTTTTTCTTTTTTTTTTTTTTTTTTGGAGACGGAGTTTCACTTGTCACCCAGGCTAGAGTACAATGGTACGATCTCAGCTCACTGCAACCTCCACCTCCTGGGTTCAAGCAATTCTCCTGCCTCAACTTCCTGAGTAGCTGGGATTACAGTCATGTGCCACCATGCCTGGCTAAGTTTTGTATCATTAGTAGAGACGAGGTTTCACCACGTTGCCCAGGCTGGTCTCGAACTCCTGACCTCAGGTGATCCACCTGCCTTGGCCTTCCAAAGTGCTGGTATTACAAGTGTGAGCCACTGCACCTGGCCAGTCCATTCTTTTTCTAATATTTTTCTTTTTTCTTTTTTTTTTTTTCAATGGAGCCTTGCTCTGTCTCCCAGGATGCAGTGCAGCGGCACAATCCTGGCTCACTGCAACCTCCACCTCCCAGTTTAAGCAATTCTCCTGCCTCAGTCTCCCAAGTAGCTGGGATTACAGGCAGGTGCCACCATGCCCAGCTAATTTTTGTATTTTTAGTAGAGATGGGGTTTCACCATGTTGGTGAGGCTGGTCTCAAACTCCTGACCTCAGGTAATCCGCCCGCTTTGGCCTCCCAAAGTGCTGGGATTACAGGCATGAGCCACCGAGCCCTGCCAGTCCATTCTTTTGTTTGTTTTGAGATGGAGTTTCACTCTTGTTGCCCAGGCTGGAGTGCAATGGCCCAGTCTTGGCTCACTGCAACCTCCGCCTCCCAGGTTCAAGCAATTCTCCTGCCTCGGCCTCCTAAGCAGCTGAGATTACAGGCACCTGCCACCACGCCCAGCTTATTTTTGTATTTTTAGTAGAGACAGGGTTTCACCATGTCGGTCAGGCTGGTCTGAAGCTCCTGACCTCAGACAATCCACCTGCCTTGGCCTCCCAAAGTGCTGGGATTACAGGGATGAGCTACCGTGCCCAGCCACTTTTTCTAATATTTTACACAGCCAGTTAACCTTGGTAATTATATTATCTGCTGTTTGTATTTTTATCAGTCTTGACTTCTTTGTTGGACTCTGAGGTCCTCAAAAACAGGGGTTATGACTGTCTAGTTAGTGCCCTGTTGGGTTCCCCATAGCTATGCCAAATACCCACTGACCTCCCCAAGGGAAGATGAATGATGAAAATTCAAAGACCCTGAGACTGAGCTAATAGTTTCCTTCTCTAGCCACCGTTTTTTAAAATTTTACCTTCCCAAGTGAACAGGGGTAAACCTGGCCATCTTTTAACTAACATTACCAGTAAGCAATGAGAGGTTCACTTCACTCCTGCCTAGTCTAGCAAAAGTGCTAACAAGCAAGGAAACAATACAAGTTGGTAGAACTGGGATGATAATGATATCAATGAAACTAAATAATCAACAAGCTATCACGGAAAGATCTATAGATGCCTAACATAGATTTGGCTCTTGATCAATAGGCGACAGCTCAAGCCACCTCCTCCATGCAACCCTTCCCCCTGTTGAGTCCATTAGAAAACCCTCCCTACATCCTTACCCGAGGGCAGCTTTGTTGTCTGGATGTTCAGAAAAGTGGCTGGTGGGGAACTTGCTTGAAGATTAATATAGCTGGGGGAGGGTTTTGCTCTACAGAGAGGCACAGCATTAGCTTCCTCTTTGGCTGGAACTAAATCAGAGATAACTAAATCAGAGCTCATTCCAACAAGGGACAGCCTTTCTAATTAGATCCCTGCACCTGGTCCATGAAAGCAGGTGCCCAGGCCCTGCCGTGAATATGTTACATATCAGAAAGATACATAAGACAAAAAAGAAATCATAATAGGATTAAGAGAAACCAAGCAGGAGTGGGATAAGCCAAAATCTAATTTGTTTACAAGTTCTTACTGATATACACTACATGCTTGCGACTGTACTAAATCCTAGGGTATACATAAGATGTGTTAAGACATGGTTTCTTAGATGCTTAGTATCTAGTTAGGAAGACAAATCAGACACAGGTGAAACAGTGATCTAACAACATGAGGACATAAACAATGAGTCTGAGTCTGGGGTGAAAATAAAAGCCTTTTATCTGTTAGTTATACTATGTGATTAAAGGTAAAAATGAATGTTTCTTAAAAGGGAGAAGAGATCAATATGAGTAGCGAGAGAACTCTACCTCCTTTCAGGTAGAGGATATTTACTGAACCTTAAAAACTTGAGAAGCGGCTGGGCACGGTGGCTCATGCTTGTAATCCCAGCACTTTGGGAGGCCAAGGCAGGCAGATTACCTGAGATCAGGAGTTCAAGACTAGCCTGACCAACCTGGTAAAACTCCGTCTCTACTAAAAATACAAAACTAGCCGGGCGTGGTGGCAGACGCTTGTAGTCCCAGCTACTTGGGAGGCTGAGGCAGGATAATCACTTGAACCCGGGAGGCAGAGATTGCAGCGAGCCGAGATCACAACACTGCACTCCAGCCTGGGCAACAAGGGTGAGATTCCTTCTCAAAAAAAATGAAACAACAACAACAAAAAACTTGAGAAGCCAGGCTATACTGGTGAGACCACAATCAAGCCCCTCTCCCTAACAAGGATTGGCCTGTGACCCAATACAGGCCAATCATGGTATTCCCATCCCCCTTGGCAACTGTGACTGAGCCAAGGGATTAGGCGCATGAGGTAAGTTGGGCCAGAGTCATTCCCTGGGATCAATATATGGATTCTGTGTCTAAGAAATTTACTTTCTTCTGATCTCCTATTCTGAGAAAATGTATGGTTGGGCCCAGTGAAAGCTATTTGGCTAGCATATCATGAGAAGTGGAAAAGCAAGAGACTAGAGACAAGGAAAAGCATAGGAGAGAGACAGATGGATACACAGACACCAACAGGCACCAAATCCCCAGTTTTAGTCCCCGAGGCCCTGGTTTTTGCCGCTCTTCTTCCCATTATTCTGTGAGCTATTTCAGCATCTCTCCCAACTGCACAAGTCCCTGAATTGCCTTTTTTACTTAAAGAAGTTTGAGTAAAACTCAACTCTCATATTAACATAATCACATCTGGACATATTGAATCTGAGGTGAGAGTAGGAAATCCAAATAGAAGTGCCCAGAAAAACAGCCAGAGAGCTGGCACCGGAGCTCAAGTGAAAGGTCAAACTGCCAGGCAGCCCCAAAAAGGGGATGAAGGAGCTGCAAAAATACATTAGCTCTCCAAGGCAAAAAACAGAGAGAGAAAAACTGAACCTTCAAGGAACTCCTCCTCAGGAGTCTAGAAGATGAAAAGGAAGTGGCAAAGTAGACAAGGGCAATGGATGGAAAGTCAGACAGCTGGAACTAGGTAAGAATTAAAAAGGCAAGACAGTAGGGAGACAATAATTCACTGTTATAATGAAATCAAGAAAGGATGGTAAAACAATTCATTTTCATCATACACATAAGAGATAGCTAAGTGCCTATGTGTCATCGCTGTGGATACCACAGTTTGCTAAACAGAAGTGGTCACTACTCTCCTGGAACTGACAGTCTTGCTGTGCAGACAGGCATTAGGTGATCAAGCACACATGCTATTACACTTCAGTAAGTGCTATGAAAGCAACTGACCTAGTCTGTAGAGCTGGAAAACATGTCCTGAGGAAATAATATCTCAGCTGGGATCTGAAGGATTAAGAAGGGCCTCTTCATAAAAAACAAGCCTGGGGGCAGAAGTGTGAAAAGTAGGTTGTATGAAGGAAAATGTCTTATTCTTGTTCTTTACTCAGAGGGCAACAGAAGGAATGGCCTGGTAAGAGGAAGAAGTGCTTATATGTGGGTGCCAGGGTGAGATGCTTTCTGTCTGGAAGGTCACTGAGCCTATGAAAACTGAAATCTGTTCTGTCAGTCACTCTTGGTGAGGGAAATATGTTTTTTTGGTTTTGGTTTTTTTCTTTTGCACTGGGTTACTGGGTTTGTGGATTTTCCAGGCTCTACTGGTAGGTCATCCATCTTCTTTTCCCTCCTGCTCCAGAGTCATCAGTCACTTGATGGCTTGTGCAGAATGTGGTAAGGAGACAGAAGTTGAAACTCAGGTCTCAAGATTCTTCTCAATAATGTGTTAATTTCCATGCAAAATGTGTTAATTTCCATGCAAATGCACTTTTAAATAATTTGAGTCCTTCCTGGACATAGGAGAATGCATTTTTTTTTCTTTCTTTTTTTTTTTTTTTTGGAGACGGAGTCTTGCTCTGTCGCCCAGGCTGGAGTGCAGTGGTGCCATCTCGGCTCACTGCAAGCTCCGCCTCCCAGGTTCATGCCATTCTCCTGCCTCAGCCTCCCAAGTAGCTGGGACTACAGGTGCCCACTACAATGCCCGGCTAATTTTTTGTATTTTTAGTAGAGACGGGTTTCACCGTGTTAGTCAGGATGGTCTCGATCTCCTGACCTCGTGATCTGCCTGCCTCAGCCTTCCAAAGTGCTGGGATTACAAGCGTGAGCCACTGCGCCCGGCCAAGAATGCATTTTATACTGGGTTATAAGGTTTGAAGAATGCTTTACACATTTTTACACAAGGTGGCATGAGAAATTAAAAATTGTTTTTTAATTAAAGAAAGAGACTGCTTTACACACACTCTATACTAAAGGAGCTGTATTTCTGACAATGTATAACAGAGGATGAGGGTGGAGAGAGGCAAAAGGAGGCAGAACAGAGGATATGATAATAAAAGGTGCTTTACATACATTCTCTTATATGTTTCTCACAATGACCCTTAAAGTAGGGTCATTGTGGATACCACAGTCTGCTAAACAGATGTGGTCACTACTCTCCTGGAACTGATAGTCTTGCAGTGTAGACAGTCATTAGGTGATCAAGCACACAAACTATTACATTTCAGTAAGTGCTATGAGAGTCTTGTGGCACTGGGGAACGTGACCTGAGGAATGTAGATAAAGTAGGTAGCTTTACCTACATTTCACTTGAGGAAACTTAAGTCATGAAATTTGCTCAAGATTCCACAGTTGATATGTGTGGCTGCATGAATAATGTTTTTTTAGTTAGGCCTAGCTTTATACCCTTAGCCCATCCCTTAGTAGCAGTTAATTTAAATGTTTCGATCTGTTGTGGGGTTAATAGTATTTTCTAGTAGAATCGTGAGCATTAAATAAGTGGTAAACTGGCCAGGCGCGATGGCTCACGCCTGTAATCCCAGGACTTTGGGAGGCCAGAGTGGGCGGATCACTTGAGGCCAGGAGTTCAAGACCTGGCGTAACCCAGTCTGTACTAAAAATACAAAAATTAGCCAGGCGTGGTGGCATACACCTGTAATCCCAGCTACTTGGGTGGCTGAGGCACAAGAATCACTTGAATCAAGGAGACAGAGGTGGCAGTGATCCTAAGTAGGTAAACTGCTTAAGAGGGTCTGGCAAATAGCAGCTGGAATTAAATTTGGTCCTGTAGACTCCAAAGTCATGCTCTTTACCACTGCACTATATACTCTGTGAAAAGAGCCAGTTAATTTATGCCCAAGCTGGGGCTGGGCGCGGTGGCTCACACCTGTAATCCCAGCACTTCGGGAGGCCGAGGCAGGCGGATCACCTGAGGTCAGGAGTTCGAAACCAGCCTGACCAAGATGGCGAAACCCCATCTCTACTAAAAATACAAAATTAGCTGGGCGTGGGGGTGCACGCCTGCAATCCCAGCTACTCGGGAAGCTGAGGCAGGAGAATTGCTTGAACCCGGGAGGCAGAGGTTGCGGTGAGCCAAGGTAGTGCCACTGCACTCCAGCCTAGGCAACAAGAGCAAAACTCTATCTCAAAAAAAAAAAAAAAAAAAAGGCCGGGGGCGGTAGCTCACACCTGTAATCCCAGCACTTTGGGAGTCCAAGGCAGTTGGATCACAAGGTCAGGAGATTAAGACCATCCTGGCTGACACGGTGAAACCCCGTCTCTACTAAAAACACAAAAAAATTAGCCGGGCATGGTGGCAGGTGCCTGCAGTCCCAGCTACTCAGGAGGCCGAGGCAGGAGAATGGCGTGAACCCAGGAGACGGAGCTTGCAGTGAGCAGAGATGGTGCCTCTGCACCCCAGCCTGGGTGACAGAGCGAGACTCCGTCTAAACAAAAAAAAAATTATGTCCAGGCTATGGAATGGTAGGTCTTTCAGATAATCTGATCCAGCTAAAGTTAAGTGGATAGGCTCTGGAGTCAGAAGGCCTCAGGCATTTCCCTGGCCCACCAATGGGGCTGTCCCACTACAACTCAGTATCTCTTCACTCTAGTTAACACCATGTCTTCTAAGATCCTGTACATAGTCTTGTTCTAAGTATTAAGAGGAGATACAAAGGAAGAATAATAAATTCATTTAACAAATAATTACTGAGCATCTACTATTTAACAGATCCAGTTCTAGGTGCTGGGAATACAGCAATGCTCCCATTTAGTGGGGAATGCAAAGGAGGTCTTGCTTTTTAAGGGAGGGGAAGCAGGGCCTCCAACACACACCTTTTCTGTTAGGATGACTAGTGTGCCGCTCCATCTGAACACCAACAGGTGTGGTGCCTGGGAAAGAATCATAGCATCAGATGATCAACAATCCATGTTAGTATTTTCACTATGATAATTTCCTAAGTTGTCTCCAGCAGATCTCAGCCTGTTCCAATCTGCAGAGGAAAAAGTAGGAAACTCTATTTCATGGCCAAACAGGTGACTGTTCTTGAACTGTTGGTGCTCTCACGGCCCCTTCACTAGTTTGGAAAACAGTTTTCCTTTAGTGCTTCCTTTTTTTTCTGGACAAAATAGTAATTTAACCAAACCCAAACCTTAAACGTCTCTGACGAACAGGCAGTTACTTTCCGTGTTCTCACCATGTTTAATTTCCACGGTATGATAAGTCCTTCTCCTATCCCGAATGGTAATTTTAAAACTCTGGCTCCCCATCATCTCTAACTAAGACTCAGGACAGCGGGAGAGGGATGGATGTGGGGGAAAAAAATCTCAAAGCACCACAGGGAATACTTTTTTTTTTTTTTTTGAGATGGAGTCTCGCTCTGTCGCCAGGCTGGAGTGCAGTGACACGATGTCGGCTCACTGCAACCTCCGTCTCCAGGGTTCAAGCGATTCTCCTGCCTCAGCCTCCTGAGTAGCTGGGATTACAGGCGCGCGCCACCACGCCCGGCTAATTTTTGTATTTTTAGTAGAGACGGGGTTTCGCCATGTTGGCCACGCTGGTCTCGAACTCCTGACCTCAGGTGATCCACCCGCCTCGGCCTCCCAAAGTGCTGGGATTACAGGCGTGAGCCACAGCGCCCGGCGGAAATACTTGGGAAAATATTTTAGATAGGATAACTTAAGGAAACGCAAGCCATCACCCTCCGGTACTGCTCACAGCCTCACTGAAAGCATTTCCTAAGAAGGGAAAAGTCCACATACAGCCATTAGTCCAGAGGCGATAAACCACAACTCCCAGTGTGCCCGGAAAAAGGCTGCGCAGTCCGGCCCGGTAAGACTACAACTCCCACTTCACCCTGCGCCAAGCCGGCAGGTCTTTCCCCCATGTGCTGGCTGGAGTCCCGCCTCTCTAGTCCACCTGTTGCTAAGGCTAGACCAAAAGAGTGGGAACTGTGAAGCCTTTCTTAGCCTTCACGGTCCGATAGGAGCCGAGTCGCAATACACAGTTTAACGACCTCACCTGCGGTGTTAACCGAAAGCCGCAACCCCAGCACCCAACCCTAGAGTTGACACACATGCGTAGTGGTGTGCTGGCCAACTGCCAGAGCCTTGGCGCCTGCGCCGACGTTCGCGCTGCACGCGGCCGGGAGCGGCCACCCTACTGCGCAAGCGCCTGTGCCCTCCCAGTGCCTTCGTCGTGCGCTCTCTGTCTAACTTGTCTGGCCGTTCTTGCGTAGGGGGCGGGACTAAGGCTGTCAATTGGTCTGTTTTTGTGCCGATCAATGAGATGGGTGCGGTGATTGGCGACTACCTTGAGAGTAGCGGGTTGAGGTGTAAGCCCTGAGGAGGCAGCGTTTTCTGGGCTTCTGTCTGGTTCTCTCTCTCCAGAAGGTTCTGCCGGTTCCCCCAGCTCTGGGTACCCGGCTCTGCATCGCGTCGCCATGATGGGCCATCGTCCAGTGCTCGTGCTCAGTGAGTTCTGGGGATGCCAGGAAATGGACCCCCTTTTCGCCCTCTTCTGTCCATACTTTTCAGTGTTGCCCCAGCTCCGTCCCCCACTGACCGGGCCACTGAGCCTTCCAATCATCGTCTTCATTTTGGAAGCCCAGTGTCCCGCTTTCCTCTCTTCTCTTAACCTGTTCGCTTCTCTGCACAAACTCAAACTGGCCTTATTCTCGCCGAGCCTCTTTCCTTGACGTGTGCTCGTCTTGGGAAGCTCTTTCCCACTCCGCGTTCTGTCCCTCAGCCCCCACGCTTCCCCCGCCCCTGCGCCCTTTCTAGCCTGATTGTCGCTATGTAGCTGCACGAATAACGTTTTTTTTTGTTTTTTTTTCAGTTAGGTCTAGCTTTATATTCTTGGCCCATCCCTTAGTAGCGGTAATTTAAATGTTTCAATCTGTATTACGGAGTTAACAGTATTTCCTAGTAGAATTGTGAGAATTAAATGAGGTAAGTCGGTAGACTGCTTAAAGAGGGTCTGGTAAATAGGTAATATCCTTGGTCACTTTACGTTACATTTATTTTCAGTAACAGTCTCTTGAACAGCAATCCCTTTTCCCGAAGTAACCGTACTTGCCTCACTGATCTTAGATGTAATCGTTCCCTCCGTGTCCCCGGCGTTGTACTCTTTCCCACTAACCAGTTGGGTTTTCCCAGATTTCTCGACTGGTCACCTTTTCCTTTTGGAAGATCCCTTATTTTTTTTCTTTTTATATTTTGAGACAAAGTCTCGCTCTGTCACCCAGGCTGGGTTGCAGTGGCGCGATCTCTGTTCACTGCAACCTCTGCCTCCCAGGTTCAAGCGATCCTCCTGCCTTAGCCTCCCGAGTAGCTGGGAGTACAGGCGCGCGCCACCACGCACGGCTAATTTTTGTATTTTTGGTAGAGACGGAGTTTCACCATGTTGACCAGGCTGGTCTCCAACTGCTGATGAGCTCAGGTGATCCGCCCACCTCGGCCTCCCAAAGTGCTGAGATTACAGGCGTGAGCCACCGCGCCCGGTCCCTTATTTTTTTCTGATGAGCACCACCTCCATTGTCTTCCTTTGGTATGTTTCCATTCTGTGTGTAACTTCTGTACCTCATCTGCAGAGCCTGGCTAGCCATCTCCCCTCCCTTACCGTCTTCTGTATACTGACTGCCTTTCAGAGTTATTATTCATTATCTCTGTACCTGGGAAATAACTTTTAAGGAAAAAAATAAAATAAAAACGCTATTTTGAAAAAAAAAAGCCGCCTTCTTTCTGATGGATTGTAGGTCCATGCAGGTTTTTGGTTACAGCTCCCTGAGATAGATGTAAATCCTAAGCATTGTGGGTGTTTTGGTTTGATGGGACTGGATTGAAAGATTTACAGACTTAAATTGTAAAGGAAGGTAATTTAGAGAGAGGAAGGAAATAAACATTATGTTGGTTTGGTTATAACCACTGGCTTGTCTCCACTGACATGGCCTGGGGGTGAGTGGTGTATTTGCAAAGCTCCTTTCAGGTCTGCATTAATCTCTGGCATTAGTTGGCTGTGACCGATTAGCCTCCCAGTTAAAGTATGTAGTCAGTTCTTAGTGATGGTAAATGGGTTACTGAGGCCTTCTTATTACATCCAATTATGAGGTGACTATATAATTTATCTTGCAAACTGTTGAGTGTGTTCTAAACAGTATGCTGTGGGGGCGCTATCACTAATTATGCTGGACCTGTTAGAGTATGATCCCCCTATCCAAGCAGAAAAATGTGAATCCCCAAACTCTTTCCCTGCTTACGCAAAGCAATGAATGGTCATTTCTTAGGGTCACCAGCCCTTTGAGAATCTGATAATAGTTGTGGATCCTCTTTCCGGAAAAAAAAAAAATTGCAGTATCTCTCATTTTCTCACATAATCTCAGGGAGTTCGCTATCCCACTAAGGCCCATTCATAGATCTCAGGTTATGAATCCCTGCTGTAAATATAGGAATATTTGGTTAGAAGAAAAGTATTAACCAAGATTCCAAAGTTATTTCTTAATATACCAAGGATTGAAATACAGAAGGAAGTTAACAGCCATAAGGACATATGTTTACAGTTTTTTGAGATATGGTTGACATATAATAAACTGCACTTATTTAAAGTGTAGAGTTTGATAAGCTTTGCTCTGTGGATATACCATGAAACCTGCATTCTTATTTTTCAAAGACGGGGAAATAAATAGCTTGTGTACGATGGGGCAGTCCTGGGCTGTTGACTTGTGTTTTTGTCTATTTTAGGCCAGAACACAAAGCGTGAATCCGGAAGAAAAGTTCAATCTGGAAACATCAATGCTGCCAAGGTCACAAATCTTTTAAGTGTTTATGGTAGTTTGCCTCCAGCTATCTTTCCTGGTATTTGGTCATAGCCATGTGTCCTGTGCATCTAGACTTTATAGAGTAGGCAAATAGGCAGAGGAAAAGTTGACCTCTTTCAGAACATTTTCCTGATGATGTTAGGGGAAAGGAAGCCCTCCCCTTCTGAGTTAGGACTGATAATCTTCTCGTATTAACTTGTGCATTATTCTGTTGCTGTGTATTGTTTTATAGTATTCTATTTGTGTTTGTCTCCCATACTAAACTGAGTTACTTGAACATAAGTACTTTATTCCCTTTTGTATTCCTAGTGCCCACCGTAGATCTTGGATAGATATTCGGTAAATGTCTTTTGAATGAAATAGTGAAATAGCCTTATATCTGATTTAGGATGGTGTAGAGGCCACCGTCATGGAAAGAAATACTAAGACATGGACTTCTAGTAATTAGGACTGCTGGGAAACAAGCTCTGGGAGCCATTTCCCCCTTATTCTTGTGAAAAGTCATTTCTGTATCCATTCTGAAAGCATTCCCAAGGGGAGAAAAACAACAGAGCTAGCCACATCCTATATCTAAAGTGGCATGCTATGTCTAAAGTGATGGCTAACCATGCTTTAGGGGTGTCATTAAAAACACTGACTCTGGCTGGGCGGAATGGCTCACGCCTCTAATCCCAACACTTTGGGAGGCTGAGGCAGGTGGATCACTTGGGCCCAGGGGTTTGAGACCAGCCCGAGCAACATGGTGAGACCCCATATCTAAAAATAAAATAAAATTAAAATAAAATAAAACACTGACTCTGTGGGTTGTTCATGCCCCTTTTCCCTATTACTCCAACATTTCTCACACTGTCCTCTGATTTGTGCTTGCGTATTTTATGTTCCCTTTCCATTAGACTATTGCAGATATCATCCGAACATGTTTGGGACCCAAGTCCATGATGAAGGTAGGCTTATCTCTTCCTAAAACTCTTAGGCTACAATTTTTTTCTTCCTGTTATCTAGGACACTTTAAATATAACTTTTGCTTTCATCTTAGATGCTTTTGGACCCAATGGGAGGCATTGTGATGACCAATGATGGCAATGCCATTCTTCGAGAGGTGTGTTTTGTTTTTGGTTTTGTTTTTTTGCTTTCTGACAGTTCTGTAAACATAAAGGACCTGTTAAGATACAGGCTCTGATTAGTTTTTTAGGGCTGCTATAACAGATTACCAGAAACTGGTTGGCTTCAACAACAGAAATTTATTATCTTATAGAATGAAGCTAGAAGTCTGAAATAAAGGCGTCAGTAGGGCCATGCTCCTTCTGAAGTCTCTAGGGAAGAACTCCGCTTCTCCCTTCTGATGGTTGCTGGCTTTCTTTGGCATGAACTTGGTCTCTGCCTTGGTCTTCATGTTATTCCCCTTGTGTGTCTCTTACACAAGGACACCGGTGATTGGTCTTCGAGCCCACCCTAATTCAGAATGACCTTATCTAACTTGGTTACATCTGCAAAAACCCTATTTTAAAATAAAGTAAAATTCACAGGTTCTGGGAGTTATGACTTCAACATATCTTTTTTTTTTTTTTTTTTGAGACGGAGTCTCGCTCTTGTCACCCAGGCTGGAGTACAGTGATGTGATCTCGGCTCACTGCAGCCTCCGCCTCATGGGTTCAAGCAATTCTTCTGCCTCAGCCTCCTGATTAGCTGGAATTACAAGCGCATGCCACCACACCCGGCTTAATTTTTGTACTTTTAGTAGAGACAGGGTTTCCCCATGTTGGCCAGGCTGGTCTCGAACTCCTGACCTCAGGCGATCCACCTGCCTCCGCCTCCCAAAGTGCTGAGATTACAGATGTGAGCCACCATGCCCAGCTGGCTTCAACGTATCTTACTGAAGAACACAATTCAGCCACAATAGTGCTTCCAGTAAATAAGCTAAAAGATATCGTTCTGTCCTCTGGCAGCTTTAATAGTTGAGTTCATGTAATACACTTTTTCCCAAAAAGGATTTGGAAAGTGGTTTACTTAAGCTATTTGGGGTGCCAATTTTAATCTTTCAAGATATGGTAAAACATTAAAGGGAAAGTAAGTACGTATAGAAGCAAGAAGCCCAAGAGTTAGGGCCAAGCTTCATGAGTTCAGAGGTCTTTGAATAGTGTGAATTCACTAGTGATCTACCTTTTTAGATTCAAGTCCAGCATCCAGCGGCCAAGTCCATGATCGAAATTAGCCGGACCCAGGATGAAGAGGTTGGAGATGGGACCACATCAGTAATTATTCTTGGTAAGAGGAGAATAAGAGGTTGATAAGGAAAAATTAGAAGTAACACCTGTGTCATATTTTAAGAAGGAAATTCTGTTACAGATCCACTAATTACAGATATTTAAATAGCTTATTGGTTATTTTCTATGTATTCTCTCCAGTTGGGTATAAAACATTTATATGAATAGGGTGAGCTATGCAAATCTGGCTGATAAACTAATAGTTAATTCTCTTTATTCACTGTAAGTTATAATATTCTTTTTTTTTTTTTTTTTTGAGACAGAGTCTCACTCTGTCACCATGCTGGAGTGTGGTGGTGCGATCTTGGCTCACTGCAACCTCTGCCTCCCAGGTTCAAGCGATTCTCCTGCCTCAGCCTCCCAAGTAGCTGGGACTATAGTCACGTGCCACCACGCCCAGCTAATTTTTGTATTTTTAGTAGAGACAGGGTTTCACCATGTTGGCCAGATGGTCTCGATCTCTTAACCTCGTGATCCGCCCTCCTTGGCCTCCCAAAGTGCTGGGATTACAGGCGTGAGCCACCACGCCTATAAAGTCACCACAAACACTGAATTGGCAAATAATAAATCATTGCTTCTATAGGAAATACAGGGTTAGATACCTATAAGCCTCTGGTCACACTTTCATCAACTGATAAATATATACCTTATTGTATGTGTTTGTCTTCAAGACACCCATTTAATATATATAGTTGATTTATTAGCATTGAACTCATAGCCCATAGCAATATAACTCATGCCTGGACAAAGCTCACCTAACGTATTTTCTCTGTAAGGCACATCACAGCCTTCTTGCACATAGAAGCATTAGCTAGCACTTAAGCACTACACTTGTGAGCCATTATAAATACCGAAATCATCAAGAAAAATGTGAAAAACATAACCTTAAATATACTGCATAAAGGACACTTTTTTTTACAGTGTGAGAGCTAAAGGCCTTGTTTAACCTCACCTAGGAATGTCATTGGGTGACTCAAATTTTTTGCCATTCTGTGAATTTCCATGAATGACTATGAAAGTGTCATGAATGTTGATTTTGGGGTTACAAATAATAAGAAATGAAATCTTTAGGATAATGACCCTGGGCTATGTAAGTTTAAAGACTAATCTTTCTACTTCCTATAGGATCATAAAGAATTATTTTTCAAATCTTGGCCTATTGCCTTTATTGTGTAAATGTCAAGATGATAGTAAAATTTTTATACTAGAAACACTGGTTTTAAAAAATCTGATTGCAACCAAGTGTGGTGGCTGACACCTGTAATCCCAGCACTTTGGGAGGCCAAGGTGGGCAGATCACGAGGTCAGGAGTTCGAGACCAGCCTGGGCAACATGGAGAGACCGCGTCACTGTAAAAAATAAAAATCGGCTGGATGTGGTGGCACACACCTGTAGTCCCAGCTACTGGGGAGGCTGAGGTCGGTGAGGCAGGAGGTTGAGGCTGCAGTGAGCCGTGTTTGTGCCACTGCACTCCAACCTGGGCAACAAAGCAAGACCATGTCTCTTTTTTTTTTTGAGATGGAGTCTCACTCTTGTTGCCCAGGCTGGAGTGCAATGGCACAATCTCGGCTCGCCGCAACCTCCCCCTCTCGGGTTCGAGCGATTCTCCTGCCTTAGCCTTCCAAGTAGCTGGGATTACAGGCATGGGCCACCATGCCTGGCTAATTTGTATTTTTAGTAGAGACGGCGTTTCTTCATGTTGGTCAGGCTGGTGTCGAACTCCCGACCTCAGGTGATCTGCCCGCCTCTGCCTCCCAAAGTGCTGGGATAATAGGTGTAAGCCACCACGCCTGGCCTGAGAGGGACTATTTTAAAATAAGGGATGCTAATTTTATTTATTTATTTATTTATTTATTTATGTTTTTGAGACAGAGTCTTGCTCTGTCGCCCAGGCTGCAGTGCATTGGCGCAATCTCAGTTCACTGCAACCTCCACCTCCCAGGTTCAAGTGATTCTCCTGCCTCAGCTTCCCTAGTAGCTGGGATTACAGGCATGCGCCACCACGCCTGGCTGATTTTTGTGTTTTTAGTAGAGACAGGGTTTCACCATGTTGGCCAGACTGATCTCGAACTCCTGAGCTCAGGTGATCTGACAACCTCGGCCTTCCAAAGTACTGGGATTACAGGTGTGAGCCACTGCGCCCAGCCAAGGGATGCTAATTTATAGTGTTGGCCCACATACCTAAAAATAAAGTTCTTAATCAAAATTATTATTATTTATTTTTCGTAGAGATGGGGTCTCATGTTGCCCAGGCTTGCCTCAAACTCCTGGGCTCAAGCAATCTCCTGCCTCAGCCTCCCAAAGTGTTTTTCTTTTTGAGATGGAGTCTTGCTGTGTCACCCAGGCTAGAGTACAGTTGTGCAATCTCAGCTCACTGCAGCCTCTGATCCCGGGTTCAAGCGATTCTCCTGCCTCAGCCTCCTGAGTAGATGGGATTACAGATGCCCACCACCGCGCCCGGCTAATTTTTATATTTTTAATAGTGACGGGATTTCACCATATTGGCCAGGCTGGTCTTGAACTCCTGACCTCATGATCCACCTGCCTCAGCCTCCCAAAGTGCTGGGATTACAGGCTGTGAGCCACCGTGCCTGGCTAAGCCTAGCTAATTTTTCAAATTATATTTATTTATTTATTTATCTTTGAGACAGAGTCGCCCAGGCTGGAGTGCAGTGGCACAGTCTTGGCTCACTGCAGCCTCCACCCCTGGGGTTCAAGTGATTCTCCTGTCTCAGCCTTTCTGTTAGCTGGGATTACAGGTGCCCGCCACTGTGCCTGGCTAATTTTTAGTAGAGATGGGGTTTCACCATGTTGGCCAGGCTGGTCTCACCACGCCTGGCCTTATTTATTTATTTTTATTTTTAAATTTTATTTATTTATTTTTGTGTGACAGAGTCTCACTCTGTAGCCCAAGCTAAAGTGCAGTGGCATCATCTTGGCTCACTGCAACCTCTGCCTCCTGGGCTCGTGATTCTCATGCCTCAGCCTCCTGAGTAGCTGGGATTATAGGCGCATGCCACCAAGCCCAGCTAATTTTTGTATTTTTAGTAGAGGTGTGGTTTCACCATGTTGGCCAGGCTGGTGTCAAACTCTATCAACCTCAGGTCATCCACCCACCTCAGCCTCCCAAAGTGCTGGGATTACAGGCGTGAGCCATAGCGCCTGGCCCTATTGTACTGCATTTTAAGAATGGTGAGTTGAATAAAAATGTCCTTGAGAGTCACAGTCAACTAGTCCATCTTTAGATCCAGTTCTTTTGAGGATTCAGAACATAGCCAGTTATGGACTTTTAGGGAAAACCTGGAAGGATGAAAGAGGAGGGAGGAAAGATTTCATACTCTTTTTTATTTTTTATTTTTTGTAATAGAACATGAGCTTTACATATCAGAGAAAATTTTCTAGCTGATAATTTCAGTTGAATCATCTAGAGATAGTGGGTAGAATAAGTATCCATGAGTCTAAGTATCTTAGATGTAGATGGATTTAAGAATGTGAAAAAGAACACTTGACCAGCCCTAAAGAAATCTTCTGTTACAGTTCTAATAATTTCTTAATAGGGTATATCCTTTTCTAAGTTATCTTACTCAGGCTTTTGCTTTTTTTTTTTTCGAGACAGAGTTTCATACTGTCGCCCAGGCTGGAGTGCACTGGCGCGATCTTGGCTCACTGCAGCCTCTGCCTCCCGGGTTCCAGCAATTCTCCTGCCTCAGCCTCCCAAGTAGCTGGGGTTACAGGCACCCGCCACCATGCCCAGCTAATTTTTGTATTTTTAGTAGAGACGGGGTTTCACCATGTTGGTCAGGCTGGTCTCAAACTCCTGACTTCAGGTGATCCTCCCACCTCAGCCTCCCAAAGTGCTGGGATTACAGACGTGAGCCACCATGCCCAGCCACTCAGCCATCTTTTAAAATGCAATAATATGCTGCTTAATGATGGGGATATGGGCTGGGCGCGGTGGCTTACGCCTGTAATCCCAGCACTTTGGGAGGCCAAGGTGGGCAGATCACGAGGTCTGGAATTCGAGACCATCCTGACCAACATGGTGAAACCCTGTCTTTGCTAAAAATACAAAAAATGAGCTGGGCATGGTGGCGCGTGCCTGTAGTCCCAGCTACTCGGGAGGCTGAGTCAGGAGTATCACTTGAACCTGAGAGGTGGAGGTTGCAGTGAGCCCAGATCACACCACTGCACTCCAGCCTGGCAACAGAGCAAGATTCCGTCTCAAAAAAAAAAAAAAAAAAAAAGATGGGGATACGTTCTGAGACAAATGCGTTATTAGGCAGTCTCATTACTATGCAGACTTCATGGAGTGTACTTTACAAACCTGGGTGGTACGGCCTACTATACACTTAGGCTGTATGGTATAGCCTATTGCTTCTAGGCCACAAAGCTGTATAACATGTTACTGTACTGAATACAGTTATAATACAGTGGTAAGTATTTGTATAATAAGCATAGCTAAACATAGAAAAGGTACAGTAAAAATATGATATTATAATCTTATGGGACCACTGTCATATATGTGGTCCATTGTTGGCTGAAACATTAAATGGTACGTGACTGTATTTTTTGATTATTTTTCTTTCAATATACATGATTGACACTTTGGAATTGAAACAAAATATATTGAATTCAAACACTGGAGCACATACTAATGAATAACATGTACATTTTTTTTTTTTATTTTTATTTTTATTGATCATTCTTGGGTGTTTCTCGCAGAGGGGGATTTGGCAGGGTCATAGGACAATAGTGGAGGGAAGGTCAGCAGATAAACAAATGAACAAAGGTCTCTGGTTTTCCTGGGCAGAGGACCCTGCTGCCTTCCGCAGTGTTTGTGTCCCTGGGTACTTAAGATTAGGGAGTGGTGATGACTCTTAACGAGCATGCTGCCTTCAAGCATCTGTTTAACAAAGCACATCTTGCACCGCCCTTAATCCATTTAACCCTGAGTGGACACAGCACATGTTTCAGAGAGCACAGGGTTGGGGGTAAGGTCACAGATCAACAGGATCCCAAGGCAGAAGAATTTTTCTTAGTACAGAACAAAATGAAAAGTCTCCCATGTCTACTTCTCTCTACACAGACACGGCAACCATCCGATTTCTCAATCTTTTCCCCACCTTTCCCGCCTTTCTATTCCACAAAACCGCCATTGTCATCATGGCCCGTTCTCAATGAGCTGTTGGGTAGACCTCCCAGACAGGGTCGTGGCCGGGCAGAGGGGCTCCTCACTTCCCAGTAGGGGCAGCCGGGCAGAAGCGCCCCTCACCTCCCGGATGGGGCGGCTGGCCGGGCCGGGGGCTGACCCCCCTACCTCCCTCCCGGACGGGGGGACTGACCCCCCCCACCTCCCTCCCGGACGGGGCGGCTGGCTGGGCAGAGGGGCTCCTCACTTCCCAGTAGGGGTGGCCAGGCAGAGGCGCCCCTCACCTCCCGGACGGGGCGGCTGGCTGGGCGGGGGGCTGACCCCCCCACCTCCCTGCCAGATGGGGCGGCTGGACCCCCACCTCCCTCCCGGACGGGGTGGCTGCCGGACGGAGGGGCTCCTCACTTCTCAGACAGGGCGGTTGCCAGGCAGAGGGTCTCCTCACCTCCCAGACGGGGTCGCGGCTGGGCAGAGGCGCTCCTCACATCCCAGACGGGGCGGTGGGGCAGAGGTGCTCCCCACATCCCAGACGATGGGCGGCCGGGCAGAGACGCTCCTCACTTCCTAGATGGGATGGCGGCCGGGCAGAGAAGCTCCTCACTTTCCAGACTGGGCAGCCAGGCAGAGGGGCTCCTCACATCCCAGACGATGGGCGGCCAGGCAGAGACGCTCCTCACTTCCCAGACGGGGTGGCGGCCGGGCAGAGGCTGCAATCTCGGCTCTTTGGGAGGCCAAGGCAGGCGGCTGGGAGGTGGTTGTAGCGAGCCGAGATCACGCCACTGCACTCCAGCCTGGGCACCATTGAGCACTGAGTGAACGAGACTCCGTCTGCAATCCCGGCACCTCGGGAGGCCGGGGCTGGCGGATCACTCGCGGTTAGGAGCTGGAGACCAGCCCGGCCAACACAGCGAAACCCCGTCTCCACCAAAAAAATACGAAAACCAGTCAGGCGTGGCGGCGCGCGCCTGCAATCGCAGGCACTCGGCAGGCTGAGGCAGGAGAATCAGGCAGGGAGGTTGCAGTGAGCCGAGATGGCAGTAGTACAGTCCAGCTTCAGCTCGGCATCAGAGGGAGACCGTGGAAAGAGAGGGAGAGGGAGACCGTGGAGAGGGAGAGGGGAGAGGGGAGAGGCGAGAGGCTATGTACATTTTTAAAAGCTTATTTTACCTGCCAGTAAGCAGGTAGTACAAGCAATTTGTGCAAAAGGCTTTTGACAAAAAGAATATTTACAATACTCTCTTTATACTTTTTCTAGAAACAAGCTTTTTTGTGTGTGGGTTTGCATCTATGTATATGTTATTTTGTGTGTGTCTATTAGAAAGTAAAGACAAATTTTATTTGTTTATTTATTTTGAGACAGAGTCTCACTCTATCACCCAGGCTGGGGTGCCTGGGCACAGTCTCCACTCACTGCAACCTCTGCCTCTCAGGTTCAAGCAATTCTTGTGCCTCAGCCTCCCAACTAGCTGGGATTACAGACACCCACCAACACACCTGGCTAATTTTTGTATTTTTGGTAGAGACAGTTTCACCATGTTGTCCAGGCTAGTCTCAAAACTCCTGGTCTCAAGCGATTTGCCTGCCTCGGCTTCCCAAAGTGCTGGGATTACAAGGTGTGAGCCACCATTCCCAGCCAGAAAGTAAAGACAAATTTTAAAAGAAGGAGATGTTTTACCAATAATCCCTTATCCAGAGGGTAAATTGTGTACATTTTCTTTTTTTTTTCTTTTTCTTTTTTTTTTTTTTTTTGAGATGGAGTCTCACTCTGTGGCTTAGGCTGGAGTGCAATGGCACGATCTTGGCTCACCACAACCTCCGCCTCCCTGGTTCAAGCGATTCTCCTGCCTCAGCCTCCCGAGTAGCTAGGAATACAGGCATGTGCCATCATGCCTGGCTAATTTTTGTATTTTTAGTAGAGATGGTTTCACCATGTTGGCCAGGCTGGTCATGAACTCCTGACCTCAGGTAATCCATCTGCCTTGGCCTCCCAAAGTGCTAGGATTACAGATGTGAGCCACCACACCCAGCCTTAATTGTGCACATTTTCTAATTTTAATTTTTTATTTTTTTGAAACAGAATCTTGCTCTATTGCCCAGGCTGGAGTGCAATAGTGTGATCACGGCTCACTGCAGCCTTGACCTTCTGGGCTCAATGAGTCCTCCCAGCCCAGGTTCCCAAGTAGCTACAGGCACATGCCACCATACCTGGCTAATTTTTGAATTTTTTCGTAGAGACAGGGTTTTGCTATGTTTCTCAGGCTGGTCTAAAAATTCCAGAGCTCAGGTGATCTGCTCACCCTAGCCTCCCAAAGTGCTGGGATTACAGGTGTGAGCTACCGCATCCAGCCCTGAATATTCTTTCAGAGGTAGGGTTTTGTGTGTTTTGTTTTTAGTTCAAGCAGTTTGACTACATCCTAAGGTATAAAGGTACTAATAAACAAGTCAGTTTTTCTTTTGTGCATTTTTCTTTATTTTAGAGCCTTCAGGGAAATTTTTTTTTAGAAAGATCAAGAGAAGGCCAGGCGTGGTAGCTTACGCCTGTAATCCCAGCACTTTGGGTGGCCGAGGTGGACAGATCACCTGAGGTCACGAGTTCGAGACCAGCCTGGCCAACCAACATAGTAAAACCCGTCTCTACTAATAAAGTACAAAAGTTAGCTGGGTGTGGTGATGCATGCATGTAATCCCAGCTACTTGGGAGGCCGAGGTGGGAAAATCGCTTGAATCTGGGAGGCGGAGGTTGCAGTGAGCAGAGATTGCGCCACCGCACTCCAGCCTGGGCGACACAGCGAGACTGCTTCTCAAAAAAAAAAAAAAAAAATCAAAAGAATAAGTAAGCCCTAGAATCAGTCTTTCATCATTTTATTTTTTGAGATAGGGTCTCACTCTGTCACCCAGATTGGAGTGCAATGGTGCGGTCATGGCTCATTGCACCCTCAACCTCCTGGGCTCAAGTGATCCTCTTAACCTCAGCCTCCTGAGTAGCTGGGACTGCAGGCTCATACCACCACACTAAGCTAAATTTTAAATTTTTTTGTAAAGACAGGGTCTCACTGTGTTGCCCAGGCTGATCTTGAATTTCTGGGATTACAGGTATGAGCCACCATGCCTAGCCTGGGCAACAAGGATGTTTTCTGTATAAATTGCCGTCTTATACAATGTGTAGAATTTGGAATAGTATGAATGGCCAAATGTCATACCTTTTGGGAGAGTCTGATTTAGGAGAGTATTTTTTGGAAGAATAATTAAGTTACTTGCCTTGATATCCAGATGCTTTAAATATTACTATGGTGCTTGTATCTTTTTCAGCAGGGGAAATGCTGTCTGTAGCTGAGCACTTCCTGGAGCAGCAGATGCACCCAACAGTGGTGATCAGTGCTTACCGCAAGGCATTGGATGATATGATCAGCACCCTAAAGAAAATAAGGTATCTTGGGGGCAAGAAATAGGTAGTATCAAATATGAGAGGCCTGGCTAGACGTGGTGGCTCATGGCTGTCATCCCAGCACTTTGGGAGGCCTAGGCGGGTGGATCTTGAGGTCAGGAGATGGAAACCATCCTGGCCAACATGGTGAAACCTCGTCTGTACTAAAAATACAAAAAATTAGTTGGGCATGGTGGCGCATGCGTGTCGTCCCAGCTACTTGGGAGGCTGAGGCAGGAGAATTGCCTGAACCAGGGAGTCAGAGGTTGCAGTGAGCTGAGATGGCCCCACTGTGCTCCAGCCTGGTGACAGAGCAAGACTCCGTCTCAAAAAAAATCAGCTGGGTATGGTGGCGCACACCTGTAATGCCAGCTACTCAGGAGGATGAGGCAGAAAAATTGCTTGAAACCAGGGGGCGGAGATTGCAGTGAGCCAAGATCTCTCCACTGCACTCCAACCTGAGCAACAAGAGCGAAACTCCCATCTCAGAAGAAAAAAAAGAAAAGCATATATTACCTCTAGCTTCAGGGAATTTTAGTTAAGGTTTAACATCACGTAGAGTCATGTAGAGCAGTGTCTTGAATAAAAATTTTTGTTTAAAAAGTAAAACCTGGCAGGGCTCGGTGGCTCACGCCTGTAATCCCATCACTTTGGCCCAGGTGGGTGGATCACGAGGTCAGGAGTTAGAGACCAGCCTGGCCAACATGGTGAAACCTCGTCTCTACTAAAAGTACAGAAAATTAGCTGGGCATGGTGGCAGGCGCCTGTAATCCCAGCTATTCAGGAGGCTGAGGCAGGAGAATCGCTTGGACCCGGGAGGCGAAGGTTTCAGTGAGCCGAGATTGTGCCACTGCACTCCAGCCTGGGTGACAGAGTGAGACTCTGTCTCAAAAAAATAAAAAGTAAGACTTGGGCTGGGCATGGTGGCTCACACCTGTAATCCTAGCACTTTGGGAGGCCAAGGCGGGTGGATCACCTGAGGTCAGGAGTTCAAGACCAGCCTGGCCAAGATGGTGAAACCTCATTTCTACTAAAAATGCAAAAATTAGCCAGGTGTGGTTGCATGCGCCTGTAATCCCAGCTACTCGGGGGGCTGAAGCAGGAGAATCACTTGAACCCGGGAGGCGGAGTTTGTGGTGAGCCAGGATCGCACCATTGCACTCCAGCCTGGGCGAACAACAAAACTCCATCTCAAAAAAAATAAAAATAGGGCTGGGTGCGGTGGCTCACGTCTGTAATCCCAGCACTTTGGGAGGCGGAGGCGGGCGGATCACGAGGTCAGGAGATTGAGACCATCCTGGCTAACATGGTGAAACCCCATCTCTACTAAAAATACAAAAAAATAAGCCGGGCGTGGTGGCAGGTGCCTATAGTCCCAGCTACTTGGGAGGCTGAGGCAGGAGAATGGCATGAACCCGGGAGGCAGAGCTTGCAGTGAGCAGAGATTGCACCACTGCACTCCAGGCTGGGCGACAGAGCGAGACTCCATCTCAAAAATAAATAAATAAAAATAAAAATGTATATTTTTTCCACGCCCAACTGGAAATAGTTTTTTTTTTCTTTATTTAAATATTCTACTCATATGGTTGAGTCACTAGATGCATAAGTGTTTAGTAATTTGGTGAGGTTTATATTATACTGCCTGCTCTTTTTTTTTTTTCTTGAGACGGAGTTTTTGTACTTGTTGCCCAGTCTGGAGTGCAATGAATGGCGCGATCTCGGCTCACTGCAACCTCCACCTCCCAGGTTCAAGTGATTATCCTGCCTCAGACTCTCGAGTAGCTGGGATTACAGGCATGTGCATCCACATCCGGCTAATTTTGTATTTTTAGTAGAGACAGGGTTTCTCCATGTTGGTCAGGCTGGTCTCAAACTTTCAACCTCAGGTGATCCACCCACCTTGACCTCCCGAAGTGCTGGGATTACAGGCGTGAGCCACCGCGCCTGGCCATATACTGCCTGCTCTTAAACAAGTTGTACATTAATATCTTTGTCTGGCACACTTAAGAATGAGGTGTTTGATCTAATTATTTTTATGCAGTAAGCTCTGTGAGAATGTAGAGGTACCCAAAGGTTTTATTGTGTGGAGCTTCACGCTTAGAAAGCCTTTTTTTTGAGACGGAGTTTCACTCTTGTTGCTCAGGCTGGAATGCAATAGCTGGATCTCAGCTCACTACAACCTCTGCTCCCTGGCTTCAAGCAGTTTTCCTGCCTCAGCCTCCCGAGTAGCTGGGATTATAGGCATGTGCCACTACGCCTGGCTAATTTTGTATTTTTAGTAGAGACGGAGTTTTTCTCCACATTGGTCAGGCTGGTCTCAAACTCCCGACCTCAGGTGATCCGCCTGCCTCGGCCTCCCAAGGTGCTGGGATTACAGGCGTGAGCCACCGTGCCTGGCCTGAAATATTTTTTTTTTTTAATCAAGTAATAACTGCCTACCTAGAACACTTTAATCTTATTAAAAAAATTTTTTTGGGGTGGCGGGGGGTCTCGCTCTGTTTTCCAGGCTGGAGTGTGCAGTGGCATGATCTCGGCTCACTGCAACCTCCGCCTCTTCGGTTCAAGCAATTCTGTCTCAGCCTCCCAAGTAGCTGGGACTACAGGCGCATACCACCACACCTAGCTAATTTTGGTATTTTTAGTAGAGATGGGGTTTCACCATATTGGTGAAGCTGGTCTCAAACTCCTGACCTCAGGTGATCCTACCACCTCGGCCTCCCAAAAAAATTATTTTTTAGAGATATGGTCTCACTCTGTTGCCTAAGCTGGAGTGCGGTGGTGCAGTCACAGCTTACTGCAGCTTCCAGCTCCTGGGCTCAAGCAATCCTGCCCCAGCTTCCCAAGTAGCTAGGACTATAGGTATGTCCACCACGCCCTGCTAAATTTTTCATAGAGATGAGGTTTTGCTATGTTGCCCAGGTTGGTTTTTAACTCTGGGCTTCCAGCTATCCTCAGTCTTCCAAAGTGTTGGGTTTACAGGCGTGAAGCATGGCACCCAGCCCCCTTTATCTTAGATACCATTTTTGGAGTCATTGCTTCTTCCCAAAAGTCCATAATTCAACCATTTAATAATTGGTATATTATGTGCCTTTCACTGTTAAAAGAGGGATTTTGTTTATTTTGGGGTTTTTTTGAGACGGAATCTCACTCTGTCACCCAGGCTGTCGTGCAGTGACATGATCTCAGGTCACTGCAACCTCTGCCTCTGGAGTAACTGGGACTACAGGCACATGCCACCACTCCTGGCTAATTTTTGTATTTTTAATAGAGATGGGGTTTCACCATATTGGCCAGGCTGGTCTCGAACTCCTGACCTCAAGTGATCTGCCCGCCTTGGCCTCCCAAAGTGCTGGGATTACAGGCGTGAGCCACCGTGCACAGCCAAAAAAGAGATTTTAGCATTATGTGAAAATATCTTGTGAGGAGTGAAAGTAATATAAAAATGGTAAATACATAAAATGTGTTTACAGTAACATAAAAACACAAAGATGACCAGTTGGTGGTCATCTTTGACCACTGTGACACACCATGAGCTAAAAATAAAATTTGCTGTTCAAATGAATGATTTGATAAAACTCTTAAAGTTGGCTAGTTATGGGATAAAGTTTCATAAAAAAAAATGTGTCTTGACCTGAGTTGTAAAAGTTGAAAAGTTTACTTGGTTGAAGCAGAAGATAAGGAACAAATTATTTTACTATAATCTTTGTATGTAAGTGTAAAGGGTTGCTCAGGGAATTAAGGCACCGTCTACAGATGAGTTGTAATCTTGCTGAAAGGCAGAGGAATGGACAAAGGTTACCTCCTAATGTCCTTTTAGTTTCCTCCAAAGGAACAAATCCCCTTGTTCTGCCTCTTGGTCCATTATTATAGTCACTGAGGTATAGATAAGGCACATCTCTACATATCTAACATGCCTTCTTCACATATCGTCTGGTTTTCTTTTCTCTAGTATCCCAGTCGACATCAGTGACAGTGATATGATGCTGAACATCATCAACAGCTCTATTACTACCAAAGCCATCAGTCGGTGGTCATCTTTGGCTTGCAACATTGCCCTGGATGCTGTCAAGATGGTACAGTTTGAGGAGAATGGTCGGAAAGAGATTGACATAAAAAAATATGCAAGAGTGGAAAAGGTAAACTTTCAAAGTGTATACATTGGGTCAAATTATATGTTAGCATGAGTCATCTCACTTGTGAGGAAATAGTCTGTTTTTCATGCCGTTGTTTTGTTTTGTTTTTGAGACAGAGTCTCACCTTGTTGCCTAGGCTGGAGTATAGTGGCACAGTCACAGCCCACTGCAGCCTCAAACTCCTGGCCTCAAGCAAATCCTCTGATTTGCTAGGACTACAGGCACATGCCACTGTGCCCAGCAAATTTTTTTTCTTTTTGTAGAGATGAGGGTCTCATGTTGCCCAGGCTGGTCTTGAACTCCTGGCCTCAAGTGATCTTCCCACCTCAGGCTCTCAAAGTGCTGGGATTATAGGCATAAGCCATCATACCCTACTTGAATGAAATAGTTTTAAATCAGAGCAAGGTATGTTTTTTGTTTGTTTGTTTTTTTGAGATGGAGTCTTGCTCTGTCGCGCAGAGGCTAGAGTGCAGTGGTGCGATCTCGGCTCACTGTAGCCTCCACCTCCCGGGTTCGAGTGATCTCCTGCCTCAGCCTTTAAAATAGTTGGGATTACAGATGCCTGCCACCACGCCCAGCTAATTTCTTTTTGTATTTTAAGTAGAGACGGGGTTTCACCATGTTAGCCAGGATGGTCTCGAACTCCTGACCTCAGTGATCTGCCCACCTTTGCCTCACAAAGTGCTGGGATTATAGGGTGAGCCACTGCGCCTGACCAAAGCAAGGTATCTTTAGTTAGAACTAGGAAGAACTATACTTGCTGCCTGGAAACAAAAACCTATAAGAGGCTACCAAGTAGGAATTTCTTCAAATAGTTTTGTTGTTACCTTCACTGCTATCCCTACACAAGGTTTATGAGGACAAGGGACAGGCTTATTGGTGTCTCCATGTTTGTGTATTTGCATACATCAGTCATTTGGTCAGGATATAAGCTTAACAAGGGCTCTATTATGTAGTGCTATTAAAATAGTAAGCCCCAGAAAGCTTTCTCTCCTGTCCACTAAATTTCATTAAGATCCAAAAGTTTAGTAGTATAGCTTGTGGCCAGTAGATGGAGCCCCAAGCCTAAAATTCTCTGGCAATATATTTATTTTTTTAATTGGAGAGACCTAAGCCCTTATTTATTTATTTAAATAGCAATTGGGTCTCAATGTGTTGCCCAGGCTGGTCTCGAACTCCCGGCCTCAAGGGATCCTCCTGCCTGAGCCTCTTGAGTAGCTGGGATTTTAGGTGTGAACCACTGTGCCTGGCTCATAAGCCCCTCTAAGTCTTTTGTCAAGTCATTGAATTTCAGTGAGTCTCAGCAGACCTTCAAGTTGAGTGTCATGGTCTAAAATTGGTGTATTTCCTAATGGGAAAAAAATGTGATTCCAATAATATTTTTGAGCTTCATCAAAGAAAGGTACTTTAGAAACCTGAAACACTGGGCCGGGCGTGGTGGCTCATGCCTGTAATCCCAGCACTTTGGGAGGCCGAGGCGGGCGGATCACGAGGTCAGGAGATCGAGACCATCCTGGCTAACATGGTGAAACCCCATCTCTAGTAAAATACAAAAAAAAAAATTAGCCGGGTGTGGTGGCGGGCGCCTGTAGTCCCAGCTACTTGGGAGTCTGAGGCAGGAGAATGGCGTGAACCCGGGAGGCGGAGCTTGCAGTGAGCCGAGATTGCACCACTGCACTCCAGCCTGAGCGACAGAGCGAGACTCCATCTCAAAAAAAAAAAAAAACCTGAAACACTAGCTGTTTGGGAAAGATGAACATCTGGGAAGGAAATTAAGAAATTGTCTCTTGATTGTGGATTAAAGTGCAGTTGTCTTTTGTTCAGATACCTGGAGGCATCATTGAAGACTCCTGTGTCTTGCGTGGAGTCATGATTAACAAGGATGTGACCCATCCACGTATGCGGCGCTATATCAAGAACCCTCGCATTGTGCTGCTGGATTCTTCTCTGGAATACAAGAAAGGAGAAAGCCAGGTAAGGTTCTTGGCCTTGTTCCTTAAAGTAGATGCAAGAATCTGACTGCAAATATGAACAACAGAAATAAAACGTATGTTTATTGCATGCCTTCTGGGTGCATAGTGTACACTGACTCTTAGAACAATCCTTTAGAATAGTTGGTATTGATTTCATTTTACAGATGAGGGATCTGAAGCTCAAACAAGTTAGGTTAATTGCTTGAGGAATACAGCTAGTATTGGCCAAAATCAAGATTTGAACCTGGTTGTGTTTGGCTTGTTTTATACGATCATGCTGCCTTTCCTAATGCACCAGGGGAACATAAGGTAGGAGTTAATTCAGCTTTGAAGTACTAAAGGAGAATTTCAGCTTAATGCAGTGGCTCACACCTATAATTCTAGCACTTTGGGAGGCTAAGGCAGGTGGATGGCTCGAGCCCAGGAGTTCAAGACCAGCCTAGGCAACATGTCGAATACTGTCTTTATTTAAAAAAAATTAATTGGGCGTGGTGGCATGTGCCTGTAGTCCCCACTACTTGGGAGGCTGAGGTGAGAGGATTGCTTGAACCCAGAAGGTCAAGGGTGCAAGGAGCTGTGATCACGCCACTGAACTCCAGCCTGAGCAACAGTGAGACCCTGTCTCAAAAAAAAAAAAAAAAAAATTCTAGAGGGCAGGAGGCTCACAAGGCTCCATCACATTTGGAAAGAATAAGAATCAATTAGTGGGAAGAATTAAGACCCAGGATTTTCCTGCACACTGCCAGGACAGATGTAGGATTGGACTGGGTGGTCAGAGACCTTAGAAAGGCCAAACTCAACACTAATTACTGTGTGACTTTCAGTTCTGGTTGTTTTATAATGATATAACTGGAGCTGGCCGGGCGTGGTGGCTCACGCCTGTAATCCCAGCACTTTGGGAGGCAGAGGCGGGCGGATCACGAAGTCAGAAGATCGAGACCATCCTGGCTAACGTGGTGAAACCCCGTCTCTACTAAAAATACAAAAAAAAAGTTAGCTGGGGGTGGTGGCAGGCACCTGTAGTCCCAGCTACTCGGGAGGCTGAGGCAGGAGAATCGCTTGAACCCAGGAGGCAGAGCTTGCAGTGAGCCAAGATCGCGCCATTACACTCCAGCCTGGGTGACAGAGCAAGATTCCGTCTCAAAAAAAAAAAAAAGCAAAACTAAAGCTAAATTGGCTTACAGAGGTGTTGAGGTCATGGCTTTAACATAATTCTGACTCTGAGATACGTGGGAGAGGTGGGTGGAAGGAGTATAATATGACCCTTAGAGCTTCACCAGTCCAGGGATTTTAAAATCAGTGTCTTTTCTTTACCACACAGACTGACATTGAGATTACACGAGAGGAGGACTTCACCCGAATTCTCCAGATGGAGGAAGAGTACATCCAGCAGCTCTGTGAGGACATTATCCAACTGAAGCCCGATGTGGTCATCACTGAAAAGGGCATCTCAGGTGGGACTTTGTTACTTTTTCCAGCCTACCTTTGAGGTAGACGAGGGTGGGTGATTTGTTTTCTCCCCTCATGTTTGGCAGGGGCGTAATAGTGTCATGGTTAAGAGTACTTTGATTATAAAACCAGTTCAGAACCCAGCTTGACATCTCTACTCTTGGATTTGTAGATTTAGCTCAGCACTACCTTATGCGGGCCAATATCACAGCCATCCGCAGAGTCCGGAAGACAGACAATAATCGCATTGCTAGGTGAGTAGGCCAGGTAAAAACAAGACTTTTCTTCCCGTGTGTTTCCTTTTTGTAGTTGCGTAACAGTCATCATTACCTGAAAAGGTTTAATAAAGGATATAGTAACAGGTAGAAATAACCTTGGCTTAGCTGCCTGCCCTCTTCAGAAGTCCTCTAGTCCAACAGTTATTTACTGCGTGAGTCTCATCTGTACTGCCCCTAACCATTAGTGAGCAGCTTGTGCTTAGACATTTGTAATTGCTACCTTGGTGGGTGTCCGTTACATTTCTAAATAACTGCCTATCTAAGAGGTTTTCTTTAATGTCATTATGATGATTTTTGAATGAACATTTCCAGAGTATCCTAAGTGGCCTGGATTATAGCAGAACCATCAGTTTCCTCAGCTACATCCTTAGCTGCGATTTATGCGATTCTAGATTGCATTCACTACTTCTGCACTGATGTCTGTGCTCATAGACCATTCTTTTTAATAGACAAGGTCTTGCTGTGTTACCTAGGCCTGTCTCAAACTCCTGGGCTCAAGCAGTCATCCTGTTGTCAGCCTTTCCAGTACCTGAAACTATTGGCATGCGCCACCATGCCCAGCAAAGTTCATTCATTTTTAATTTATCAAAAAGCTGACAAATCTACCCCAACATAATATATCACAGATCCAAATCATATTTTATACTTTTATACCCCAAAGGGTATTAACATGCATACACATAGTTGACTTCACATGGCCATGAGTTGGAGGGAGTGACAAGCAATTAGTCCTACATTCATTAAACTTCGGTCAGACGTATGCAGTCATCCCTTGATATCCACAGGGCATTGGTTCTAGGATCCCCGCCCCCTTGAATACTAAAGTTTGTGGATGCTTAACCCTTATATAAAATGGTATGGTATTTGTGTATAACCTATACACATCCTTCTATACACTTTAAATCACCTTTAGATTGCTTATAATGCCTAATATAGCATAAATGCTATATAAATAGTTGCTATACTATATTGTCTTTAAAATTTATATTATTTTTTGCCGTTGTATTATTGTCCATCCCCCCACCCCACCCCCCCTGCCATGTTATCAGTGCATGGTTGGTGGAATCTGGATGCGGGACCTGCGGATATAGAGGGCCAACTCTACTTACATGTTTATTCGCCTTCCTCCTTGCTTGACCTTTGCATCTTTGGTACAGTCTTTATTATTCGCCTGGAGACTCAACTGGGCAGTACAGGATGGGTTATATCTAGAAGTTACCATTATATAGTATAGACATGTTAATTTTTTTCTTTTATCTTTCTTTTTTGCAGGTTCTAATTCTCTAGTTGAAATATGTACATGTTAGATATGCATGAGAACTAATTTGTCCAGATTTTAGTAACCACAAAGTATATTTTGAATTCAACTATATCTGGTTATAGTAGTGATGACTAGTTGCCTTAAGTGTACAGTTGACCCTTGAACAACTTGGGGGTTAGGGGAATCAGTCCCCAAGGAGTTGAAAATCCATGTATAATTTTTTGACTCCCCCACTCCTAATAGCTGACCGTTGACCCGAACCCTTACCAATAACACAATTAACTATCACATATTTTGTATATCATATGTGTTATATACTGTATTCCCTTAAATAAAGTAAGCTAGAGAAAATGTTATTAAGAAAATCATAAGGGCAGGGCACGGTGGCTCATGCCTGTAATCCCAGCACTTTGGGAGGCCAAGGCAGGTGGATCACCTGAGGTGAGGAGTTCAAGACCAGCCTGGCCAACATGGTGAAACCCCATCTCTAATAATAATACAAAAATTAGCTAGGTGTGGTGGTGCATGCCTGTAATCCCAGCTACTCGGGAGGCTGAGGCAGGAGAATTGCTTGAACCAAGGAGGCGGAGGTTGCAGTAAGCTGAGATGGTGCCATTGCACTCCAACCTGGGCGACAAGAGTGAAAGTCCGTCTCCAAAAAAAGAAAATCATAAGGAAGAGATAACACATTTACTATGCCTTAAGTGGAAGTAGATCATCAAAAAGGTCATCATCATCTTCATGTTGAATAGGCTGTGGAGGAAGAACGGGCTGGTCTTTCTGTCTTGGGTGTCAGAGGCAGAAGAGTGGTAGAAGGGGAGGCAGGATGGGCAGGAGGCACACTCAGTGTAACTCAATGGAAATACATCGTGATTTGTCTGACTTCTGCTTTTTTGTTTCTCTAAAAATATTTCTGTATAGTACCAGTCCCTCTTCCACTGCTTCAGTTTCAGTGCCTCTATCATAGAAGGGTCCATATCATAAAAGAAGTCAAAAGCAGTCTTGAATAATCAGAAGCCTTCTGCCAGATTGTCTAATGTCAGTTTGTTTTCTGGCACTGCTGCTTCTACATCATCTTCCTCATCGTCTGGCACTGCTTTGGAAGCAGTCGTCTCCATCAAGTCATCTTCTGTTTGGTTTTTTTTGTTTTTATTTTTTATTTTTTTGAGATGGAGTTTCGCTCTTGTCGCCCACGCTGGAGTGCAGTGGCACAATCTTGGCTCACCACAACCTCCGCCTCCTGGGTTCAAACGATTCTCCTGTCTCAGCCTCCCGAGTAGCTGGGATTACAGGCGTGAGCCACCAAGCCCAGCTAATTTTGTATTTTTAGTAGAGACGGGGTTTCTCCATGTTGGTCAGGCTGGTCTTGAACTCCCGACCTCAGGTGATCCACCCACCTCAGCCTCCCAAAGTGCTGGGATTACAGGCGTGAGCCACTGCACCTGGCCTGTCATCTTGTGTTAATTCCTCTGATGTAATGTCTGTTAGCTCTTGAGTTTCTCCAAGATTCATATCTTGAAACCCTTCACCACCGCTATGCCAGTTTTTTTAGCCACATCCACAGTCTCTTTCATGATTTCCTTGATTGGCTCTGTCATAAATCCTACGAAGTCATGTACAACATCTGGACACAGTTTGCTCCTGCAGAAATCTATTGTTTTGGGCTTGATGGCTTTCATAAGCTTTATCTATAACAACTGTGGCATCTTCAGTAATGTAATCCTTTCATATTTTCATCATGTTCTCTTTGTTGGGGTTCTCTTTCATAATGTTGACTTTTTTTTTTTTTTTTTTGGAGACAGAGTCTCGCTCTGTTGCCAGGCTGGAGTGCAGTGGTGTGATCTTGGCTCACTGCACCCTCCGCCTCCTGGTTCAAGCGATTCTCCTGCCTCAGCCTCCCGAGTAGCTGGGACTACAGGTGCGCACCACCATGCCCAGCTAATTTTTGTATTTTTAGGAAAGACGGGTTTTCACCATGTTGGCCAGGATGGTCTCAATCTCTTGACCTCGTGATCCGCCCGCCTTGGCCTCCCAAAGTGCTGGGATTACAGGCATGAGCCACCGTGCCCAGCCGACGGTTCTTTACATGAAGTACCATGTGTAATAAGCCTTACAGGTCCTTCTCTGACTGTGTGGTCTAGAGTATTTGAATGTCTTCAGTGTTGAACTCATGGGGCTCTGGGTAGCCAGGGGCATTGTCCAATATCAGAAGCACTTTAAAAGGCAGTCCCTTTCTGGAAAAGTACTTCCTGACTTCAAGGACAAAGCATCGATGGAAGTAATCCAGAAAAAGTATTCTTGTTGTCCAGGCCTGGTTGTACACTACAAGACATAAACTTGACTGCCCAAGGGACAGGCTAACTCCTTTGCACAAAATCCTGGTGCTCCCTTCTCTTTCTTACTAATAAATGTCATTTGTGGCATAATCTTCCTGATTAGGTCGCTTTCATATACATTAAAATTGTATTTAGGCAGATACCATTTCTCCTCAATGATTTCTCTCTCTCTCTCTCTCTCTTTTTTTTTTTTTCTTTTTTTTTTTGAGACAGAATCTTACTCTGTCACCCAGGCTGGAGTGCAGTGGTGAAATCTCAGCTCGCTGCAACCTCTGCTTCCTGGGTTCAAGTGATTCTCCTGCCTCAGGCTCCCAAGTAGCTGGGAGTACAGGCGTGTGCCATGACACCTGGCTAATTTTTTCTTGTATTTTTAGTAGAGGCGGGGTTTCACCAGGCTGGTCTCGAACTCCTGACCTCAAGTCATCCACCCACCTCGGCCTTCCAAAGTGTTAGGATTACAGGCGTAAGCCACCAAGCCCAGCCCTCAATCATTTTCTTAATGGTATCTGGGAACATGTCTGCTGTTTCTTGGTCAGCAGAAGCTGTTTCCTGCTATCTTGACATTTTAAAAGCCAAACAAACCTCTTTCTAAAATTATCAAACCATCCTTTGCTGGCATTAAATTCTCCAGCTTTAGATCTTTCACCTTCCTTTTCTGATGAGGTATCATAATGATTTCACATTTTTTCAAATCATATTAGTGTATATAGGTATGCTGTTCTTACCTATATAAAACCTGCATTTTCAATATGAGATTAATAGGTATATTTCTCAAAAAGCACAGGGTTTTCACAGCTGCTGGCATAGCTGCAGTGCTGCTGTAACTGCAATGATGGCTTCAGTTTTTTTTGTTGTTGTTTTTTGGGGTTTTTGTGTTTGTTTTTTTTTAGATAGGGTCCCACTCTGTTATCTAGGCTGGAGTGCAGTGGCATGGTCACAGCTCACTGCATCCTTGATATCATGGTTTCAAGGGATCCCTCACCTCACCCTCCTGAGTAGCTGGAGCTACAGGTATGCATCACTGTGCCCAGCTAGTTTTTTATTTTTTGTAGAGACAGAGTCTTGTTATGTTGCCCGGGCTGGTCTCAAACTTCTGGGCTCAAGCAATCCTTTTGCCTGGCCTCCCAAAGTACTGGGATTACAAGTGTGAGCCACTGTGCCTGGCCCCCTGAAAATCTTTTTCACCGGACAGGCAAGACCTCTTAAGTGATGTTTCCAACAATCCACTTTTGCCCTTATCCCTAGCTACAGACCCTAGAGACTAGGGAAATGGGTACAAGTATCTGAAATCATCTGATTCTCCCCACCTCTTCCGTCCATTAGAGCCTGTGGGGCCCGGATAGTCAGCCGACCAGAGGAACTGAGAGAAGATGATGTTGGAACAGGAGCAGGCCTGTTGGAAATCAAGAAAATTGGAGATGAATACTTTACTTTCATCACTGACTGCAAAGACCCCAAGGCCTGCACCATTCTCCTCCGGGGGGCTAGCAAAGAGATTCTCTCGGTGAGTCAGCCTTGGATGTATGACCAGATGAAGTAGATCACTGAACTTCTTGAGAGTTTCCCAAAGGGCCTAAAATAATTCTGTGGTCCATTTATAGCTATTTAATTTGGACCTATAGCCACAAATTCCTTTTCTGCTTCCTTTTTTTAATTAAATAATTTAAAATTTTAAAAATTGTAGTAAGCATAAAATTTACCATCTTAATCATTTTAATTGTACAGTTCAGTAATGTTAAGTATATTCATGTTATTGTGCAAGAGATCTTCAGAACTTTTTCATCTTGCAGAACTGAGACTCTGTACCCATCAAACAAGATATCTCATCTCCTACTCCCTAGCAACAACTGTTTTCTTATTTTTTACGTTGAAGTTATAAATATTACTTTTTTTTCCTCATTGAGGCTAAGTAACTTTCCCAAAGGCACATAGCTAGTAAGTAGGAGAGTGTACAACACCATGCAACCTCCTAAAAGATACAACTAGGAAGGGGTGGAATAGGTTATGGCTCTTATCTATCAAGATACATGCTGTTTATTTCCATATAACTGGCAAGGGATGAAATAGGTTATTGCTCTTAATCTAGCATAATGGACAAAGACCTAACTTTATGGTTGGGTGACACCCCCAAACCCTTTGCAGATACCACTCCCCGCCATCCTATATTATAGTCGTGTGTTATATATTCTCAGGTAAATAATCTGCCCTGCCCAGTAGGGGTTCCAAGGACCTTTTCTAGTTGCCCTCCTTGGTGGTTTACTAACTTTGGCAGTTAGGAAGTCCTTTTGGTGCCTCCGATTTTATGAGTCATCAAGCTTTGGCTTCATACTGTCTGTTTGCTTCTCCAAGGAAGTAGAACGCAACCTCCAGGATGCCATGCAAGTGTGTCGCAATGTTCTCCTGGACCCTCAGCTGGTGCCAGGGGGTGGGGCCTCCGAGATGGCTGTGGCCCATGCCTTGACAGAAAAATCCAAGGCCATGACTGGTGTGGAACAATGGCCATACAGGGCTGTTGCCCAGGCCCTAGAGGTCATTCCTCGTACCCTGATCCAGAACTGTGGGGCCAGCACCATCCGTCTACTTACCTCCCTTCGGGTGAGTTCCTCTCCAAGCTTTTCTCTTGATGGAGCAGGGAAAGCTGTGTTTGCCCTGAGGGGAAGATTCTTATCTGGCTATCCAAATTCTCTTTATAGTCTATTCCTTGAAATCTTTCTCTCCTTTTAGTCTTTGACTTGTTTGCTGTCATTGCCATTTTTCCCTGTCCCTTCCATACTGGTCCATTGTTTTTTACTTCATTTCTTACCTGATGTTTCCTGTTAACTTATTTTCCCCTTTACTTCTTGCTTCAATTGCAGGCCAAGCACACCCAGGAGAACTGTGAGACCTGGGGTGTAAATGGTGAGACGGGTACTTTGGTGGACATGAAGGAACTGGGCATATGGGAGCCATTGGCTGTGAAGCTGCAGACTTATAAGACAGCAGTGGAGGTAAGGCACCCTAAGATATGTACACGCTGTTTTAATTAATTTATTTATTTATCTATTTATTTATTTTTGAGACGCAGTCTCAGTCACCCAGGCTGGAGTGCAGTGGTGTGATCTCGGCTCACTGCAATCTCCGCCTCCCGGGTTCAAGCAATTCTTGTGCCTCAACCTCCCAAGTAGCTGGGGCTACAGGCATGCACCACCACTCCCAGCTAATTTTTGTATTTTTTAGTAGAGATAGGGTTTCACTATGTTGTTCAGGCTGGTCTCGAACTCCTGACCTCAGATGATCTACCCACCTTGGCCTCCCAAAGTGCTGGAGTTACAGGCATGAGCCACCATGCCCAGCCTGGTCTAGTCTTGAAGGGAGGGGTAAAGAAGGCAGAATATTCCTCTAAGGTATTCCAAGGCATTCTATCTCTTTAATTATCTTTAGCTCGTACTAAAAGCAAGATAATATAGCACAATCTGTATCACTTGCTTAGGGAGAAGTGCATTTTTTTTTTTTTTTTTTTTTTTTTTTGAAACAGACTATCGCTCCGTTGCCCAGGCTGGAGTGCAGTGGCATGGTCTCCGCTCACTGCAGCCTCCACCTCCCAGGTTCAAGTGATTCTCCTGCCTCAGCCTCCCAAGTAGCTGGGATTACAGGTGCCTGCCACCACACCCGGCTAATTTTTTCTATTTTTAGTAGAGACGGGGTTTTACCATGTTGGCCGGGCTGGTCTCGAACTCCTGACCTTGTGATCCACCTGCCTTGACCAACCAAAGTGCTAGGATTACAGGTGTGAGCCACCACACCTGGCTGAGAACTGCATTTTACATTCAGGACTGAAAAGGCCGGGCATGGTGGGTCACGCCTGTAATCCCAGCACTTTGGGAGGCTAAGGCAGGTGGATCACGTGAGGTCAGGAGTTCAAGACCAGCCTGACCAACATGAGGAAACCCCATCTCTACTAAAAATACAAAATTAGCCAGGCATGGTGGTGCAGGCCTGTAATCCCAGCTGCTTGGGAGGCTGAGGTAGTAGAATCGCTTGAACCCGGGAGGCGGAGGTTGCAGTGAACCGACATCATGCTACTGCACTCTAGCCTGGGTGATAAGAGGGAAACTGCGTCTCAAAAAAAAATAAAAGACTGAAAAGGTAGATTTCAGACAAAATGGCAGTTCCATAGTAGCATCTAGGTGATAGATCTAAAGGAAAGAAAAGTGTCCTTTCCTTCTCTGCTGACCTCTTTGCATCTGTGGTTTTTCTCCTAGACGGCAGTTCTGCTACTGCGAATTGATGACATCGTTTCAGGCCACAAAAAGAAAGGCGATGACCAGAGCCGGCAAGGCGGGGCTCCTGATGCTGGCCAGGAGTGAGTGCTAGGCAAGGCTACTTCAATGCACAGAACCAGCAGAGTCTCCCCTTTTCCTGAGCCAGAGTGCCAGGAACACTGTGGACGTCTTTGTTCAGAAGGGATCAGGTTGGGGGGCAGCCCCCAGTCCCTTTCTGTCCCAGCTCAGTTTTCCAAAAGACACTGACATGTAATTCTTCTCTATTGTAAGGTTTCCATTTAGTTTGCTTCCGATGATTAAATCTAAGTCATTTGAGAAAGTTGTTATGTGTTTTTCAACCTTGGGCCATCTCTCTTATCTCCTGGCAAATAGGTGGAGGCAGAAAACCTTACTGGGGAGGGAAAGGAGACCTGGAATGAGGGCATTTAGACTCTTTTGCCTTCTTGAGGGAGTATTCTTCAGACTTCTCAGTAAATTTTGGTTGGAAAGACCCTTTTGGAGTTCAAAGGATAATACTGTAAAGCTTACAAAGCACCATTTTGCATTCACTGCCCAAAGAACAAGAGGAACCTGTCTAAAGCATGGGTGTTCCCCATATGTGGTTGTATGTAGAGGAACACCCAGTACATCCTAGGGCTCTGGCATGTGTCCTAAAGGACATATAACTTTTTTTTTTTTTTTGGTGTAGTTTTCAGAATTCTCCCTTTACCATGAGTTATTTTTCTCTGCCCTCTTCCAATGTTTTTACAATTCCAGTCTTCATTTTGGCTTGCTGACCTTTTCTCATGCCAGTATCCTGTCACAGTCAGACCTCTCTGCCTTTCTGCTAGCAGAAACAAAATATTTAAATTCCATTTGTTTTTATCAAGGAGAGAAAAAAAATCTGAGTAGTGGTCCCAGGATGCTAGAGGCTAGGTGGTACTAGCCTTTGATTTCTTCAGTGTTCCACTTGTCTACTGGGCTTTTCACCCTCCCATCTGTCCTTATGACTCATACATTTAGCCTTGTTTATCTCTTCCCTGACCATGGGACCTAGTCACATAAAGTTGAATACTTGGTAGAATAATGGTAAGTACTGTCTAACAGATGTGTTCTAGTCATTTGAATGTTAACTAATGGATCCTCACAACAGCCCTCTAAGACAGGTAATGTTATCCCCCATTTTGTGAGGGAGAAATCTAATGCATAGATAGGTAACTTGTTAAAGGGTCACAAAGCTGGTAAGTGGCAGACCTGGAATTCATATGTAGGCACTGTGGTTCTAGAGGCCATGCTTTAGAGATGGGGTTTCTCTGTGTTGGTCAGGGTGGTCTCAAACTCCCTACCTCAGGTGATCCACCCATCTCATCCTTGCAAAGTGCTTGGATTACAGGTGTGAGCCACCATGCCCGGCCAAGGAAGCCATGCATTTATAGCTGGCTATCCTGACTGATCTGAGGTGTGGGATGGAAAGGGGCTTGTGAGATGCCTATGGCTTTAGCTTCCTGCTTAGGTCAACCAAAGCTCTGCCTATACGCTTCTGCAGGGGACTCAGAAATAAGCCTACCTGCCTTTTGCTGAAATCTCTGCCTCTGCTTGCAGTGTTTTAATTCTCTTGGAGCTTTAAACTCCTCAGAGATGATAAGTTAATTCTTTTTTTTATTTATTTTTTTGAGACGGGAGTCTCGCTCTGTCGCCTGGGCTGGAGTGCAGTGGTGTGATCTCAGCTCACTGCAACCTCTGCCTCCCGGGTTCAAGCAATTCTCCTGCCTCAGCCTCCTGAGTAGCTGGGACTACAGGCGTATGCCACTATGCCCAGCTAATTTTTTTGTATTTTTAATAGAGACGAGGTTTCACCATGTTGGTTGGCCAGGATGGTCTCCATCTCTTAACCTCGTGATCGTCCTGCCTCGGCCTCCCAAAGTGCTGGAATTACAGGCGTGAGCCACCACGCCTTGCCGATGAGTTAATTCTTTAATTAGTAAAACAAGATAGTGAAATATTGCCCATAACACCTGAGAAATGATGAAAGTCCTAGGAAAGCTAGTCATCTTGTAGATTCTTTTTTTTTTTTGAGATGGAGTCTCACTCTGTCACCCAGCCTAGAGTGCAGTGGCACGATCTTGGCTCACTGCAACCTCCGCCTCCCAGGTTCAAGGAATTCTCCTGCCTCAGCCTCCCGGGTAGCTGGGACTACAGGCACCTGCCACCACACCCGGCTAATTTTTTATTTGTAGTAGAGACGGGGTTTCACCATCTTGGCCAGGCTGGTCTCGAACTCCTGACCTTGTGATCCACCCGCCTCGGCCTCCCAAAGTGCTGGGATTACAGGCGTGAGCCACCGCGCCTGGACATCTTGTAGATTCTTTCCTCCCCTTTGTTCCTTACTCAGTCTAGGTTCGTTTTGTTTTCAGCTCTAATAGTTAAGCACTTGGGTAGTGTCATAGTCTTCCTTACTATTATTGGTACCTCTTTTTTTTTTCTGAGACAGAGTCTCGCTCTGTCGCCCAGGCTGGAGTGCAGTGACGCGATCTTGGCTCACTGCAACCTCCGCCTCCTGGGTTCAGGTGATTCTTCTGCCTCAGCCTCCGGAGTAGCTGTGACTACAGGCGCACACCACCATGCCTGGCTAATTTTTCATAATTTTAGTAGAGACAAGGTTTCACCTTGTGTTAGCCAGGATGGTCTCCATCTCCTGACCTCATGATCTGCCCGCCTCGGCCTCCCAAAGTGCTGGGGTTATAGGCATGAGCCACTGTGCCTGGCCCTATTGGTACCTCTTTTTTTTTTTTTTTGAGATGGAGTCTCACTCTGTCACCCAGGCTGGAGTGCAGTGGCACAATCTCAGCTCACTGCAAGCTCTGCGTCCCAGGTTCACGCCATTCTCCTGCCTCAGCCTTCTAAGTAGCTGGGGCTACAGGCGCCTGCCACCACGCTCGACTAATTTTTTGTATTTTTAGTAGAGATGGGGTTTCACCGTGTTAGCCAGGACGGTCTCAATCTCCTGACCTCGTGATCCACCCACCTCGGCCTCCCAAAGTGCTGGGATTACAGGCATGAGCCACCGCGACTGGCCTATTGGTACCTCTTTTTTAAAGCATCTGTAATATCTGCTTTCTTTTTCCTTTTTGTTTATTTTTTTTAGTTGTTTTTATTTGCCATTTCTAAACATGCGTAAATCCTTCTGGCATGTTAGATCACTTTGGACTGTTTGGCTTTCAAAGCCCCACTTTGCTGTCTAGAACTTAGTGATTTACAAATTTAGCATAGGCCATATGTGGCAGCTCATGCCTGTAATCCCAGCACTTTGGAAAGCCAAGGCAGAAGGATCACTTGAGCCCAGAAGTTCAAGACCATCCTGGGCAACCTAGCAAAATCCTGTCTACAAAAAATTATTTAAAAAAAATTTTTTTTTTTTTTTGAAACAGAGTTTCACTCTTGTTGCCTCCTCGGTTCAAATGATTCTCCTGCCTCAGCCTCCCGAGTAGCTGGGATTATAGGCATGCATCACCACGCCCGGCTAATTTTTTATTTTTGTATTTTTAGTAGAGACAGAGTTTCTCCATGTTGGTCAGGCTGGTCTCAAACTCCTGGCCCGCCTCAGCCTCCTAAAGTGCTGGGATTACAGGCGTGAGCCACCGCACCCAGCCCAAACAAAAATTTTAACAGTGATGAAAGGCTGCCCAGGCCACTTTTGCTGCCCTGCGTGAACCCTATTCACTAAACATTTGATTCCATGAGTGTGGTTTTCCCATGTCCTTGACTCTGCTGATGATCCTTCCCCTGCCAAATTCCTACATTTTAGTCAAGTCCCATCTCCCCTGCCATAAAGCAGTAATTTGGGGGCTGGTGTGGGAGTTTGAATTCCTGACTGCTATTTAAGCCATCTACACTCAGTCAAGACTTGTTTTTATTCTCCCTTATCAGATTCCAGAGTTGATACCTTAGAAGATAAACGTACAGTCATTTCTCAGTATCTGTGAGGGATTGGTTCCAGGACACTCCCCTATACCAAAATCTGCAGCTGTTCAGGACACTTACATCATCATTATCATTATTATTATTATTAAAGACAATCTCTGTCACCTAGCTTATTATTTTATTATTATTATTATTATTATTATTATTATTATTATTATTATTAGAGACAGAATCTCTGTCACCCAGCCTGGAACGCAGCAGCACAATCTTGGCTCACTGCAACCTCCACCTCCCGGGTTGAAGCAATTTTCATGTCTCAGCCTCCTGAGTAGCTGGGATTACATGCCTGGCTAATTTTTGTATTTTTTATAGAGATGGGGTTTTGCCATGTTGGTCAGTCTGGTCTCAAACTCTTGACTTCAAGTGAACCGCCCGCCTTAGCCTCCCAAATTGCTGGGATTGCAAGCATGAGCCACCATACACAGCCAGGACACATTAAATGGCATACTATTTGCATATAACCTATGTACATTCTCCCATATAATTTTTTTCTTTTTTTTTTTTTTCTTCGAGATAGAGTCTTCCTCTGTTACCCAGGCTGGAGTGCAATGGCGCAATCTCAGCTCACTGCAACCTCTGCTTCCCAGTTTCAAGTGATTCTGCCTCAGCCCCCCAGGTAGCTGGGATTTCAGGCATCCGCCACCACACCCAGCTAATTTTTGTATTTTTAGTAGCTACAGGGTTTCACCACGTTAGCCAGGCTACTCTCAAACTCCTGACCTCAGGTGATCCGCCCGTCTTGGCCTCCCAAAGTGCTGGGATTACAGGCGTGAGCCACAACACCCAGCCCTTCTTTCATATACTTTAATCATCTCTAGATTACTTATGTAACTTAATGTAATGTCAGTGCTGTGTAAATAGTTATTATACTGTTTTATTTGTAGTATTTTAAATTTTTCCCCAAATATTTTCTTTTTCTTTTTCTGTCTTTTTTTTTTTTTTTTTTTTTTTTGAGATAGTCTTGCTCCATCGCCAGGCTGGAGTGCAGCGGCACAATCTCGGCTCACTACAACCTCCACCTCCTGGGTTCAAGCAATTCTCCTGCCTCAGCCTCCCGAGTAGCTGGGATTACAGCCCGGTTGTATTTTTAGTAGAGACGAGGTTTCACCATGTTGGCCAGGATGGTCTCGATCTCTTGACCTTGTGATCTGCCCGCCTCGGCCTCCCAAAGTGCTGGGATTACAGGCGTGAGCCACCGCGCCCGGCCTTTTTTCCTCAAATATTTTCAATCCACAGTTGAATCTGTGGATGAGGAGCCAGCAGATACAGAGGGCCAAGCCAACTATACCTTTTTTCTCCAGCAAAATGAGTTTCTGAGAACATTTTGAGAGTTTATTTCCGGAGTAGCTATTTGTGGTTGTGGGGGAGGCAGGAAATTGGATCCCTACTAAATTACAACAAAGTTAGTTCCAGGCAGCTGAAAGGTGTAAATATAAGAAAATATAACCATAAGAGCACTAGAAGAAATATGGGGTTTAAAATATGTGAGGGGACTTCGGGAGGCCGAGGCGGGCGGATCACCTGAGGTCGGGAGTTCAAGACCAGCCTAACCAACATGGAGAAACTCTGTCTCTACTAAAAATACAAAAAATTAGCCTGGTGTGGTGGCGCATGCCTTTAATCCCAGCTACTCGGGAGGCTGAGGCAGGAGAATCACTTGAACCTAGGAAGCGGAGGTTGCAGTGAGCCAAGATCGTGCCATTGCACTCCAGCCTGGGCAACAAGAGCGAAATTCCATCTCAAAAAAAAAAAAAAAAAAAATGTGAGTGGGTAGGAAACTCCATACAAAGTTTGCACTGCAAAAACACAAGGGAGAGAAGATGTTGCAACAACATTAAGTTAATTTCCTTAAAGAACTTTTAGGGTGGACAAGATGGTGCATGCCTATAGTCCCAGCTACTAAGGAGGCTAAGGTGGGAGAATCACTTGAGCCCCAGAGTTTGAGGCTGCAATTGAGCTATGTTTGCACTACTGCACTCCGGCCTGCATGATGCAGCAAGACCCTGTCTTAACAACAACAACATAATACTTTTAGAACTTGACGATTAAGAAGAGGCCTGTAGAAAAATAGGCAAAGGATTTAAAAAGCTCCAGAGGAGCAAAAATTGACTAAAACATGAAGAGATGCTTAACCTTATTCAAAGGGAAATGTAAGCATAATTTGGTAAACACTTGCAATGTGCTCCTAAGCATGTGGTTTGAGTGTCAATTGGTAAACCTCATATAAAGGGCAGTTTGAGCTGACGATTCCACTCCTTGGTACGTATCCTGCTGAATTTGGTTATTAATATGAAATGCTGAGATCTCAGTATTTCTCCTTGGTTGAGTCCATTTCAGACAGGGATATTCTTTCCAGCATTGTTTGTCACAGCAAAATATTACTACATCAACAAGGTTCTGGTTAAATAGATCCATGGAACATACCCCTGCAAGGAGAATGAGATAACTCCAAGTGCATTGATAACAGAACATTCCTCAATATATGAGTTAAAAATGCAAATTGGGGCCAGGTGTGGTGGCTCACGCCTGTAATCCCAGCACTTTGGGAGGCCGAGGTGGGTGGATCATTTGAGCTCAGGAATTCGAGACCAACTTAGGCAACATGGCAAAACCCCATCTCTACTAAAAATACAAAGATTAGCCGGGTTTGGAAGTGCACGCCTGTAATCCCAGCTACTTGGGTGGCTGAGGCAGAATAGCATGAGCCCAGGAGGTGGAGGTTGCAGTGAGCCAAGATCTCACCACTGCACTCCAGCCTGGGTGTGACAGCGTCTCAAAAAAACAAAAAAAAACTGAAGAACAGTGTTTGGGTACCACTGTGTATTATTTATATGTAATTTCTGTATATTTGTATTCTTAAGTATAGGATATCTTTAGAAGGATACATAAGAAACTGGTAGTGGGCCAGGAGCGGTGGCTCATGCGTGTAATCCCAGCACTTTGGGAGGCCGAGGTGGGCGGATTACCTGAGGTCAGGAGTTCGAGACCAGCCTGGCCAACATGGTGAAACCCCATCTCTACTATAAAATACAAAAATTAGCCAGATGTGGTGGCACATGCCTATAATCCCAGCTACTTGGGAGGTTGAGGCAGAATTCCTTGAGCCCAGGAGGTGGAGGTTGCAGTGAGCCAAGATCGTGCCACTGCACTCCAGCCTGGCCAACAGAGCAAGCAAGCAAACAAAACAAACAAACTGGTAGTGATGGTTGTCTTGGGAGGGACCAGTTTGCTGGTGAATAGGAATGATGCCCTTTGGTACTTTTTTTTTTCTTTTTTTTTTTTTGTGACAAGATCTCCATGACGCAGGATTTTTCTCAGCCACTTTGCCAGCCGGGGACCTCTGCAGCCGGCAATGCCTCCTGCCCAGGCCTCGCGCCCCGGGCCTGCTGCCGGAGGTACCCTGCCCACTTAGCCCACCTGGCCACGCCTGGCTTGCACACTGGCTCAGCCCTTGGCTGGGCTGGGGCATGCCCCAGGCTGCCTGTGTTTCAGCTTGTACCCACGTTCAGCAGTTCCCGAGTTCTTGTCATGCATCCAAGAAGAATGAGGTTATGCTGACAGTTCAAAGGGTGAAGAGGGTCGGAAAGAATTTCATTGAGTGACGAAACAACTCTTAATGGAGAAGGGACAGGAGAGTGGTCTCCCAAGTTAGGTGGTTTCTCTCCCCTTGTGGCTGGGTCCGGGGCTTTGATGGGCTCAAAATGGGTGTGTGTGTGCAGATTGGTTTGAGTGTATGCAAAAGAAAAAAAAAAAAAGCTAAAACAAAGGCACCACTCAGCTGGGCGCGGTGGCTCACGCCTGTAATCCCAGCACTTTGGGAGGCTGAGATGGGCGGATCACGAGGTCAGGAGATGGAGACCATCCTGGCTAATACGGTGAAACCTTGTCTCTACTAAAAATACGAAAAAATTAGCCAGGCGTGGTGGCGGGTGCCTGTAGTCCCAGCTACTCAGGAGGCTGAGGCAGGAGAATGGCTGAACCCAGGAGGTAGAGCTTGCAGTGAGCCGAGATCACGCCACTGCACTCCAGCCTGGGCCACAGAGCGAGACTCCATCTCAAAAAATAAATAAATAAATAAATAAATAAATAAAGGCACCTCTCAAAGATGGGCATGACAGTGTAACCAATTAGGGAAGGGTGGGTATATGTAAAATAGGTGACGCGTGGGGATCAATCAGAGGAAAGTGCAACAAACGGGAAGAGTGGTTCTCAATCCCACCTGTGCATTTACCGAGGACTTGTAGCTTGGCTTTCAACTGTTTTCGGCTTGAAGGTGGGGTTTCATCAGGAACCTGCCCCTGTCTGCCTAGGATTTGTCTGTTTGTCTGCCTCCTGTTGCTATCCTCACTTTGTTGCCCAGGCTGGAGTGCAGTGGTGCAATGGGAGGATCAAGGGATCCTCTCATTTCAGCCTCCGGAGAAGCTGGGACCACAAGCATGCACCACCATGCCCGGCTAATTTTTGTATTATTTTGTAGAGATGGGGTCAGGCTATGTTGCCCAAGCTGGTCCTGAACTCCAGGACTCAAGACATCCTTCCACCTCAGCCTCCCAAAGTGCCAGGATTACAGGCATGAGATACCACACTGAGCCCTTTGGTACCTTTTGGATTTTGTACCATGTTCATTTATTAGTCAAAATAAGATTAAAGTAGGCCAGGTGCAGTGGCTCGTGCCTGTAATCCCAGCACTTTGGGAGGCCAAGGCGGGCAGATCACTTGAGGTCAGGAGTTTTGAGACCAGCCGAGACCATGCCATTGCACTCCAGCCTGGGTGACAGACCTAGACCACATCTCGAAAAAACAAACAAACAAATACAAACAAACCAAAAAACGTAATATTTATTGAACACTTCGTTATTCGGGTTCTGGTCCAAGAAGAGTTCACAATTTTATTGTGGAGAAAAGATAGGATATGAGAAAATAGGATATGGGGGCAATACAAGTACTTGTCAAAAGAGGGAGGTGATATCTGGTGGGATGCACTTTTTTTTTAATTTTTTTTATTCTTTGAGATGGAGTCTTGCACTGTTTTGTCGGGCTGGAGTGCAGTGGCGCAATCTCGGCTCACTGCAACCTCCACCTCCCAGGTTCAAGCGATTCTCCTGCCTCAGCCTCCCGAGTAGCTGGGACTACAGGCGTGCACCACCTCAGCCGGCTAATTTTTGTATTTTTAGTAGAGATGGGGTTTCACCATGTTGGCCAGGATGGTCTCAATCTCCTGACCTCCTGATCTTCCTACCTCGGCCTCCCAAAGTGCTGGGATTACAGGCGTGGGCCACCACAGCTTTTTTGAGATGCAGTTTTTTTTCACCACAGTTTTTTTTTTTTTTTTTTTTTTTTTTTTGAGATGGAGTTTCACTCTTGTTGCCCAGGCTGGAGTGCAATGGCTCCATCTCAGCTCACTGCAACCTCCAACTCCCGGGTTCAGGCGATTCTCCTGCCTCAGACTCCCTAGTAGCTGGGATTACAGGCGCCTGCCACCATGCCTGGCTAATTTTTTGTTTGTTTATAAGATGGAGTCTCGCTCTGTCACCCAGGCTGGAGTGCAGTGGCGTGATCTTGGCTCACTGCAACCTCTGCCTCCCAGGTTCAAGCAATTCTCCTGCCTCAGTCTCCCGAGTAGCTGGGATTACAGGCATGCGCCACCATGCCCGGCTAATTTTTTTGTATTTTTAGTGAAGACAGGTTTTCACCATGTTGGCCAGGCTGGTCTGGAACCCCGACTTCAGGTGATCCACGTTGGCCTCCCAAAGTGTTGGGATTACAGGTGTGAACCACTGCGCCTGGCCATGAAGTGTCCAATAAATATTAGATTGACATAAAGAACCCTCAGGTGTGCTATCTCATGGAATACCCTCAAATTCCTCTCTGGATCTTCCTATCACAGTTGTATTATTGGGGTCCCATTTGGATCTCTCCCACTATAGGTAGCTCTTCAGTGGGACGGGCTAGGTAAGAGAGGCTGGGAGTAAGTCTGTCTGATCTAGGATGTCTTGCTTACCACCCAGGTAGGGGGTTATATACTCCCAGCCTTTCTGATTCCATTGTAACTCTTGCCGAAATCCGGGTGAACGGAAGTAGTCTCTTTAAGAACTGGTATGGGCAGGCCCAAGTTGTCAAGGCTTCGGAGGTAATGCCCTGGAGAGCGGGGAACGGGGTGGGTTTAGAGGCCCAGGCGGGCACCCAGGAGGCAGGCCCAGAAGAGTACTGCCAGGAAGAGTTGGGCGCCGAGGAGGAGATGGCAGCCAGAGCAGCATGGCCTGTGCTGCGCTCTGTGAACTCACGCGAGCTCTCCCGGATCATCATCTGCAATCACAGCCCACGAATCGTGCTGCCTGTGTGGCTCAACTACTATGGCAAGCTGCTGCCCTACCTGACGCTGCTGCCCGGCAGGGACTTCCGCATCCACAACTTCCGAAGCCACCCTTGGCTCTTCAGAGATGCAAGGACACATGATAAGCTTCTGGTTAACCAAACTGAATTGTTTGTGCCATCTTCCAATGTTAATGGACAGCCTGTTTTTGCCAACATCACACTGCAGTGTATACCCTGAAAGAGCAATGCCTCCAGGTTGTCGGAAGCCTAGTCAAGCCCAAGAATTACAGGAGACTGGACATCGTCAGATCACTCTATGACGATCTGGAAGATCATCCAAATGTGATTGAAAGACCTGGAGCGGCTGACGCAGGAGCACAGTGAATATCTGTGGATGGCTGGGCACGGTGGCTGACGCCTGTAATCCCAGCACTTTGGGAGGCCGCAGCAGGCAGATCACTTGAGGTCGGGAGTTCGAGACCAGCCTGGCCAACATAGTGAAACCCGTCTCCACTTAAAAAATACAAAAATTAGCTGGGCGTGGTGGCACATGTCTGTAATCCCAGCTACTCAGCAGGCTGAAGCAGGAGAATTGCTTGAACCCGGGAGGTGGAGGTTGCAGTGAGCTGAGATTGCACCACTGTACTCCAGCCTGGGCGACAGATCAAGACTCCATCTCAAAAATAAATAAATAAAAAGAGAGAGAGAGAAAAGAAAATTAATGGATGGAAGAAGAGACTGAAGAATTTTTTTTTTTTTTGAGACAGAGTTTCGCTCTTGTTGCCCAGGCTGGAGTGCAATGGTGCAATCTTGGCTCACTGCAACCTCCACCTCCCAGGTTCAAGCGATTCTCCTGCTTCAGCCTCCCGAGTAGCTGGGATTACAGGCGCCGCCATGCCCAGCTAATTTTGTGTGTGTGTGTTCAGGAGTTCAATAGCAGTCTGGGCAACATGGTGAAACCCTGTCCCTACTAAAAATATAAAAATTAGCCAGGCATGGTGGCGCACACCTGTAGTCCCAGATACGTGGGAGGCTGAGGTGGGAGAATCGCTTCCACCCGGGAGGTGGAGGTCGCAGTGAGCCATGATCACACCACTGCACTCCAGCCTGGGTGACAGAGCGAGACTCCATTTAAAAAAAAAAATTAGCTGGGCATGGTGGCGTGTGCCTGTAATCCCAGCTACTCGGGAAGCTGAGGCAGGAGAATCACTTGAACCCGGGAGGCAGAGGTTGCAGTGGGTCGAGATCTCGCCATTGCATTCCAGCCTGGGCGACAGGTGAGACTCCGTCTCAAAACAACAACAAACAACAACAACAAAAAACAACAACAACAACAATAAAAATCCCCCCAGTAGAGAAAAATTTGGAAGAGACAGAAAAGGAAAAAGGAAAAAAAAAATCACTATAGATACACTACTTAAATACAACCGCTATTAGCATTTTGAGCTATTTCCTTTATCCTTTTTTACATAGTTGAGATCTTACTGTTTATATAGTTTTGTATCCTACTTTTTCATTTAATTTTATAACAAATATTTTTCCATGTTATAAGCTCTTCATAAACATTAGTCTTTCTTTTGCAATTAATGTTTGGGGTATTTTTTGGCATCTTTAGTTCCTTATCCTAACCTTTGTGCACAAGCCCTGTGTTCTAAAATCAGAGTGATGGCTAGTGTGGTGGCTCACCCCTATAATCCCAGTACTTTGGGAGGCCCATGTGAGAGGATCAGTTGAGCACAGGAGTTCAAGACCAGCCTGGGCAACATAGTGTGACCCTGTCGCTACAAAAAAAAATTTTTTTAAATTAGCCAGGCATGGTGGCATGTGCATGAAGTCCCAGCTACTTGGGAGGCTAAGGCAGGAGGATCACTTGAGCTCGAGAGTTTGAGGCTGCAGTGAGCCATGATTGTGCCACTGCACTCCAGCCTTGGTGACAGAGCAGGATGCTGTCTCAAAATAAATAAATAAAATAAAATCAGAGTGAAGTGAAGAAAACAAACACTCCAAAGTTTTCTACAACCCTTTTAAATTTCACCAAATTTTAGCCCGTTCTTTCTTTCTTTTTTTTTGAGATAGAGTTTTGCCCCTTGTTGCTCAGGCTGGAGTGCAATGTCGCAATCTCGGCTCACTGCAACCTCTGCCTCTTAGGTTCAAGCGATTCTCCTGCCTCAGCCTCCCAAATAGCTAGGATTACAGGCGCCTGCCACCATACCTGGCTAATTTTTGTATTTTTAGTAGAGACGGGGTTTCACCATGTTGGTCAGGCTGGTCTCTAACTCCTGACCTTAAGTGATCCACTCACCAAGGCCTCTCAGAGTGTTGGGATTACAGGCGTAAGCCACTGTGCCCGGCCTAGCCCCTTCTTTCTCTCTCTCTCTCTCTCTCTCTCTCTCTCTCTCTATATATATATATATATATATATATATATTTTTTTTTTTTTTTTTTTTTTTTTTTTTTTGAGACGGAGTCTCGCTCTTGTCGCCCAGGCTGGAGTGCAGTGGCACAATCTTGGCTCACTGCAACCTCTACTACCCGGATTCAAGTGATTCTCCTGCCTCAGCCTCCCGAGTAGCTGGGGTTACAGGCGCCTGCCACCGGGATTACAGGGCCCTGCCACCGTGCCCAGTGAATTTTTTGTATTTTTAGTAGAGACGGGCTTTCACCATCTTGGCCAGGCTGGTCTTGAACTCCTGACCTTGTGATCCACCTGCCTCAGCCTCCCAAAGTGCTGGGATTACAGGTGTGAGCCACCGTGCCCGGCCTTTTCTTTCAACATTTAACAAATAAGTTGGCTTTTTTGGAAGTATGTTGTTGTCATTTAGTGACACATCTCTAAATATTTACAATTTTTGTTGAAATGTTAGGCAGGGAAGAAGAACCACATTGTTCCACAGGGAAGAAGAACCACAGAGTTTCATGTGCTGGAGTAGAAAGAAGGTGTATGAGTTCCACAATGGGACAGGGTTGGGAACTTAAGGCAATGTACTGGAGTAGTTCCCTGTTGGGTTTATTTTCTTTAACCTGTCTTTGTGTCAAAATGAGATTTCACGTTCCTCTTAAAACATGCCGTTTGAATACTGTGTTTTTGGCATTGTCCAAGGAAAACTGAAAACTTGTAGCATGAATGTTTTTTTTTTCACTTAAAATCTTGTGACCATATTAAATTGTATTACTTGTAAGAGACTGACGTTTCCTGTTTTAAGATAGAATACAAAGCTGTTCTTTAATACATTAAATGGTGCTGACGAAAGGAAATTTTTTTAAAAAGCAAATAGTTTGGCGGCTCCGCCCTTGAAAGGGATCAGCTGAACGCGAGTCATGTGACCCTCTGGCACCTCTTCCGTCGGCTGAATTGCGGCCGTATGCGCGGCTCTGTGGAGTGCACCTGGGGTTGGGGGCACTGTGCCCCCAGCCCCCTGCTCCTTTGGACTCTACTTCTGTTTGCAGCCCCATTTGGCCTGCTGGGGGAGAAGACCCGCCAGGTGAGGGCCCTGGGGCTACAGCGATAGAAGTTTCAGGAAACGCTACCCTTGCAGGGTGGCTGGAACCGGGCATCCAGGGGCTAGGGGTGGAGGGTGGCTGCCAAGAGGAGGGTTCTTCAACCTGGAGGGTGTGGGAGATGGTCATGGGTCATGGGACGGGATTGTGGAGTAGGGCAAATGTGAGGGTGATGTCTGGACCCCGACTCAGCCCTGGGTGACCCAGGTCCAGGCAAGTGTTGAATGTTTTCTTCTTCGCAGCCCTGTGCCCTGACCCGCCCACCAGGGTCAGGGGAGTCCTGGCTGTACCCTCTACCCTACCCCTTTTCATCCTGTCCCCACTGCCCCTTACCCCAGGGTTCCCTCAGCTCCCGCACACATTCCTCTTGTCTAGTCCCCAAAATCCCATCCTTTGTCCAGCACTTTCCAAGCCCCCCTCCCCTCAAGCTTCTCTTTTGCCTGTGTCTCTCCTTGGTCCTGTTCCCTCAACCCTCCACTACTCCATGTTCCAGGTGTCTCTGGAGGTCATCCCTAACTGGCTGGGCCCCCTGCAGAACCTGCTTCATATACGGGCAGTGGGCACCAATTCCACACTGCACTATGTGTGGAGCAGCCTGGGGCCTCTGGCAGTGGTAATGGTGGCCACCAACACCCCCCACAGCACCCTGAGCGTCAACTGGAGCCTCCTGCTATCCCCTGAGCCCGATGGGGGCCTGATGGTGCTCCCTAAGGACAGCATTCAGTTTTCTTCTGCCCTTGTTTTTACCAGGGTGAGGAGGTTGGGAGAGAACCAAGGAGAAGAGTGCAGAGGAGAGAGTTCATCCCAATTAGAGGGTGGAACTAAAGACTGGGGGTGGGTGAAATAGACTCAGATATGAAAGCCTTGGTAGGGGGTGAGTGGGAGGTGTGGTCTCGGGAGAAAAACTGAGGCAAGCCCAGTTCCACCCTACCCCCACCCTCCAGCTGCTTGAGTTTGACAGCACCAACGTGTCCGATACGGCAGCAAAGCCTTTGGGAAGACCATATCCTCCATACTCCTTGGCCGATTTCTCTTGGAACAACATCACTGATTCATTGGATCCTGCCACCCTGAGTGCCACATTTCAAGGCCACCCCATGAACGACCCTACCAGGACTTTTGCCAATGGCAGCCTGGCCTTCAGGGTAAGGCGTGAGAAATCGGAAAGAGCTCAAAAAGGCTGATTTGTGAGGGTGGGATTTAATGATGGAGGTGGCCCTTAAGCACAGGCATCCAGCTATTTCCCACACCTCCCATGCTTCTTCCTTCCTAGGTCCAGGCCTTTTCCAGGTCCAGCCGACCAGCCCAACCCCCTCGCCTCCTGCACACAGCAGACACCTGTCAGCTAGAGGTGGCCCTGATTGGAGCCTCTCCCCGGGGAAACCGTTCCCTGTTTGGGCTGGAGGTAGCCACATTGGGCCAGGGCCCTGACTGCCCCTCAATGCAGGAGCAGCACTCCATCGACGATGAATATGCACCGGCCGTCTTCCAGGTCAGGCTTCCTGGAGAGAGGCAGATGGGTGAGGAATGTAGGTGGGACACCATTGGGACCTAAAACTCATTCAACCATTTGCCATTTAGCAACACTTTCTTTGGGTCGTTTAAGAGCTAGGCACTGTGCTAATGAATCTGACCCAGTCTCTGCCCTCAGTGGAGACAGACAGAAAGTGCAATATGACTTACACTCTGGCAGATGGAGATCTGCAAGGGGGCTAGGGGCCAAGAGGAGGGCTGAGTCCAGACTTGGAGGTTTGGAAAACAACTCAGTCCTCACCCAGTCGAACTCCCCATTTTTACAGAGGAGGGATTGAGGCCCTGCCTAGGACTCAGGACTCCTGCTGCTAGTCACAGAATAAGGCTGGGAGTGGCAAGGAAAAGAGGGTCGGGCACAGGTTGGTCCTCTTTACCCTCCCTTGTTTGCCTTTCTTCCCAGTTGGACCAGCTACTGTGGGGCTCCCTCCCATCAGGCTTTGCACAGTGGCGACCAGTGGCTTACTCCCAGAAGCCGGGGGGCCGAGAATCAGCCCTGCCCTGCCAAGCTTCCCCTCTTCATCCTGCCTTAGCATACTCTCTTCCCCAGTCACCCATTGTCCGAGCCTTCTTTGGGTCCCAGAATAACTTCTGTGCCTTCAATCTGACGTTCGGGGCTTCCACAGGCCCTGGCTATTGGGACCAACACTACCTCAGCTGGTGAGAGCCAGGGTTTGGGCCGGGGACTTGGGGAGTTGAAGTGGACAAAGGCTGAGCCTCCCAGCCTTTCCTCCTAAGCCCGCTTACCTCTCTCTCTCTGCTTGCTCTAGGTCGATGCTCCTGGGTGTGGGCTTCCCTCCAGTGGACGGCTTGTCCCCACTAGTCCTGGGCATCATGGCAGTGGCCCTGGGTGCCCCAGGGCTCATGCTGCTAGGGGGCGGCTTGGTTCTGCTGCTGCACCACAAGAAGTACTCAGAGTACCAGTCCATAAATTAAGGCCCGCTCTCTGGAGGGAAGGACATTACTGAACCTGTCTTGCTGTGCCTCGAAACTCTGGAGGTTGGAGCATCAAGTTCCAGCCGGCCCCTTCACTCCCCCATCTTGCTTTTCTGTGGAACCTCAGAGGCCAGCCTCGACTTCCTGGAGACCCCCAGGTGGGGCTTCCTTCATACTTTGTTGGGGGACTTTGGAGGCGGGCAGGGGACAGGGCTATTGATAAGGTCCCCTTGGTGTTGCCTTCTTGCATCTCCACACATTTCCCTTGGATGGGACTTGCAGGCCTAAATGAGAGGCATTCTGACTGGTTGGCTGCCCTGGAAGGCAAGAAAATAGATTTATTTTTTTTCACAGGGCTCCAGTCTCTTGATGTGTGAGTGTTGTTGGGCTGGTCTTGGGCTGGTTCCAGGGAATGGAAGGGCTAAGAGATGGGCTTGGAAGGCAAGTTTCTGTTTGAGGCTCCATTTCCTTGCTGTGGAACCAAGGAACCTGCCAGCCCTGCTCCACCAGGTAGAGCTGGGAGGTTTCTATCGTCATCTGAATTAAACAGGGAAGGGACACTCGAGACTGGGGGACAAACAGGAAAAAAGAGCCAGCAAAGACTGGTAGTAATTTATTGTTACACACACACACACACACACACACACACACACACACACACACACACTAGGTTAACATCAACCACCGCACCATCCAGGCACTCCCCAGCCACCACGTGTGGGCACAAAGACACACACACCCCTCTTGGTAGGCAGATTTCCCTGTCTGCTCCCCTCTTCCTGTGGGAGAGGCATGCCTTCTGGGCAGTTTAAAGGTGGGAAGTTACAGGGGCCTAAAAAGGTAAAAGAGCAGCAGCTCTGCACTGGCCAGCTGTAAACAGTAAATAGGCCAGTCATGGAGGGTCCTGAATCCAGATCCTCAGGAAGGTTTTCACCAAACACCACAGTCCCATTTGATGTGATGCCCAGCCTCTATCCTTAAGGCATTTCCAGCGTCCCTGAGGCGCTCTGCTTAGACAACTGGCACAGAAGTGGTCAGGGCCTTGGCTGTGGCTCTGCCTCCTGCCTCACGGGAAGCCGGGGAGTGGAGCAGAGACCAGCATTAGGGAGCCTTGTGGCAGTGGTGAGAGGCTGCTCAGGAAGGAGCTGTGCCTCTCCCCTGGTCCTGGCCCCATGCCCTCAGCATCCTTAAGAAACACGGCTGTCCACCTTTTTCCCTGCAAGAAAACTAAGTCCATCCCTTATGACTGTCTCGGGCCCCAAAGGTGAAGGGCAGCTCCGGCAAGGGGAGAACTCCGATTGATTGGAGTCCCTGTTGGGGCAGTAGCAGGGTTCCACCCACCGCGGTCCTAGGCCTGGGGGCGAAGTCCAGGCCTGGCCACAAGGTTCAAAGATGTGTCAGACCCAAGCCGCTACCCCCTACTCCGAGGGCGAGGGCGGAGAGGCTCAGCCCCAGGGGCGGGGCCTGTAGTCGGAGGCCGAGCGGGCGTGGTCCGGGTAGTCCAGGCGGCTCTCGGTGGCAGTGAGCATGCGCTCCGGCTCCACCACGAACATGTAGTAGAGGTTCCACATCAGCATCGACAGCAGTGGCAGAAACGTCAGGCCGTAGCCGAAGCCTCGGAAGGAGCGGCCCACGGCAAAGGTCAGCCAGTAGATCAGCCTATGGGGGCAAGAAAAGGGTCAGGCTACTCTCGAGGGAAGCGCGTCAGCTGATTGGCAATAGGCTGACGGTGGGGGGAGTAGATAGGGGAGGCAGATGCAGTTGGTGGGTATGGCTGGTACTTCCAAATACAGCCAAAGTTTATGCACTTAACATGTATTAGGCACAGCGCTAATTACTATAAGTGATTGATTTGACTTCCCCACATCTTTATGAAGTTGAGTATGTTATTCCTTTCCCTCTTTTATTTACTTTTCGATTTATTTTTATTTTTTTAGAGACATGGTCTTGCTATGTTGCCAGTCTGGGCTCAAACTTCTGGCCTTGAGTGATTCTCTCACCTCAGACTCCTGAGTAGCTGGGATTACAGATGCGGGCCACCACACCTGGCTGTACAAACTTTAAAATGTTTGAGCAAATTCAATGAGTATAGTAAAATATCTTCCTCCCTTTACCGATTCCCACCCTATTCTCCCCCACCCCCACCCCAGGCATCAATATTATGGTTTCTTGTGCACTGAGTGATTTTTTAAATTATTATTATTTTTTTATTTTTGAGACAGAGTCTCTCTCTGTCACCCAGGCTGGAGTGCAGTGGTGCGATCTCAGCTCACTGCAACCTCCGCCTCCCGGGTTCAAGCAATTCTCCTGCCTCAGCCTCCTGAGTAGCTGAGACTACGGGCGCCCGCCACCATGCCTGGCTATTTTTTTGTATTTTTAGTAGAGATGGGGTTTCACCCGAGATGGTCTCAATCTCCTGACCTGATGATCCGCCTGCCTTGGCCTCCCAAAGTGCTGGGATTACAGGCGTGAGCCACCGCGCCTGGCCTATTTTTTTTTTTTTTTAAATTATAGATGGGGTCTCTGTCAGCCAGGCTGGAGTGCAGTGGCAGCCCCCAACTCCTGAGCTCAGGCAGTCCTCCCACCACAGCCTACCAAAGTGCCTTGGCCTCCCAAAGTGCTGAGATTACAGGTGTGAGCCACCATGCCCAGCAGATTTTTTTCTTTTATTTTTTTCTTAAAGACCAGTGTGCTTTTCTTGGAGAAAGAAGAAAAGAAGAAAGAAGGAAGAAGAAGAAGAAAGAAAGGAGGAAGAAGGAAGAAGAAGAGCCAGTGTGATAATACATTGAGTGATTTTTTAAAAAGTGCATATATGAGCAAAAAGTTATTTTTCCCTTTTCTGAAGTATGGCAGCATACTATATAGACTGTCTCTGCATGTTTATTTTTCCCCCATTTAATATATCCTGGAGATCATTTTATATCAATATAAAAATGGTTTTCTCATTCTTTTATAGCTGCAGTGTGTTCCATTGTATTTATCCTCTTGCAGATGAAGAAACTAAGATTCCAAGGGTTAAGTAAGACTGGTCCAAGATCACACATCTGGGAAATAGCAAAGCCATGATATGAACCCAAACCTGTTCATTACCTTCCCTTCTGCCAATTTGAGGGGCAGAGGTAAAGAGGAGAGCAAAGAAGCCACCTCTAGGAGGGCTTGAAGCCCAGAGGATGGGTCAGCCACAGATTTCGTGGAAGATATGTTCAATACACACCCCTCAATGGAGGGAGGGGAGAGCAACTTCCTCTTAATATATGAAGGATCACTTCTTAATATATGAAGGACCACTTATTACATGATTCATGTGCCTCTATTCTTTTTTACCTGTGAAAGGGAGGGAAGAGTAACTGCTGCTTCTCTTCTGCACTAGGAAGCAGCATAGTATAATGAACCAAGTACCAGATTGTTTTTTTGTTGTTCTTGTTATTTTTTGAGACAGAGTCTCGCTCTGTCGCCCAGGCTGGAGTGCAGTGGCCCAATCTCGGCTCACTGCAAGCTCCGCCTCCCAGGTTCACGCCATTCTCCTGCCTCAGCCTCCTGAGTAGCTGGGACTACAGGTACCCACCACCATGCCCGGCTAATTTTTTATTTTTATTTTTAGTAGAGACGTGGTTTCACCGTGTTAGCCAGGATGGTCTCGATCTCCTGACCTGGTGATCCACCCGCCTTGGCCTCCCAAAGTGCTGGGATTACAGGCGCCCATCACCACACCCGGCTAATTTTTTGTATTTTTATTAGAGATGGGGTTTTACCGTGTTAGCCAGGATGGTCTCGATCTCCTGACCTCATGATCCACCTGCCTTGGCCTCCCAAAGTGCTGGGATTACAGGTGTGAGCCACCACGCCTGGCACCAAGTACTAGATTGTTTTAAGTACTCTACATGAATTAACTCATTTAATCCTCATAACGACCTCATTTTACAGATGATGAAACTGAGGCACAAACTGCTTAATGAACTTGTCCATGGTAAAGAAGAAAGGACCCTGGATAAGAGAGGAAAAGGACCTGGATTCTAGTCCTGCCACTATTGCCGACTGACCTGAGCAACTCTCTTCCCCTAATCTGTTGTGATTTTCCCTTTGTAAAATGGGAAGCCTGGACCAGACAATCACTGAGTCTTCCTTTAGCTCCCTGATGATTTTTACTGCTTAAGCCAACTTCTATCTGAAACCAGTATTCCCCAGGAGTTTAAGATGGCAGGCTAAGTTACATGAGCAGGAACATATTTATTTTGGGAAAACCTATTGGGAGAAAATGCAAGGCTGCATGATGGTCAGGAGGCTGGTGGGACAACTGACTGCTGGACCACAATCAGAAGTGACAGGAAGACTAATTTTAGCTCAATAGGAAGAATATTTTATTTTAGCGAGCTACCTGGAATCCTGTATCAAAAGTAACAAGAGCAGGCCAGGTGTGGTGGCTCACGCCTGTAATCCCAGCACTTTGGGTGGCCAAGATGGGTGGATTATCTGAGGTCAGAAGTTCGAGACCAGCCTGGCCAACATGTTGAAACCCTGTCTCTACTAAAAATACAAAAAAAATTAGCTGGGCATGGTGGCTCACACCTGTAATCTCAGCTACTCGGGGGGCTGAGGCAGGAAAACTGCTTGAGCCTGGAGACAGAAGTTGTAGTGAGCCAAGATTGCGCCACTGCACTCCAGCCTGGGTAACAGAGTAAGACACCATCTCAAAAAAAAAAAAAGAAAAAAAAAGTAACAAGAGCATATGTATTAGGGAAAATGGAAAGAAAAGACCTGCATTTGGGTTAAGAAATTCAAAGGTGCCTTCTAGATTAACAGTAGTTCATGTGAAAATACCCCTAAGGATTTTTTTTTTTTTTTTTTTGAGACGGAGTCTCACTCTTTCACCCAGGCCAGACTGCAGTGGCGCTATCTCGGCTCCCGGGTTCACGCCATTCTCCTGCCTCAGCCTCCCGAGTAGTTGGGACTGTAGGCGCTCGCCACCGCACCCGGCTAATTTTTTTGTATTTTTAATAGAGACGGGGTTTCACCGTGTTAGCCAGGATGGTCTCAATCTCCTGACCTCATGATCTGCCCGCCTCCGCCTCCCAAAGTACCCCTAAGGATTTTAGGTGATGGCAAAGTCTGAATGAAAGGAGAGTAAGGGCCAGGCGCAGTGGCTCACGCCTGTAATCCCAGTACTTTGGGAGGCTGAGGCGGGCAGATCACCTGAGGTTAGGGGTTCAAGAACTGCCTGGCCAACATGGTGAAACCCTATCTCTACTAAAAATACAAAAAGTTAGCTGGGCCTGGTGGTGGGCGCCTGTAATCCCAGCTACGCGGGAGGCTGAGGCAGGAGAATCGCTTGAACCCAGTAGGTGGAGATTGTAGTGAGCTGAGATCCTGCCATTGTACTCTCCAGCCTGGGCAACAAGAGTGAAACACTGTCTCAAAAAAAAAAAAAAAAAAAAAAAAAGTGGAGAGTAAGAAGGCTGCGAGGAGAGCTCACACATCCTTGGTTTGTATGAAGAAAAGGACAGTACCCTCTACCAGGGCCATCCCCTCATTGACAAACAGGAAGAGAAGGACAGTACCCTCAACCAGGCCCCCCAACCTTGAGACCTCATCTCTATATTTTTTTAATTTTAATTATTTATTTATTTGTTTGAGACGGAGTCTCACTCTGTCACCCAGGCTGGAGTGCAATGGCGCGATCTTGGCTCACTGCAACCTCCGCCTCCCAGGTTCAAGCGATTCTCCTGCCTCCGCCTCCTGAATAGCTGGGATTACAGATGCCCACCACCACACCCGGCTAATTTTTTGTATTTTTAGTAGACCTGGGGTTTCACCTTGTTGGCCAAGCTGGTCTCGAGCTCCTGACATTGTGATCCACCCACCTCAGCCTCCCAAAGTGCTGGGATTACAGGCGTGAGCCACTACACCCGGCTATTTATTTTTTTGAGATGAAGTCTAGCTCTGTCGTCCAGGCTAGAGTACAGTGACACGATCTTGTGTCACTGCAATCTCCACCTCCTGGACTCAAGCGATTCTCCTGCCTCAGCCTCCTCAGTAGCTGGGACTACAGGTGTGCACCACCATGCCCAGCTAATTTTTGTATTTTTAGTAGAGACAGGGTTTCACCATATTGGCCAGGCTGGTCTCGAACTCCTGACCTCAAGTGATCTGCCACCTCGGCCTCTCAAAGTGCTGAGATTACAGGCATGAGCCACTGCACCCAGCCTTGTCTCTATTTTGAAAAAATATATCTATTTTTAAGTTGTACATTTGGTTACAGGGGGTGTTCAACCAGAGACCAAAACAGCTACCTGACCAGATTGCCACAGGAGTGGCTGCAATGGGTGCATTGATCTAGATGACACCTGAAAGCCTTCTTGTTCCATATGGTTATATATGTCTCTGAAATCGGCTTCCATCTGCTGACCAGCTGAGGTAAGGTGCAAGAGAGAAGGTGGACTTATCTCCCCAGGGCACACATTTGGGCCAGTGTAGAATCCGGAAAGCTCCTGACCCTGGCTCTCCAGACATTCAGATGCCTAGGTTCTCTAGCACCATCCCCTCTCCCATGCCCCACCCTCTGCCCCAACTTACCGGGAGACGGCAAAGAGACCAGTGAGCAGAGGGAGCAGTTTGAGGGTATCCTGGGGCAGGTAAGTGGAAAGCACGGCCAGGTTGAAGAAGTAGAGAATAAAGAGCTGGACCGACTGGGCCACATATCGCCGGTGGATCTCCACCTCCCGCCGTGGCTCCCCAAAGGGCCGAAGGGCAGAAAAGCATAACAGGCTCAGCCCGTACACCAGGATCCCTGGGTGGAGTTGGGAAACAGGGTAGGGTCAGAAAAGGCAGGGGAAGGGCACAAGAGGCAGTAAGCTGGGGGCAGATTCACTGTGGGCAGTGCATGGGCTCTACACAGTGGGGTGGAGGTGGTCCTGGGAGGAGATGGGCATGCAGACTGGCAGGGGGTGGGAGACCCTGAGGGGCCCAGGTCAAGTGAAGGGAAATCCTCCTGCTCCCCACACCAGCCAGGCCCTGCCCTCCTCAAGTCCACTTCCCGATGCCCCCTTTCTTCTCACAGGCTCACCCAGCACAATGGGGAAGGTGGCAAAGACCCCGCAGCGCAGTGTGTAGATCAGGCGGGAACTCATGGTGGGCAGCCGTGGGACATCAAACGGCAGGAAGGCATATGCCCCGTATAGTAGGCAAGGGAAGAGAATGAGTGCGGCTCCCACGGAGGCCACAGCCCTTAGCCACTCACGGTCTCCACAGCTCCCGCAGCCCCCACAGGAACAGCCAGGCGGCCTCACCACTGCCTCAGCCCACTTGCGCTCAGTGGGGTCGGGGTGGGTGACCCGGGGGGGCATGAAGGTTCGGCACTCGCCCTCGCCTGCCTCACAGCGCACGATAAGGTCTTCTTGGGGCTGCCGCTCAATGCACTGTAGGTCAATAGGCACGAAGGCACGGGCCGCTTTCTCAGGCAGCAGGTTGGCATCGTCTTCGGGCAGCTCCTCTAGCTTGGTAAGTGGTTCTGACTCAGGGGGCTCTGGTTCAATGTCCCGCCAGCCAGGGGGATCCGGGAACGGAGCACTGGGCTGAGGGCCAGTCCCCCAGGGCAAGGTGGCAGCCTCACTTACTGTGCTGTCTAGACCATCCTCAGCCCCCTCTATGGCTGTGGGAGATCCAGCTGAAGACCCCACTCTGAGGGACTCAGCTCCCGGGGATTCGGCCCCACCTTCCCCTTCTGGCTGCCGGCCATTGGGAACCAAGGCCTGGGGTGAGCTCTTCTCTGGGGAATCAGACCTCTTCACTTCCAGTAGGGCCAGGGTCTCCTGTTCTGTCATCCTGGGGCCTCAGTTCTGGGATCTACCACAAGGTCATGTCATCCTGCAGGGAACAGAGGAAAGCTCTGTCAGAAACCCCTGTCTTCTAGTTATTAGGACAGGTTGACAGAACTCATACTCTCCAGGGCAACTGGCTTCATGGGTTTTGGCCCCTTCTGGAGCCTTAGGGAGAACGTGGTACAGAGGAAGACACTGAAACAGAGGGAGGAGGGAAGGAAGTGAGCAGCTGAAATGGAGGCACCCTTTCGACATCAAATGCCGTCCAACAGGAGAGGGTGAGTCAAGGGACACAGGCCCTGGCAGCTGTGAACTCAGTCAGCCTCCACCCACGCCTTCTATGCCCCTCCACCAAAACCCCTGGAGTCATGGCCACTCTAATGCAGGAATAGGAGGCAGAAGAGGTGTCTAGAACTTTGCCAAGTTTCTTTCCCACTGAGGATCTTGCTGTAGACAGAGAAGCTTCCTCTCCACTGTCCCATCCCTACACATCCCTGCTTGGAACCCTCCTGCATTCCAAGTGAGACCAGTGATTTGCCAACTGATCTGACCCAAAGAGCTGGCAGTTCCAGGCACCCTCTTCCTTCACTGGTACTTGGTCAGTTCCCAAACTCCTCACTAGCCCACCTCATCCATCTCTGCAGGGCCTGGGTCTGCTATTCTGATATTTAGGTCTGATCATGGCTGTTTTCTATGCCTTCTCTCCTGTCTTTCTCTCCTCCCTGCTGCCCTCCATCTCATTGCTTCTGGATGGGACTGATTCCCTTCCTTTATCTCAAGGGCACTCCAAACCTTGCAGTTTGGACCCATGACATCCTCTTACTTTCCATATGGAGTGGAGGGTCCCCAGCGTCTGTCCATCCGTCCGTCCGGGAAGGAGCTGCCCAGCTACCTGCTGGCTCTGCAAGTATTTCTCTCTGTCTCCCTCCCTTTACCTGTGTCTCAAAACCTGTCTGACCAGAGCAGGTGGGGCCCAGCTTAAAGGGGCAGGCCCCGCCCTGCTGAATCTGCCGACAAAAAAAAGCATCAGAGGAGGATGTCATCCTTTCTGAAAGTTGGGATGCAGCTGGGCAAAGGGGTAAGTTCACATTCTAGGCACCTGGAATGCGTAAGAACTCCCAGCTCAGGAAAGCAGAGGGAGAAAAGTGGATTTGTGCAACAAAGGGTGCTCGGAGTAGGCTGGGATACCCAGAAATGGAATTTGTACACTTATTCATTCAGTAAATACTTACTGGACACCAATTATTAGCTAGGCAGACACAGAAGAGAACAAGATGACAGTTGAGGTCTCTGCCCTTGAGAAGCTTATGTTCTATTGGGGTAACATAATGAAGAAGCCTAGCAACTAAATCAATTAGACAATTTTAATAGGAAAGACCTCTTTGGTAAGGTAATATTTGAGCTGAAACCTGATGGGAAATCAGGAGTATGAGTGTTACAGACAGAGGAACAGCAAGTGAAAGACCAATGGATGGGAAAGACTTAGGCTGTTTCAGGAACAGAAAGAAGGTGGGTGGCTGCAGCCAGGAGCATAGTGGTAGAAGGGCAATTTATGTTCTCATTACAATTCATACACAGGCAAAAACAACAACAACAAAACAAACCACCCTTGCTTTTTAACTTAGGTTTTAAGCTAAAACAAGACAAAGCAGTCACGCTCCTAGCTGTAAGCCCACCTGCCCTGATTTCCAATGTGAGGATTAGGAGATAGAAACGTTAGGGACTAGCTTCTCATTTCTATGAGTCCTTATCCCTAAAATCATTTGAGCTTTGGGAGGGCAGGGATAGTGTCTAGCTTGCTCACCTCTGTGTGTCTAGAATCTTGCACTGTGGCTGGAAGATGGCAGTTCAATAAATGTTACTGGCTCGTAAGAGATAGATATGCAAGCTGGAAATCTTTGGGAGGGGAGCTGAAGGGCCGAGACGCTTGTACAAGTCATTTCTTCCGGGGCTTTACTCCTATGTGATGCTCGGCCCTTTCCAAGGAAACTTTCACATGCACTTTTTGTTTGTTTAAATTATGGGGGAAAAGGGAAAGCTGGAGTCACTCTAACCAGTAATCTGAAAGAGGCTTGGCTCAAACGGGGAGGCGGGAAAGGGGCAGAAGGATGGACCAAATGACCATTGTAGGACAAAGCAGTCACGCTCCTAGCTGTAAGCTCACCTGCCCTGATCCAGTTAAGCTTTGGCCGCCTCAGTGGGTACACTGTCCGTTCTCTGATAGCTTTGCCAATAAAGTTTTTCGCAAGGGTTTGGAGAAGCCGGAAAGACGCCATGCTGCCCAGAGTTAGTTCTGGCAACTTCCCGGGAGGGAAAACGAGTTTCGCGAGATTTGGTAGCAGCAGGCCACTGGTCCGCAACTGTGCGGCTGCCATCGCGAGATTTGGCAGGCGGAGGAGGAGCTGTCGCGGGCAGCCGCCTCACAGCGATGGCGGCCGAGCAGGGCCGGTGGCGGCGGCGGCTGCGGCTACGGCCGGAGACGGCAGTGTTGGCGGTAGTGGTGGGTGGCAGGGGCCTGTGACCGGGAGCTGCCCCCGGACCCGGGCACCATGAGCCAAGGCCCCCCCACAGGGGAGAGCAGCGAGCCCGAAGCAAAAGTCCTCCACACTAAGCGGCTTTACCGGTGAGAGGGGCCAGGGCGTGAGAGCAGCCACCGAGGGAAGTGGGGAGACGGCGAGGGGCGGGGCCTCCCGGGCGGGCGGGGCCCGGGTGTCGGGGTGAGGTGCGGGTGAGGAAGGAGGGTGCAATTTTGGAGGCGGGGCGGGGTCCCGTAGTAACTCGGGATGGAACTGAAAGGAGGAATTGGGTAGGTGGGAGGTTTGGAGGGAAGCACGTGGAGGAATCCCCTCTGCAGTGAGCTTTCTTGGGGCGGGCACTAAGCTTGGTGGAGTTGGGGTAATAGGGTGGGAATTGAAGGCTGGAAGGGTTGGGTAGGTGAAGGTGGGGTCACAGGTGTAGAAAAACCCGGAAGGGAACGGTGCTTGGAATCCTGGGGGATTTACAAGGAAGAGTCTTGGACTGAAGTCCGTGGAGCTAGGTTCAGGTCCATCCTTTGCCACTCTCTCACGGTGTGACCTTGGGCCTCAGTTTCCTTATCCTTAAAAAGAACGATTTGAATTGGATGTGCTCTAAAGTCCCATACGGCTCTAATTTTGAGGAGTCCGAATGAGAAAGTCTTGGCCTGGAAGGGTCACGAACGACTTTTGTGTCCAGAGCGTTCTTGGGATTTGGGAGGCAATTCCGGGCACCTGGGGACTCCTGAGTCCTGCCTTCCTCCCAGCCTCATGACTGTAGTCTCTTGCCAGGCAACTTCCGTTCCTGGTTTCTGATTTCCATAATGCCACCCACGCTCCACAAGTCACATCTTCAGCCCTTCAGCCCTCTGTTGGCAACAGGCCCGAATGAGCTCTTCCCATCAAAGGTGGAGAATTTGTTGGGTAGGTCAACTGGAACATGGGCTCCGCAACTGGGTCAAAATAGGATGAAGCGTGGAAACTGAGTTTTGTGCCTTCTACTACAGAGTAGAGTTTGGGGTTTTCATTTAGCTCAGGCTTTATAGAACACGGATATTTGCATGAGAAGACGACCCTCAGAGCCTTGGCCACATTTTGGCGGTGAAAGAGTCAAGAGCATGTTGTCTTTTTCTCTTTGAGTAGGCATCCTGCCTTCTCTGGCTTTGTAAGCCAGAGGCAGAGGGGAGTATAGGCTGCTCCAAAAATAGAAAAGTGATTCAATCTAGCGGCCCCAGGGCTCCCACTATGGGCTGCCCCAAGCAGTCCCCAGGCGGGTGAGGAGTTGGCTGGGGGTGGCACGTGTGCCTTATCATGCTGCCGAGTGTCAGTGCTGCCTGTCAGACAGAGCGTGGGCAGTGTCTGCAATATTCCTTGTCTCCAGCTTTTGGGGATGGCTCTGGTCATCCTTCCAGTTGTCATCAAATGTAGTTCTTTCTTAAACCACTACATTCACAGGACTAACCTAAGCTGATGTGTTTGCCTGTGTGGCTTACCTGTGTGCACATGGGTATCTGCCTGTAATTGTGTTGTTGGCTTTGAGCAGGGTAGAAATTTGAGGCAGCCAATCACTGTTTTTATAATTTATTATAGCAGTGGTGATCAGTGGAAGGAACTAGGAGGAAAGTCTGATTTCTCTGCTCAAGATAAATGTGTTGTTAGACTATGGACTTGTCACTCTGAGCTTCAGAAATTTGGGGAACTCTCACACCTAGCTGTTTACGGATATGAAATTCTGAAATATTTTAAGTCAGAAGAAAGGGCAGCAGGAGAAAGGAGCCTGGAAGCACCAATTAATTAATTAGGCCAATTCATTAGTTATTTGTTTTTAAAAACATTTTTGTTTTTGCTAGGCCCGAGAGTACAATAGTGAATGAAACACACGGCTAGATTTTGTAGTTTTTGTTCTAAGAGAGATTATAGTTTAGTGGAGGAGCTTATGATCTGATGGAAAATGAGAAAAAAGTGGTGAGCCCTCTCATATTTAAGCGTTTTCAATTAGAACTTCCTAGAGTGGTGGTTATTTACCTTCTTTTGGATTAAGGATATAAGGAGAGCTGTGGAGCTTGTCTATAAAAATATACACTCCCATTAGCTCTTTCCATGGCACCAAAGATAAAAGCCCTGCCCTAGGGACTGAGCTGGTATAAAGTAAATCACTGGTGCTGCCCCTGGCATCGAGGGCCAGGTTGGCCAAAAGGGCTTGGCATCCATCTCTAGGCTGTCCAGTTTGAAGAAACATGATTGCTTGTGAGAAGGTATCGATTACCATCCCACCTACTCTGCTGGGTGCTGGCAGTCACTTCACCCTGTGTAGGGCAGCTTAGTAGTGTGCCTCCTGAGCCACCACCACCACAGGGTGCCAACTGTTGTGGCCCACTTTTCCTGGCCCGGGAGCACGTCTTGGTTTGTTTGGGAATCTTCACTCTGTTTTTGTTGCTTTTGTGTCCACAGTTGTGCCTGATTCACATGTTCTTATAGCTCCTGCCTGATGTCCTCTGGGTTTTACCCTTCCAGATATGAGACCTACCTCTGGGACTTCTTGGCCGTCCATTGTAGAGTTTCTGTGGCTTTTTCTTTGCTGTGATGACAGACTTACCTCTTAGTGCCTGGAGTCTCCCCCTCAGCCTTAGAACAAGAAGGATGGAGACTAACACTTGGAGTGATTACTATATACCAGTCACTGTTATGGGTGCTTTATGTATTAGCTAATTTAATCCTCACAAAGTAGGTAATAATATTCCCATTTTATGGTTGGGTGAAGTGAGACGTAAGGAAGTTAGGTATTTTGCCCAGGACCACATAGCTGGTAAGAAGTAGAGCTAAGATTTGAATCCAGGCGGTCTGGTTTCATGCCTACACTCTTAACCACTATGTTCAACAAATAATTCCTTCAGCAGAATCTAGGCTTATCAGAATCTTGCTTACGGCTAAGCAGCCCAGGAGCTCCCTCTACTTCCCCATCATACCCCACAATTCCATAGTAGAATTTTATACTAGAAGTGTCTTTCCTTTATGTCAGGGATAATAAGGCCTTATGTAATAATTTATTCATTCCACCATTATTGAATGTTTACCATATACCAGAGCTATATATAAATTATTATTTCATTTAATCCTCACAACAGTTCTCTGAAGTAGCTATTATTATCTTCGTTTTTATTGATGTGGTAACTAAGGCTTTAAAAGGGTGGGTAATTTGCCCAAAGGCACAGAGTAAGACACAGCCAGGGTTCAAACCCTAGATTTTCTGCCTGGCATCACAGCGTGTGCTCTTTCCATTGGGAGAGTCGGCCTTACCATATCACAGTTTCTCTACTTTGACACTGTTGACATTTTGGGTAGGGTAATGCTTTATTGTGGTGGACTGTCCTGTGTATTACAGGAGATTTAACAGCACCCACTAAATGCCAGTGGCAACCCTCTTTCCACCCAGTTGTGATGACAATAAATGTTTCTACCATTGCCAAATGTCCCCTGGTGGGCGGGGGGTGGGGAGGGGCAGGGGTTACTGTAACAAGATGGAGACTGTGTTCATCTTGTTTTGTACAGAGCTCAGCCTGCAGCCTTCTCCTTTTTCCCTCACCGCTAATTCTGTAGCTTTTCCTCTAGAATCGTGTCCCAGCGTCATCCTCTGTGGACCATGCATATGGCTGAGGGGATATTTGCCTGTATTTCCCTACAGGGCTGTGGTGGAGGCTGTGCATCGACTTGACCTCATCCTTTGCAACAAAACTGCTTATCAAGAAGTATTCAAACCAGAAAACATTAGCCTGAGGAACAAGTAAGCTAGAGACTCTAAACCACAGATCCTTACTGTTTCCCTGCCTATCTCTACCAGAAACCTTCTCAGATATATAAACACGCACTCTGTTTTACCTCCTGACCTCATGGTACCTTAATGGTCTCTGAAATCTCTGGCCTTCCTAAGAGAGGAGATAGGATCCCTCACTCCATCTGCAGATTTTACATCTAATAGACTGGTGCCATAAAGTAGCACAGTCTCTACATCTAAAAAGTAGAGTAAAATAAAATAAAAAGAATGGCATTCGAGGCAGGGCACAGTGGCTCACGTTTGTAATCCCAGCACCTTGGGAGACCAAGGCAGGAGGAACACTTGAGCCCAGGAGTTTGAGACCAGACCTGGCAACATAACAAGACCCAGTCTCCACAAAAAAATTAAAAAATCAGTTGAGTATGGTGCTGCACACCTGTAATCCCGCACACCTGTAGTTAGGCTGAGGTGGGAGGATCATTTGAGCCCAGAGGTTCAAGTTTATGGTGCTATGATCCCGCCACTGCCACAGAGTGAGTGAGACCCTGTCTCAAAAAAAAAAAAAAACCCAAAAATATATTTGAGTCAAGGGAGTCGGCCATACTGCATAATGAAGGGAAAAATGGGATAAAAAAGCAGAGAAAAAGAGAGCGAAGTGTACAAAGGGAAAAAATGAGGAAAAACTTAGAATGTTTAGTGCTTCGTGCTTCTGTCTTTTGGGGCTCCCACTGCCTTCCTAGGCTGCTGTTGTGCTGGGTCATATTGACCCTGCATGTCTCTTGGGAAGCACCGAGATTTGTTGGTGGGGGTGTTGGCACATGACTCCTTGCCCTCAGTTCTTATGTCCCTGCTCCAAGGGATGGGCTGTCTCTCTCATGCTCCTCTACACCCTCCAGGCTGCGTGAGCTCTGCGTCAAGCTTATGTTCCTGCACCCAGTGGACTATGGGAGAAAGGCTGAGGAGCTGCTGTGGAGAAAGGTATACTATGAAGTTATCCAGCTTATCAAGACTAACAAAAAGGTAAGGGGAAGTCCTTGTCTAAAGAGGGAAAGCCAAGGAAGGAAGAGACAGCTAGGAAAGTGGGCGCAGAACATGGTTGGAGGTAGGGGAGCCAAGAAAACATGGCAGTAAGAGGCTGGGCACGGTGGCTCATGCGTGTAATCCCAGCACTTTGGGAGGCTGAGGCAGGCAGATCTCCTGAGGTTGGGAGTTCGAGACCAGCCTGACCAACATGGAGAAACCCCATCTCTACTAGAAATACAAAATTAGCTGGACGTGGTGGTGCATGCCTGTAATCCCAGCTACTCGGGAGGCTGAGGCAGGAGAATCACTTGAATCCAGGAGGCAGAGGTTGCGATGAGCTGAGATCGCGCCATTGTACTCCAGCCAGGGCAACAAGAATGAAACTCCATCTCAAAAAAAAAAAAAAAAAAGACAGCAGAAAGGAAGGAGGAAGAGAGTCAGATGTAATTAGGATTAGGGAAGGAGGAAGAGAGTCAGATGTAATTAGGATTAGAGAAGGAGGGGAGCCTGGTCCCAGATGGAAAGATCAGAGAGTTAGAGCTAAGAGTATGACAGTAACTTGTGAGTGAGAGTAGATGTAGATGAAGTTCCAGAGCCAAGTGAGATGAACAGGGTAAGGGAGGGTGAGTGCGACTCTGAGTTTATTGCTTAACCAGCCCCTTCCCTTTCGCAATCTGTAGCACATCCACAGCCGGAGCACTTTGGAATGTGCCTACAGGACGCACCTGGTTGCTGGTATTGGCTTCTACCAGCATCTCCTTCTCTATATCCAGTCCCACTACCAGCTGGAACTGCAGTGCTGCATCGACTGGACCCATGTCACTGACCCCCTCATAGGTCAGTGGAACCTGAAAGGTGGACTTGAGCAGGTTCTCATGCTTCTACCTCTGGCCTTATCCCTCAGGGTTCATGTAGCTTGCGACCCAGCCAGGCAGAGAGAGTTCTAGCAGAACTACATACAAATGGTTTATGAAGTTTGGATTTATCCAGACAATCATATGAGTTAGGGTAAAGATCTTAAGGAAAGAGAGAGGCCTGGGATTGTGGACTAAGGCAGAGGAGGGACAGAAAGACCTAGAGTAGGTCTGGCACTGGAAGGTGGTATTAATACATTTCTTTTCTTCTCCCAGTTGAATTTGGCCAGCACTGTTTCTTTTGACTTTAGAGATTATTTCCCAATGTTTGATGAAAGTTTTGAAATCTTTAGATATGTTGGGAAAATTGTGGACAGTCTTTCAACATAGTACAAGTTCCTTTTCCACCAGCTGAGGTACTGGCAGCTATAATTTTAATTCCTTTTCTAGTTGGTAAGTTTTCTCTTCAGTTCAGCCATCCTTTAGAGCTCCTTCACCCAGCTCTCTCTGCTCTCTCTGTCCCCTTCATCACCAAGACAGACATTCTGGGTCAGAGATGGAGGTTGTGTCCTTGTCACCACATGGAGGAATTCTGTGATCAGAAGCAGAGCACCTGTGTTTTATGCATTTAAAAACATCTAGACCGGGCACGGTGGCTCATGCCTGTAATCCCAGCACTTTGAGAGGCCGAGGCAGGTGGATCACCTGAGGTCAGGAGTTTGAGACCAGCCTAGCCAACATGGTGAAACTCCATCTCTATTAAAAATATAAAAATTAGCTGGGCATGGTGGCGTGCACCTATAATCCCAGCTACTCAGGAGGCTGAGGCAAGAGAATCGCCTGAACCCGGCAGGTGGAGGTTGCAGTGAGCCAAGATCACGCCACTGCACTCCAGCCTGGGTAACAGAGTGAGACTCTGTCTCAAAAAAAAAAAAAAAAAGCCAAACCTCTAGACCAGGCGTGGTGGCTCATGCCTGTAATCTCAGCACTTTGGGAGGCCAAGGCGGGAGGATTGCTTAAGGCCAGGAATTCAGGACCAGCCTGGGCAACATAGTGAGATCCTACATCATCTCTACAAAAAATAATTTAACTGGGCATGGTGGTGCGTGCATGTTGTCCTAGCTACATGGAAGGCTGAGGCAGGAGGATCGCTGAAGCCCAGGAGTTCGAGGCTGCAGTGAGCCATGATTTCATCGCTGGAACTCCAGCCGGGGCAATACAGCAAGACCTTCTCTCCAAAAAAAAAAAAAAACCACCACATTATCTAAAAGACAAGATTATTCTGGGACCATGTCCATAGGTTACCAGATAGCTAGAGGGGTCCACAGCTTTAAAAAAAAGATCACTTCAAAGGGTTAGTGCCCCAAACCACTTTAGTTTTTATGTTCACTGATGTTTTCTCCATTCAGCCAACTGAGAAGTGTCTATAAAACATTAGGACTGGCTTTTCCAAATGGAAGCAACCCATCTGAGTGAGGCAGTAAGGTGGAATGGATAAGAGGACAGTCTCTGGAGCCTTTTGTATCCTAACTCTGCTGCTTAGCAGCTGTGTGACTAATTTCCTCAACTGTAAAATGGGAGTAATAAGAGTAACCTCATAGGGTTGCTGTGAGAATTAAGTTAATACTGTAGAATGCTTAGACAAGTTTCTGGCACATGAGAAAACTGCCTTCCAAAGATCTCAAGCTCTCTGAAGTTACCAGGCAGTTTCTTGGGAAGGGAGAGGTGAGTGCTCAGGCATATTTGACTTTGGCCATCAGCAGCCTCAGGCAGGGCAAGCCCACTTTTCTCCTTCATGGGCAGACTCTCCAGTAGGCTGCCTTCTCTGTGGACCTCCACTAGGAGCATCTGCCTTAGCCTCATTCACATGTCTTTCTTTTTTTCTTTTTTAAATTTTGTTGTTGTCGTTGTTTTTGCTTTTTTTTTTTTTTTTTTTAATTGGCGTCATTCACATTTCATTCTTGGGCAAATTAGTTTCCCATATTTACCTCAAACCTTTCACCTTTATGTGTGTAACTTCTACCCAAGACATTCATGACCCTATTCATACTTGAAGCTCATCCCTTCCTCCTTTTTGGAAGCCTTCCTGTGATGACCTTCCCGCAAGGTGCCATCCTAGGTTGAGGGCCCTAGCCCTCCTTTTCCAGTTCCTTCCTGTCCTATGAATGAATCTGCCTATAAGTCTCTGAGTCCCTGCGTATGGCCACCTGTGATCCTCTGTGTCTCTCCCTGTGTCCTGGATGAGTGTGTCTCTGCCCTGAAAGACAATGTTCCAAGACTGGCCCTGGATTCTTAGTCTCTACATCTCGGAGGGGTATTTCTTCATAGGTGCGGGAAGGCAGAAGAATGGGCCTACAAATCTCTTTCTCTTTGTCTCATAGGATGCAAGAAGCCAGTGTCTGCCTCAGGGAAGGAGATGGATTGGGCACAGATGGCATGTCACCGATGTCTGGTGTATCTGGGGGATTTGTGTAAGAATTTGCACCTTTCATTTTCTCTGTTTTGGGTTACAGGACGAGCCCAGGCTGCTTCAGTTGTTGGTAACACCCATTACATGGTTGGAGAGCAGGAGGGATAGTTTGGCTTCTGATAACTTTTTCCCTCCCATCTGTTTCAGTGATCCCTTCTTTTCACTGCCCTTCCATGAGTCAGAGAGGATCAGTGAATACAGGAAAAAGGGAAATTTCTTTGAGCTTTGAGCAAATGAAGATAATAATTCTCTTTCAGTAGTGGGTTGGGAAGATTTTAATTTGATATTTTTCTTCTTTGAGTGTTTCTTTTATCTTTATGGACTGCTAGATGAATAGAAACTTCAGCACAGGGATTGAAATTAGACATCAAGGAGGACTTACCTTCCTAACAGATGTTTCTAAGGATGGAAAAGTACTCTTTTGCTTTATAGCCCCTGGGGCCTCTCGTCCTGATAGACAGTGGTTTCTCATTAGGCTGCTGGTGTGTGGCTGTTGGGTGCATTATGTCTTACTGACCTGGGTCTACTATCCTTGCCCCCAGCCCACTCCTGGACCCCTCATGAGCAGTGTGTGCAGAGAGTCAGCTGTTTGATATTTGATGAACCAGAGTATCATTAGTAGTGTCTTCTCTGTGAAATTGAGCATTTGCATTTCAGAACTAAATATCAGAGGTCTTTGCAAGCATTTATGTGTGCTGCAGCTCCCCTTCATTGGGAAGAGATTACCAAGAAGAGCCTATTCAGGCTGGGCGTGGTGGCACGCATCTGTAGTCCCAGCTACTTGGGAGGCTGAGGCAGGAGGATCATTTGAACCCAGGAGTTGGAGACCAGCCTGGGTGACAGCAAGACCCCGTCTCTAAAAAAAAAAAAAAAAAAAAAGAAAACAAAACAAAAAAAGAAGAGCTTATTTACTTCACAAACAATATTCTTTACATTTTGAACCTACCAGCAAGGAAGAGAGTTGAACAATTTGCCCATAGTCATGCAGATTTAGGACTGTGCCAGAGACCCCAGCAACCTGCTTCCTAGCTCAGGTACCTTCCTTCCAGGCTCTTGTTACCACTCTCAGAGTGGACTCCCAGATGTGGGGGAGGGTTTTCTGAAACTTAAAATCATCGAGTTTCCCTTCGTTTTCTCTCTTGTGCAGCCCGATATCAGAATGAATTAGCTGGCGTAGATACCGAGCTGCTAGCCGAGAGATTTTACTACCAAGCCCTGTCAGTAGCTCCTCAGATTGGTAAGTTGTCCCCAACTTGGGCCTCTGAATCCAGTAGGGTTTTCCTAGGGAAGACGATGTTGTTGAGATGGCAGGCAGTTCATACTCATTTTCCCCAGCTCCTCTTCATTCTCAGCTCTCTCGTACTTCACCTTGTTTATACCTTTTCCCTCTTGTAACACACTCAGAAAATGGTGGAAGGGGAAGATAAATGGGAAGGTCTTGAACTAAGGAGTGAGGCAGAGTAGAAGGAAAAGAGAAGATGGCTTTCCTCTCCCTGAGGTCTCTTGTAGAAAGAGAAGCACAATGAGATAAAGCATAAGACTATTATAGAGAGAGATGGGGATTTGCATGTAGGAACAAGCATTCAGTGCTGAGATAGAGGAGAGGGCTCCATGGAGTTCCATCAACCTTGGAGGAGCCATATTGGAAGCCAGAGGAATGGTACTCCATCAATTCAGGTAACGCCTGTCACACCAGGTGGGAACAAGCTGATGGATATAAGAAGAGGTCAGTAGGCCGGGCGCGGTGGCTCAACGTTTGTAATCCCAGCACTTTGGGAGGCTGAGGCGGGCAGATCACGACGTCAGGAGATTGAGACCACGGTGAAACCTCGTCTCTACTAAAAATACAAAAAATTAGCCGGGCATGGTGGTGGGTGCCTGTGGTAGTCCCAGCTACTGGGAGAGGCTGAGGCAGGAGAATGGCGTGAACCTGGGAGGCGGAGCTTGCAGTGAGCCGAGATCACACCACTGCACTCCAGCCTGGGCGACAGAGCGAGACTCCATCTCCAAAAAAAAAAAGAAGAGGTCAGTAATCCTCTAGAGGAAAAAGATTAAGCTGCTAATCACCTGAGACAACCAGTGTTGCCTGCAGACCCAGCTGTTCTCCCTACAGGTTCTCTGATGCTTAGCATTGGTTGGGCCTGGCAGCTTTGAATGAGTATTGTGGCCTTAGACTGCATGAATTCTCTTTCTCCCTAGGAATGCCCTTCAATCAGCTGGGCACCCTGGCAGGCAGCAAGTACTATAATGTGGAAGCCATGTATTGCTACCTGCGCTGGTGAGTATTTGCCAGCTCTTTTTCCAGCCCTGCTTTTGTGTGCATATTATTTTGGCTTTGTTTTCCGTCTTCCCTTCCTCCTTCCTCTAGCTGTGGCTGAGATAGGGGAATGCTAAGATTGAAGGGTCTCTCCATTCAGGGGGACTCTGACACAGCCCTGCTGCTTTTCACATAACCGCTGGATCTGTAGGCACTTGGGCAGCTAAAATAGCTATTTACTGTCTTATGCAAAATACAAGATTGCTGTTTTCTTGAAGAAGGAAATAAATTTGATACAGTTGGTAAAATGTTACTAAGGTGGCTTCTGGCAAGAGCATGAGAATTCTGGAGTGTGTTAATGTGGTAATATACGTGGAAGGACCAGCAGGGTGGGTCACTGCTTCCCTGGGTCTGACTCTTAGCTGTTAGAATAAAAAACAACATTTTTGGCAGGGCCTGGTAGCTCATACCTGTAATCCTAGCACTTTGGGAGGCCAAGGCAGGCAGATCACCTGAGGTTCGGAGTTCAGGACCAGCCTGGCCAACATGGTGAAACCCCATCTCTACTAAAAATACAAAAATCAGCTGGGTATGGTGGTGAGCGCCTCTAATCCTAGCTACTTGGGAGGCTTAGGCAGGAGAATCACTTGAACGCAGGAGAATCACTTGAACCCAGGAGGCAGAGGTTGCAGTGAGCCGAGATCATGCCACTGCACTCCAGCCTGGGCAACAGAGCAAGACTCCATCTCAAAAAAAAAAAAAAAAAAAAAAAAACCTCTTCAGGGCACCCAAAATTGATTAAGCTTAGGGTATTGAGTCGCCATACAAGTCGCTGTAACCAAGAGCACATGAGACTGATAGGTAAACCAGAATACTTTACCTGGAATGCTTTTAAGTTATACTGAGAAACTGCCAGAAAACAGAAAAATTGACCTTTGTCACCTAATCAGTGCTAAAGTTGAGAAGCCAAAATCATTCTCAGAAGAAGTTATATAATGAGCTTGGGCTTCAAGCAAAAGGAGTAGGGTGGTCTTCATAGCTTAAGTGGTCAACTACTAAAGTATATCCAAATAGTAAAGTAATCAGATAATAAAGTATAAAATAATGAAATACTAATTGTACGTCATAATTCCATGTGCCATGACTTTTGGTTCACCTGGCCAAGGTAACCTAGTCGCTGTATTAAATTTAGCTTGTTGAGGGTCCCTCTCATCTAGATCAGTTCAGGCTGGCCTTCTATACCTATACCGATATATTCATTCATTCTTAAGTATCGTTACTAGGTTTATAACCTGGTGTATCTTTCGCATTTCTTTTTTCTTTTTTTTTTTTTGAGATGGAGTTTCACTCTTGTTGCCCAGGCTGGAGTGCAATGGCATGATCTCGGCTCACTGCAACCTCCGCCTCCCGGGTTCAAGTGATTCTTCTGCCCCAGCCTCTCGAGTAGCTAGGATTACAGACATGCACCACAACGCCTGGCTAATTTTGTATTTTTAGTAGAGACCGGGTTTCTCCATGTTGCTCAGGCTGGTCTCAAACTCCCGACCTCAGGTGATCCGCCTGCCTTGGCCTCCCAAAGTGTTGGGATTACAGGCGTGAGCCACCGTGCCCGGCTGTATCTTTCCCATTTCTTAAATGCCTTCCTGAGAATGACCCCCCTTTACTTGTCCTGAGTCCCTCATCATACTCATAAGCATGATTTAGGGTGGGTCAGTTCCAAAAGAGAGCCAGGTATATCCAAGTTTGGGAGGTGCCCACTAAGGGCATACCTGACTCTGCTAAAACAATTCTCTCTCATGGTTTATGGGTTAGACATTTGGGCAGGGCTCAGTTGGGCAATCCGCCTTCTCCTAGTGGCATTGTTTAGGGTTAGTCATTGGTATTCAGCTGATCGGAAGGTCTAATATATCTGGAGGGTTGGGTCATTTGGCCCCTCTCCTCTGTGTGGTCTTAGGACCATGCGTGGTATCTTCCACAGGGTAGAAGAACTTCTTATGTAGTGGCTCAAGGCTCCAACAGTGAACAATGACTTAGGAGACTTGGAAGCTGTTACTTCTATAATATTCTATTGGTCATAGCCCTTCCTCCCGCAGCCCCCTGCAAGATTTAAGGGGAGGAGATATAGACCACATTTCTCAGTGGAAGGAGTGTCAGATAATTTGTGGCTATCTTTAATTCACCACAGACATTGGTTTCTTCTATTTTATACCTCACTTTTTATAATTAAAAACATGTTTTTAAGAAACGACACAAAATGTCATGAGTGTTAAGGTCATTGGGTTTTTGTTTGTTTGTTTGTTTGAGACAGAGTCTTGCTCTGTCGCCTAGGCTGGTGTGCAATGGCGCGATCTCGGCTCACTGCAACCTCCACCTCCTGGGTTCAGGCGATTCTCCTGCCTCAGCCTCCTGAGTAGTTGGGATTAAAGGCGCATGCCACCATGCCTGGCTAATTTTTTTTCTTTTTTTGAGATGGAGTCTCGCACTGTCGCACAGGCTGGAGTGCAGTGGCGCGATCTCAGCTCGCTGCAAGCTCCGCCTCCTGGATTCACGCCATTCTTCTGCCTCAGCCTCCCAAGTAGCTGGGACAACAGGCGCCTGCCAACACGCCCGGCTAATTTTTTGTATTTTTAGTAGAGACGGGGTCTCACTGTGTTAGCCAGGATGGTCTCGATCTCCTGACCTCGTGATCCACCTGCCTTGGCCTCCCAAAGTGCTGGGATTACAGGTGTGAGCCACTGCACCCAGCCTGGCTAATTTTTTGTATTTTTAGTAGAGACAGGGTTTCACCATGTTGGCCAGGCTCATCTCGAACTCCTGACCTCTTGATACGCCCGCCTCAGCCTCCCAAAGTGCTGGGTTTACAGATCCCAGTACAGATGAGCCACTGCACCTGGCTGTGTGTGTTTGTTTGTTTTTAGTAAGACAGGGTTGAGGGCTGGGCATAGTGTCTCACACTTGTAATCCCAGGACTTTGGGAGGTTGAGGGTCACTTGAGTCCAGGAGTTTAAGGCCAGCCTGGTCAACATAGTGAGACCCCATCTCTACAAAAGAAAAGTTAAAAAATGAGCTGGGGCTGGGCGCAGTGGCTCGTGCCTATAATCCCAGCACTTTGGGAGGCTGAGGCAGGTGAATCACCTGAGGTCAGGAGTTTGAGACCAGTCTGGCCAACATGGTGAAACCCCGTCTCTACTAAAAATACAAAAATGAGCTGGCGTGGTGGCAGGCACCTGTAATCCCAGCTACTTGGGAGACTCAGGCACGAGAATCGCTTGAACCCGGGAGGCGGATGTTGCAGTGAGCTGAGATTGTGCCACAGCACTCCAGCCAGGGTGATAGAGTGAGACTCAGTTTCAAAAAAAAAAAAAAAGAGTTGGATTGGGGACTTTTCTCTACCATGTGTTAGCTGTGTGACCTTGGTCAGTGTGCTTGTTCTCTCACAGGCTATGTGTCCTCATCTGTGAATGTGGACAATATTAGGGTACATTGCCTGACACAGTGGGTGCTCAGTACATGTTTGTGTTTGCATGTTGGGAGGATTAACTGAAATAGTGCATGTAAATATTCTTGCACATAGTAAATGCTTGTTAAATGCTATCCATTATAAAGTATTCTATGTTTAAAAATAGATGAAGGATAGTGTATTTCAGGGATGGTAATAACTAAGTTTGTAGCAGGGTAGGATTGATATTCTCCTTTCTAGATACAAAGCAGAGTAAGACATCGTTTTTCCTCTGACTAATCTAGAAGTTATGTGTGTGTGTGTTATCGGGAAAGATAGCTCATGAGCCTTTTACCCTGCGTATGTACATGGAAGCTGAGGCTGGGAGCAGCCTGTATTTACTAGTAACATTGTTTCCTAAAGCCCCAGCAGAGTAACATATCCTCCCCCTGCCAAGACTCAGTAGCTCACCTCTATCTCTTACAGCATCCAGTCAGAAGTGTCCTTTGAGGGAGCCTATGGGAACCTCAAGCGGCTGTATGACAAGGCAGCCAAAATGTACCACCAACTGAAGAAGTGTGAGACTCGGAAACTGTCTCCTGGCAAAAAGCGGTGAGTGGGGCCTGTGAGGAGGACGGGTTTTTTCTGCAGTTGGTGCAGTAGGACCATAGGGACTGCGGGACCATTCAGCATTTACTTTGGGCTCTTCTCATTTCAGATGTAAAGACATTAAAAGGTTGCTAGTGAACTTTATGTATCTGCAAAGCCTCCTACAGCCCAAAAGCAGGTGAGTGGAAGAGAGCATGAACCTGAACTATCCTGTGAGCCCCAGCCATGATGCTTTACAGAAGGAACCTTGACAAGGGTGGACTGTCGAGTTCTGCCCTCAGTTTGAACATCCGTAACCAATTCATCCTTTCTTGGCATTCCTCACTGTTTCTCCCAAGGGTCCTATGCCCATCCTCCTCCCAGCAGCTCTCCCTATGGCACAGAATGGGTGCTTAGGAGATGTTGAAGAGGGAATGGCTGAATGGGAAGCCTACTCACATCCCTTCCCCTGTTTTAGTTGCTATGGAGATCAATCCAGCACTACCCTTCCCTGGTGTGCTCTCAGGTCTCCCCTGCAGCATCCCATAGTCCTTTCTCTGAATCTTGTATTCCCTGCTCTTCTCCTTCCCCAGCCCCCACCACTGACCTCCCCTGTTACTCCTGCCCCTCTGTAGCTCCGTGGACTCAGAGCTGACCTCACTTTGCCAGTCAGTCCTGGAGGACTTCAACCTCTGCCTCTTCTACCTGCCCTCCTCACCCAACCTCAGCCTGGCCAGTGAGGATGAGGAGGAGTATGAGAGTGGATATGCTTTCCTCCCGGACCTTCTCATCTTTCAAATGGTCATCATCTGCCTTATGTGTGTGCACAGCTTGGAGAGAGCAGGTAACCTTCCCTATGTTCCTCTTTTCTCTTCCACTGGCTTTGGGGATCCTCACTCCCCTTTTCTGCAGCTCCTTATTCATAAACTTCCTTCCACAAGCAGCCTCTTCACTCCTGTGTCACTGCTTGGCTGTGGGCAAGTAAGGGCCAAGGGATCCTACCCTAAAGGAGGTCCTGGTAATTGAGTACAAGCAACAGCACATTTCCTTCCCCCTTCTCCTTACTGCCTCCCATAAATATGCACACCCTTGGCCAGGGCCTGTGCAGACACAAGGGTCAGGGTACTTAGTGATCATCCAGACAGAATTTCAGACCTTCTGTTGGAGGCATTTAGGCAATTCTGGAAGCCTTTCTGGCAGAAGTGTATGTAGAGCAAGATTGGGAGGTAAGGAGGGATAGGACTGGATGTGAAGGCTCTTGAGGCATGGGGAGGAACCTCAGAGCCAGGGAGGATGAGATGGGACAAAAGGATATGCTTATCTGAAGGAGTACAAGGTGAGATGGTAAATTCTAGATTATGGAAGGGATAATAGGACACGTACAGTGCCTCACGCCTGTAATCCCAGCACTTTGGGAGGCCGAGGCGGGCAGATTGAGCCCAGGAGTTCAAGACCCAGCCTGGGCAACATAGTGAGACTCTTGTCTCTAAAAAGTTAAAAAAAAAAAAAAAAGAATCTTTGATAAGTAGTTGGATCCTTGGAAGAGTTGAGAACAGATGAGATGTGGTTGGAATTGATGGTGCCTACTCCTCATCAGGGCCCTAGGCCCCTAATGCCTGGCTTTCCTGACTTCAGGATCCAAGCAGTACAGTGCAGCCATTGCCTTCACCCTGGCCCTCTTTTCCCACCTCGTCAATCATGTCAACATACGGCTGCAGGCTGAGCTGGAAGAGGGCGAGAATCCCGTCCCGGCATTCCAGAGTGATGGCACAGGTGGGAGAATCGGGGAGGTCATCACTATGGAAAGGTTGGTGTGGGGCATGGGGATGAAGGAAAGGAACACAGACTCGGGGGAAGTGGTGTTGGAGAGCACATTCCAGCTTCCAGGCTCCACCTGTTCCTCGGGCTCCACCTGACCTTCCTCTTTCCGCAGATGAACCAGAGTCCAAGGAACCTGTGGAGAAAGAGGAGGAGCCAGATCCTGAGCCTCCTCCTGTAACACCCCAAGTGGGTGAGGGCAGAAAGAGCCGTAAGTTCTCTCGCCTCTCCTGTCTCCGCCGTCGCCGCCACCCACCCAAAGTTGGTGATGACAGTGACCTGAGTGAAGGCTTTGAATCGGACTCAAGCCATGACTCAGCCCGGGCCAGTGAGGGCTCAGACAGTGGCTCTGACAAGAGTCTTGAAGGTGGGGGAACGGCCTTTGATGCTGAAACAGACTCGGAAATGAATAGCCAGGAGTCCCGATCAGACTTGGAAGATATGGAGGAAGAGGAGGGGACACGGTCACCAACCCTGGAGCCCCCTCGGGGCAGATCAGAGGCTCCCGATTCCCTCAATGGCCCACTGGGCCCCAGTGAGGCTAGCATTGCCAGCAATCTACAAGCCATGTCCACCCAGATGTTCCAGACTAAGCGCTGCTTCCGACTGGCCCCCACCTTTAGCAACCTGCTCCTCCAGCCCACCACCAACCCTCATACCTCGGCCAGCCACAGGCCTTGCGTCAATGGGGATGTAGACAAGCCTTCAGAGCCAGGTATTTGGACCACTTCATCATCCTGTTCTGGTCCGCACCTCCATGCCATAGACACTCACCAGAGAGGCCGCTTTCCTATCTGTGTGAATGACCTCTCGTCTCTACCCTTACCTTTGGCCCTCTGCCTGTGGTGTAGCCCATGAGTTTTTTCCTGAGGGTCCACCCTCCTGCTCACTTCCTTATTCCCATCTCCCAACCCATTTGTTGGTTTTATTTCTTTTGCACTTCACCCTGTCCTGTGGGTTTGGGGCTTTCCTCCCTACACAACAATTGCAGCTGCAGCTTCCTTCCCTGTGCCATCCCAAGTCCCTCCAGGGCTTCTGGAAGCTAGAAAAACTGGTACCCACCAGCGCAGGTGCATTAGAGTGAGACTTCTCTCCTGAGGATATTCCCTGCAAACAGAGTACCCATTTAGTAGCAGCAACCGTTTGTTAAGGCTACTCTATGCATCATTCTAGGGTGTTGTCTTATTTAACCTTCATAGCAGTCTTGTGGTAGAAGAGTTGTCATCCCTACTCTAGGCTGTCTTTTACTTCCAAAGTTTTTTTTTTTTTTTTAAAGACAGGGTCTTACCTATCCCCCAGACTGGAGTGCAGTGGCGCCATCTTGGCTCACTGCAACCAACTGCTTCCCAGGCTCAAACGATTCTCTTACCTCAGCCTTCTGAGTAGCTGGGATGACAGGCATGCACTACCATGCCCGGCTTTTGTGTGTGTGTGTGTGTGTGTGTGTGTGTGTGTGTGTATTTTTTTTTTGAGACAGAGTCTCACTCTGTTGCCCAGGCTGGAGGGCAGTGGCACGATCTCGGCTCACTGCAGCTTCTGCCTCCCAGGTTGAAGTGATTCTTCTGCCTCAGCCTCCCAAGTAGCTGGGACTAGAGGCACGCACCACCATGCCCGGCTAATTTTTGTATTTTTAGTAGAGACGGGGTTTCGCCATGTTGGCCAGGCTGGTCTCAAACTCCTGACCTTAGGTGATCTTCCTACCTTGGCCTCCCAAAGTGCTGGGATTACAGGTGTGAGCCGCCACACCTAGCCCCTCCAAACTTTTATACATAGTGTTTTGTCTGTCTGGCAAGTGCTTTTCCTCCCTTGCTCCCAGCCTGTCACTTAGCTAATTCTTACTTGCCCCCACTAGATTTTAGCTTAAAAGTCACTTGGTCTGGGACTCCTTCAAGGGTATGTTAGATTTGCTTCTTGTGGCCTCCTGCACCTCTGCAGCCTCCAGTCCTTTTCCACTCTATTGAGGTTGACTGTTGATTTGTCTGTCTCCCCAGTTAGAGTCTGAACTGCTTGAGGGCAGGACAGAATATTTCTTACTTATTGCTGTATCCCTAGTACCTAACACAGTGTCTGGCACATGGATGGGACTTAAGAACTATCGAATGACTGAGTGAATGGCAGAAATGAGGGATGCTCAGAGATGTGAAGGGACCTGTCCAGTGTTCTCACTTGCAAAGTAGAAGAGGTAGGAATTAAAAGTAACTCTTTTTTTTTTTTTTTTTTTTTTTTTTGAGACGGAGTCTCGCTCTGTTGCCCAGGCTGGAGTGCAGTGGTGCAATCTCGGCTCACTGCAACCTCCACCTCCCGGGTTCAAGCAATTCTCCTGCCTCAGCCTCCCGAGTAGCTGAGATTACAGGCATGCACCACCACACCCAGCTAATTTTTGTATTTTTAGTAGAGACAGGGTTTCACCATGTTGGCCAGGCTGGTCTTGAACTCCTAACCTTGTGATCCGCCCACCTCAGCCTCCCAAAGTGCAGGGATTACAGGCGTGAGCCACCACGCCCGGCCTGAAAGTAACTCTTTTAAAACCATACCCCTTGCTTTTCTCCCTCCCTTATAGCTCCCCTCTAACTGTCTGCCCTGCCTTCCAGCACAGAGTAGGCATTTCATAAATCCTAGTTGAATGAATAGCTGTAGATCAACGTCACAAATTACTTGAGTCTATAAGAATCATATTTAAAAGGCACCATATTTTAAAAACAACCTTGGTAAAATGAATTTGATGAGATTAAAAAACAACAACAGTTAGTGGGCCTGGAAAAATTGAATAAGGGCCTGTAAGTGGTTCCCCAGATTTTTCATATCCAAATTCCTTGGAAGGGCCCAGGCCAGGTGGAAGCATGCTCCCTGCACAGAGCTGAGGCCTGTTCCCAAGTGTCAGTTGTTTATCCCAGTTTTTTTCTCTTCCATTCACCCACCCCCCAGCCTCTGAGGAGGGCTCTGAGTCGGAGGGGAGTGAGTCCAGTGGACGCTCCTGTCGGAATGAGCGCAGCATCCAGGAGAAGCTTCAGGTCCTGATGGCCGAAGGTCTGCTTCCTGCTGTGAAAGTCTTCCTGGACTGGCTTCGGACCAACCCCGACCTCATCATCGTGTGTGCGCAGGTGTGTCAGTCCACTCCATTGCCCCTGTCAGGTCCCAGGGTCTTGGAGGAGGGGATGAGCCAGGATGGGGCCTGAGGATCCCCCCTGATGGCCAAGGCAAGAATTATTGCCAAGCAATTAATCACCTATCTGTGCTGGGCCCTTATGCTCTGACAGGGAAGGATTAGGCATGATCTTGGCCCTCACAAAGCCTGTGGCCAGGGAACAATTAGCGAGCTGCTTATTTTGCTTTGTATCCCCAATGCTGGGCATAATGCCTGCCATTATGAGTAATGCCGGTAGAAGTATGTGTTCAAGGACCAAAGTTGATAAATACCAAAGAATCCAGAGAAGGGAGAGAACATTGAGTAGAGGATAGTGACAGAAGAGATGGGAACTTCTGACAAGAGTTGTGAAGATGTACTAGGCAGGGGGAACAGCTTAAGGAGAGTCACACAGGACCGAGCTCTTGTCAAGCCGGCTGCCATGGAGGCTGGGTGGGGCCATGGTAGCTTTCCCTTCCTTCTCAGGTTCAGAGTGTCAGCCTTGAACTTCTAATTCCCAGAGGCATTTATTCAATGTTTTCTTCTAGGGGCATACCTGCCCTGCTGTGGAAGACTTTCTTCCCTGTGGGTCGCCCCAGTCCCCAGATGAGACGGTTTGGGTCAGGGCCAGGTGCACCGTTGGGTGTGTGCTTATGTCTGATGACAGTTAGTTACTCAGTCATTAGTCATTGAGGGAGGTGTGGTAAAGATGGAGATGCTGGGTCACATCCCTAGAGAGGTGTTCCAGTATGGGCACATGGGAGGGCTGGAAGGATAGGTTACTGCTAGACGTAGAGAAGCCACATCCTTTAACACCCTGGCTTTTCCCACTGCCAAGATCCAGAAAGTCCTTGTGGTTTCGCTGCTTTCTCCTTTTTTTTTTTTTTTTTTTTTCTGAGATGGAGTCTGGCTCTGTCGCCCAGGCTGGAGTGCAGTGGCACGATTTCGGCTCACTGCAAGTTCCGCCTCCTAGGTTCATACCATTCTCCCACCTCAGCCTCCCGAGTAGCTGGGACTACAGGCGCCACCACACCCAGCTAATTTTTTGTATTTTTAGTAGAGACGGCGTTTCACCATGTTAGCCAGGATGGTCTTGATCCGCCTGCCTCAGCCTCCCAAAGTGCTGGGATTACAGGCGTGAGCCACCGCGCCCGGCCTGCTTTCTTCTTTCATGAAGCATTCAGCTGGTGAAAAAGCTCAGCCAGGCTGGTCTGGAACTCTTGACCTCAAGTGATCTGCCTGCCTCAGCCTCCCAAAGTGCTGAGATTACAGGCATGAGCCAGTCCGAATGTGGCTTTTTTTGTTTTGTTTTGAAACAAGGTCTCACTGTTGCCCAGGCTGCAGTGCAGTGGCATACCTCAGCTCCACTGCAGCCTCGACCTCCTGGGCTCAAGCAATCCTCCCAACTGAGCCTCCCCAGTAGCTGGGGCTACAAGCGCATGCCACCACGCCTGGCTATTTTTTTTTTTTTTTTTTTTTTTGAGAAGGAGTTTCATTCTTGTTGCCCAGGCTGGAGTGCAATGGCACAGTCTCAGCTCACTGCAGCCTCCGCCTCCTGGGTTCAAGCGATTCTCCTGCCTCAGCCTCCCGAGTAGCTGGGATTATAGGCACCTGCCACCATGCCTGGCTAATTTTTTTGTATTTTTAGTAGGGATGGGGTTTCACCATGTTGGCCAAGCTGGTCTCCAACTCCTGACCTCAGGTGATCCGCCTACCTTGGCCTTCCAAAGTGCTGGGATTATAGGCATGAACCACCGTGCCCAGCCAGCCCAGCTAATTTTTGTGTTTTTTGTAGAGACAAGGTTTTGCCTTGTTGTCCAGGCTTCTTTTGTTAATTTTAAAATCAAACCCCCACAGGCCTCTGAACATAGGCCAGATCCCTCAGGGTGGTGCTTTCCTTGCTCACTGCTGTTCTCCACCACTGTCTCTAGCTGAAGGCCTCCTCTCCCTTCTCTCTCCCCAGAGCTCTCAAAGTCTGTGGAACCGCCTGTCTGTGTTGCTGAATCTGTTGCCTGCTGCTGGTGAACTCCAGGAGTCTGGTGAGTGGGTCCCTGGCACTACCCTCCTTTCTTTGCTCTCTCATTGTCCCCACTAAGCCCATCTCCCCTCCCCATAACCCAGCCCTTGGGGTAAGGAGGTTAATGGGATTCACTGCCAGCCTCCCTAGCACACAGCAGTCATTGTGTGGTCTAGGCCTCTCCGGTTTCCCACCACAACACTGCTGTATTGTGGGCAGGTGGCCTGGTCAGCAAGGGAGTGTGCTCCCTAGGGAATGCAAGGGCAGAGTGAGAGGGCCCTGGGAGCCAGACCTAGCTGCTGCTGTTGCACTGATGCCTGTGGTCATTGAGAATTGACTTTGACCTACCAAGTTTGTTTGTCTGGCTCATCTCCTACCACCTTCCAGCTGGAAAACTCCACCTGCTCCTACCTGCTAAGACTTGCCAAGGGCTATTCATTCATCCTGAGCGCCTCCTCTCATTTCCATCCCAATGTAATTGTCCCTGCTGTCAGGAAGCCTTCCTGACCTGAGCCATCCTTGTTCTTCCTGAGCCCCTCTGCTCTGCCTGACTGGCTCTTATGTGTCCATCTCTCTTTACTTCACTCCCTCCATCTCTCCGCACTGTCCTAGGGTATGTCCTGCCTCATCATCTCATCAGCCTGATAATTCCCAAAGGGAAGGGTTATGTCTCTCTGACTGGGAGTTCCCACAGGACAGATGGTCTTATGTGTCCTTCTTCTGCCCAGGCCTGGCCTTGTGTCCTGAGGTCCAAGATCTTCTTGAAGGTTGTGAACTGCCTGACCTCCCCTCTAGCCTTCTGCTCCCAGAGGACATGGCTCTTCGTAACCTGCCCCCGCTCCGAGCTGCCCACAGACGCTTTAACTTTGACACGGATCGGCCCCTGCTCAGCACCTTAGAGGAGGTAAGGATAGCATTTCTTATGCCACAGCTCTGTTTGTCAGTCACAAACAGCAGCAAATGGGTTCAGATCTGGGGAGGGAGGGGGCAGGATGCCCTCTTCCACTCAGACAGGGACAGTGTCCTTGGGGCTACAGGCTGTGCTTCCTTCTTCATTCAGTGAGCCATTTTAGCTTTTTTCCTGCCTTGGCAGTCCTTCTAAAGGTCTGCCATTGGTAGTTTCTACTATTGTAGAACAACCACCCCCTTCCTTTCTCTGCCTTCTGTAAAGGGCAGAACAAATAGTTATTAGGGCTTCGAAATCTTTATCAGTCTCTTTTCTAACTCTGGGCCCAGCCTGCTCCGAGCTGAACATCAAACAATCATAGAAAGTTAGAGCTGGAAGGGAATGTGCTGCCCGCTTAGTCCAGCAGCTTTCACCCTTAAATCTCCATCACCACATGGGCCATCTGGGGGCAGCAGAGGGAAGTCAAGCAGACAGGCCACCCAGTCCTGACATACATAAACCACCTGGCTGCTCCCTCCAACCAGAGCTGCTTGGCTCTGTTTTATATTTTAGAGTTCTAGATAAGATTTTTATTTGAGAGGGAAGAAGGGTTTTACTGACCACAAAAATAAGTTGGGGCCAGGTGCAATGGCTCACCTTTGTAATCCCAGCACTTGGTTGGGGGCCAAGGCAGGTGGATCGCTTGAGCTCAGGAGTTTAAGAACAGCCTGGGCAATATGGCAGGACCCCATTTCTATCAAAAAATACAAAAATTAGCTGGGCATGGTGGTGCGCACCTGTAGTCCCAGCTACTTGGGGGCCGAGGCAGGAGGATGACTTCAGCCCAGGAGGTAGAGGCTGCAGTGAGCTGTAATCACACCACTGCACTCCAGACTGGGTAACAAAGCGAGATTCTGTCTCAAAAAAATAATACATTGGAAAATGTGATCTAGTTTGGTCCCCTAGAGCATATGAGAAGCATTAGGAGAGAGATGGTATTAGAACCCAGGTCTCCTCACTTCCAGCCCAGTGTCCTTTGCTCTTGTTTCTTAGCCCAAGTCCTGGTTTTCTGGTCCTCCTAGGAGTTTTCTTGCTGTACCTACTCGTTTTCTGGCAGTTAGAGGCTCTGGGCCTTAGTGTTTCTCCTTCCCACCCCATAGACCACAAATCTTCCCCTGGAGCCCTTGTTGGCTGAGGTGGCTGGGCCAGCAGGGAGGTGGGAGGGTGGGAGTGGAGGGTCCTGGAGGGCAGGGTGGGTCTAGAGGGCCCTGCTCAGCAGCGCTGGGCTCCTGTATCTCCCCACAGTCAGTGGTGCGCATCTGCTGCATCCGCAGCTTTGGTCATTTCATCGCCCGCCTGCAAGGCAGCATCCTGCAGTTCAACCCAGAGGTTGGCATCTTCGTCAGCATTGCCCAGTCTGAGCAGGAGAGCCTGCTGCAGCAGGCCCAGGCACAGTTCCGAATGGTGAGTCAGGCCTTCCCCTCCCCGTCAGCTCTGCTCCCATTGGGCTCACTGAGAAACCAGGGCAAGAGGCTCAGACCCTCTGGTGGTCTCCACCTGAAGGACATAGTAAGATGCCTAGGGAGAGGGGAGGGGAGGCTGGGAGGGAGGCCTGGGAAGGACTAAGGGATGTGACTGATAGACAGGGACTGAGAGGGGTTTTTTTTTTTTTTATGAGATGGAGTCCCACTCTGTTGCCAGGCTGGAGCAAGTGACGTGATCTCAGCTCACTGCAACCTCCGGCTCCCAGGTTCAAGTGATTCTCCTGCCTCAGCCTCCTGAGTAGCTGGGACTACAGGCGCACGCCACCACGCCCAGCTAATTTTTGTATTTTTAGTAGAGACAGGGTTTCACCATGTAGGCCAGGATGGTCTCGATCTCTTGCCCTTGTGATCCACCTGCCTTGGCCTCCCAAAGTACTGGGATTACAGGCATGAGCCACCACGCCTGGCCTGAAAGGGGCTTTGAGCAGAGGCTGCCTAGCTCAAGACCTGTACCCAGACTGACCTGGGGTTGAGGCCATCTCTGTCACCTTTTAATCTATGAATTGAGCAAGTCACTTAACCTCACCACGCCAGTTTCCTTGTCAGTTATGTGGGAACAAACAGAATCCACTTTATGGAGTTTTTTGAAGATGGAATGATAGTGGGTGTGAGGTGCCTTGCACATTGTCTTATGGCACATGTGTGTGCCTAGCAAATGCTCCCTCTGTTCCCTTTCATTCAAGAGGGATAAAGACTGAGGAATAGAAGGGAGCGGAGGGCTCCTGATATAAGGGGCCATGAAGGAACCTTCCCATCCCAGACATGGTCCCATCCCACAGGGGCCCCAAAGGATGGAAAGTGGCCTGTGGTACCTCTTTTCCATCCAGTAATTCATTCCACGAATATTTATCGAGAGTCCATTTTGTGCCAGACATGACAGTATTCTAGGCACTGGGGTTATAGCAGTGAACAAGACAGTCCTTTCTCTTGTGGGCAACAATCTGGTTTTCACAGTGGGGCCTGCACAGCCTTGGGCATGTTTCCCAACACACCACCCTGAGCTAAGTGGCACCAGAACATTGGGGTGTTAGTGTCTGGCACAGGAAGTATGATGTGTCTCAGCAACCCCTCAGGGTTTCTTCTTCATCTCAAGCCAATCCCCTCCTCCACATTCTTCCTTTGCACCTGTCCCAGGGCCAGTAGCTTCCACACCCTGTCTGAGTGCCATTTCTTGTGGGCATTCTGCTTGGCTGGAAAGGGGCAAAAGCTCCCCAGAAACTCCCTTCCTTACTGTCTGAAAAACAAGCACATTTTGTTAAAAACAAACCTTTGTTAAGGCTTTTATTGCTAGTCCATAGGGGAAGACATGGGGAGGGGGTTACAAAAATAATTATGGGGAAGTTAGCTTCAAAAAATGTTAGGAGTTTTTGCAGGCATTTCCTCTAGCCTAAAGCTCTTGAAGACACTCTTCCTGTCGGGGGGTAGGGAGTACCTGCAAGCCCTTCTCATGTGGTGCTAGACTCCACATGCCAAGATAGACACAGGCCACGTTGCTTGCTGGGGCTGCCTCCTCTGCTTGAGTCACAGGCTTCCACCCCGAAGGGCTTATCCCCAGCCCAGAGGAGTGTTGTCGTTATCACATTTATCAAGAGTTTTCTCTGTGCACAGCCTGGTTTGCATGTGACATCTCAATTAACCCTTGCAGCAGCCCAGTGAGGTAGGTGCTTGCATCCTCCATTTTATAGATAAGAAACAGTAGGCTGGGCTCTGTGGCTCACGCCTATAATCTCAGCACTTTGGGAGGCCAAGGCGGGCGGATCACTTGAAGTCAGGAGTTCGAGACCAGCCTGGCCAACATGGTGAAACCTCGTCTCTACTAAAAATACAAAAAATAGCCGGGCATGGTGGCAGGTGCCTGTAGTCCCAGCTACTTGGGAGGCTAAGGCAGAATAATCACTTGAACCTGGGAGGCAGATGTTGCAGTGAGTCAAGATCGTGCCACTGCACTCCAGCCTCAGCGACAGAGCGAGACTCTGTCTGGAAAAAAAAAAAAAAAAGGAAAAGAAAAGAAAATGTAGAAAGACAAAGGAACATTCCCAAGATCAGAAAGTATAGTCGGTGGTAGAGCCAGGGCTCTGGAGTTGGACACACTATGGATTTCTTATCCTGGCTCTTTTCTGCTGCTTTAGAGACTTAGCTTCTCTGTAGGCCAAGTGGGCACTAGGAGTTGCGGGGGGTGTAGTACCTGCTGATGGGACTTCTGAAGGTAGGCTTTCCCTCTGAGGAACGCGTAGGCCTACATCTGTTTGAAATGCTGGGTTGGTAATGTCAGAGCCTCATATTAGCACAGCTCCATCTTCTTGGGTCCAGGCGGATCTCACTCACCTACACTAGTTCTCTGGGGGAGCTTTTACACAAGTGCCCCCATCCCCCTCTCTTGAATATGGAGTTTCACAATTACCATTTTAGTCTAAAAGCAACTCATTGGCTTGATTTCTGCAGTGGGAAGAGGGAAAGTTTGTCTATGGTGCCTCCCTTGCTTACCAGTTTGCCCACAGGGCCTGTGAGAAAATGGCTGTTAGGTTGAGGCTGCAGTGAGCCAAGATCTTGCCGCTGCCCTCCAACCTGGGTGACAGTGAAACCCTGCCTCAAAAAAAAAAAAAAAAAAAAAAAAGAGAGAAGATGGCTCTCACCTAGGCTCTGGCCTTCTGCTTCCATTCTTTCATTTGTTTACATTGTTTCTCAAGGGGACACTCTTGGCACCTTGGGCAGGACAATTCTTTGTTGTGCAGGACTCTGCAGGGGGGTGGGAGTGGATCTTGCAACTATAGATGTTATTCCTCTTTCCCTAGTCTTCCCACTAATGTCTGTTTTCTCTTTGTAATCCAGTCCAGGACCCACAGTATGTTTGACTGTCATGTATCCTTAGTCTCATGCAATCTCTGACAGTTCTCAGTTTTTCCTTTTCTTTCCTGATGTGACACTTTCGAAGAGTACTGGTCAGTTATTTCATAGTGTCCCTCAATTTGGGTTTGTGTGATGTGGTCTCATGATGAGAATGAGAATTTTTTTTCTTTTTTTGAGACAGGGTCTTGCTCTGTTGACCCAGGCTGAAGTGCAGTGGCATGACCATAGCTCACTGCAGCCTTGAACTCCTGGCCTCAAGCAATTGTCCTGCCTCGGCCTCCTGAGTAGCTAGGACTACAGGCATGCATCACCAAGCTTGACTGATTTTTAAAATAAAAAAAATATACTTTTTTTTGTAGAAATGTGATCTTGCTATGTTGCTGAGGCTGGTCCCAAACTCCAGAACTCAAGCAGTCCTCCTGCCTCGGCCTCCCATATTGCTGGGATTACAGGCATGAGCTACTGTGCCTGGCCCCAAGATTAATATTTTATTTAATTTTTATTTTTATTTTTGTATATTTATTTATTCATTTTCTTTGAGACGGAGTTTTGCTCTTGTTGTGCAGACTGGAGTGCAATGGTGTGATCTTGGCTCACCACAATCTCTGCCTCCCGGGTTCAAGCGATTCTCCTGCCTCAGCCTCCCGAGTAGCTGGGATTACAGGTGCTCGCCACCACGACTGGCTAATTTTTATATTTTTAGTAGAGACGGGGTTTCACCATGTTGCTCAGGCTGGTCTCGAACTCCTGACCTCGTGATCTACCCGCCTCAGCCTCCCAAAGTGCTGGGATTACAGGCATGAGCCACTGTGTCTGGCCCCAGTTTTTGTATTTTTAGTAGAGGCAGGGTTTCACCATGTTGGCCAGGCTGGTCTCGAACTCCTGACCTCGGTCTCCCAAAATGCTGGGATTACAGGCGTGAACCACTGTGCCTGGCCCCAAGATTAATATTTTATTTTATTTTATTTTATTTTGTTTATTTATTTTGAGACGGAGTCTTGCTCTGTCACCCAGGCTGTAGTACAGTGGCTCTATCTCGGCTCACTGCAACCTTTGCTGTCCAGGTTCAAGCAGTTTTCCCTGCCTCAGCCTCCCAAGTAGCTGGGATTATAGGTGCCCGTGACCACACCCAGCTAATTTTTTTATTTTTAGTAGAGATGGGGTTTTGCCATGTTGGCCAGGCTGCTCTCGAACTCCTGACCTTAGGTGATCCGCCTGCCTTAGCCTCCCAAAGTGCTGGGATTACAGGTGTGAGCCACCGTGCCTGGCCAAGATTAATATTTTAAAGCACCACTTTGATGATGCCACTTTGGTCATCAAAGAGTCTTCAGTGGGCTGGGCGCTGTGGCTCGCACCAGTAATCCCAGCACTTTGGGAGGCCAAGGCGGGCAGATTGCTTGAGCCTCAGGAGTTTGAGACCAGCCTGGGCAATATGGTGAAACCCAGTCTCTACAAAAAATACCAAAATTAGCCAGGCATGGTGGCATGTGCCTGTAGTCCCAGCTAGTTGGGGGGCTGAGGCAGGAGGATCATTTGAGCCCGGGAGGCAGAGGTAGCAGTGAACAGGAATTGTGGCACTGCACTCCAGCCTGAGTGACATAGTGAGACCCTGTCTCAAAAGAAAAGAAAAACATAATAAAAAGAGTCTTCAGTGGCTCCCCATATCTTACAGGATAAAGTCCCCATCCTTAGCCTCATCTTATAGACCATACTAAGGAATTTGGGCTTTACCCATAATACAGAGGAAAGGCATCAGAAAACTTTTAAGCAGGGCTATAATGGGCATCAGATGGTTTTTAAAAGATTGCCTTGGTTGTAGGTGGAGAAGAGGGATTGAATTAGAGGCAGAGACCAGTACGGTGGTTGTTACAGTAGTCAAGGAGAGGTGTTGGCTTAGACTAGGGTTTCACAGTGGAGGTGGAAGGATTTGCATGCTGTTTAGGGGGGCACAATTGACAGGACAGGGAACCTGATAACTTCTGGGGCTGAGAGAAAGGGAAGATTCAAAGCCAACCCTGAGCTTTCTGACTTGGGCAGACTGGTTTATTTACTAGGCTAGGGAACACTAGAGGAAGAGACGCAGGTTCTGAGGAGCAGATGGGGCTGCTGAGTAGGCAGTTGTATGTGTGGGTCTGGAGCTCAGGATGGTCAGGCCTGGGCTGAATCTGCAGATTTGGAAGATTTTGGCAAGTGGATGGGGGTAGAAGGTGAGGAAGTGCATGGGTAGGATCTCCTGGGAAGGGAGACCAGATTGAGAAGAGCAGAGATTGAATCCTGAGGCACAGCCAGGTGATGTCCTGCATGGTGACGGCACATGGCTGTCTGCTTCCCCTCCCCTGCAGGGCCTGGAACATCATGACCTGCATCGGGTTGGTAATGGAAGTTGTTCAGAGTGCAGTGGAAGAATATTTTTTCTTCCATGCCTCTCCTCCCCTCATTCAGCAGCAGTGCTAGAGAGTGACTTTGCATGAGGTCACACTGAGACCCCAGGAAACCCTCTTGGTCTTCCTGATCACTGGAGAAGGGAAAATACACCCCAACTCCTTACAGCTCATTTTTTCCCTCATAGGCACAGGAGGAAGCTCGTCGGAACAGGCTCATGAGAGACATGGCTCAGCTACGACTTCAGGTAGGAAATCAGGACCCAAGTGCTTCTTCTGCACTTGGTAGAGCTTTTGTGTCAACCCTACTGGCAGGTCTCCCCCTTCCGCTGTAGTCCCCCTGCTCTGTTGCCTCTGTGTCCCTCCGCCTCTCCCAGATGACCCTCCTTACTACTCACTCTTCACTCAGCCATTTGCCTCCTTTCTGCCTTCATTTCTGTCTCTCCCTCTTTAACTCTTATTTCTGTTTACTTTTCCCCCAAAGCCATTGGTAGAGAGGGTCCTCTGATCCCCTTAACAACAGGAGGAGCCCCATAGAGCCACCTTGAGCACCACTCTTCCCCCGGCCCGGCTGCAGGGGTCCCCCACAGCTGTACCCACCTTGCCCTCTCTCACCAGCTCGAAGTGTCTCAGCTGGAGGGCAGCCTGCAGCAGCCCAAGGCCCAGTCAGCCATGTCTCCCTACCTCGTCCCTGACACCCAGGCCCTCTGCCACCATCTCCCTGTCATCCGCCAACTGGCCACCAGTGGCCGCTTCATTGTCATCATCCCAAGGACAGGTAAGTACATTGGAGAGGTAAGGAGACAGAGTATGACTAAAAGAGATTCTGGGCTTGGGATTAAGAGACCTTATTTGGGGCCCAGTTTATATGCAGTAACCTTGGTCAAGTCTTACTACCTTTGTGAACCCGTCACTTCATCTGTGAAATGGACATAATCCCTATTCTGCCTTACAAGACAGTTGGGAGAAACAGAAAATGTAAGTGAATATAATGAGAAAGCACTTGGTAAATTGCCAAGTATATTGCTGGCAGAAGGTCATGTTTTCAGAGAACTTTGGGAGCCCTCTAGGGAGCCAGGGTCCCTTCTCTGCCTGAAGAGTGTACTGAGGTGAGCTCAGATACTTCCTCCAGAGCCCCTTGTCACAGCAGTCTGAGCTTATCTGTTTTGTCTTTCCCTACCTTGCCCACCAGTGATCGATGGCCTGGATTTGCTGAAGAAGGAACACCCAGGGGCCCGGGATGGGATTCGGTACCTGGAGGCAGAGTTTAAAAAAGGAAACAGGTGAGTGTGGCCTGGCTGGACCTGTGCTGAGCCCTGGGTCTGTCTTTTGGATAACACATGCTTATGAAAGCCCCTTGCTCCCTATGGGTAAGACACATACATACCCGTCTCTACTCACAGTTAGCTCACCTCACTGCCTGGGGAGTGATACCAGAGATAATTAGAAGTCAAGGTTGTAGCTGCTGAAATAGAGGGTGACCAAAGGGATCAGGAGCCCTGTGGGGAGCACTGAGCTGCTGTCCTTCCTCTGGGGCAAGCCTGTGATCAGCACCCACTGGGGAGAAGGGAGCAGACCTCCCTCCCCCAACTTTAGACTGTGAACTCCTTTATAGGAATTTCTCCTGCTTTGGGGTTGGGACAGGTGATCAGGTTTCTCAGAGTGTGAGGGCCTCATCCAGGCTGCCCAGGGGCTTCCCACCTCCCTGCTGAGCTGAGGGAGTGGTAAGACCGAAGCCAGCCAGGGAGGGGCAGCTGGCAGCATGTGCAGATGCTCAGCCGGTACAGGCCTGCCCTTCTGGCCTTTGGGGCTGGAGGAGAACTAGGCAGAGGGTGTAGGGAATAAGGAGAAAGCTTCCCTCTCCCTGCTAGCTGGCCCACCCCCTCCTCTGCATCTGCTCTGGCTGGCCAGGAAGCTGCACAAGGTCTGATTGTTCGGACCTTGTCTCCAGAAGCCCTGACTTGAAAAGCATCTGCTGCTTCTCCCCTCCCAGCTCCTCCCCTGAGAGGAACCAAATAATTGATGTTATCAGGAGGAAAAGTGAGCTGGGCCCAGCAGCCAGGAAGCCACTTAAGAATGGCTCCAGAGCTGTGGTGGGAGAGACATGTTCCCCAGCCCCGCCTGCAAAACCAGGCCCCCAGAGCCACAACAGACTGCTTTGTGTAAGGCACCCTGCCAGTCTCCTGCTCCTGACCTCCACTCGCACATCTCCTCTGCAGGTACATTCGCTGCCAGAAAGAGGTGGGAAAGAGCTTTGAGCGGCATAAGCTGAAGAGGCAGGATGCAGATGCCTGGTAACATTTTAGCCCTCACCCCTAGAACCTCAGGCCACCTGCCTTGCTCCTCCACGAGCATTCCTAGGGAGAACGGGTAGGGCTGGATAATTCTGAGGCTCCACACGTAGCCTGCCAGGGCCCTCCTGCAGGCCTCACCTTGCGAGGAGTACGAAGTTGCCGCAGCACCTGAGCTTTTCCTCTGCAGATGGGTCAGCCTCTTTGGGCCTTGCGATGCTCAGGCTTGGTGTTTTCCCTCAATGCACCTTTGCCTGCTCCCCATATGTCTCCAGGGCCAGCTTCCAGGGCCCACTGCTGCTCACTGCCCTCCCAGCCCCCAGCTGCCCCTGTCCCCTGGAGATCCTGGTGTTTGGGCTGTGCTAATGCTGGGTCTTGGCCCATCTTCCCCTCTGCCCCCCATCCCCAGGACTCTCTATAAGATCCTAGACAGCTGCAAACAGCTGACTCTGGCCCAGGGGGCAGGTGAGGAGGATCCGAGTGGCATGGTGACCATCATCACAGGCCTTCCACTGGACAACCCCAGCGTGCTTTCAGGCCCCATGCAGGTGGGTCATGGGTGAGGTGGGGGGATGGTGTGGAATAGGGACGAGGTACCAGAGCAGACTCCATCCCCAGACCCTCCACATAGCTACCTTTTTTTCTCTTCCATCACTCCTTCCCCAGCGCCTCAACAATTTGCTCTTCAGTTCAGGAGGTCAGACCCTCTCCATCTTTCCTTCTCCCATTCCACAGGCAGCCCTGCAGGCCGCTGCCCACGCCAGTGTGGACATCAAGAATGTTCTGGACTTCTACAAGCAGTGGAAGGAAATTGGTTGATACTGACCCCCAGGCCCTGCAGTGGGGCTGACTCCAGATCTCTCCTGCCCTCCCTGGCAGCCAGGACCAGCACCTGTAGTCACCCCACCACACGCAGACTCATGCACGCACACAGGAGGGAGGCCTAGCTGCTCAGAGGCTGCAGGGAGGGCCCAGGAGCCGGCTGGGAGGGTGGGGTCCCTTTGTTGCCAAGACGTTAGGAAAGCGAGGAAAGTGCTTGGATTAGGAGAGTCTTGTGGGCCCCTGGCCAGCCTTCCTGCCTCAGCTCCCCTGCTGTCTCCAGGGGCAGGTGGTAGGCATGGGTACCTGCATTTCACTGGAATGGGTTCTTGGATCTCTGAGGGGAAGGAACAGCAAAAGAGGCCCTTCTTCCTCACCCAAGATGCAGGGTGGTTGGGGCCAGGAGTTTGGACCCTCTAGGTCTTGGGGGAAGAGCTGGGTAATACCTGGTGTCTGAGTGATTCTCTGCAGACCCTTCCCCTCCTCAAGGATCACCCATCCTCCTTTCAGCCCCCTTTATGGGGACCAGGCAGCTCTGGAGCCAGCCACAGGGGCTGTTAGAGAAGCAAGGCCTGGAGTGGCCTGCACCGAGTAGCAGGGTCAGGGTTCGTGTGCTCCTCCTCCTGCTGCAGGGGCTGCACATCCCATTGCCCCACTTCTGCTTTGTGTCTCCCTCTGTCTAGCTTCCAGGGCAGGGAGCAGGCCCCACCTAGGGCTGCAGGCAGTCTGGCCTGTGCCAGCACGGTCTCCTGTGCCCACCAGCCCCACAGGTGCTGTGCTTTGTGCTCTTGGCTGCTGTGCTGGGACAGAATGGGATGCCAGGAAGAGAAGAAAGGGGGTGCAGTCTGAGGCCACCACCCCCCTTCCTATCTAAGGGAGGGCTGAAGACAAGGGGCCGGCATTCAGTGGGCAGCAGAAAGGAGAGGCTCCTTGAAGCTGCTCAGTCAGAGGCCCCCGTCCCTCCTTTTGCCTTCCGCAGGACTGAAGACCTGAAGGGGCTGGCTTTTGGAGTGTTGAGGTGAATATCTGGGAGCAGAGATCATGAATAGCTCAGGGCAGTGAATGGCGCACCAAGAGCAGGGCTGTGTGTGGGAGGCTGCAGCCAGGATTGCCTCAGCTCCTCCCCCTCAGGCTGGGAGGATAGCACAGGCTAGGGGCTCGGGGTGGAGGGTCTCAGCTCTGCTGCCCCCACCCCAGTACTAGCCTAGCTTCCCAAGCTGTGGCTTAGAGGATAGTTGGCTTCCTGCCTCTCTCCTCTAAAATAGCAAGTCTGGGAAATCCTGGGGTGAGTGGAGTCACCCCACTCCCAGTTGCTGGCAGAGACTGAGACTAAAGCATCACTTAATAAACCCCCCAAGCCCAATCCCTGTCTCCTGGTGCCTGTCTGTACAGAAGTTTCATTGGGGGGTGGGGCACTGAAGATGGCATCCTGAAATGCATTTTGGAAAGGCTTCTTTGAAGTGGATGGAACAGAACAAGAAGCAGGCAATTTGAGTGAAGGCCCTGGAGATGGTTTGATAGGCACTGTCAAGTTCCTTGACTGTAAACTGAGGCGGTGCCTTTGCAGGGGTGATAGTGAAAATCTCTTGCCAGCAACATCGCTGCCTGGGGTTGGTTCGCTGTCACTAGCTGGGTCCTCTTCCCCAAGGGGGTGGGGAGGTGAGCCTTGAAACCAGCCTCTGGCCAGGCGTAGTGGCTCACGCCTGTAATCCCAGCACTGGGAGGCTGAGGCGGGTGGATCACAAGGTCAGATCGAGACCATCCTGGCTAACACGGTGAAACCCCATCTCTACTAAAAATACAAAAAAAAATTAGCTGGGCATGGTGGCGGGTGCCTGTAGTCCCAGCTACTCGGGAGGCTGAGGCAGGAGAATGGCGTGAACCCGGGAGGCGAAGCTTGCAGTGAGCCAATATCGCGCCACTGCACTCCAGCTTGGGTGACAGAGCGAGACTCCACCTTAAAAAAAAAAAAAAAAAAACCAGCCTCTGAGTCCTCAAGTGCCTGTCCTGCAAGGATTGGCATCTCAAATTGTATTCGGGGGGGGGGGGGGGGGGAGGGGGAGGTGGTGAGCCTGGTGAATCCCCCATGATAGAACCAACATTTACCAAAGGCAGTTTGCTCTGAGCCCTAGGCAGCACCAGGTGCTAAGAGGCAGCAAAGCATGGTGAGAGATGGCTTCTGAAATCTGTTCTGCATTTGGGGATTTGGGTTCCTCTGCCAGCCTAAGGCAGAGCTGTCCCCAACTGCTGGGAGAACCTGGAACGGGAACACTGCTCTGAGTCGCCGGGGGGACTCTACAGCACCATGGCCACATCCTGCCTTGGGCCCCTACCCTGTTCTAGCCAGTCAGCACAGGGAGTTTGGGTCGTGCTGGAGGAGCTGGCTGTGTGCAGGCGGCCGAGTGAGCTGCCTGCTAATGGGGCTGGGCCACCCCGTGCTGCTCCCTGGAGGCTGGACAAGGCTGGGATTGTTCCCTGGCTCCCCTTTGTCTCCCCACTCCCCGCCCAGGCCTGGCCCGCCTGCCTGGCCACTCTTCCTCCATCAGCCTGGCTGGCAGCAGCCTTGGACTCCGCCCGTGGAGCCCTGGGCCTGTTGACCCACCAGCTTAGGAGCACCCACCAAGCTCTGGGTAAGGAAGCTCACCTTCTGGGGCTCTTCTGGGAAAATAGAGGTAAAGCATCTTGCTCCAGCCACCCCTCCCCCATTTCCATAGCAACTGCACACACTCCACTCCAGAGATCTCCAAACCCTACTACTAAGGGAAGGCACCGTGAGGGCAGCTAGACCCCAGCGTATTCCTCACTCCTCCCCCAGATAGATGGGCAGCACTCAGGGTAGGGGAGACCCCCGACCATCCCACTTGTGGGAGCGAGCAAGGGATACCCTGGGAGGCCCTCATCCATCTTTGTTCTGCTGGGGTGCAGGGACTAGGGCCAGGTTTGCCTTTGCCCAGCAGGGTCTCCAGCACCCATCTCGGGCAGAGGCTGGGGGAGTGACTGCTGGTGCAAGCCCCAAAGTGCATGCGGCAAAAACATGGATGCAGAGCTGGTGGCAAGAAGAGGGGCTAAGTTATAGAGTTGCTGCAAAGTTTTGGCCTGGGGAGGTGGGGGGAGTGTCCTAGTCCTCCTCCTGGGGCGGCTCCGCCTGCCCAGCTGGCCCAGCCCCTCCACTTGTGCCAAGGAATGTGCCGGGAGAGGCGGGCGGGGCAGCAGAGCTGCGGCCACCCGGAGGCAGTGCACAGGTCTGGGGCTGAGGGATACCTGGGCTCAGGAGGGGCAGGGACCCCAAAATTCTCCTGGGGGCACAAGTGTAGTCCTCAGAGAAAAGCCAGGCATCCCCCTACCTCCTTGTCCCACCTGATGGCATCTGGCTTCTCCAGAGATTCGGAGTGCCAAGAGTGTTCTGTGCTCAGTTCAGGCGCTGTGGGCGAAGCACATTCTGGTGGGAAAGGGAGTGGTACTCAGGCTGTCTCTGTGCTGGCCTCCAGGAGTCAGGATTCTTCCTGAGACAAAAACTGGGGCCTGCGGGGCTGGATCACTATTTGAGGCAGCCTCCCGGCTGGGAGGACCCCGCCACTCTTTGCTGGGCTGAGGCCGCCAAGCCCCTCAGTGTGGGGACTGAATGCCCCAAGGAGAACAGGGGTTGGAGTTAAGTGGTGCAAGGGCTGGGGAAGGTGGACCAGCTTCCCCAGGCCTGAAGGAAGCAGCTCCAGGAGGGAGGGTGCCATCTGCCTCCCACACGCACAGCCCATCCTGCGGCTGAACCCAGGTGAAAGGGGCCTGTGGATGGGGGCAGTTATCTGATCCCCTACCTCCCACTCTGTCTCTAGGTCAACGTGGAGGTACCAGGCCACCATGCTCAGTCTCAAGCTGCCCCAACTTCTTCAAGTCCACCAGGTCCCCCGGGTGAGGGGCTCCACCCACTGACCCACCAACCCCCATTCCCTAGAGGACTGACTAGGGGCTGACGTTCTTCTCTTTTAGCTATTGGGGCAGCCCCTCCTGCAGGCGAACTCTTACCCTCCCATTCCAGTGTGAGACTCTTCCTCTGTTCTCTGAGGAACAAGCTTGTGGCCCTCCATCTGGAGTCCCCTTCCCCAGAGCGCCCTGTGTGCTGCGCTCCACCCCCATCCCACCCCAATCTGGCTCTTCGGTTTCCTATTTGTTTTGTGGGTTGTGGGTACTGGGACCTGTGGTAACATCAGATCAGATTTAGTTTGGCTTGGGGGCCACGTTGATCTCCAGCCCAGCCTCTTTGACCCTGCTTCCAGAGATCTCAGATGGAGGGAAAGGGTCCGGGCACAGTGACGCCCTTCCTCTCCCACCACTACCCTAGGTGTTCTGGGAAGATGGCATCATGTCTGGCTACCGCCGCCCCACCAGCTCGGCTTTGGACTGTGTCCTCAGCTCCTTCCAGATGACCAACGAGACGGTCAACATCTGGACTCACTTCCTGCCCACCTGGTGAGGGGAGGCTCCGCCCCAGGCCGCGGCCTTGAGCTCAGAGGGGGTACCCAGGCGGGCAGGGACCGTCCAGGCCCACGGGCTGCAGCGGCAGTCGCGGGGGTCCGCGGCGGCCTGAGCACGCGCCCGCCGCAGGTACTTCCTGTGGCGGCTCCTGGCGCTGGCGGGCGGCCCCGGCTTCCGTGCGGAGCCGTACCACTGGCCGCTGCTGGTCTTCCTGCTGCCCGCCTGCCTCTACCCCTTCGCGTCGTGCTGCGCGCACACCTTCAGCTCCATGTCGCCCCGCATGCGCCACATCTGCTACTTCCTCGACTACGGCGCGCTCAGCCTCTACAGTCTGGGTGAGCCGGACAGGCGCGGGAGCGCGGGGTCTGGGCGTCCCGGAGCGGGGCGAGGGGTGGGACGCGGGACATAGGGGCGCGCCCCTCAGGCCTCAGCTGCACGCCCCCACCTCACCGCAGGCTGCGCCTTCCCCTATGCCGCCTACTCCATGCCGGCCTCCTGGCTGCACGGCCACCTGCACCAGTTCTTTGTGCCTGCCGCCGCACTCAACTCCTTCCTGTGCACCGGCCTCTCCTGCTACTCCCGGTGGGTTCCCAGGCCCCTCCAGTGGGGACGGGGAAGGCGGAGGCACAGGAGAGGACACACCTCACTGCTCTCGAACAGCACTGGAGGCATCGGGACCATGTACTGAGGACTTCCTCTGTCAGACCCTTTATCCCCACATACAGATGTGGTCCTTTACACAGGAGGTCATATGCCCTAACGGTTTTCTTAGCTGCAGGCTGTGCTGATATTCCATCTTTGCCCAAGTCCTCTTGCCTTTCTCTGACCCCTACCCCAAGCACAGCGATGGTGACCGGCCTTTTCCTCCCGCCTCCCAGTTTCCTGGAGCTGGAAAGCCCTGGGCTCAGTAAGGTCCTCCGCACAGGAGCCTTCGCCTATCCATTCCTGTTCGACAACCTCCCACTCTTTTATCGGGTAAGGAGGCCTAGGGCCCCTGCCCAGACTCCTGCTTTCCTGTCCTGACCCTCAAGGTGCCCACTTCCAGCCCTGCCCCCTCAGTCCCTGCCTCAGCCCAGCCGCCTCTCTTGGGGTCCAGCACCCCGCCTAGCTGTGCCCGCCCGCTCTGCGTCCTCACCAGATCCCAGACACACCCCATGTTTCGGCTCCCGAGTCCCTCCCCAGCAGCCTTGGTTTTCCTTTGACAGCTCGGGCTGTGCTGGGGCAGGGGCCACGGCTGTGGGCAGGAGGCCCTGAGCACCAGCCATGGCTACCATCTCTTCTGCGCGCTGCTCACTGGCTTCCTCTTCGCCTCCCACCTGCCTGAAAGGCTGGCACCAGGACGCTTTGATTACATCGGTGAGGGCACGCCTGGCCCGGCCCGGGAAGAGGCAGGGGCAGATGCCTTCCCAGAGCACAGAATGAACTGGGTAAATGGGTATTACAGCCCCAGGATGGAGGCAAATTATAGGAGGGACTTCCCTGTCTTCCTATAACGAGAGCATCACTGGAAGGGTCCTCCACCTGCCACTTCTCAGGTAGCAAAACTAGTAGCATGTGTGCTGGGGCCACATGCACACATGCTCATTCATTCCTTTCAGTCACTCTGGGAGTCAGGGTTTCTTATTCTCAATTTATGGGGGAGTAGCAGGCCCAGAGGATGGGGTGACTTGCACTGGGAAAGGTGTGGCTCTGACCTGCCCATCCTCTCCACAGGCCACAGCCACCAGTTATTCCACATCTGTGCAGTGCTGGGCACCCACTTCCAGCTGGAGGCAGTGCTGGCTGATATGGGATCACGCAGAGCCTGGCTGGCCACACAGGAACCTGCCCTGGGCCTGGCAGGCACAGTGGCCACACTGGTCTTGGCTGCAGCTGGGAACCTACTCATTATTGCTGCTTTCACAGCCACCCTGCTTCGGGCCCCCAGTACATGCCCTCTGCTGCAGGGTGGCCCACTGGAGGGGGGTACCCAGGCCAAACAACAGTGAGGCCCCATCCCTGACCCTGTCCTGGAGGGGGCAGAGGCCAGGCCCCAGTGCTGACGAGGAGCCCAGATTTGGGCCTAATCAGGTGGGGACGCATCTCAGCCTGGAACCAACAGGGGCTGAGGAGAGAGGGCACAGGAGAGAGGGCAGAGAAGAGGAGGGGTGTCTAGGGGGACTGGCAGAGTGTGAGAGGGACCGTGAGGGGGCTCTTGATGGGAGTGGAAGAAGTGCTGAGGGTCTGAGAGGGGAGATGCATGCGTGTCCAGGCTGAAGATGCCCCTATATTCTGTCAAAGGTTGGCGGGGGGAGGTGTTGGGGTCCTTTCATCTGGCTCCGTTTCTGGTGCTTCTGGAAGTCTCTGCTCAGCACAGGGAAGAACTAACACGACTAACCTAGGCCTACCCTGAATGCTTCTTGCTAACCAGGCCGAGAGGCCACACACTTGCCCCCCCATCCCCACAAACCAGGTAATGCCAGTTTGCCAGCAGCTATTTGCCTATAGAGATGAGTCTGTCCTGGTCATAACTGTGTGCTCAAGGTGTCCAGGCTTTTGGGGGTGGGCCTATCTGGGTGCATTATGGATGGTTTGGTGGATTGAGGTGTGGGGAGGAGGGTCCTAGGCTAGAGGGGGTATCCCTAGTTAGACTTTGGGAAGCCACCTTCAACGTTTTCTGGAACAAGGCAGGTACAAATAAAAAAATAAAACTTTGGAAAGCACTTTCTAGAACTGAAGAAGGTAAAACCTCCTCACCCCCATCCTCCTGACACCTCCCTCCCACACTCCATAAACTGGACAGACTCACAGGCCCACAGATTCCTCTTCTGGAGTTTATTTGGGAGCAGCTGGGATGATGGGGACCCCACATCCATAGGGCTGGGAGGTCAGGGCAAGGGCAAGGGGAAGAGGAAAGAAGGGTGCCTGGAGAGGAGCAGAACTGGGGTTGCCGGCCAGGCCAGCAGAGCGACACCCTAGACCGGGCCGTAGAAGCGCCGATAGGCCTCCTGAAAGCCGATGTGGTCAGCCAACTCGTCACAGTCCGGATTGAGCTCACACACCTCCCTCCTGGGCTCCAGGGGATCCGGGTAGGGGACTGGGGCTCTGAGACACCCGACGTGGTGGCATCAGCCCCCGTGCAAAATGCCCATCCCTCCTCTCCCTACACATGGGGCTCCAGGGTGCCCACCAGGGCAGGCTGCCTGTACCCCCACCACAACCCAGAGAGGCCACTCCCTGCTGCAGCTCCCCCACAGACCATCCCGGAGAGGCAGGGCCTTGGCCCAGCTCTGCCTTTTCTCTCACCCCAGCCATTGATACAGGTAGCGCCTGGGTCTCTTCACTACCTCGCTGCCCTCCTGCTTGGACACAAAGGCTGTGGAGCAGAGGGGCAGGCATCAGGTGGCTCTGGGTTTGGGAGGATCAGGTGGGGAGCAGGCTGGCCTTCCTGATGGCCAGACAGGAGGTGGCAGGAGTGGGGGAATGAGACTGAGGGACCAGGGTGAGAGGGGAGGGTCCAGGAACCCATCAGGTCCATCCTCATACCTGCACCTTTGCTGGACTCTGCACCGCTGGGCTTCGCACCTGCAAAGGAAAGGGAGCCTGGTTCACCCCAGCTCATCCCCAGGGCCCTCATCCTCCTTCCCCTGCGTCTCGGGCAGCTTGCTCTTCCCTCCTCTCCCTCTGCAAGGGCAGAGCTGGGGCAAATGGATTGAGCCTGCAACAAGGTGGTTAGACTGCAAAGGGACTGCCAGCCAAAGGGGTGAGAAGAGGTGGGCCATGGTGCTTCCTCCTCTCAGCCCCCACTGCAATGCGGCCTGAGGGGAGGTGGGGGCACTCACCTGCCTGGCCAGCGATGCAAAGTGCGGCCAGGGCCAATAGGGCGAGGAGTGTGAGGGCTCTCATGGTGTCTCGGTGGCTGCGCTGGGCTGCTGCTCAGGACTCAGCTGGCCTGCCCCGCCAGCCTCCAGCACTGTTTATACCCTCTGGGCTGTGCCCAGCGATGAGGAGGGGCATGCCTGACCATGGTGCGGGCGGGTCTAGGGGGAATCTGCCAGGGCTATTTGGGGGTCATCCGCCCCAGCTCCGTAGGCCAAACCCCAAAGGATATTGTGGTTGGGAGCTGCGGCTGCTGGGCCAGGGGCCCCTGGGAGTGATGGAGGGTGAGCCACAATCAGACTGCCCGGCTCTTGACACTGCCTCTGGCCCCTCTCTCAGGGGACAGCCCCAGACCCCTCAGCTCCAACTCACTCTTCCTCAGAGACCCCCAGCCTCAGGTTGAGCACTGGCTGAGCTCTAGGGGAGTCTAAAGAGGAAGCGGGGATCAGAGACCTAAAATAGGTTCAAGCAGAGCTGGGCTCCAGCTGTCTCACAGCCTGTGATTTCTACTGTCAGCCCCGTGGGCAGGAGCCAAACCCAGGGAGGGGATGCCTCGCAATGCCCCCGTTCACCCGGTGAGTCACCAAAGGCAGCCTGCTGTGGGTGCAGCTCGACGGCTCAGGCCCTGCCCTGCGCATCCGGACAGGAGAAAGGGTCGGGCAGCACAAACGCCAAAAGCCAAAGCCAATGGAGGTGGGGCCGGGCAGGAGATGAGGTCAGCCGGTTGGTTTCTGGGACACGCCAGGTGGCTGTGACTGCCAGGTACACAGGCACAGGGAAGGGAGGCAGGCACTGAGGTGGGGACCCCCTTCCCTGTGTCCTTAGCAGGCAGGGAGGCAGGGCCTGTGAGGAGCACGAAGATGGAGTGTGCCTCTGCCCTCCTGGCCCCACGATTCTCCTCCTGACCCTGCAGCCTCCAGTGTTAAACACCCTGGGGAGGGACCTGCCCTCCCGTAGTGCTCCGATAAGTAATAGGAAGGCCTATCCTCTACGGTACAGAACATCCCAGCCTGAAAACCCCATCCCACACCTGAGAGCCTCCACTGCCTCAGGTCAGCCCAGAGAGGGAAGACATGTCCTGGGACCTTCCCCTGTCTAACCTGTCTCCTCACTCACCCACCCACCAACCAGGGCTTGAGACCATCTGCCCAACCTGACAAGTAAACAAAGCACCCGACGGGGCAGGCCTGACAGAAGCAGGGCATTTGGATGCTTGAATGCCACAGCTCCATGGTGACAAGGTGGGCAGAGGGAGACTGAGCCAAGTGCCGTTTATGGGAGGGGGGTGGGAAGTTGGGACCACCTGATGCTTGCCTGTGTCCCCAGTGTGCCTCCAGCAGACCTCACCAAGGCTCTCACTAGGGAAAAGTTCTGCCCCCATACACGCCCAACCCCTTTCCCCCTCTGGTGGATCCGGGAAGCACCCATCCTGCCTTTGGCTGCCCTGGCTGAAGAAGAGTGAAGTGGAAGAAGCAAGAGAAACAAAGTGCTCGCGGTTCTTTTTTTTTGAGACGGAGTCTCGCTCTGTCGCCCAGGCAGGAGTGCAATGGTGCGATCTCGGCTCACTGCAACCTCTGCCTCCCAGGTTCAAGTGATTCTCCTGCCTCAGCCTCTTGAGTAGCTGGGACTACAGGCACACGCCACCATGCCTGGCTAATTCTGTATTTTTTTTTGAGATGGAGTTTCACTCTTGTTGCCCAGGCTGGAGTACAGTGGCGCAATCTTGGCTGACTGCAACCTCCGCCTCCCGGGTTCAAGTGATTCTCCTGCCTCAGCCTCCCGAGTAGCTGGGATTACAGGCACATGCCACCATGCCTGGCTAATTTTGTATTTTTAGTAGAGACAGGATTTCACCATGTTGGCCAGGCTGGTCTCGAACTCCTGACCTCAGGTGATTCACCCGCCTCGGCCTCCCAAAGTGCTGGGATTTCAAGCATGAGCCACTGCACCCGGCCGTAATGATTCTTGGAGGGTGCCAAGAGTGACATCTCCTTGGCAGCTCATCCTATCCACAGGGAACCCAGGGGTCCTGGTTTTTGTACAAGGGGCTCTGCTGCTCTCTGCACATGATGGTCTAGTAAGCCCCTTGCCAAACCACCCCAGCCTGGATGCTCCCAGAGGACCACGACTGAAGCCTTGACTGGAGCCAGCATTTGGGAGCCCAGGAGCAGGTCTTGGCCCAAGAGAGGCCAGGGCAGAGGAAGCATGCTCACAGATTACAGTGTAGTGAAGGAAGTTTATTTACGGATGTGGAGAGAACATGGTAAAGGCCCCTGGGCTGGCCAGCAAGGGGGCAATCAGTGGAGATTGAAAACAGATTCTCCAAGCCAGGGCCAGGGAAAAGGGCTGGGGAACCAGCAGGAGGGGGGCGGAGGGGCAGAGCTGACCTGAACCTAGAGAAGAGAGAACATGGCCAAGAATTATCCAGGTAGAAGAAACAGAGGAATCTAAAGGGGGTGTATGTCCAACCCCAAGGGTGCCCCAAAGGCACAGTGGCAGTGAGGCTTGCTCTGGCCTAGTCCTCCAGCAAATTCCATCACTGCTGATGGACTGGGCACCATTTCAGCCGTTCTCAGAGGTAGCCCGCCCAGGCCAGGCATGCTGGACCACAGGCTCTTGACCTTGACTGCCCTCTGCTTCTGGGGCTGGCGGTCTCCTCACTCAGGCTCCCTCAGCACAGCAACCAGCTCCCTCTGTTCTCTGTGTAGAGCCTGAAATCAATGGGAGACAACAGACAAACTGGGATCTAAGAAAACCCAAATCCTTGCCCTCCACTGTCCCTGACTCCAGGCCTGGGGTTTCCCCCAGGACAATATGGATGGAGTCTGTGGCTAAGTCATGGGCCCTGCAGAGCATGTTAGGATGAAGGCACATCAGGAAGTCCCCACCATTCGGCAAGTATTTATAGCAAGCTGGGTTCTGTGACCACCTAGGCTGGGCATCCCCAGAGCAGAGCCCATCATCTTCAGCAAGGGTCCCCAAAGTGGCCCTTCAATCCTCTGACCTCAACAGAGCTTTCTAGCGAGAAACTTTCTTGAATTAAGTACACTTTCAGTTGAGTTACAGACATGGAAATTGCCCATGTCAAACAACGTGAGGGTCTGTAGCTGGAATGGGTGGGGCATGGCTTTAAGAGCAGGGGGCTTTGTTCCTCTTAGGATAGCACTGAATCTCAGAGCTGGTGAGGCCCTGGGATCATTATCTAGCCAATTTGGAAGCCAGGACCCAGAGACAGGAGTGACCCATGGCCTCATGGTGACTGAGTGGCGATAGTGGAGCAGCGCCTTGCCTGAGGACTCAGCAGGGGGCCCTGGGAGTGCCCAAGACACAACTCGGAGCTGTGCCCTGCAAGATGGCACCAGGCTTGGGGGGGGGGCCTTTGTCACCACCACTTTCGCGCCTGCTGCCCAGTCCCCCAGGCCAGTCTGTGATGTGGGGAGAGCAGAGGGAGTGGGGACAGTAGGGAGCAGAGCGGCTGCCGGCCTTCCACTTGTCACTGCCTCCCAGCCGGGGCCCTTCCCAAGCTGCAGCAGGGCCTTCAGGCTACAGCTAACTGGTATTGGGAAGAGAAGACCAGGGAGATCCAGGAGCCATAAATTTGGGGACCTGTATCCCTCAGGAATATGAGTGTTTGCCCCAGGAAGGGGGCTGTCAAGTGGCTATAAGTAGATGTACATTGGATACTGACATGAAGGATGGAGAGAGTTCGACAGAGATGCCGCCACTTGAGCCCTACTAGAAAGCTTCTCTTGGAAATGCACTTTGAGCCCATAGGAAAATCTGTCTCATTGTGGTGCAGCCAAGCTGCTACTGTGTCATTCAGCTTGATCATCATCTTCTCCTTTCTTCACCCAATGTGGCCCCAAGTGATGTCGGGCCACTTTCAAAAGTTAAGTTCGCCCTCAAAGGACACACAATTGTGGCATGGAGGATATGTGTTAGATGTGTGAAGGCTCTACAAGTCATTCTAATATACACGTTATTTAAATATTGGGCAATGGCAGATAGTCAAAATAATCCTGAGCACAAAGAACAAAGCTGGAGGCATCACAGTACCTGACTTCAAATTGTACAAGGCTCTAGTAACCAAAACAGCATGGTACTGTTATAAGAACAGACACATAACCAATAGTATAACAGAATACAGACTCAGAAATAAATCCATATACTTATGGCCAACTGATTGTCGGCAAAGGTGTCAAGAACAAACAGTGGGTAATCTCAGCACTTTGGGAAGCTGTGGCAGGTGGATCACCTGGGGCCAGGAGTTCAAGACCAGCCTGGCCAACATGGTGAAACCCCGTCTCTACTAAAAATACAAAATTAACCAGGCGTCACAGCAGGTACCTGTAATCCCAGCTACTCGGGAGACTGAGGCTGAGGCTGAAGCAGGAGAATCACTTGAACCCAGGAAGCGGAGGTTGCAGTGAACCAAGATCATGTCACTGCACTCCAGCCTGGGCAACAGAGCAAGACTGTCTCAAAAACAAAGTTGAAATAGAACATTTCTGGGGCCAGGTGTGGTGGCTCAAGTCTGTAATCCCAGCACGTTGTGAGGCTGAGGTGGGTGAATTGCTTGAGCCCAGGAGTTTGAGACCAGCCTGGCCAACATGGTGAAACCCCATCTCTATTAAAAATACAAAATTTAGCTGGGTGTGGCAGCTCATGCCTGGAATCCCAGCTACTCAGGAGGCTGAGGCATGAGAATGGCTTGAACCTGGGAAGTGGAGGTTGCAGTGAGCTGAGATCGTGCCACTGCACTCCAGCCTGGGCAACAGAGTGAGACTCTGTCTAAAAAAAAAAAAAAAAAAAGACAAAAAATAACATGCTGGTGAGGATGCAGAGAAAAGTTGATCTCATAAAGGTAAAGAGTAGAATGATAGTTAACAGAGGCTGGGGGAAAGGGTGGAGGATGAAGAGAGGTAGTTTAATGGCATAAACATACAGTTAGGTAAAAGGTGTAAATTCTGTTCAACAGTAGTGTAAGGCAACTATAGTTAACAACAATGTACTCCATATTGCAAAGTGGCTAAGAAGAGCCTTGTGCAGTGATGAGCACATGTAATCCCAGCTATTCAGGAGGCTGAGACAGGAAGACTGCTTGAGGCCAGGAGTTCGAGACTGGCCTGGGCAGTATAGCGAGACCCCCATCTCAGAACAAAACCAAAACCAAAGTAGTTAGAAGAGAGGTCTTGAATTGCTCCCAACACATAGAAATGATAAATACTCAAAGTGATGAACACCTCAAATACCCTGACTTGATCACTGCACGTTCTATGCATGTAGCAAAATATCACATGTACTTCCTAAATATGTAAAATATGATGTATCAATTTTAAAAAATACTGTCTCATCCTCTGTTCTTGTTCTCTTCCCATCCCCCTACCATATACCGGGTTTAGAATATATATATCTATGTTGGGCAGTGGTCACATGGAGCAGTAGAACCAGCACCAGGTTTTAACTCCAAATCTGATGTGGAGGCGCTGTTACCTTGGGTGACTCACCTGCCCTCTCTGGGCCTGGGTCCTCACCTGCTCCATCAGGGGAACACATGCCTGTGCCTGGTGGAGGATCTGGGGGAGACTGTCTGCTGAGGCTGGCAGAGGCTACTGCACACGCCCAAGGAGAGGTAATTCATGACTGTTCCCCAGGGGGCAAGCTCTCCTACCCCCTGTGGGGGTCCCCTGTGTTGGAATGGAGGAAGCCACCAATTTGCGGATCTCAGAGGGCCCATTAGAGAAGGAAGAGGAAGAGGCAGGCTGGGACACTGACCTGCCAGGCCTGCTGCTGGGCCTGGACCTGTAGCTGCAGCTCCTCCACCTGCCTCCGCCCTGCCAGGACGGCATCTGCCAGCTGCTGGTTCTCGGCCTCCTGTTTCTGCACATGGCGCCGCAGGGTGTCCCGTTGCTGCAGGAAGTAGGGTGCCATAACACTGTGCAGATCCTTCTCTGGGATCCCGCTGGGGCGCCTGGAGGGCCACACGGGGCACAAGGAATGAAGGAGGCGGAAGGCCCTTGTGGAAGAAGGTTCAGCTTCCAAGCCCACACTCGGTGACATGCCCACCTTGTCCCAAGTTGGGCTGGCTTCCCAGGTCTCTCCTGTGGTCCCTCTCACCTCCCAAGACCTGTTCCTCGTAGGAATGCACACTTCCTTTCCCTGGGTTTCAATGCTTAGGGGTCCACCTCTCCCCCTTCTCACTTCAGCCCCTATCTTAGCCTTCCCGACCATACCCCACATTCCCCTCCTTTCCTCCACACACACTCCCCTATCCAGAACACTTCAGGGTGACTTTGTAGCCCCTGCCTCTGTCCTTGTGACCATGTGCCCGGCTGGTGCATCCAGTCCACCAGACTGTGAGCTTGAGAGGTTGGGGGTGGCTCCTGACAGAGGGCCCAGACTGTGGGAGGCCCCCATAAGTGTTGGCTGATCTGGGAAGATAAGGAAAGTCAAGTCTGAGGAGGCAAGATTACACAAGAGGTGGAAAGCACTGTGAGTTCTTTAAAAATTCTTTTTCAGGCCAGGTGTGGTGGCTCACGCCTGTAATCCCAGCACTTTGGGAGGCCAAGGCAGGCAGATCACGAGGTCAGGAGATCGAGAGCATCCTGGCTAACATGGTGAAACCCCATCTCTACTAGAAATACAAAAAATTAGCCGGGCATGGTGTTGGGTGCCTGTAGTCCCAGCTACTTGGGAGGCTGAGGCAGGAGAATGGCGTGAACCCAGGAGGCGGAGCTTGCAGTGAGCCAAGATCGCGCCACTGCACTCCAGCCTGAGAGACAGAGCGAGACTCTGTCTCAAAAAAAAAAAAAAAAAAAAAAAATTATTTTTCAATGGCTGAGCGCGGTGGCTCATGCCTGTAATCTCAGCACTTTGGGAGGCCAAGGCAGGTGGATCACCTGAGGTCCGGTGTTTGGGACCAGCCTGGCCAACATGGTGAAACCCCATCTCTACTAAAAATACAAAAATTAGCCAGGTGTGGTGGCGGGCGCTGTAATCCCAGCTACTCGGGAGGCTGAGGCAGGAGAATCGCTTGGACCCGGGAGGCTGAGGTTGCAGTGAGCTGAGATCGCACCACTGTACTCTAGCCTGGCCTGGACAAATGAGTGAGACTCCATCTCAAAAAAAAAAAAAAATTCTTTTTCAGTTGTGAAACTTAATTCTCTTAAGTATTAAGGTCACAGAGCATTTTTAAAAATTGGAAATTACAAAAAAGATTTCTACTCCCTCTGGCCTAGGATTCTAAGGGAGGGAGGGTTGCAGGAGGCAGGGGCTCAGCTGCTGGGGTCTTGCTGGCCCCTGCTCTCCACGGCTCATCCCAGGCCCCACTTCTCCACCTTGCACTTGGTGTACCAGGTAGCCGGCTGCTGCTGAAATGTCAGCTCCAGGAGAGCAGGTATTTGGTCTGTCTTGTTCACTGCTAAGTTTCTGGCATCTAAAACAGTATCGAGGCTGGGCGCGAGGGCTCACACCTTTAATCCCAGCACTTTGGGAGGCCGAGGCAGGAGGATCACCTGAGGTCAGGAGTTCGAGATCAGCCTGGCCAACATGGTGAAACCCCATCTCTACTAAAAATACAAAAATTAGCCAGGCATGGTAGTGGGGGCCTGTAATTCCAGCTACTCAAGAGGCTGAGGCAGGAGAATTGCTTGAACTCAGGAGGTGGAGGTTGCAATGAGCCAAGATCACACCACTGTACTCCAACCTGGGCAACAGAGCAAGACTCTGTCTTAAAAAAAATAGAAAAAAAAAACAATATCGATCATATAGTAGGTGCTCCCTAACCTGTTGAATGAACAAATGTATAAAAACCAGTTGCCCCACCAGCCTCATCTACACCTGTAAGATGTACATGGTGATTCCAAACCTCACGATTCTGCCTCCTCCCACTCCCCCCACCCACCCTTTCTCCCACAGGACCAACAGACCCTAAAATGAGCTCCCTCAGGAAGGCTTCTTCAGTCTGGCCTCAAACTACTTCCCTCCCTAATCCCCTCAACAACATGGCTTACCTGGGGCTCTCCTCCCCTGAAGGGAACTATGCGGTACAACAGTTTTCGCTTACTGTTTGGTGTCTGTCTGCTCTACTTGTCCCTGTCAAAAGGTTCTCTCTCAGGGGCAACAAGCCCAGAGTCTCATGGATATGGTGGACACAGGGTCAGCCTTTTAAAAGTTTTTTTTAGAGACAGGGTCTCACTATATTGCCCAGGCTGGTTCTGAACTCTTGAACTCCTGGTCTCAAGTGATCCTCCCACCTCAGCCCCCTGAATAACTGGGATTACAGGCATGAGTCACCACTCCCTGCTTGGGTCAGTCTTAAAGTCTCCTTCAAGAAGCTGAACTGTCCAGGCATTGTGGCTCAAGCTTGTAATCCCAGCACTTTGGGAGGTCAAGGTGGGAGGACAGCTTAAGGCCAGGAGTTTGTGACCAGCCTGGCCAACATAGTGAGACCCTGACTCTAGAAAAAAAAAAAAAAAGCTTAATTGCTGCCTCTTTCCTGTACCTTCTCACCTCCCCACCCCACTCTCACCAGGCTGGCTCTTTGCGGACTTTGCCTTCTTCCACAATTTTATCCAAGGCATTCAAGACAGCTTCTAGGTTCCCCTCCTCTTTGATGTCAGAGATTTCCTCCTGAAGAGAAAGGAGGAAAGAGCTGTAATGACACGAGATGAGCTCATGGCAAAAATATGCTAAACTGCTGACAGCACTTGGTAAGATTTTGGCTAATTTCTGTTCTAGGTCTTTATGCTTTCCCTGACATTCCAACTTTTCTACATGTGGCTTTTATAATTAAGAAAATAGGCTGGGCGTCGTGGTTCACGCCTGTAATCCCAGCACTTTGGGAGGGCCGAGGTGGGTGGATCACTTGAGACCAGGAGTTCGAGACCAGCCTGGTAACACGGTGAAACCCTGTCGCTACTAAAAAAAAAAAAAAAAATTAGCTGGATGTGGTGGCACTCAGCTGTCATCCCAGCTACTCGGGAGGCTGAGGCACAAGAATCACTTGAACCTGGGAGGCGGAGGTTGTAGTGAACCGAGATTGCGCCACTGCACTATAGCCTGGGCAACAGAATGAGACTCTGCCTCAAAAAAGCAAACAAAAATAATTAAGGAAATAAAATATAAAGTGGGGAAAATGTTTTATTTATTTATTTTTATTTAAAAAATCTTTTTAGCTAGGCGTGGGGGTGCACGTCTACAGTCCCAGTGATTCTGGAATCTGAGGTAGGAGGATTGCTTCAGCCTAGGAGGCAGAGGCTGCAGTGAGCTGAGATCACGCCACTGCACTCCAGCCTGAGTGACAGAGCCAGACCCTGTCTCAAAAAAAAAAAAAAAAAAGGAAGAAAAAAATTAAAATTTTAGGCCACTGTACCGGCCTAAAGTGGGAAATATTTAAAAAGAGCCTGTAGGCTGGTAGTTCATGTAATTCCAGCACTTTGGGAAGCCAAGGTGGGAGGATCGCTTGAGCCCAGAGTTTGAGGCTGCAGGGAGCTGTGATTATGCCGCTGTACTCAAGCCTGGGTGACAGAGCAAGATCCTGACTTAAAAAAAAAAAAAGACCCCATCAGCCTTTGCTGAGTTTGCATGGTCTAGAGAGCAGGCAACATAAAACACATAATCACAATACAGGACAGTGAGCAAAGGCTGCATCTAAGATACCCGCATCATTTGGAGGGGAGTGACGATGGATGCTGCAGCCTGCTGGGCACCCAGGACAGCTCTAGGGGCTGAGGAGACAGAGGTGTAGAGGGTGGGGCCACTGCCCTCAGGGGACTGACAATCTGGAGACAGAACCCAAGTCAACAGCACCTGCCAGGCTTCCCGCCACTCACCCGGATAGATGTCTGCAACTGAGCTATAAACTTGTCATAGATTTGCTGTGTCATCGCAGGCTGCAACTGGTAGAAGCACTTATAGCAGTCAGTGAATCTCTGGTAGCTGGCGGGAAGGAGAGAAGCAAAGGTGGGGAGGGCCAAGCATGAGGCCGGCCATCAGCCTGCCTGGGTACCTCCGCTTCGCATTACAGGACTCTGAGCTCTGTCCACTTCATGGCCCTGGTTAAAGCCAGTGGATGCAAATCTCTCATCTAAGCACGAGTCACCGAGGATGGTTCAACCCCATCAATGCCCCATCAGCATCCTCACTCCTTCTTAGGAGAGCCCCAGGTGAGTTTAAGTGTTTATCTCTTGAAGATTACTCCTCACTCCTTCCACAGTTTCTAGCAAGCTCTCGGGTTAGGCTGATGGTGCTGGTCTGGGGAACCACACTTTGAGAGCCTCTGGTCATTCCAGTGCCCTGAGGGACTTGGATTAGGACAGGGCATGTGACATCTGGGAGAGATTGGCTTACTCCTAAAAAGAGCCACATAGAAAGCAACTGATGCTCTCTCGGCAGGACATTACCATATCCAGGTGATGCTCTTTGGCAACCATGGGGGCCCTGGCCTGAGGGCAGAGTTTACACCAACCTGCAGCCACTCTACTTTGGGGCTTCTTGTTACATGAGGTAATATATTTCTCTTATTGTTGGAGCCTGATTTTCTTTCCTTTTTTTTTCTTGAGGCAGTCTCGCTCTGTCACCCGGCTGGAGTGCAGTGGCGTGATCTTGGTTCATTGCAACCTCTGCCTCCTGGGTTCAAGCGATTCTCCTACCTCAGCCTCCCAAGTAGCTGGGATTACAGGCACCCGCCACCACGCCTGGCTAATTTTTGTATTTTTAGTAGAGATGGGGTTTCACCGTGTTGGCCAGGCTGGTCTTGAACTCCTAACCTCAGGTGATCCACCCGCCTCAGCCTCCCAAAGTGCTAGGATTACAGGTGTAATCCAGCCTGAAGCCTGATTTTCTACTTTTCTTTTTGAGACAGGATCTCATTCCATCACCTGGGCTGGAGTGCAGTGACACAATCAGAGCCCACTGCAACCTCCAACTCCAACTCCTGGGCTCAAGGGATCCTCTTGCCTCAGCCTCCTGAGTAGCTAGGACTACAGGTGCACACCATCATGACCAGCTAATTCTTTTTTTTTTTTTTTTTTTTTTTTTTTGAGATGGAGTCTTGCTCTGTCGCCCAGGCTGGAGTGCAGTGGCGCGATCTCGGCTCACTGCAAGCTCCGCCTCCCGCGTTCACACCATTCTCCTGCCTCAGCCTCCTGAGTAGCTGGGATTACAGGTGCCCACCACCACGCCCAGCTAATTTTTCTGTATTTTTAGTAGAGACGGGGGTTTCACCGTGTTAGCTAGGATGGTCTTGATCTCCTGACCTCGTGATCCGCCCATCTCGGCCTCCCAAAGTGCTGGCATTACAGGCATGAGCCACCGTGCCTGCCATGACCAGCTAATTCTTTTATTTTTATTTTTTTGTAGAGTCGCGGTCTCACTGTATTGCCCAGACTCGTCTCAAAAAACTCCTGGGCTCAAGCAATCCTCCTGCCTCAGCCTCCCAAAGTGCTGGGAGTCTAGGGGTGAGCCATCATGCCCAGCCAAGCCTGATTTTAAATCAGGTCTCTGCCACTAGCAGCTGAGAGCTCCTCACTGATAAATCCTTTGCAGCTGGAAGTATTCAATGGTATCCAGTATATTCCCAATGGCTCATTCCTCTTGGACAGACAAACTCAAGTTAAATGAACTCTTTTGGCTGTTTTTCTCCCTCCCCTTTGTTTCCTCCCTCTCCCTTGCCTGTGTCTCTCTGTCCACTCTCAGGCCCTTCCCCTTCAACAAATATTCACTGAGTGTCTGCTATATGCTGATCACCCACCAGGAACTGGGTATTCGAGGTGGATAAGACTGACACGGCCCTCCCAGAGCTTCCAGTAGAGAAGGAGAGATGGCAGAAATGCAGAAACTCACATGCAAGTGATAATCATCTCTTGTAGAGAGTGGTTTAAAAGAAAAAGGCCAGAGTTATAGGGCTAACAGTGTATCAACGATCTTCTTTAAATTGGGAGCGGGTGTGGTCAGATGAAGCGGTGTTCGAGTGACTTGCAGAAAGCGCCTGAACCAAGGAAGATCTTCAAATACACAAAAGCTCACACTGATGCTGTACTGTAGGTCAGGATGCTCCTTGGCTGTGAGGATCAGGCTGGCGGGCCACTGGGTAAACAGGGCATTAGGGCCCTGATGCCCAACACAAAGCCCCACCCCTAGCCAGGGAGTCACTGCTGGGTCCTCCCTTTCTCATGGCTCTTTAAGCCTCCTCACGAAACCCGCCCCCAAACAATGTTTTTGGAAACAGGTGAAGACTAAGAGCAGTGGTATACTGGAGCCAGCTCACAGTGGCCTGCAAGAGAGAACTGCCAAATTTCCAGGAACTCTGGGCCAAGTGTTAAACACAGCCATTATTAAGAATTAAATTACATAAACTGACAATAAATTAACTTTAAAAGCAAAGGTCCTGGGCGCAGTGGCTCATGCCTGTAATCTCAGCACTTTGGGAGGCAGAGACCGGTGGATCACCTGACGTTGGGAGTTCGGGACCAGCCTGACCAACATGGAGAAACCTCGTCTCTACTAAAAAATACAAAAAATTAGCCGGGCGTGGTGATGCACGCCTGTAATCCCAGCTACTCGGGAGGCTGAGGCAGGAGAATTGCTTGAACCCGGGAAGCAGAGGTTGCCGTGAGCTGAGATCACGCCATTGCACTCCAGCCTGGGCAACAAGAGCGACACTCCATCTCAAAAAAAAAAACAAAAACAAAACAAAGGTCCTAAAGACTCCAAACATACCACTTCCTAATCATTCTACCACCTTTTACTCTGCTCTTGAGGTAATTTGTATATATTGTCTCTGTCTGGTGGAAATACTGGATCAAGGTAGCTGCTGCCCAGCTCTTCTCAACACTGTATCTAGTGATGCCATGTTGGTAGCTTAGGAGTATCTACACCTTGGAAATTGGCAAACACTGCAAACCGGGGCTCTCTTTTCAGAGAGCTGGTTGTAAGCAACTACCAGTACACTTCTGGGTCAGAGTGGCGGTCTCTCACCTTTTCAGTGATACACATTCCATGTGAGTACACCTTGGAAGCTAAGCTTAGGTACCTAAAAAACAATACAGTAGGCCAGGCGCGGTGGCTCACGCCTGTATTCCTAGCACTTTGGGAGGCCAAGGCGGGCGGATCATGAGGTCAGGAGATGGAGACCATCCTGGCTAACATGGTGAAACCCCATCTCTACTAAAAATACAAAAAATTAGCTGGGCGTGGTGGCACATGCCTGTAGTCCCAGCTACTCAGGAGGCTGAGGCAGGAGAATCACTTGAACCTGGGAGGCGGAGGTTGCAGTGAGCTGAGATCACGCCACTGCACTCCAGCCTGGGCGACACAGCAAGACTCCGTCTCAAAAAACAAAACAAAAATAAAAACAATACTGTACACAGAATAGACGATGGGCATTCCTTCAACCCTCAGCAGACTCCCAGATATCTTGTTTTGCTGCTGGCCTGACTAGCCACGCAGTCTGTGGCTACCAGGAGGAACGTGGAGGAACACATGATGCTGACCAAGCAGGGCTGGAATTGAAACTGGGTAATTGTGGCTTAAAACAGGTTTGGCTTAGACATGGGAGATCCTGTTCCTCCACCCAGCCTACTCAGCAGGCGGAGGGTCTGAGCTGGACGCATCTCTCTTCAGCTCAGGCAGCTGACAGCGGATAGGGCCCAGGGCAGGGGTGAAGCAAATTCTGACCACCAGCGCTGGCTGTGACCTGTTCTGAGGTCTCCTTTATGGTATGATAATTCAGTGAAAGTGAAGGACCACAGAAACACACACACTCATACACAGACACAAGATGAAATATATGCTAACAGGACAATGTGGCTTAACCAAGGAGAAAGGCAGCCAGACTGGTGCCAGTGTCAGTGAGTACAGGAAGAAGGTGATGTCTTTCTTGAGAGCCAATGCAGAATTGGGAATGTTTTGAATGCCCTTGTGGATTTTCTGAAAAATATACTCAGGGAGAAGCAGGAAAGTGATACACTAAAAAAAAAAAAAAAAAAAAAAAAAAAAAAAATCGCCAGGTGCGGTGGCTCACGCCTGTAATCCCAGCACTTTGGGAGGCCGAGGCGGGCAGATCACCTGAGGTCAGGAGCAGATCACCTAAGGTCAGGAGTTCAAGACCAGCCTGACTAACATGATGAAACCCTATCTTTACTAAAAATACAAAAATTAGCTGGGTGTGGTAGCGCATGTCTGTAATCCCAGCTACTTCGGAGGCTGAGGCAGGAGAATCACTTGAACCCGGGAGGCGGAGGTTGCAGTGAGCTGAGATCATGCCATTGCACCCCAGTGTGGGCAACAAGAATGAAACTCCGTCTCAAAAAAAAAAAAAAAAATCATAGTCAGGTGCAGTGGCTCACGCCTGTAATCCCAGCATTTTGTGAGGCTGAGGCAGGAGGATCACTTGAGCCCAGGAGTTGGAGACCAGCCTGTGCAACACAGCAAGAACCTGTCTCAATAAAAAAAAATTTAAGGCCAGGCGCAGTGGCTCACACCTGTTATCCCAGCACTTTGGGAGGCTAAGGCAGGGGGATCACTTGAAGTCGGGAGTTCGAGACCAGCCTGACCAAAATGGAGAAAACCCATCTCTACTAAAAATATAAAAAATGAGCCAGGCATGGTAGTAGGCACCTGTAATCCCAGCTACTCAGGAGGCTGAGGCATGAGAATCGCTTGAACCCGGGAGGCGGAGATTGCGGTGAGCTGAAATCGCACCACTATACTCTAGCCTGGGCGACAGAGCAAGACTCTGTCTCAAAAAAAAAATAAAATAAAATAAAATAAATTTTTTAAAAAATTAAAAGAAATTTTAAATCTTGGCTCACTGCAACCTCCGCCTCCTGGGTTCAAGCAATTCTCATGCCTCAGCCTCCCAGGTAGCTGGGATTACAGGTGCCTACCACCACGCCCAGCTAATTTTTGTATTTTTAGTAAAGACAGGGTTTCACCATGTTGGCCAGGCTGGTCTTGAACTCCCAATCTCAGGTGATCCACCCACCTCGGCCTTCCAAAGTGCTGGGATTACAGGCGTGAGCCATTGAGCCTGGCCAAAAAAAAATTTTTAATTCATGACCATTTGCCCCAAGTGTCAAATTTTATCTTTTTACGCAAATTATAATATCCTTGTGGACAAGGATGCCGTCTGCAATGCTGCTGGGATCTCCAGGGTGCCCACAACCATGTCAGATGCACAGCAGCATGTAAGACGCTCTGTAGACTGGGTGACTGGGGCTAAGGTAAGGCCTGGGCTGCCCACCCTGGACCCCAGGATCCCAGGACCTGAAAAGCTTGGGAAGAGGAGTCCTCCCCCAGGAGCCTCCTCTGCAACCTCTCTGCCAAGGCCCCTCTTCACCCCATGACGGGATGGTCTCTTGGCCCTGGCCTCCAAGGGTACATAAGAGGTCACCCAGCTACCCAATGCATACTGGGTAACTTTACTGGTTCTCTGGACAGACTACCTGTCATTTTCCCTGGATTCAAATCCTATCTCTACCACTCATCAACTAGTGACCTCAGACTACTTCTTTACCTCTATAAACCTCAATTTCCTCCTCTGTCAAATGGGGATAATAACTATCTAGGCCTCACAAAATTACTGTGCAGATTAAGTGAGGTAAAATATATAAAGTCCTCAGTACGGTGCCCAGCACATTGAAATGCTTCATGTGAGCTACAATTATTCTTACTAATCTCAAAATAACAGTCCTCACTGCCCTTCTGAAGTACAGAAGTCAGTAACTTGGCTCCCCAGAGCTGGGAAGTCTCCTCCCGGGTGGAAGGCAGGTGCTAGTGAATGAGGCTTGTGTGCAATTGCACATGCAGAAACCAACCCAGCAGGGGTAAGAACCAGCTGTCAGGATTTGTCCCCACTAGAGAGAAAAGGCCAAATTGTGGCCTCAAAAAGGCTAAATTTATCAGAAATGAAAGTAACTTTTAAAAACCACATTTACTGAGTTTCAAAACTGAGATGACTATATTAACTGATTTTAACCTGTTATTTTTTCTTGGGAGGCCAACGCAGGAGGATCACTTAGCCCAGGAGTTCAAGATCAGCCTGGGCAACATAGTGAGACCCTGTCTTCACAAAAAAATTTTTAAAATAAAAATAAAAACATTAACCAGGCACAGTGGCTCATACCTGTAATCCCAGTGCTTTGGGAGGCCGAAGTGGGGGGATCACTTGAGGTCAGGAGCTTGAGACCAGCCTGGCCAACATGGTGAAACCCCATCTCTACTAAAAATACAAAAATTAACCAGGTGTGGTGGTACATGCCTGTAATCTCAGCTACTTGGCAGGCTGAGGCAGAAGAATGGCTTGAACCTGGGAGGTGGAGGCTGTAGTGAGCAGAGATCGTGCTACTGCACTCCAGCCTGGGCAACAGAGTGAGACTTCACCTCAAAAAAATAACAAATAAATAAAAATATTTAAATAAATTTGACTTCAAAATATTTAAGCACAGAATCAGGCTCTGGTCATTTGTCAATCTGTTGGTTTACATATGCAGATAAATTGTGCAGGACAGCATGGAAAGATAAAAGAGGGTAACACAATATCACGGTGTACACAGTGCTAAGGGAGCCAAAAAAGGAGCCAGGACTTGCCTTCCTCCCCTGTGGTAACCTGCACGCCGCCCAACTGAAGGCCTGTTTCACAGACTGTCCACCAGAGGGCAGGCGGGGACCAGCACTTCCGTCCCAATGAAGGAGTGGAGAGCTGAGAACAAAACAAACAGGCTGAGAACAAAACAAACAGAAGCTGGGGATGCAAAGGGCAGAAGAATGGTACAATGGACTTTGCCAACTGTGGGGAAAGGGTGGGAGGGGGGTGAGGGATAAAAGACTACATACTGGGTATAGTGTACACTGCTCGGGTGATGGGTGCACCAAAATCTCGGAAATCACCGCTAAAGAACTTATCCATGTAACCAAACACCACCTGTTCCCCAAAAAACTACTGAAATTAAAAAAAAAAAAAAAAAAAAAAAAAAGCTGAGGACTGGAGTGACAGAAATTCTTGCTCTTCATCCCCTATTCACTATACGGCTGTCCATTTCATTAAGAAATGTTTCTCATCAGGGCATGGTAGCTCATGCCTGTAATCTCAGTACTTTGGGAGGCTGAGGTGGGCGGATTACCTGAGGTCAGGAGTTCGAGACCAGCCTGGCCAATATGGCAAAACCTCCTCTCTACTAAAAATACAAAAATTAGCAGGGCGCAGTGGCAGGCGCCTGTAATCCCAGCTACTCGGGAGGCTGAGGCAGGAGAATCGCTTTAACCCGGGAGGCGGAGGTTGCAGTGAGCCAAGATGGCGCCACTGCCCTCCAGCCTGGGCAACAGAGCAAGACTGACTCAAAAAGGAAAAAAAAAAAATTCTCCATTTGGTCTTTTTCTCTCTCCACTTTCTGGTCCTGTGTACACTGGGAAGCCCCAGGACTGAGAAAGGGAGAGGAGGAAAGAGGGAAAGAAGAAAGAGATAAATGTTTCTTTTTTATTTTCTTTTTTTTTTTGAGACGGAGTCTCACTCTGTCGCCCAGGCTGGAGTGCAGTGGCGCGATCTCGGCTCACTACAAGCTCCGCCTCTGGGGTTCACACCATTCTCCTGCCTCAGCCTCCCGAGTAGCTGGGACTACAGGCCCCTGTCACCACACCCAGCTAATTGTTTGTATTTTTAGTAGAGACGGGGTTTCACCGTGGTCTCGGTCTCCTGACCTCATGATCCGCCCGCCTCAGCCTCCCAAAGTGCTGGGATTACAGGCGTGAGCCACTGCGCCCGGCCTGATAAATGTTTCTTAATGAAAATAAGAGGAAAGTCTCCAGGCCAGTGATTCAAGATGAATCGTTGTATTAAAAGGTTATCCTTTAAAAATTAGCCTTTCGACAGGTACAATTAGGATTCTGGTGTTGTACAGTAGAGTGACTGTGGTTAACCGTAAAATATTGCAGATTGCCAAATAGCTAGAAGAGATGCTTTTGAAGGTTCTCACCACAAAGAAATGATAAATCTATGAGATGACATGCTAATTACCCTGATTGGATCATTATACAACATAGATATGTACCCTATAAATATGTACAATTACAATGTGTCAATTAAAAATAAATACTTAAAATTAATCCTAATTATATCTTTAGGTTATTTGGTCTCTTGGACTAATTTAGTCTTTTATTGTTTAGCTTCTTCCTTTGAAAACTGCTGGGAAAACTTCAAAAATCTGAAATTGGGATACTTTTCCTGAGAAAGATGGAAGAAACTTTGTGGTTTGATAAATATTAGCATGAAGATAAAAAATGCCAGCAGGATAATTGTATTCATTTAATAGATACTTACTGAGCACCGACCAGGTACCAGGCCAAGCTTGGTGGTACAAACCCAAAGACGAAACAGTACAATTCCTGCCGTCAAAGGGACTGCAGATCAACCTTTGGGAAAATGGGTATGAGACAGCATGGGGCCTTAGCAGGGGCTCGGGGAAGGCTCCCTAGAGGAAGCAATGTCAGAGAGAGAAGCAGGAGCTGGCCACAGGACAGGAGAAGAGCAGCATGGACTAAGTTCAGGCAGTGTAGCTGAAGGGCGGGTGTGTGTGTGTGTGTGTGTGTGTGCACGTGCACATATGTGCATGTGTGTGAAGATGCAGTAATAATAGGAAACTGAGGACTGATTAGTGCCAGGCCCTGTTCTATGTACTCTACATAACTCACTGAATCCTTACCATGATTCTGTGAGGCGGGGTTCTATTATCATCACCCCCATTTTTCAGATGAGGAAGCTGAGGCAGAGAGAAGCTTGCCCAAGGTCACACAACCAGCATGTGATGGAGCCAGCTGGGACTCAATCCAGGCCATCTGGCCATGTTGGCTTCCATGCAGGGCCAGACACAGAGTCTGGAGTGTGGATGTATCATGACCGGAGGAGCTAGAAAAGGGACTGAAGCAGAGATGTGATATGAACAGATCTACACCTTAGGACATGCACTTGGCTGCTATGTGAGGGTGGCTTCAGGAAGCACAGCTGAGACAACAGCAGCCTGGAGCAAGGCAAAAACAGTGGGGACAGAAAGAGGTGGATGGTCTGGAAACATACGGAGGGAAAGTATGAGCATGCCAGGCCTGGAGCCACACACCACAGTTTGATGACTCATGCCCACCCTTCAGAAACAAAACACCACCAATAGCAGGCATCACCTGCATATTCAAAGAGGGTGAGATATTTCCAGGGCATTTATAGTCAGAATAGTTTATATATTAAACCACTCTTTTTCCTGTGATGAACTATTTCCTATGAACACCAACAGTCTTTGGCACTAGTTCATTACAAATGCAATTCGCTTTCTTTTCTTGGTCACTGCCAGACGTAGGCTTTAAGTCACTTTACACATCTTACCCTGTGCGGCATATCCCAGGCCAGAAGACTGAACCACAAGGACATCTCTAAGTATGGCATCTAAGAACTTAAGAACTGTCGCCATACACTCACGCCTGTAATCCCAGCACTTTGGGAGGCTGAGGCGGGCGGATCACCTGAGGTTAGGAGTTTGAGACCAGCCTGGCCAACATGGTGAAACCCCGTCTCTACTTAAAAGTCTGTATTCGGCTGGGAGCAGTGGCTCATGTCTGTAGTCCCAGAACTTTGGGAGGCCGAGGCGGGCAGATCACCTGAGGTCAGGAGTTTGAGACCAGCCTGATCAACATGGAGAAACCCCATCTCTACTACAAATACAAAATTAGCCGGGCGTGGTGGCTCATGCCTGTAATCCTGGCTACTCAGGAGGCTGACGCGGCAGAATCGCTTGAACCTGGGAGGTGGGGGTTGAGGTAAGCTGAGATCGTGCCATTGCACTCCAGCCTGGGCAACAAGAGCGAAACTCCATCTCAAAAAGAAAAAAAAAAGTATGTATTCATATATGACACTTATTGAGCCCTTTCTCTGGAAACCAGCTGAGAGTAAGTTCCTATTTAATCAAATGAGGAGAAGGATGTTCTACTGAGGAGAAGCAGCAGTGGGAAGACAAGGTGGCAGGGGTGAAGGCAGGGGGGCAGCACTTGGTGCAGAAGAGCTTCCGTGCCCATGTGTGGTCTGCACTGGCACTCAGGTGTGCATGCGCTGTACTCCCACGGCCCTGACTTGGGGTTGGTGAGATGGGAAGGAATGGCCTTGTACACTGTGCTAAGGAGCTTGCATTCATTCTGGAAGCAACCCTGAACCAATTAAACATTTTAAGCAGGAGAAGGGGATCAAATCTGAGCTGTAGACTGGTGGGAGGACACAAGACTGAGGCTGGAGGGCCAGTTTGGAGGCAGGTGCAAGAGTCACAGTGAGAGACAGTCAGGGCCTGAACTCAGACAGTGTCAGCAAGGATGGAAAGGAGGAGTCGGAGGCGAGAGAGGCTGAAGCCAACAGGGGTGGGCAGTTGAATGGAAGTGAAAGGGATGGACAGGCCAATGAGGACTCTCAAATCTTTAGCCTAGAGAATGGATAGTGGTAATTCCTTCAACCAACTCAGGGATCACAGGAAGGGAAGAGGTGGAAGAGAAATCCTGTTCCCATGCTGAGCTGATGATTCTGTGGGACACCAAATGGAGATTTGTAGTAGTAGACTGTTGGAGTTAGAGGTCTGAAACTCAGGGGAGATATTGCTTGGGAATCCCCATTTATCTAAAACTATGTACTGAATGCCTCCTGTATACCAGGCACCGTGATGAGTGAAGAATAGAGAATGATGAACAAGACAGACAAGATACTGCCCTCAAGGACCTTAGGTTTTATGTAGGGGAGACTGACCACAAATAAGTAAACAAGCAGACAACAGAACAGCAGACTGCAATATGTGCTATGAAGGAATAAATAACCGGTGTCTATCATGACAAATAACCAGGGGAGCAAGGTGGCCTTAGAGCGGGTCAGGGAAGAGATGAAGGAAGACCATTCTTGGCAGAGCAAACAGCAAGTGCAGATGCCAAGGCAGGAAAGCACTTGAAGTTCCAGGCAATGAGGAGGTCAGTATGAGTGAGTATGAGTGCAGCAGGGCACAAGAGGTAGCCCGGGCCTAGAAGCCCTGGTGAGGAGCAATGGACAGTCACCGAAGGCTTTCAGTAGCAGCAAGACATCAGATGGGAGGAGGGGGTGAAAGTAAGGAGAGGGCAACATTCACACGTTTAAAGGACAAGAGAAGAGGACCCCGGGAAGGAGCAGCTAGTCAGGTAAAGGGGCAGAGAATGACGTCGGAAACCAAGGGAGAAATCTGAAGAACAGAGGAGTGGTTGACAATGTCAAAGCCTACAAGGAAAGCAAGTACGTTAAATATTTTAAAAATATATATCCAGCTGGGCGCGGTGGCTCATGCCTGTAATCCCAGCACTTTGGGAGGCCGAGGCAGGTGGATTACCTGACATTAGGAGTTCGAGATCAGCCTGGCTAACATGGTGAAACCCCATCTCTACTAAAAATACAAAAATTAGCTGGGCGTGGTGGCGGCACCTATAATCCCGGCTACTCAGGAGGCTGAGGAGAATTGCTTGAACCCAGGAGGTGGAGGTTGCCATGAGCCGAGATCACGCCACTGCACTCCAGTCTGGGCAACAAGAGTGAAACTCCGTCTGAAAAAAAATAAAATATATATACACACAAACACACACACACACACATACATGTATATATCTCCAAAGTATTTAGCAACAAAGAGGTTATTAATTACGTTGAACGGGGTAGTTTTAAAGGAAGGGTGGCGGAATGCCCCAAGATGAGGAAAAACTGGAGACAGGCTGGGTGCAGTGGCTCACACCCGTAATCCCGGCCCTTTAGGAGGCTGAGGCGGGAGGATCACTTGATCCTAGAAGTTGGAGACCAGACTGGGCAATGTAGCAAGACCCCATTTCTACAAAAAAATCTAAACAAAAATATTAAAAAATTGGCCAGGTGAGGTGGTGCATGCCTGTAGTCTCAGGCAGCTACTCAGGACGCTGAGGCAGGAAGATCACTTGTGCCCAGGAGTTCAAGACCAGCATGGGCAGGCCGGGCATGGTGGCTCACGCCTGTAATCCCAGCACTTTGGGAGGCCGAGGCAGATGGATCACAAGGTCAGGAGATCGAGACCATACTGGCTAACACAGTGAAACCCCGTCTCTGCTAAAAATAGAAAAAAATTAGCCGGGCGTGGTGGCGGGTGCCTGTAGTCCCAGCTACCCGGGAGGCTGAGGCAGGAGAATGGCGTGAACCCGGGAGGTGGAGCTTGCAGTGAGCGGAGACAGCGCCACTGCACTCCAGCCTGGGCAACAGAGCCAGACTCCATCTCAAAAAAAAAAAAAAGACCAGCATGGGCAACATATCAAAACCCCATTTCTACAAAAAATACAAAAATTAGCTGGGTGTGGTAGTGTGTGCCTGTAGTCCCAGCTACTCGGGAGGCTGAGGTGAAAGGATCACCTAAGCCAGGGAGGCGGAGGTTGCAGTGAGCTGTGATCATGCCACTGCACTCCGGTCTGGGCGACAGAGCATGACCCTGTCTCAAAGAGAAAAAAAAATTAGCCAAGTGTGGTGGTACACATCTGTAGTCCCAGCTACTTGGGAGGCTATGATGGGAGGATCACTTGAGCCCAGGAGGTTGAGACTACAATGAGCCATGATTGTGCCACTGCACTCCAGCCTGGGCAACAGAGCAAAATCCTGTCTCTAAATAAATAAATAAAGAGAAAAGATGGGACTTGCTGGACCAAACATAAGGTTTCCTACAAGGGCCTGGTTTTAACAACCCACATGCACTGGCAGAGACAGGCAGATCGGTGGGGCAGGAGAGAGACTCAGGGACATAGTGGGCTAGGAGCTGGCCATTGGTAAGGGGGCTCCATCAAGCAATGGAGATGAGCTGTGTAGTTGATGGTATTTGGGAAAGTTAGAAAAATAAGCCTGGCTTGAGACTATCACTTTATACCTTAATCCAGCCAGATTAAAGATTTAAAGAGTAAAACGATGAAACAGCTAAGAGAAGAAAACACTGGAGATTATCTTTGTGACCTAGATGTGGGCATAGCCTTTATAAAAAAGACCCCAAGGTCTTTTTTGGTGCATGGTGGCTCACACCTGTAATCCCAGCACTTTGGGAGGCTGAGGCGGGCGAATCACCTGAGGTCAGGAGTTTGAGACCAGCCTGGCCAAAATGGTGAAACCCCGGTCTCTACTAAAAATATAAAAATTAGCCAGGTGTGGTGGTGTGCACCTGTAGTCCCAGCTACTTGGGAGGCTGAGGCATGAGAATTGCTTGAACCTGGGAGGAGGCTGCAGTGAGCCAAGATCACGCCACTGCACTCCAGCCTGGGGGACAGACCGAGACTCCGTCTCAAAAAATAATAATTAAAAAAAAATAAAAAAATAAACAAGACCCCAAAAGCACAAATCATAAGGTGAAAAAAAATGAATGGAAGTAATTACATGAAAATTAGGATTAAAAAAAAACGGATTAGGCAATATCTGTTTTTTTGTTTTTGTTTTTGTTTTTGAGACGGAGTCTCGCTCTGTCACCCAGGCTGGAATGCAGTGGCGCAATCTCAGCTCACTGCAACCTCCGCCTCCCAGGTTCAAGCAATTCTCCTGCCTCAGCCTCCCGAGTAGCTGGGACTACAGGTGCGCGCCACCATGCCTGGCTAATTTTTTTGTATTTTTAGTAGAGATGGGGTTTTACCATGTTGGCCAAGATGGTCTCAATCTCTTGACCTCGTGATCTGCCCGCCTCAGCCTCCCAAAGTGCTGGTGATTACAAGCATGAGCACTGCGCCTGGCCTATATCTGGCATTTTTTTAAATGGCTCTTTGAGTTAGTCAAGAGGCTGAGAAAAGGAGTCAGGAGGATCCATGCAGTTCATGAAGGGTCTGCAGGCATAACTGCATTTCCCTTCTGTGTCATCCTCTTAAGGGAAAATGGAAACAGTTGAAATGTGTGCTGCTTTTTATTTAATTGAAGACTTCTGTTCCTCAAAGGACATCATCAACAAAGTTATCACCCAATAGATATTTCCTTCTATACTAGCAACTCTAGCAAATCAACAAGATAAAAAACCCATTTTTAAAAAAGTTCTGAAAATGAAAGGCTGGAGGAAATGAGCAGGCAGTTCTCAGAAGAGGAAGCCAAAATGACTAAGTACATGAAGAAATGCCCAAACCTGCCAGGAATCAGGGACACACAGATTAAAACAAGATACCGCTTTCACACCTGGCAGAATGACAAATATTAGAATGGTAAAAAACCCAGTGACGGTGAGAAGGTGGCAGACAAGAACAGCTTTTCTGGAAAGTAATCTGATGGAACAGAGGTAGGTGTAAACTCTAGGATCCAGTGATCCCTCTCCCAGTTACATGTCTCAGAGAAATTCTAGCACTAGCTCCTGTGGAAATGTACAAGGATATTCACCCTGGAATAATTTATGGATGAGGAGCTGATAGGAAATGGGTAAGTGGTGGATGCATATCAAGGACTGACAGGCAGCACTAAGAAGCTATGAACCATGTGCATGTGCACTTTTAGAGCATGGTTAGTTTTGTTTTTTTTTTTTTTTTGAGTTGGAGACTAGCTCTGTTGCCCAGGCTGGAGTGCAGTGGCGCAATCTCAGCTCACTGCAACTTCCCCGCCTCCTGGGTTCAAGTGATTCTCCTGCCTCAGCCTCCCAAGTAGCTGAGATTACTGGTGGGCATTATGACACCCGGTTAATTTTTGTATTTTTAGTAGAGACGGGGTTTCACCGTGTTGGCCAGGCTGGTCTCAAATTCCTGACCTCAAGTGATCCACCCACCTCGGCCTCCCAAAGTGCTGGGATTACAAGCGTAAGCCACCACACCTGGCCTGACATGGTTAGATCTTGAAAACAATGTTGTTGAGTAAAAAATGGCATATGTAGCACAATATCATTCATATAAATTTAAAACATACACAGACAAAAATATAACATATTTTACAAGGATACAGTCAAATGCCACTTCCTTAACCTCCTCCTCACCCTGACCCCTCTTCCCCATTGCTCTCTATTCCTTTTTTTTTTTTCTTTTTTTTTTTTATTATACTTTAAGTTTTAGGGTACATGTGCACATTGTGCAGGTTACTTACATATGTATACATGTGCCATGCTGGTGCGCTGCACCCACTAACTCGTCATCTAGCCTTAGGTATATCTCCCAATGCTATCCCTCCCCGCTCCCCCAACCCCACCACAGTCCCCAGAGTGTGATATTCCCCTTCATGTGTCCATGTGATCTCATTGTTCAATTCCCACCTATGAGTTAGAATATGCGGTGTTTGGTTTTTTGTTCTTGCGATAGTTTACTGAGAATGATGATTTCCAATTTCATCCATGTCCCTACAAAGGACATTAACTCATCATTTTTTATGGCTGCATAGTATTCCATGGTGTATATGTGCCACATTAGAGCCCCCCGGGAGCGGAGGCGGGCCGGCCGGCCAGCGAGTCGATCGGCCCTGGCCAACTCCCCACTCCGGGGAAGGGGCGGCGGACAACCCAGCGGAGACGAGAACGCCTGACACGCACGGCACGGAGCCAGTGGGGTGGGGTTGTCGCGGCCGCCCCGGGCGCCCGCAGCGGAGAGCGCACGGGGGCAGGGTAGCCCTCGCCGCCTTCCCCGCCGCCCCCGGGTGGGTCAGAGACCCGGACCCGGGCCGGCACCGGGAGTCGGGACGCTCGGACGCGCGAGAGATCAGCAGGCCCGCGGGCCCCAGCAGGCGGCTCAAGCAGGAGCACGGCCGGCTAGCCGGGTCACCGGTAGGCCAGAGCCCCGCACGCATCCAGAGTCCCAACCTCTCCAGCGACAGGTCGCCAGAGGACAGCGTGTCAGCTGCTCTCTATTCCTTTACACTGATTTTATTTTATTTTATTTATTTTTTTGAGATAGAGTCTCACTCTGTTGCCCAGGCTAGAATGCAATGGTGGGATCTTGGCTCACTGAAACCTCCGCTTCCCAGGTTCAAGCGATTCTCCTGCTTCAGCCTCCCGAGTAGCTGGGATTACAGGCATGCGCCACTAGGCCCGGCTAATTTTTATATTTGTAGTAGAGATGGGGTTTCGCTACATTGGCCAGGCTGGTCTCGAACTTCTGACCTCAAGTGATCCACCCGCCTCTGCCTCTCAAAGTGCTGGGATTACAGGTGTGAGCCACTGCGCCAGGCTCAATTTTATTTTTTTTTAATGGTACCAGAATGTCTACTCCAAGAAGATTGGAACCTTGTCCATCTTGATCACTGCCTTATCTCCAGCAACTAGAACCCTACTAGAACTAGAACAAATTTATTGACACTGTCAATGGTCAGTAAATATTTGTGTTATAAATAAGTGGCCGAGGCAGGCGGATCACCTGAGGTCAGGAGTTCAACACCAGCCTGGCCAACATGGCAAAACCCCATCTCTACTAAAAATACGAAAATTAGCTGGGCATGGTGGTGCATGCCTGTAATCCCAGCCACTCGGGAGGCTGAGACAGGAGAATCGCTTGAACCCAAGAGGCAGGGGTTGCAGTGAGCCTAGATTGTGCCATTACACTCCAACCTGAGCAACAGAGCAAGACCCTGTCTCATAAATAAATAAATGGGACGGGCACTGTGGCTCATGCCTGTAATCCTAGCACTCTGGGAGGCTGAGGTGGGAGGATCACTTGAGCCTCAGAGCTTGAGATCAGCTTGGGCAACACAGCAAGACCTCATCTCTAAAAGAAATAAAAATAAATAAATAAATAAATAAATGGGGGGACATATAACTAAGAGAAAGTGGGGACTATGGGAGGGGAGACAAGGGCAAGAATGAGTAGGGAAAAATAAATACAACAGGGGAGGGACCGTGCCAGGACATATGATGATGACGTGCCATGATTGGTTCATAAAAGTGATTACAAATTATTTTATCAAATTCATTATTATGGCAAACTAGGCCCTGCATGATAAGGCTGTTACCTGCCTCTCCAGCCTCATCTCATTTTACTCTGATCACTATGCTGTAGCCAAGAAGGTCTCTGCCAGTTCCTGGAATATCTGATCACCTCAGGGACTTTGCACAGGCTGTCCCCTTTTCCTATACATTCGTTCTGTAATTCTTCAAAAAGGTGGTTCCGCCTGGGTGCAGTGGCTCATGCCTGTAATCCCAGCACTTTGGGAGGCAGAGGTGAGTGGATCGCTTGAGCTCAGTTCGAGACCAGCCTGGCCAACATGGTGAAACCCTGTCTCTACTAAAAAATACAAAAATTAGCTGGCCGTGGTAGCAGGCACCTGTAATCTCAACTACTCGGGAGGCTGAGGGAGGAGAATCACTTGAACCCGGCAGGTGGAGACTACAGTGAGCCGAGATCGAGCCACTGCACTCCAGCCTGGGCAACAGAGCTAGACACTGCCTAAAAAAAAAAAATAATAATAATAATAATAATAATAATCTGGTTCCTTCTCATCCTTCAAGTTCCAGCTGAAATGCCATCTCAGAATGGGCGCCCCAAGCATCCTATCTAGTGGTATCATTACCTGTTCATTATCTTTTTTTTTTTTCTTTTTTAGAGGCAGGGTCTTGCTCTGTCACCTAGGCTGGAGTGCAATGGGGCTGTTATAACTCACCGAAGCCTCAAACTTCCAGGCTCAAATGATCCTCCTGCCTCAGCCTCCCAAAGCACGGGGATTACAGGCATGAGTCACTGTTGACACATAATAATGGCCTTACTATCTTACCAGCCTATGTGATGATGTTGTTGGCGTCTCTACGCATTGAATGCAAGCTCCAAAAAGACAAGAGGCCTTGTCTGCCTCATGGTATCCCCAGCTGACACTCAAATATTTGATGAGTCATGAGTGAAGACAAATCATTAATTATGCGTAGGAAAGGTAAAGTGCTGAACCCAGGAGGAATGGACTGGGAACAGATGAGAGTCCTGATGAAGCCAAAGAACAGGGAAGTGGGGATAGAGAGGGCTAGAGAAGGAGAGGCTGTGGTCAGGGCACCGAACTCCTGGAAGCGTTTCAACACTGATGTGCTGGGGTGGTGGGATCATGGGCAAAACTCTCGAGTCATATAAATTATATAAAAGTGAAGGCCGGGCGCGGTGGCTCACGCCTGTAATCCTGGTACTTTGGGAGGCCGAGGTGGGTGGATCACGAGGTCAGGAGTTCCAGACCAGCCTGGCCAACATGGTGAAACCTCGTCTCTACTAGTACAGATACAAAAAATTAGCCGGGTGTGGTAGTGTGCACCTGTAATCCCAGCTACTTGGGAGGCTGAGGCAGGGGAATCCTTTGAACCCGGGAGACGGAGGTTGCAATGAGCCAAGATCGCGCCACTGCTCCAGCCTGGGCGACAGGACGAGACTCCGTCTCAAAAAATAAAAATAAAAATAAATAAAATAAAAGTCGAGACAGGAAAAATGTTTCTTTTCATGGTAACACATTTAGTCCTGGCAATCTCCCAGTGAAGAAGATATTCTCATAATAGCTAACAAATCTTTCTATGTGTCAGGTCCTGTCCTAGGCGCCTTAGGTGTATTTACTCATTTAATTCTCAAAACGACCCTATGAGAAAGGTACTATTGCTGTCACTTGACTGACAAGAAGCCGACGAGGGAGAGGGGGCTTACGTCTTGCTCACATAGTGGTGGGCCGCGACTTAAACCCTGATCTGTAGCCGGGCGCGGGAGCACGAGCCTGTAGTCCCGGCTACTTGGGAAGCTGCGGCAGGAAGATCGCTTGAGCCCAGGAGGTCGAGTCTGCAGTGATCACGCCACTGCACTCCAGCCTGGGCGACAACGCAAGGCCCTATCTCAAAGATAATAAAAAAATAAAAAACCCTGCTCTAATTTGCAAAGGCTCTATCTTTCCTCCCAACCACCTGAAATTTTAGTGAAAACGGGGCTTCCTGTAGGAAGGAGTAGCTAGCTATCCCGGTCCGCTACAGGTTATCAGTGCGTGAATACCCTGACTCCTAAGGCTCAGGATTTGACTGGGTCGCCTCGTCCGACTGCCCCGCCCCCAACGCGGACCCACGTCACCGCGCGCCAGCCTGCGGCCGTCCTGACCTCGCGGGATTTGAGCTTCGGTGCCAACAAACACTCCCACCGCGGCTGCGTCCACTTTACCTGCCGGCGGCGACCAGCTTCTGAAGAAAAGTGTCCACCATGGTGTCGAGGAGCTTCACCCTCGAAATGGTAGTGCCGGGTGGCACAGATTCCGAAGACGACCCCTCATGCCTTTTTTCCTCACAGCCGCTGCCTAGATTGGCGCTACTTGCTTCGGCCATGTTGAAGTTGAACCTCCAAATCTAACTGGCCCGGCCTCCCCGCCTGCCGGAGCTCCCGATTGGCCGCTCCCGCGAAGGGTGCCTCCGATTGGAAGCAGTAGAACGTCTGTCACCGAGCAGGGCGGGGGCGGGGAAGTCATCGGAGGCTGAGGGCAGCGGGGAGGCGAGGCTCTGCGCGGTGGGATGTCCGCGACCGGAAAAATACGCGCAAGCCAAAGCTCGGGGGCTCAATAAAAACTTTTAATTACATTTCAGAGACTTCGTACAGTGCAACAGTGAATATTCACTGTTAATTTTCACAAGAGTCCATTTCATCAAACGTTCAGAGAGTCTGCCTTTTCATTCCCTTGTTCCTCAGTGCTCCAATCAGGTTTCCAGTCTCCCAGAGGTTTCTTTTAGTTTTGATTACCGACCAAAACTCCAGTTTAGGGAGAATGGAAGTCCACCGTCCCATCCCCACCAAAACATATTTCAGTCAAACCCAATCCCAGTCCCTAAAGAATTAGGAAAGTATGGGCCAAGGGTCCTTTTAATTATACACACATCACCCTTAAAACTGCGTGTGTGTACGAGAAATAAAGAAAAACACAAGAGGGGCTGTAAAATACTGCACAAGACAACAAAACAGAAGGAAAGTCTTGAGGGAGAAACACTAAGACGCGAGCGGCAGGATCCTACCTCCTGTCCGTGACACTCCCCATTGACACCTTCCCCACTGTGCCATGGCGGGGAAGGACTAAAGTCGAGTCTCTAGGGTCTCTAGAGGTCTTGCTAGGATGAGCTTAAAGAGATGGGGTGAGGGTGGGGGGAACTGCTTCCATTATATTTGTGGTTCTCAGGGTTAAGCAGTGAGGAGGGGCAGGAAGATTCAGAATGATCCGTGGGTCCAACCCTTTGGATGTGAACATTCCTGGATAGAAACTGGAGGACTCTCTTGACAAAGTGCAGGAAGGGATAAACAAAAATAAGATCAAGTGAAATGGGAAAACCCTCAAAGAGATCAAGATGGGCAGTGGTGGTGGTGAAGGTAGAGAAGTGGTTTTCAGAACCTGTTCTGGCCAAGGTGGAAGAATGTGCGGCAGCCATGAAGAAATATCAAGGCTTCAGGTAGCTAGCACCTTTCAAACTGGCACCATGGCCTTTCCCAGGGGGTGGGACCAATAGGGTTTGGAGGATCATCCAGGTCACACGTCTCAGGTAGAAATGCAGGGTTTGACATGCCTTCTCTATTTGCTGCACCTCTCTACCTGCAACACAGGCTTGGGGAGAGTAGCGGTAGGGAGGAAGGAGCACTCCTCTCCTAGCTCCTGAGGAGAGCATCAGATAATCTTGGCAGTATCAGGCTGGTAAATGCAGTGGTCCTGGTATTGGGTGACTTTCTGAACTGCTCTTTATGTTCTTCCAGCATTCCTCCACAGGGTACCATGACTGGGATGACTACGCATCCAGTGATGTGGATCTTAGAGATCACCATAGTGAGACAACACTTGTTGCCGTAAGTCTGAGTGATTGGGGTATTTATGTGTATGTCATGGCTGCCTGGGGCAGAGAATCTACCCACTGCCCTCTCCTAGGTTTGGCTCTGCTGGCCTGGGTAATGTGCTGGGGAACACATGCCCACTTGTTGCCTTCTAGATCAACTACTTTCTCAACCTGACTTCTCAAGGTAGTGCTCCAAGTCCAGTGCACCCAAGACAGCCTGATCCACTTAGAACTGTGCCCACCACGGGAGTCCTCTGGGCCAGGGGATGCCCCAGCTTAGACTCTCCTAGGGCTCCTGAGACTGAAGGGACAGGGAAGTGGCTTGTGGAAAAAGCTACATTACATTTTTCTACCTGTCTTAGGAAGGGGGTGAGCTCTGACAGCAGGATTGGCGCTTTAGCAGGACTAATAGCCTGGTTCACAGATGTTAAAACACACACACACACACACACACACACACACACACACACACACACAAAACAAAAGTATCAACATTTCTCCCAACCTAATAACCCCTCCAAAGAGAGGACGAGTGCTCTGGAGAACCAGAGATTTTTTGCTGCTCCTGCTCCCTGTGCAAATAAGTACCTGGCACCTTAGCCCCAAATGCAGGGAAAAGCAGAGTCATCTAGTGGGCAGCTCGGTCCCAAAATAAAAATAAGCAAGGCTAAGAGATGAAGGGAGAGAGGGTTGATAGCAGCTGCTTGGAGTCTGGGCTGAAAGCCCAAGAGGAAGAACCAGTGGTAGTAAGCAAGCTCTATGTACAGCTCTTCTCAGGGTCTCAGGGACACAGATGGAAGGGGAAGCCAGAAGAAGGGCTGGCAGGGTGGGGGGTGGGGTCTTTAGGCCAGTATCAAATACAGGGACTGAGTGAGGGAGCCCAGCTCAGAAGAGAATTTTAAATAGTGGGGGCAAGGGATCCAGGCGTGGAGCCTCTTCAGCAAGAGCAGTTCAAAGTCTCTATCCCTATCCCAGATAGGCCACTTGGCCCAGGGCAGGGCTGGGTGTGTGGTGGGAGCACCTGGAGAGGGTGCTGTCCTCTCCACTCTGCCCCTGACCCACGGTAGTGTGGAAAACAGCAGGCTTCTCTCCCCACCACTGGTTACCAGTGTCTCGAGTCCACCAGCTCAGGTCGGAGGCTGAGTTTCTTGAGGCTCTCATAGCCCACCACAATGACAATGGTGGAAGGTGTGGCTGAGATGATTCTGGCCGAGAGGCCCTTCATGAGGCCCCAAGGCCCTTCTTCTGCCATCAGCTGTCTGAAGGTCAGGATGATGGAGTTCTTGCCCTCAACCTGGAAAAGTCAACACAGTGGAGGGCCATTGTCTGTAGTCAGAGCCCCTCTGCTCAATCTCCCTCTGCCTTAGGCTAAAGTGGGGAGAACCAGACTCCGACGTCGGAAGGTGTGGATTCTGCTTGTGAGGGATGGTACAGCACAGTGATTTAGTATGAGCCCTGGTGCCTGACTGCCTGAGTTTGAATTCTGCTCCCCAACCTACTAACAACATAACCTTGGGTAATTTACTTAACTCTTTGTGCCCCAATTTCCTCAAATATAAAACAGTGATAATAGTACCTGCACCACGAGGTTGTTATGAGCAAGAAAAAAAAAATATTCATAAATACTAACAAGAGTGGTGGCAGATAGTTAAGTGTACAATAAATGTTAGCTATCATTGATATCATGAGATAATCTATGTAGCTATGAGTCTTCGGACTAGATGCTGCTCTCTGGTCTCAGGGAGGCTGGGTTAAATCCTCTCTAAGACCCTCTGCAGCTCTGCCAGTCTGATTTTGATTCTGATCATTTCAATCCCTTGAAGCCCCAGAGCTGGAACCTTCCTCTCCATCTCTGCCATCTCTCACACACCCCATGAACAAATATAGGCATCTTCCCTCTCACACTGAAAGCCTGGCCAAGCAGAAATCACTTCTCTCTTCTTTCTCAACAGTCCCACACCCTCCCCAACCCCTAAACTACACCTTTAGAAACCACTCCTCAGCCCCTCGGCCAATACAGGACAGACTCACTCCTTGTTCATACCTCCCTTTATATGATATGACCTTCACAAGGTATCCCAGCCATGGCTAAGAACATCCCCCGCTTCCGCCCTACCTCCTTCAGCACCCTCCTCCGCACTCCCTTCTTCCTCTCCAATACTCTCTCATGTGACCGTCTCTGCTTCCCTAACCCTTCCACTTTTTCCACAGCCATGTCAAGGACTTTTTCACCTATGCCTCTGGGTCTTTCCAGCCTGGAAGCTCCTCAAAGTAGAGACCTGTCCTTTCCCTTGGATCTCCTCCTAGAACGCCCAGAACAAGGCTCAGGAAAGAATGAGGACTGACCCTGTGCACTTTATTATTTGCAAACCAACCAGATGCCAGTGTATTCATTTTCAAATGAGGGGGCATTCTTTCCTAGGAACAAAAATACCTATATTTGTTACTTATCTGCTTCCCAACATCCTGGTACTAGGGAAGCTGATTTTATCTCCAACCTGTTAAGGTTATCTTCCTTCCCTCCTCCCCTCACCATAACCCAGTGACTTCATTCTCTTGTACAACTTTGATTCTCCACCTCAAATCAGACATAAAACTTTATATGGCAACACCTACTATTTGCATATTACATATCATCATTCAGATTCTATTTCCCTGGTCTAGGTGCTGTGTAACTGTCTTTAAGCTGACTGAAGACAACCATTACTATGGGCTTTGTCAGGGTTTTGCTGCATCCACACCATAAAATCTGTGAAACCTATTTAAGTCACTCTCATAATCCACAGAGAACTTATGGCCTACTGGAAAAACCAGACAGACTTATGAATTAACTGAAATCGATATTTCTTATAACCACAAACCTGCAAGGTAAAGGAAAGAGTCGTTGATAGGCTATGCTAATAGGCTATGGAATAGGACTCCAATAAAGGCTGGAAGAAACCAGTAAGATTTCCTGGAGGCATGGGCATGTGATGGAGGAGAGGTATGCAAGGTAGCAGACAGAGTGAGAAGCATTCCAGGTACTTTAAGTGCTGGGCGGGCTTCTTTTATTTATTTATTTTTTTTTGAGACAAAGTCTCACTCTGTCACCCAGGCTGGAGTGCAGTGGCGTGATCTCGGCTCAATGCAACCTACACCTCTGGGCTCGAGTGATTCTCCTGCCTCAGCCTCCCGAGTAGCTGGGACTATAGGCGCATGCCAACACACCCAGCTAATTTTTTATTTTTAGTAGAGACAGGGTTTCACCATGTTGGCCAGGCTGGTCTCGAACTCCTGGGCTCAGGTGATCTGCCCGCTTCGGCCTCCCAAAATGCTGGGATTACAGGCGTGAGCCACTGTGCCTGGCTGTGGGCTGGCTTCTGCAGATGCTAAGCACACAGAAGGGGCTTAGATGTTCAGGAGAAGACTGACTGGACTAGAGGGCCAGGACACAAAGAGGTCAGGGCAACACTGGAGGGCTTGAAGGTCATGCTTCTAATGGCTTCTCCAGGAGGAGGGTGAGGGAAGTGGTCAGTCTTACCTGCACACGGGTTCGTATGACATCCATGGGATTGGTGAGGATGGAGGCAGTGGCTGCAGCCAGGGGCCCCGAGACAGCTTGAAAGACAATGTGAGGGCACTCCTTAGGACACAGGTAGGAGAGCTGCTCTGGAATCCAGGGAAAGACAATGGCTAAAGACACAAAGCACCACCGGTCTGCCCTCACTGTGCTTGCTGCTTCTACCAGGTGGCTTTCCCAACCCAGACAAACCCTCCACCCTTCACCACCTAAGTCCTATCTTTTATTTTCTCTGCTTCCTTCAAAAAACTATTAAGTCTCAGGCCCTTTCCAGGAGTCATCTTGGTGATATCACCCATTTATTTTGATTGATTTTTTTTCTTTTGAGACAGGGTCTCTCTGTGTCACACAGGTTGGAGTGCAGTGGCATGATCATGGCTCACTGCAGCCTCAATCTCCTGGGCTCAAGCAATCCTCCCATCTCAGCATCCCCAGTAGTTGGGTCTATAGGCTTGTGCTACCATTCCCAGCTAATTTTTTTAAAAATGTTTTGTAGTGCCGGGCGCGGCGGCTCACGCCTGTAATCCCAGCACTTTGGGAGGCCAAGGCGGGCAGATCATGAGGTCAGGAGATCAAGACCATCCTGGCTAACATGGTGAAACCCCGTCTCTACTAAAAATACAAAGAAAATTAGCTGGGCATGGTGGCAGGCGCCTGTAGTCCCAGCTACTCAGGAGGCTGAGGCAGGAGAATGGCATGAACCTGGGAGGCGGAGTTTGCAGTGAGCCAAGATCGCGCCACTGCACTCCAGCCTGGGCGACAGAGCAAGACTCTGTCTCAAAAAAAAAAAAAAAAATGTTTTGTATAGAGAGTCTCACTATGTTGCGCAGGCTGGTCTTGAACTCCTGGACTCAAGCAATTCTCCCACCTCAGCCTCCCAAAGTGTTGGAATTACAGGTAGGAGCCACTGGACCTGGCCAACATCGTCCATTTAAACAGGACAAGATTCCTTGGAGAGGGAGATTTCAAAATTTGCTTGCTGACTCCTTTCATCTGATGGGCAGAAAATCCTTCCTGATGTAAAAGCCTTATGCCTCTTGCCCTGTTCCTCCCAACTCATAGGCTAGAAAAGCACACACTAAATATTTGCTTCTATATGCATTGAGTAACTCTGGTAGGATACATTAAAAACCAGTGACATGGCCAGACAGTGGTGGCTCAAGCCTGTAATCCTAGCACTTTGGGAGGCCAAGATGGGTGGATCACCTGAGCCCAGGAGTTTGCAACCAGACTGGACAACATGGTGAAACCCCTCCTCTACCAAAAATATAAAAATTAGCCGGGCATGGTGGTGCGGGCCTGTAGTCCCAGCAACTTGGAAGGCTGAGGTGGGAGGATCACCTGAGTCCTGGAAGTAGAGGCTGCAGTGAGCCATGATCACGCCACTGCACTGCAGCCTGGGCATCAGAGTAAGACCCTGTCTCAAAGAAAAATTAAAGCTGGATGTGGTGGCTCACGCCTGTAATCCCAGCACTTTGGGAGGCAGAGGTGGGCAGATCACCTGAGGTCAGGAATTTGAGACTAGCCTGACCAACATGGTGAAACCCCGTCTCTACCAAAAATACAAAAATTAACCGGACGTGGTGGTGCACACCTGTAATCCCAGCTATTCGGGAGGCTGAGGCAGGAGAATCACTTGAACCTGGGAGGCAGAGGCTGCATGAGCTGAGATCTCGTCATTGCACTCCAGCCTAGGCGACAGAGCAAGACTCCATCTCAAAAAAAAAAAAAAAAAATTAAAAATGAAATAAAAACTAGTGACACTGACTGTCTCTACAGAAGGGAACCAGGTGGGTAAGGAGCCTTTTCGTTGCATACTACATACCCTTTCTTAACTTTTGAATTTTGAAACATGTGCATGTTTTAAAAAATAAAAACAATATTAAAATAGAAAGTCACATCCTACAATAAGCACTTTTCTCCAGCCTATATCAAGAAAGAAAATTCATCTTTCAAAATGCTAATGAAGATGGAATGGTACCCAGGTTAACCCATCCCAGTACCACTGAGAAGTCTACCTGCAATTGAATTTTCTTTTTACTCTCTCTGGAGGTGAAAGACAACATGTTCATTCATTTATTCAACAAAGATTTATTGAGTGACTACCATGAGCTGGTCATCCTGGATCCTGAGGATTTAACAGTAAATAAAAGAGCCTCAAATTCCTGTGCTTAGGAAATTTATATTCTAGTGTGAAGAGATAATAAACAAATAAAAAGCAAAATACACAGCTATGTCAGCAGGTATGTGCTATAGATAAAAATAAAGCAGGAAAGGGAGATAGGGAGGCCAACAGTGGAAGGGAAGGGGTTGCCATTTTATTTTTTATTTTCTGAGACCTCTCAGGGATAAAGGATGAAAGCCCATTCCAAGAAGGTGAAGTCTGAGCAAAGACCTGAAGGAGACAGTGCAAGCCACATGGATCTGTAGACAGAGCTTTCAAAGCAAGGGATAACATCCTATGCAAGGGCCCTGAGGACAAGCATACAGCAAGTGTTCGAGGGGCAGCCAAGCCCAGTACCCTGGAGCAGTATGAGTAAGGGAAGGAACAGCATATGAGATCCAAGAGGTAAGTCACTTAGGGTTTTCTCTTCTATAGTTCAGTTATCATACCTTTTAAGAATTTTTTCCTCGGCCAGGCGTGGTGGCTCACGCCTGTAATCCCAGCACTCTGGGAGGCAGAGGCGGGCGATCACCTGAGGTCGGGAGTTCAAGACCAGTCTGACCAACATGGAAAAACCCCGTCTCTACTAAAAATACAAAATTAGCCAGGTGTGATGGCGCATGCCTATAATCCCAGCTACTTGGGAGGCTGAGGCAGGAGAATCGCTTGAACCCGGGAGGTGGAGGTTGCGGTGAGCCAAGATCACACCATTGCATTCCAGCCTGGGCAACAAGAGCGAAACTCCATCTCAAAAAAAAAAAAAATTTTTTCCTCATGCTCCTAGTTTTAGTAGTTTGTGGCCAGGGAGAAGTAGGGAGGTGGAGGCTGGCAGGGCAGAAGTGAGAGCTTCCAAGTCTCAGCTGGGATGGCAGAATTCCCTAAACCTCACCAGAACCACCTCTCCCCCAGTTCTTATATACTCTCTTCCCCAGAATCAGCATACAAACAGAAACAGAGTGAACTGGTGGCTCAGCCTCACTGGTATCCTGTTTCTCCCAAGAAAAAGGCATTTTGCAATCATTAAACTGTAGCATCTGGACCAGGCGTGGTGGCTCACACTTTTCGAAGGCTGAGGCAGGTGGATCACCTGAGGTCAGGAGTTCAAGACCAGCCTGGCCAACATGGTAAAACCCCATCTCTACTAAAAATACAAAAAATTTGCCGGGTGTGGCAGCAGGCGCCTGTAATCCCAGCTACTCAGTAGGCTGAGGCAGGAGAATTGCTTGAACCTGGGAGGTGAAGGTTGCAGTGAGCCAAGATCATGCCATTGCACTCCAGCCTGGGCAACAACAGTGAAACTCCGTTTGAAACAAACAAAAAAACCAACTGTAGCATGTGGACTGGCACTGCCTGCCTCCTTGGGCCTGTCTATTCTGTCCTCCAGGCCTGTAAGCTACAGCAGATCCAGATTCCAATTTTAATCATGCACATATGCCACTTTCCTGGGGCTTGGGGAGAAGATGAAACACACAAGCAAGAAAGTGGTAGAAATAACTCCATGTCAGACAGGGCACGGTGGCTCATGCCTGTAATCCCAGCACTTTGGGAGGCCGAGGCAGGTGGATCACCTGAGGTTGGGAGTTTGAGACCAGTCTGGCCAACATGGAGAAACCCCATCTCTACTAAAAAAACAAAATTAGCTGGGCGTGGTGGCTCATGCCTGTAATCCCAGCTACTCGGGAGGCTCAGGCAGGAGAATTGCTTGAACCTGGGAGGTGGAGGTTGCAGTGAGCCAGGATCATGCCATTGTACTCCAGTTTGGGCAACAAGAGCAAAACTCCATCTCAAAAAAAAAAAAAAGAAGAAGGGCCAGGCGCGGTGGCTCATGCCTGTAATCCCTGCACTTCGGGAGGCCGAGGCGGGCGGATCACAAGGTCAGGAGATCAAGACCATCTTGGTTAACACGGTGAAACCCCATCTCTACTAAAAATACAAAAAACTTAGCTGGGCATGGTGGCATGTACCTGTAGTCCCAGCTACTCGGGAGGCTGAGGCAGGAAAACGGCGTGAACCCAGGAGGCGGGGCTTGCAGTGAGCCGAGATCGCGCCACTGCACTCCAGCCTAGGCAACAGAGTGAGACTCTGTCTCAAAAAAAAAAAAAAAAAAAAAAGGAAAGAGAATGAAAGAAGGAAGGAAGGGAGGGAGGGAGGGACTCCACATCTTTCATTTTTCTCCATTAGTCATTCAAGAAACATTTAAGAATCTCTTATCTACCAGGCAAAAGATGAACTCAGGCTGACTTGGTTTAAGTCCCACTTGGCTAAGACTGGCTTGACTCTGGACAAGTATTTAATGATATAAATGAGTACTTAATAATAGATGCCAGGCACCATGATAAGTACCAGACATAGAACAGAGACATGGACAGGGAGATGCCTTCATGGAATTTATATTCTAACTAAGGAGCTGGGAGTTGGGGGTAAAATAACTGCAAATTATGACAAGTACTAAGAAGGAAACAAGGTGCTGAAATATAAAACAGAAAGAGCCCTCTTTCCAATAGAATAAAGTCCTTTTCGCAAAGGTGACATGTAAGCTGAAGCCTGAAGCATGAGAAGGAGCCAACCACATAAAGAACAGGGGAAAGGGTGTCCGGGCAGAGAAGAGTATCTGCAAAGGCCTTGAGGCAAGAACAGAGCCTGATGTATACCAGGAACTGAGGGAAGAGCAGTGAGGAAGAGCAGAGTGGCACAAGGTGGGGCTGGAAAAGCAGACAGGAGTCAGAGCAATAGAGATGTATAGACCATGGAAAGGAAAACTGATTTTATTCTAGATGCCGGTAAGGAACCACTGGCAGATTTTAAGCAAAAAGGAGTAGCAAGAACCAGTCTATTAATTCAAAAAATATTTACTGAGCAATTAAGTTTCACCAGACCCTGAGCTAGGTGTTGGGAGGTACAATAGTGAACAGAAACGGACATGATCCCTGTTCTTATAGACCACTTACATCGCAGGGTTATTGTGAGGTTGGAATTATGAGATATACAAGCCCTCACACAGAGCCCTGGCACACATGGGCATTCAATAAATGTTAGTTTCCTCCCCCTTCCAAGAACCTTTCCACATAGCAGAAGAGATAGGGCACACACAAATAACATCAAAGCAAATGTATAACTGCCTTAAGAAAGATTCAATGTCATGGGGATGAAAAAGGGGAAAGATCACTTCTGGGTTTAAGGGTTACATGGAGAGGAAGGAAGAGGAGGCAATAAGGAGCACTTAAGGTAAGTCATGATTGCGCCAGGGGTAAGCAAACCTGGGAGGCATCTAGGTAGAGGGGTGGCAGGAACAAAACACGGTGGTAGGAGAGGTGATGTATGGTTGAGGAATTGTGCACTACCTGCCCAGGCTACAGCACAGACTGCCTATACCTAGGGGAGAAGCAAGAGATTTCACTGTGAAGGGAGACTGAAGCCAGGCTGAAGAGTTTGGATTTTATTCAGTAAGCAGTGGAAGCCACTGAACATGACAACGCAAGTTGAAAAGGTCAGTCCATTAGAGATGTATGTGATGGACGGGAAGGAAGAGAACTCAGGAGGGAACAGCTAGAAAGCTGATGCAGCAGTCTGGGAGGAAGGTAACAGAGGCATGGTTTCCAGGGAAGGCAGCAGGTATGAAGAGAAAGTTGGGAGAGAAATTCTAGAGTTACCAGGACTAGACATGGGGACAAGAAAGAAGGAGTAGTCAAGCACAATCCCCAAGACTTCAGTCTCAGTGAACTGAAGAATAACAAGGCCACTGACCAATGAAAGTAAGTCAGAAAAGAGAGCCAGCTTGGGATGAAGACTAGTTAATTGAAGAAAGTTTTAGACATAAGTTGATGCATGTAGATGGAGAAGTCCTACAGTCAGAATGTCTGTCCAGAACTCTCGACAGGCTAGTCTGAGAATGGAAGTAGAGATGATGGACACGTCAGAAAAATGCAGCTCTAATTGTAAATGCAGTCAAGTGAGGAGAGAAGGCTAAAGACAGGCTCCAGAGAAAATGCTCACATTTCCTGGGAAGCTTTTTTAACATTAAAGGGTCAGGGTAGAGTCCAGGAACCTGACTTTTAACAAATACCCCAGAGGAAACATTGTGCTAAATAGAAGTAATAGAGCTAGCAAAAAAAGAAGAAGAAAGAAGAAAAAGAAGGAAGAAGAAAGAAAAAAGGAAGAAGAAACAAAAGAAGAAGAGGAGGAGGAAGAAGGAAGAAGAAGAAAGCAGAAAGAAGAAGAAGAAAGAAGCAATAATCAGAAAAACAAAAGAAGCACCAGGAAAGTACAGAGCCACAGAAACAAAATCATTACAGGTTAAGAAGGCATGAAAATTTTGGTCAGAAGTTTCCAATGGGGTGGGACAGAATGCCCACTACCAAGGGTTGGGAGCCAACAGCAGGGATTAGGGAGGCTTCAAACATAGGCTGCCCTAACGGGAATTTCATGGTTACTCAAAGCTGTGGGTGGATGTCCCAGGGTAGCAGGCACACTCAAGTCCTGCTCTTCAACAATGCACCCTGCCCTTTGAGAAGGCAATCTGGCAGTATGTTTATGGAAGCCCTCAAAAATGTTATCTTTGACTCAGTAACCCCATTTCTAGGAAATAGGAAATACTTAAAAAGTAAAATGTCTTATGAACAAAGATACATTACAGGAGTGGAGAGGTTCAAGGTTATATCACACCTTGAATTTAAAATGCTGAGGGGCTGGTGTCTCACTCCTGTAATCCCAGCACTTTGGGAGGCCGAGGCGGGCAGATCACGAGGTCAGGAGCTCAAGACCAGCCTGACCAACATGGTGAAACCCCATCTCTACTAAAAATACAAAAGTTAGCCAGCCATGGTGGCAAACGCCTATAGTCCCAGCTACTCGGGAGGCTGAAGCACAAGAATCGCTTGAACCCGGGAGGTGGGGGTTGCAGTGAGCCAAGATCTCACCACTGCACTACAGCCTAGGTGACAGAGTGAGACTCCATCTCAAAAAAAAAAAAAAAAAAAAAATGCTGAGGAAAACATCCAAGTCAAAAGCTCACTATTACCCATCCTAAACTTCAAATCCTAAACATCCCATGGCTTTTGTCCTCCCCCACCTTCCAGTGACTCCAAAGCACACAGAGCATATGCTGCACACTGTTCTAGCCTTTATACCTGTCTGCTTCCCTCACTACATTAGAAGCTCCTTGAAAGTATAAAAACCATGTTTTATGCATCTTTAAATCCTCCTGGATTCAAACATTTGCTGAGTGAATGACCCATTCCCCCATTAAATCTCACCTCCACTCTAACATGCACAAAGCAACAGTATCTCAGCCCCATTAGAAATCCCACCTTCCTCCCCCACTGTCCTGGCCCCTGCTTACCTGCATAGAAGTGATAGAAGGGCCACCAGACAGCACTGTTTGGGATATAGGTAAGCAGTGAAGCCACATAGCCTCGATAGAAGCCGCGAAGTCCATCAGCCTGCAGGATCTGCCTGATGATGTCCTTGGTTTGGCCAAAGGCAACTACCCCTTGTCCCTCTGGGTTCCCCCGCACCTGAAAGCGGCCCATTTTCTCACCCTTGCGTTGCATCATCAGGTGCTGGGAGACTACATCAATGGGCACTGTGATGCTCTGGGCCACAAGGGAGGCTGAGCCACCAGCCACCAGTGATTTGACTGTGTTACTCTGGCTGTAGTCAGCTACAAACTTCCGGGTGAGCTCATAAGTGGTGACATAACACTGGCCAGAGATGAGGGTGAAGGTATTGACCAGGAACCCTCGGTAGAGGCCAGTGATACCATCTGCTCGCAGGATCTTGATGAAGGCATCGAAGGTCCCATGGTAGAGGCTCTTCCCCTTCTGAACTTGCAACCGGGTGCGGATGAGGGTGAATGGGTAGACACTGACACGGATCATCATTGTCATTGCCACACCAAACACGTAGAACTTCTTCTTGTCCAGGTGTTCCCACTCGATGATCTGGATGTTGCGTTTGTCCTCCATGGTGCCTGAAGACCTGGGATTTGAGCAGTATGGAGGGATGTGAAGAAGGAGGGTGGAGCTTTGTGCTTTCCCCTTCTGGCTGGGCTCTGAAGGCCCATTCTCAGCCCTCATCTCCTGGACACTCACCTGCCCAAAGCTTGGACTCCACCCAATCTGGCTCTGTCAATCCCCACTTGAGTCTTCTTTCATAGATCAGGATACTGTCCCCTTCTTGGTCCTTGGCCAGGCCTTCCTTACTCAGTTTCCCTCCTCCAGAAATTGTCCCTCACTTCAATGATTCCCCTGGCTCCATGGCCTCCTCGGCTCCCTACCCCAGCTTACAGGATCTTCTATCCGGACTCTCTGCCTCTGTCTGGGCCCTGGTATCACTACTCTGGCCAGGAATCATTCTTTTTGTCTGGCTCACCCAAGCAGAGCTCAGGATGCTATGGACAAACCAACTACCTGGCAGGATGCAGGGCCTTTAAGCAGGTGAATGGGACATCACTAAGTGACATTTGGGAGGCTCCTGAAGGCTGAAAGGGACTGTTCCCGTTTTGATGCTCCTGGGCCTACTGAGGAGGCATCACCTGTGGCCTTGCACCCTCAGCAGGGTGCCTCTGATCGCCACCTACGAACTGACTCATTTTGTTTCTGGTTTCCTGTGCTGGCCTCTCAGAGCTCCCCTGACCCACAGTCACTACATTTATGATACTTTCTCCCGTCTGCATTGGAAGAAAGTATAGAGGAGAGGGCAAGTGGGGCTTTCACACCACAGGGCACCCCCCTCAACCTCCCCTTCCTCCAGCAAAAGGAGTTAGAAAGTCAGGAACAGGCCAAAGGGCAGAGTCCTCTTCAGTTATTAGATAACTTGCTCTGAGAAAAACAGAAAAGAACCACCTGAGAGCTAAGTAGTTTCCCTGAAGAGTCTGGGGAACTACAGAGTACAGAACACGTTGGACCCCATGCTTTCAACTCTAAGCATATAAACCACAACCTCAGTCTTAGATAATGAAGGGGGAGAAGTGACAGAGGAGATAGACTCTGACTTCAAGAAACCGTCTGTTCAAGGATACACAGTATCGCTCTGGGGAATGGATACAAGATACAGAGGAAAAGGCTGGACACAGTGGCTCACGCCTATAATCCCAACACTTTGGGAGGCCAAGGTGGGAGGATCACCTGAGCCCAAGAGCTCAAGGTCAGCCTAGGCAACATAGGGAGACTCCGTCTCTACAATATATAAAAATAAGTTAGCCAGGCATGGTGGCATGCACCTGTGGTCCCAGCTACTTGGGTGGCTGAGGTGGGAGGATCACCTGAGCCCTGAAGGTTGGGGCTGCAGTGAGCCATGATCACACCACTGCACTCCAGCCTAGGAGACAGTGAGACTCCATCTCAAAAAAAAAAAAGATACAGAGGGAAGGAAACCAGAGTATGTTGATGCACATGTAGCCCTCATGTTAAGTGTATCCAATGCCTAGAATTTCAAACAAAACTAACAAGCTTACTAATTTCAAAATTGTATAAAATCAGGAGCTTCACATTTAGGAAATGTCAAATCAGAGGACATCATTTATTAGACATACTTAGTGGTAATATGATGTGCTCCAGTGTATCCCACCGCTGTTCTGTAAGATACTAGAAATTTTCAGCCAGAAAGGGAGACTGGGAAGATAAATTCCAGGAAATGAGAAGCAGGGGCTCCCCAGACTTTAAGAGAAATCCCAGAGAAAGGAGGTAGCCACATCACAGGGACAACTCTAGGGGGCTGAAACATTCTACACTAGCAGTTCCAGTAGCAAACCTCATGCCAAGCATCTAATCAGAGAACGTCCTCAACCACCTTCCCCAGCCAAAGGTCCCAACTCAGGCTTCAGGTAGCTTTTATTCCATGAGAACTGCCTTTTGATTACCATGGAAGCAAGGGCAGCTTTTCAGGATTCCCTGAGCTGGACCGTATAACTTTCGTTAAAATAGGGACTACCTGCAGTGCAAACTGAGTACTTGAGAGCTGAGGGGAAACCTTAGCTTCAAGGTAAGGATTGAGGGAGGTGCACATAACCCGCACAGGATTCCTACAGGACAAAGCAGTTTTTTTGTTTTTTTTTTCAGACGGAGTCTCGCTCTGTCGCCCAGGCTGGAGTGCAGTGGCGCGATCTCCACCCACTGCAAGCTCCACCTCCCGGGTTCATGCCATTCTCCTGCCTCAGCCTCCCAAGTAGCTGGGACTACAGGCGCCTGCCACCACGCCCGGCTAATTTTTTTAATTTTAGTAGAGACGGGGTTTCACCATGTTAGCCAGGATGGTCTCGATCTCCTGACCTCGTGATCCACCCGCCTCGGCTTCCCAAAGTGCTAGGATTACAGGCATGAGCCACCGCACCCAGCCGGGACAAAGCAGTTTGAATGAAGGATAATCCATGTAGATAGTGAAAGAGAGAGAACAATGGCTTGGAAATGAGAAGACAGAAGTCAACTGGATTGGCAAGATTGGAAAATCTAGGCTGTGGAAAATGAGCTAGAGGCAAAGTTCTGCCGTCAAGAGAACCCCTAGAACAATGATATGCCACTTGCTGTAGGCAAAGGTGGCCCTCCTCCCCAGCCTCAGCCTGGGGGACCCACTAAGCCCTGTGGGGCAATATTCTCCTTTGAGCTCTTCAAAAGGTGGTCACTGTCTCTTCTGCCCCAGAGTGGCTGCCATCTAGGGTCGCAAGATCATATTTCCAACACCAGTGAGAAGTGAGAAGATACAGAGAAACACCAGGATTGACTACTACCTCATGTAATCCTTACAGTTTAACTTGTGTACAGTTAGACACTTCTGATAAATGAGGAAATGGAGGGTCAGGTAGGTTAAAAGTAACAGGCCCAAGGTCACACAGCTGGTCAATGGAAGAGGCAGATATGAGCCAAGATTTCTCCTCTACTCCACCATGCCTTCTACCTTATGGGATTTGAAGAATTCTCACACAAATCACTGTTTAAAGCCAAGTCATTCCCACCTCTGGAAGGCAGAATTAATGCCCTTATGGCTGCAGGTCACTCAACAGTTAAGCATAAGCTCCTGGCCATGCAGATGCCCAGAGACTTCTTGCAGCTCTGTTCCAGAGAAACCAAGAGCTGCCTCTGCTTTCCTAGTGTGTCTGTGGACTGACCAAGCTTAATGGCTGGCAGTCACGTTGTCAACACAGACAAATACAGCAGGGCTCAAGCAGGAGGGCCTCCTGCCAGGCACATGCAAAATGCATGCTCTGCAGGGCAGAGGGTCAGAGCAGCTAAAAGACAGAGCAACCAGGGATTCTGTTCCAGGACCTGGTTTCATGGCACCTTCTCAATTTATCAAGCTGAAACACCAAGTATCAGCATCTCCTGATGAGAAATCCTAAGACAGGATCCGATTTCCCACCTTGTCTCCATCTCTCACATATGCCAATCTATTTTAAACTCCCACAAGGAAGTGGGGACTTTCCGAGGCAGGTAACCCCTATCCAAGGGTCATGCCTTAGAGGGATAAGCCACTACAACAGAAGAGAGGGCACTGCACCCACTCCCTTTACCCCTTCAAAAGGGGCAGGCTGCTCCTAAAAGGTAGGATCTCAACCTGCTCTGTTACATAACTTCCAAACTTCCTGCGGAAATATCAATCCCATTCTTCTTGTTTTACCCTCTGAAAAAATCCTCTTTGCAGATACCTGTATGCAAAGTTCCTCCAGCCTTCCCTTCTCCCAACTTAGTCAGCCCAACTTCTTTAGGGCTCTTTCTCAGACCCTCATGTGCATGGCTCCAATTCCGGATTTTCTTCCACTTTTTAACACTGCTCAGGCACAAATGTTGACGTGCTTCCTCAAGGGACCTAACAGGTGACGCAGAATTAGTGAGCACTTTGTCCTGAAGTAATCAAGTGAAATGTTAGAGGCAGAGCTCTCACTATTGACCCTACCAATGGAAAGGGACAAATAGGCCCAGGGGCATATGCCTCCTCCTCTCCACCTCTACTCTCCTTGTACCAGAAAATTCACATGGGACTGACTATTCACTAGGTTCTGGGATAAGATTCTGGCTCGAGAGAAGGTAGTGTCACCTAGAAGGCAAGGTCATACAACGGAAAGAACACCAGCAATCAGGAGATCCATGTTGAGTTTCACTTCCATTACTCAGTAGTGTAAGACTGGAACCAAGTCACTTCACTGAAATTCAGTTTCCTTGTCTGTTGAATCGGGCTAATAAAGCCTATCAATGCTGTATATGATATGCAACCCCCAGACTATCCGTCGTTCCCAGCGAATGCCGTCCGCTGGTCGCATCTTCCTCCATATCCACTCGGCTCCCGGTACTGCCGCAACCGGAAATTTGGACTCTGTTATTAACGCCCCCTGCGGGGGACGGAGGATGAGCTGTCAGCGATTCCACCAATGGCATTTGAGCCTTTGAGCCTCCCAGGAGCGAGGATGGGCTGACCTTCCGAGAACTGAGGTGAGGCCGGGCCTATAATCCCAACACTTTGGGAGGCCGAGGCGGGCGGACCACGAGGTCAGGAGATCGAGACCATCCTGGCTAACACGGTGAAACCCCGTCTCTACTAAAAATACAAAAAATTAGCCGGGCGTGGTGGTGGGCGCCTGTAGTCCCAGCTACCCGGGAGGCTGAGGCAGGAGAATGGTGTGAACCCGGAAGGCGGAGCTTGCAGTGAGCCGAGATTGCGCCACTGCCCTCCAGCCTGGGTAACAGAGCGAGACTCTGTCTCAAAAAAAAAAAAAAAAATAGAGCTGTAGTACAACTCATATGAGTTAAGAATTGTGAAGGCATTTTGTTAACAGCAAAGCATTATCATTACAGAAAGTTCTACTGGACAGTGATGCTCTAAGTCCTTGCCACCCAAGGTGGTCCACAGACTGGCATCATGGACATCACGTGGGAGCCTGTTAGAAATACAGAATTTCAGGGTGCACCCTAGACCTGCTGAATAAGAACCAAACTTTTATAATAATCAGATCTTTTCAAATCAAATCATCTTCTACAACTCCTGACAAGACACCCATGGGTCCCCATTTCTCAGCTGGAAACAGGGAATAGAGACCAACATCCTCCATTCCTTCTGTTCTCCCTATTGCATCTGCATCCTGGGAGCTATCTACCACATGAACGTGAATATATGTACATGCTTGCCCACCTGTCCTACTGAATATACATTTCCCTAGGGGAATGCCTGGGGATGCCTCCGAACCCTCCTTCGAGATCATCTCCTCCCTACCTCGGACATGGTGAGATTCCCACCCAGCTTTCCTTTGGTCTTCCATAGGTACCCACGTGATCCCTCATCACAGACACCACATGACAATCCTCTCAAGATACTCCGTGGGACACCCCCTTTATGCAGCCTCTGTCCTGGCCCCCGCACACCCAACTCTGGGTCTTCGAACATGCCCCTTGCCGTGCTTCTTCGCTGTCAGCGAATCTCACGATCCTCTGCCAGGAAGAGACGCCTCACCGCAGTTGTCCTTCATTCCCAAAACTGCATGGTACCGCAGCCTGACACCCCAGGCATCCTTTGCCTCCCTGACAAGTGCAGATCCTCAGAGACCTTAGTTGTCAGGGACCTCAAGCCGGCGGCTTCTTACCTTCTCAGACTCCGGCGGCTCCACCGCGTCTGAGGCGAACTCCAAGCCCGGACCTCTAGGCCGCAGCCCCCAGTCTATCCGTCGTTCCCAGCGAATGCCGTCTGCCGGTCGCATCTTCCTCCATCTCGACTGGGCTACCGGTACTGCCGGAACCGGAAATTAGGACTCTGTCATTACCGCCCCCTGCAGGGGGCGGAGGATGAGCTGTCGGGGATTCTGCCAATGGCGTTTGAGCCTTTGAGCCTCCCAGGAGTGAGGATGTGCCGCACTTCCGAGAACTGACGGCCTCCTGGTAGCCATCTTGGATTTGGGCAGTAGCCACGCCTTCTTTACCTTCGTTATGCCCTCAGCGTTAAGGCGCCTGCGTGTTCTGGTTGGGCTCTTTCTAATTGGCGGAAATTGAATCACCAGACGCTTATTGAAGATCCAGTTGTAAATGGGGTCACCTTGTGTTTGGGAGTGTTGGAACCTTTATATTCAAATCAAGGCCGGGCACGGTGGCTCACGCCTGTAATCTCAGAATTCTGGGACGCCGAGTCGGACGGATCACCTGAAGTCCGAAGTTCGAGACCAGCCTGGCCGCCTTGGCGAAACCCCGTCTCCACTAAAAATACGAAATAAATTAGCCGGGAGTAATGGCGCGCGCCTGTAATCCCAGCTAGCCGGGTGGCTGAGGCACGAGAATCGCTTGAACCCGGAGGTTGTAGTGAGCCGAGATCGTGCCACTGGACGGCGACAGAGCGAGACTGTCTCAAAAAGAAAAAAAAAAGAACAAATCTAATGTGTGATTTTTGTATAACTTTTTCTTCTTTCCTCTTTTTTGTTTTTTAGAGTCAAAATACTACTCTATCGCCCAGGCTATAGTGCAGTGGCAAGATCATAGCTCATTGTAACCTGAACTCCTGGGCTCAAGCGATGCTGCGGACTCAGTCTCCCGAAGCGGTGGGATGACAGGCGTGAGCCACTGCGCTTGCCACATTTCTCATTATTTATAGAGCCAAAATAGTAGAGGACAACATGCAGCAGGAATCACTGAGGATACATAGCCAATTTTGAAGTTTGGGAACTCAAAAAACTGCAGCAATGGGGGACAACCTGAAGGTGGAGAAAAATGACATTAAGGTGGAGAAAAATGACAGGGTTAGTGGGTTTTCTCCTCGTGTGCGGAGACGAGAGAGTGTAGAAATAGAGACACAAGACAAAGAGATAAAAGACCGCTGGGCCCGGGGGACCACTACCACCAAGACGCGGAGACCGGTAGTGGCCCCGAATGCCAGGCTGCGCTGATATTTATTGGATACGAGACAAAGGGGCAGGATAAGGAGTGTGAGCCATCTCCAATGATAGGTAAGGCCACATGGGTCACGTGTCCACTGGACAGGGGGCCCTTTCCTGCCTGGCAGCCGAGGCAGAGAGAGAGAGAGGAGAAAGAGAGAAACAGCTTACACTATTATTTCTGCTTATCAGAGATTTTTAGTATTTTCGCTAATTTGCTACTGCTAACTAAAAGGCAGAGCCAGGTGTACAAGATGGAACATCAAGGCAGACTAGGAGCGTGACCACTGAAGCACAGCATCACAGGGAGACGGTTAGGCCTCCGGATAACCGCGGGCGGGCCTGACTAATGTCAGGCCTTCCACAAGAGGTGGAGGAGTAGAGTCTTCTCTAAACTCCCCCGGGGAAAGGAAGACTCCCTTTCCCGGTCCGCTACTGCTAGACCACGGTCCGCTTGGCAAGGGGCATCTTCCCAGACGCTGGCATTACCGCTAGACCAAGGAGCCCTTTGGTGGCCCTGTCTGGGCATAACAGAAGGCTCACACTCTTGTTTTCTGGTCACTTCTCACTATGTCTCCTCAGCTCCTATCTCTGTATGGCCTGGTTTTTCCTAGGTTATGATTATAGAGCGAGGATTATTATAATATTGGAATAAAGAGTAATTGCTACAAACTACTGATTAATGATATATATAATCATATCTAAGATCTATATCTGGTATAACTATTCTTCTTTTATATTTTATTATACTGGAACAGCTCATGTCCTCGGTCTCTTGTGTCGGCACCTGGGTGGCTTGCCGCCCACACAACCAAATTAAAAAATAACACAGAAGGGTAAGGTAAGTCTCCATTAAACCCAGGAAAGAGACTGGAAAACTCCTCTTTGGAGCCTGTCTATAGTCACAGGTGAAATAAAAGAAATAAAAGGAAAGAAAAATGGGCAAAAGACTTGAATAGACCTTTCCCCAAAGAAGATATACAAATGGCCAAGAAGCACATGAAAAGATGCTCAACATCATTAGTCATTAAGGAAATGCAAATCATAACCAAGTTGATAAAATGCCACTTCACACCCACTAGGGTGGCTAAAATTAAAACAAACAAAAAGCCGAAAATGAGCGTTGGTAAGGATGTGGAGAAATTGGAACCCTCGGATCTTGCTGGTGGGAATGTAACATGCTACAGTTGCTGTGGAAAACAGTGGCAGTTCCTCAATAAGCTAAACATAAAATTAGCATATGATTCAGCAATTTTACTCCTGGGTATATACCCAATACAACTGTAAACAGGTATTCAAACAAAAACTCATACACAAATGTTTATTTTTAGCAGCACTATTCACAATTGCCAAAAGTAGAAACAACCCAAATGTCCATCAACCCATGAATGGGTAAACAAAATGTGGTATATTTACACAGTGGAATAGTATTAAGCAATAAAAAGGAATGAATGTATGCTACAACATAGATGAACCTTGAAACCATTAAGCTAAGTGATATAAACCAGATACAAAGGCCACATATTAGGTAATCCTATTTATTTGAAATAACCAGAATAGACAAATCAATAGAGACAAAAAGCAGATTAGTGGATAAGTGATTGCCGGAAGTCTGGAGATTGAGGGAGAGGATGGAAAGTAACTAATGGGTTCAGGGTTTCCTTTTGGGCAATGAAAATGTTCTAGAACTAGGTAGTGGTGATGGTTGCACAATACTGTGTATGTATTAATGTTATTAATAGTAAACTTTATGTTGTGTGTATTTTACTATTTTTATTTTTATTTATTTATTTTTTTGGAGACAGAGTCTCACTCTGTCTCCCAGGCCGGAGCGCAGTGGCATGATCTTGGCTCACTGCAATCTCTGCCTCATGGGTTCAAGTGATTCTCCTGCCTCAGCCTCCCAAGTAGCTGGGATTATAGACACCAGCCACCGTGCCCGGCTAATTGTTTGTATTTTTAGTAGAGATGGGGTTTCACCATGTTGGCCAGGCTGGTCTCAAACTCCTGACCTCAGGTGATCCACCTGCCTTGGCCTCCCAAAGTGCTGGGATTACAGGCATGAGCTACTGTGCTGGGCCTACTATTTTTAAAAATTGATATTTCTAGGATGGGTCCCTCCTTCTAAACTCCAGACTTATTTATAACTGCCTTAAAATATCTAATGGACATTTCAATCTTAGTGTGATGGTTAGTTTTCTATCAACATGGCTAGGTTATACTACCTTTTTATTCAATCAAACACTAATATAGGCCAGGCATGGTGGCTCACACCTGTAATCTCAGCACTTTGGGAGGCAGAGGCGGGTGGATCACTTGAGATCAGGAGTTTGAGACCAGCCTGGCCAACATGGGGAAACCCTGTCTCTACTAAAAAGAAAAAAATACAAAAATTAGCCGGGTGTAGTGGCACGTGCCTGTAGTCCCAGCTACTTGAGAGGCTGAGGCATGAGAATCACTTGAACCTGAGAGTAGAGGTTGCAGTGAGCCCAGATTGCGCCACTGTACTCTAGTCTGGGCAATAGAAGGAGACTCTGTCTCAAAAAACAAACAAAAACCCCACTAATCTAGATGTTGCTATAAAGGTTATTTTGCTGGCACAGTTAACATCTAGTCCGTTGACTATAAGTAAAGGAGATTGCCTCAATAATGTGGGTGGGTCTCATCTAATCATTTGAAAAGCCTGAAGAGCAAAACCAAGGTTTCCCCGAGGAAGAAATTCTGCATTAAGACTGTAACATCACCTGCTGTCCCCAGAGTTCCCAGCCTGCAGGCCTGCCCTACAGATTTCAGACTTGCCAGCTCCTACAATCAAATAGCCAGTTCCTTGAAAAAAGAAAAAAGAAATATGCAGGCCAGGCGCAGTGGCTCATGCCTGTAATCCCAGCACTTTGGGAGGCCAAGATGGACAGATCACTTGAGGTCGGGAGTTCAAGACCATCCTGGCCATCATGGCGAAACCCTGTCTCTACTAAAAATACAAAAATTAGCTGGGCGTGGTGGCGTGCACCTGTAATCTCAGCTACTTGAGAGGCTGAGACACGAGAATTGCTTGAACATGGGAGGCAGAGGTTGCAGTGAGCTGAGATCATGCCACTGCACTCCAGCTTGGGTGATAAAATGAGACTCTGTCTCAAAAAAAGAAAAAGAAAAACTGTATATATGTATATAAATGCTCTGTATATAGAATATATTTTCTATATATACATATTTTACACATTATTTATAATACTTTTTATATATTATAAATTTTATATATTGTAGGAGAGCGGTCAGGGTGATGGGAGAAATTACAGGGAAAGACACAAACGTTCTTGGAAGGCTGGGAGGTTTTGCAAAGCTTCGAAAGAAAATTTGGCTGAAGGCAGCCAAATTCTCTTATTCGGAGCCTGAGAGCAAAGGGTAGATAACAAGGGAATATAAAGGAACTAACCTAGATAAATTTGTTTACTCCTGTCTCCAGAAACAAACCTTTGATCATTCACACACAGGACTGGTCTCTACTTGGGGGGGTGACAATGTTTATTACCCACAAATTGTGTTTGCCCCAAGCCTTTGTCATTAAATCTGTACTAAATAAATGTGAGTGTCACCAGCTTAGTGGGGCTGCGAACTCTCTTCGGCCCCTAGTGCTGGTAGTTCCCTATCCCGCTCTTTCACTGGATACCTATGTCTGAGTACTCCTTTCATTCATCGCTGGGCTAGAGTCTGAGGGACAGACTTAGCAGGTGGTGCCCCATGTGAGAAGTGCTGCAATGGATTGCAATGGAACCCTCGAAAACGAAGGTGAAGAGACTGTGCGGTCAGTAAGTCAGTAAGTCATTGGTGCCCACTTGGGATTTCCAAATTCAAGGGAATTGTTCATGCTAGGGTTTCATCATGGACAACAGTTATCAGCTCAACAGCAACAGTATATAAAAGTATTGAAACAGCTGCTTAAAGCTAGCAGAACCTCGGTTTCACAGGCTCAATTAAGGGACCTAATGCAAACTGTTGTTTCCCCTAACCCATTTTTCCCAGAAGAAGGCATGCTAGACATAGAGCTCTGGGAACAAGTGGGGAGAAATCTTAAACAACATTATGCACAAGGGCAACAGGTCCCAGTAACATCTCTAACGTTATGGGCCTTAGTCAGGGCTGCTTTGGCTCTGCTCTACACAGAAGAGCCTCAAAAGGGAAGGGAGGAGAAACAGTCACCTTCCTATCTGCCTCCCTCTACCTCAGCCCCGCTATCACTGGGAAAAAATACCTGAGCCCCCCCTCCAATAAATTGTTTTTTTTTTTTTTGAGATGGAGTTTTCGCTCTTGTCGCCCAGGCTGGAGTGCAACGGCGCGATCTCGGCTCACCGCAACCTCTGCCTCCCGGGTTCAAGCGATTCTTCTGCCTCAGCCTCCCAAGTAACGGATTACAGGCATGCGCCTCCACGCCTGGCTAGTTTTGTATTTTTAGTAGAGATGGGGTTTCTCCATGTTGGTCAGGCTGGTCTCAAACTCCTGACCTCAGGTGATCCGTCCGCCTCGGCCTCCCAAAGTGCTAGGATTACAGATGTGAGCCACTCCGCCCAGCCTCCTATAAATTGTTAAAAAGACAAGGGATATGCTACAGTTATGGGACCCTATCTTAGGCAAGCGGCATTAGAAGGGGAGCTCTTAGCCTGCCTGGTAATGCAAGATCGACAAGGCAATCAGGTACATGAACCCCTTTCTTTTGATGCTTGTAAAGAGATAAGAAAAAGCATTAGAGAAAACGGAGCCGCTATCCCATTTACAAAAGGATTAATTGAGTCCATAGCAGACAACTTCCGTATGACTCCATGGGACTGGTCAATGCTAGCAAAAACAACTTTAAACACCAGTCAATACCCCCTCTGGAGGGCAGAATTTGATGAATAATGTAAACAACCAACCCTTTTCTAGTAATGGCCACTGTTATTCCTCCCCTACCCCTAACATGGCTCTCTCAAAATCCTATTTGGGTAGAACAGTAGCCTTTAAAGGGAGAGAAATTATAAGGAGTCCATTAATTAGTTGAGGAACAATTAAAAGCCGGCCATATAGAACCATCAAACAGCCCTTGGAATTCACCCATTTTTGTCATTCCCAAAAGGTCTGGCAAACGGAGACTTTTGCATGACTTACGGGCTATCAATGCTAATTTGCAACCTATGGGGCCCCTTCAACAGGGCCTCCCCCATGGTAATTCCTCAAGATTGGCCTATAGTCGTTATTGACTTAAAAGACTGCTTTTATTTTTTATTTTTTTTATTTTTTTTATTTTTTGAGACGGAGTCTCGCTCTGTTGCCCAGGCTGGAGTGCAGTGGCGGGATCTCGGCTCACTGCAAGCTCCGCCTCCCGGGTTCACGCCATTCTCCTGCCTCAGCCTCCCAAGTAGCTGGGACTACAGGCGCCCGCCACTACGCCCGGCTAATTTTTTTGTATTTTTAGTAGAGACGGGGTTTCACCGTTTTAGCCGGGATGGTCTCGATCTCCTGACCTCGTGATCCGCCCGCCTCGGCCTCCCAAAGTGCTGGGATTACAGGCATGAGCCACCGCGCCCGGCCAAGACTGCTTTTATACTATTCCCCTTGCAGAACAGGACAGAGAAAAATTTGTATTTACAATACCAGCTATCAATAATGAAAGGCCAGCTCACAAATCTCATTGGAAAGTTCCTCCTCAAGGAATGCTGAACAGTCCTAGCCCACTCTTTCACTGGATACCTGTGTCTGGATATGTCTGTATCATATAAATCAGGCTTTGCTCCCCAATAGAAAAGAATTTCCTAATTGCAAGATTATTCATTTTATGGATCATATTTTACTAGCAGCCCCAATGGAGCCAATGCTTTTCAGTTTCTATGCCTCTGTCATAAAGAATACACAGTTAAGAGGTTTAATCATAGCACCTGAAAAAGTACAGTTGTCCTCTCCTTGGAAGTATCTTGGATACATACTAACTTCTCGGTCAGTAAGATGTCAAAAGGTTAAATTAAATATTAGCAACTTACACACCTTAAATGATTATCAAAAAATACTGGGTGGTATTAATTTGCTTCACCCCATCTTGGGCATAACTACTGATAAGTTACAAAACCTGTTTTCTATCCTAAAGGGCAATACAGCCCTAGACTCTCCCAGGTATTTAACTCCTGCAGCAAAAAGGGAAATTGAGGAAATAGAGCAAGCTATTTCTCAGAGGCAGCTAGATCACATAGACCCATGATATTCAGTTCTATTGTTTGTTTTTCCTACTAAGCATTCCCCAACAGAATTAATAGGACAGATGGCCCCAGGGCTATGCTTTCTAGAATGGGTTTTTTGCTCACATACCGGGACTAAAACACTATCTCCCTATATCCAGCTAGTTATTGAAGTCACCTACACAAGCTGCAGATGATGCAATCAGTTGCTAGGTTATGACCCTGATGTCATAAGAATTCCTTTGAGTAAAAAGCAATTTGAAGCAGCATTGCCCCATCTCTAAATCTTCAGATAACACTTTCTAATTATGTAGGCCATATAGAGCATGCCTTTACTGCTGACAAACTCATTCAGTTCTTATCTTGTACTCCTGTAATTGTGCCTACAAAAGTAGGCACATACCTAACACTTTAATGCTTTTTACTGACGGCTCTGGTAAAAATGGAAAAGTGGCTATTTGGTGGAGACCACATAATTCCCTCACTTGTTCTGGATTTACTAGCACTCAGAGAGCTGGGGTTGAAGCCTTAATATTGGCCTGGAGAACTTTTCCACTCAGCCTATCAATATTGTTGGTGACTTTGCTTACTCTGTTTATTGCAGAACCTTGAAACAGGCCTCATTAAGTCTACTGTCGAGCCCACCGTGTGCACGTTTTCTTCAACTTCAGCAATTGCTGGATCAACGTACACACCCTATTTTTATCATACACTATTCAAGCCCACAGCTCACTGCCTGGCCCACTGGCTTATGGCAATAATCAAGCAGACCTGCAAGTTATGATGTCACTGCTTGACCAAACCACATAATCACATCAATTTTTCCACCAAAATTGGAGGAACTTAACAATTTCAACTTAACCAAAGACTAGATAAACAAATTATCCTGCAGTGCCCAGATTGCCAGCTCACAGGCACGTCCCCTCCTTTAACAGGTATTAACCCTAGGGACTAGAACCTAATCAGTTATAGCAAAGAGATGTTACTCAAGTCCCTGAATTTGGAAAACTAAGATATGTACATGCATCCGTTGATACCAGTTCTCACTTAATTAGTGCTCATGCTCTTCCTGGAGAGTCCACCTGGTATGTCATTAAACATCTTCTTTTAACCTTTGCACTTATGGGGTGACCCACAAAAATTAAAACTGATAATGGTCTGGCTTATGCTAGTTCACAATTTCAACAATTTTGTTATACATGGAATATCCAGCATTCCACAGGCATCCGTATAACCCCCAAGGATAGGCCATAGTAGAATGTGTCCATTCCTCTCTTAAAAATATGCTCAGAAAACCAAAAAGGGGAATTATGAGTAAGGACCCTGCAACACTACTAGCACAAGCCTTATTTACCCTTAATTTCTTAAATTTAAATGATAAATTTCAATCAGCTATAGAAAAGCACTTTGCTAAAACCTCTCGAGACATAAAACCCACAGTTTTATGGAAAGATGTAAATAGTAATGTATGGTGTGGTCCAAATGATTTGCTAACGTGAGGAAGAGGATATGCTTGTGTTCACACCCCCCTCAGGTCCTCTTTGGATTCCAGCACAATGCATCAAACCTTACCAGAGTGTGGGTAGAACCTAACCCGGTAATAAAGAAAATAATCCTGCAGGACTCAGCCCTGGACAATGTGGCTTCCTCAGACAACACAGGCCCCAGACTGAATGCTAAAGAAGACAACTCAGGAGGCTAAGCGAATCCTGCTCCAAACACAAACATGTTCACTCCAAATAATTTGTTCCTTTTTTATTCTCTCACTTTGCCTACTACCTGTACCTGCTACACTCTATTAGGCCCATCTTCTAATTCTGCCTTTCTTCCACCCTGTTACTTAGACAAACACCCCCTTCCCAGCTTCTAATAAAGCAACTGCTAGGCTAGAAGGGATTGACTTACCCCAAGTGGGGTTCCTCAGTAATGGCACACATTAGACTGAGGTGCTAGGTAACACTACATGTCACTCCTTGATTGGAAAGGAATGTTACTGATTATACTCAGGTTTGTCTTACGTTATTTACTAATTCTAGGATGCAAAGCCAAAATACAAGCAGTGACCGCTACGCCTGACAAACCTGTTGCTGCACACATCTGTACTCTTCAATCAACAAAACCTGATGCAAAAAACAGAAAAGGGGGAGATGTAGGAAATTGGTCAGGGTGGTGGAAGAAATTATAGGGAAAGACACAAACCTTCTTGGAAGGCCGGGAGGTTTTGCAAAAGCTTCGAAATAAAATTTGGCTGAAGGCAGCCAAATTCTCTTATCCAGAGCCTGAGAGCAAAGGGTAGATAACAAGGGAATGTAAAGGAACTTATCTAGATAAATTTGTTTACTCCTGTCTGCAGAAACCAACCTTTGATCATTCGCCTGCAGGACTGCTCTCTACTTGGGGGGTCGACAATGTTTATTACCCACAAATTGTGTTTGCTCCAAGCCCTTGTCGTTAAATCTGTACTAAATAGGCCGGGCACAGTGGCTCACGCCTGTAATCCCAGCACTTTGGGAGGCCGAGGTGGGCGGATCACAAGGTCAGGAGATCGGGACCATCCTGGCTAAAGTGGTGAAACCCGTCTCTCCTAAAAATATTTAAAAAAAAAAAATTAGCCAGGCACGGTGGCGGGTGCCTGTAGTCTCAGCTACTTGGGAGGCTGAGGCAGGAGAATGGCATGAACCCAGGAGGCGGAGCTTGCAGTGAGCTGATATCGCGCCACTGCACTCCAGCCTGAGCGACAGAGCAATACTCCATCTCAAAAAAAAAAAAAAAAAATCTGTACTGAATAAATGCGTTACCGGCTTAGGGGGGCTGTGAATTCACTGGATACCCGTGTCTGAGTACTCCTTTCATTCATTGCTCGGCCAGAGTCTGTGGGACAGACTTGACAACATGTATATATAAAATCTACTTGTGGCCAGGCGCGGTGGCTCACGCCTGTAATCCCAGCACTTTGGGAGGCCAAGGTGGGTGGATCACGAGGTCAGGAGTTCAAGACCAGCCTGGCCAACATGGTGAAACCCCCGTCACACACACACACACACACACACACACACACACACACACACACACACAAATTAGCCAGGTGTGATGGCGTGCGCCTGTAATCCCAGCTACTCAGTAGGCTGAGGCAGGAAAATTGATTGAACCCAGGAGGCAGAGGTTGCAGTGAGCCAAGATCACACCACTGCACTCCAGCCTGGGTGACAGAGCAAGACTCCATCTCAAGAAAAAAAAGAAAGGAAAAAAAAATATCTACTTTGGGAGGCTAAAGTGAGAGGATTGCTTCAAGACCAGCCTGAGAAACATAATGAGAACCCCATCTCTAAAAAAAAAAAAAAAAAGGGCCGGGGGCCTTGGCTCACACCTGTAATCCCAGCACTTTGGCAGGCCGAGTGGGCAGATCACCTGAGGAGTTCGAGACCAGCCTGGCCAACATGGCAAAACTCTGTCTCTATTAAAAATACAAAAATTACCCAGGCATGGTGGCAGGTACCTGTAATCCCAGCTATTCAGGAGGTTGAGCCAGGAGAATCACTTGAACCTGGGAGGCAGAGGTTGCAGGGAGCCAAGATCATGCCACTGCAGCACTCTAGCTTAGGCGACAGAGTGGGACTCCATCTCAAAAAAGAAAAAAAAAAAAAGGCAGGCAATGTGGCTCATGCCTGTAATCCCAGCACTTTGGGAGGCCAAGGAGTGAGGATTGCTTAAGTCCAGGATTTCAAGAACAGCCTGGGAAACATAGTAAGATCCTGTCTCTACAAAAAATAAAAAATTGTCTGGGCATGGTGACTCACGCCTGTAATCCCAGCACTTTGGGAGGCTGAGGCGGGCAGATCACTTGAGGTCGGGAGTTCAAGAACAGCCTGACCAACATGAAGAAACCCCTTCTCTACTAAAAAAAATACAAAAATTAGCCAGGCGTGTTGGCGCATACCTGTAATCCCAGCTACTTGGGAGGCTGAGGCAGGAGAATCACTTGAACCTGGGAGGCAGAGGTTGCGATGAGCAGAGATCGCGCCATTGCACTCCAGCCTGGGCAACAAGAGTGAAACTCCGTCTCAAAAAATAAATAAATAAATAAATAAATAAAAATTAAAAATTAGCCAGCCATGATAGCACATGCCTATAGTCCCACCCACTTGGGAGGCTAAGCAGGAAGCTCACTTGGGCTCAAGAGGTTGAGGGTGCAGTGAGCTACAACTGAGCCACTGCACTGCAGCCTGGGCAACGGAGTGAGACCCTGTTAACTGTAACAAAAAACAATTGTAGACACCCTTCCTACTCCCAAACTGCTTTCCCCAGATCCATTTTTTCCCTGTAGTACATCATCATCTAATGTACCCTACCTTGAAGGGGTGGGTTGCCCCTCCACACCTGTGGGTGTTTCTCGTTAGGTGGAACGAGAGACTTGGAAAAGAAAAAGACACAAAGTATAGAGAAAGAAATAAGGGGGCCCAGGGGACCAGGGTTCAGCATACGGAGAATCCTGCCAGCCTCTGAGTTCCCTTAGTATTTATTGATCATTCTTGGGTGTTTCTCGGAGAGGAGGATGTGTCAGGGTCATAGGATAATAGTGGAGAGAAGGTCAGCAGATAAACACGTGAACAAAGGTCTCTGCATCACAGACAAGGTAAAGAATTAAGTGCTGTGCTTTAGATATGCATACACATAAACATCTCAATGCCTTACAGAGCAGTATTGTTGCCCGCATGTCCCACCTCCAGCCCTAAGGCGGTTTTTCCCTATCTCAGTAGATGGAACGTACAATCGGGTTTTATACTGAGACATTCCATTGCCCAGGGAAAGGCAGGAGACAGATGCCTTCCTCTTGTCTCAACTGCAAGAGGCATGCCTTCCTCTTATACTAATCCTCCTCAGCACAGACCCTTTACGGGTGTCAGGCTGGGGGACGGTCAGGTCTTTCCCTTCCCATGAGGCCACATTTCAGACTATCACATGGGGAGAAACCTCGGACAATACCTGGCTTTCCTAGGCAGGGGGCCCTGCCGCCTTCCGCAGTGTTTTGTGTCCCTGGGAACTTGAGATTAGGGAGTGGTGATGACTCTCAACGAGCATGCTGCCTTCAAGCATCTGTTTAACAAAGCACATCTTGCACCGCCCTTAATCCATTTAAACCTGAGTTTGACACAGCACATGTTTCAGAGAACACGGGGTTGGGGGTAAGGTTATAGATTAACAGAATCTCAAGGCAGAAGAATTTTTCTTAGTACAGAACAAAATGGAGTCTCCTATGCCTACTTATTTCTACACAGACACAGTAACAATCTGATCTCTTTCTTTTCCCCACACTACCTAGCTTACTTATTTATACAGTTGAACCTTGACCAACATGAGTTTTAATTATGTAAGTCCATTTTTAAGTAGTTTTTTTTTTTCTGAGACAGAGTCTTGCTCTGTCACCCAGGCTGGAGTGCAGTGGCGTGATCTTGGCTCACTGCAACCTCCGCCTCCCAGGTTCAAGCAATTCTCCTGCCTCAGCCTCCTAAGTATCTGGGATTACAGGCGTGTGCTACCACACCTGGCTAATTTTTGTATTTTTAGTAGAGACGGGGTTTCACCATGTTGGCCAGGCTGGTCTTGAACTCCTGACCTCAGGTGATCTGCCCACCTTGGCCTCCCAAAGTGCTAGGATTACAGGCGTGAGCCACTGTGCCCGGCTTAAGGAGATTTTCTACCGCCTCTGCCCTGAGACAGCAGGACCAACCCCCTCCTCTTTCTCCTCCTCCTCCTCAGACTACTCAGCCGACATTTGTGATGATCCATTTCCACTTAATGAATAGTTAATATATTTTATTTTTCGTATTATTATTATTATTTTTAGAGACAGGATTACTCTGTTGCCCCAGCTGGATTGCAGTGGCATGATCATAGCTCACTGCAGCCTCAAATTCCTGGGCTGAAACAATCCTCCCACCTCAGCCTCCTGAGTAGCTGCGACTATGGGCATGGGCCACCTACCATATCCAGCTTATATACATATATATAGGTAGAGATGGCTAAGAAGGGTTGGGGGTGGGCATGGTGGCTCATGCCTGTAATCCCAGCATTTAGGGAGGCTGAGGGAGGGGTGTTGCTTGAGGACAGGAATTCGGGACAGCCTGGGCAATATAGCAAGACCCCATCTCTAAAAAAAAAAAAATAGCCAGGTGTGGTGGCATGTGCCTGTAGTCCTAACTACTCAAGAGGCTGAGGCAGGAGAATCCCTTAAGCCCAGGAGTATGAGGCTGCAGTGAGCTAGGATCACGCCATTGCACTCCAGACTGGGTGACAGTCAGACTCCGTCTCTAATTTTAAAAAATAAATATGTACTTGTTAGGCTGGGCGCAGTGGCTCACACCTGTAATCCCAGCAGTTTGGGAGGCCGAGGCGGGCGGATCAGCTGAGTCCAGGAGTTCCAGACCCACCTGACCAACATGGTGAAAGCATGTTTCTACTAAAAATACAAAAATTAGCTGGGTGTGGTGGCAGGCGCCTGTAGTCCCAGCTACTCAGGAGGCTGAGGCAGGATAATCGCTTGAACCTGGGAGGCAGAGGCTGCAGTGAGCTGAGATTGTGCCATGTAGGGGTGGGTTGCCCCTACACACCTGTGGGTGTTTCTCGTAAGGTGGGACGAGAGATTTGGAAAAGAAAAAGACACAGAGACAAAGTATAGAGAAAGAAAGAAGGGGACCCGGGGAACCAGCGTTCAGCATATGGAGGATCCCGCCAGCCTCTGAGTTCCCTTAGTATTTATTGATCATCTGTGGGTGTTTCTCAAAGAGGGGGATGTGTCAGGGTCACAAGACAATTGTGGGGAGAGGGTCAGCAGACAAACACGTGAACAAAGGTCTTGGCATCATAGACAATGTAAAGGATTAAGTGCTGTGCTTTTAGATATGCATACACATAAACATCTCAATGCTTTACAAAGCAGTATTGCTGCCCGCAGGTCCCACCTCCAGCCCTAAGGCGGTTTTTCCCTATCTCAGTAGATGGAGCATACAATCGGGTTTTATACCGAGACATTCCATTGCCCAGGGAAAGGCAGGAGACAGATGCCTTCCTCTTGTCTCAACTGCAAGAGGCATTCCTTCCTCTTTTACTAATCCTCCTCAGCACAGACCCTTTACGGGTGTCGGGCTGGGGGACGGTCAGGTCTTTCCCTTCCCACGAGGCCATATTTCAGACTATCACATGGGGAGAAACCTTGGACAATACCTGGCTTTCCTAGGCAGAGGTCCCTGCGGCCTTCCGCAGTTTTTGTGTCCCTGGGTACTTGAGATTAGGGAGTGGTGATGACTCTTAAGGAGCATGCTGCCTTCAAGCATCTGTTTAACAAAGCACATCCTGCACCGCCCTTAATCCATTTAACTCTGAGTTGACACAGCACACGTTTCAGAGAGCATGGGGTTGGGGGTAAGGTTATAGATTAACAGAATCTCAAGGCAGAAGAATTTTTCTTAGTACATAACAAAATGGAGTCTCCTATGTCTACTTCTTTCTACACAGACACAGTAACAATCTGATCTCTCTTGCTTTTCCCCACAGTGCCACTGCACTCCAGCCTGGGCGACAGAGCAAGACTCTGTTTCAAAAAATACACACACACATACACACACACACACACACACACACACACACACACACACACACACAGTGGCGCAATCTCGGCTCACGGCAGACTCTGCCTCCTGGGTTCAAGTTATTCTCTTACCTTAGCCTCCAGAGTAGCTGGGACTACAGGTGCCTGCCACCACACCTGGCTAATTTTTTGTACTTTTAGTAGAAATGGGGTCTCGCTATGTTGGCCAGGTGGGTCTTGAACTCCTGACCTCAGGTGATCCACCCACCTCGGCCTCCCAAAATGCTGGAATTACAGGCATGATCCACTGTGCCAGGCCTTTTTTTTTTTTTCTTTTTTTTTTTTTTTATGGCTAAGGGGGTACGTTGTATGGTTTGTTTTTTTTTTAACCAAGATTTAAATTAAAAAAAATTTGAGAACACATAATAGAAGAAAATTGTGAGAATGGGGTGGTCAATATGTGAGGGGCATACACACACCAAGGTCAGATTTGGCATTAGGGGTTTATGGGTAGTTTCGGAGAGAGCCATTTGAGCAGAAAGGTGGGGAAAGAAGCTAGACCTCAGGGGATTGGAGAGAGCTCAGGCGACACTGGAGGGAGGTGGGGGCAGCCAGAATGGACTCACTCCCATGTTTGGTGGTACCAGGAAAGAGAGACTGAGTGGGGGTGACGTGAATGGATAGAGTTTGTGGTAAGATTAGTGTTCTGTTGTTTTTTTATCTAGAGAACGCCTGAACACACCTGTAGGTGGGAGAGGAGAGATGAAAGATGAGGAAGTGGGTAAAGCGAGTGGGGATGCTGGAGGTCAGATGATTAGAGAACAGATCCCTGGCAGTGATGGGGGGAGAGATGTGCTGGTTAGTCTTGGTGGAAGAGGGACCTGTGCCTTTGTGACAGAGGGTAGAGGAGGAAGGTGGTGTGGAGGTGTGGACAGAGCATTATCAGATACTGAGAGAGATGTGGCCAGGATGGGGGTGGATGCACAGTCTTTCTATAAATTTGTCTACCAACAGTTGAAGCCAACTGCTGCAGTGGGGAAGCAGGGCTGAATTGGAGTCACGAGAAGTGTGGGAGAGGTGTGGACAGCAACTGTGGGGGCCGCAGCAGGGGAGTTAGTGATGGATGAGGTATCGCCTGTCTAGCAGAAGGATACAAGCTGAGCCTGGTCAACACCAACCTGTGGTTGGCCCAAAAGGCAAAAGTTTGCAGCACCCTCTAGCAATGCTCAGAGTGGAGGAAAGTGCTGTGGGCTGGTTCTGGGTGGGCTGGTTCTGGGTGGGGAGCTGGCAGGGCAGAGGAGGTAGTCTGGAGTTGGAGAGAACAATCCCCCCACAAACCTAGTCCTCCTCCCAACTGATGTGCTTGGACTGCTTGCTCCCTTGACATCCCAGCAATTCTCTGCCGGAGCACTCTGCTCCAGCAAACACAGCACCCATCATACATAAGCCTTATATTTTTAATAAAAAATAAACAGTCTCTGACAAGCAGTTTTCTGAATCCCAAAACAAAGGAAAAGGGAGGGGGAGAGGTGAAGGGGTCAGCTAGGGTAAAGGAGTGAAGAAGGCTCAGATTACCCCTGCCATTCTGCCAGGGCAGAAGGGATCAGAGTCTGCCCCAACTGAAGCAAGAAGAAAGGTGGTCAGACTTCAGGAAAGACTTCCTGGGAGTCAGCGGTGCACGACTGGTAAGGGAAGCAGGAGGGAGCAGATCCCTGCATGACCCTGGGAGAAGGGAGTGTTGGTGTCCAAAGCGGCAGCTTCAGAGTGGAGTTTCCAGGAGTGGCATGTTAGCATATGATTGTTTAGATGTTTGGTGTTCATTACCATAGGGTCCTGGGACAGGCAGGTTTTTTAGGGTCTCTTGAAACACTGTGTTTCTGGAGGGTCCCTGGAATGGCCAGAACTGAAGGATCCTCTCCAGGTTCTTCAATATCAGTGTAGGAGCAGGTCTGGGGGTAGCCCCCACCCTGTTAGAGAGCTCATGTGCTTGGTAGAAGGGAGTCCCATAGGGGAGGCAGACTGCTGTGCATCACCCTGCTGAGTGTCATCAGTGATGCAGAGTAGCAGAAGCTCCTCTCAGGGGAGAAAGGTGGTCTTTTGTGCTGCTGTCATCCTAGTCAGGGCTGTGCTTGGGCCGCCCAGCCAGCATGGCCAGGTGCCTGCACCGCAGCCCCGGCCTGTGCCTAGAGTTTAAGCTACCTCAGTGCCTAGGCAGTTGTTGTCAGCGTCCACATCACTGGCAGAGGTCCTGCATTCCTTGGGAGACTGGAGGTGTTGCTCTCTGCTTAACGGGGCCTTCTCCCCAGGGCGCAGGGTCTCACAGCCCTGAACCTTGCCCCGAGCCCGGAGTGCTCTCAATGGGGAGGCCACGAGGATGATGAGGGCTCCTGAAAGCACTAAGGCAAAGAGGACAGTGACAGTGACAAAGTGGGGCCAGTAGGACTGCTGGGCAGCCAGGGCGGCCCCACCACTGACCCTGGTCAACGGGACCTTCACATGCTCCCGGGGGATGCCTGCCAGTTCAGGATCCAGGGCCAGGGTCTGGTCCTGGCTGTCCACCCAGTAGGAGATCACAGGGTATGAAAAGCCATTCTCAGTTGCCCAGCACTGGTAGAGACCCCCAACTCCATCCTGCACTATCAGCAAGAGGGAGCCATTGTAGACAGTGGAAGAGGCTTCTGGGACTGCTGCTGGGCCATGACTCCAATAATAAGAGGCCAAGGCTGACAGGTGGGGGCAGGGGAGCTCCAGGATGGAGTTGGGGACAGCCAGGACTTCTTTAACTGTAGGAGAAAGAAAGGAGCAAAAGGGTTAAGGGAGAAGTGAAGGATGGAGACAGGAGAGAGTCTCTAACCTATCTTTGGACCCCAGCCCTCTTTTTTTTTTTTTTTTGAGGCAGGTTCTGGCTCTATTGCCCAGGCTGGAGTGCAGTGGCACAACCTCAGCTCACTGCAACCTCAGCTCACTGCAACCTCTGCCTTCTGGGCTCAAGGCATCCTTCCACCCCAGCCTCCCGAATAGCTGGGACTACAGGCATGTGTTTCCACGCCTGGTTAATTTTTGTAGAGATGGGGTTTTACCATGTTGGCCAGGCTGGTCTGAAACTCATGAGCTCAAACAATGGTAGAAGGGAGTCCCGCCTCAGCCTCTCAAAGTGCTGGTATTACAGGAGTGAGCCACTGAGCCTGGCCTGGACCCTAACTCTTATCTCCAACTTCCATTTCAATCCCAAACTCAAATTTCACTCCTCCTTAATCTCCAGTCTGGACCCCAAACTAAGCCCCAGTCCACCTAACTCCAACTCAGACACCAAAATCAACTGCAACCTCAATCCTGAATCCCAGCTTGGCCTCCAGCTCAGAATTCCTATGCCTCTTCCCTATAGCCAGGACCCAAATCCATCCCAACTCGGGTGTTCAGATCTCAAGCCAGGCAGGTGCTGGGGGAGGAAATTGGAGCAGGAATGCCCACCCCTGCCCAAAAGTCTTCCAGAGCCTTTGCACCTCCCCTGGTGAGTGGTCCTACACTCACTGATTTGCGGGCGGCTCTGAGGCCGAAGGCTCCTGCTCATGGGGCCACTGGCACATGCCCACTCTGGGTTCCCCCGCTCCATGTCCTGCTTCCAGGAGTTCCTAAGAGAGCAGAGAAAGTAAAAATTATCCTTCAAAAGAGCTGAAAGTGGGAAGAGGAAGGAGGAAGGGAGGAAGTGCAGTAGGGAAGAAGGTAGGCCAGGGGAGACTAGGAACAGAGAGAGGAACGCGGAATGGCCAGAGCAGCTTCAAAACTGCCTGGAAACTCCATCCCTGGAGGAACCCACTGCAGGATGGGAGGACTCTTGGAGTGAATATGTCAGTAGCCCCTGGAGAGAGGAAGAACAGTAGCAGAAGCTGGCTGAGAAGGGTCCTGGCTGGCCATCCAGGCCACCATCCAGGACTGGCACTCACAGGTTGGGGGCAGACAGGAGGCAACAGGTTCGGGACTCAGGGTCCCAGGCACAGTGGGGGTCCCGGGCAAGGACACAGTCCACACAGCTCTCATAGACACTACAGTTGGCTCGGGGCACCCTCCAGACACCTCCTGAGAAGCCTACAAACACTGCACCCTGGAAGAGAGATGGAGATTGTCAGGGAGCCCCAGCCACATCTAGTAAAGTCCCAGCACGCTGGTGCAGGCCCAGGGAGCCAGCCCAACAGGCCCCCAAGGCCAGCCCCACTGGAAGGCCATTTGATGGTCAGGTCCCTTCCCACCTGGGTGGGGGCCAGCTGCAGGTTGCGAACAGGTTCAGGGTCAGGGAACAGCTGAATCTCTTCCACCAGATGAGCACTGCTGTCCCCACTTACCACAGCCTTGTGGAGCGACCCTGTGGCTATGGGGAGACAGAGAGAGTGGAAGTCATCTCATCTCATCCACAGATCCCTTCCCAACTTCCGGGGGCCTCCCCAGCTGTAAGAAAGCTCCTTCTGAGGGTGATATGTACTGGGCGCGGGTCAGCCAGATCATTCACCTTCCTCTGTGCCATGGAGATGGCAGTCTCTTGTAAATGACTAAAATCCCTTGGACCCCTGTCCTTCCTTTGCAACTCCCTGACAAAACTTTGTCCCTGGAGAAACCCAGCTATTTCTCCATAGGCATGAAACAGTGGGCGGCTGGGTGCTTCTGTAGAAAATCACATCACCTGCCTCCCTCACATCCATCAAGCACCTCAGTGAGGTCTACCTGGCCACCCTTTTAACAGGTGCAACCTCCTTACCTGGCATTCCTGATTCCCCCGCACACACCTCTACGTGACTCAAATCTCATGATGTGCCATGTAATTTACTTATTCAGGATGCTATTGTCTGTCTCCATCCACTCCACAAAGACTGAGATTTTTGACTGTTTTGTTCTCTGCTGTATACCCAATACATGCACAGCTGATACAGTGCCTAGTAATCTGTCCTGAAGGAATGAATGAACTTGACAAATTTCTTCCACTGACCCTCAAGGTTATCCTGCCTGAGCAGTCTGCCTGGGCAGTCTTGCTGCATTCTCTGCTGACTCCGTCTCCCTCTTTCCACAATGGCTATTTTTTTTTTTGAGACGGATTTTCACTCTTGTCACCCAGGCTGGAGGGCAGTGGCACAATTTTGGCTCATTGCAACCTCTGCCTCCCAGGTTCAAGTGATTCTCCTGACTCAGCCTCCCGAGTAGCTGGGATTACAGGTGCGTGCCACTACACACTGCTAATTTGTTTGTATTTTTAGTAGAAACGGGTTTCACAATGTTGGCCAGGCTGGTCTCGAACTCCTGACCTCAGGTGATCCACCCACCTCAGCCTCCCAAAGTGCTGGGATTACAGGCGTGAGCCACTGTGCCCAGCCCACAATGGCTATTTGAATCTACCTCTCTCTCCTCAAACCTCCCACCTTTCCTGCCCCCTCACTCCCAGCTCATGACCTTGTGTCCTCCACCTACATAGAGAACACAAAAGCCTTCAAATAAGAGCTCCCTTGGCTTCCTACCCTGAGCCTGCACACCCACCAAGTCACACCCCGCTGCTACAGCTTCACTCCCAGCCCAGCTCAGGTGCTGTCCCCCCCGCCACCCACAGCTGCCCAGCTCGACATGTGTCCTGGACTCTGGCCGCCTGCTCCCGCCACAACTTTACCTGCCACTTATCCCTTCTTCTACCCATCTCTTTGCCATCCCCCTGTCTACTAGATGCTTAGTCCTTCCTGTCTACAAAACAAGAACCCTGGGGGCAAGGAGGGGGAAAAAACAAAACCAAGAACCCCAGCTGCGCCCCACTCCGTGCTCCAGCCACCACCTCCTTCCTCTCTCCCTTCACAGACGAGCTTCCTGAAGGAGTGATCTCTACATGTGCGGTTTCCAGCTCCCCTCCACCCACTCACCTTTCATTCCTCTAACATAGCTTCCCTCATAAGACACACAGCTCTTGATAAAGCCACCAAAGACCTCCCTGTCTGCCTCCCCCACCATAGGAAGCTCAGAAAGGGTAGGGAGTGGACTGTTTTGCTCCTCTGCTGTATTTCCAGAACCTAGCAGAATGCCAGGCACATAGCAGGTGCTCAGTAAACAGTTGTTGAATGAATAAGTGAATGAACTCAAGGGTTTCCCTCCTCAACCTGGGGGCATCCTCTGCTCTAGTCCTCTGGGGGATGTCCCGGAACTCTTTACTCACTGGTTCCCAGGTACATGACAAGATGGCTGTGCCCATCAAGGCCCTGGGCTGTCTCCACTGCAAGCCGTGTATACTCCACGCCAGATTTCACCAGCAGGGGCGTCCCCACCACTTGCTCATCCATCAGGAAATGGTCCTTCATGAAGGTCAGGGCCTTATCAGAGGAGGGGCCCACTGAGCACTAAAGGAGGAGGGAGGCAGATCAGGTTGGTTTGCCCCTTCCCCTCAGCTCACCCTCCCTCCAACGCCTGCTCTTCTCCCTTTACCCCCTCCCTCATGGCAGTCCTCATTTCAGGGTGGTGGTTAAAGCTCCGACTCTGGAGCTGCCTGATTGTGCGTCCCAGCCTCTGCATGCCTGAAGTTTCTCAGCTGTGAAGTGGGCCTATTACCAAGACCTGCCTCATAGGCTCGCTGGGAAAATGAAATGCACTAATACATGAAAAATAATTCAAACAGTGCTTGGCATGAAGCAAGCACTCAGCAAATGTTAACTGTTATTACTGTTCTCCTCCTTTGCACCTCCAGCAAGGAGGCCTGGCAGCCAGCAGGAAGCAGGACGAAGCCTCCTTATAGGCAAGTACCAAGTTTTATGGCTGGGCGCAGTGGCTCACACCTGTAATCCCAGCACTTTGGGAGGCCTAGGTGGGTGGATCACCTGAGGTCAGGAGTTCGAGACCAGCCTGGCTAGCATGGTGAAACCCCGTCTCCACTAAAAATACAAATATTAGCTGGGGGTGGTGGCATGCCTGTAATCACAGCTACTTAGAAGGCTGAGGCAGGAGAATCACTTGAACCCAGAAGGCAGAGGTTGCAGTGAGCCGAGATTGTGCCACTGCACTCCAACCTGGGCGACAGAGAGAGACTCCGTCTCAAATAAATAAATAAATAAATAAATAAATAAATAAATAAACAAACAAACAAACAGCCGGGCACAGTGGCTCACGCCTGTAATCCCAACACTTTGGGAGGCCGAGGCTGGCGGATCACGAAGTCAGGAGATCGAGACCATCCTGGCTAACATGGTGAAACCCCGTCTCTACAAAAAATAAAACAAAATCAGCTGGATGTGGTAGCAGGCACCTGTAGTCCCAGCTACTCGGGAAGGCGAGACAGGAGAATCGCTTGAACCCGGGAGGCAGAGGTTGCAGTGAGCCGAGATTGCGCCACTGCACTCCAGCTTGGGCGACAGAGTGAGACTCGGTCTCAAAAACAAAATAAATAAATTAATTAATTAATTAATTAATTAATTAAAAAATACAAAAATTAGCCAAGCATGGTGGCAGGCACCTGTAATCCCAGCTACTCAGGAAGCTGAGGCAGGAGAATCACTTGAACATGGGAGGCGGAGGTTGCAGTGACCCAAGATTGTGCCACTGTACTCCAGCCTGGGCAACAGAGTGAAACTGTGTCTCAAAAAAGAAATTTAAAAAAGGACCAAGTTTTACTCATGTCTGTATTTCCCAGCATAGCACAGGATCTGGCACACAGTTGGTGCTCAATAAATGTTTGCTGAGTCAATGACTGAATGGATGTCACAGAAAGGGGTGGTGTAGCACGGAGCATTTCTCCTCACGGTTTTGCACGAACTTGCTGCATGACTCTGGGAGAATCCCTTCTCCATTCTGAGCCTCCTTTTTCTCACCCATAAAATGAGGGGGTTGGACCAACTGTTCTCTAAAGGCCCTGCTAATATGAGGATGCTGTGGCTCTGGGACACCCGTGTCTTGATCTTCAGTCAGGATCCTTGTTCTCCAAGAGCACTGTCTTAGGGCCAGCCCCAACTCTGTCACCTATAAGCTGTGTCCTTAGACAAGCTGTTTCACCTCTCTGACCTTCAACCTCATCTGCAAAATAGGTAATAACATCTACATCTCATTTTGATGCCAGAATGAGCACATGCACCTACTCTCATGTCCTCCCAAAGGGTTTTTTTGTTTGTTGTTTTTTATTTTTACAAATAGAGACAGGGTCTTACTATATTGCCAAGGCTGGTCTCAAACTCCTGGCCTCAAGTGAACCTCTTACCTTGGCCTCCCAAAGTGCTGGGATTATAGGTCAAAGGGTTTTTTTTTTAAAAAATTGTTTTTTGAAACAGGGTCTCACTGTCATCCAGGCTGGAGTGCAGTGGCATGATCTTGGTTCACTGCAGCCTTGACCTCCTGGCCTCAAGCCATCCTCCTACCTTAGCCTCCTGAGAAGCTGGAACCACAGGTGTGTGCCACTGTGCCTGGCTAATTTTTTTTTTTTTTTTTTGAGACGGAGTCTCACTCTGTCTCCCAGGCTGGAGTGCAGAGGCCTGATCTTGGTTCACTGCAAGCTCCGCCTCCCGGGTTCACCCCATTCGCCTGCCTCAGCCTCCCGAGTAGCTGGGATTACAGGCGCCCGCCACCACGCCTGGCTAATTTTTTTCTATTTTTAGTAGAGATGGGGTTTCACCATGTTAGCCAGGATGGTCTCGATCTGACCTCATGATCTGCCCACCTCGGCCTCCCAAAGTGCTGTGGGATTACAAGCGCCTGGCCTTTTTTTTTTTTTTTTTTTTTTTTGAGACAGTATCGCTCTGTTGCCCAGGCTGGAGTGCAGTGGCACAATCTTGGCTCACCGCAACCTCCGCCTGGAGAATCAAGCGATTCTCCTGCCTCAGCCTCCCAAGTAGCTGGGATTACAGGCACCCGCCACCACGCCCAGCTAATATTTGTATTTTTAGTAGAGACGGGGTTTCAACATGTTGGCCAGGGTGGTCTCCAACTCCTGACCTCAAGTGATCCACCCACCACTGCCTCCCAAAGTTCTGGGATTACTGGCATGAGCCACCACGCCTGGACCCAGCTAATTTTTTATTATTTGTAGAGATGGGGGTCTCACTATGTTACCCAAGCTGATCTCCAATTCCTGGCCTCAAGTTATCCTCCCACCTCGGCCTCCCAAAGTGCTGGGATAACAGGCATCAGCCATCGCACCTGGGCCAAAGGGAATTTTTTTTGAGACGGAGTCTTGCTGTGTCGCCAGGCTGGAGTGCAGTGGCACGATCTCGGCTCACTGCAACCTCCACTTCCCGGTTTCAAGCAATTCTCGTGCCTCAGTCTCCCAACTAGCTGGGATTACAGGCACATACAACCACACCCAGCTAATTTTTGTATTTTTAGTAGAGACGGGGTTTCACCATGATGGCCAGGATGGTCACGATCTCCTGACCTCATGATCCACGTGCCTCGGCCTTCCAAAGTGCTGGGATTACAGTGTGAGCCACCACGCCCGACCAGGGAATTTTTAAAAAGACATAAACCAGCCAGGCGTGGTGGCTCACACCTGTAATCCCAGCACTTTGGGAGGCTGAGACGGGCGGATCACGAGGTCAGGAGATCGAGACCATCCTGGCTAACACAGTGAAACCCCATCTCTACTAAAAATACAAAAAAATTAGCCAGGCATGGTGGCGGGCGCCTGTAGTCCCAGCTACTCCGGAGACTGAGGCAGGAGAATGGCATGAACCTGGGAGGCGGAGCTTGCAGTGAGCCGAGATCGCACCACTGCTCTCCAGCCTGGGCAACTGAGCGAGCAAGACTCCGTCTCAAAAAAAAAAAAAAAAAAAAAAAAAAGAAAAGAAAAGACATAAACCTAGATGAGGGAGGGATGGGGAGAACAAGAGAGAAATGCAAAAGCATCCACATTTTGGAAGCTGGAAAGCGAATGAACAAATAGAAAAGACTTAACAGAGAAAGAGAGAGAGAGAGAGAAGAATCTTCTCAAGCCAGCCCTGGAGGAAGCCCCAAAACATTTGGAAGGCAGGATTCCTAAAGTTCACGAATTACTAATCTCAGCAACCTCTGGAAGTGAGGTTAATGGGGATGCTAAATAAGGAGGATTATTTGAAAGTCTGTTTAAGAAACAGGCAGGTACTCTCCAAACTCCACAGAGCTGGGTGACTGCCCCTTCCACATCCTGGCCCAAGACTGGAGGTTTATCCACCAGAGAGAGTAAAACAGAGGGTTTCTGGATGGAGGATAGCAGGCCCAGTTGATGGGGACACCATCCTGAAAGAGGGGGATTCAATAAGGTAAGTACACTACATGATGAGACTCTTTCCCAAACCCAACCCTCTTCCCCTGTGGCTCCCAGACACCAAGAGCCAGATCATCTGCCTCTGCACAGAAGACTAGAAGAGGCTGCTCTGGGAAACTGACTGGAGGTCTAAGAGGAAAGACTTAATGACCTAAGATACAGTAAAGATACTGACATTGAAGATTCCCACCAAACAGCCCAGCCAGACCACCCTCAGTGGTGACATAACAGAGACCAAATTGCCAAGACTTAGTTATGGACACAGAGCTCCAAACAGCTTCAAGGTCTCCCACTGTTAAATATGAGTACACATTCAAGGACTACCAGACATGTAAGTAAAACCACCAACATGAAGGAAACCAAAATAAACAAATAGGGGAAAAAAAAAAGAAGAAGAAGAAGAACCAACAAAAACCTGAGAGGCCAGGCATGGTGGCTCATGCCTGTAATCCCAGCACTTTGGGAGGCCGAGACGGGCAGATTGCCTGAGGTCAGGAGTTCGAGACCAGTCTGGCCAACACGGTGAAACCCCATCTCTACTAAAAATAGAAAAAAATTAGCTGGGCGTGGTGGTGGGCGCCTATAATCCCAGCTACTCAGGAGGCTGAGGCAGGAGAATCGCTTGAACCAGGGAGGTGGAGGTTGCAGTGAGCCGAGATCGTGCCACTGCACCCCAGCCTGGGCAACAGAACAAGACTCTGTCTCAAACAAAAAAAAAGTAAGCTGGGCGCAGTGGCTCATGCCTGTAATCCCAGCACTTTGGGAGGCCGAGGCGGGTGGATCACCTGAGGTCAGGAGTTCAAGATCAGCCTGGCCAACATGGTGAAATCCCATCTCTACTAAAAATACAAAAATTAGCTGGGTGCTGTGGCGGCGCACGCCTGTAATCCCAGCTACTCAGGAGTCTGAGGCAGGAGAACTGCCTAAAGCCGAGAGGTGGAGGTTGCAGTGAGCTAAGATCGCGCCATTGCACTCCAGCCTGGGCAACAGAGTGAGACTTCATCTCAAAAAAAACAAAAAACAAACAAACAAAAAAACTAAGAGGAAACAGAAATGAATCAGAAAGAAGAAAACTTCACAGAAATCCATCATTACTATCCTATGAGAGATATGTGAAAACAGTGCATCCATGAAACAGGAAGCGAATGCTGCCAAAGAAGAGTCTTTCCTTCACACAAAGAGGGCTGCCAGGCATTACGTGCATCCAGAACAAAGAGCACACAACCACGATGAAGTAATCTTGCCCCTCCTCCAAACCAAATCTGAATCCGATTAAGTCTCTAGATCCAACTACTGAACAATTTACAGGAAATACTTAAACTACACTACAGAGATGCAATCATCAAGATCCAGGCTGTGGAAGACTCTGACAAGCAAAAAAATGCACGAGAAAAATAGAAGATGGAAAGGGATTATGTAAATATTTTTCTTTTTCTTTTCTTTTCTTTCTTTTTTTTTTTTTTTTTTTTGAGACAGGGTCTCACTCTGTTGCCCAGGCTGGAGTACAGTGGGGTGCAGCCTCGACCTCCCGGGCTCAAGTGATCCTCCTACTTCACCCTTCCAAGTAGCTAGGACTACAGGCACGTGGCACAACACCCAGCTAATTTTTAAATATTTTGTAGAGATGGGGGTCTTACTATATTGCCCAGGCTGCTCTCAAACTCCTGGGCTCAAACAATCCTTCCACCTCAGCCTCCCAAAGTGCTGGGATTGCAGGCTCGAGCCACTGTACCTGGTCTTAAATTTCTTTTAATCTATACAATCCCAGGTGAGGCATGGTGGCTTACACCTGTAATCCCAGCACTTTGAAAGGCTGAGGTGGGAGGATTGCTTGAACCCATGAGTTTGAGACCCTGCCTCTACAAAATATTAAAAAATTAACTGGGTGTGGTGGTGGGTGCTTGTAGTTCTAGTTACTCAGGAGGCTGAGGTAGGAGGATCACTTGAGCCCAGGAGGTCGAGACTGTTTGGCAGAAACGAAAAATCTTTTTCTTTCTTTCCTTTCTTTTTTTTTTTGAGATGAAGTCTTGCTCTGTCATCCAGGCTGGAGTGCAGTGGCACCATCTTGGCTCACTGCAACCTCCACCTCCTGGGTTCAAGAGATTCTTCTGCCTCAGCCTCCGGAGTAGCTGGGACTACAGGTGTGTGCCACCACGCCTGGCTGATTTTTGTATTTTTAGTAGAGACGGGGTTTCACCATGTTGGCCAGGCTGGTCTGGAACTCCTCACCTCAGGTGATCCACCTGTCTCAGCCTCCCAAAGTGCTGAGATTACAGGTGTCAGCCACTGCACCTGGCCTTCTTTCTTTTTTCTTTCACTGTCTCTGAACACAGAAATGAAAAACCTGACAGAAAGATTGGAAGACAAAGTTGAGACACTCTTCCAGAAAAATAGAACACAACCAAAGACTTGGACAGTAGGAAAGCTTAAAAAAAGTGAGAAGACTAGTCTAGGAGGTCCAGAAAAAAGTGAGAAAACACCCCATTGGAATGTAAGCCCCATGAGGCAAGGGACTTTCATCTGTTTTGCTCACTTCTATATTCCCTGCCCAGAATAGTAGCATGTGTCCTCAAAAAATATTTGTTGAATGAAAAGAAGATAGGGCCGGGCACAGTGGGTCACACCTGTAATCCCAGCACTTTAGGAGGCCAAAGCAGGTGTATTGCTTGAGCTCAGGAGTTCAAGACCAGCCTGGGCAACATGGTGAAACCTAGTTTCTACTAAAAATACCAAAAAAAGACCGAGCACAGTGGCTTACACCTGTAATCCCAGCACTTTGAGAAGCCAAGGCAGACAGATCACCTGAGGTCAGGAGTTTGAGACCAGCCTGGGCAACATGGTGAAACCCTGTCTCTACTAAAAATACAAAAATTAACTGGGCATGGTGGAGGGCACCTGTAGTCCCAGCTACTCGGGAAGCTGAGGCAGGAGAAGTGCTTGAACCTGGGAGGTGGAGGTTGTAGCAAGCCAAGATAGAGCCATTGCACTATAGCCTGGGGGACACAGCAAGACTCCATCTCAAAAAAAAAAAAAAAAAGAAGATAGGAAGATATAGTTCAAGAAAACTCAGAACTGAAAGAACTAAGATAACTAATTTCCAGGCTGAAGTGGCCCATTGAGTACCCAGCACAATAAATGAGTAGTGTTCCATCAAAGCACAACACCATGAAATTTCAGAACACCAGGACAAAGAAAAAGCACTATAAGATTCCAGTGAGGGCAGTGAGGTACACTGCCTATAAGGTAGCCCTGCTCCACAAGGATCAGTATTAAAAAAAACAAAAAAAAAAGATTTCAGTGAAATAAAACCAGGTTACATTCAGAGGGCTAGGGATCAGAATAACTTTGGGCTTCTCAACAGTACCTCTGGAAGCTAGAAGATAATAGAGCAAGGCCTTCAAAGTTTGAAGGAAACGTATTTCTATTCTAGAATTACGTATACCTAGCTGAACTATCAAATAGGAAAGTAGAATACATTTTCAGACACTCAAGATCTTAAAATGTTTTACCTGCCATGTATCCTTTTCCAGGAATCTACAAAGGATAACCTCCACCAAAATGAAATAGTTGAAAAGAAAAAAGAAAAAAAAAAGAGGAAGCCATGGGACACAAGAAACAAGAGATCTGTCACAGGAAAGAGGCAAAGGGAATCCCCAGAATGATGAGGCAGGGGAATTCCAGGATGGCATCTGTGCTCCGGGAGTAGACGGCACTAGTCTAGACTGGAGCAGTCAGAAAGGCTCTCCAGGAAGATGAAACTGTTAGAAAAGCTAATAGGTCTGTCTTCAGAAGAGATTCAGATAATTTAAGAAGAGTTTGGGGTTGGATTAAAGATAAGAGCTTAGACCAGGCACAGTGCCTCATGCCTGTAATCCTAGCGCTTTGGGAGGTCAAGGTAGGAGGATCAACTGAGGTCAGGAGTTAGAGACCAGTCTGGCCAACATGGTGAAACCCCATCTCTACTAAAATTACAAAAATTAGCTGGGTGTGGTGGCGCACACCTGTAATCCCAGCTACTCGGGAGGCTAAGGCAGGAGAATCGCTTGAACCCAGGAGGCCGAGGTTGCAGCGAGCCGAGATCACGCCATTGCACTCCAGCTTGGGCGACAGAGTGAGACTCTGTTTCAAAAAAAATAAAAATAAAAATAAATAAAAAGCTTAGAAAACAAAGCAAGCAGAAAAGTCAAGATAATTACTAACCCCAGGGAAAACAAAACTATGCAAAAAGGAAAAGTAATCATGGCTTACTGCCTGGCTAGGCTGTGAATAAGAAGAGTCATAATATAAATATTGATCTAACCAAAATTACTAGAAAACTACGTTAGGAGATTGGGGGTGGGTGCAGTTACTGTATGTTGGTCCAAGTCAGCTTTTGCGGGAGAGGGTTAGAAAGCCGATTTGCATTGTTTGCTGATTTCCGTGATGTATACTTCCACCATGGCTAATTTCAAGCTACCAGTGTAGTATCACTAAACACAAATTTGGAAAAAGATGGGCAAAAACAGTTCTTGCTGGCTGCTGCAAGTCAGCTCTAGCACACCACTGGGTGGAGGTGGGGGTTGGGGAACATAGTTAAATCCTCACTTTCTACAGTGGGAATTCAACAGATACTGTCTGAAACTGAAACGTCACGAAGTAGCAATAAATCATGTTATTTAGAAATTTTGAGATAAATTTGAAAAGAATCAGCTAAAAGAGTTGAAAATGGTTGGGGAGAGGTGGAGGATGGGAAATAGGACTGCTTTTTATAGTCAACCCTATAGATCTATTTCATTTTAGATCTATTTGATTCTTCAAATCATGTACATATAATAGCTCTGATTTTTTCTCTTTTTGTAGAGGAGAAAATGTTGCCTCACCATGTTGCCCAGGCTGTGATTTTTTTTTTTTTTTTTTCATTTAAAAACTTCTTTAGAGACAGCATCTTGCTCTGGTCACCCAGGCTGGAGTGCATTCTCGTGATCATAGCTTACTGCAGCCTTGAACTCCCAGGCTCAAGTGATCCTCCCACCTCAGCCTCTTGAGTAGCTGATTACAGGCACATGCCACCAGGCCCAGCTCATTTTTTTTGGTAGAGACAGAGTCTTACAATGTTGCCCAGGCTGGTCTCAAACTCCTGGCCTCAAGTGAACCTCCTGTCTCAGTCTCCCAAATGGCTGGGATTACAGGCATGAGCCACCATGCCCAGCCTCTGATTTTTTTTTTTTTTTTTTTTTTTTTTTTTGAGACTGAGTCTCACTCTTTCACCCAGGCTGGAGTGCAGTGGCGCAATCTTGGCTCACTGCAACCTCTGCCTCCCGGGTTCAAGCGATTCTCCTGCCTCAGCCTCCCAGTAGCTGAAATTACAGTCGCGTGCCACCATGCCTGGCTAATTTTTGTATTTTTAGTAGAGATGAGGTTTCACCATGTTAGCCAGGCTGTTCTCAAACTCCTGACCTCAAGTGATCCACCTGCCTCGGCCTCCCCAAGTGTTGGGATTACAGGTGTGAGCCACCACACCCGGCCCTGGCCTCTGATTTTTTTAAAAAGTTAAATAAATGCAGGTGGCAATGCCCAAGACAGTCCTTGGCACACAGCGCATGTTCCCTTGTTTCCATAGTGATATACCCAGATATTTGGTGTACACTTAGCCTTGGTGAAGGGAGATGGCTCCAGCAACTGCTCCGTGTATAAAAGGGTGCTAGGCACATGTGGAATATAGGCAGCTATACCAGGTGTACGTCTGAGCAGGCGAGATTGGTGGGGTGGAGAGCACTAACATTTATTGGGCATTTACTATGCCATGATAGGTGTTTTTTCATGCACATTATGTATGTGTAGACTGTGCTCAGTGTGGGGGGTAGTACTCACACTGCCTGGCCGGGGGTTGGTCTCAGGGCCCCTATAAGTAGTCCAGCGTGAAGTTTCTTTGTTCAACTCTTTGTATTTCCCCTTAAAGACACGTTCAATGTCCAAGAGAGAGAAGGCACAAACCGCAGAGCTCCTGGTCCCGCCAACCTGCCTGGAGACAGCCAGAGGGAACATTGTCTGTGGTCTCTGCCACACCAGCAGCTCTCTCTCCAGCGCTGGCCCTCAGTGAGAAAACCCAGGAGGCAAGAGTGTGGAGAGCTGGGCCAGCCTCCAGCTACCACTCCTTCCCCTCACTGTGTTGATAAGGGCCAAGGGAGCCCCATGGAATTCCCTGACTCTGGCCCAGGGCCTGGCTCTAGGCCCATCTTGGGATCTGAAGTCTGATTATCCTTAATGAGAATTAATTGGGGCTCAGGCCCTGGGGTGGCCCCTGCCTGTCCTGCCTACACTGGGCTGCACCCATTGGAGGGACAGTGTAACCAGCTCTAGCCTGGCTCCACACAAACCCCTCTTCCTTTGAGTCTCTTGGATCCCTGGTCCTCAGAGAACCGACCAGTGCCTGACTACCAGACTGTTATTATTCCTCAACCCTGGTCTGTGGAGACAGGAGGTCTGTTTCTCTGCTCTCTTGAAGCTGACTACTGTATACACCAGGCTCTCAATTCTGGATCCTGTGGATACCAGATCCCACTTACCCCAAATACCTTTGGTACCTGACACATTGTCAGCAGGTACCTAAACACTGTGGGGCCAGACCATGACTCGGGGACCTTGGACAAATTGGTTAACCTTTCTCAACCTTCAAGCAATGACTTTATTTTTATTTATTTTTTTTGAGACGGAGTCTCACTGTGTTGCCAGGCTGGCGTGCAGTGGTGCGATCTTGGCTCACTGCAACCTCCGCCTCCCGGGTTCATGGGATCCTCCTGCCCCAGGCTCACGAGTAGCTGGGACTACAGGCATGCGCCACCACACCTAGCTAATTTTTGTGTTTTTAGTAGAGACGGGGTTTCACCATATTGGCCAGGATGGTCTTGATCTCCTGACCTCGTGATCTGCCCACCTCGGCCTCCCAAAGTGCTGGGATTACAGGCATGAGCCACCGCACCCGGCCGACTTTATTTTTATCTTCTGATACGGATAGCGTTTCCCTGTTTGCCCTGGCCATTAGGAAATGCAGAGCTAAATTTGTGGCTGGCATCCAGGGACTATCCTACATCTTATGACAAGCATTTGTAGTGTGTTGGCCTTACCCTTGGCTTCTCATATTCTCCTTTTATTCCCATTTCTGTATCTATTTTATCGATTTTAATATTTGCCTTTTGTAAAATGCTTCCTATCCCTTTTGGAACTAGGCAGAATATAAACTAGTTAGAACCTCTCTGCGTCTTATTTTTCCCATTTACAAAAAGGGCATGAGTCAAATTCCTGAGAGGTGGTGACGATTTAATGCCTTCCTATGTGAAAGTGCTGAGTAGGTGCTGGCTCATGTCAATTCCTGCCTCCGCTCACGAGCTGGGGCCTCACTGGCGTCAAGTCCCGTGTCCAGCCCCCATGGTCCAGCCCTGCTGCTCACCACTGGGAGGTGAAGACTGCGTAGATGTGGGGAGCTGTGGGAGAATCGGCGGGGAGCAGGACCGCGTGGCGGATGACGTTGAAGGGCAGCTGCCCCGGCTGGGTGCAGAGCAGCTGGGCCTTCAGGAAGGTGGTCCACTTCTTCTGCAGCAGCTTTTCGCCGCCCACGTCATTCTGGGGGCACAGGGGGAGTCAGGGGGCGCCCCGGGCGCCCCGACCCCCCAGCCCCGCGTGTCCTCCCCGCCCCCCGCAGCTCGGCGTGTCCCCCCAGTCCCCGCCAGCCCCGCGTGTCCCCACCCCGCCCCCTCAGCCACGCTTGTCCCCCGCCCCACCCGCCCAGCCCCGCTGTCCCCCGCCCCACCCCGCCAGGCCCGCTTGTTCCCCGCCCCGCTCCCCCGCTCTCACTGGGGGCCCACCACTCAGTCCTGCCCCTGCCATCTCCCTATTGGTTCTCCTCCAGTTAGCCCCGCCCCCCGCCCAGGCCGCGGACCTTGCAGACTCTAGCCACCCGCGATGTGTGGAGCCTCTCAAAGAAGTCAAACTCGCTGGCTGTCTCCTCGAAGAAGAAGTAGACGACCTGGGTCGAAGGGATGGCTGCCACAAAGGAGGCGTCATCTGCGGGGGAGGGGCAGATGGGCTTAGGGACTGAGCCCCTGCATGCCCTGGGTTTGCCTGAGTGAAAACCGTTGGTTTGGCCCTGGAGGCCAGGACACACAGGCTTCCTCGGGTCCCACAGCTTGTCGAGGGGTAGCGATGTGGGGTGGGGATGACTGGTACTTCTTTAATGTGTTTACATAAGACGAAAGCTTCAAGAGAACCGGAGCTTTGCCTTCTTCCCTGCCATATACCCCCTGCGCCTAACAGTAATGGACACATTGTACCTTCCGCAAATGAAAGTTGAGTGAATTAGCAAGGTCACCAGGACTCAGGAAAGGAGGCCAGCGGGGGTCAGGTCCTTACGATGCAGCCAGCGGAGGAAGTTGTCGGTCTTGAGGACAGGCTGGGATCCCAGTGTGCGCATCAGGATGGGCTCACTGCCCAGGAAGTTGTTCATAGTACCAGAATAGAGCATCCCATCTAGGGTGGAGGAGAGGAGAAGAGAGAACTGATGGGGTGGAGGGTTCCTCTGCCCTCCACAGACCTGCCTCTGACTGGGGCTGGCATCCATATCAGTCTCGGGGGCCCTGCATCAGTTCTGCACCTTCCTGGGGAGCCTCAAAGGCCAGCTCCCCCTCCTCACTAAGCACCCCTCTTAGCTTCCTCTCTCCACAGGAAATGGCCATCCTGTGTGGCCCTCCGTGTTTGGGCACTTTTCCAGCCTTTCTGTGGCTACTTCGTCACATACCTAGCTGAACCACTTGCCAAGTAGAATCACTTACTGATCCTGGAAGGTGACTGTGTTTTCCACTTCCACACCTTGGGTCCTACCCTTCTCTCCCTGGAACACCTTCCCTGCCATCTGTCTACCTATCTTTTCAAGGTCCTGCTGAAAAGCCGAAGGCCATCTCCTCCAGGAAGGCAGGTGGGAAGTCTGTAATGGTTGGTGTCCAGTAGTGCATTGATACATGGTTTCTCTCTCCCTTTTTTTTTTTTTTTTTTTCAAGACAGGGTCTTGCTCACATCCAGGCTGGAGTGCAGTGGTGCCATCACAACTCACCGTAGCCTTGACCATCTCAAGCGATCCTCCCACCTCAGCCTCCCAAGTAGCTGGGATCACAGGCGCTTGTCCGGCTAATTTTGTTGTTGTTGTTTTTGTTTTGTTTTGTTTTTAGTAGAGACGAGGTCTCACTATACTATTGCCCAAGCTGGTCTCAAACTCCTGGGCTCAAGTGATCCACCCGCCTCAGCCTCCTAAAGTGCTGAGATTTCAGGTGTGAGCCACTGCACCCAGCCTGATTTCTTGTTTATAACTCCTATACTACCCAGCACAGTGCCCAGTACACCAGAGGAAGTGTTCACACAATTGTTGAACAGTGGCTCAGTCTCAGGCCTCTTCTCTACCCAATACCCTTCCCGGGCCCTCGTGCCTCTGTCTCTCCACATGCATCTTTCTCCACCACTTTTTGTGGCAATTTCAGCAGGAGCTGGTGGTTGGGGTGCTTAATTCTCCCTCTGATCTTGTGTTCTGAGGCTTCTGGCTTCCCTCTCTCTCTCTGTCCTCTGCATTTTCTGTTTTGTTTTGTTTTGAGACAGAGTCTTGCTTTGTTGCGCAGGCTGGAGTGCAGTGGCGCGATCTTGGCTCACTGCAACCTCCACCTCCTGGGTTCAAGCAATTCTTGTGACTCAGCCTCCCGAGTAGCTGGGACCATAGGTGCGCCCTACCACGCCTGGATAATTTTTGTATTTTTAGTAGAGATGGGGTTTCACCATGTTTACCAGGCTGGTCTCAGACTCCTGGGGTCACATGATCCACCCACCTCAGCCTCCCAAACTGCTAGACTGCTAGGATTACAGGCATGAGGCACTGAGGCTTTTTTTTTTTTTTTTTGAGACGATCTCGCTGTGTTGCCCAGGCTAGACTCAAACCCCTAAACTCAAGCATCCTTCAACTTCAGCTTCCAAATAACTGGGACCATATGCACGCATCACCACACCCAGTTTCCCCTGCCTTTTGGAAAACTCTGTAATATTCCATATTTCACAGCGTGACTGGAGAAAGTAGATGTTGGGATGAAGTGGGAAACCTGATACTCACCCACCAAGACAGCCGTATGCTTGTGAGCGGGGTCAAAGGGGCTTTGGCCTTTTCCCTCCATGACCTTGTCCTCCGAGATGGGCAACAGGTAGGAATCTTGAAGTTCCTAAATGGGGAGAGAGGCTGGGGGGCCAGAACGCCAAGGTCTCACATCTGGGAAATGAGGGGCTTGAGGAAGGAAGGGAAAGGGACATAGAGGGAAATTGGTCTGGGGCCAGGAAGTTCATGAGGGTCCTGCATCTGGAAGGCCAGAGTTTTCCAGAGCTACAGAGGAAAGTCGTGGGTAGATGTGAGAAGGGATGCTTGGGGGCCTGAGCGCTGGGCACCAGAGAACTCACAATGAAGGTACAAGCAGGGCTGAAGGCGAAGGTGCCGCAGGTGTAGAGATGGGTGACATTGTAAGAAACCAGGACACGGATGAAGTTGAAACACTGTGTCTGAGGGAGACAGAGAATTTAGGTCTCCAGGCCACCTGACTCAAATTGCTGGACCCCCAGAGGCTGCCCCCTCACTGAGGAGAAAGGCTAGGTAATGCTGGGGCAGTCCCTGTACGCCTCTGTAGAACATAATCCAGGAGATAACCGTGCAAACAAGTGCCCTCCACTGCCGCCCAACCTGAGGTCATCCAGGGATGGTCTAGGGATGCCAGAGCTCTCTACCCACTCTACCCCTACTCCCCCACCTCCACTTACCTCATTGCTCTTCTTCTTAAAGGCACATTCACTCTTTTTTCTGTCACTGGCTGGCCACGGTATCTGAAAGTGGGGAGTTGGGAGGGCGAGATGAAAAGAAATAAGGTCCTCAGTTCTAGCTGTGACCTGCCTCCCTTCTCTGCTCTGATGTGAAATAACCAGCAGACATGGTGGTTAGTGACATGCTGATGGGCAGTAATAACATCAGTTTGTGACCATGGCTATTACTTGAATAATACTGGTATCAGACATAGCTCCATAGTTGAACACAGCCTAAGGAATCAGACAGACCCAAGTTTAAATCTAGACTTGGCTATTTCCTGACTGAGAGATCTTGGTCAATTTCATAGGCTACTGGCAGATACAACCAGGTGGCATATACAAAACACCTAACACGATGAATGGTATATATGGCAGCAGTTGTCAAACCGCACATTTCCTGGGGAAATTGTTTAACAAGTTGGTTCCTGGGTCACGCCTTAGAGAATCTGCATTTTTAACCAGCATCTCATATGTGCAGGTGGTCAGCAGACTACACATCAGGATACATGAACCATGGAGGTGATTGCTAATATTGCTAGTGCCTTCTCTCCCTTTCTTCCTTCCTTCCTCACATTGTTCCCATTAATAGGGCGACTAAGACAGAAGCAGCCAGGCACAGTGGCTCACACCTGTAATCCCAGCACTTAGAAAGCCTGAGGCGGATGGATCACCTGAGGTCGGGAGTTCGAGACCAGGCTGACCAACATGGTGAAACCCCGTCTCTACTAAAAACAGAAAAATCAGCCATGCCTAGTGGCGGGCGCCTGTAATCCCAGCTACTCAGGAGACTGAGGCAGAATTGCTTGAACCCAGGAGGCAGAGGTTACAGTGAGCCAAGATCACGCCATTGCACTCCAGCCTGGACAACAGAGTGAGACTCCATCTCAAAAAAAAAAAGACACAGAAGCATCAGTGATTTCTACTAGTGGGTAGATATCAAATTATTGATATAATTTGAGTCAGTGTTTATCTCATATGTCAATGATTTCCATATCAGCCATTTTTGCAATTAATATTATTCAATCACTATTCACAATACCAGTGAAGAGTGAAGTCACAGGCCGGGTGCGGTGGCTCACGCCTGTAATCCCAACTCTTTGGGAGGCTGAGGCAGGCGGATCACCTGAGGTCAGGAGTTTGAGACCAGCCTGGCCAACATGGTAAAATCTCGTCTCTATTAAAATTAGCCTGGCATGGTGGTGCATGCTAGTGCCAGCTACTTGGGAGGCTGAGGCAGGAGAATTGCTTGAACCTGGGAGGCGGAGGTTGCAGTGAGCCAAGATCGTGCCACTGTACTCCAGCCTGGGCAACGGAGCAAGACTCCATCTCAAAAAAAAAAAAAAAAGTGAGGCCACGACATTTCCTGTCTGTTATATTGTCACGATATACATATAAAGAGAACTGCTGATTACAGATAACAGCAACTAAGTTATTCATGCACAGGCAGCCAAGCCCAGGGTAGCTGCCGGCCCCCTCTTCACTCCCAGCCCACACTCTTTATCCCTGGACTCCTCACCATGTTCTTTAGCCTGGGGACCCCTGGATCCTGGATATCCAAGGCCAGAATGGCTTCTCGAGCCCCCACGTAGAGAGTATTTCCATCACCACTCAGGAGCAGAGTGTCAAAATCCTGGAGGCCCTTCTGGTGGAAGAAGCTAAGTGCCCTACGTTCATCCCCTGTTGGAGGAGTAAGACAGAGAGAGTGATGAGGACTTGGTGGGCAGGCAGCTGACTCCTGAGATAAAAGTGGGGGAAGGGGAAGGGTTGCCTGAGTGTGCTCCCCAGGCCTTGGCAGCTAGATGCACTCTCCTCCACCAGCAGTTCTTCCCTTCACCCCACCCCAACACAAGAGCGTTGTGTGCTGAGCCCGCAGTAGAGAGGAGAGGCAGCCAGAGGCAGGGTAATGGGGACGGGAAATAAAGTGAGGCACAGTGGATGCTCTTCCAGGCCTGGGACAGGGAGGGCTACCGTCGGGGAGGACGCCTTGGTCCTCACTAGGATGAGGAGCAGCAGGCAGACAGACAAACAGGAAAGTGTTGGCAGCCACAAGCAGCAAAGCTATATGCAGACAGGAGGGCGTATGTCAGAGTCCCTCTCGCCATCCCCCCAACCACCCCTGCTTTCTTCCTCTTCTGTTAAAGGAAATTCCCACCAGTAGAGTCACCACGAACAGAGAGGAAGCATTTTTCTTCAAAGATCCATGTGGGCATGGCTGGATGTCCCCTGGGCAGGGATGGTGAGCCAGGTGTGGGAGGCTCACCTAGGTCCTCTCCATGACCTTGGCATGGTGGGGTGGGTGGGGGTGTATTTTCCTGTCCCACTGGCACATCGGCAAGGAGGAAGGAGCTCCTCAGATCCTCTCTCATTAGCACTTGCACTGTTGCATTAGTTAGAAAGCTGACTAGCTAATTGATACCTTTGCAGGCTCAGGGAATCTTACACAGTACAGAGGGGAGAAGTTGGGGAATCTGGTGTGGCTGCGGGATGGAAGGGCCAGCCTCAGGGAGGAGCATCTCCTGGAGGCCAGGCCTCCCCCAGAGCTGCCATAAACCCCTCAGTTGCTGAACAGATCACCCTGTATTGATGGTCTGATTGCTCATGTCTTCCCCCTTGTGACTGTGAACACCTTGAGGGCAGGGGCTGAGGCTTATCCGTGTTTGTGCGCCCAGCATCCAACACAGAGGAGGTCTCTGCATCAATGAGCAATATACATTTCTTTTACCAATTGCCCCAGAAAGATGCTAAAGACACAGCCATGCCCAGTCACCTACAACTCCTACAGTGTCTACATCCTTTCCTGAGTCTTCTCCCTGGAGGTGAGGGGGCCAGCAGCCTCCACAGTCTCAGTAAGAAACCAGCCAAGCTGTGCTTGTGTGTGGGTTCCAGGGCCCATTCTCCAACCAGCCATCCCATGGTCCTGGACATGGTATGGTCCAGCATGATCTATGTGGTTGGCATGGGCCTGGCGAGCTCCGGGTCACCGGGTCCACATATGGTCTTCTAGCATGGGCCTTGACTTTGGGGTACCTGGGAGTGTGAAGCAGTTAGGAGTTTGAGGTGCCCAGCTTGGTGACAGTGATATTTAAGGAAGGAAAGAAAAATTACCAACATGGAGAACTGGAAGAAGCGTGCCCCTGGCCCCGTGGCCACCTGTTTTCCTCAATCTGCTCTCCAGTGGCTTTTCTTTCCTTTTGGACTTCTGTTTCTGGCTGTGTCTCTCTTTCTCCGAGATCCTCTGTTTCTCCCTGGCATCTCTCTCTGTGTCCCTGTTTCTCCATATCCATTTCCTCCCCTCCTCTGTTCCTCTCTCCTTCCTCCACCCACCTCCAGCTCTCTATTGCTATCCCCACACTTCCTGCTGTCGGACACTTACCTGCATAGTATCTGACCCTGGGCATGGGCCCCTGCCCGCCTCCCCCCGCGGTCGTCGTCGGCAGCAGCAGCTGAAGCAGTTGGAAGAGGAAAAGGCCCAGGAGGCTCCAGGGGTCCAGGCCCAGGGCTGGGAGGGCCATGCTCAGCCACAGACTGTCACCAGGGAGCTCTGGGGAAACAGGCACCCGGGCACTTTCTGGGTGAGCAGTTCTTACCACATCCCCCCGAGGACCAATAGGAGAGCCCCAGGCAGCAGAAGCGTGTGTATTGGTGGCAGGGGTGGGGCATTGGGGCAGAGAAGGTTCCCTATCTGGAAGGGCCCTAAGACGGTCTCACTTTCATCATCCTTCCAGGCCTCAGCCTGTCACCTCACTGTCCCCTATGGGTAGGAGCCCAGGTCTCCCCTATCCTGCTTCTTCTGTTGTCTTCTCACCAACAGCTCTGGTTTGCCTTTTTTTGCCTTACTCTCAGGAAGTCTTTCCTGTCTTTCCTCCTTTGCCTTCCCTCTTCTCATAGCCCAAGCCCAAACCGTTGCCTGGCTCTGGGCAGGGAACATTTTGGGGAGCAGGTTCCTGTACCCAAAATATAAATTCCTCAGACCTTACTCTCCTGTCACTTTCAGATCTGTTGACACCTGTGCCTCATACTCAGCTCTGACCCAGGTAGGCAGACTGGGTTTGAGTCTGCCTGCTCTAACCTCTCCCCCAGCCCCAGCTGGGTTCAGGGTCTTTGAGGCTCAGGCCTGCCTGGCCTGATACTTCCAGGGAGGCAATGAGGGTCCATCCCACCAGGTTGGTTATCAGCATTTCCCGGGGAGCTGCCTGGGCAGGGGTGGCTGGCCGGCTCCCAGCCTCTGCAGCTCCCCGGCCCCCTTGTCTCTTGCTCCTGTGTCTGCCTCCCTGGGCCTCTACATAATCTTCCCCAAGACCACCCACCCCAAGCCACCCATCTCACCTCACATACCCTTGAACCAGCCACAGTGGGAAACTCGGTGTCTGGATTCTAGGGCGGGGGTGCCATTCAGGAGAAAGAAGAAGGGGGGTTCCCAGGCCCCAGAGGCAGGGGACAGAAGGCTCAGCCTGGCTGGAACGGGAGTGCGGCCCTCCAGGTGCCCATCATGCCAAAGCCAGCACTGGGAGCTCTAGGCCAGGGAAACCGGAATTTCCACCTCTCGAGTTGTGACAGATCCTGGCTTGGGCGGAAGTTGGTGGATTGGGAGGGAATAAAAAGACGTTCACCCACCTCACAAGAGACACACCTCTCTCTCCCTCCTCTGCTCGGTCCAACCAGAAAGTTTAAGAGGCCCTTCTAGGTCATTTCAGCGATTCCCCTGCCTCTCCATCATGTCACAGCCAGTATAACCAGCCTAGCAGTGGTTTCTTCTCTTGCTTAAGATTTCCCAGATAGGGGACATGACATATTCTTCTTTTCACTTACCCACAAGGTGGGGTCTCTCTACTCCTACCTACTGGGAAGTCCCTGCAGTGGTCTAACCTTTAAACCTCCCACTCTCAGCTGGGCCACAGTCTTTAAAAAAATAAAATAAAATAATTGTATTAGGCTCTTATCCATGATTTTGCTGAGGAAGTCCCCCTTGCAGTCTAATCTCCATCACTCTTTGACATCAGGCCAATAGGAAGCCCAGAAATCAGGCCAGTAGAAAGCCCAGAACATTTCCCATCTGAACTCGTGCTCACTGGACCACACTTTGGAGGCACCCAACCCCCAAAGGTGGCTGCTCACCCCTCCCTAAAGGCTCCAGGGGGAGCCTCATAACGCGGGGTTAATGAGGCATCCAGCGCCAAGAACTCTGTGGCCTACAAAGTGGGTAGGTTCCTGCCCACTCGACATGGTCAGCTGACTGCAGGTTAAAGAGCACAGACATCCCAGGGCTAATCCAACTCTAATAAATAATCCACTTCCATCTGACATGCACATTCCTCCCTGGCAGGAAGTCCTTCCTGTAGTGTAACTTCCATCCCTCCTGCTACAGCACCAGCCAACATGGGGGATGTTACAGCTCAGGCTACTCCTTATAATTCCTCATCTGAGGTACTCAGCCTTCTTTCATCTCTCTCAGTTTCCCCGGGGGTTGGTCTCAGACATATCCTGCCTGACAATCGTTTCTGTCAAGACTTGCCTAGGACTCCCCCAGACTCTCCCAGAGGCTGGTTGCCAGGTCCCTTCCAGTTTCTTAGAATCAAGAGAAACTCCCATTTATCCAGACCCTACCTTCTGTGTCTCCCCAACCCCCAGCTCAGATTTGGGAAGCCAGTCTGCCCCTGGGCCTCTCTGCTTAAACAGATTGGCTCATTTGGGTCACTGGGAAGAGTTCTGATACGGGGAGGCTGGGGGAGTTCCAGCCCTACACTCCCAGCCTGATGTCCTATTCCCACCTTTCTGGAAGTCATAGACTCCATGCCCTGCCCCCAGTTCTTCCTCCAGACATCCAGAATTCTCCCAACTCCGGACGTCCTCTTCCCCAGCCCCTCTAGCCAATATGAATAGTTCACACTATCAGGCTTTAGCCCTCCCAACAATTTTAGCAGCTAGGTACTGCCATAATCCCATTTTACAGATCAAGAAGGGAGGTTACACAGCTAGAAGCCAAGTTAAATTCAGATCTGCCTCATTCAATAGCAAATCTCTTAGCTACAAAGACTCTACAGAGTCCTAGTCCCTCAGTCCTCCCTCCTGCCCCAGTCCACAGTTCTGAGCCACTTGGATAGAGAAGGCAAGGGTGGGCTGGGAGGGTAGTGAGCTTTATCTACTCTAGGCTAAGAAATCAGATCTCTGGGGTGATTTCTGAGGACTTTCAACAGGGCAACCGCACAGCATTAAACCAAGAGTGGGCTTTTTTTTTTTTTTTTTTTTTTTTTTGAGACGAAGTGTTGCTCTGTTGTTGCCTAGGCTGGAGTGTGGTGGTGCGATCTCGGCTCACTGCAACCTCCACCTCCCGGGTTCAAGCCATTCTCCTGCCTCAGCCTCCCAGGTAGCTGAGACTACAGGCATGTGCCACCAAGCCCGGCTAATTTTTTTTGTATTTTTAGTAGAGATGGGGTTTCACCATGCTGGCTAGGCTGCTCTCAAACTCCTGACCTCAAGTGATCCGCCTGACTCAGACTCCAAAACTGCTAGGATTACAGGCGTGAGACACTGTGCCCAGCCCCAAGCGTGGCCCTTATGGGCAAGCTTATTTGTGTCAATAAAGCGTTTCAGAGGGAACAGAAACCTTCTTGAAGGAAGGCTGTGAGGTACCACCCCCTGCCTCTGCAAGGGCCTCCTGGTCAAAAACAGCAATAGGAAGGGCACCCTGCCCCCAGCAGTGCACCCCTCACACCAGTCTCTGGGGTCAGACCCCAAGCCCCACTGCCATCTCCCCTGCTTCAGCTGGCAGGGCCCCAGCCAGTGCTGGCTTCGTGGGCACGAGACCTGTGCAGCCACACAGGGCCCTGTGCTCAGAAGGGCCACACTTGGTTTAATGCTCTGCTGTTGCTCTGTTGAAAGTCCTCATAATACTTAAACAAGGGGCTCTACATTTTTATTTTGCACTGGGCCCCACAAATAATATAGCAGGTCCTGCACACAGCATCAAAGAAGCTCAGGGCTGACAGGGTACTCAGACATACCCTTCCTGACAACCGTACAAATGAGGAAACCAAGGCCAAGGAGCAGAAGTACCTTGGCTGGGAATGGTGTCAGGCAGCAGGTCAGGTGGGGTGGCAGTGGGAAGGGGTCAGATGTTCAGGGACCTGCCCACAGGGGCCGTGTCATTTTCACAGCTCCAATCTGGGGTTTCCCCCAGCCCATTTCTCCACAAGCCCTGGAGCCCAGCCCTGGGTCCTGCCATGACAACAACACTGAGTGCACCCTCTGCCCTGCCAGAGTCCAGCTCCTCCCCTGCAACCCTTACACAGCATGCGATGTAGCCCCTTCCTGCCAGGTTCTATTGTGCAGAGGAAAGGTCTAGATGTGGAGGTGGGAGGGGAGATGGAGAGGTTGCTTCCCGCCCCGACTCTATGCTACCTCTGAGCTTCAACCAGCCCCAGACGCTCAGTCTCTTCTGAGCCCCTGCAGAACACGGATGCTGCACTAAAGGAGCAGCTCCTGGAGCCAGGAGAGAAGCAACTCCTGGCTTCACGAGTGATCTGGCAGGTCCAGTTTCCCCCACCTCCTCCCTTTCAGCTTCAGGGGCAGCCCACAGAAGAGTCCAGTTCTGGGGAACATTGCCTCCTGACTTCCCTGCCTTAGCTCCACCTGCCCTGGCCCTCATCTGCCCTCTTGTTATGGTCACAGGCAAGTCAAGTCAACTTATATGTATTGAGTGCCTAGCGTGTATAGGCACTAGGGACGTCCCCAAGCCTCTACGCCCCCTGTGTCCCTCCACCTCTTCCCATCCCCACTGTCTCCCAGCCTTTTTGCCACCCACCAGCTCAGTCCCTCCTAACCCCTTACCCAGAGCTTCCCAGGTCCCCTCCTCCAGTCTGACTAGCTCTGGAAGGCTGCGCTGAGTATCACACACAATAGCCCGACCCCTCTGTCAGCCCCCTCTTTAGGGCAGAGCCAGCACCAGACAATGGCCCCGCCCCCTCCCTTCAGAACTGTCAGCTCCCCCGCTCCCTTACCTGGAGCCTGGGGATGCCGCTGCGTTTCCCTCCCTCTGGAATGCCAGGCTTTCCGGTCTCTCAGTGCCTCAGCCCCTGCCACACCCCCACCCCCATTCTCAACCCCATCCCGCCTCACTGGTCCTCAGTCACCATGGCGACCGCATCTCTAAGTGGGAGGGACTAGAATCTCCCCATATTCTTCCTCCTCCTACCCATGTCCCACTGCGCCCCACCTTCTGTGGCTCCTGGATTCGCACATGTGGAGGAGGAGGGGCTCCAGATGCGGGAGGAGGTGAAAAGGAGGTACAGTAGCCCCCGGTCCCTGCTCAGCTCCCTTGCCCACCTTCAGCAGGCACCACCGTGCACATGTCACCACCTGGGTTCAGGGGGTCAGCTGGGGCCCATTCCTCTTTACAACCAGTTCCTCTGGGTTTCCCTCTACCCCGGGAACTGTGTATATGCCGGGGCGACACAGCTGGACCGCAGCCCAACCCCATGCAAATTCAGTTTGCCAATGAGGACACGAATGAGCCCACAAATATCTATGCAACTATGCAAATAAGCCAAGGGACAGACTCTGTTAAGAACCCCAAGGAGCCCTCTTCTATTTACAGTATCCTGACTTCTGAGGGAGGGGGTCCACTGCCAGGTTCAGGTTCTGCCTCTCCTTCCTAAGCTGCCTGAGAAGAAGGTGGCTCCCCCAGAAGCCTTCTGTGGCTAACACCCTCTGAGATGTATTAAAAGGGGAAGGTTTGTGCTGTAGAGAGCAGACTTCAGACAGGACTTTCCAAGGGTCTAGACTAGATGGACATAGGGAAAGAAGACAGCCGGATTCTTTCCCATTCGGGGAGGAGCACAGGCAGGCAGCGGTTTGTATGGAGCCTTTTTGAGAGCCAAGCCTGTGCCCTCTCCCAGCCCTGATCCTAAACAGCCTTGTTACTAGAGCTCCCTTATGTCTCTACTGGGCCCTAACTTTGTTGGCAAAATGAGGAGTTGAAAAAGCCCCTTCCGGCTGGGTGCGGTGGCTCACGCCTGTAATCCCAGCATTTTGGGAGGCTGAGGCTGGCGGATCACCTGAGGTCAGGAGTTCGAGACCAGCCTGGCCAACCTGGAGAAACCCCATCTCTACTAAAAATACAAAATTAGCCGGGCATGGTGGCGCATGCCTGCAGTACCAGCTACTCGGGAGGCTGAGGCAGGAGAATCACTTGAACCCAGGAGGCGGAGGTTGTAGTGAGCCGAGATCATGCCATTGCACTCCAGCCTGGGCAAAAAGAGCGAAACTCCATCTCAAAAAAAAAAAAAAAAAAGAAAAAAGAAAAAGCCCCTTCCAGGCTGGCCTCTCTGTCAGCTGGCAGGGGACTAGAAAAGGCACCATGAGTCTGGGGCGAAGGGCCCTAGATCCCAGGCTTGGTTGCCTGTAGCCTGCTGTGTGATGCTGGGCAGAGCATTTACCCTCCCTGCCTCACATCCATAAAATAATGGCTTTTTAACCTGCCTGGGAGCAGCATGGCTCCGCCAGACTTCATAGTATTTTTAAGAGGAAGGAAATGAGTGTGCTGGTGTCGGCCCTGGGTAGAGGGTTTCATGGACCAAGACTGCTTCCCCTTCATATCTGAGCTGGGGTGGTGGTTGAGCATTTGCTTTGTGGTGAAGCAAGGAGGGCATGGCATGTGCTGAAATCGGAAGTGGACCCTGAACGGGGCCGCCATGTCCCCACTGATTCCTGACACTCCACCCTCACTGCCTCTCTGCATCTCGGCTGTGGGGACTCAGAAAGGACCTGCCTGTTCAGGCTTCTCTCCCCTGGGACTGGGACACATGATTTGAAATTAAGATGGTGGGGAGTAGAGGACCCTGAACTAGTATGATAACAGGAAGGAAGCAGGTGAACTGCAGGAAGCCCTCACACCCCCATTGGACATCCTTGTGTCCCTGCCCCTATTTTCTTCCCTTTTAGGGGAATTGGATCCAGTCTCTGTGGCAGAGAAGGAAGGAGCTACCTTTCTGAAATAACCCAAGGGAATGGGGGAGCCTATAGATCCTACCTGGCTCCACTTCAATCCAGGTCACCCAGCCGGACTTTGGGGGCCTCCCCTGGCCTTGCCATATGAGAATCAAAACTTCCAGAAAAGAGCTAAATAGTCTTGATGAGAGAGTAGGGACATAGTCCAGGGTGGTGGCCATAGCCACAGTTAGAAACTCGCTGGAGTGAGCTGGACACCCAGACCTCCTGTTTGCAGTTCTGTGGGGTGGAGAGGGAGAGAGAGCCTTTCCACAAGCTAATCTCCATTTCTCCTGCTGCAGCATACATAATTCTATTTCCTCTGGTTTGTCTAGCCTCAATTTCCCCACCTGTGGGGAGTGGGGATGTTGGGACCCTGTGTCTTTGATTGCAGGGGGCAAGGAGTGGCTGATGGAATTTAGAAAATGAAGGTCTTGGGGAAATGAGATGGGGGAGTGGAGGGAGGAGACCCAGGCATCCTGCTCCTTAGGATATGCCCCTCAAGATCCCTGAGGCTGCCCCTCCCCCAGTAGAGGCCAGAGGACCACCCCCTGCATTGTTCACTGGAGTTGACACACAGACACTCCATGTCCATAGTCCCAGAGTTCTGGCATCCCGCCCCTCCCTCCCACCCCAGGGACCACAGTCCCCCTTCCCCACCACTTTTAAGCCTTACCCCCAGCCCAGAAGTGGAGACCCTAACCCAGGCGTCCAAGACTTCCAGCAGAGTCTGCACCGGACAGGGGGTGGAGCAGGGCCAGGCATGGCAGGGAGGGGGTGGGGGCCCTGCCAGCCCCCTCCAGTGCCCCAGTTCCCAGGCAGCTCTTAAAGGGACCAAGGAGAATTAGCCAGGGGCAGCTTAAGGGGGTGAGTGTAGAGGAAAGTAGGTGGTGGGGAGAGGACTGGACTTGCCAGGGGCAGGAAAGCCAGAGCTAGGACCACCTGACACCTCCCCTACTCCCCTGGAAGCCCCCAGGGTCCTCTGCCTCACTTTTCCCTCATCCCATGAGACCCCCATGCTGGCCACGCAGCTTCCGACTCCACCTCCTCAGACCCTGCCCCCTGTTCCCCTTGGGCTCCTGCCCACTTCCTCCCCTCCCCCATATGCGTGCCACCTCAGTCTCCAGTGAGAGCTGCCAGCTGGCACCAACTGGTACTAGGCACGGAGAATCAGCCCAAGAAGTGGAAGGGCCTGAGGCCTGGCCCCAGAAGGCAGGGGGAGGCCAGCACCCCAGAGTCAGTCAGGGGGCGTAGGAGGCACCTTCCTTTCCAGTTGCCTCTCCAATTCTTGTTTTCTCTGCCCCTCTGGGCACAGCGCAAAGGGGGCACCGAGGCTCTGAGGAGGACCTTGGCTCACCCGCTCCCTCTGCTTCCTGATGGGCTGTCAGGATTGTGACGTAGAAAAGGAAAATCTTAGTTACTCCAGGAGGGGCTGGGGCAGCTGAGAGAAACCCATGGCAGAAGAGAAGGACAAAGAAAATGGAGACAGAAGATAGCAGACAGACAAATAGCAGAAAGCCTCAATTCTCATATCACCCCTCTACTCACAACCCTCCCTGGCTTCCCAGAGCCCATGCAATTAATTTCAAACTCCCCGCAGGGTACTGTAGGCCCCTCCCGACCCTTTAGTGAGGGAGGGCTTTTCCCCAGGCAGCCTGGACTCCGCCTTTCTCTGAGTTTCTGTTCCTACGGTATCTCCCACCTGGAAGATGTACTCTTCCGGGATAGTAGTTCTCATTTCCACTTGATGAAACCCTTCTTGTCCTTTCATGCCAAAACAACCCTTTCCTCTGCAAAGCCCCCCTGGTCCTCCCACAGTATTCTGAGTTGCCACTGTATTTTCTGAGAATCTGGAGTCCTGGGTGACTTGGGGTAAACCTCTTCTCTCGCTGGGTCTCAGCCGCCTTCATTAAAATGAGAATGGTAATAACCTGCCCACTAGTGGTTAAAGTGAAAATTAGTTCCACTCTTTGGGATGATACTTGGCAATAGGTCTCAGGTTCTGCAAAAGTGCTCACATAGCTGGGCAGGATGGCGGCGCGTGCCTGCGGTCCCAGCTACTTGGGAAGCTGCCAGGAACCCAAGGCTGCTGTGAGCTATGATGCTATGATCAAGCCTGTGAATAGCCACTGTACTCCAGCCTGGACAACATGGTGAGACCTTGTCTCAAAAAAAAAAAGTTCTCACATTGAGCGATTCAATTTCTGAGTCTATGCATTTACTTTAAATACTTATAAAGCACCTACAATATAGTCAGGCACTGCAATAGGTACTGGGGACTTAGCATGAAAAAAACAACAAAAGACCTGCCCCTCAGGTGTATGTATTTTGGTGGAAGACACAAATACACAAGTGTAATGTATGCTCAATAGTGTTAAATGTCCCAGAGAAAAATAAAGAAGAAAGAGTGGCTGGGAGGTTAAAACTCGGGATGAGGAAGATGCTACTCTTTTATAAAATTTGGTCAGGGGGCTGGGTATGGTAGGGTAATCCCAGCACTTTGGGAGGTCGAGATGGGTGGATCACTTGAGGCCAGGAGTTCAAGACCAGCCTGGTCAACATGGTGAAACCCCGTCTCTACTAAAAATACAAAAATTAGCTGAGCATGGCAGCTTATGCCTGTAATCCCAGCTACTCGGGAGGCTGAGGCACGAGAATCGCTTGAACCTGGGAGGCAGAGGTTGCAGTGTGCCAGATCACATAATCCACTCCATCCTGGGTGACAGAGCAAGATTCCATCTCAAAAAAAAATAATAATAACAACATTTGGTAAGGGGGCTGGGCATGGTGGCTTATGCCTGTTATCCTAGCACTTTGGGAGGCCGAGGCAGGAGGATTGTTTAAATCCTGGGAGGTCGAGGCTGCAGTGAGCCATGATCACACCACTGCACTCAGCCTGGGTGACAGAGTGAGACCCTACCTCAAAAAGTAAAATAAAATATAAAATGTAATTTGGTCAGGGAAGGCTTTACTGGACACTGACATTTGAATAGAGATCTGAAGAAAGAGTGAAAACAAGGCATGCAGATACCTAATGAGAAAAATGGTCCAGGCAGAGGGAACCATTAGTTCAGAGGTCCTGAGGCAGGTGTGTGCGTGGCGTGTTCTAGGAATATCTAGGCAGCCACGGTAGCTCCAATGGGGTGAGAACAAGGGAGAATAGTGACAGATGAGGTGGGAGGGGTCATCATGCACGGCTTTGTATGCCATTGTGAAGACTTTGGCTTTAACATTTTCGTGCTTTGGGAAGACACTGAGGGTTCTGAGCAGAGGAGTGACCAAACTGTTAAAGGATCACTCTGTTGCTGTGTGGAGAATAAACTGTACAGAGCAAAGGCAAGAGACCAGTTATAAAACTAATGCCATAATCCAGACAACAGATGATGGTGGTGGCAGCAGCGGTGATGAGAATGGCCTGAATTCCAGACTATTTTATTGTATTTATTTTTTATTTTATTTTATTTTGAGACGGAGTCTCACTCTGTTGCCCAGGCTGGAGTACAGGGGCATGATCTAGGCTCACTGCAACCTCTGCCTCCCAGGTTCAGGCAATTCTCCTGCTCAGTCTCCTGAGTAGCTGGGATTACAGGCCTCGTGCCACCACAGCTGGCTAATTTTTGTATTTTTAGTAGAGACAGGGTTTCACCATGTTGGCTAGGCTGGTCTTGAACTCCTGACCTCAGGTGATCCACCCGCCTCGGCATCCCAAACTGCTGGGATTACAAGTGTGAGCCACTGCGCCTGGCCAGATTCCAGACATATTTTAAAGATGGAGTTTTACTAATGGACTGAATGTGAAGTATGAGAGGAAAATAGAAGTTAAAGATGACTCCAGGATTTATGGCTAAAGCAACTGGAAAGGATGGTGCGGTCATGAGCTGAGATGGAGAAGATGATAAGCAGAGCAGACTGGGGGTAGGTGGAAATCTGGGTAGCAGTGTTGGACATGTTAACTTCGAGATGCCGTCAGACCTTTACGTGGGGATTCCGGTCTGGGGTTCCAGGCAAAGGAACGGGCTGAAGGATAAAGAGTCACCAACATAGGCACAGTCATTAAAGCCACGGGCCTGGAGGAAATCTCTTAGGGCCTGAGTGTAGACAGAGAAGAGAATCAAGCCCTGGGGCACTCCATCTCTTAGCGGCCAGGGAGAAAAGAAAGGATTGGCAATGTAGGCTGAGGACCACACTCCCATGACAAACAAGGTCAAGTTAGATGAGGACTGAGAAGTGGTTACTGGGTTAGCAATGTGCAGGGTGCTGGGGGCCTTGACAAAGGGCAGTCTCCTTGGTGTAAAGCAGGGAACAGTCTCCTTGGTGTAAAGCAGCTGAGAGTAAAGAGAGAGGCAAAGGTGTGAAATCGTCCTCTGGAGAATGGAGACGACTGGGCTAGGGACAAAAGTTTGTGTGCATGTGGTTACAAATTGAAAGATTTTTAGTAGAGTCGAGTTTCACTATCTTGGCCAGGGTGGTCTTGAACTCCTGACCTCGTGATCCACCCACCTCAGCCTCCCTCTCTTAATCTTTTATTTTATTATTATTATTTTTTAAATTTAATAGAGACAGGGTCTCACTATGTTGCCCCAGCTGGTCTCAAACTCCTGGACTCAAGCAATCCATTCTCCTTGGCCTCCTAAAGTGCTGGGATTACAGGTGTGAGACACCACACCTGGCCCCCTCCTAATCTTAAGGACTGCTATGAAGCTGGGGTGCCTATAGTCCCAGCTACTCAGGAGGCTGAAGCAGGAGGATTGCTTGAGCCCAGGAGTTCAGGGCCAGCCTGGGCAACATAGTGAGGCTCCAATTCTAAAAAAACCCCAAACACCAATAAACAAAAAGCGATATGACGAAGATAATCTTGCCGGGCACAGTGACTCACGCCTGTAATCCCAGTGCTTTGGGAGACCGAGGCCAGTGGATTGCTTGAAGCCAGGAGTTCAAGACCAGCCTGGGCAACATGGCAAAACCCCATCTCTACTAAAAATACAAAAAAAAAAAAAAAATGCAAAAAGAAAGAAAAGAAAAGAAAAGAGAAAGAAAGAAGGAAGCTGGGTGTGGTGGTGCATGCCTGTAGTCCCAGTTACTTCAGAGTCTGAGGCACAAGAATCACTGGAAAACAGGAGGCAGAGGTTGCAGTGAGCTGAGATCGCACCACTGCACTCCAGCCTGGGTAACAGAGTGAGATTCCATCTCAAAAATAAAGAAAAGAAAAAGATAATCTTTCCAGGCCAGGTGTGGTGGCTCATGCCTGTAATCTCAGCATTTTGGGAGGCCAAGGTGGGCAGATCACTTGAGGCCAGGAGATCAAGACCAACCTGGCCAACATGCGAAACCCCGTCTCTACCAAAAATGCCAAAAATTAGCTGGGTGTGGTGGCACATGCCTGTAATGGCAGCTACTCAGGAGGCTGAGGCAGGAGAAACACTTGAACGCAAGAGGTGGAGGCTACAGTGAGCTGAGATCAAGACACTGCACTCCCGCCTAGGTGACAGAGTGAGACTGTCTCAAAAAAAAAAAGAAAGAAAAAAATGGATTTAAAAAAAATTATTTGTTCTTACCTGTTTTAAAAAAAAAAATTATTAAAAATAAATAAATAAATAGCTGGGCGCGGTGGCTCATGCCTGTAATCCCAGCACTTTGGGAGGCTGAGGCGGGTGGATCACGAGGTTAGGAGATCGAGACCATCCTGGCTAACATGGTGAAACCCCATCTCTACTAAATATACAAAAAATTAGCAGGGCATGGTGGCAGGTGCCTGTAGTCCCAGCTACTCGGGAGGCTGAAGCAGGAGAATGGCGTGTACCCGGGAGGCGGAGCTTGCAGTGAGCCGAGATTGCGCCACTGCACTCCAGCCTGGGTGACAGAGCGAGACTCCATCTCATAAATAAATAAATAAATAAATAAATAAATAAATAAATACCCTGAGCAACATATTGACTTTTTTTTTTTTTTTTTTTTTGAGAGGGAGTCTCACTCTGTCGCCCAGGCTGTAAAGGCTGTAGTGCAGTTGCATGATCTTGGCTCACTGCAACATAAGCCACCCAGTTCAAGCGATCCTCCTGCCTCAGCTTCCCGAATAGCTGGGATTACAGGCATGCACGACCACACCCAGCTAATTTTTGTATAGTAGAGGCATTTTGCCACATTGGCCAGGCTGGTCTCAAACTCCTGACCTGAGATCCGCCTACCTCAGCCTCCCAAAGTGCTGGGATTACAGGCGTGAGCCACTGTGTCCATCCCTTACCTGTGTTTTGAATTTTACCATATGATATGTATTTTTGTTGTTGCTGTTGCCCAGGCTGGCCTAGAACTCCTGAGCTCAGACAATTTTCCCGCCTCAGGCCAGGAGTTGCTGGGACTACAGGCGTGCGTGCCACCACGCTAGGCCAAGCATGTATTACATTTTAACAACAACAACTTTTTTTTTTTTACATAATGAAATGTGGCTGCTGAGTGCTGACTTGTGCTGTGAGCATCATGTGAGGTGACCACGTGTGTGGACACCTTAACTGCTGAGTCCCCGGCTGCCGCCCCCGCCGTGCTGCCAGCTTGTGGGGCAGTGTTTGTGTGCGGCCCTATGCCCTCAGCCCTCCTCCTCAAGAGCTAGGAACGTTGCCTGCTGCCCCTGGTGTTCCCCAGCCCACAGTGCCCATGCAGCCAGCTCACCAGGGTTCAGCTGAGTAGCGAAGGACCCCTACCCAGGATGTGCAGGCACCACCGTGGTGGGGCTCTGGCGCCCCAAGGTGCCCGACCCAGGAACTGCAGGTGGGAGTCCTCATTTTGGGACACACGGACTCCCTCGCTGACATCTAAGACCCCATATCTGCGGGGCCTCAGGGTCTTTGCTGAGGCCTAGGAGAGGAAGGGTTTCCTTCTTGGAAACTGCCAACCCAAGCAGGGACCCCTTCCTCAAACCTCCTTCCGCTTAACTTCCCTTCCCTAAAGGCACTGTGGGGTCTCAGCCTATGGTGGAATCAGGAGCGTCCAGCATGACCTCAGGGGCCCTTCTCCTCTCAGTAATTTTGCTTTCTCACATGTTTTCCCACGATCCCAGCCAGACATGCCCGTTTCTCACTGACTCTTGACTGCAGGCTCAACTCTGCCCAAGGAACATAAATAAACTTCCAGAATCTTGGGATCTGTGCCACCTTCGAGCTGAGTGGCCTGAGTTCCAGAGGGCTGGGAGACAATACCTACCTCTCAAGACAGTACGAAGGCCAAATGAGATGCTGCAGAAATGCTTTGGAAACTAGGAAGGGCCAGAGAAAGGCTGGCTTCTATAGCTCATTTTCCCTGTTTGGGGCCCCTCCCCTCAGTCTGGGCACCTCATGCCCCCAGGTTGGAACCCCCTCGGAGGCTCCTACTTGGCCTAACATATCCCTTTGTCTGCAGTCTATTTTCTGACTCCCACTGGGGTGTAATTTCTCTGAGGACAGTGGGCATCTTGTCTTGTTCATTTCCCAATCCCCCAACCTGAGCACAACATGGCACAAAGGGACATTAACTGCTCCTTTCCTCTGCCCTCTCCTGCAGCTTCTGTTCCCTCCTCCCCGGGTGTCCTTGTCCTTACGTCCTGATATGTCACCACCCTCAGACTGGGTCTATATCATATGTCTTATATTCATGCTTCGCTCAGGGCCCAGCACAGAGAAAGCACTCAGTAAGTGCTGGTGGACGAGGGAAGTTAGTTAGCAAATGCCCTCCTTCAGGTGCTGCTTCTCTGAAGGACTTCCGTTGGGAGAGAGCCGTACAGTGGGTGGTGATGGTTATATCAAAGCCTTCCCCCTCAGCCACCACCGAGTGCCCAGATGTGCACCCAAAGTGCTCTGATCTCTAATTGTTTCCCCTGGAGCAGGGCAGGGCTGGGCAGCAATGAGCAGGAGGATGCAGTGACCGTGCGGCGCTGTGTGTGTGTGTGTGTGTGTGTGTGTGTGTGTGTGTGTGTGTGTACGCGCGCGCATGCCCACGAGTCTGCACCTCAGTACACACAGCGACGTCCACCAACAAAGACACCACAGCAGCCAGGGGTAGAAACAACTAGTGTATTGATTTGGGGAGGAGAGAAGGGGTGCAGATGGGAAATGGGGAGGCAAGGGCTCTTTAGCGTTTGCCAAAACCACTGCCACACCCCTCCACCCCCTCTTGCCTTCCTCCTCCACGGTGGGTGCCAGCAGGCTCTCCCCTTTCCAGTGACCTCCCTCTCCCTCCTCCCAGCACCCCACTTGGCTTCAACCTCCAGTGACTGCACAGAGCCCACCCAGGGTCTAAAGCTAGGGAAGGCAGCTCAAACTCACCTTTCTTCTCCCTTCTTCCACCTCCCACCTCATTCCCATCTCTTGTCTAAATAAAATACAGAAAAGCAAGCGCAGCTGGTACCTGGGAGAATGGACTCACCCCGGGGCTGGGGGCAGGGGTGGGGACTGGGGGCGGGGCAGGCAGAGGAACCTCAGCCAGGTGTAGTGGAATCACAGCAGGCCAAGCCCAGGGGCCCGGCTCAAGCTGTCCTCTCTCTCTCTCTCTCCCTCTCGGAGGCTGGCCTGGCAGTGAGCCTGCCGTCCAGAGGAGGCTGGCGGAGAAGCCTCTATGCCTGCCTCTCAGGCACCATGTCACAGGGTCCCCGGGGTGGGGGCAGCAGCCAGGGCAGAAAAGCAGAAGCTAGCCTCTATAAAAGCACCCCTTTCCCTTGGCTTCTAGAGGAAGCCCTCTTTGGTTTTAAGGCAGATGTGGAGTTTCCTGGAAGCAGGGAAAAGGAAGGGAGGAGAAATTAGGATTGAGATAGATGAGATAGATGCTTTTTTTTTTTTTTGCTTGTGTTTTTCCTTCAGTATAAAACCACTGTAGAAAATAACTTCTCTTAGAAAAAAAAATACAGAAGAAAAAAACCAAAGGGTTATTTTTCTTTGGCTTCAAGCCCCCTCCCATGACGTGCAGGGCAGGGGGTGGGCATGAGGTGAGGAGGACGCAGGAAGCCTCCACCCCCACCCCTGCCTGGCAGGTCCCAGATTACATGATGCTGCAGTTCTGGGGGCTCTAAGAGAGAAAACAGAGGAGAGAGGTGTGAGCAGCAGGGCCTGGACCCAGACCCTCCCTCCCCTGGCCCCTAGAAGGGAGGTAGCATCTCCCCCATCCCTCACACTCCAGCCCTGCCCCTGCCCTCCAGTCTGGGGCTCAGACAAGAGGGGCAGGATGCAGAGGTGGGCTGTCTAGGACTCAGGCTGTGGGGAGGAGGCTCCCACTCCCCCGGGCTGCGGAAGAGAAGGCAGGCTCTCCCCCCTGCAAGGCCACCTCGTCCTACCCCTCGATGACCAGGGACCCGCCTGCAGGATTTGGAGACAAAGCAGAGACAACTCACCTGGGTTCGGGGGCTGGAGTTGCCCAGGAGGTAGGAGCGGGTGACCAGATTGTCCCCGAAGCTGCCACCCCCACTGCCCCCCACACTGCGGTAGCTGCGAGTGACCGTGACACTGGAGGCAGAAGAGCCAGAGGAGATGGGTCCGCCCACCTGGGCTCCTGAGCCGCTGGCAGATGCCTTGTCGGCAGGCTGCCCGCAGGTCCCGCACAGCACGGTGCGCGAGCGCAGGTTGTACTCAGCGGGGTCCCCCGAGCTGCTGCAGTGGGAGCCCTGGGAAGGGAGACAAGGCTCAGGCGGGACGGCGAGTCTGGGACTGACCACTCAGGCCCAACCAGGCTCCAGGCTCCTGCAGGCTCCCAGCCGCCAGGCAGGAAGGTGTGGTTCTGTGCCCAAGGAGCCAGCGGGCAATGGGGGTTTGGGAGGCTAGGGGCCCGGAGGAGGAGAGGGAAGACATAAAAGGGGAGAAGGCTCAGGAAGACTTGGGGACAGAGAACCAGAGCAGTGACTCTGACTCTGTTCTAGCTACTCTGAGCTTAAGAGGAAAAGAAGAGAGAACGGGAGCAAGCTTGTAGGGCAGCAGGCATGCACTATTAATTGGAGTGGAGGGGCGGTCAGGAATGAGAGAGAACATTCTTGCAGGAAAAATGAGGGAAATGAGAGGATATGCATGCAACAAGAATGGGGGAGAGAGGCAGGGCGGGCATGCCCCACGTCTGTCCTCCCCTCCCTTTCCCAGAAGACAAATCCAGACCCTTGTCCACTGCTCCCACAGGAATATTCCATGGCATCAGAAAGTTCCCACTCCCTTCCTTACCAGAGTAGGGCACCCAGACACCTGGGTTCCCTGTTCAAGGTATAGGGAGGAGAGAGAAGAAAGGCCAGGCCAGCGAGTAAAGTTCCAAAACATTCTTTAATGAAAAGATTTTTGGCACGGGGAGGCTGGGGAGAGGCTGCCCCCAGGCCTGGCTGGGTGGCCCCAGTGCAGGCTCGGCCTCAGCGGCGGCTACCACTCACGTGGTGGTGATGGAGCAGGTCATCTCCATCCTCATCCTCGTCGTCCTCAACCACAGTCACTGAGCGCACCAGCTTGCGCATGGCCACTTCCTGGTGGGGACATGGAACCAGGTCCAAGGGTCAGGGCCAGGGAAGGGTTGTACAGCATGTCTACCCCAGTGACCACCTGCAACTTTTCTTGTGGCCTGCCCTTTGTCCGGCCTGCTGCTTACTCTGTCCTCTGTGGTGATGGAGCTAAGGAACTCATTTCCACCCCAGAGGGACACTGTCAAGCTCTCCGGGTAGGAGTATGGCTCTGCCTTTAACAATCCTCACTGTCTAACTTCCACCCCTTGTGCTGTTGAGGAAGCATCTTTTGGTTTGCCTACTGGGTGGAGAAGTCTGGAGCCTGCAACAGAGAGCTCTAGAAAGGGGCCCTGAATTGGCAAACTTGGGTTGGGGGCAGCTGGCTCCGATGTTGGCCATCAGGGGGAGCCTCGTCCAGCAAGCAGCCAGGCCCAGGCCTACTTACTTCCCCAGTGGAGTTGATGAGAGCCGTACGCAGGCTGTTCCCGCAGCCCCAGGTGTTCTGTGCCTTCCACACCAGGTCGGTAGGGGGGCTGTGGGTGGCCCCAGCTCCTGCAGCCCAGATCTGGAGAGGAGAAAAGGACACTTACCCCAGCGCTCCCATCGCCACCCAAGGCCTCCCCAGAGTCCCAAGCGCCCTGCCACTCACCGTCACCACCTGCCCAGCCTTCAGGGTGAACTTTGGTGGGAACCGGTAAGTCAGCAAGGGATCATCTCCATTCTGGCGCTTGATCTGCCAATTGCCCATGGACTGGTCCTGCCGGGAAGATAGGGAAGAGGAAGGTCGGGGAGGCTCACCCAGGCTCTTGGGTGTATCTTGCTCAAAGGCCCAGCCCTCTGCCTGCCTGCAATTGAGGCCTCTCCTTCCATCTACACACACCCCTGTCACTGCCCTTCCCCCGGGGATAATAGCCATGATCTGTGGACACATACGCAGCACCAGGCACACGGATACCTTATCTTTCATCTTCCTGACAACTCAAAGACTTAGGGATCAGTATTCATCCCCATTTTACAGATGAGGAAACTGATGCTCTGAGAGGTTAAATAACCTGCTCAAGGTCTCACAGCCAAAGAGTCCAGGAGCCAGGCCTGGAACCAGAGTGTGGAGGAGATATACAGGCTCACCCTGGTCCACCCTCTGAGGGCAAGGATGTTCCTCTCTCCACATGCCATCCTTCTGTCTTGCCACTCTCTCCCTGATGCAGCTGTATCCCCTTAGACCCTGAGCAGGAGCCTACCTCATTGGACTTGTTGCGCAGCCGGACAAACTTGCCCTCCTCATCCACCTCCTCCACGGCCACGCGCCCGCTAGTGCGTGCGTGCTGTGAGAAGCTGCTGCGGCTCTCAGTGGACTCCAGTTTGCGCTTTTTGGTGACGCTGCCCCCACCCTGTGTCTGGGATGAGTGAGAGGAAGCACGGCCACGGCTGCGCTGCGAGGTAGGGCTGGGGGACAGGCGTAGCCTGGGGAGAGGGAGACCAAGTGGGGGTCTAGTCAAGGCCAGTTGCCGGCCAGAGGACACTGCCAGCACCTCCCCGACGTCTCCCCAGCCCACCTCTCCTCCTCGCCCTCCAAGAGCTTGCGGTAGGCGTGGATCTCCATGTCCAGGGCCAGCTTGATGTCCAGAAGCTCCTGGTACTCGTCCAGCTGCTGCTGCATCCTTGCCCGCATCTCGGCCATCTCCCGCTCCTTTTCCGCCAGCAGCCGCCGGCTGGTGTCCCGCTCACGGGCCAGTGAGTCCTCCAGGTCTCGAAGCTTCGCCTCCTTGGCTGCCAGCTGAAGGGGGGTGGGAGGGTTTGGTGAGCTCCCAAGGGCCCTAAGTATGGGGAAGGAGGGACGTGGGTCGGTGTAGGAGACACCTGGCTACTCTCTCCAGGATCTGCAATCAGAGCTTCCCCAGAGCCCTCATCAGAGCCAGCTCTGAACATCACAAGCTCTAAACATAGTCTTGGCTGGCAACTGGGAAGTCCTTCCCCTTGTCTAACTGAAACCTCTCGTTCTGAGGCTAGACTTTTTCTCCTGTCACAAATAGCACAGCCAACTAGAAAAATACTGATGCTTTTAACACCTCACATTGCAGAGTCCTGTGGCAACTCTGAGTTAGGGAGATTAAGAACAGCCTCCATTTTCGAATGGGAAAACCAAAGCCCTGAGAAGTGAAGGTGAGGTAAGAGTGTACAGAAACAGCACACAGGCCATCTGACTCCACATCCTGCGACCCTTCTCTGTGGTTGTGGGGACACTTTTCATCCCTCTCCTCCTCAGGAACCTCCCACCCCCACCCCCACCCCCAACCCTGGGCTTCCAGCCTGCATCCGGCCCAGACTCTAGGCCCCTGGAGAGAGGGGTGAGGTGGGGTATCACCTGCTTCTGGAGCTGGCTGAGCTGGGCAGAGAGGCTGTCGATGCGGATGCGCGACTGCTGCAGCTCCTCGTGGGCAGCCCCCACCAGGTTGCTGTTCCTCTCAGCAGACTGCCTGGCATTGTCCAGCTGGAGGGGAGGACAAAGGGTTAGGACTGTGGTGACTGGGAGGGGTGGAGGCACAGGCCTGAGTTGGGCATCACTGCTACAGCCCCAGGTCCTGGGCCACCCTGAGCTCCCTGCCACCATCTGCCTGATCCCCAGAAGGCATAGCCCAGCGTGGGTAAGGGTAGGGCTGCCAAGGGCAGAGGCAGTGAGGGAACCAATCGAGAGCAAGCACCTTGGCAGAATAAGTCTTCTCCAGCTCCTTCTTATACTGCTCCACCTGGTCCTCATGCTGGGCCCGCAGTTCCTGCAGCGCATCCGCCAGCCGGCTCTCAAACTCACGCTGCTTCCCATTGTCAATCTCCACCAGTCGGGTCTCATGACGGCGCTTGGTCTCACGCAGCTCCTGGAAGGGTTGGAGGAAGGACACAGAAACCAAAATCAGAATTAGTTCCTGGGAGGCCAAGACCCAGGGGCGGGGCTCCCTGCCCAGCCCTACTCCATGAGCCACTACCAGCCCCACTTTAACCTGGGAGCTGAGTGCTGGCCACCCCCAACTCCCTGTCCACTAGGGCAAGGGACTCAGGAAGGCGAGCTCTGCACACAGCTGGTCCCCCCTAGCCCAGCCCAAGTCTGTCATCACCCAGCCCCAGCCCTCTGGCTTGCAAAGCACAGTCCCCACCTCACTGTAGATGTTCTTCTGGAAGTCCAGTTCCTCCTTCATGGTCTGCAGCCTGTTCTCAGCATCCACCCGCCGCAGCATCTCATCCTGAAGTTGCTTCTTGGCCTCACCTAGGGCTGCCTCAAGCTGTGAGGAAGCAGGCAGAGATGAGGAAAAGGGGTCACAGAACACAAGAACTGGAAGGAAGCTGAGAGGTGGGCTGCTGCCTGTGCACCCCTTCACACATGTGGAAACAGGTCCAGGGAAGGAGGGCCTTGGATGCCTGCAGGGGTCAGGACATCTACTCACTCACTCTTGGTAGGTACTGTGCTAAGAGAGAAAATATATATCTAATACAAAAAAGTAGCCAGGCATGATGGTGGCACACGCCTGTAGTCCCAGCTACTCAGGAGGCTGAGGCACAAGAATCGCTTGAATCCAGGAGGTGGAGGTTGCAGTGAGCCGAGATCGCACTACTGCACTCCAGCCTGGGTGACACAGCTAGACTCTGTCTCAAAAAGAAAAGATATATGCCCCCCAGCCACAGGACTCCCTTCTCTGGCACAACATAGCAACTGCTATAAAGGAGGTATGTGCAAAGTACTGAGGGGACATGAGAGAAGGAACCAAAGTATGCCTGGGGTACTTTTGGGGGGCTCTGGGAAGGCCTCCAAGAGGCTAAGACCCAAGGGACAGGCTAGCGGGGCCTACAGAGAGCTACTGTCATGATTTCAAGGGCAGAAACAAGCATGTACAGGCACAGAGGTATGAAGGCATGTGTGTTCTGGGGTCTTTGGAAAGATCAGTACTGCTGAAGCCTGAAGTACGGGGTGGGAAGGGATGGGAGAGGTGGCTGGGTCAGTAGGCAGGGGCTGGCTCATGAAGAGATGCCCTTATCTGCCATGAAAAGAACCTGAGGATGTTTGAGCAGGGGAGCACCACGCTTAGATTTTCTTTTTTTTATTTTTATTTTTTTTTTGAGATGGAGTCTCGCTCTGTCACCTAGGCTGGAGAGCAGTGGCGCGATCTCAGCTCACTGCAAGCTCTGCCTCCCAGGTTCATGCCATTCTCCTGCCTCAGTCTCCCGAGTAGCTGGGACTACAGACATGGGCCACCACACCCAGCTAATTTTTGTATCTTTAGTAGAGACAGGGTTTCACCATGTTGGCCAGGATAGTCTCGATCTCCTGACCTCGTGATCTGCCCACCTTGGCCTCCCAAAATGCTGGGATTACAGGCGTGAGCCACCACACCCAGCCGTATGCTTAGATTTTCATTTAAGAAAGCACAGGCTGGGCTAAGTGTGGTGGCTCATGCCTATAATCCCAGCACATTGGGAGGCTGAGGCAGGAAGATCTCTTGCAGCCAGGAGTTCAAGACCAGCCTCAACAACATAGAGAGAACACGTCTTGCCAGGCGTGGTGGCTCACGCCTGTAATCCCAGCACTTTGGGAGGCTGAGGCGGGCAGAACACCTAAGGTCAGGAGTTCAAGACCAGCCTGACCAACATGGTGAAACCCTGTCTCTACTAAAAATCCAAAAAGTAGCTGGGCATGGTGGTGGGCACCTGTAATCCCAGCTACTCGGGAGGCTGAGGCAGGAGAATTGCTTGAACCTGGGAGACAGAGGTTGCAGTGAGCTGAGATCGTGCCATTGCACTCCAGCCTGGGTGACAGAGTAAGACTCCATCTCAAAAAAAAAAAAAAAAAAAAGAGAGAGAGAGAGAGGAGAACATGGCTCTATTTATAAAGAAAAACAGGGCAAGGAAGCACAGGCTGATCAGTGCATCCAGGAAGGGCTGGGGGAAGGGTACAACTGGGAGGCTGGAGACCAGACCCAGGAGGAAGGTGGCCCAGCCTTGGTTCGGTGGTCAACCTGCTGGCTTCTCCAGGTCTTTCCCTGGTATACTATGATGGTAGGGCCTGGGAAGGGAAAGAACCCAGGATGGAAGCTTGGCCACTGACTCTAATCCTGGCCCCACTATGAACAGATGAGACTGTGAAATTAGGAATAAACTGCTTCTTTGATTCTTAGCTTTTATTTATTATTTATTTTTATTTTTATTTATTTATGTTTTTTTGAGATGGAGTCTCGCTCTGTTGCCTAGGCTGGAGTGCTGTGACCCGATCTTGGCTCACTGCAACCTCCACCTCCCGGGTTCAAGCGATTCTCCTGCCTCAGCCTCCCAAGTAGCTGGGATTACAGGTGGCTGCCACCATGCCTAGCTAATTTTTGTATTTGTAGTAGAGATGGGGTTTCACCATGTTGGCCAGGCTAGTCTCGAACTCCTAACCTCAGGTGATCTGCCCACCTCTGCCTCCCAAAGTGCTAGGATTACAGGCATGAGCCACCGTGCCTGGCTATTTTTTATTTTTTTTGAGATAGAGTTTTGCTCTTGTTGCCCAGGCTGGAGTGCAATGGTGCAATCTCAGTTCACCACAACCTCTGATCCTGGGTTCAAATGATTTTCCTGCCTCAGCCTCACAAGTAGTTGTTGGGACTACAGGTGTGTGCCACCACGCCTGGCTAATTTTGTATTTTTAGTAGAGACGGAGTTTAACCATGTTGGTCAGACTGGTCTCAAACTCCTGACCTCAAATGATCCACCCGCCTTGGCCTCCCAAAGTGCTGGGATTATAGGCGTGAGCCACTGCACCCAGCCCAATTCCTAGCTTTTAACATGATAAATTGGAGAAGAGTGTTTTGAAAGTAAAGGCCACTCTATATACACAAAGCATTATTAACACATGTCCCATATGTAATTAGCCATCCGCTTCTGATGGCCTCAATAAATGATCAACTCCAGTCCTCCTTTTCCCCAGAGAAATCACAAGGGCCTATAGGAGGCCCTTGTATACCGGAGGGCCAAACTGGGAGGGATCTAGGGTCAGGTACAGTTCATTGCAAAGTTAAGTAGAAATGGCTTGTGGATTATTTTATTTTATGTATTTATTTATGTAGAGACAGGGTTTCCCTCTGTCACCCAGGCTGAAGTGCAGTGGTGCAATCACAGCTCACTGTATCCTCGACCTCTCAGGTTCAAGCCATCCTCCTGCCTCAGCCTCCCAAGTAGCTGGGACTATAGGTGCACACCACCATGCCCAGCTAATTTCTTTAAATTTTTATTTTCTAGAGATGGGGTCTGTGTTGCCCAGGCTGGTCTCAAACTCCTGGACTCAAGCAATCCTGCCTCCTTGGCCTCCCAAAATGCTGGGATTACAGGCATGAGCCACCACACATGGCCTGGATTATTTTTATTATTATTATTATTATTTTTTTGAGACGGAGTCTCACTCTGTTGCCCAGGCTGGAGTGCAGTGGCATGATCTCAGCTCACTGCAAGCTCTGCCTCGCAGGCTCACGCCATTCTCCTGCCTCAGCCTCCCGAGTAGTTGGGACTACAGGCGCCCGCCACCATGCCAGGCTAATTTTTTGTATTTTTAGTAGAGACGGGGTTTCACCATGTTAGTCAGGATGATCTCGATCTCCTGACCTCGTGATCGGCCCACCTCGGCCTCCTAAAGTGCTGGGATTACAGGCGTGAACCACCATGCCCGGCCTCCTGGATTATTTTAAATTCACTGTGGTAGATCCCATTGGCAGCCAAATTAGGATAAGATGTGACCTCAGTGGGTAAAATGACTCTAGGACAGGTGAATGGCTCTGAAATCAGGTGACAGGTCAGACCAGGCACCACATGGGGGAGGGCCTAGGTAGAAGAGTGAGTGTACATGTGTTAGGTGGGGCCATGGGTGGGCCCTGCAGGGTGGCCTCACCTTGGCCACCTGGCCCCGCAGATCATGCAGCTCGCCCTCCAGCGTGCGCTTCTCACTGAGAGCAGTGCTCAGTGCGGCCTCCTTGGAGTTCAGCAGAGCCTCCAGGTCCTTCAGCCGAGCCTGAGCAGCTATCAGGTCACCCTCCTTCTTGGTATTGCTAAAGAAGAGAGGGGAGAGTAGATTTAAGAGAAGGAGTCTGTGTGCCTAGACAGTGCCAGGCTCCCAGGAGGTCAGCCATGGGGGCTGGCGCTGCTATGCCTGCAATTACCAGGAGAGGGCATCCTTGCATTAGGTTGGTTTGCATCTGCTTGCCTCTGGGGCTGGGCTCCCACCTCCCCAAGGTCCTTGAAAACCCCCTTCCTGCTTCTCCACCCTTCCCATGACTCAGGGCTCAGGAACGTGCCTGGGGCCAAGGGCAGAGCTCTACCCCGTGATATGAATGCTTTTCCCTCTCTCTCCTCCCATTCTTTCCCAAAGAGACAGGGGTACCTTTGTCTCCTGCCCCTTCCCACACAGGGCCTTACTTAGCCTTCTCCCTGGACTCTACTCACTTCCCTTTGGCCAAGCTTCCCTCCCTCTGAGGAGCCTGACAACTAAGCTCATGGCCCACATGTCCCTAGCACTTCTCGATCTGAGCCCCAAAGGTACTGGTCACCTCTCCTAGTCCCTTTTACACATGTGGGACTGTGGGGAAGGAAAGTCTGGTTAGAGCTCAGAGGGACCTCAGACAAGGATGACCAGGCACAATATTGACCCTTTCCTTTCTCAGGACCCAGTCTGGGTGCCCTGATCTGCACTGAACAGAGGGGTCCCTGCCTCCCTCCCTCCTGCCTCATCCGTGCCCTGGGAGAAGGCTGAGCCCTACCCATCTACCATAGCCTCAGCATCTGGTTCCAGATGTGGATCCCAGGCCTCCAGGTCCATCTGGGCCCCAGCTTTAAGCCTCCCTGCTCCTCAAAGTGGGTAAAGCTTTAGCTATAACCAGTCGAACAGCGCTGCCTCTGCCACCTCCCTCACCTTTTCTGGGCCCCTGATTATTTTTGCTAGTGGACTGGAGAAATAGAAAGGTCCTATTTTCTTAAAAACCTCCAGAGAACCCAAGAACTTTCTAGATGTTACAATTGCTTCACAAATATAGGGTGAGAGAAAGCAGCAGACCCAGGGAGCGGAGGGAAAGATCCAGAGGACCTGGTTCCAGCTGCCATCTGTAACTCATCAGTGCTTAAGCATGAGCCCACCACAGCAGATGGAAAAAAGGAAAACCAAGCGTGGGCAGAAGGAAAAATCTATCCTGGAAAGGAGAAAAGCAGCCCTGCCAACATTTTTCTTCTACCACAAAAGTCCTAAACTCCAAGAGGCCCAGCAATTCACTGTGAAGAGGGATAGGGAAGGCTAGATTTGCAGAAGCTCTGGAGGACGAGACCCAGGCAGTGTTCTGCTTAGGAGAGTCCAAAAAAGGAGTCACCCCCACCTCCCCCCACCAGGCAGGGAGGAGGATAGAGTGACACTCAGAGGGGCAGGGGAAGGACATGAGAAGCCAGAGGAAGCTCCCCCAGCCTGCACACTTGCTCAGTCCAGGCCTCTGGCCACACCTCAGAACAAGTTGTTTAATGTAAGTGTCTGTCTCCTGCAAAAAAGAGCCCCTTCCAGAACCGGAGAATGTATTCCCTCCTCTGTCTCAGTCAGAAAAGCTAAAAATAAAGTCAAAACCCAGCTCAGGTTTTGGCTGCCATCCGGCCTAGCCCCTGGCTGGGAGCACAGCCCCAACTTTCCATGACTTCAGAACTTTTCCGAAGCTGAAGCAGCTGCAGGGGGAGGAGGGAAAATGAAGAAAAACCGCTGGTAAAGTGAAGCAACTGGGGCAACTTAGATTCCGAGCTCCTTGGGCTGACCCCCAGGCTGGCTGGGGCTTCCCAGAAGAGGCCTCTCTACCCTGAAGGCTAATGGCTGCTGCTGGCTGTACTAGGAGGCTCTCAGAATTTAGAGAACTAGAAGGAGCTTAGAGTTGATTCAGCTCAACCCTCTCCCTTTTATAGATGAGGAAACTGAGGTGCAAAGGAGGAAGGTGAATGGCCCAGTGTCAATTACCGAAAGCCAGCAGCAGCATTCCAGTCAATTCTAGCTGCTGATCTAGGGTTCCTCCTCCTCCACCTCACTGCTTTCCTAAGCCACAAGTTCCAGAGAGAATGGAGAAGCCAGGAGGAGGAAGAGGGCAGACACTATGGCACAAAGCGTTTCCCTGACCAGCCAGCCTGAGCTGAAAGAAGCTGGAAGGCAATGGGATGATTTCAGAAGGTGTCTCAAGGGCACCTTTTCCCTAGTCCTGTCTCCCCAGCCTCCTTAGGTGCCAGGAGGAATTCCTGGAGTTCCCCCTGGTAACAGCCTTTCCTTGCCAGTGCCTGGCAGACACTGACTGAGGAAAACATAGATGCATGATCCCTGTGCTCTGCGAGCTTATGGGCTGATGAGCACAGAAGTTTTTTCTTCAGTCTAACCTCTTCACCTTCTGCTGCTTGCAAAAGCGGTGGTGGCAGTGATAATAATAATATAATAGCAAACACTTATATAGAGCTTATTAGGTACCAAGCACTGCTCTAAATATTATGTTAACTCACGTCATCTTCACAGCTACCCTATGCGATAGGTGCTATTCCTATGCAATTGAGGAAATAGGCACAGAAAGCTATATCTAGGGTCCCGCAGCAAGTAGATAGGGGAGCTGGAAATCCATGCTGTACCACTTTGGCACAAGCCACAGTATATGGTCTCCAAGGAAAGTAAGGGGGCTGGCTGAGTGTGGTGGCTCACACCTGTAATCCCAGCACTTTGGGAGGCCAAGGCAGGTGGATCACTTGAGGCCAGGAGTTCGAGACCAGCCTGCCAACATGGTGAAACTCTGACTCTATCAAAAATACAAAAATTAGTCGGGCAAGGTGGTGCACGTCCATAGTCCCAGCAACTTGGGAGGCTGAGACACGAGAATTGCTTGAGCCTGGGAGGCGGAGATTGTAGTGAGTTGAGATTGTACCACTGTACTCCAGCCTGGGTGACAGAGTGAGACTCTATCTCAAAAAAAAAAAAAAAAAATTTAGCTGGGTACGGTGGTGTGCACCTGTAGTCCCAGCTACTGAGGAGGCTGAGGTAGGAGGATCACTTGAACTTGGGAGGCGGAGGTTGCAGTGAGCCGAGATTGTGCCACTGCACTACAGCATGGGTGACAGAGCGAGACTCCATCTCAAAAAAAAAAAAAAAAAAAAAAAAAAACAGTAAGGGGGTTATTTGTCTTTCCCTGGTGGAGGTTTTGACTAGCACTGCAAAGAGAGGAGATTAAAGGACTAAGACACACCCTGCAGATGAGAAAAACCACGAGCAGAGAGGGAAGTGAGGAAGAACCTTTGTGGTTTTCTTAGGCACGGGGAGCTCCCATCTGCGGGGAAGAAGCCACTATCACCCATGGGCTCATGACTCAGACCTTGGGAGCTCTGTGGCCAGGGAGCCACACGCACACCCCAAGAGATGACTAGGGGTACAGTAGAGCCCAGTGTCTCTCCTCCCTCCTCCCTGCCCCCGCCCCCAAGTGCCATTTCCTTCCTAGGAGGGGTCCTCAGACCTAGCAGGGACCAAAGTAGACCCTAGCCAGGCATTCGGTCCCAGGGTGGTGGTGCAGCCCACTCCACTGGGGGTTGGCATCAGGAAAGCTGAGCACACGCTGAGTGCCGTCCCCGTGCTGGGTTGGCAGGGAGGACAGGGTGGGGCAGGCCAGAGGAGCTGGGAAGGGTGGGAACCTGGGCCCCTCAGGTGACTCATGCTCAGGCACACAATACCCGGGCAGGGGTCGGGAAATCCTCTAGTGCTCACAGGGGAGACCCTGGCTTCGCCCGTGTCCTGCCCCAGGCCGGGTGCTGTGCCAGCAGAGTGCCAGTCCTTTCCCTTGCATCCTCCAGGTTCCCCAAGCACAGGAGTGGCTGCATCCCAGTGGCCTCTTGAGGCGAGAAGGGCTGGGCATCCTGTTTCTAACTCTTCCCATCACTGGCAAATCTGATCTCAGAAAGAGGGAAGAGAGGGGGTGGGGAGGGGAACAGAGAGGAAAAGAATAAGGTAGAAATGAGAGTTGGCACTTGCAAATGTGACCCAAGGCAGGGGTCTGAAGAGCTGTGCCTGGTGGGACAAGGAAGTCCGGCTCCCCAGCTGCAGCAGGCCCGGGCCCTTGGGGCTGTTTGGGGAAGAAAGGCACCAGCACAGCAAAGGGGCTAGGTGGGCACCGGGCCAGGCGCTGACCCACCCTCTGAGTCACCCTGCTCAGCCCAACTCTGATGCCAGATATGGAAGCCAGGGCCGGCCACAGGCCTGTTTGGGCCCGGTTGCTGGGGGCAACAGGCTAGGCCCGGAGGGAGAGGCCTCCGTTTCCTCTCCCAATCTGGGGGAGAAGCAAGAGGGACAGACACTGTAGCTAAAAATAACAAGTGGGAGGGGAAGACAAAGGGGAGGTGGAGGAGCTGGCCCAGCCCTGCAGGGACTCCTTAGACCCACTCCTCAGCAGCCCTGCTCACCAGCCCTCAGAGTTCCCCATTGCCAGGCAGCACACAGGAAGGGAGCAGAAGAGCAGAGGGTCTCCCAGCCCCTGGGCATTTCCTGTCTCCCAGGAACATCGCCCCCTGTGGCCGGGTGGGTACAGGGAGTCCGCCTGGTGGCAAATGCTCTCCTGTATCCTCCTGGGCATCTAATTTGTTTAATTTTAATTTAAAATTTTTAATTGTTTAATTTTAAAATTTTTCATTTATTATTATTACTATTATTATTATTTTGAGGTGGAGTCTCATTCTGTCGCCCAGGTGATCTCACTGCAACCTTCACCTCCCAGGTTCAAGTGATTCTCCTGCTTCTCAGCCTCCCGAGTAGCTGGATTACAGGCCTGCACCACCATGCCTAGCTAATTTTTCTATTTTTAGTAGAGACGGAGTTTTGCCATGTTGGCCAGGCTGGTCTCGGACTCCTGACCTCAGGTGATCCACCCGCCTCCACCTCCCAAAATGCTGGGATTACAGTCATGAGCCACCGCGCCCAGCCCCTATTATTATTATTTTTGAGACAGAGTCTCACTGTGTTGCCCAGGCTAGAGTAGAGTGGCGCGATCTCGGCTCCCTGCAACCTCCACCTCCCAGGTTCAAGCAATTCTTGTGCCTCAGCCTCCAGAGTAGCTGGGATTACAGGCGCCTGCCACCACACCCAGCTAATTTTTGGCATTTTTAGTAGAGATAGGGTTTCGCCATGTTGGCCAGGCTGGTCTTGAACTCCTGACCTCACGTGATCCTCCTGCATCAGCCTCCCAAAGTCCTGGGATTACAGGCGTGAGCCACCACACCCAGCCCCTCCTGGACACCTAGACCTCTGCCCAGGCTGACTTCCCGCCATGTGACAGGGCGTCTTCTGCTGCCACCCCAAGCCACTCCTACCACCCCTCCTTTTGTTCCAGCAACTCCTCCTACTGCAATATATCCTCCTTCTCTCTGTCCCTCCCTCCCATTCACCCAAAACCTCCCTACCCCTCAGCCTACTTGAGCCTGTCTCAGCTCTGCCCTGCTGATTTCAGCCAGTGTTCTACCTGTTGGGTCGTGGGGCTTTTTCTGTGTGTCCCACAAATACCCGGAGACTAGACGGTTCACAGGCTCAAGGCTTCTAGAGGAACCTTCTCTTGAACCAACTCCTATACTTTTACAGGGGGAAACTAAAGCCTGGAGACGGGTAGGCTCAGGCACTAAAAACCTGCCCCCAGGTCACCTGAGGACACTCACAGCAGATTGGTGCAAAACATAGAAAATGGCACGATACACACAGACACTGCAGAGAATAACACAGAGAGACCCAGTAAGACAGTCTGGGAAGCGTGTCTGCCTCTGTCTCGCTTGCTGGGAGATACCCCAGTCAGAGAGTGATACGGAGGCCTAGTGAAAGTGCCACTCCCACCCACCCTCAAATATACACATACTCACACCTTTGTGTGCGGCCAATCATGAGGTTTGATAGCCCCTACCTCCCCCCCAACCCGGCAAAGTAACCACTGCTTGGTTTCTTGGCTAGTCTGTGGGTCTGCCACAACTCGGGTAAGGGCAGGATGTGGAGAATTCCCCTCCCTGGCATTTGAGGTGCTATCCCTCTCTGGAAAGGAGACCTTAAAGAGAGGAACTGAGGCTGGGCGCAGTGGCTCACGCCTGTAATCCCAGCACTTTGGGAGGCCAAGGTGGGTGGATCACGAGGTCAGGAGTTTGAGACCATCCTGGCCAGCATGGTGAAACCCCATTTCTACTAAAAATACAAAAATTAGCCAGGCATGGTGGCGGGCACCTATAGTCCCAGCTACTTGGGAGGCTGAGGCAGGAGAATCACTTGAACCCAGGAGGCGGAGTTTGCAGTGAGCCAAGATCGCGCCACTGCATTCTAGCCTGGGCAACAGAGCGAGACTCCATCTCAAAAAAAAAGAGAGAGAGAGAGAGGAACTGAGGGGGGCAGCTGTTCCAGGGACTTAGAAGCCCCTTGAGCCTTCCCCAAACCCCAACCTGTGAAGTTCTGAATATCATACACCTCAAAAGCCCACAGGTGCCCCAGGATGAAACACCCCGACTCCCTCACGCGGGCATGTGCACCCACAGCAGGCATGGCTCTGCTTCCACACGCTTCCCTTGGGCGTGACACCTGCCAAACAGCCAAATATGCCTAGGGTCTGAGGCCTCTCAGATCCCCTACCAGAGCCACTAGGCTCCCAGCTGTCCTTCCCTAAGACAAAGCCAGGTTTTAATTCCAGGCAGAGGGAGGGGCTGAAGTGGGGAGAACTGGTGCTGAGAGAGGGATAGGAAGCCTGTTGACATGTTCAGACGCAACTCCAGTAGAAGTGCTGGGCCTGGCAGGGGGCCAGGCCTGAGTCACAGCTGCTGGGCGTATCAACGTGGCATTGTACAGAGGCAGGAGAAGCCTGAGGCCGGAGGCCAGGGCACTGGGGTCCTGGACAATGGGCGGCTGGCTTCCTCACCAGCCGCCCCCTGCAAGGTCTCCTGCCAAGTGCCACTTTCCTTCTTCCTGGCCTCTCTCTCTAGAAATCATTCCGGTGTTGTCACAAAAATGCAGGGGTGGGGCTTGGGGATAGAGCAAAAGAAGTAGTGCCTGGAGGAGGGAGGGATGGCCTAAGAAGATAGTAGAATGTCCTGAAGGGGGCGGGAGGGAGGCCAGTGACCAAAACGAGGGACATTTAGGGGATTCCCTTCACAAGAAGCCAATTCAGCAGCCCCTTAACTCTCTATCTGGTGGCACATAGTTATTAACCCTGAGGACACTGGGAGAGAGTGGGAGCCACACCCCAAGGTCAGGAGAAGAAGTGAGGGAGGACCTAGGCAGTCTGGTCTCACTGCATTCCAGCTCTAGCCTCAGAAGACACAGCTCTCTCCTAGCCAGCAGAAGGTGGCAGTGTTAGAGCTTTGGGAAGAAAGGGGAGCCTTGGTGACCCCAAATAGCCTCCTTCTCAACTGCCCAGAACCTAGACCCCTTGAAATGAAGTCTAGCTCCCCTGAGCCAGACCTAAAGGAACTCATGTGTCCTATCTCCCTTCCATTTGTCCCCGTCAAATTCAGACCACTGTCCTTCTTGCTGCAACTTGAATGTAGTTCTCAAGAAAAGGCCACCCCTCAGCCTCTGCTTTTCTGACTGGACAAGCTTAGGGTCTCCTGTCCACTCTCCACTCTGCCCTCTACCATGACTCAGCGCCCCTGCCGGGCCTGGGATCTCAGCCAGAATTATTCCTGGCTTCAGCAGGCAGGATTCCGGCTTCCTCTCTCACAACTTGGGGGAGGCAGGGGTGAAGGGAGGACTCCCCTTCCCAAACTCTTTCCCCTTCCTTAAGGGATTGGTAGGGGCCAAGACCTCCTCCCAGCCCAGCCGCAGGTTGGGGGAGCCAGTATGGGTGCTGGAAGGGTAGAAGGTGGGCAGCCCAAGGTCACCGTGCCCCTCCCCCCGGTTCCAGGCACTGTTCTCTAATCCTGGCCAGCTCTAAGGTAACAGTTCTGCCTCTCCTAGGCCTTCGCCCTAGCCCCCAACCCGGGTCAATGGGAGCCATTCCTGTGCCGCATCTCCCGTTCCTACTCTATGACACAGCCCTTTCCACCGTCCAGAAGGGAGAGGCATCGAAAACGAGTTGCCCTTTCCTAGTAGCAATGAAAACAAAACATTTGCCAAGAGGGTAATGTCACAATTTAACCATTTCTAACAAACTTTCACGGGGAAATAGAGAAATGTGGTAGTATGTTTAATTCCACAGCTTGTGGGAAACATTTCTATTGAGAACAACATTAGCTATTAACTATATTCACATTATTTATATTTGATTTTACTATTAATAACTTGGTATTTTAGAAGACTGTTTTCTCACTTTGTGGGTCACTGTACTACTTTGGAACCTAAAAGGTCTCTGGAGACTTTCCGCTCCAATCCCTTTCTTTTACAGCTAAGGAAAGCCAGAAAGGGGAGGCGATTTGCTCAAGGTCACACAGCAATTTAGTGAAAGGGCCACACACAGAACTAAGGGCACCGAGGGCTAGGGTGTCCACTATATCACACTGCCTGTCATTTTGTTGGTGGACTACCTTGCCCCTTATTTATTTATTTATTATTAGTATTATTTTTTTGAGACGGAATCTTGCTCTGTCGCCCTGGCTGGAGTGCAGTGGCGTGATCTCGGCTCACTGCAACATCTGCCTCCTGGGTTCAAGCGATTTCTGGTTAATTTTTGTATTTTTAGTAGAGACAGGGTTTCACCATGTTGGCCAGGCTGGTCTCTTAACTCCTGACCTGAAGTGATCTGTTCCCCTCGGCTTCTCAAAGTGCTGGGATTACAGGCGTGAGCCACTGCGCCCGGCTTGCCTTGCCCCTTATTGAGGGATAAGAGACCCTGCAATCTTCCAGAGATCTCCTATAATATTAGAGTTCGGCCTATCAGTACACTGGGACCCCAAGGAGGTGAGAATGGAATGAACCCTGCCCTTGTGTCTGGGTCTCTGAAGACTTGGTCTTGGCTGCTGCAGCTGCTAGGGGTGGCGAGGGGCTGGGGAGGAGGGAAGCAAGGGGGAGGGGAGCAGAAAGCACAGTTGGTAGGTGAAGGGATCTACCAGTTGTCCATCCAGCTGTCCTGGGCTTCAGCGCAGACACTAAGCTACCGAATCACTGGGGGGTGGACCTGGAAGTGGGGGCAATGGGCACATCCATGGAAGAGTAAGTCTCAGACTCCTGGAGGCCAGGGGAAGTGCCAAGCAAGGGCACCAATAGTGGGAAGGCAATAGGGGGTCCTAGTGAGGAATTATTCTCTCTTTTGTTTCTCTTGGGCTTTTTAAGTACTTCTCACCCCCCAGGTTTAGCTGCACCCTTCTTCTTTCCCTTTGAATCAGAACGTGGATTTGGGCTAGGCTCAGTGGCTCTCAGCACTTTGGGAGGTCAAGGTGGGTGGACTGCTTAAGCCCCAGAGTTCAAGACCAGCCTGAGTAACATGGTGAAACCTGGTCTCTACTAAAAATAGAAAAATTAGCCGAGCATGTGGCACGTGCCTATAGTCCCAGCTTCTTGGGAGGCTGAGGTGGGAGGATCACTTGAGCCTGGGAGGTGGAGATTGCAGTAAGCCAAGATCATGCCACTGCACTCCAGCCTGGGCCAGGGAGCGAGACTGTCAAAAAAAAAAAAAAAAAAAAAAAAAGAATGGATTTGGTGGTGGAGGGTTGGAGAGGTAACACCAGGAGATACCCTCAGATAAAGCCCAGGGCCCATGCATCCTCAAAGGTCTCCAACCCCATTAACCTAATGGGTCTGCCAAAAGGCACAGCTTCCTTTCAATCCGGGTGGACAATTCCCATGACAAGTCTCAAGATAGTCTCAAGACAAGAATCACCAGCCTCCCAGAGCTCTGACCGTCTCACGATTGAGGGGCTGGCAGGGGTCCTGGGTCCAGGTATAGGCTGGAGCAAAGGCTATCGATCATATGCTAACAGGCCCTGCAGGACAGCAGAGTTTTGTTTTGTTTTTTTCTTTTTCAGAGACAGGGTCTTTCTCTCTCCCAGGCTAGAGTGCAGTAGTGCAGTCATAGCTCACAATAGCCTCAAACTCCTGGCTTCAGGTGATCCTCCCGCCTCAGCTTCCCAAGCAGCTGGACTACAGGTGTTGACCGGCTAATTTTTTTGTACAGAAGGGGGTCTTGCTATGTTGCCCAGACTGGTCTCAAACTCCTGGCCTCAAGTGATCCTCCTGCCTTAGCCTCCCAAAGCACTGGGATTACAGGCATGAGCCACGAAGTATGGCCATAGAGCACTAAGGTGTCACTGGCCCCAGAGCAGAGTTTCCAGGCTGCAGAAGTGAGCCTCAGCTACCTGACTTCACCTTACCTCACCCTCTAGATCCTCCCTCCAACCTGTCCCCCAAGCTAGAGAAGTGAGGCTTAATGGTAAGAGCACACCCAGCTGGAAGTCATAAGGCCTGTGATCAAGTGCTGACCCCTTTATTGTGTGACATGGGACAAGCATCTGTGCCTCTGTGGCCTTTGCTGTTCTTGTCTTGATCAGAGCCTACATGAACTGGAGCCTGCATCTCCCTGCCTGTCCACACTGGGGCTGCAACAGTGGGCAATCCAGGAAGTTGTCAAGCACCAGGGCCTTTTTGGAGTGGAAGTAGCGCTTCTGCTTTGTGGGCCTCGGATCTCCCCACTTCTGACTCAGCCTTCCTCCATCAGTTTCACATGGGAAGGCACAGACCCTGGCACTATCCTGCAGCCCAATCCATAACTCTGAACTCAACTCTGGATTCTAATTACTTGTGCATGTTACCTGTCCAGAGAGAGCTATGTGTCCAGACACCACCAGAGGGTCTCAGGAAGGAGCCAGGCAAGGGACTCCAGGATGCAATGGGGAGGGGGGCAGAAGAGGTAGACATTCAGACCACCACTCCTCCCTTTAAGACAACTGCTGTCTCCACCCTGTCTCCTGCTGTCTTCTGTAAAGCCACCAGGGTGGGAGGGAGGGGGGCAGCATCTGAGTCATCCACCCAGCTGCCTTGCCTGGGGTGGGGCCCAGCTGCAAGCCTGGACTCCAGACAGGCTTCCCTGGTGCTTACAACCTTCCCATTCTGCCTGCACTTGGGTATCCAAATCCCTTGGGCTACAGACTAGAAAGAGACAGAGAAGGGGCAGGGGGTACCAGGTGCGGTAGCTCATGCCTATACATCCCAGCACTTTGGGAGGCCAAGGCCAAGGCAGGTGGATTACTTGAGCCTAGGAGTTCGAGACCAGCTTGGGCAACACGGTGAAACCCCATCTCTACAAAATATATAAAAATTAGTGGCCGGGTACGGTGGCTCACACCTGTAATCCCAGCACTTTGGGAGGCCAAGGTGGACGGATCACGAGGTCAAGAGATCAAGACCATCCTGGCCAACATGGTGAAACCCCAACTCTACTAAAAATACAAAAATTAACTGGGCGTGATGGCATGTGCCTGTAGTCCCAGCTACTCGGGAGGCTGAGGCAGGAGAATCGCTTGAACCTGGGAGGTGGAGGTTGCAATGAGCCGAGATCGCACCACTGCACTCCAGCCTGGCAACAGAACAAGACTCCGTCTCAAAAAAAAAAAAAGAAAAAAAAAATTAGCTGGGCATGGTGGCACACACTTGTAATCCCAGCTACTCAGGAGGCTGAGGTGGGAGAATCACCAGAGCCTGTGAGGCTGACGTTGCAGTGAGCTGTGATCATGCCACTGCACCCCAGCCTGGGCAACAGAACAAGACCCTGTCTCAAAAAAAGAAGAGAGAGAGAGTATTGGCGAAAGGGGTTTCTTCTTGGAGCCTATAATCCAGCCCAACAGAAGGTCCCCCAAACTCCTGAGTGTGGTTGAGGTACCCAGGCTGGGTCAAAAATTGCTACAGGGTCTTAAAAACAACTTTCCATCCCAACTCCAAATCTGGCCCTGAACTCTGAGCTCTAATTAAACATTAAACCAGACAACACCTTCTCTCTAGGCTTTGGTGGGAGGGGTTGGGAAAATGCCTTTTTTCCTCTCCCAAATTCTTTACTCTACCCACTTCTCTACCTCACTCTGAGCACAGCAGACCCAGCAGGGAGTAACCAATCCTGGCTCCTCCTACTGTGGGCATAGAAGAGGACAGACACCCCAGTCTGAGTCCCCTTTGTCTTCACCCCACTTTCTATCAGCTTGGGATCCAGGTGTGCAAATCCACCTCTCTTTTCCGGAAGCCCAGCCTTTCCAGCCAGGATCAGTGGGGGAGAACAGAGGGAGGTGGCTAAATATAACAAGTACACACACCACCTCCGCCCTGCCCCACATGCGCACATACCCGCCTGGTGTCCCAGGCCTGGACAGCTGCACTAGGAGGCAGAGGAGACAAACTGGCGTGGCTGGGTGAGCAAGAGAATATCGAATCCACTCAATCTGTTTCTCGATCAAAGTTTTGACCAGAAAACTGCTAAAACTGCTAAAAATGTCCTTCACAGGGCTTTGGTAGATGAGTGGACTAGTTTAGAATGCAACGAATTCTCTGGGTCTCCCCTTCCTTGCTTCCTATCTGTCTTGCTAACTAAATTGTTCATATCACTAGTAGAAAAAAGACAGGCCTGGCGTCAGGCCTGGTGGCTTATGCCTGTAATCCCAGTGCTTCCGGAGGCCGAGGCAGGAGGATTGCTTGAGGCCAAAACTTCGGAACCAGCTGAGCAACATAGCAAGTTTCCATCTTTACAAACAAAAAGCAAAAAAAAAAAAAAAAAAAAAAAAATTAGCCAAGCGTGGTGGTGCCTGCCCTTAGTCTCAGCTATTCCGGAAGGTGAGACGGTAGGATCGCTTGAGCCCAGGAGGAGTTCCAGGCTGCAGCAAGTTATGATTGTACCATTGCACTCTAGCCTGAGCAACAGGGCAAGGCCCTGTCTCTGAAAAATATAATAAAAATAAAGAAAAGGACAGGTGTGGTCTCTTTCAGCAGAATGAACCCAGGAGTTCAAGACTGTGGGCAACATGGCAAAACCCCATCTCTACAAAATAATACAAAAACATTAGCTGTGGGTGGTGGTGCCTGCCTGTGGTCCCAGCTACTCAGGAGGCTGAGGCGGGAGGATGGCTTGAGCCAGAGAGGTAGAGGCTGCAGTGAGCCATGACCTTGCCACTGCACTCCAGCCTGGGTAACAGAGTGAAACCCTATCTCAAGAAAAAAAGAAGCCAGGCGCAGTGGCTCCCGTCTCTAATCCCAACACTTTGGGAGGCTGAGGCAGGCAGATCACTTGAGGTCAGGAGTTCGAGATCACCCTGGCCAACATGGTGAAACCCCGTCTCTACTAAAAATATAAAAAGTAGCCGGGCGTGGTGGCAGGCACCTATAGTCCCAGCTACTTGGGAGGCTGAGGCAGGAGCATGGCTTGAACCTGGGAGGCAGAGGTTGCAGTGACCTGAGGTCACACTACTGTACTCCAGCCTGGGCAACAAAGCAAGACTCCGTCTCAAAAAAACAAAATAAAGGTTGATGGCCGGGCATGGTAGCTCACACCTGTAATCCCAGCACTTTGGGAGGCCGAGGCAGGTGGATCATTTGAAGTCAGGAGTTTGAGACCAGCCTAGCCAACATGGTGAAACCCCATCTCTACTAAAAATTAAAAAAAAAAAAAAAAAAAAAAATAGCCATGTGTGGTGGCACACACTTATAATCCCAGCTACTCAGGAGGCTGAGGCAGGAGAATCTTTTGAGCCTGGGAGGCAGAGGTTGTGGTGAGCCAAGATCGCACCACTTCACTCCAGTCTGGGTGACAGAGTAAGACCCTGTCTCAAAAAAAAACCGTTAAGCCTGTCTTCCTACACACAACTTCCATTGACTCTTCAGAAAGAAGGGTGATGGGCCCAGCGTGGTGGCTCATGCCTGTAATCCTAGCACTTTGGGAGGCTGAGGCGGGTGGATCACCTGAGGTTGGGAGTTCAAGACTAGCCTGACGAACATGGAGAAACCCCATCTCTACTAGAAATACAAAATTAGCCCGGCATGGTGGCACATGCCTGTAATCTCAGCTATTCGGGAGGCTGAGGCAGGAGAATCACTTGAACCTGGGAGGCGGAGGTTGCAGTGAGCCGAGATTGTGCCATTGCACTCCAGCCTGGGCAACAAAACCACACCTAGCAAAGGGTTCTAGGAAGAGCAGAAGTTTGGAGTAGATGATAAAAGAGAGAGAAGAAGTCAAAGCCAACAGCCCTTTACGGATCTCCAAGCACCCTTAGTGCTCTTGGCCTGGGTCTGCATAGAGAAAGGGAAGGCAGGAAGAAGGGAAACAAATTTTGATGGGGCTGGAAGAGAGGGCCTATACTTCCAAGCTCCCAAAGGCTTTTTTAGAAAAGAAGAAGGTGCAGTTGAGTAGGGTGGGGTAGGGTGGGGCAGGGGTGGGTAAAGTGGGAGTGGCCTGAATCTTCCAACGGCTGGATTTCAAAAATGTCACTGTATTCCAGCACTTCAATAAGACAAAGATCAAAACGTCAGCAGCTAAGAGGATGGGCCCGAGCAAAGACTGCCTGGCCCCGCTGGGAAAATGAAAGTGGCTCACCCCAAGGAGGGAAGGACAGTGCCCCCAACCCTCGAAGACACTAGGCAGAGGGCCAAGGGAGGAGTGCGGCCAGACCTGGGCATAACACAACTTCCTGAGCTGGGAGCCTCTGCCCTCTGCCTCCCTCCCTCCCTTGCATTCCTGGGCCAAGCAGGCCAAGGGCTGTGGGAGCTGCGGGGGAGCCGATCTCTCATCTCCCGGAGCTCTTTTGGTGGGCCTGTCAGAGCCCAAGGAAGGTCCCAGACACGCAGAGTGGCAGAGTGAGGGAGAACTTCCCAACCCTTAGAACCCAGGACAAGGTCATGCTGAGGGGGGGCCACCGCCAAGCCCTTGGGAGGGAAAAGGGGGATTGCCCTGCCTTCCTGACCTCGCTCCAACACGCTGGACAGATGCCAACTTGAGAGTTATGTCTTAGTGGGCATCATGTGTTCAGAGCCAGCTTGGGCAAAGCTAGCACAGTGCCAAGCCCGCTAACAAAGTTCTAACAGGACCCTTTCTGCCACTCCGATGTGTCCTGGGTGCCCAGAGTTCTTCGAGCTGGCAGGGCTAGTTCTGTTTTGCTCAAGCCCCTCCCCCCGGCTCCAAATAGTTGGCAAATCCCAATCTGACCGAATTCAGGCCGGCCCCAGCCCCAACTTGTCCCTGATACCCCCACCATTCCTTATATCCTCCCCGACCCTCTCCCAGAGACCACCACTTCCCTCTCTGTCCTGTCTTGACAATTCCCCTTGACACTGCCAGTCACCCGCTGGGGGCAGTTCCGGGGAGGGAGGAGACTATGGCAAAGTTATCGGCCTCCAGGCCCTCTCACTCCCTTCCTGCGGCCGGCCAGGGGCGCCGGCCCGCCGCCCTCTCCACTCCCCGCCAGGCACGCAGCCACCTGGGCGAACTCACCGCGCTTTCAGCTCCTTAAACTCCTCACGCACTTTGCTCAGCTCCAGCTGCAGGCGGGCGCGCTCCTTGGCTACTGAGTCAAGGGTCTTGCGGGCATCCCCGAGCTCGGCCTCGTAGGCGGCCTTGATGCCGGACACCTCGCGGCTGACCACCTCTTCAGACTCGGTGATGCGAAGGCGCAGCCCTGCGTTCTCCGTTTCCAGCGAGCGCACACGGTCGATGTAGACCGCCAAGCGATCATTGAGCTCCTGCAGGTCCTCCTTCTCCTGCAGCCGGGTGATGCGGGTGGGCGACAGCGGAGTGGAGCTGGCCTGCGCCCCGCTGCGGGTGGCGCGCCGCTGGGACGGGGTCTCCATGGCCGGCAGGTTGGCAGCGCTGCCCGCGGGGCAGGGGTCCCGGAAAGGGCGCGGGGCTCGGGTCGAAGGACAGAGACTGCTCGGAGTCGGAGTGCGCCGGCCGGCTGGCTCTCGGCTTGCTCCTGGCAGGCGTGGGGATCTGGGCCGGGCGCTGTCGGACCTCGGGATCTGGGTTGGCTGGTGTAGGTGCGGCGCTCCCGCGAACACTGAGTCACCGACGCCGGGGCAAAGGCTCTAATAGGTCCTCCTCTGAAGGGAGGAGGGGCCACTACTCTTAAAGGGGCAGTCCCAGATCCATTGGGGGTGGGGGCGGGAGTGGTGAGGAGGGGGAAGGACCGTTGGGGTGTGGCGGAGTCGGGCCCCACCCTCTCCAGCGCACCCCTAACTGCGTGAGGCTCAAGCTTCCCCTCTCTTGGCTCCTGCCTGCTCAGCACTGTCGGCTCCAAGCTTGCCCCCATTGCCTCAGACCTTCTGGGCTAGAGGGCAGAGCCAAGGAGGGAGAGTGGGTGGGCAAAAGGGTCGGGGAGAAAGAGAGGGAAGTGGGCGCAAAGCAAGGGAGAGGGTCAGGTAGGCAGGGCTGGGAGCCAGGAAAGTGGGGGGAGGGCTGAGGCTGGTGCCCATCAGTGTGACTCACCCTTCTTCCACCACTGGCTCCCCCTGTCCTCCCAGTAGTAATAGTGAGTCACCCCAACCCCCCTCCACACGTGGGCAGCCCATTCAGAGCTGCATCTCAGTGTGCCAGGAGTGGGGTGGAGAAGGAATGCCTGGGTTCCCTGGGGGGAGCAAAGTTCTGGAACCTGAGTTCCTTTATGCCCCCAGTTTGGGGCCAGGGATCAAGGAGTTTGGGGGGTCCCTTTTTTTCTTTCTTTTGCCCCAATCTATCTCTCTTCAAAGCCAAGCATTCGTTTTTAGACCCAAGCAACAAGCCACAGTCCCCTAAAGAAGTCCCCTAAAGAAAGCCAAGAATAGGAGCCAGGCACTGCCCCTTCCATCTCCTGTCCCCTTCCTTTGGACCCAAGCACTGCCTGGGTTCCTTCCCCCTTCAGTCCCTTTCTACTGCTTACCGCACCCAGTCAACTTATTTTTTTCCCCCAGAACTGTACTTATTTTAATGGATAATTTAAAACAGATACCAGAGCTGTGCATGCATTCATTACGTTGCCAAGACACTAGGTCCCAGATTTCTGTGGTTCCCAGAGGGGCCTGAAAGGGGAAGCAGGGCTGGGGGCTGGACAGCCAATATTGGGTCTCTATCCTGGTTTCAGCCAGAAAGAAGGTAGTGGGGGGCAAGAAGGTAGTGGGGGACAGGAACAGCAAAGACCCCACAGCCTTGCTGGCTGCAAAGGCCAGCACCATACTCATCTCTACTTTCCTCTCTGGCCAGGTCCATTCTGCAGCTGGCTCTGGGGAGGGGCCAGGCTCTCTCACAAAACGAGATCACTCAGGTCCCCAGGGTTCGCTACCTCAGGCTCTGGAGCCTCCATCCTCAGGCCTCACCAAGGACCCTTTTGATAAGCCTTCCACTCCCCTCCCCTCATCCTGGCCCCTATCCTGGTCCCACCATCCACCTCATCCTCTGTTTGTTTGTTTTTTTTGTTTGTTTGTTTGTTTTTTTGAGATTAAGTCTTGCTCTCTCACCCAGGCTGGAGTGCAGTGGCATGATCTCAGCTCATTGCAATCTCCACCTCCCGGGTTCAAGAGATTCTCCTGCCTCAGCCTCCTGAGTAGCTGGGATTATAGGCACCTGCCACCAAGCCCAGCTAATTTTTTTTTTATTTTTATTTTTAGTAGAGATGGGGTTTCACCATGTTGGCCAAACTGGTCTCAAACTCCCGACCTCAGGTAATCTGCCTGCCTCAGCTTCCCAAAGTTCTGGGATTACAGATGTGAGCCACCATGCCCGTCCCACCTTATCCTCTCTAAGAGGTGACAGCATTGAGGCCTGGGTCCCATCTGCCTGCATGCCCTGCCCAACTGCCTCCCACAGCTTATCCTCCGATGAGCAACCAGGGAAATCAAATTATGTTGCTACCTTGTACAGCTCCAAGATATCAGGGCTTCCCTCAAACACAAGGAAAGCAGGGCTGGACAGGCCCTCAGTTCTGGGTTCTGAAGCCTGGCCTCGGGGTGGATGAGGGACTGGAGTGGGATTAAGGCAGGAACTTTGGTTATTAGGGGAGGGGAACAAGGAAAGTTCTCATCTCAGTGAGGGTGCCTGGGCAGCATGGTGAGCACTAGGGATGCACCCGGATGAGGGGGCCCAGAATATGGCTTCTCTCCCCCAGGGCGTGGCACCCACCCTCAGCTTCCCAGACAATAAAAAGTCTTGTTCTTCTCCACACCAGAAGCAGAGGCAGGAGGGGTAAGCCAGTGAAACGTGAGGGAAGGGTTCATGCTGTTCCCACTGCCTCAGCCCCTCCCTGGCACTCAGTGCCCCCTTTTCCCCTACCCAGCTGCTTGGCCTGGCTTCCTTTCCAGGCTGGGAAAGCTAAACCACACTTAACCCTTCCTGTCCTAGACCTCCCCGCTCTTTTTTTGAGAATCTTGGTCTGTCGCCCAGGCTGGAGTGCGGTGGCAGGATCATAGCTCACTGCAACCTTGAATTCCTGGGTTCAAGTGATTCTTTTATCTCAGCCTCCTGAGTAGCTGAGACTATAGGCTATCATGATAGAGACGGAGCCTTGCTATGTTGCCCAATTTGGTCTAAAACTCCTGGCCCCAAATGATCCTCACTTCAGCCTTCCAAAGCGCTGGGATTATAGGTGTGAGCCACTGTGTCTGGCCAGACCTCCCCATCTTGTGGAAAAGGTGCAGGAGAAAGAAGGAGGGCTTTCACCCCAAATTTCACTCCAAGCTCTTTCTAAAGGTTCCCTGCGACCACCATCAAAATGGCCTCAATCCTAAATCTGAACTTCAAAGTGAAACTTTATCCTGAATATTCAATCCTAACTCTGGACTCCAGATGTCATAAGTCTGCTCTCCCTTTGCCAGGGCAAAAATCACCAACCCAGAAGCAGCAGCCAGGTCCAGAGGAGCTGAGCCTGCTGGAGGTGAGAGGTGATGGGAGTGGTGGCTAGAGGGTGACCACATTCTAATCCTACCTCTTAACTGCTGAGTGATGCTAGATCTGCTACTGAATTCTCTGGACCTCAGTTTTCTTACCTGTAGTATGGGTAGAGTGGCTATCAAAGACGGGGACTGAGCTCCTGGGTGTGCAAGAGTTCTGCACACTATGCCACAGGGTGATAGCAATACTATGCTTGCTCCCAAGGGAGCCTCCCACCAGTGGGAAAGACAGAGGGAGAAGCAAAACCAACAAGCACAAATGATTAAAGAGCAGTAGAGGACTCTGAATTGGATGAATTCCAAAGGGATCCCAGAAGTCTGGGAGCTGGAGCATGCATGAGTGAAATCAGCATGCAGTGGTTGGGTCCAACGGACGGTTTGAGAATTTTTTTTTTTTTTTTTTGAGACAGAGTTTTGCTCTTGTCACCCAGGCTGAAGTGCAACAGTACAATCTCAGCTCACTGCAACCTCTGCCTCCCAGGTTCAAGCGCTTCTCCTGCCTTAGCCTCCTGAGTAGCTGGGATTACAGGCGTGTGCCACCACGCCCGGCTAATTTTTGTATTTTGAGTAGAGATGAGGTTTCACCATGTTGGCCAGGCTGGTCTCGAACTCCTGACCTCAAGTGCCCCCTCACCTTAGCCTCCCAAAGTGTGAGATTACAGGCATGAGCCACTGCACCAGGCCTAGGCACTTTATCTTGAAGACCAATGACCTTGATTGGGTGGGGGGGCTCCTCTGTGTTCTTATAGCATCCTAGTGTTTCCTCTGTGACCCCCATTCCTGAAAGTGCTGTGAGGGACAGAAAGGACCAAGTCTTGGTCATCTGTCTCCCTAACACCTGGCACACAGCAGGCACTCGGTGTTTCTAATTTTTTTTGAGTTGGAGTCTCGCTCTGTTGCCCAGGCTGGAGTGCAGTGGCACAATCTCGGCTCACTGCAACCTCTGCCTTCCATGTTCAAGCGATTTGCCTGCCTCAGCCTCAAGGGTTGCTGGGATTATAGGCACCCACCACCACACCCGGCTAATTTTTATATTTTTAGTAGACACAGGGTTTCCCCATGTTGGCCAGGCTGGTCTCGAACTCCTGACCTCAGATGATCTGCCTGCCTTGGCCTCTCAAAGTGCTGGGATTACAGGCATGAGCCACCGCACCCAGCCTCTTTATTTTTTTAAGAGATGGGGGTCTCACTATGTTGCCAAGTTGGTCTTGAACTCCTGGAGTCAAGTGATCCTCCCACCTCAGCCTCCCAAAGTGCTGGGATCACGGGTGCCAGCCACCATGCCCAGCCCTCTCAGGGTTTCTTGGATAAACAAATGCATCTGGCCCTGCCACTTTTCAGGTCAGTGACTCTGGACAAGTTTTTCCAGCGTTAGTTTCATCATCTGTAAAATGGGGATGTGCAATAACTAAATAAGGTTACATACATTTGAAGGAGGGCTTCTTGGAGAAGGAAGATTTAGGGGCTTTACAGAACTGCCTTATACACAGAGAATTCATTCATTCAACAAATATTTATTGAACATCTACTATATACCAGGAACTATTCTAGACACCAGGGATGCAGAAGTGAATAAAACAGACAAAAATCCCTACCCTTATGGAGCTGACATTCTAGTGGAGGGAGACAGTCAATAAACCAAAGACAAAGTTATAGTTTGTTAGAACACGGTAGGAGCTATGGAAATAAAAATATAAAGCAGAGGCTGAGCATGGTGGCTCACACCCATAATCCCAATACTTGGGGAGTCCGAGACAGGCAGATTGCAGATTGCTTGAGCCCAGGAGTTCAAGACCAACCTGGCCAACATAGTGAAACCCCATCTCTTAAAAAAAAAATTAGCTGGGGGTGGTGGCACATGCCTCTAGTCCCAGCTACCCAGGAGGCTAAGATGGGAGGATCACCTGAGCTTGGGAGGTCAAGGCTGCAGTGAGCTGTGATTGCACTACTGCACTCCAGCCTGAGCAAGAGAGAAACCCTGTCTCAAAAAAAAAATTACATATATATGTGTGTGTGTATATATATATATATATGCACACACACACACACACACATACATACATGCATACATTTAGCAGAATAATGCTCACACAGTGAATAACTTACATTTTAACAATCTTTATAGTTGTTGCATGTTTTCATACATTCTCAACTGGGTCCATACAACAACCTCATGGGTTGGAAATTATTTCCCTGCTTTGCAGATGAGGCTGACTTTCCTAAAACTAGGCCGTAAGTAACAGGCCCAGTGCAGAACTGGGACCAGGCAGTCTGGTCCAAATCCTGGACATGCTTCTCTGTCTTCTGCCACTCTGGCTGGAGGAAGTCTGTGCAGAGGTGCTGAAGTGGGAAAAAGCTGAGTGTGCTCTGACCTGCCAAGGGGCATGGGGAGCCACTAGAGGTAAGGCTGGAAAGAGGGGGAAGAGAGACGGGAAGGGAGAAGTGGGAGGTGGAGGCAGGGGCCTGGTGCTGGGATGGGGCCTGAGGGAGAGGCTTCCAGCTGCTTGATAGGCCTTGAGGTCAAGGAGAGAAGGAAAGCATCAAGACCAGTGAAGAAAGAGTCAGGAGCACTGGCCTTGGCAAGAAATAAGCCAAACTAGGGTCCGGTGGGTTCAGCCCAGTGATGAAGCCAGGAGGGATTCCAGAGGCATGCTAAGAACCATTCGTGTAGGGAATATTTATGGACTACCTTTATTATTAGGCACTAGGTACTTGCATTATTTTGTTGGACCAATACAATAGCTCTACAAGGTAGATACTATTAATAGCCCTATTTTACAGATGAGGAAACTGAAGCCCAGAAAGGTTAAATTATTCATTTAAGGTCAGGTTTCTCAACCTTGGCACTACTGAATTTTGGGCCAGATAATTCTCTGTTGTCAGAGAAGGTTCTTTGTACTCTGAGATGGTTTGTAACATCCCTAGCCTCTCCCGACTTTAGGCCAGTAGCACTTCCATTCCCAGTTATGACAATCAAAAATATCTTCAGGCATTGCCTAACATCCCCTGGGGGATAAAATTACCCCTTATTGAGAATCACTTGTCTAAGGTCATATGGTTAGTAACAGAACTGGATTTTTTTTTTTTTGAGATGGAGTTTCGCCCGTTGCCTGGGCTGGAGTGCAATGGCACGATCTCAGCTCACTGCAACCTGCACCTCCTGAATTCAAGCGATTCTCCTGCCTCAGCCTCCCGAGTAGCTGGGACTACAACCATGCGCCACTAAAAAATTAGCCCAGCTAATTTTTTTGTATTTTTAGTAGAGACGGGATTTCACCATGTAACTCCTGACCTCAGGTGATCTGGTCACCTCAGCCTCCGAAAGTGCTGGGATTACAGGCATGAGCCACCACGCCCAGCCAGAACTGAAATTTTAATACGAGTTTGCCTGAATTGGAAAGCCAAGATCTTACCATCAGGTGGCTAGAACCCTGGACAGGTAGGAGTCAGAGACAGGCGACTCTTTGGAGGAGGGTCTGAGGAGGTGGAGGTGATGTACAGATTCTGGGACATGGTTTGGGAATCTCTTTATAGTGAGTTCTTGAGGGAGGGTCTTATTCATCCTTTGACTACAGGGTATTAAACAATGATTGAAGTGCTGAGTCACTCATGTGCAGGTGATAGTTATAACCTTGACAGTGGAAGACCGTGCCTACTCTTTAAGGGGCTGCCATGTGCCAGCAACCAGGCTAGGGGCTATATGGAGGTGATCCCATTTAATCTTCACCTCAATCTTATGAGGTAGGTATTATTATCTGCATTTTATGTGTCAAGAACCCAAATTCCGGCTGGGAGCAGTGGCTCACACCTGTAATCTCAGCATTTTGGGAGGCTGAGGTGGGTGGATTACTTGAGGTCAGGAGTTCAAGACCAGCCTGGCCAACATGGTAAAACTCCATCTCTACCAAAAATACAAAAAATCAGCTGGGCGTGGTGGCATGCACCTGTAATCCCAGCTACTCAGGGAGCTGAGGCAGGAGATCATGTCACTGCACTCCAGCCTGGGTGACAGAGTGAGACTCCATCTCAAAAAAAAAGAAAAAAAAGAAAAAAAAAACAACAACCCAAACTCCACGAGGTTGTAATTGACCTGAGGTAGCACAGCTGAGTAGATTTCTTCTCAGGCTCAGCAAGGGGGAATGAGGCAGGCTCATAGGTGGTGCCGGGTGAGAAGCGGGCCCTTAGATGGAGCAAGTGAATGACAGCTATTTGTAAAGTCAGAGATCCCCCTCACTCAAATGAAATCTCACCCAAAAAGCACAATCTACTAAATGACAGAGGCAGAGCTTCTCTACTTAGGGAGCTTGAGGCCCCTGCCTGGTTGATCCCCCCAGCCCACTTCCAGGAGGCCCCTGGGCTCTGAGGAATAAGCCCCTTTCTTTATAAGTGGAATTCTGAGGCCAGAGGAGGAAAGATTTGCCCAAAGTCACACAGCCAGGCAGGGTCAAAACCTCCAAGACAGCACTGCAGCTCAGTGCCACGCTGCCATGGGAGACAGGGCAGCCACACTGGACAGATGTCAAAGAGCAGGTCCACTTAGGGACTGGCATGGGTTCCTACAAAGTCGGGAAGTGGCTGCTGGGCTCACTGAGCCAGCGGGGCTGGAGGGGCGACTGGATAAGTAGTAACCAAGCCCTCCCACCTGCCCCAGTCCCCCCGGTGACAAGCTTTTCACAATCAAGGTTACTACCTTAGCCTTCTCAAATTTCTTTGAGGTGCACAGGCAAGCACCATTATCTGCATATTACAGCTGAGGAGACAGAGGCTTAGGCAGGCTAACTGATTGTCTCCAGGCCACACAGCTGACAAGTGACAGAAGCAGGCCCAAACCCCAGGTTTCTGCCTCCAGGTTAAATATACTCTTTCCCTCTTCGACCCAGATCCCAAGGAACCCAATCCAACAGCAAAATCCTACAGTCTCCCCAGGAGCTCCATTCCCGGCATTCCAAACCACCTCCCCCACCCAACCAGGCCCAAATCGCCACCTCACTTGTGAGTCTCAGGCTCCCTGAACTGTCACAATACACACCAGACTATTGCCAGTCAAATAGAAATCGGGCAGCAGGCAGAAGGAAATTCAGCAGAAATTCAGCAGTGACATCTCCTTCCTTTCTCTTGTCCATCCCCGAGCTTTGGCCCCTCACCACCTGGGGGAAGGTGTTAAGGGGGGAACGCTGCCGGGGGCGGTGGGGGGGTGGGGACAGAGGCGTGGGGGGGTGGGGACAGAGGCGTGGGTGGGGCCATGTGGGCCGGCGGCGTCCCAGGCAAATCAGTAGGGGCGGGTAGTCGGACTGGATTCAGGCGGGGCTGTTCTCCCCACTCCACACCCCGCAGGCGGGCAGCGAGGGCCTGACGGCTGGTGCTGACGCAGGCGACTGCGTGTGGGCGGCCGCGTGTGAGTCTGTGTGTCTCTGTGTGTGTGTGGTTGCTGGGGCCTCCCCGGCCTCCTAAATGGGGGTTTCCTTTCCCTGTTGCCAAGGAAACAAACAGAAGCGCCACAACTCCAGGACTGGAGCTGGAGGAGAGGGCCCCCTCGCCCCATAGCTCACGCCCCTACACATTTCCAGGAAGTGAGGCAGAAAAGGATTCCCTTTCTCCCTCACCCTCAACCCAGTGTGGGCCAAATGTTTGTGGAGCCTGAAACTAGGGTGGGCAATTGCCCTGGGTTTGCCGGGGACTGAGGAGTCTCCTAGGATAAGGGAATTTTTTTTTTTTTTTGAGACGGAGTCTCGCTGTGTCTCCCAGGCTGGAGTGTAGTGGCGCGATCTCGGCTCACTGCAAGCCCCGCCTCCCGGGTTCACGCCATTCTCCGGCCTCAGCCTCCCTAGTACCTGGGACTACAGGAGCCAGCCACCACGCCCCGCTATTTTTTTGTTTTTTGTTTTCTGTTTTTTTTTAAGTAGAGACGGGGTTTCACCGTGTTAGCCAGGATGGTCTCGGTCTCCTGGCCTCGTGATCCGCCTGCCTCGGCCTCCCAAAGTGCTGGGATTACAGGCGTGAGCCACCGTGCCTGGCCAGATAAGGGACTTTTAATGCTAAAATAGGGACAGTTGTTCATCCTACCTAAAGTGCACACAATTTTGTGGGGAGGCCCTCTTTAAGAAATACAAAATGATCTTTTTGCAAATGTTATGGACATGGGATCATGTGGAAAGTTTGGCAGGGCTCCTCTTCGGGTCTTGAAAGGGCCCGTGCAACTGAGAGGCCCTGAAACTTCACTTTCCTTTGCTCCCTGGTGAATCCACTCCAGTCCACAGCCCCTGCAGCCCTCACACTCCTCAAGGTCCCCGTTGAAAGCTCTCCTCTGGCCCTCAGGCCAGGAGGTCAACTAGGAAAGTGAACTCCCAGCCAGGAGGGTGGTGGTGAATCTGCAGGAGATTTCCTGGCCGCTGGGGTGGAGCAAGGGGCACTCTCAGGAGGAGTGGGGAGGGGGGCTGCCAAGTAGAGTAGGGATGGCTGGGGTCTCCGCCCTGTGGGATGGGGAAGGGACTGCACTTGGGCCAGCGTTTCATCATTCATTGCCTAGAAGTAGAACTTCAGAGCTGGGAGGAGTCTTAAGGCATCGTGCAGCCCAACCACCTCCCTTCTAGATCCACATTAGTCCAACTCCCCAGATTCCCCTGTCTGCTATCCCTAAGCCAGCCCACAGGCCCGCCCCAGAGGAGCACCCCATTGGCCCTCTTTGCCGGGTGAGCTCCAAGCTTGCACAGCATGCCAAGAGCCCACCTCACTTTGGCCTTGACCTCTGAGGGGCTCTCCGTCAGTGACAGGTAATGAGAAAACCACTGGGGGAGGAGGATGAGAGGGGTCTGGCTGGGAAGGACAGGAAGACAGGCTAAAACTGGCATGCTCTCAGGCCCTGGCCCGCTCAGGCTACCCAGGGAGGAGCTAAGGGGGCATCTGTTTCCTCTTGGCCATGGTCCCCTCAGTCCTACCCCAGAGGAGGTGAAAATGGTGCTGGCTTCCTGATGCAGAGCTTCCTGGCCTGGGAGTGCAGTATGGGGTCCAGCAAAACATTCCCATATGCCCTCTCTTCTCTCCCCTTGGAGCTTGGTGGAGCTAAGGTTTAGAGGTGGAAGGTGTGTTTCCTGTTGGAGGAAAGGAAAGAGATGTTGGGGCTAACTGAGCACCGACGACGCACTAGCCGTTGCCAGGCTGGGGTCCCAGTGAGATGTAGCGGGGGAGAAGCAGAGGACCTGTGTGGCTTAGGGGGTGGGACCTCACTCAGGCCCCTTGGTGAATGGATCCAGGAGTGGAGGATGGACGAGAGAGACCTGGGCACAGAGGATGAGTGGGGATGAAGGAGAGTAAAAGGGAGACAGGGAAGAGGTTGGGGAGGAAATCAACCATGAGGGAGGGGGTGAGGACCACATTTAGAATCCAGTCCAGGGGGCTCTGGAATAGGGAACTGAACAGAGGGGAGACTCATAAATTGAGGAGGGGGCAACTACCTCGGCTGACGCCAGTGCTCCAGCCCCAGATCCTGTTGGGGCAAATATTTACCAGACGACAACAGTTGCTAAGCAAGGAGGAAGGAGGAGGGAGGCCAGTAGCTGCAGGCCCTTCCAGGCTCCTCCCCAACAAAAGCCAGCCTACACAGGCCTGAGCCACCGCTCCCCACCCGAGCTGGGAGGCTGAGCTATACCCCTCCATACACGCACCTCTTGGGATCACCCCGACCCCTGCCGCCCAACACGCCCAAGCTGGCAATATGCCAGAGAGCTGGGCTAAGGGAAAATCCCTGGGCTGCCAGGCCTTCCCTCTACTCTGGGACATCTCTTGGGGCTCAGACCTTGCAAAATGTCCCCTTCCCAATCCCTCCTTCAGTGGGGGCTGTGAAGGGGGGAGCCAAGGAGTGTGGATATGATGAGGGAGGGTGTGCTGAAGAATGGAGCCAGGATGTCCCAGGAACTGAGGCCGGGTTCGGGGAAGGAAAGGAGTGACTCCACTAGAGGCTTCGAAAGGGCAGGGGAGCAGGGCTGGTGGAGCCAGAGAAGGGGGTCCAGAGGGCCACTCCCTACTCTGGTCCTTGGGCAGGGGAGGGCGTTGAGGGATAAAGAGCAGGGAGGGTGGGGTATGTTCAAATGGAGCCAGATGTGGCCCTGTGATGTGGGCTGTTGTTGGCACAGGCACAGCAGGGGCAGGACATGCCACTGCCGATGGAAAGGATTAGTCAGAAACTGGGAGGGGGCAGCCCCCGGAGAGGGGACACAGGAGAGCTAGTCCAGGACCCCTTCCTTCTCCCCGCCCGAATGAGGGCTTGCAAGGAGGGGTTGGCTAGGGGTATGCGCTGCCCTCCCATCTCCTCCTCAAGGGGGCCACCATCTGCCCACCATCCTTAAGGTTCCCACCCATTTTCCTGGCTGAGCCTCAGCTACTGTATGCAAAATGGGGATCCTGGCACCCTCCCCACAGCTGTTAGAGGAGTCCCAGACAGAGGAAGTGCGAGGGCCCAGCACACAAGAGGGGCATACTGGGGGCCCTCTTCCTTGGCGGCCTCATTAGGATGAGGACCCTCCTCTGCAAGACTTCTCCCTGGGGGTCGATCGCTGGCTTCTCACCCTCAGCCACAGGCCCTCTGGAAACTGGGATGCAGAGATGGGCGGGAAGGACTGGTAGGCAGGACACAAAGAGGAAGCTGTGGGGGCAGGAAGGAGGTTCCTAGAGCCCAGGACTTCCTGGTGCCTATGGAGGTTCTCCAGGGTTGGAGGGTTGGCCAGAGCAGCTGCAGGGACAAAGTCCCCAGCTCAGCTGCAGCCCCCATGGGTCCACCTTGAGGCAAGGATAGATGAGGGCTTGGCTGTGAAATGAAACCAGGGGAGAGACGGAAGCTGCACCACGGGATGGACTTCTCAGTGCCTCTGCAACAGCACAAGTCCCCAGGGAGAAGTGGGAAGGGATCCCAGGAAATAAGGCAGACCCGAAGGGTGGGCCGGGACGCAGCAGTTACGGGAAGACCTATAGACACAGCATATGGGACCCTTGGAGAGCTGGGCCCAAGCTGGCAACCAAAAGACTGTTGTTTTCCAAACTCCCATCGGAAAGTTTGAAAAATACACATGGAAACGTGACTCACTGCCCCCTCCCCATGGCCCCCCTTTCCTGATTTCTGTGATTTTTCTCCCAAGAGTTAATTCAAGTCACATTCCCACAGAAACCAAAGCTTAATGAAGGAGCGCAAAGAGCCGGCTGCAGGAGGCCAGAGGCGCCCAGGAGGGGCTGGAAATGGAGATGAGCACTGGGTGGGCCAGGGCAGACTGGGCTGCGGCGTTCTGCCCACTGTGGAACGCCTCGGGTGGGGGAAAATTCAGCTCTCTCGAGGGTGGAGATGGAAGGGTTCATTCACACCACCTAAACCAAACCATCTTGAAGACCCAGTTTTAGGACAAGAATGAGCCCTTGGGTGCTCACAGCTCCTAACCAGAGGTGACAGAACCAGGACTGAAACCTGGGTGCCCTTGCCCTGCCTGGGTGTCTGCGGTATGTCAACTGTACCTTGCTGCCCTCTGTACCCCAGGCCCAGAGAACTTGCTTTCTGGCCTCTTACTCAGAATCCATTCCTGGGGCCACAACTGAGCCTAGAAGTCCAGGATGGGGGAAGTGAGGAACACCCCTGAATTCACTCACCTCCACTCCACTGTCCCGCCCCCGTGTATCACGGAGCAGGTGCACAGGCACATTCCTCCCTTTGGGCTGGGGAGCATCAAGGCCGGCCTGCCCCAACAGGGTATTTCTGAGCCAGGAATTCCCAGCCTGTCCCAGAGAGACTAGGGAAGGCGAGGGCCTGGCACTGGGCCAAGGGTGAGTGGCCTTCCACTCTTGAGAATTCTTAGAAGACGACCCCAAGTATTCCCAGACCAGGAGTGATTCCTAAGCATCCATAACTCATCATCACTCCTTGGATATCTCAGATGGAGTTCATGTCTCCCAACACACAGCTTCACTCTGCTCCTCCTTCCTCAGCCTCTCCTCCTTCATCTCCCTTGGCCAATGAGCCCCCAAGTCCTTGTGGTTCCTACCTCCAGAATTGTTATCTGTTCTATGTTCTACCTCCAGCTCTCTGGTCTGCTCACCACCAACCCCCACCTGGATAACTGCAGCGGCCTCACAACCAGTCTCTCTGCCTCCACCCTTGCCTCTGCTCCCATCCTTTCTCCTCTATAAACCATAGTGATTCCCTCGCTCCCTCCCTCCCTCCCTCCCTCCCTCCCTCCCTTCCTTCCTTCCGTCCTTCCTTCCTGGGTAACTGCAGCAGCCTCCCAACCAGTCTCTCTGCCTCCACCCTTGCCTCTGCTCCCATTGTTTCTCCTTCCCACAGTGATTCCCTCCCTCCCTTCCTTCCTTCCCTCTCTCCTTTTGAGACAGGATCTTGCTTTGTCATCCAGCAGGCTGGAGTGCATTGGTGCAATCATAGCTCACTGCAATCCAAAATTCATGGGCTCAAGTGATCCTCCTGCCTCAGCCTCCTGAGTAGCTGGGACCAGGTTCATGCAACCACAACCAACTAATTATTTTTATTTTTATTTGTAGAGCTGGGGTCTCACTTTGTTGCCCAGGCTATTCTCGAACTGCGGGGCTCAAAGAGATCCTTCCACCTTGACCTCCTAAAAGTGTTGGGATTATAGGCGTGAGGTGCCACGCCCAGCCCACAGCGATCTTTTCAAAATGAAAGCCTCATTTTGTTTCCAGAAGACTTTAAACTAACAGTGGCTCCACATTGTATTTAGGATAAGTCCAAATTCCTTGACCTGACTTGTAATGCCCTCCGAGACCTAGGCTCTGCTTGCATCTCTAGCCTTATCTAAATTCCAGCAATCTCAACCTCTCTCATTGCTTTCTGACTAATTTTTCCAGACATGGCATTTACTTTACCCTCTGATCAACTCCTACTCATCATCCAGGCTCAGCTAAAAGTGCCACTAAGTCTGGATTAAATGTCCCCACTCGCCACCAGTATCCCTTGTCACACTGTCTGTGACATTGTCTGTGTATGTGTGTCTTCCCCCATTAGAGGGACTCCTCAAGGGTAGAGACTGGGTGGATCTGGTGCTCTGCCAGCACCTGGCACAGTGCCTGGTGCACAAAAGGTTCTCAATACATGTTTGAGTAGAGTATCCTCATCATAGCCCCCTCACCAACCAGCAACCTCGATGTGCTCTACTCCTTCCTCTACTCTTCCCACACACCTTACTCCTCAGCACCTCATTCTAAACTCCCCTTCCTCCTGCAGGCCCCACCTTCACTGCCTCCCTTCATCTGAGCTCCCTGTGTGCACTGCAACCAGGCCTCCCTCCAACCTAGCCTGGGGCACGGTCACAATAACAATAGTAAGGAGAGCTACTGTTTAGAGAGCACTCACCATGTGTCAGGACCTGTTCTAGGCTCTTTCCATTCCTTGGCTCATTTCATAACCAGCAGGAGCTAAAAAAGGGGGTTGGCCCTATGACCTAACTTGTCTGATGGTTCAGGACAGGTCCCTCCAGGAGATTATTAACTCCATAGTCACCATGTGTAAAGGAGATGGGTGTGCACTAGACCTCGATAAAAGTTTTTCAAGGGAAGGAACAATATAATTGCCTACCTATAAAGCAGGTCCTATCACTAGTAAAACATTATGTCTGGGCAGCCCTGGGAGGTGAGCATGGCAAGGTCATTATTCTCATTTTATAGAGGAGAACTCCCTCTAAGTGAGTGGAGAGGAACCTGCTTCCAGCCACACTGGTGGTAATGAGCTCTCTTCCAAAGTGCAGCACCTCCAGGGCTATGCAGAGGGGTCCTGAGTGGTATGTGACAGGGAGGTGCTATGCCAGGCTGGATGGAGCCCTCCAGACCATTCATCTAGTGATCTCAACCCTCACTGGGCATCAACATTGCTTGGAGGAAGGGGGCTTTCAAAACTGCAAATGCCCAAAGTCTTGGATATTTTGATTAGTAATTGATCTGGGGTGACACATGGGCATTTTTCTTTTTTTTTTTTTTTTTTTTGTCACCCAGGCTGGAGTGCAGTGGCACCATCTCGGCTCACTGCAGCCTCTGCCTCCTGAGCTCAAGCAATTCTTTTGCCTCAGCCTCCTGAGTAGCTGAGATTACAGGTGCACACCAGCACGCCCAGCTAATTTTTGTATTTTTAGTAGACTCTGTAGGGTTTTCGCCATGTTGGCCAGGCTGGTCTTGAACTCCCAAGCTCAGATGATCCACCACCTCGGCCTCCTAAAGTGCTAGGATTACGGTGTGAGCCACTATGCCTGGCCTAAATTATTTTTTAGAGATGGTGTCTTACTCTATTGTCCCTCACTGCAGCCTTAAAACTCCTGGGCTCAAGCAATCCTCCTGCCCCAGCCTCATGTGTAGCTAGGACAGAACTTTTATTATCAGTTCCATTTTACAGGTGAGAAAACAAAGCACAAAGGGTCCAATGTTGCACAATTAATAAACGGTGGAGCTGGGATTCAAACCCTAGAGACCTAGCTTCAAAGGCCACATTCTCAACCTTGACTCCATAGCTGTCAACCCCAAAGTTGCAAAGCAGCCAGTGGTGGAGCTAGGCCCAGAATGCAAGTCTCCTCTGGGCAGAAAAGTCAGAGAGCCAGTGAAGGTGAATAAACCAAGGCCAGAAAAGCCACAATCCAGGCCTAGAAGGCTAGTAGCTCCTAGGAGCTAAGGAACTAAGGCCTAATTGCTAAGGAGAGGGCTCCAGGGCCCTCTCCTTCAAAGGGAAGGAAGGGGCTGACAGTGGGGCAGCCTTTGCCTGCCTGCCTCCCTCCCTGCCAACGGGGAGCCCTGACCAACCCCAGCTGAGTTGTCACCTCCCTGTGCTAATTGATGCAGCTTCCTAATTGCCCATCATGAGGAGGCAATTAAGCCCGATTAGAAAGCCAGAGCTAATTAGTGCTCAGCTTCCCACAGCCTCTGGGCACCCCAGGGGTCTACAGGAACCTGCTGCCCACCCCCAGGGAGAACTGTTGCTTGTATCAAGCATACTGGAAGTTTATGTTCCTCCCTTTCTCTCCCAAGGATGGGGGTGGGAGGGGTGAGCATCATGGCTTACCCCTTACCTTTGCACTGCAGGGTAGCTCTATCTCAGTCCCACTAGACATGACTTGCCTTCCCTGACAACTGACAACATTCATGTCACCCCACAGTTCACAAGTACTCTCCCACCACCCCCTCCATCCTCTCCACAAGCCTGCAGGTAGGGTATCCTGAGTTACCACTGGGGCTCAGAAAAGGTAAGTGATTTGTCTGGGATCACACAGCCCATTTTGACCACAGATCTTGTACCCCTAACATACATATGTGAGAAGTCTTTCCCATGATCTCACCTCAGTTATTCCTGATGTAACATGGTAGACAGTCGGGCCATGAGTTGCGTACCTTCTTTTCACATGGCATTTTATGCTAGGTTATCCAATTTCATCTGTCTCACTCCATCTGTTCATCTACCTGACTCCCATCCTAAGAACTCAATGCCAAATTCAAGAAGTCCTTTCTGGGATTACAGAACCTGAAGTCTGTGGACAGGGAATCTAGTTCACTCTTCCATTAACTTGCTCTGTGACCTCAGAAAAATTGCTCCCCTTCTATGAGCCTCAGCTTTCACACCTTCAAAACAAGAGAACCAGACTGGAAGATTTCTAAGGTCTTTCCAACCTCCATCCCTTCTACTACAAGGGAATAGATGATGAGGGCCTGAACTATGCTCTTGCATGCTATCAAGGCCCAGGGTGAGATGGGCATACCCCTTTTGTACTGAAATTGTGTGGGCCCCAAAGCTGAACAAGAATGAAACTATCCTGACAGGGACTAAAAGGCTGGGAACTCCCAGGCTATAGCAGAAGCTGGAGGATAGGGGTGATGGTGGTGGGTGGTGTAGACATGATGATCACACACACACACACACGCACGCACACACGCACACGCACCCCTGCCCCTAGGACCAGGGCAGAGAGAAAACGGTGGGGGAGCTACCATCCAGTTGGATGGACTGGAACTGGGGCCTACTCTCTTGGGCTTGGAGGAGAGTGAGAGGTAGGCTGGCTGCCCAGGTTCTGGCCCACATTAGGCCATGCAGTTGGCCAGCTTTCCTCCGTATCAGTGTTGGGCTCGCATAGGGCAGGGCAGGCAGGGAGGCTAGGGGCCTTGGGGTCCATCTCCTCTGGGGTCTGAACCATCCTCTAACTCTCATGCTCCTGCTCTTCCTTTTCTGCTTTCTGGGCCTTCCCAAGCATGGTAAAGAGTCAGGCTAGCCTGGGTTCCAATCCTGGCTCTGCCACTCATGTCCTGCCCATGGCACCGTGGGCCAGGCTGAGAGTTTCCTCTTTGATAAAACAGGGATAACGGTAATTCCATAGGACTGTTGTGAGCAATAAGTGATATAAGTGATATGTGCATGTACGGCGTGGAGCAAAGCGCCTGCCCCTTATTGGGGCTCAGTTCTGCCATCCCTCAGTTTCCCTGCCAGTAGCTGGCAGAGCAGAGATCCAAGGCCTGGGCTGGGGGAATGCATGCTCAGCAGTGAGAAGGAGCCACAAGGCATCCGGTCCCCAGCACCAGGTCACTCTGCAGCCTTCCCTTTCCTGTGGTGAATCACTGCTTGCGGGCCCTGGGGACCCAGGAGTCCCCAGCTTGCCACAAACACTACCGTTGTCATGGAAACCGGGCCTCCCCTTCCTCTCTCACTGATTGATTTCACCGCAGCTTCTCCCACATTGTGTCTGGTTCCTAGATCTCAGCTTTTGACTCACTGACTGACTTCACCGCCTCTCATTTCATGTCCTCAAGAGAATAGCAGCCTCATCAGGACCCCCAACCTCTCAGGTTGGCCCCTTTCCCAGGTGACCACCACTTCCTTCCCTGCCGTGTTAGGCTGGACATCCCCTAGGAAAACATCTTTCTGGGAGGGGTGAGCGAGAGTCTGCCCCCGAGCCCCAGGGCTTGGAACTTCACCCAGGCCTCAGGACCCCATCTCTCCTGCCCCAGCTGAGAACCCTCAGCGCCTGGGCATGAGATGAGCAAGCGCAAGGGAGGTGGCCAAGGGGAGAGACCGACAGGCCCTGGCGCCACCTGCTGGCCCAGCGGAGACCAGCCCCACCTTCTCCTTCCCTGTGGGTGCATCCAGGCTAGTCCTGAGTGGCAGGAGGCCCTGACTGTGTCCTTCCAGAGGAGACATTCCACATCATTCATTCATTCACAGATATTTACTCAGTACCATCTGGGTGCCAAAGACAGCTTTCATCTTCATGGATAAAGTAATTAATGTGTGATGAGTGCCTCCAAACGCTGGGGAGCAGAAAACCCGGCACCTAACCCGGTCTGCGGTTGTGTGGCAGGCCTGCCTGAGGAAGGGATGATTAAGCTGAGTCCTGGATAATAATCACCAACATTTATTAAGCACTTTCTGTGTACTAGACAGTATGTCAGTACTTTACATGCCTCTTCCCACTAATTGCACAACAATCCCATGAGGTAATTGCTACTATTAGCTTCACTTTATAGATGGGAAAACAGGTTCAGAGATGTGCGGTAATTTGCATAGGGCTCACAGGTAATACACAGTGCACTGCCACCCACCTACAGGATCCTGCTTGAATAGCCAGTCAGAAAGGGAGAAGCAAGTGTGTTCCAGGCAGAGGAAACGGAAGGGGGAGCCCCTGGCTGTGTAGACAGAGGAGGAGAGATGGGCAAAGAAGGCCAAAAAGGAACACCCAGAAGGTGGAGAAAAGCCAGGGAGAAAATCAAGACTTCAGAGGGAAAGGAGGCATGTGTTGGGTCAGAGGTCAAAAGCAAAGCAACATAAAAGCTGAGACTAGACTCAGCATCACTCTCAGGGAGCCCTGGGCAGTGTGGGAAGGTGGGGCACAGAAACACAGGAGGCCAGAGTAGATCACGCCTCTGCTCAGGTCTGAGTGTCAGAGCTGGAGCCAATCCATACCCCTGAGTAGTCTGTGAAGGCTGCCTGGGAGAGACATGTACAGTTACCCGCCTGGAAGGGCATGCAAGTGCCTCTAGGATATGGGCAATAAGCAGGACCAGGCAGCCTGAGTGTAACTCTCCAGGTTCTGGGACTGAACACAAGAATTAATTAGAAGTGTGGGGAGGTAATAGAGTGGGGAGCAGCCTGACCTCTAACCCCCAGACTCCTGGGGGAGCTGGAAGAGGGCCTAGTACAAGGATGTTGGCGTTAGAAGTGTCTTGGACACCGGGCGCAGTGGCTCACGCCTGTAATCCCAGCACTTTGAGAGGCCGAGGCGGGTGGATCACCTGAGGTCAGGAGTTCGAGACCAGCCTGCCCAACCTGGTGAAACCCCGTCTCTACTAAAAATACAAAAAAGAAAAAAAAAAAAAGCATTAGCTGGGTGTGGTGGCAGGTGCCTGTAATCCTAGCTACTCAGGAGGCTAAGGCAGGAGAATCACTTGAGAAGAGGAAACTGAGATGGGGAGTGACTCATTCAGTATCACATGGTCATTTTATTCCTTTCATTCATTCAATCAATCATTTACTCAATAAATTTTTATTGAATGCCTCCTATATGCTAGGTTTTGGAGAGACACATCCCTTATTCATGGAGAGCGATCAGTCCGAGTAACATGAACACACAAACTGGCTTTGAAAGCACTGGGAGTTGGCCGGGTGCAGTGGCTAACGCCTGTAATCCCATCACTTTGGGAGGCTGAGGAGGACAGATCACCTGAGGTCAGGAGTTCAAGACCAGCCTGGCCAACATGGTGCAACCACATCTCTAATAAAAATACAAAAATTAGCCGGTAGCCGGGCATGGTGGCGTGCGCCTGTAGTCCCAGCTACTTGGGAGGCTGAGGCAGGAGAATCACTTGAACCAGCAAGGCGGAAGTTGCAGTGAGTGCACGCCACTGTACTCCAGCCTGGGCGACAGAGCAAGACTCCGTTCTCAAAAAAAAAAAAAAAAATTAGCTGGTTGTGGTGACAAACGCCTGTAATCTCAGCTACTTGGGAGGCTGAGGCAGGAGAATCACTTGAACCCAGGAGGCGGAGGTTGCAGTGAGCCGAGATCATGCCACTGCACTCCAGCCTGGGTGACAGCACAAGACCCCATCAAAAAAAAAGAAAGCACTAGGAGCTAAGTGCTAACAAATGGGTAAATACTGAGTGCCACAGCAGACTTGGGGGTATATGTAAGACCATCAGCATGGTCAGGAAGGCCTCTCAGAAGACACAACTCCTCCTTGGCCAGGTGCGGTGGCTCACGCCTGTAATCCCAGCACTTTGGGAGGCCAAGGTGGGCAGATCACGAGGTCAGGAGTTTGAGATAGCACAGGCCAAAGCCCTGGCCAATATGGTAAAACCCTGTCTCTACTAAAAATACAAAAATTAGCCAGGCATGGTGGCACGCCTCTGTAGTCCCAGCTACTCGGGAGGCTGAGGCAGAAGAATCACTTGAACCCGGGAGGCAGAGGTTGCAGTGAGCCAAGACTGCACCACTGCACTCCAGCCTGGGTGACACAGCAAGACTGTCTCAAAAAAAGAGAAGACATGACTCCTCCACTTCAGCTCAGGTCTGAAGGATGAGTGGGAGATAGCCAAAATGAGAGAGAGGGTTCGAGGCAGAGGGAACAGTGTGTGCAAAGCCCTAGAGGATAGACAGGGCCTGGCCAGGAGCATGTGACCCATGTATACTTCTCGTGATAGACTCATTTTACTAGCGGTGACTGAGAGGAGGTGTATGCATGCTTAGGGATCCCTTCTGAGCCATCCACCAAGTCATGTCAGTGAGTTAGCAACACTATGGAGTTCCTGCTGTGTACGGCCCCAGACCAGGTGCTGGAGAGTGGAGGAACCCAGTGACAGGATATACTAAACCTCATGCAGACAGTAGCCCCTTGGAGATCAGATGAGGGCAGGCTGCGAGGGCCCAGGTGTAGGAGTGGGGATGGAAGGGGAGAGGAGAGATGGAGCTGGATGTGGGAGTGAAAGGTATGCCAGAAAAGCAGAGGGAGAAGTGGAATATTTGGCAATATATGGGTGAGAGGGTGTTCAAGAGGGAAGGATGGATGAGCATACACAATTTCCGAACAGCAAACATTTATTAAGCACCTACTTTGTGCTGGGTGCTGAGAATACAGGAGTAGACTAGATCCAATCCCTGTTCTCAAAGAGCTTCCCGTGTACTGGGGAAACAGAAGTGTAAACATACAGTTACAATAGAGCATGATGAATTGTAAGGGATATCCAGAAGTGACCAGGGGAGATTTCTAGGAAAAAGTGACATGTAGTTGGACGCAGTGGCTCACACCAGTAATCCCAGCACTTTGGGAGGCCAAGGCGGGCAGATCACTTGAGTTCAGGAGTTTGAGATCAGCCTGGGCAATATGGTGAAACCCTGTCTCTAAAAAAATTACAAAAATTAGCTGAGCATGGTGGCGCACGCCTGTAATCCCAGCTACTTGGGAGGCTGAGGTGAGAGGATGGCTTGAGCCAGGAGGCAGAGGGTGCAGTAAGCCAAGATCGTGCCACTGCACTCTAGCCTGGGTGACAGAGCCAGAACCTATCTAAAAAAAAAAAAAAAAAAAAAAAAAATTGACATATAAATTGAGTCCTGCAAGATGAACAAACATTAGCCAGGTGAAGGGTCAGGGAATAGCAGATGATGATAGCACAGGCCAAAGCCCTGAAAGAAAGTCCATGTGGGCTGGGAGTGGTGGCTCACACCTGTAATCCCAGCACTTTGGGGGGGCCAAGGTGGGCAGATCACCTGAAGTCAGGAGTTCGAACCAGCCTGGCCAACATGGTGAAACACTGTCTCTACAAAAAATACAAAAAATTAGCTGAGCGTGGTGGCAGGCATCTGTAATCCTAGCTACTTGGGAGGCTGAGGCAGGAGAATTGCTTGAACCCAGGAGGCGGAAGTTGCAGTGAGCCGAGATCGCACCACTGCACTCCAGCATAAACACAGCAAGACTCCTCTGTCTCAAAAAAAAAAAAAAAAGAAAAAAAGAAAAGAAAAGAAAGAAAGGAGAAAGTCCATGTGGCTGGAGTAAGGGAAGGAGGAGCAGGATGGGCTGGAGAGGTGGGCAGGAGCTGGCCAGGACAAGAGGGACATCATCACCACACTAAGGAGTGTGAATCTGATGGCAACGGGGAACTAAGATGGTGCTTTTATCAGGGGCATTTCATGATCACATTTTTTTTTTTTTTTTGAGATGGAGTCTCGCTCTGTTGTCTAGAGCCGGAGTGCAGTGGTGCAATCACAGCTTACTGCAACCTCCACCTCTCAACTTCAAGCAATTCTCCTGCCTCAGCCTCCCAAGTAGCTGGGATTACAGGTACCCACCACCACGCCCAGCTAATTTTTGTATTTTTTGTAGAGACGGGGTTTTGCCATATTGCCCAGGCTGGTCTCAAACTCCCGACCTCAAGTGATCCACCTGCCTCGGCCTCCCAAAGTGCTTGGATTACAGACAGGAGCCACTGTGCCCAGCCTTTTTGTAAATTTTTGAATAGTGATGGGATCTCGCTCTGTCACCCAATCTGGAGTGCAGTGGCACGATCACAGCTCACTGTAACCTTGAACTCAAGTGCTCCTCCTATCTCAGCCTCCTAAGTAGCTAAGACTACAAGAGCAACTCACCACACCTGGCTAATTAAAAAAAATTTTTTTTGGCTGGGCACTGTGGCTCACGCCTGTAATCCCAGCACTTTGGGAGGCCAAGGTGAGTGGATTACCTGAGGTCAGGAGTTTGAGACCAGTCTGACCAAGATGGCGAAACCCCATCTCTACTAAAAATACAAAAATTTGCCCGGTGTGGTGATGCATACCTGTAATCCCAGCTACTAGGGAGGCCGAGGCAGGAGAATGGCTTGAACCCAGGAGGCGGAGGTTGCAGTGAGCCAAAATCATGCCACTGCACTCCAGCCTGGGCAACAAGAGCAAAACTCCATCTCAAAAAAAAAAAATTTTTTTTTGTAGAGATGGGGTCTCACTATGTTGTCCTGGCCAGATAGCATGACCATCCTTTCTAAATTAGCCACCTCAAACCTTTCTGCCCCCATATCCTGGCTTATCTTTCTTTGCAGTGATGATCACTACCAGAAAGTACATTATCTACTTGACTACTGTCTGCCTTCCTCCCCAGTAGAGTATCAGCTCCGTGCAAGTAGGGACCTTGTCTATCTTGTTCTCTGATGTATTCAGGGCCTAGAATAGTTCCTGACACAGCATGTATTTGATAGATATTTATTGGATGAAAGGTTTGTTTGTTTGTTTGTTTGTTTTTGAGACGGAGTTTTGCTGTTATTGCCCAGGCTGGAGTGCAGTGGCGCGATCTTGGCTTACCGCAACCTCTGTCTCCCAGGTTCAAGAGATTCTCCTGCCTCAGCCTCCTGAGTAGCTGGGATTACAGGTATGCGCCACCATGCCCGGCTAATTTTGTATTTTTAGTAGAGACCGGGTTTCTCCATGTTGGTCAGGCTGGTCTCGAACTCCCCACCTCAGGTGATCTGCCCGCCTCGGCCTCCCAAAGTGCTGGGATTACAGGGGTGAGCCACCGCACCTGGCCATAGATGAAATGTTTTAAATCCTTACAAGGTAGATATTATTATTTCCCTTCAGACCCAGGTCAGTTGGACTCAAATGCCTGTTTCCTCAGCCTGTCCTCTGAACAGTGTCTCCCAGAAACTCAGAAGGGCGCTGGACATGAAGCCAGGTTTAGGCGACTGGAGGGGTCTCCGGGTGACCGGGGGAGCTGCTCAGACCCACGGGGATTCCCAGGTCTCAGCTACCTGGGTGTTCGTCCCGAGTCAGGAAACGACTGGTAGCATCATTATCCCCCATGTGTTGGATGCCAGAAGCCAGGGGCAAGCGGAAGCTGGAGATGACACCTGAGGAAGCAAGCCGAGCATGGAGCCCTGGCTGAGCAGCGAAGTCATACCTGGGCCCTAGTGAGGGCGCTGAGGCTGGAGCCGCTTCTAGGAATTGGCCTGCGGCGCCACCTGGTGGCCAATGTTTAAAGATGTGTTTCTTTGAACCTGTCCCCTGCTCCCCAAGATCCATGCAAGCCGGCCACCTGCTCAACCAGCAAGTCTCCCTGGGCACCTCCAGCACCAACTTCCAGACATGCCTCCAATTCTCGCCTTTCAAATGAACCTCACCCACCCTTCAGATCTACTTCATCCAGGAACCACTCCCTCCACCCTCTGTGGGCTCCAAGCACTCACTGAGTATCACTGTCTACCTCTGGGGTCCCAGGCTCTGGGGTCAGACTGCTCTGGTTTTGAACACTAAAGTCTCTACTTACCAGCTCTGTGACCTAGGAAAGTTACTTAGCCTCTCTGAACCTCAGGTCCCTTCATGTGAAGCAGAGACACCAAGTCCATCTTCACAGAATTGTGAAGACAATTACATCAAGTCTGAAAAGACCAGAACAGAGCCTGGCACCAAACATGCACTCAGGAAACGTCAAGTCCCTTCCCACCCCTCTCTCTGCCTTTTGCTTCCCTTTCCTGAAAAAGGAAGCATGACAGATCAGAAAGCAGAAGGGAGTCACAGGACTCGGGTTCTCTGGGCCTCAGTCTCCTCTGTAAAATGAGTGCATTAGGTAACTGATGAACTATTCATTCACTCATTCCCCTACTCATTCATTCATTCAACTTCTAGTCCAGCTCTGACATTCTAATTCTATACTGTATGCTGTCAATTCATCTGTGCCAGACTGCATCTTGCATTGCAGAATCTCGTTAGTACCTTGCACAGTGCCTGGCACAGAGAGGGCAATTAGAAAATCCTCAACAACCTAGGAAGGACATGTTTACTGCCTCCCCCTCCCTGCCCCAAGACAGCATCCAGCCCCTGGCTGGCACCAGGTGCCCCTCCCCCTCCCTCACCGCAGCTCGAAACCAGAGCTGGCGCCACTGGGTGTGGAATCTGGGGACCAACTGTCACAGCTCCAGTATCACCCGCCTCCTGGACGCCTGGGTCCAGCCCTAAGTCCCAGAGGGGCCTCATCAACCAGCTGTCCTAAGGGGCCCAGACTCCACCCCAGCCCCTCTGAGCTACTCTCCCTGGGGAAATCAGACAATGCAGGGGACCTGGCAGAGGAAGTGCCAGTGTAGTCCCAGGGGAGAAGCAGAGACGTTTGTCCATCTCCAAACCTAGGCTGAGCCTGCAAAGCCCTTGGAGATCAGATCCACAACAACAGAAGGACTCACAGTGACCTCTCTCCCCCAACCTCTGTAGCCCTCCGAGTCCCAAAGACCTTTCTTTCTTTCTTTCTTTCTTTTTTTTTTTTAGACGGAGTTTGGCTCTTGCTGCCCAGGCTGGAGTGCAATGGAGGCCAAGGCGGGCAGATCATGAAGTCAGGAGTTCGAGACCAGCCTGACCAACATGGTAAAACCCCGTCTCTACTAAAAATACAAAAATTAGCTGGGCGTGGGGGTGCGCGCCTGTAATCCCAGGTACTCAGGAGGCTGAGGCAGGAGAATCGCTTGAACCCAGGAGTCAGAGGTTGCAGTGAGCCAAGATCACACCACTGCATTCCAGCCTGAGCAACAGAGCAAGACTTCATCTCAAAAATAAATAAATAAATAAATAAATAAATAAACAAGGGTTGGGTATGGTGGTACATGCCTGCAATCCCAGCACTTTGAGAGGCTGAGGTAGGCGGATCACTTGAGCTCAGGAGTTTGACACCAGCCTGGCCAACATGGCAAAACCCCATCTCTACAAAAAATACAAAAATTAGCCAGGCAGGGTGCGCATGCCTGTAGACCAAACAACTCAGGAAGCTGAGGTGGGAGGCTCACTTGAGCCTGGGAGTTCGAAGTTTCAGTGAGTCAAGATCATGCCGCAGTATTATAGCCTGGACGACAGAGCAAGACCCTGGCTCAAAATAAACAAACAAACAAATAAATTAATCAATAAAATAAAATAGGCTGGGTGCGGTGGCTCACGCCTATAATATCAGCACTTTGGGAGACTGAGGCAGGTGGATCATGAGGTCAGGAGATTGAGACCATCCTGGCTAACACGGTGAAACCCCATCTCTACTAAAAATAACAAAAACAAGTAGCCAGTTGTGGTGGCACATGCCTGTAATCCCAGCTACTTGGGAGGCTGAGGCAGGAGAATTGCTTGAATCCAGGAGGCAGAGGCTCCAGTGAGCTGAGATTGTGCTACTGCACTCCAGCCTGGGCAACAGAGCGAGACTCCGTCTCAAAAAATATATAAAATAAAATAAAAATAAATTAGATGAGGTCTCACTTTGTTGCCCAAGCTGGTCTCAAACTCCTGGGCTCAAGCAATCCTTCCACCTTGGCCCCAAGGTGCTGGGATTATAGGCAGGAGCCACCGTGCTCTACCCCAAAGACCATTTTGTCCTTACATTTAATCCTGCTTACCCATGTTCTCTGGGTCATGCAGGCCAGTTTCTGTGTCTTACCGAGGGTGGGGATCAAGTCTCACATTTCTTTTGTGTGGCCTACAGAATTTTATTCCATATTCTCATTGATTAAAATTAATTAATGCTAGTGAGGTTTGGACTGCTGGTATAAGGTTAAAAAAAAGAAAACAAAAAAATTAAATTAAATTAATTAATGTGTTGAGTGCATTCTATCAAAGGAGAGAAAACTGTCTGGACTCTTAGCAGAAAGGACGGTGGTTAGATAGCAACACAGACTTCCCACAAGAAAGGGTTATTAAGGAAAAAAAGGCTGGGGCCGGGCTGGTGGCTCACACCTGTAATCCCAGCACTTTGGGAGGCCGAGGCGGGCGGATCACGAGGTCAAGAGATACAGACCATCCTGGCCAACATGTTGAAACCCTGTCTCTACTAAAAATACAAAAATTAGCTGGGTGTGGTGGTGCGCGCCTGTAGTCCCAGCTACTCAGGAGGCTGAGGCAGGAGAATCACTTGAACCCAGGAGGCGGAGGTTGCAGTGAGCTGAGATGGTGCCACTGCGCCCCAGCCTGGTGACCGAGCGAGACACCATCTCAAAAAAAAAAAAGAAAGAAAGAAAAAAAAGGAAAGAAAGGCTGGGCATGGTGGCTCATTCCTATAATCGCAGCACTTTGGGAGGCTGAAGTGGGAGGATCACCTGAGGCCAGGAGTTCAAGACCAGACTGGGCAACATAGCGAGATCTCATCTCTACAAAAAATTTAAAAATTGGCTGGGTATGGCAGCATGTGCCTGTGGTTCAGCTATTGGAGAGGCTGAGGTGGGAGGATCACTTTATCCTGGGAGATCAAGGCTTCAGTGAGCCATGATCAAGCCACTGCATTCCAGTCTGGGTGACAGAGCAAGACCTTGTCTCAAAAAAAGAAAAGAAAAGAAAAGAAAATGGGAGCCGGGCGCGATGGCTCACGACTGTAATTCCAGCACTTTGGGAGGCTGAGGTGGGTGGATCACAAGGTCAGGAGCTCAAGATCAGCCTGGGCAACATGATGAAACCCTGTCTCTACTAAAAATACAAAAATTAGCCGGGCGTGGTGGCAGGCATCTGTAATCCCAGCTACTCAGGAGGCTGAGGCAGAGAACTGCTTGAACCTGGGAGGCGGAGGTTGCAGTGAGCCGAGATGGCGCCACTGCACTCCAGCCTGGGTGACAGAGCAAGACTCTGTCCCCCCACAAAAAAAAAAAAAGGAAAGAAAAGAAAATGGGAAAATCTCATTATACATGGGAGAGAAGGCTCAGCTAACTAGGACAGATAGAGAAGGCATCCTGAGAGAAGTATGAAGATGGGGGAGATGACCTCTTTAAGGGCCAGTCTGCTTGGTAAGGCAGCCTTGGTGGCAGCCTCCTGTGTCTCCCTCCCTCAGGGTTCTGAGAATAGGGCTAAGGAGGGGCAAGTGTTAGGTGTGCACCCCCATCCCTTGGTACTGAGTGTTCAGACAGTGATAACAGGTGCCCAGAAGTGCTCAGAGGAAAGAAGGGATATAATTCCTGGCCGGGCGCGGTGGCTCACGCCTGTAATCCCAGTACTTTGGGAGGCCAAGGTGGGGGCGGATCACCTGAGGTCAGGAGTTTGAGACCAGCCTGGTCAAGATGGTGAAACCCCGTCTCTACTAAAAGTACAAGAATTAGCCAGGAGTGGTGGTGCATGCTGTAATGCCAGCTACTCAGGAGGCTGAGGCAGGAGAATAGCTTGAACCCAGGAGGCGGAGGTTGCAGTGGGCCAAGATCGTGCCACTGCACTCCAGCCTGGCAACAGAGCGAGACTCTGTCTCAAAAGGAAAAAAAAGGAAGAAGAAGGGATACAACTCCAGACACAGACAAGCACACAGTCTGGATCATCCACCCCACTCCTCCCCCAACCTCCACAAGAATCCTGGACTCTCCACTGTGTCACCTTTCCTGCCCTGCAGCCTGGCTTGTGTGTGTGTATGTACTAAACAACTCAACAGGGTCCTTTGTTCCCCAGGCATGAGGCCAGAAGCCTGGCTTGTGTAAGAAAGACAAAAGAGAGAGAGAGAGAGAGAGAGAGAGAGAGAGTCAGAGGTCACCTGCATTCCAGGGCTTAACAGGAATTATTTTTAGAATTATTTGCTGTTTGTTTAGAATGACCTTATTTCAGCGAGTCTAGACCTAGAAGTGACTTCAAGTGACCTATGATGGGTCAGAATAAATCTCCTCCAGTGCCTGGCACATCCCAGGAGCTCAATAGGAAGTGGCTGGCTGAATGAATGAACGAATGAATGAAAATTCATGAAGACCACAATCTGGCTAAAGTCAACCACAAGGGGAGAACAACCAGGGCCAGGAAACTAAAACTGATTGAACACCTAAGATAGCCAGGCACTGTGTTAGGACCTTGGCTTATTTTATTTTATTTTTTGAGACGGAGTCTCCCTCTGTTGCCCAGGCTGGAGTGCAATGGCACAATCTTGGCTGCAACCTCTGCTTCCTGGTTCAAGCAACTCTCATGCCTCAGCCTCCCAAGTAGCTGCGATTACAGGTGTGCACCACCATGCCCAGCTAATTTTTGTATTTTTAGTAGAGACAGGGTTTTGCCATGTTGCCCAGGCTGGTCTGGAACTCGTGGCCTCAAGTGATTCACCCACCTTGGCCTCCCAAAGTGCTGGGATTACAGGAACGAGCCACCATGCCCTGCCAGACCTTGGCTTATTATTTCCATTTGAGAGATAAGGAAACTGAGGCTTAGCAATAAATGACTCCCCAAAGTGGCAGAATAAGCAGCATGTTTATCTTTGGAGACCTGCTCTTTCCTCCTGACACCATGAAGTTTTAAAAATGCAGTTACACTCAACATACCCCTATTGAGCCTCTGCTCTGGGCAGGGCTGCATGCTAGGTTCTGGGCAGCTAGGGTTGGGGACCATGATGAAGATGAGAGACATAGTGCTGTCCTCCAAAGTCCTGAAAGGGAGAAGTATGCCACCTCTACACCTTTCTGGTCATAAGGCAGAGAGTGGGGAGTATTGTTTAAGTAAGACCTTCTGCTCTCATTGCCATAATTCTGGATCAGGCAAGCAGGGAAAAGGAGAGCCTGTATACAGAAATCTACCTTCTCAGTTGAGGGAGGGGGTCTCCTGAACAAAGGAGGCCACCAGCCTCCGGGAGAGAGCGAAGGATTCGTAAAAAACACTCTGAGAATCCAGCTCCTCAAGGTGCCCACCCTGGGCCTCCTCTGCACCTGGGCACTCTCCTACATGATCTGCAGCACACACTCTCACATGTACACCATGCCACACACCTAACTGCATTCGCACACATATCCTTTGCCCTCCAGGTGCCAGGCTCACATCTGCTGTGAAGGAAATTTGTCTGGAGTCCCAGTGGGACCCTGAGGGTGGACATTAACTTACCCAGAGGGCTGATTCATTCTTGTTGGTGGGTCAGGGACGAAGTGGGTCCAGTAGGGACCCTGCCTCGCCCACCCCACCTTTCAGCCAGCCCCTTCCCCATTCAGCAGCTGGACCCTCCCCACTGACACATACTTGTTTCTGCCCTTTGTTTTCCTCCCTGGCCAAATCCCCAAGGCTTCTTTGGTCATTAACCTCCTGCCTTAATTAGCTTAGTGAGGAGGAAAGCAGAGGCAGCGCAAGTTCAGGGTGGGAGTCTGGGGGGAATCTCATTTCAGTGGGGACAGGAAGGCTCAGCCAGCTGGTGGCCCCACAAAAATGCCTAGCACACAATAAGACCTATGCAACTGTTTGCTATTTCTATTTATGTGAAAGATAGTCACCTGGTCCACAAAGCAAAAACTTTCTCCCAAAGAGACCCCATGGTCCCCAGTACCACAGTCTCTGCAATCCAGGTTCCTGGGGCAGACGGAGGGGACAAGAGGCAGAAATAGCCCACTCTCCAGGGCCCTGTCTCTCTAATTCTTCCTCTTTCACTCTTGCTTGGTGGCAGTAGCATCAAATCCCACAATAAGGTTTACTGTTGATCTTATGTTAAATCCCCAGTCCAGGGGGCAAACTTCCCCAACTCCAGGACCCTCCCGGGTTCCTCAGTCAAGGTTCTCCTTCCCTGGATCTTCTGCCTAGCAAAGGAAAAAAATCCCTGCAGTGTGCCAACTGCCCCCACCACCCCCCGACCTTCTGAGATCCTCAGCTCAGGTTCCAGCACTCCCATTAGTGTGCAAATTCACTCTTTCCAAGAAACAGTTTAGGGAACTGGACTAAACAGCTCAGCCCTCAAGGCCCCACATTGCTAAGTCTGTGAAGTCAATTCATCTGTTTCCTTGCCTCTCAGCAGGACTTTATCTTACAAACTAGTTCAGATTTTTGTTTTTCAAGTCACTCCAGAAAAGGACACCTTACCACTGTGGCTCACCCACCCACTATTATAAAACTCTTTATGGAAGTTCTTCTTCAAGTCTGACCTCGAGCCCTCAAGCTGCAGTGCCATCCCTTCTTCCCTTGGGAAAGATCCAGACATAAAAAGGGTGATATAAAATAAATGCAGAAAATATGGGGTAAAGGGAGAAGAAAAAATTGCATTACACTCCACCTTCCTGAAACTCTAAAAGTGCCTAACTCTCCAAGCCTTAAAAACTTATTTTCATTCTCACCGAATTTCCGGAGTCAAACGGGACTGAATGGGTTTTTTTGTTTGTTTGTTTTGTTTTTGTTTTTTTGTGGGGGGGACGGAGTCTCACTCTGCGATCTAGACTCACTGCAACTTCCGCCTCCCGGGTTCAAGCAATTCTCCTGTCTCAGCCTCCTGAGTAGCTGGGACTACAGGCGTCTGCCACCATGCTCGGCTAATTTTTGTATTTTTAGTAGAGACGAGGTTTCACCTTGTTGGTCAGGCTGGTCTCGAACTCCTGACCTCAGGTGATCCACCCGCCTCTGCCTCCCGAAGTGCTGGGATTACAGGCGTGAGCCACCGCGCCCGGCCCTGAATAGGTTTTCAATGGGAGAGAGGTGGAGGAAACAGAGTGGAAATTACGATGAGTGCTAAAGGACAGATCACCCCAAGCTGTATTCACAGCCCAGGCCTGAAGGAAGCCTGGGTTCCCAGTCCATCCTGGTCTCTCCTCCCTCCTGTCATATCCAAAGCTCAAGGCCCTCACCCCAAACGGTTAAGTCACCCCAGGCCTTTAAGACTTTTCCTGCCTGCCCACTCTCCGTCCGACCCCCAGTTCTGTCCCTGCACTCCTTCAACCTCTGCACTTCATCACTCCACCGCCCTCCCGACCCCCTCCACCGAGCAGAAGGACGTGAACTAACTCACCTCCCAGTCGGTGCCTCTGAGATCTCCGAGACTGGGGGGGCGGGGGGCGGGCGAGGGGAGATGGCTTGCTGTTTAGGGATGAGGGGACCCCATCCTTTGCCAGGGGGTTCCAGCCCCAGCCTGGCACCCTTTCCTGGCCCCCACAACACGCAGAGCCCAGCTCTCCCCCCATCGCTGCTGCGGGCTTTGTCTTCTCTGCCGAGAACCTCTCCCCGCGGCCGGGCTCCGGGATCGACTCTGGGAGAGCGGGAGGGGGAAGCGGAGAGTGAGCGCGGCAGGGAGCGGGGAGAGGGGAGCGAGAGAGAAAGCCGCAGTGAGCGAGCGGGGACGGCTCCCGGCTCCCCGCCCCCGGCCCCGGCCCCCCCTCCTCATTTCCATAAAAAAGCGGGCCCCCAGGACCGGCCGGCGCGGGGCAGGAGCGGGTCCTGGGAGGGGGCGCGCGGCGTTAGCCAGCTTCATACCCGCTCTGTTTCCGCATACTACCCCTTCTCCCCGCACCCTCCCCTTAAAAAATTAGGGACCTCGACTTCCATCCCACTCCTAGCTTGCCCCGGAGCTGCGAGGAAAGACCGAAGGCCACATCCCTATCCTCCTCGGGTCAAGGAATTTGTCCCCGCGCCCCCAAGGGCGGGAAACTACAACTCCCGGCATGCCCCGGGCGCCCCCGGCGCGCCCCCCTCCCGTCAGTTTCATGCTGCTCCATCCAGTTCATTTAAAACAAAAGAGTTTGAGCGCTGGAAGGGGCTGGGCTCTATTGGGGGCCACTGAGCGCCGCTCCCGGACTGGGGCTCGGTGCGGGAGCCTAACGGGGGCGCCTGGACAGCGGGGGCTAGAGACTCCCAGGTCCGAGGCGGGAGGGGTGGGGGCAGAGATCCTGCAGCCCCCCGCCCCCCGTCACCCCCGGAGAGGAGAGGAGATCTGCTTTCTTGGTTTTGCTTCTCTTTCCCCCCACCCCCACCCCGGGGGCTGGGGCGAGGGGAGTCGGGTTACAGGGTGTTTGGGGAGGGGGGCTTAGGGGGAGGGTCTATCTTTCTATCTCGCTTTCTTCCCCCCTCCCCAGTTCTTTGTTCCCCCCTCCCCACACACCCCCTCCTCTCCTCTCCCCTCCCCTCCTCTCTCCTCTTTTCCCTTCCACCACCTCTCTCTCTCTCTCTCCCTCTCTCTCTCCCCCAGCTTTTGTTTCGCCATGCCTAGTCTAGTGGTATCTGGAATAATGGAAAGAAATGGGGGCTTTGGAGAACTAGGATGTTTCGGGGGAAGCGCTAAGGACCGAGGGCTGCTGGAAGACGAGCGCGCCCTTCAGCTGGCTCTCGATCAACTCTGCCTCCTGGGTTTGGGGGAGCCCCCCGCCCCCACGGCGGGCGAGGACGGGGGAGGTGGGGGGGGCGGCGCCCCCGCGCAGCCGGCCGCCCCCCCGCAGCCGGCCCCGCCGCCGCCGCCCGCGGCGCCCCCGGCCGCCCCGACGGCGGCCCCCGCAGCGCAGACGCCCCAGCCCCCCACCGCCCCCAAAGGGGCGAGCGACGCCAAGCTCTGCGCTCTCTACAAAGAGGCCGAGCTGCGCCTGAAGGGCAGCAGCAACACCACGGAGTGTGTTCCCGTGCCCACCTCCGAGCACGTGGCCGAGATCGTGGGCAGGCAAGGTAAGCGGGGCGCCGGGACCACTGAGAGGGACTGTAGTGGGGGCACCCTCGTCCCTAGCGCGGAAAGTTCATTTCTTCCCTTCTTGCCCGCCTCCGGCTCTGTCCCTTCCCCACAAAGGGGGACCCGCCCCCTACCCTGATTTCAAAGTGCCACAAAGTTCCCCGTTACCCCTAGTCGGGACGGTTCTCCAGATCCTTCCTCCCCCAGGACTCTGCCTTTAGACAAAGAAATATCCTCGCACTGGAAGAGGGAAAGGGGAGGGGATCGGTCTCCCAATCCAGGGAGGCTGTCCTGAGGGGGTGTCCACTCCTAACCAGAAAAACTGACGGAATGTGCAAAGAGTTACTCAGAAGCCTGTACTCTGGTATCTGCTCCTAGGCTGGGGAGGGGGCATCCCTGGGGCCCCCAGCCGCCTGGAGTTACAGACTTTGGGGGAGACCTGGCCCTCGAAGCCAGACTGAGTATCTGTCTCTTTGTTGGGCTGAGTGTAGGAATGGAAGGGGGTGTGGCCCAGGGGAGGGTCCCAGCCTGGGGAAGAGGCGGTGAGGGGGGCTGCTGAGAGGAGGGGGTCCTGTGGTCACCCACACCCCAAAGTTGGATTGTCTCTGGGGTTTTGGAAGGGGTGTCTCCAAGGAAGTGCTACGTCCTGGCTTGGACCTCTCCTCTTCCCTCTCTGGCTTTTGTTCTGGGCTGGCCACGGCCTTGGGCCAGAGGCCTAGAGAGGGGTCTCTGGTAGTGAAAGAGTAGGACAGGGTAGGAGGGGGAATGCTGGGGGGTAAGAAACCTTCACCTGGAAATTTGGTGGAGGGCGTGTGTCTGGGTGTGTTGGGAGGGGGTGCAGAATTAATCCAGCGTAGTATGTCTGGTACCACACCCTCTGCTGCTCCAGCATCCCTGGGTGGGTGAGTGGGGGTGTTGGTGAAGGTCCAAATTGAGCAGACGGGATCTTGGGGACCCTTCCCTCTCCTGGCTTCTCAAAGGAGAGTGTGGGGGGCAGGATTTGGAAATTGCAAAGAGGCTGGGCTGGGGAGGTGTGGGGTGGGGGAGGAGCTGTCCCACAGTGGGGAACAATAGAGGAGCTGCATTCCGGCTGGGAGTGCGGGAGGAGGCCAGCTTCTGGCAGAGGAAAAGGGGAGGCGGGCCAGGGGGGCCCCTACTCCACATCCCACCTTATCCACTGGGAGTGCTGGGGGTTAGGGGGATTTCACGGAGAGATCCAGAATGGAGGAGGGGAAGATGCCACTCCCCTGCACAGCCCTCATCCCCCTGGGGCACTCCATCTCTTGAGATTTCTGATTTAGAAAGTTGGATTTCCTCTTGTCAGAAACTGGGGATCCAAAGCCCTGGAATTGGGTGGGGACGGACATTGCTATCTTTTCTTGGGTGTGGGGGTGGTCTTGGGAGGCCCCGGAATTTAATGGAGTCATTCTTTCCTCTTCTGCCTCCGCATCAGATGGGCTTGTCCCTCATAAAAGTAAGGGGATTTTTATTCACAAAAGATAAGCCTGCCCCTCAGTCAAGTATATGGAAGTCCTCCCTCTTGTCTAACCTCCCTCCTCCTGCTGCAGTGTTAGTGCTCCTCTGTTTGACCTCTAGGAAGGTGAAGCCCAGTGGGTCTTCCCTTCAAGAGATGCTTCTTTGGGGTTGCAGAACCCAGGAAGAGACCCACCACCAGCTTTGCACCTCCAGGCCTCTAGCGTTTCTTCTTACTCGATGCCTTGGCCTGTCCTCCTCACCCCAACCCCAACCGCTAAAGATACCTAGCTCTCATTTAAGTTTTTGGACCCAAAACTTACGGCCAGAACCCAGGTGCCCATCAAACGATATGTGAGTAGAAATGGTAGGAGAGGGGAGTTCACTGTTTTGTGACCCTCCATACCTCGAAAATAGAACAATCATTTACTGACATTAAAGCAGCAAGGATGTGGGCTGGACAACAGGTAGGACTTCATAACTGCTAAGAGGTCTGAAGACAAGAGGAAACAAGCAAATTTTCCTTCTTAAGGTCTTTTAAAAGTGAGGGGAGGGTGTAGGGTGTGGTGGCTTACACCTGTAATCCCAGCATTTTGGGAGGCCGAGGCGGGTGGATCACCTGAGGTCAGGAGTTCAAGACCAGCCTGGCCAACGTGGTGAAACCCCATCTCTACTAAAAAATACAAAAAATTAGCTGGGCGTGGTGGCAGGTGCCTGTGATCCCAGCTACTCGGGAGGCTGAGGCAGGAGAATCGCTTGAACCCAGGAGGCAGAGGTTGCAGTGAGCCGAGATTATGCCACTGCACTCCAGCCTGGGTGACAGAGCAAGACTCCATCTCAAAAAAAAACAAACAAAAAAAGTGAGGGAGGGTCCCCCAACCTACTCTCTTCCCCTCACCCCCCAATCTGCCAGCGTTGAAGAAGCAGCCATCTGGAGTGGAGGAAGGAGGAAAAAATGAGCTCACCTCAGGTCTCAGGTTGGAGGGTTGGGGCAGAGGCAGAAAAGTAGGACCACTTGGTTTCGGTTGGAGAGAGAAGGGGAATAGTGAGTTGTGCTCAGAGAAGGGTGTGAGTGGGTCTATATGTGATTGGGGGTGAAAGTCATGGGTGCGGGTGTGTATAGGAATGTGCTGTTTGTGTGCTGGGGAGGATGGGGATGGACAGTGGGATGTATGAAAGGCCGAAACACAGGGACTTGATGTGTGTGTGAAAGAGGTGTATAAAAGTGTACATTAGATTGGCCCCATAAGTATTATTTAGATAAAGGCACACCTCTTAGGTACATGTGTGTGAACTCACACACGTGACGTGTGCTTCCCAAAAGGGTATGAGTCTTGGAAGCTCTGTGTGAAGCTAGGAGCAGGGAAGAGGAAGGTGGGTAAGGAGGAGAGGGACTTGTCCAGACCCCCAGGTCGGCAGCTTTTAGAAACAGAATAGCCCTTACTTTTCTCTCTAGCCTTCTCCCTCTTTGTCTCTCTTTGTCTCATTTTTCTTCTTTCTCTTCCTGCCTTTCCCTAACCTCCCAGCTTTAACTCACTTCTACTTCAAAGCAGGAGTGTGGGTCCAAAATACCTCTCCCTCACCGTACTCAGCCCCAGCCCAGCTCAGCTGTCTTGCCCCCAGGGGACAGGGGGACAAGAGTGACACGGGGTTGGGCACTGTTCCCTCACACAGAAGTTTAACTCCATACTCCTCCTTTCCTCCTTGAACTTATGATTGTCAGACCTTTCCCAGTCCCCTACACTCTACTCGTTGCTGCAAACTCGCTATGAATTTGAGGCCCACTGAGAGAAACTACTGAGTGGAAGGCATGTGGGGCGGTCATAGAGCAGATAGACTTCAGTGGTCCCTGGGTAGTTTGGAGGACACTTTTAATGATCAAGGGTCAGATGAGTAGATTATGAGGTTACTGAGCACATTGGGGTTCTGTGGAAAGATCAGGGTCAGTGACAGATGTGGGGGGTGATTAAGTGATTTGGAAGTTTGTGAGTAGCCAGGAATCAGTAGAGAAATTGAAGGAAGAGCAAATGTTGGGAGAAAGGAGTGTAGTTTGTGAATGGATTTGAGTTACCAGCTTGTATGGGAGGGTCAGTGATTATTTGGGGGTTTTGAGGAGTGAATGAATTTGGAGGGCCCTGAATGGAACTCAGGGAAAGTTAGTACATTTTGAAATCTGTGGCTGAGAGAGACATTAGGCACATCTGAGATCTGATAAATGGTTTCTTCAAGTCAGGGTGGACTGTGTGTGCAGCAGTGGGCATTTCAAAGGGTAGACTGAAGTGTTCCTGGGAGGCTAGGTATTTGGGTAAGGATCAGGAATTTATTGGTCCCAGCACAAACCTTGCTGTGTGCGTTTCTTTGTCTCTCTCCTTCCCCGCCCTATCCCAGGCTGCAAGATTAAGGCCTTGAGGGCCAAGACCAACACCTACATCAAGACACCGGTGAGGGGCGAGGAACCAGTGTTCATGGTGACAGGGCGACGGGAGGACGTGGCCACAGCCCGGCGGGAAATCATCTCAGCAGCGGAGCACTTCTCCATGATCCGTGCCTCCCGCAACAAGTCAGGCGCCGCCTTTGGTGTGGCTCCTGCTCTGCCCGGCCAGGTGACCATCCGTGTGCGGGTGCCCTACCGCGTGGTGGGGCTGGTGGTGGGCCCCAAAGGGGCAACCATCAAGCGCATCCAGCAGCAAACCAACACATACATTATCACACCAAGCCGTGACCGCGACCCCGTGTTCGAGATCACGGGTGCCCCAGGCAACGTGGAGCGTGCGCGCGAGGAGATCGAGACGCACATCGCGGTGCGCACTGGCAAGATCCTCGAGTACAACAATGAAAACGACTTCCTGGCGGGGAGCCCCGACGCAGCAATCGATAGCCGCTACTCCGACGCCTGGCGGGTGCACCAGCCCGGCTGCAAGCCCCTCTCCACCTTCCGGCAGAACAGCCTGGGCTGCATCGGCGAGTGCGGAGTGGACTCTGGCTTTGAGGCCCCACGCCTGGGTGAGCAGGGCGGGGACTTTGGCTACGGCGGGTACCTCTTTCCGGGCTATGGCGTGGGCAAGCAGGATGTGTACTACGGCGTGGCCGAGACTAGCCCCCCGCTGTGGGCGGGCCAGGAGAACGCCACGCCCACCTCCGTGCTCTTCTCCTCTGCCTCCTCCTCCTCCTCCTCTTCCGCCAAGGCCCGCGCTGGGCCCCCGGGCGCACACCGCTCCCCTGCCACTTCCGCGGGACCCGAGCTGGCCGGACTCCCGAGGCGCCCCCCGGGAGAGCCGCTCCAGGGCTTCTCTAAACTTGGTGGGGGCGGCCTGCGGAGCCCCGGCGGCGGGCGGGATTGCATGGTCTGCTTTGAGAGCGAAGTGACTGCCGCCCTTGTGCCCTGCGGACACAACCTGTTCTGCATGGAGTGTGCAGTACGCATCTGCGAGAGGACGGACCCAGAGTGTCCCGTCTGCCACATCACAGCCACGCAAGCCATCCGAATATTCTCCTAAGCCCCGTGCCCCATGCCTCCGGGGCCCACTCCACTGGGCCCACCCTGGACCTGTTTTCCACTAAAGCCTTTTGGAAAGCGGTGATTTGAGGGGCAAGGTGCTTAGAGATACTCGCTCGCTGGGGAAGGGGGGAGGGAGGCAGTGGTGGCTGGAGGGTGCGCCACTTTCAGAGCCTCTGGTCACCCTGTCCTGGAAAGATTGGGAGGGGGCCAGACTGAAAATTTTACTAGAGTTACAACTCTGATACCTCAACACACCCTTAAATCTGGAAGCAGCTAAGAGAAACTTTTGTTTTGCCAGAGGTGGCCACTAAGGCATTCTGACGCCCTCTGCCCACCTCCCCCGCTGTGTGTCACTCCACCCCTTCTTCCGAGGAGGGGGTGGGTAAAAGGGAGAGGGAGAATTACCACCTGTATCTAGAGGTGCTCTTTGCAATCCCTAAGCCCTCTGGTCCTGACCTCCGACCTCCTAACATGACCCTTTACCTCCCACCCCACCCCCATATCCTGTTTGGGAAACTGTCACCAGTTTCCAGCAGTGTAAGGGAGTTGGAGTCCTATCAGAAGTTGCATAGATCTTCTAGGGGTTGGGGAGAGAAGCATGTCAATCGTTTCTGTGGCTGAAAGGCTCAGAAGCCATCTGTCCCCACAAAGCTGGGCTAGAGGAATCTGGAGAGGAGTCCTCCTCTCTGCCCCTGTCCCCTGCAGTGTTTCCCTTCACTCTCTCCGCCTATCTTCCCTTCCTTTGGGATCTTCCCTTTCCTCAACTCTTTCCTTTCCCTCCAGCTCTTTGCTTTGCTTTCTTTTGGTGGCTGTCACTCCCAGCTCTGTCTTGTTCCTTGTCTTTGTCTTTCTTCCCTTCCCCCTGCCCCTGCCCCTACCAGCCCAGCTTTGGGGACACCATCCTTCTGGGGAGAAGTAGGGGGAGGAATATTTGGATGGTCCCTCCATTCCTCTTCAGGCATCTGGAGGCCCTCTCCCCCACTCCTCCAAAGAAACATCTCAAATTATTGATGGAATGTATCCCCATTCTCAGTGAAAATGTGAGGAGGGGACTAATACTGGGGTAAAGGGTCAAACCCCCACCTTCATCACTATGGGCATTATATTTAGGGAGTAGTTCTTGGGCTGGATTTTCTGGTTGTGGAAGTGGGGGCGCCAGAGTAGTGTGTCTGCTATTTAAAGGAGCAGGAAAGGGCGTGAGGCAGGAGGAGAGACTGGTGGAGGGAAGAGCTGCTCCTCCCATGCAGTGCCCGACTCCCTGCACCCCTCTCAACCTGACCTGAACCTTTATTGAATCCTTATTAGCTTGAATCCTTATTAGCTTGAATCCTCCATGCAAATCATGGAGTCTGTGTCCCACCTGATGTGGTTGAGGAGAAGCCAGGTCTTCAAAGAGGGGTCAGCCTGGGGCAAAGCAGGACTGGGGGGAGGTGGGCAGCAGGGCCTATTCTGAGAATCACATATTGTTACAGGCCTTGCACCCCCTTTGCTGCTTCCCTCCTGCTCATTTGGGGCTGCCACCAGCTCTCCACCCTCCTGGTTCCGCTGGCCGGGCCAAGAGAGGATGGAGGGATGGGAGTCCCAGGAGATCCTTGTAAATAGTGGGGTGGGACTGTTCTGAGTGATCACCCGAGCACTTAAAGCTCCAGAGTCCCATTCTTCCTGGATGGAGCAGGTGGAGGTGCAGAGGGGATTTCCTCCTCTCCTTCCTCCTGTCGAGAATTAACACCTCTCCACAGCCTTCCCCTCCAGAACACCAGCCAGGGAGGGGTGGGGAAGGAGGTCACAGCCAAGAAAACTGCCCTGTGACGACTTCCCTCCTTCCCGCCTATGTGAGCCATCCTGAGATGTCTGTACAATAGAAACCAAACCAAATGGGCACCCTCGGTTGCCGGGGGGCAGGTGGGGAGGGGGGTGGGAAGAAGGGATGTCTGTCTGTCGTCCCCCTCCCCCTCTCCACTCTTTACCCACAAAGGCAGAAGACTGTTACACTAGGGGGCTCAGCAAATTCAATCCCACCCTTACCAATTGAGCCAAACCTAGAAACAAACACAAAACACGAATAGTGAGAGACAAAATAGAGGAGAGAAAGAGAGCATGAGAGGGAGCGAGACAGGCGACCAACACAGAGGAGAGAAAACAAAAATAGCAAAAAAAAAAAAAAAAAGCAGTTCTTTATAATTTAATATTCTATTTTAATAAAGGCGTTTATTACCATATAAATGTAGCAAAGAACCTGGGCTAATATGAAAAAAAAAGACTTTTTATTAGGTAATTTATTATATGAAAAGGATATTTTATTTTATGATAAAGTGATCCTTAAAAAAATAAAAAAACTTTAGAAGGTTTAGAATATATGTAGGGAGAGAAGAAGAAAAAAATACATTTGTATTCAGAGTTAAATCTTAAAAAAAAAAAGTGTTTTTAATATATGTTTGGGTTTACGTTGCTTTTTTCCCCCACTTTTTTTTTGGGGAGGAATGTCATTTGCTTTTCTTGGGGGAGCATCCCGGGGGTGAATGGTGGAGAGAGGAGCTGGGGGAACCCGGTCCCTCCTGGGACCCTTCCAGTAGATTGGATTTCACTCCATGGACTCCTCCTCCCCTCTCCCCCTCCCCCTCAGGGGAGCCGGCAGAGCCAAACAAAGAAAGGGATTAACAAGAAAGGAAGAAGCTGTAGGACTAAGGACTGAGGATCCTGGGGTGTCCCCCACCACTTTCCCCTGCCCTGTCGCAGGGGCAAGTGAGGAGGGGGAATCCAGAATTAAGGCCTAGCAGGCCTATAGGAACCCTCAGAGATGTGTGAGATTTAAGAGATCTAGATTTTTTTTTAACCAAAAACAAGAGAGAAAGAGAAGAAAAAGAGAAACCGAGGGGTTTAAAAGAAAAGAATACTACAAAATAATAATTATTAATAATAATAATTCAAATTTATTTCATATAATCCTAGAGAGAGAAAGAAACAATTACTAGTTACTTAGTAGACAATATTAAGATAGCTTAAAGTTTAGTAGCATTGAGGGCCCCTGGGTCCAGTAGAATGTATAAAAGTTGTAAGGAAAAGATAAATAGAGGAGGGAAGTGGCTGAGTCCACCCTGAGTTGCCCAATCTTCAGATACCAGGGTTGGATCAGGTTGCTAGTTTAAGATTGGGAGCTTCCAGTCTGCTGGGGTTGATTCTGAGAATCCTTGGATTTTTAAATTGTAGGACAAAGAAATGAGGGGTTCATTTCCCAGGGTCTTGGAAAGGATGCACACTGATCATCTCAATAAGACAGGGGCTGGGTTGGGGGCAGCAGAGGAGGCCAAGCACATTCACCTGCACCCCTAGTACCTGGGCAGCCCATACTCCAATGTGGTATGTCCCCTCCTGGGGCTCCCAGCTCAAACCCTCCCATGCCTGCTTCCCCCAGGCCTAACTGAGGAAGTCCTTCTTGAAGTGTGACCTCGGTCCACTTCTCTACAGATTGATTTAAGAGCCTGGGAAGTCATTCCACAAACAGACACACATGCACACACGCTTCTCACCTTCAGAGCTTCAAGAGCACTGAGGCGATCAGTCCCCTACCCCTGTTCCCATCCAGCTTTCCACTTAGCTTTGACCTCCATGGCAGCAGTAGCAGTAACAATCTCAGTAATTGTTCTTTAAAGCTGACTCGTTCTTCACCTACTTGCAAAGTGCTTTCTTGTCTCATAAAAGTTAGATTCCAAGAAGGACTTCCCACGGAGTGGAGTGGAAACACTGTCCTTGAAGGCCTGGGAGAAAGGCATCCCCATGGGCACAGAGGCTGGGGAAAGGCACAGGGACTTTGGGTGACCCTAACCCTGACCCTCTGCTCCAGTTCACCTCCATCTATATGTGTTCAGGTAGGGGTCATCTACTGTACCCTGGCCTGGGAACACATTGCCCTCCCCACACAAAACTGGAGGGCTTGGCTTCTGCGTGTGAGAAATCAACATTTTTAAAGCACTTGCCTTCTACCAACCCCAGCTTGCAATCACTGGGCCTTCCCCTCCTATCCAAGGGGTTGGAGGGGCCCCTTGGCTCTCCTTTTGGCAGGAGGAGCCTGCTTCATTACACCAATGACTCTGCCATCCCCCTCCCTGGCCCTAGACCCCAAACACATCTCCCTCTACCCAATTTACTCTTCTCGCCCCACCTAGGGACAGATTCCCCCTGCTCTTTTTGTCCTAGAAACCCCGCTAGTTTGGGATGGTAGCGTCTGGGGTGGGGAGGGCTTCCCCTTCCCCACTCGAGGGTGCGGGTGGGGAAGGGGGGGTGGGTGGAGACAGCCCTGGGGCAGGGAGGATGGTCTCTCCACTGTAGAAAGTAGAGTAGGATTGTGGTCAGACTTAATTTGAGGCATCTAGTGAAGACACGTACAAATCCACCAAGGAAAAAGATTTCAAAAGCAAAATAAAAGCGGGAAATAAAACAGACCCAAGAATAATCAAGTCAAAGTGATGTTGCACAAAATGCAGAGAAACCAAGAAGGGGGAGGGTTAATGTATTAAATGTGCTATTAAGAACTTAATTTTATTAAAAGTACTATTACTTAAGGCTCTGTCTTCGTTCTCTGCATGTAAGTCTGTGCCATCTTGGGGTGAGTGGGAGGATCTGGGTGGGGATTGCAGCTTGGGGTTTCCTCTAGTGTAGCTTTGGGCTCCCTACACACCTGTGAGTAGTGGATGTCTCTGGAGTTCCTTGCCACCCTTAAGCTCCCCCTTTCAGCTCTCCATAGCTCTGCTTGAGTCTCCAAGCTCTAATCCCCTGCCTTTTCTCTCCATTTACTCCCTTCTCTTCTTTGGAGGTGCAGTCAGGCCTTGTTCCACCCTGACCTGAAGAACAGGGGAAGGTGACTGGGCGCAGTGGCTCATGCCTGTAATCCCAGAACTCTGGGAGGCCGAGGTGGATGGACCGCTTAAGGCCAGGAGTTCAGGACCAGCCTGGGCAACATAGCGAGACCCTGTCTCTACCAAAAATACAGAAAATTAGCCAGGCATGGTAACACATGCCTATAGTCCCAGCTACTCGGGAGGCTGAGGCAGGAAAATCACTTGAACCCAGGAGGCGGAAGTTGCAGTGAGCTGAGATCACGCCACTGCACTCCAGCCTGGGCAACAGAGTGAGACTCCATCTCAAAAAAAAAAAAGAACAGGGGAAGGTGAGGCAGGGTGACAGAGATGCTACCTGGACAGCCATCTCCTATGCTCCATGGAAAGGGGGCAGAGAGCTAAGAGACAGGGACCCTCCCCATTTACCCCACCAGATTCAATCCATCCTTCTTCTTTGGGATCAGGAAGAAGACTGGAAGGGCTCAAGTTTGTAATCCTAGCACTTTAGGAGGCTGAGGCAGGCGGATCACCTGAGATCAGGAGTTTGAGAGCAGCCTGGCCAACATGGCAAAACCCCGTCTCTACTAAAAATACAAAAATTAGCCAAGTGTGGTGGCGGGCACCTGTAATCCCAGCTGAGGCTGAGGCAGGGAGAATTGCTTGAACCCGAGAGGTGGAGGTTTCAGTGAGCCGAGATCACACCACTGTACCCCAGCCTGGGCAACAGAGTGAGACTCCATCTCAAAAAAAAAAAAGACTGGATGGAGGACTTGGACCTTGCACCTCTCAGGCTTAAAAACCCCTTCCCCAGTACACACCTACAGGACTGGCCCCCACTCCCTCTTCTCCCCTTGTATCTCCCGCTGCCTCCTCCCCTTGCCCCTGGCATTGGAGTGACCTCAGTTGTTGGCACCAGGGCCCTCAGCACCAGATGGTGCCCGCCGATGGTTTCCTTTGTCTCGCCTTCCAGATATACCCCCTCCCCTCCATGCTCTCCTCCCTCCCCCACCTGCCCTGGGGGTTGGCAGAGGGAAGGGCAGGCACCTCCTATCCCCTTGGCACTGTCCCCAGACCACAGAACTCCAGAGGCAGCTGGCCCTGAGGGGCAGTAGGTATGGTGGGGAGGACAGAGGAAGGGGATTAGGGACTCAGAGGAGGGGCCAAAGTTGAAGGGGAGGCACAGACAAGGAGAAGAGGGAGGAACAGACGGGAGGCAGTGGAATGACCAGGCATTGATATAAAACAGCTTTATTTGAGGGTCCTAGTCTGTGAGGGGTGGACAGATAAAAGAGGTATTTGTGATAGGGCATGAAGACCTTAAGACCCTGAGGGTGCTGTGAACAGGGAACAGTCTGATATCTGGAACCAAAGGGCAAGGAAAGGTCCTGGGGCTGAAGTGGGGACAAGGGGCACCAAAAAGCCAGTGGGGGCAGGTGGTGCTGGCCAAGGTCAGAGGCTGATGCAACAGGCCCTCTTCTCCCCAGGGCCAGGCTCCTGTCCAGCCTGGGCACTGCCCAGAGTGATGGCATTGGTCCGGATGCTGTTCTGTCTCTGCTTGGACACCTTCGCAAAGATTTCTGGGAGGGCAGAGGGCAGTGATCAGGCCAGAAGATTTAGAGCCCATGCTCCCTTCTCCCCAACCCCCCCATACATACTGCATGCCCCTTCTGAGCATGGGGGGTGGCCACACTTGCAGGAGGTTTTGCAGGAAGGAAATGAAGTGTGGACATAGGGGTCCCTTCTACTTACTTGGGTGGAGAAGGAACCAAGAGTCAGCCCCATGGGGAGTGTGGCCTGTTCCCTCCCTGAGCTCCAGACTGAGTGGGAGGCACTGGGGAGGGACTGAGGGGGACAGGCAGTGGTGCCAGGACCCACAGAGGAGCTGAGAAATTAGCTGGGGTGAGGGCTGAGTGTCTGCATTCCTACTGCTGCCTGTAGAAGCCACGGGGATGGAATAGGGGTGCAGAATAAAGGTAGGCTCTAACCTTTCAGGACAGTCTCAAAGGCTAGCTCAACATTGGTAGAGTCCAGGGCTGAGGTCTCCAGGAAGAGCAGTCCATTGTTTTCTGCCAGGAAGGGAAACACACCATTAATTGTGGGAGTCAAAGGCAATAATAATAATAATATTAATGTTTGCTATATACATTTGCCATGTGCTAAACTCTTGGCATGTAGCAGATCATTTAATCCTTAAAACAACTTACAAGGTAGGTTCATTTAGAAAACTGAATCCAGAAACACAAAGAAAACAAATAAGGGGCTGGGTGCGGTGGCTCACGCCTGTAATCCCAGCACTTTGGGAGGCTGAGGTGGGTGGATCACGAGGTCAGGAGTTCAAGACCGGCTTGGCCAACATGGTGAAACCCCGTCTCCACTAAAAATACAAAAATTAGCCAGGCATGGTGGCGGGCACCTGTAATCCCAGCTACTCGGGAGGCTGAGGCAGAGAATTGCTTGAACCCAGGAGGTGGAGGTTGCAGTGAGCCAAGATCGTGCCACTGCACCCCAGCCTGGGTGACGGAGCGAGACTCCTCTCAAAAAAAGAAAAAGAAAAAGAATAAGGAAATTGCTCCATGTCCCACATTTAGTAACTGGCCAAGAGCAGATGGGAGACTGGGCCATGGGACTCCAGAACACCCTTAACCACCATATTGTGCTGCCTCTAAACTCAGAAAACTCCTGGGAAGCCTATCCTCTCCATAGGATCTTTGAGCATTACAGGGTGGGGCTGCCTTAAAATTAACTACGGGCCGGGCACAGTGGCTCACACCTATAATCCCAGAACTTTGGGAGGCCGAGGCAGCTGGATCACCTGAGGTCAGGGGTTCGAGACCAGCCTGGTCAACACGATGAAACCCCATCTCTACTAAAAATACAAAAATTAGCCAGGCATGGTGGCGCACACCTGTAGTCTTAGCTACTCAGGAGGCTGAGGCATGAGAATTGCTTGAACCCAAGAGGTGGAAGTTGCAGCGAGCCGAGATCGCACCACTGCACTCTAGCCTAGGCAACAGATTGAGACCCGGTCTCAAAAAAAAAAAAAAAAAAAAAATCAATAAAGACAATCTCAGGGCAAGTGGTGGGACATCATGGGAGACACAGGGTCCCAAAGGGGAAGTGCTGGGAAATCCTGAGGAAGAGGGGATGGGGTAGAGGACTGTATGGAGGAAGGCCAGGCTAGGGGCTCTATGGGTGGGGGCAGGGGCTGGGAGACTGCAAGGGAAAGGTGGGCTAAGCTTGGAGGAGTCAGCCTGGGTAGTGGCAGGCTCTCACCAGCGAACATTCGGGCCTCCTCAGTGGGCACTTCCCGGGCCTGGCTGAGGTCACTTTTGTTACCCACGAGCATGACGACGATCGTGGCTTCAGCATGGTCATAGAGCTCCTTCAGCCATCGCTCCACCACAGCATAGGTCTGGTGCTTGGTTAGGTCAAACACCAGGAGGGCCCCCACTGCACCACGATAGTACCTGGGTGGGAATGAGAAGGATGGACAGAGATACGATCAGAGGCATTGGACCCAGCATCAGAGCAGAGCCGTCAAGCTGGAACACCCGGGATCAGAGTACTAGAGATCAGGAAATACAGAAACTTGCGGCCAGGGGCCCAGAACCCAACAGAGCAGCCCAAGGCTCCTCTGCCTTCCAGGGACACTAGTCTTGGAGCCTGTAAAGTTTCACCTCCCTCGGCCAGGCGCGGTGGCTCACGCCTGTAATCCCAGCACTTTGGGAGGCCAAGGCGGGTGGATCACCTGAGGTGAGGAGTTCAAGACTAGCCTAACCAATATGGAGAAACCCCATCTCTACTAAAAATACAAAAATTAGCCGGGCATGATGGCGCATGCTTGTAATCCCAGCTACTCGGAAGGCTGAGGCAGGAGAATTGCTTGAACTCGGGAAGCGGAAGTTGCAGTGATCTGAGATCGCTCCATTGCACTCCAGCCTCGGCAACAAGAGTGAAAATTTGTCTCAACTAACTAACTAAATAAATAAAGTTTCACCTCCCTGCTCTAAAATCTCTATTGGCTTCCTCACAGCCAGCCCCTCTACTTTCTCAGGTTCTCGTCCTGATTTTAGCCCCTACTCTCCACCAGTGCACATCTGGGCTTTAGCCAACTCTGCCACCTTCAAGATCTTCCTCACATGGCTCCTTAACAGTGGCCTGTTCTCTCCCGTGGCCTTCTTTCTAGGATTAGCTGAATGCCTACCTCTTGCAGCAGTCCCTGGCCTGACCATTCAAGGCATCACTGAAAGCATCCAGTCTCCCTCTTGGAGTTGGATGGGATGTCTTCAGACTAGTGATGTCTAACTCCCAATTCATTGATGAGTCAACTGAGGCTCATAAGAGATCAGGTAACGAGGAGCATGTGTAACCAAAGCCCCTGACTCTTGCTTCCTGCCCCCTGGCAAGTGCTATCCACCCCATATACACACAAACAGACCCCATTTCACATGCTTAGGCCTCACACTGACTGGAAGACACTTTCTTTTTCTTTTTTTTTTTTTTTTGAGACAGAGTCTTGCTCTGTCGCTAGGCTGGAGTGCAGTGGCATGATCTTGGCTCACTGCAACCTCCACCTCCCAGGTTCGAGTGATTCTCCTGTCTCAGCCTCCCGAGTAGTTGGGATTACAGGCACCCACCACCATGCCTGGCTAATTTTTGTATTTTTAGTAGAGACGGGGGTTTCACTGTTGGCCAGGCTGGTCTCGAACTCCTGACCTTGTGATCTGCCCGCCTCGGCCTCCCAAAGTGCTGGGATTACAGGTGTGAGCTACCGCGCCCAGCTGACACTTTTTTCTTGAGACACAGTATCGCTTTGTCACCCAGGCTGGAGTGCAGTGGGGCGATTTCGGCTCACTGCAACTTCCGCCTCCCGGGTTCAAGCCATCCTCCCACCTTAGCTTCTCAAGTATCTGGGACTACAGGTACGCACCACCAAGCCCGGCCAATTTTTTATATTTTTGGTAGAGACAGGATTTTGCCATGTTGCCCAGGCTGGTCTCGAATTCATGAGCTCAAGCGATCCACCCACCTTGGCCTCCCAAAGTGCTGGGATTACAGGTGTGAGCCAACACACCCGGCCTAAGAGACACTTCGGATGTGGTGTCAGGAGGCCTAACCTCCTGTGTGTCCTCTGAGTCTTCATAAAATGCAGATGCTGGGTTCAGCTTTTGGTCCTCTGTGGTTAGATGAAAGTTGCCAAGTGCAGAGCATTGTGCGGAAGTGAGGGGGCGCTCTCGATCCGTGCAGCTCGCCCCCATCCTAGCTCCACCCTGATTTCACCTTGTTTGTATTTATACAGAAATTAACTAATTATAGCACTTTACTCCTGTGGTACTTTAAGGGTTACATAAAATGCCAAATGTAAAGTAACTTGTCCCTTCCTGGGCACATAGCAAAGGCTTAGTAAGTGGCAATGATTCCTGCTTTTAGTAGTACTAGTCAGTGTTACTATATCCTGGCTTGTGCTGTTTCTGTTTACAGTACCTTTTATCTTCTGTGATCTCCATCCCCACCCCCCAGAGCCCACTGCTGAGCCCCCTTGCCTCCTCCTCCCCCACTTCTCCTCCAGAAGTGTTCCTCGACTTCCCCAGAACTCCCACCACCCAGCAGCCCCCCAGGCCCGGGCTCACGCCGAGGTGATGGCTCGGTACCGCTCCAGGCCAGCTGTGTCCCAGATCTGAGCCTTGACAGCAGCGGTGCCCAACATCACAGTGCGGGTGGAGAACTCAACCCCGATGGTGGTGCGGCTGTCGTGGCTGAACTCATTGCGCGTGAATCGGGAGAGTAGATTGGTCTTCCCCACACCTGATTCGCCGATCAGCACCACTGAAGGAGTGGAGAGATAAGGGCTGAGCATGGGGTAGAGCAGCTCCAACCCCACCTGAGCTTGGAGGGTCTGCCCAGCAGAAAAAGGGAACTGAGCTCAGAAAAAAGATTAGGGAACGGAGTCTCCTGTGAGACTGGAGTCTGCAACTCTGCATAATGCATCTGTCCTGGTGGGCAGGAAAGCCAAGAGTTTAAAACAAACAAAGGGGCTTGACGGGTTATAGCCTGGTCTGTTGATACATGGTTGCAGAGTCAGCCTGCATCTCTGGTGAGGGAGTGACATCTGTGGGCTCTTTATGAGTGTCATGCGGAGACATTACTGTTGTGTGTGAATATGGACAGGGATGGTGGGAGGTCAGGGGGTGCACAGTTCTGGACTAGGACTTGGAGTATGAGAACATTGCACTTGTCTCTATATATATGAGCTGGGAGGACAAGTGGGAGGTTTGGTGTGTGTGTGTTTGCATAAGGAACAGAGGTGTGAATCAAAGTGTGGGTAAGGAGAAAGTTTGGCAGTTGACACATCTGTGGGTGAGAGGAAGGCATGTGTGCTCATGTGTGTGTAAGAAGTTAGGTTCCAGTTGTCCCTAAGGAGGGACAGTCCCGCATGGTTAAGAGCATGGGCCTGGGTGTTAGACCAGCTATGTGTCCTTCGGCAAGTTATTTAACCAATCTGAGCTGTTCTTTTCATATGAAAAATGGGGAAGACATTAGTATCTACCTTAAGGGTTATTGTAGGAAGTAAGTGAGACATTGCCCAGGATATAGTAAGTGTAAAAATCATGACTGGTATGATTGTTGTTAGCAGGCCAGAGTTTTTGCCTTTGGGTTTTCAGAGACAAGGATCCACCTGAGGGGCCATGAAGACCCTTTAGACTGGTGGGCAGCATCCAGGGCCCAGTCTTACCCATGTGGATGAGCTGGGGGCTGGGGTAGAGTGTAGGGGGCTGATGTGAGTAGAGCCCACAAATTGCACTGGCACTGAACTAAGCACACAGAATTAGAGGAGGCCACCCAGAGTGGTTCTGGAAAGGCAGGCTGGCACCCAAGGACTGGGAGCCACATATTGTGGGCTCTGGTCCCTGCTCAGCTTCTAACTAACTGTGTGAACTTGAACAAGTGACTCACCTTTTCTCAGTCTCAGTTGCCTTGCTTATACAACTTATAAAGGCCTCCTCCAACTTTAAAAGTTCCTTGGCTGGGTGTGGAGGTTCACGCCTGTAATCCCAGAACTTTGGGAGGCCAAGGCGGGAGTATCTCTTGAGCCCACAAGTTTGAGACCACCCTGGGTAACACGGTGAAACCCCATCTCTACAAAAAATGCAAAAATTAGCCAGGCATGGTAGCATGTGTCTGTAGTCTCAGCTACTTGGGAGGCTGAGGTGGGAGGATTGCTTGAGCCCTGGGGGTGCTGCAGTGAGCCGAGTTTGTGTTACTGCACTCCAGCCTGGGTGACAGAGTGAAACTCCGACTCAAAAAAAAAAAAAGAAAAAGAAAAAAAAATTAGCCAAGTGTGGTGGCACATGCATGTAGTCCCAGCTACTCAAGAGGCTGAGGTGGAAGGATTGTTTGAGCCCCGTAGGTTGTGGCTGCAATGAACTGTGATGGCATCACTGCACTCCAGCCTGGGTGACAGTGAAATTGTGTCTCAAAAAATAAAAATAAAAAATATATATTTAAACATTCCTTATTTGCATAGGACAGTATGGAAAAGCTGGAAATAATATGGATATGTGTGGGTAAGAGGATGTGTGTGTATGCGTGTGTGTGTGTGTATATGTGTGTGTGTGTTCCTGCCTCTCCCCTACTGGGCACATCTCCCTCATCCCTCTCAGTGGGTGGGCTCTCAGCCCTAGCGTCATACCACAAAGGTGCTTAGGGCAAGGGAATTGAAGTCAGACTTTGTGGCCTTTTGTAAACTACTTTGCCTCTAAGCCTCAGTTGTAAAGTGGAGATACTAATGGTTCATGTTTACAGTGTACTGAATGCTTACTATGTGCCAGGCAGTGTCGTTAAAAGCTTTACACATATTACCTCATTTAATCCTCATAAGAATGCCATGAATCCCATTACTATTTTACCTGTTTTTACAGACAAGGCGCTTTGGAGGTCAAATGACTTGCCCAAGATAACAGGGCTAGTGTTGTAAACACAGAGATGTGCTGGCCAGATCAGCCTTCAAGGAAGGACTTGCCCCAAGCTGCAGGGAGTGCAGGCTGCAGACAGGCTCCAGCTGTCAGCTCCTTCAGCGTCTGCCTCTGGTGCAGACAGCGGCCTCACTGGAAGTCATGCCTTTTCTGGGCAGCCTACACCCAGTGCTCAAGCAAGGTGAGGCAATCACAGAGCTCCCCGCCCTTGACCCAGGTTTGTCCAGCCTGTGTTGCTGTTTGACTTCTCCCTCTGCCCAATTATGTTTCCTCTCCCTTCCTTTCACAGGTGCTGATTTGTAAAAAAACATTGAGCTGGGCGCGGTGGCTCACGCCTGTAATACCAGCACTTTGGGAGGCCTAGGAGGGCGGATCACAAGGTCAAGAGATCGAGACCATCCTAGCCAACATGATGAAACCCTGTCTCTACTAAAAATACAAAAATTAGCTGGGTGTGGTGGTGCACACCTGTAGTCCCAGCTACTCAGGAGGCTGAGGCAGGAGAATCGCTTGAACCCAGGAGGCGGAGGTTGTAGGAAGGCGGAGATTGCAGTGAGCCAAGATCGCTCCACTGCACTCCAGCCTGGGCAACAGAGCGAGACTCCGTCTCAAAAAACAAACAAACATTGAACACCCCAACTTCTTCTCAGCGTCTGCTTCTAGGGACCCCAACCCAACCCTCAATACTTTTTTTTTTTTTTTTTTTTTTTTAGACAGAGTCTTGCTCTGTTGCCCAGGCTGGAGTGCAGTGGCACAGTCTCGGCTTACTGCAACCTCTGCTTCCTGGGTTCAAGTGATTCTCCTGTCTCAGCCTCCCGAGTAGCTGGGATTACAGGCACGTGCCACCACACCCAGATAATTTTTGAATTTTTAGTAGAGACAGGGTTTCCCCATGTTGGCCAGGCTGGTCTGGAACTCCAGACCTTAAGTGATCCCGCCGCCTCGGCCTCCCAAAGTGCTAGGATTACAGGCGTGAGCCACTGCACCCGGCTGACCAACCCGCAATACTTGTAAGTGGCAGGGCTGAGATCTGAACCCAGTCTGGCTCCTGACCACAATGTTACACTGCCCCTCAAAATAAAATATGACTTTCGGGGATTGTTATGGTATTAATGAGGTAGTGGCAGGTACATAGTAAGTGCTCAATAAATGGTAGTTCCTCATATTATTGCCCCAGACTATTGCTAACCCTTTCCTTCCTGGAAAAGATGCCAGTAGTACAGGTTCCCCAGCTCAAGGGCGGGTTCTGGAGTGAGAGTCCCAGCTCAAGGGAGGGGCCGGGCTGAGGTTGGGAGAGGCATTGGGGTAGGGTGGCTGGAGAGTCCACCCTGCCCTAAAGGAAGTATGAAGGTGGGGTTGGAAAACAGCAAAGGCACCAAACACAGGGGCTAGAAAGATACATGCATGCTTCCAGGGACAGCAAAGTTGAGCCCAGTGCCTGGTATGCAGGTCCAGTGAGTCAGCCAAGGGCCAGGCAGACGAGGCTACAACCCTAGGAGTCCTCTGGATTCTATCAGACTCTGCAGCAAATTCATGATATTTTCTGTCTTCCCTATGTATTTATTGCCCCACCCTATAATGGGATGTGTCTCTCCTTTCTCTCGTTCCCTGTACACCTGCCCAGAAAAGATGACTTTCTTCCTCTTGTTTGCTGGTTTCCCTTTCTTCTCAAGAGAGAAGTCCTGGCCGGGTGTGGTGGCTCATGCCTGTAATCCCAGCACTTTGGGAGGCCGAGGTAGGCGGATCATGAGGTCAGTTCCAGACCATCCTGGCCAATATGGTGAAACCCCGTCTCTATTAAAAATACAAAAATAAGCCGGGCGTGGTGGCAGGTGCTTGTAGTCCCAGCTACTTGGGAGGCCGAGGCAGAAGAATCGCTTGAACCCAGGAGGTGGAGGTTGCAGTGAGCTGAGATTGTACCACTGCACTCCAGCCTGGGCGACAGAGCAAGACTCCGTCTCAGAAAAAAAAATAAAAGAGGGAAGTCCTTTCTGAAGTCTGACCTCCATCTCTTGTGCTGCACTGGCTGACACCAGGGATTTGGGTTTCTATTAGGAACGGGGCAGAGGAGCCTAACTCAGCACTCTTAAGGAGGAATCAACATCATTATTTACCACAGTAGAGCATACTCAGAAGCTCCCTGACTTTTGCCCCTGCAACCAGACCCTCCCCCACTCCCTGCAGCTTTCTTTCTGAAGGAATGAGGAGCCCCAGGAGGTCTTGGTAAGAGATAAAAAAACAGGAGGGGGCCCTCTCTGGCTCTATTCAATCTCTTTCTGGGTCTCTCAGGCTTCCTCTTGCTTCAGGGAACCCAACTCACCCTTGAAGACAAAGTTATAATCTTCCTCAGTTCCATTCCCCATCTTGGCTCCGCATGGAGGGTGCAGGTGTCTTCGGGGACAGAGGCGACAAATCTGTGTGTTGGCTCAATGCCCTCAACCCTCAGCTCTCAAAAGATCTGGTCCTGCCCCTCCTCTCATTGGGGGTAAGGGGACTTCTGCAGCCAGAGGGATTGGGGGCCAACTCAAGGTTAGGCAGGGCCTAGGGAGGATCAGCTCTGGCAGGTGGGGGTGCTGTAAGGAAGCAGAGAGGACGGAAGCTGAGAACAGGAAGAGCGGGGTGGCTGGAGACCTGGGGCCCAGGTGGGTGGAGAGATGATGACGTCAGACAGGTTCGACAGGTTGGGTGTCTGCTCTCAGCCTGGGCTCCCGCAAGCGGGAGAAGCAGCTCCAGCGGGGGGGAAGCGAAAAAGGGACAGGACCTTCAGAGACAGCCCACTGAGGGCTGAGTGTGCATTGCTGGGCTTCTGGAATCTGTGGTGAGGGCCGGTCCCCCAACTAATGAGCAAGAAATAGCCCCTCAGAAACCCACTTGAGGCCAGGCGCGGTGGCTCACGCCTGTAATCCCAGCACTTTGGGAGGCTGAGGTGGGCGGATCACCTGAGGTCGGGAGTTTGAGACCAGCCTGACCAACATGGAGAAACCCCGTTTCTACTAAAAAAATACAAAATTAGCTGGGCGTGGTGGCACATGGCTGTAAACCCAGCTACTTGGGAGGCTGAGACAGGAGAATCGCTTGAACCCAGGAGGCGGAGGTTGTGGTGAGTCGAGATCGCGCCCTTGCACTCCAGCCTGGGTAACAAGAGCGAAACTCCGTCTAAAAAAAAAAAAAAAAAAAATTAGCTGGGCATGGTGGTGGGCGCCTGCAATCCCAGCTACTTGGGCGGCCAAGGTAGGAGAATTGCTTGAAGCCGGGAGGCAGAGGTTCCAGTGGGCTGAGATCGTGCCACTGCACTCCAGTCTGGGCAACAGAGACTGCTTCTCAAAAAAAAAAAAAAAAGGCCGGGTGCGGTGGCTCATACCTGTAATTCCAGCACTTTGGGAGGCCGAGGCGGGCGGATCACAAGGTCAGGAGATCGAGACCATCCTGAAGGAATGAGGAGCCCCAGGAGGTCTTGGTAAGAGATAAAAAAACAGGAGGGGGCCCTCTCTGGCTCTATGGTAGAAACGGTGAAACTGTGTCTCTACTAAAAATACAAAAAATTAGCCAGGCGTAGTGGCAGGTGCCTGTAGTCCCAGCTACTCGGGAGACTGAGGCAGGAGAATGGCGTGAACCCAGGAGGCAGAGCTTGCAGTGAGCCGAGATCGCGCCACTGCACTCCAGCCTGGGCGACAGAGCAAGACTCCGTCTCAAAAAAAAAAAGAGGCCTGGTGCGGTGGCTCCCACCTGTAATCCCAGCACTTTAGGAGGCCGAGGCCAGCGGATCACGAGGTCAGGAGTTCAAGACCAGCCTTACCAACATGGTGAAACCCTGTCTCTACTAAAAATATACAAAAATTAGCTAGGCATGGTGTCACGCGCCTGTAATCCCAGCTACTCAGGAGGCTGAGGCAGGAGAATTGCTTGAACTCGGGAGGCGGAGATTGCAGTGAGCCAAGATTGTGCCATTGCACTCCAGCCCGGGTGACAGAGCAAGAGATTCTATCTCAAAAAAAAAAAAAAAGGAAGAAACCCACTTGGCCTGCTTTTCCTTCAGAGCTGGTAGGGGGGTACACTGGGGGAACCAGAGTAAGGGATATTAGACCAGGGGCTGATAGAACACCAGTCACCCTGCTGCAATGCAGAGCTGTGGGAGTATCATGGCCACAGTAACTTCTGCCCTTCCTTGACAGCCCAGGGCCTGGGATGGGCAGTGTTTCTCATCTTGGGTGGAGCTGGGACTCGAAACCTACCCACTTCTCTGGGATGGGTTCCTTTATATGGCACTGGGGAAGGGGGCTGGTAGCTCCCTATACAGACCTGCTTTAAGGATATTGGGTAGGCAGAGACCTGGGGCAGAAACAGACAGCTGGGGTGAGTGGTCTGAGTGTAGGAGCAGGGTCTGGAGATGAAGGCCTTTGGGAGGTCTGGGTTACTTCTACTCCCTGTACAGGACCTGAGGCCTCACAGCAAAGGCCTCTTGTCTACAAAGGGCTTCAAGATCTGGGGAGGGTCTGTGTAAGCACATAAACACCTGGAAGAAGAAGAAAGGGATAGCTTGTTCTAGGCTGTTAGGGGCACCCTCCCAACCCCAAGAATAGAAAAGGCACTCACTGGCCAGTCGAAGTGGTTCATATCTGTAATCCCAGCACTTTGGGAGGCAGGAGGATGGCTTGAGCCCAGAAGTTGGAGAACAGCCTGAGCAACATATTGAGACCTCATCTCTACCAAAAACAACAAAAACAACAAAAAAAACCCCTAAAAAACACAAAAAACAAAAACCCAAAAATTAGCCAGGCATGATGGTGTGTGCCTATAATCCAGGCAACTCGGGAGGCTGAGGTGGAATCACTTGAGCCTGCAGTGAGCTGAGATTGTGTCACTGCATTACAGCCTGGGCAACAGAGGGAGACCCTCTCAAAAAAATAAAAGGCACGCACGCCCCCAAACCTGAAATGATAGACACTAACCTCTCAGGGCCTTTATATTCTCTGTGCAACACAACCCCCACCAGACCCTTGCACCTCTGAGCTCACTCCCAGTTTTGCCTATGAGGTGGGTAAGACTCTGTTCTGAGCAGCAGGGTCTAGGTGAGGTCATGCCATTGGTGAGGACAAGGACTATTTGGCGTAACTGCCAAGAACCATTGTTCGCAGAAGGTCATGGTGAAGGGGTGGGTAGAAGTCCATCCTTGCAGAACATGAGGAATCCTAGAAGCGATGCCTGCTTCTTCCTATCTTCTCTGATTCCTCCCATCCAAGAAAGTAGCCAAGACACATGACAGGAGTTGAAGTTTATTCTTGGAAAAAACAAAGTCCCATCCTCCCCCCATTGTCTAAGAAGGTTCTTCTAGGAGGCCCCGCCCCTCCAAATGGTCATTTCTCTTTTCTGACCCCAGCTTCCACCAATGCCGTTAAGATGCCGCCACTTGGGTGAGGGGCTCCTCCAGGTACTGCACCAAAGCCTGGGCCTGCAGAGGGAGAACAGAGATCAGTCCCGCACACAGCCTGGCATTAGGGACCCCAAATCCAGGTCTGCTCCCAGTGCCATAGGAAGCAACCAGCCCCCAACCCCCACCTGCTCTTGGGAGCTGGCCCACACCAGAAATGGACTGAGTAGACATGAGAACTCTAGAAACAGGGTCCTGGTGGGAGTGAACACAGTGTAGAAGCACGAAGGCTGGGCCCAGGGCTATGGAGGGATGGGCACATACACACCTTGGCCTTGAGCATTCCAAAGCCCACGGTCTCCTTGGCATACATACACAGCAGAAGGTTGGCCACTCGGGTGATGGCTACACGGCCCTCCTGGTGGGGGTGATATGATGGGATGTGATGTTCTGCTTGGCACCCTTAGCACCCTCCTTCCCCAAAGGCTTCTCTGGCCCCAGAGAGACTATATCTTCCTCCCATGCCCTGGGCACAGCAGGAAGTTCAGCGGAAAAGCTTTTGGCCACAGCCCTGAACATGGGGTTCTGAGCCCAGGTTCCAGCCTCAGCACAGCCACCTACTAACCATGTTACTCTGGGAAACTTAGTCTCTCAGAAATTCAGTTTTTCTTTCTGTAATCCCTACCTCATCCCAGTTGGTGAGGGTGCTAATACCATGAAATTTCATATCTGCCAACAGTTGTCCAAATGAGTGATGTTATTACTGTGAGCTCACCCCACAGACACTGAGAGGGGCATGGGAGTGGTAACCCAACTGGTATTTCTCCTCTTTTCCCATGGTAATGTTTTTCAAATTGCAGATTTGACCCCACAGTTAGGAGATAAATTAAGAAGGTTGATCAGCATTAAAAACCAAAAAAGAAAAAATGAAGTATATTACATGTAGTAGGAAAAGTATTGTTTCATGACTTTTGTTTTAGTGGGTCTATGTGTGTGTTGAGCTCTGACTTAAAATGTCTTTCTTAAAAAATTTTTTCCTATTTATTTATTTATTAAAATTTTTTTTGTAGAGATGGGGTCTTATTAGGTCACCAAGGCTGGTCTTGAACTCCTGGCCTCAGATAATCCTCCAGCCTCAGCCTCCCAAAGTGTTGGGATTACAGGAGTGAGGCACTGTGCTCAGCCTTAAAATGTATTTCTTTTTTTTTTTTTTTTTTTGAGATGGAGTCTTGCTCTGTTGCCCAGGCTGGAGTGCAGTGGCGTGATCTCGGCTCACTGCAACCACTGCCTCCTGGGTTCAAGTGATTCTCCTGCCTCAGCCTCCTGAGTGGCTGGGATTACAGGCACGCACCACCATGCCCAGCTAATTTTTGTATTTTTAGTAGAGATGGGGTTTCACCATGTTGGCCAGGCTGGTCTTGAACACCTGACTTTGTGATCCGCCCGCCTCGGCCTCCCAAAGTGCTGGGATTACAGGCATGAGCCACCATGCCCAGCCCCTTAAAATGTATTTCTTATGGCTGGGTTGTGGTCAAAACGTTTGAAAGCTATTGCCCTATAGCACCAGCTCTAGGCATCCAGTAGGAGTCATATGTTGAACTAAAAATGGCATTGGTTGTGCAGGGGGTAGGGGAGAGTAGGCAGTTGAGTTACAATGAAGATCCTTCCTGGAGAGTTCACCTTCTGGCCAATTTGAAAAAAACAAAAGTAAGTTCAGCAAACTTTTACTAGGTATTTATTGTATGCCAGGAACCAAGCACTGCACTCCCTGCCTCTCTGACCTCATCTCCTACTACCCTCCTCCATCTCACGTAACTCCAGCCATACCAACCAACCCTGTTGATCCTTGAGCAGGCATAATTCTGCCTCAGGGCCTTGGTACTTGCTGTTCTGTCCAAAATATTCTTCCCTCAGATAACCACATGGCTTGTCCCCCACCTTTCTTCAGATCATTGATCAAATGTCACCTTTTCAGTGAGACTGTCCCTGACACATACACCCAACAAACTCATACTCTTTCACTTCCCTGCTTTCTCTCCATTGCATTTTCAATACCTAATATATACTATATATTTTACTTATTTTAAAAAATGTGGCCAGGCACAGTGACTCACGCCTGTAATCCCAGCACTTTGGGAGGCCAACGTGGGTAGATCGCTTGAGCCAGGAGTTTGAGACCAGCCTGGGCAACATGGCAAAACCCAGTCTCTGGAAAAATGCAAAAATTAGCGAGGTGTGGTGGTGCATGTCTGTAGTCCCGGCTACTCAGGAGGCTGGGGCAGGAGGATCACCTGAGCCCAGGGAGGTCGAGGCTGCAGTGAGCCGTGATTGTATCACTGTGTAAGATTTATTAGGGCTGGGGGTTTTGTCTTTCTGTTTGCTATTTTTTCCCTAGTCCTGAGAATACTGCAAGGACCTAAATACTTGTCGACCGAACAGATACTAAGAAGTTCACAATCTAATGGTGACTTCCCCTTTCTGGACTTCATTTTCCTTTCTTTGAAAGCTTAAGGGGTTGGACTAGGGTCTGGAGACTGCCATGGTTCTGTGAGTCGGTGAAACTGGGATGACAACACTTTGTGTTTGCACGTCATTCTACTGTTTATACCCATTATTTCATCTGACCTTCACAACAACCCATGAGGGGAGCGGGGAGAGGGAAATTATTGTCTTCTCCTTAAACATGAGGTAAGGAAGCTGAGAGAGGTTAAGCGACTTACCCAAGGTTCCACAACTGATAAGTGGATGGCTGAGACCAGAACCCAAGTCAGACCTCTCAGGTCCAGGGATCCTTCCTCACCACCACTTGATGAATAGGGTCCTGCCTATTACAAATGCTGCTGCAGACCAACTCTTAGTAATCTTCCGGAGATCCTGTCCCTGCCCCTCCAACCATCCAGGATGGGGTCCAGGTCGCCCCCTTGGGATCCCCTTTGGGGGACAGGGGAAGTCTGGCTCCCCTCTCCATACCATGCAGTCCATGAGGATGAATTTGAGATTGTCTTCATTAAACGCTTGGTTCCCGTTCCGGTCGTAGGCGGCCCAGATGTTACTGGCTATGGCAGCGGTGACCCGGGCGTCAGTGTCCCCGTAACCAGAGTAGGCCAGCAGTGATCCCTCGTTATTCAGCAGCCTGGTGAGGGGCGGGGAGGGATAGCGATGTGCTCAGAGCGGGGAGTAAAACGTCTGGGTTTCCATCCCAAGTCCCACCAAGGGCACATCCAGCAAGGCTCTGGCCTGAGCGTGTCCCGGAACATGCCCTAAGCACCCAGCACACCGGCTTCCCTTTTCGACAGGGGACCTCCCGGCCGGTATCCCCAGCCGCTGCCCCCTCTGCCGCTTCCTCCCTTCCTGGTGATCCTTCCCCACCCCTCCCTCAGGGAGCCGCGCGCCGCCCCACTGCAGCGCTCGCCGCTCGGGTCCGTGGTCTGCACTCACAGGGTGCTCTGGACGCCTCCAGTGTTGGCTTGGCTTAGCACCTGGGTCAAAGCCTTGGGGCGCAGCATGCCTACGGTTCCTAACCCTGGGCTTTTGCACCCAGATCTCCGAGGTGCCTCCCGCGGGCCGCTGCCCGCTGCTTCCCGTAGTCCCGTTGGCCTGCTCCGGGACGCCCTGGGAGTTGTAGTTTCTTCGCCTGGCTATTGTGGTTCCGACTCAACCCCGCCCCACCGCGGGGGGCTCTGGGAATCGTAGTTCTTTGTGGCCTCGCGAGGCACCCTGGGAATTATAGTTCGCCTTTCCAAGCCGACCACGCGGTTGTTGGGGGGCGGAAAAGAACGGGAGTGAAAGGACAGCAGCAGCGCTGGAAGGACATTTAACCCCTTCGGGGAGAAAGGAATCAACGTGTCCGCTTGGCAGTCCACGATTCAATAATTATACTACATCCTCATATTTGTCAGGCACGCCTTTGGTTACTTTCAAAACAGTTTTCTCCGTTATGCACAATTCTGTGCGATGAGGCGAGAGGTACTATTATTATTATCTTGAGGAAACCAAGGCTCTGAAAGGCCACGCAGCCAAAACCCAGCTCCCTGGAACCGTTCTTAATAGACCATTCAGGCCGCGACCCTCGGGGCTATAGGGTCAGTCCCAGAGCTGAGAACCTAGGTGGACGTGCTTGGTGGGAAAACCCAACCTCCAAGTCGGGAAAGTCCCCTGGCCTGGAAGGGACTTGGGCTTCCAAGAAAGACCAAGTTATCACAGGGAACGGAGATAAAGCGGCGACACAGAAAGTCCTTTGTCCCGGAGCCGAGTTAGCCGCGGAGGGGGCGGGGAGGCTTTGGGCTGGAGGGGACCGCGGCACGGCTCGGGCGGGCAGCGTTGGGTCGCGGTCTCCCGGGGCAGTCCGCCCTCGCCCCCGCAATGAAGGGCACGCCCCTTCCCCCTCCCAGAGGCCCCCCAGGGGCCCCCGCCTGGCGAGACCCTGGCCGGGCTCCGGACCTGGGGCTTGGCCCTGGGCGGACCCCGCTGCAGTGGCCCCCCCGGTCCGCCCGGGGCGCTGTGGCTGCGGCTGGTCCGGAGGGGGCGGTGAAGCCTCGGGGAGGGGAGGGGAGGAGAGAGGAGGGGAGGGGAGGGGAGGGGAGAGGTGGAGAGAGGGGAGTGTTGGAGGCGCAGAAGCCGAGCCGGGCCGGCCGGGCGGGCGGGGAGGAGGAGGAGCCGGGCGGGCTGGCGGGCGGCCGGGTGGCGGCGGCGGCATGGCGGAGCCGAGCGGGGCCGAGACGAGGCCCCCCATTCGGGTCACCGTCAAGACCCCCAAGGACAAGGAGGAAATTGTGATCTGCGATCGAGCCTCGGTCAAGGAGGTAGTACAGCAGGCGGGGGGCGGGGGGAGCGCGGAGGAGGGGTCTGCGAAGAGATGGGGGGCCTCTCTGACGGTCCGGCGTCCCGGAGGGCCCCGGAGAGGAGGGCGGGGGCCGGCTGGGACTCCGAGGAGCTGAAGGCAAGGAGAGGCGGGTAGGGGGCGCCCTGCGAGGGGAGATCTGGGGGAGCGTGGCGCGTGTTGAGGGGCGGGTTTTGCCTTGTGGCCTGGGGGCGTGGTGGAGAGTGAGGAGGGGACACCTTGCACCGGGAAGGGGGAAGGACCCTGGGTTTGAGGGGAGTGTGCCGGAGTGGGGGCCCGGGCTAGGTGCTAACTGAGAGAACGGGCCGGGGGCAGGCGGAGAGCGCCGGCGCCTACTCTGTGCCTCAGAGAACGCCCAGTGTTCTCTGAGCGACGGGGCTGTCGGGGGAGGATTTCCCTGTGCCCAGATCCTTCCCACTCTTTCAAATCGACGTGGTTACATTTGGTTCTCAGCTCTTCTGAGATTTACACGGTGTGCAGTAGGTGCTCAATAAAATCTTGTTGAATGACGGACTGTTGCCTGTGTTCGCCACCCCCTGTGGCCGCTCCATAATTTCACATAGGCGGGGCTTAAGATAGGCCATCTGGTTGGAAGAGAGGGATCTGGAAGCAGCCTCTGCTTAACAAGTGCACTGTTTTTACTTAAAGTGTGTGTTGTGTTTTGTTTTGTGTTGTGTTTTGGAGGGGCTGGTAGAATTTGGGAAGTCTAACTCCATCCTTGCTCCCTCCCTAACCACATAGAATTACTAAATTTCAGAATTTAAATACTGTATGTTCCCTACAAAGCTGAATTTGAAAACGGCTCTCATTGAGAGGCAGTGTGTTTAGTTAAGAGCCTGGACTTTGGTGTCAAGACCTGAGTTCTGGTCTGCCTGGGGCAAGTTACCTTACCTCGCTGATCCTCAGTTTTCTCATCTTTAAAATGGAGATACGGCTGGGCGTGGTGGCTCACACCTGTAATCCCAGCACTTTGGGAGTCTGAGTCTGGTGGATCACCTGAGGTCACGAGTTCAAGACCAGCCTGGCCAACATGGTGAAACCCCGTCTCTACTAAAAATACAATTAGCCAGGCATGGTGGTGTGTGCCTGTAGTCCCAGACACTCGGGAGGCTGAAGCAGGAGAATCACTTGAACCCGGAAGATGGAGGTTACAGTGAGCCAAGATCGCACCTCTGCACTCCAGCCTGGGCTACAGAGCGAGACTCCATCTCAAGATAAAAATAATAATAAAATGAAAATAACAATATACTATATCTTTAACTGGTGAATAGGTAGTGCTCAATAACTGGCATCTATTTGTTGTAGTTGTTAAGAGAATACTGGGAATAGAGAGGAGAGAAAATTGGGTCTCAGAAGGCTGAAGGTCCAAAGCTGTTGAAGGAGTTGGGATGGGAGGCTGCTCTGCCTTACAGAGAACTAGGTGGAGGGACTGAAGCTGGGAGGCAGATAGCAGCAGGGGCTTTCTAGGGTGGGAGACTCTGGGATGGAGCTGAGAGAAGAGCCTCTCACTGGTTCATCTCCTTTGTTAAGAAAGGAGATGCTTATTGCAGCTGGAGGAATGGCGTCGAGACTACAGAAAGGACTTCCCATGACTAGAGATGAGAGCAAGAGAGTGCAGAAGGTGTTGAAAAAGAGTCAGGGTCCCTGGTAGGGGGAGTCCAGGCAGCCTCCACAGTGACCTCTGCCTCTTGATCACAGTTCAAAGAGGAAATCTCCCGGAGGTTTAAGGCTCAGCAGGATCAGCTGGTCCTGATCTTCGCAGGCAAGATCCTCAAGGATGGGGACACACTGAACCAGCACGGAATCAAGGACGGGCTCACTGTCCATCTGGTCATCAAGACCCCTCAGAAGTAAGTTCAGGAGCAGAGCAGATCCAGCTTCTGATTGGGCCTCCCCATCTGATACTTTCTCACTCATTGCTTAACTGTACCCAGAGGGCCTAAGCTGAGGCCCAGGCAGGTAGCTCCTGGATGAATATGATCTCATCTCTAGGGGAAGGGAACCTGATTTACCATTCCCAGAATGCCCTGAAGACAGATAATACTAGCTCCTTTCTCCCTCTGCTGGTTTACTGACTGCCCTCCCGCCATCACCCCACTCCAGCCTCAGGACTGCTCAGGAGGGGTCTTGGGTTAAAATAGTTGTCCCATAGCAAGCACAGAGATTGTCACGGTACCTTCCCTCTTCTAGTGCTCACTCCAACAGGATTCTCCTTTCTCTGTCCTCAGGGCTCAAGATCCAGCTGCTGCCACTGCTTCTTCCCCCTCCACACCTGACCCTGCCTCAGCACCCTCCACCACGCCTGCTTCACCCGCCACCCCTGCCCAGCCCTCCACCTCTGGCAGTGCCTCTTCAGATGCTGGCAGTGGAAGCCGGAGGAGCAGTGGTGGGGGGCCCTCTCCGGGGGCTGGGGAGGGATCCCCCAGTGCTACTGCGTCCATACTCTGTAAGCCCTCAGAGAGGAGAGCACAATCTTGTTTGGGGTTGGGGAGTTGGGGAAAGCCAAGAGGAGGGAGAAACAGGAGTTCCTGCTCCTGGTCTGATGGGGATAGGGGACCCCATGACAGAGTTCCAGACATTGATACTTGAGTCAAGCTGGGGAAGAAACTAGTCTGAGGAGTTCTCAGAGGTGGGGACCATGGCTAAGGGTTAGGAGTGAGGGGAGAAATGGGGTTGGGGATGTGGGGAACCCTAGGTAAAGGGAATGGAAGACCCTGTGAGTCTGGGGAAAAGTTGGATCCAGCAGTAGCCACATGGGCCACTCATTCAACAGACCATTGCTGGTTGCCTTCTCTCTGCTCAGTTCTATGTTTGGCACAGCCTCAGTCTAGTAGGCTCACATTTTTTTGCCAGCAGTGGATCAGGGCCGGGCTGTGGGAATGACAGGAAGAGGGACATGTGAGAAGCATTTGGGGCGTGTCCTGGAGATCTGAATTCAGTGGCTCTGGCTAAGTGAGGACACTGTTCTTGTGGCAGACTGTGACCCTGCCCCCTTCCCACAGCTGGCTTTGGGGGCATCCTGGGGCTGGGCAGCCTAGGCCTGGGCTCTGCCAACTTCATGGAGCTGCAGCAGCAGATGCAGCGGCAGCTGATGTCCAATCCTGAGATGCTGTCACAGATCATGGAGAACCCCCTGGTCCAGGATATGATGTCTAACCCTGATCTGATGCGTCACATGATTATGGCCAACCCCCAGATGCAGCAGTTGATGGAGCGGAACCCTGAGATCAGCCACATGCTCAATAACCCTGAACTCATGAGGCAGGTGAGTATGAGAGGGCTGGAGAGCTGGAGGACACTGGTGCCCAGCCGTGCCCTGCCCAGCCTTTCCTACTTTGTCCTACATTGATTTGTTCATTCGTGTATTCAGCAGTTTTGAACACTGGAGGTACAGGGATGAAAAGACAGGCCTAGCTTTTCAGGAATTCCAGGTGTCAAAGGGAAGTAGGACAAGTAAACCGGCAATTAGAATACAATGTGGCCATTGCTATCAGAAGGATAATCATGGGATCCTCTAGGAGCATAGAGAAGAGCTCCTGACCCTACCCTAAGGCTTAGAGGAGGCCTTAAGAAATGTCACCGAGCTGAGACCCAAAGGAGGAAGACGAACCAGGGGGAAAGAAAGAAGAACATTCAGGGCTGAGGGACAGCAAATATAAAGGCCTGGGAGTGAAAGATAGTAGGTTGTTTGGGGAGCACTGTGGCTGGGCAGGGCCCAGTTGGGAATGGAGAACCAGGGGAGACTGTTGTGATGTTGCTCTTTGGGAGTTCCAGCTCATGGTCCGCTCCACCAGAGGACCAAGGTAGATGATCTTCCCAGCAGGGCTGTGGACACCAGTGCTGGACTCACCAGAAGATAATTTATGTAAGGTCAAGGACTTGTGAGTGTTTTGTTCACTGTCTAGAACAGTGCCTGGTGCGTGGTAGTCATGCAGTAAATATTTATTGAATGAATGAATTACGGAACAAGAGATCAGAGTTCTGGGAAGCTGGGCATATCAGTTATAAAGGAGTCTTAGAAAAGGCAAGTGTGGAGCACATTTGGGAAGGAGAGGGAAGGTATTCCAAGTTGAATGGGAACAAGTAGTTATACTTATTTTTCTGTGATGAACTCCCCCGGGGTTGACATAGCCACCCCTTATTGAGATTGTGCCATTGGCTCCATAGAAGAAAGCCCCCATCTTCAGTGTTTCTCAAGGTTCAGGCAGAGCAAAGACTTGGGGGTGGGAATTACAGGGTGTCAGTAGCTTTATTCCAGCTTGAACGCTTTCCTTCCCCAACTTGCAGTCATTTACCAGGAATCACAGTATGGTCTTGGACAGACCAACCAACCTGGCTTTGAACACTGTCTTCACCACTCAGTGACTGTGTGTCCCAGGGCAGCAAGTCAATTAACATCTCTGAGCCTATTTGCTCATCTGCAAAATAGGGACAGAAATAAACACCTGAGATGGTTATTGTGGAGATTACATGACTTGAATTCCGTAAGCTACTTGGCCCTGTGCCCATATACAGTAGGTTCTCAGTAGATGTTAATTTTCTCTTCTGCCTCCTCCCCTTTCTTTCTGTGTCTCTTCTGACTCAGTTTCCTTGTGCACCCTGACACTTCTTTGGACACTCTGAGCCTAAGGGAGGGAAGCTGCTGCCCTCACTTCAGCTGGGATCATTGTCCTCCACTAGAAAAAGCCAACCAAAATACCCACAGGGAGGCGGGCTTGGAGCCAAGATTACAGTAGAGGAAGGAAGTCCAGTTTACTCTACTCCCTGTCACTGTGGGGCAGTTCCTGGGCCCTGGTCCTGATCCTGATACAGACCCCCCTTCCTCAAGGCCCACCCTTTTCCTAGGTTGGTGCTCCCCTGGTTCCGGGGCCCATTTTGTCTCTCTCCCTTGATCAGACAATGGAGCTTGCTCGGAATCCAGCCATGATGCAAGAGATGATGCGGAACCAGGACCGGGCCCTGAGCAACCTTGAGAGCATCCCTGGAGGGTATAATGCCCTCCGCCGCATGTACACGGACATCCAGGAGCCCATGTTCAGTGCTGCCCGGGAACAGGTGGGATCAAGGGCCAGGGTAGTGGGTTGGGCTGTCTGGGCTCGAGATTCCCTACCCCCACCCCAGGCAAACCTGGGCCTGCTCTTCTTTCTTTCCCCAGTCCCCTGAGGGGTGGGCCTTGGCTTGAAGGCAGTTCTCAACAGTACATATCCGGGGATGGTCCATTTTGGCATGGACAAATATAAGCAGAGGTCCTTGTGGAAGTGGTTGAGGCATAGCATCCAAGGAACTTGACATCCTGACAAACTTCTTGTACCAGGGGCTCAAAGGTCACGTGGCAGGCCTGAGGTCAGACGCCAGCCCTGATACAGCATGTCTCAAGTATGGTCCATGGATCACCTGCATCAGAATCACCTGGGGACCTTGTTGATAATGAGAATCCTGGTCCCCACCTTTGAGCTACTTATTGAATCCATTTCTGGGGTTGGGCCCCAGGATTATACACTTTTAAAAATGCTTTATGAATCCTATTCAAGTACACACAAAAAAATAGATAAAAATGTAACATTCTTTTTTTTTGTTTTTAATCAATGTTGCCCTAACATGTTGCCATATATAATTTCAGTGCCCTTTTGGTTCTTTCTTTCTTTCTTTTTTTTTTTTTTTTTTGAGATGGAGTCTCGCTCTATCGCCCAGGCTGGAATGCAGTGGCGCAATCTCGGCTCACTGTAACCTCCGCCTCCCGGGTTCAAGCAATTCTCCTGCCTTCTCCCTGGTGGCTAAGACTACAGGTACATGCCACCACGCCCGGCTAACTTTTTATATTTTTAGTAGAGATGGGGTTTCACCATGTTAGCCAGGATGATCTTGATCTCCTGACCTCATGATCCGCCCACCTTGGCCTCCAAAAGTGCTGAGATTACAGGAGTGAGCCACCGCGCCTGGCCATGGTTCTTTTTAAAAATTTAATTTTACATTAAACACATTCTATGTTTGTATGTTTGAAAATGCAAAAGTTGGCCAGGCGCAGTGGCTGACACCTGTAATCCCAGCACTTTGGGAGGCTGAGGTGGGCGGATCACGAGGTCAGGAGATCGAGACCATCCTGGCTAAAATGGTGAAACCCCATCTCTACTAAAAATACAAAAAATTAGCCGGGCATGATGGCACATGCCTGTAGTCCCAGCTATTTGGGAGGCTGAGGCAGGAGAATCGCTTGAACCCGGGAGGCAGAGGTTGCAGTGAGCCAAGATCGTGCCACTGCACTCTAGCCTGGGCGACAGAGTGAGACTCCATCTCAAAAAAAAAAAAAAAAAAATTCACAAGTTACACAAAGTAAACAAAAGGGTATTCCAAAAAAGTATGGAAAAGTATACAGGCTAAAAAAAGGTTTACAGAAGGGATCCCTCTGTTTCCATCTCCCAGCCAGCTCTTTTCTACCTCAGTGGTAACTAATGTTGTTAGTATCTTGTTTATTTTCCTAGACATATTTAATATTTGCAAATAAGACATAGGTAGAGTTGTAGCCTTTACAAACCCCTCCCCTCTCCTATTCTTTTTCTTTCCAGAGGTAACTAGTATGCTGAAGTTGAAGTTGGGGTTTATCATTCTGATTCTTTTATTACCTATGTATATGTCTATAAACGTCTATATATTATCATATTTTTAAATATGAGGTGGTACCATGCTGGTCTTATTATTTTAACTTGCTTTTGTTTTGAGACAGAGTCTCACTGTTTCGCCCAGGCTGGAGTGCAATGGCGCGATCTCAGCTCACTGCAACCTCCACCTCCTGGGTTCAAGCGAGTCTCCTGCCTCAGCTTTCTGAGTAGCCGGGACTGCAGGCTTGCACCACCACGCCTGGCTAAGTTTTGTATTTTTTAGCAGACACAGGGTTTCACCATATTGGCCAGGCTGGTCTCGAACTCCTGACCTTGTCATCTGCCTGCCTCGGCCTCCCAAAGTGCTGGGATTACAGGTGTGAGCCACTGCACTTGGCTGCTTTTTTTTTTTTTAATACAACCTTTAAAAATGTTTTGTGTTTTTGGTTTGTTTTGTTTTTTTGAGACGAAGTTTCACTCGTTGCCCAGGCTGGAGTGCAATGGCGTGATCTCAGCTCACTGCAACCTCCGCCTCCCGGGTTCAAGTGATTCTCCTGCCTCAGCCTCCCGAGTAGCTGGGACCACAGGCGCCCGCCACCATGCCCAGCTATTTTTTTTTTTTTTTTGTATTATTAGTAGAGACGGGGTTTCACCATGTTGGCCAGGCTGGTCTCGAACTCCTGACCTCAGGTGATCCACCCACCTCGGCCTCCCAAAGTGCTGGGATTATAGGCGTGAGCCACCGTGCCCGGCCTAAAACTGACAAACTTTTAAAATATTTGTTTCATTTAAAAATGACAATTTATTACAAGTTGGTGGAGCGTAGTGGCGCATGCCTATAATCTCAGCATTTTGGGAGGCTGAGGCAGGTGGATCACCTGAGGTCAGGAGTTTGAGACCAGCCTGGCCAACATGGCGAAACCCCATCTCTACTAAAAATACAAAACTTAGCCAGGTGTGGTGGTGGGTGCCTGTCATCCCAGCTTCTCAGGAGGCTGAGGCAAGAGAATTGCTTGAACCCTGGAGGTGGAGGTTGCAGTGAGCCGAGATTGTGCCTTTGCACTCCAACCTGGGCAGCAAAACGAGACTCCATCTCAAAAAAAAAAAATTATTACAAGTTAACATAAATAACATTATTTTGAAAAATAACTTTATTTTCCAAAACAAACAAAACTGTAGAGGAAAGTATGGACTTGTTTTACATTTTTGTAGTTCTCTTTGATGTCTAGCTTACTACAAGACAGCTGGTTCTCAGATCTGCATTCAGTTTGCAATGTCACATGTCATGTAGACTTTGGAAAACTCCACTGTATCCTCATGAGAGAATAAGAGTGAAAAAGACAAATTCATGTCTTAGAATTATGAAAACAGTTTTAATGCTTGCAGGGGTCCCAGGACCACACTTTGAGAACTGTTGTATTAGAGGAGTATTATAAGCATTAGAATAAATGTGTCAGGCACATAGTAGGTGCTCAATAAATGATGGTTGTTATCACTGTGGGTAGTTCAGGAAAAGAGATTTCGTCCTTAGAGTGTACCAGGAAGAATAAAGCGAGCCCAGAACAAGGTGGGGTGAGGTGCTAGGCAAGTATCAGAACAAGAAATCTGAAACAGGCACAGAGGCTGAAACCATGGTGCATGAACCCTGGCCTGTGAGCTCTGTTATCTGAACAGGATCTGGTGAGGTGAAGGAAACAGCTCAGAGTAGGAGAATCCTTGGTTAGCCCCGGTCCCCATGACCCACTTTCAATGAACAGGAAAAGCAGCTCAATATGAAACCCTACGGTGGGGAGGGGCTGAGGTAGGACCACCTGGGAACTCAGGAAAGAGAGCTGCTGAGCTCTTAGACCACAAGAAAGGCTGAGTAGGGAAAACTGAGTCTGGGACTCCCTCAGCCAGAGCTCTGTGCTAGGTGCTGGAGGGGAGGAGGTTCCGGTGTTGCCTTTGGGAAGCACACCATCCCATGGGGTATGGACCTGAGATATCCTGGGGAGCACAGTGAGGAGCATGGTAGGGCAAGGGGGACCAGAAGTAAACTGAGGCCTGTCCATCTGAAGTAGCCAGTGTGTAGAGGTAGGGTTTGGAGCAGGAGGGGAAAACCTAGAGAGGGCATATTCTGCTGGAGGTGTGTTCTGCTAGGGGCCGCCACTGTGGTGTGCCTGGATGGACAGAGAATGCCAGGTAGGGGACCTGGGGAGTGAGGGAAAGGTTCTGGGGAGTTAGGATTAGTCCAAGGAGGCTGGGGAAAGGGAAGATCGGGGTTCAAGTAGAGAGCCAGGTTTGACAGCCCACTCCCATTAAGCCAGTAGTTAGTTATTGAGCACCTACTAGTGTCGGGGCTGGGGGTGCACAGGCAAATCTGACATTGCCTCTGCCCCTTGAGGTACAGGAACACAAATATTTGGCTACACAATGGGAAAACTGTGTGTAAAGTGCGGTGGGTTACATAGGAGATGATTAGAGACCAAATATTGAAAGCCACCGGGGGGATGGGAAGTTTCCAATTATCTGAGAGGTTCAGTTATCCAGTCACTAGCATCAGCTAGCTCCCACCCTATGGAGCAAGGAAGGAGCTATCCATTGTGGGGCAAAGAACTGAACTGAGGACCTCTAAGGTCTTAGATCTCTCTCCCTTTTCTGGGGAAGGGGAGGCTATTAAGTGAGAGGAGAGAATGGGCCTAGCCCTTGTCCCTGATTTGTTTCAGTCCTTAACCCAAAACCTTTCCCTCCTCCCAGTTTGGCAACAATCCCTTCTCTTCCCTGGCCGGGAACTCCGACAGCTCATCCTCCCAGCCTCTGCGGACTGAGAATCGAGAGCCCCTCCCTAACCCCTGGAGCCCCTCGCCCCCCACCTCCCAGGCCCCCGGGTCCGGTGGGGAGGGCACCGGAGGATCGGGGACCAGCCAGGTGCACCCGACAGTCTCGAACCCCTTTGGGATCAATGCGGCTAGCCTGGGGTCAGGTATGTCCTAGGATGGAAGGAGCTTAGTGGGGTCACCAGGGCAGCCCCTCTGTCCCAGGACTGAATGGGGTTCATACTGCTCCAGGATTTTGAAGACAGAGGTGAGACTATCGAGGCCACAGAGGGGGCTCTGCCGTCTGGGATAGTGGCCGGGTGAGGGCTGGTTCTGGCCATGTCCTGATATCCCTAGGAGTGACCTAAGTAATAGCTCATGAGTAAACCAGGCCCCACTTCCTAAGCTCCATGAGCACCTCTGGTATTATCCAGTGTAAAAGGTTCAGACTGCTGTGGGGAGAGGGGGCTGGAGAGGAATCAAGGCAGACCTGGGGAGAGGCAGATGTGAGGCTGGGGGAAAGGGATGTGCAGGGCTTGCCATGTACAGAAGAACAGGTTATGCACTGCACAACCCTAGAGGATGCTCCATTTATCTGGACTATGACTGTACACATGGCCTGGGGGATGTCTTCAGCAGATGCTCTAATTTCTCTGCACTCTGGGGGATATCTTGATTGGGAAAGTTCCTTCCCTCTGTGTGTTTTAGTTTCCTTATTTGTAAAGTAAGGACTGGAACTTGATCCATGATTTTAAAATTGTGCTCCTGCATCCTGGAAAGGTCTTCATCTCCAGGATGAGGAAGGACCCAATGGGAGAGGCTGCAGCCCTCCTGCCCCAGCTCCAGCCAGACCATTAACACACTTGGTTTCTGAGTGAGATTTAGCATGAGGAAAGGGTCTCTGCTGCTAAGACAAGTTTGATCTAGATGATATTTAATCATTTCTTTCCAAATTGGACATAATTTGAGCTTATGGCAGGAACAGTCCAGAGAGGCATAAATCAGACCCAGTTCCTAGCTGGCTTGTCCTTATCAAGTAAATGGAAAAGGGGCCAGGCCAAAGCAGGGCAAGATGACCTTGGACTTGGGAGAGACTTGGACTCATGCCACAATCCTAGGGTGCCCACTGGACCATTGCTTTTCTGAGTTTTGTAGTCATTCGGTGTCTGAAGTAAGGTAGATTGAAGTGAGGCCTTCGGTTTCCATCTGGACCCTTTCTCTCCTGTTTTCTTTTTTTCCGCCTTGTCCTAGGGATGTTCAATAGCCCAGAAATGCAAGCCCTCCTCCAGCAGATCTCTGAGAACCCCCAGCTGATGCAGAATGTGATCTCAGCACCCTACATGCGCAGCATGATGCAGACGCTTGCCCAGAACCCCGACTTTGCTGCTCAGGTATGAAACCAGCATGAGGAGAGTATTGTTGGGGAGAGAGTTCCTCTTGGTTGGGGGCAGTTTCTTGTGGTCAAAACACTGTGGAGCCAGACTGCCTGGGTTTGCATCCCAAGCTCTGCTGCTTCCCAGCTGTGTGAGTTAAGCAAGTTATTTAGCCTCCCAGTTTCTTTATCTGTAAGATGATAATAACAATAGTTCCTACCTCCTATAGTTGTGAGGATTAAATGAGTTAATACACGTTAAGTGCTTAGAACATGGCGTGTGACAGAGTAAGTTCTGTATACCTGGAAATGTTAGCTGTCCTCATCATCATCAGACCCAGGGCTGAGCAGGCTGACTCCTCATACTCTTCATTACCCAGAGCATAGTTCCATTTCCTCTCACTGTCCCACTTAGGCCTTCAGGATACTTTGAGATCCCCGGAGAAGCTGGCCAGATTTCCTGCAGTGGTAGGGGGTGCCCAGGGAGTCTGAGGCTGTGGGGGAATTCTTAGGGTGAAAAGGCCCAGGTCTCCCCCTGCTACCTTCACCCTGGCAGATGATGGTGAATGTGCCGCTCTTCGCGGGGAACCCCCAACTGCAGGAGCAGCTCCGCCTGCAGCTCCCAGTCTTCCTGCAGCAGGTGAGTGAGGAGCCTAGATGGGTGGAGGTTGAGGGCAAGGGGTAGTCCCTGAAGCCCAATGGGTGGAAATGAAGTTGGGGCAGAGCTTGACTCTGGACTCCTAGTTGAGGTTGTCTCCTCTTTCCTGCCACCTCTTGATGCCTTTCTCTGCTTATTTCCCACCAGATGCAGAACCCAGAGTCACTCTCCATCCTTACCAATCCCCGAGCCATGCAGGCATTGCTGCAGATCCAGCAGGGACTACAGACCTTGCAGACCGAGGCCCCTGGGCTGGTACCCAGGTGAGGGTAGGGGGGCAGGAGGGCAGCAAGGTTCTAGCAACTTCTCCCCTTCAACTCTTCTCTCTGCCACTCTCTCAGCATCCTTTGTGTCTCTGAGGGTCTGTTTTCCTGTTTCTTCCAACTGCTTTTCCTTCTGGATCTCACATTCTCATCCCTTTCTTGGATGCCATCTCCTACCTCTTGGTCTCTCTTGCCTACAGCCTTGGCTCCTTTGGGATATCCCGGACCCCAGCACCCTCAGCAGGCAGCAACGCAGGGTCTACGCCCGAGGCCCCCACTTCCTCACCAGCCACGCCAGCCACATCTTCTCCAACAGGGGCTTCCAGCGCCCAGCAGCAACTCATGCAGCAGATGATCCAGCTTTTGGCTGGAAGTGGAAACTCACAGGTACATGAGGCAGTGGGGGCAGGTGCTGGGAGCACCACTTTGATCCTGGGAGGTTTCAAGGGAAGCAATAGAATAGAGGCAGTAGGGCAAGCTTGGGAGTCAGGTCCTGTTCTGCCACTTGCTAGCCTTGGGCAGGTTACTGATGCTCCCTGAGTTCAGTTTGTGCAGATGTGAAATAGAGATGAGAAGAGTAATGGTACTTACCCGTGCACTACATACTGTTCTAAATGCTTTAGATTTTGGAGCTCATTTACGACTCATTTACCACATTCCTCACAATAGCCTCATGAGAAAGCTATTATTATTATTTCTGTGTTAAAGATGGGGAAAACTGAGGCCCGGAAAGGTTAAGTGGCTTACTCACTTACATAGCTAGTAGATAATGAAGCCAAGACTCAAACCCAGGCATTCCACCTCCAGAATTTACACTATACCATTTCTGCTTATATCAAAGGATCCTTTTGATAATTAAAGCAGCCCCCATCTCTGAGACTCTGGGGAGGGGGATTCTGCGAGGTAACCAAAGCCCTGGGAAAGTCAAGGCCAGGGGCTGGCAGGAGGGGCAGGGATGACCTACCTCGAGTGAGCCTCTTAACCTTTCTCTGACCTCTGTGACTCATCTGGAAAAGCCATTCAACCAAAATGTATGTTTACCCAGCTTTGTGCAAGGCACGAGAGAGCTAAACTAGGTGGTGTCCAGTCCAGGTGCAACCCAAGTTAAATTCTGTGGACTGGCTGGGCGCGGTGGCTCACGCCTGTAATCCCAGCACTTTGGGAGGCTGAGGCGGGCGGATCACGAGGTCAGAAGATCGAGACCATCCTGGCTAACACGGTGAAACCCCATCTCTACTAAAAAATACAAAAAAAAAAAATTAGCCAGGCGTGGTGGCAGGTGCCTGCAGTCCCAGCTACTCAGGAGGCTGACGCAGGAGAATGGGGTGAACTCGGGAGGTGGAGCTTGCAGTGAGCCAAGATGGCGCCACTGCACTCCAGCCTGGGTGACAGAGCGAGACTCCATCTCAAAAAAAAAAAAAAAAAAAAAATGTGTGGACTGTGATAAGAAGCAACAAGGAGCACTGGAAAGGGCTTTCTTTTTTTTTTTTTGAGACAGAGTTTTGCTCTTGTTGCCCAGGCTGGAGTGCAATGGCGCAACCTCTGCCTCCCAGGTTCAAGCCATTCTCCTGCCTCAACCTCCCGAGTAGCTGGGATTACAGGCACGCGCCACCACACCCGGCTAATTTTTTTGTATTGTTAGTAGAGATGGGGTTTCACCATGTTGTCCAGGCTGGTCTCGAACTCCTGACCTTAGGTGATCTGCCTGCCTCGGGCTCCCAAAGTGCTGGGATTATAGGCGTGAGCCACCACACCCGTCCAGAAAGGGCTTTTATACTGCAAGTCAGGGGGCCTTAGTGACTGACTTTCTCTGTGACCCCAGGCAAGTCCTGTCTTTTCTCTGGATCGAACATTGTTCCTTTCAACACCAGGTGGACGGTGCTTGCTGGACTCTTTCTAGCTATAAGAGTCTTTTTTTTTTTTTTTTTTTTTTTTGAGACGGAGTCTCGCTCTGTCGCCCAGGCTGGAGTGCAGTGGCCGGATCTCAGCTCACTGCAAGCTCCGCCTCCTGGGTTTAGGCCATTCTCCTGCCTCAGCCTCCCGAGTAGCTGGGACTAAAGGCGCCCACCACCACGCCCGGCTAATTTTTTGTATTTTTAGTAGAGACGGGGTTTCACCATGTTAGCCAGGATGGTCTCGATCGCCTGACCTCGTGATCCACCTGCCTCGGTCTCCCAAAGTGCTGGGATTACTGGCGTCAGCCACCGCACCCGGCCACTATAAGAGTCTTTTGTTCATAATCAAGGCTTGTGCTTTCCAAATACCCCTTGGGCAAACATTTACAGGAGATAATTAGAGGAATGACAAGAATGAAAAGCCAAGCTAGCCAGGCGGTGGCTCACTTCTGTAATCCCAGCAATTTGGGAGGCCGAGGCAGGCAGATCACCTGAGGTCAGGAGTTCAAGACCAGCCTGACCAACGTGGAGAAACCCCGTCTCTACTAAAAATACAAAATTAGCTGGGTGTCGTGGCGCATGCCTATCATCCCAGCTACTCGAGAGGTTGAGGCAGGAGAGTCACTTGAACCTGGGAGGCAGAGGTTGTAGTGAGCTGAGATCGTGCCATTTTACTCCAGCCTGGGCAACAAGAGTGAAACTCCATCTCAAAAAAAAAAAAAAAAAAAAAAGCCAGGCCAGGAGTGTGGCTCATGCCTGTAATCCCAGTGCTTTGGGAGGCCAAGGCAGGGGACTGCTTGAGGCCAGGAGTTCGAGACCAGCCTGGGCAACGCGGGGAGACCCAGTCTGTAAAAATTTTTTTCTTTTAAAAAAAGTCTTAGTGCAAGCTGGGCATGGTGGCTCATGCCTGTAATCCCAACATTTTGGGAGGCCAAGGCGGGTGTATCACTTGAGGCCAGGAGTTCAAAACCCACCTGGCCAACATGGTGAAACCACGTCTCTACTAAAAATACAAAAATTAGCCGGGCTTGGTGGCATGCACCTGTAATCCCAGCTATTCAGGAGGCTGAGGCAAGAGAATCGCTTCAACCCGGGAGGCAGATCATGCCACTGCATCCAGCCTGGGTGACAGAGCGAGACTCCGTCTCAAAAAAAAAAAAAAAAGAAGAAGACCTAGTGCAGTGGCTCATGCCTGTAATCCCAGCAGTTAGAGAGGCCAAGGCAGGAGGATCACTTGAGACCAGCCTGGGCAACATAGCAAGACCCTTTCTCTGCTAAAAAAATTTTTTTCTTTATTTTTTATTTTATTTTTATTTTTTTGAGATGGAGTCTCACTCTGTCCCCCATGCTGGAGTGTTATGGCACAGTCTCGGCTCACTGCAACCTCCGCCTCCCGGGTTCAAGCGATTCTCCTGCCTCAGCCTCCTGAGTAGCTGAGACTACAGGCTCCTGTCACCATGCCCAACTAAGTTTTGTATCTTTAGTCTCGGGGTATCGCCATGTTGGCCAGTCTGGTCTCGAACTCCTGACCTCAAGTGATCCACCTGCCTCAGCCTCCCAAAGTGCTGGGATTACAGGCATGAGCCACCACGCACTTTTGTTTTTTTAAGATGTACTCTGTCTTCCAGGCTGGAGTGCAGTGGCGCAATTTCAGCTCACTGCACCTCCGCCTCCCGGATTCAAGTGATTCTTCTGCCTCAGCCTCCCAAGTAGTTGGGACTACAGGCATGCGCCACCACACCTGGGTAATTTTTTGTGTTTTTAGTAGACATGGGGTTTCGCCATGTTGGCCAGCCTGGTCTTGAACTCCTGACCTCAGGCAAACTGCCCATCTTGGCCTCCCAAAGTGCTGGGATTATAGGCATGAGCCACTATGCCCAGCCAAAAAAAAATTTTTTTTTAATTGGCTGGGCAAGGTGGTACACACCTGTAGCCCCAGCTACTCAGGAGGCTCAGAGAGAAGGATCACCTGAGCCCAGGAGATAGAGGCTGCAGTGAGCTATGATTCTGCCACTATATTCCAGCCTGGGTGCAAGACCCTGTCTCAAAAAAAAAGGAAATACTTCTCTTTTATAAATAACTGTTGATCAGTGAAACAAAATTAAATAGCTTCTTAACTGGGACCCTTCTCTAGCCTTTCATATGGCTGTACGTGTGATGACTATTAGGAGGGGCCTTGGAGGTCATGCTTAGTATGCATCTTATTTGACCATAGAACATTTGGCTTTTGGAGTGCCTGTTAACATCTCCAGTGTTTATGGAAAGTAATGAGGAATATATGCTGATCTAGGCCTATCAGTTATCTTGAAAATCTAAAAAAGATATCCGCCTGCCATATTATTACACAGTTTTGTTTGTTTGTTTTTTTGTTTTTGTTTTTTGAGACAGAGTCTCGCTCTGTTGCCCAGGCTGGAGTGCAGTGGCGCGATCTCGCCTCACTGCAAGCTCCGCCTCCCGGATTCACGCCATTCTCCTGCCTCAGCCTCCTGAGTAGCTGGGACTACAGGGCGCCCACCACCACACCCAGCGAATTTTTTGTATTTTTAGTAGAGATGGGGTTTCGCCGTGTTAGCCAGGATGGTCTCGATCTTCTGACCTCGTGATCCGCCCGCCTCAGCCTCCTAAAGTGCTGGGATTACAGGCGTGAGCCACCGTACCCGGCCATTACACAGTTATTTAGGACTTGGGACCTAGGCTCCTGGGCCCCCATTTGCAGCTCATCTTCCCTGCCCTCCTGATTGACTCTGAGGATATTAGAGAAGACCTGCTGGTCTTAGAAACCCTTAATTCAAATAGGGCCCCCAAGATTGGTCCTGTGCCCACTTCACAAGGCCTGTCCCCTCCAGGTGCAGACGCCAGAAGTGAGATTTCAGCAGCAGCTGGAGCAGCTCAACTCCATGGGCTTCATCAATCGTGAGGCTAACCTGCAGGCCCTGATTGCCACAGGAGGGGACATCAACGCAGCTATCGAGAGACTGCTGGGCTCCCAGCTCTCCTAATCCCTCGGCCCATGCCTCCTGCCTCTCCCCTCCCTCGATGTCAGCATTCGGTTCTTCTGTCAATCCTTACCCTCTGCAGCTTGTCCTCCCTTCCGTCTTCTCCCTCATCCTTTCCAAACAGCAGGGTGACTTTAGAGGCATGGGCTCCAACCCCTTAGCTCTGTCTGAGAATTATGGTTTTACTGCTACGTCTCTAACAGACTCTTCTCTCCTGGTCTCCTTGAGCAGTGCTACTTAAACAGTTTTCACAGTTTCATTGATTGACTCTACCTCCTTGCCCCACACCACTTTTGCAATCTTTAAACTTTCAGTGGCTGTGCAGAGTCGAGGGAGGAACCAGCTCTCTGGTTTACTGGAACATAGTCTTCCATCTATACCACTAGGGTTTTGTCTTATGTTTACTTTTGGTAACTCTCTTCCTTCTTTTTCTCCCTACCCCCCAACCCCTAGCCCAACCAATGCTAGAATTTCTTGCTCTGAAGGAGGAGCAGGTGAAACAGGTGGTAATTTTCCTTCTCGGCCCCTATTCTGGTTCATTCAGCACTTTTTGGTGGGAACTGTTGGAAATTCCAGGGTAAGGAGGAAGATGCCTGTTCTCCCTGTCTGAAGAGGGAGATGAGACAGCTCTCTGGACAGGAATTAACAAACGCTGGAGCAGCCCAGAGGAAATTCGTGTGAAAGAGGAGGGAATGAGATTATTCGGAGGAAGGGAATGGGGGAGACAGCCTGAGTAAAAGGCTTGGAAGTTGGAATTAACAGTGGGGAGCAGAAGCACTCATAGCTCTTTTAGGCAGAAGAATCCAGGCCCGAGCTGGCAGAAGAGACTTAGAGATGCTAATGGAATTTAAACTGAAAAAAGGAGCCCAATGAAGCTAAGCGCCACGCCCCACAAGGGGTCATATTGGCTTTAGTTCCTCAAGCATATGTGCTTATATGCACACACACACACATTTCCATGGACCCAGGTCTTGCTTGTGTCCCCAGGCACCAGTAGTTTGAGCCCCCCTCAAAAGACATGAAGGGGGTTGGGGTCTGTGTGAGTAGTGGGGAGGTGCATGTGTATCCACATGTGTGCATACACTCTTAAGTTGGGTGGGAAGTGGATTCCTTGTTGGTTTCTGGTTCAGAGTGCTCTCCCACCACCAGAGACAAGTGGGTAAAAAGGTCAGTCCATTGCAGGAATATATATCCGGGAGAGCTAGGTCCCTTGGGGCTCTGGATGCTGGGTAACCCAGAGGTAATGTGGGTACCCTTTCTGAAGCTGTCAGGGCTGTGACTAGCACCCTTATCACCCCTCACTGCCTTGTGGGAATAGTAGAGGGTTTTTTTCCTCCAGAGCCCCTGGCCTTTCAGTTCTTAACTATTTCCCTCCAGGCCAGAAAGTTTTCTTTGAGGAAGGAGAGGAGAGGGTGGCAATGATGCCTTTGATCTGGAATTGGACATTTCTCTGTCAGAGCACAGAGGAGGCTCATATCACCTCTTCCCTCTCCTACTTGGCCCAGCTGCTTGGAGGACCGACCCCATGGCTGAGAATATGACGGCAAGAGGAACAGAGTTTGCTCCAAGTGGGAAAGGGTCCCAAGCAGTCCAGAGAAGATGTCTGTGTGGCTTTCCCTCCCTGCCTCCCCCAGCTCCCACACTGGCCTTTGTAAATAAATGGCGTGGTCTTTGTTGTGAGAGTGTGTTGGCGTTTGTTTTTTTGAGGAAGAAGCTGGCTGAAAACAACTTCTTGGTTTTCCAGGGCAAGAGTTGTGATCTAGAGGAATTTGAAGTTTGGTTCAGTTACTACAGATGTTAAGAAATATTAAAAGTGGCTGAGATCATGCCATTGCACTACAGCCTGGGCAACAAGAGCGAAACTGCATCTCAAAAAAACAAGAAATATTAAAAGGTTTTAGCCTGGCAACATAGGGAGACCTTGTCTCTACGAAAAATTTAAAAATTAGCCAGGCATGGTGGTGTGGGCCTGTAGTCCCAGCTACATGGGAGGCTGAGGCAGGAGGACCACTTGAGCCCAAGAAGTCAAGGCTCCAGTGAGCTGTGATTGCGCCGCTGCACTCCAGCCTGGGAGACAAAGTGAAACCCTGTCTCAAAAGAAAAAAAAATTATATATATATATATATATATATATATATATATATATATATATATAGAAGGTTAAGGGATAACTGATGATGGAAGTATCAGTAATATATGACTTGGGAATGGGGAGGACTGCATTCTTCCATTCCCCATCAGACCATTGGGTATCTGAGATCTCTTCCCCTACTTCCCCATAGGTCAGGTGTGGTAGAGGAAACTGAATTGTAAGATTATTGCCTCCATCCTCTGATCTTTTGGCAAGATTGCCCTCCCCTTACCTTAGGTTAAAAAGTAAAACAAGGCTGGGCACAGTGGCTCACGCCTATAATCCCAGCACTTTGGGAGGCTGAGGTGGGTGGATCACGAGGTCAGGAGTTCAAGACCAGCCTGGCCAAGATGGTGAAACCCTGTCTCTACTAAAAATACAAAAATTAGCCAGGCACGGTGGCAGGTGCCTGTAATCCCAGCTACTCAGGAGGCTGAGGCAGGAGAATCGCTGGTACCAGGGAGGCAGAGGTTGCAGTGAGCCTAGATTGTGCCACGCACTCTAGCCTGGGGGCGACAGAGCAAGACTCCGTCTCAAAAAAAAAAAAAAAAAAGTAAAACAAAAACTCTTGCAGTCAGGTTTTATGCCAGTGAAGTTTGGTAGTTATTAATCTTGAGCTCAGACTAAACCTGGCATTACCACTAATCATGTAAGTTTGAGGAAGTCTTTTCACACCTATGGGGTTTTATCTTTTGTACATTGAAGTTATGGACTACGGTTCTGTGGAACATGAATAAGCCAAGAGTGGGAGGTTCCACTTTGATAATGGTATACTAGATGCCTGAGACCGATACTCTCACTAGAAATTTTAAAATCTGGGAAAAATACATAAAAAATGGAAAAAGCATCAAAGAGTGAGTAAGACTGACTGGAACCCAGAGGGGAAAGAAACTCTAAAGACTGGCTGCCTTTGACCTGGAGGCCAGTTAGGAAAAGGTTGCTGAGAGGCTGAGCTGTGGTTTTTTTTGTTTTGTTTTTGTTTTTTTTTTTTTGGTTTTTTTTTTCAAGATGGAGTTTCACTCTTGTCACCCAGGCTAGAGTGCAGTGATGCAATCTCGGCTCACTGCAACCTCCCCATTCCAGGTTCAAGTGATTCTTCTGCCTCAGCCTCCTGAGTAGCTGGGATTGCAGGTGCCCGCCATGACACCCAGGTAATTTTTTGTGTTTTTAGTAGAGATGGGGTTTCACCATGTTGGCCAGGCTGGTCTCGAACTTCTGACCTCAGGTGATCTGACAGCCTCGGCCTCCCAAAGTGCTGGGATCACAGGCGTGAGCCGTCGCGCCCAGCCCATGCCCAGCTAATTTTTATATTTTTTTGTAGAGATGGGATTTCACCATGTTGCCCAGACTGGTCTCAAACTCCTGGGGTCAAGCAAGGAAGGAAGGAGCAAGCAAACGGGATGTTCAGAGAGATAAAGTGGGGCAGGGATTGAATACATCTAGCAAAAAAACAAAACAAAACAAAACAAAAAAAACCTGGAATCATCAGGCTCACACATGCCATTCACAAAAATAAAATGTGCTTTATTTCTAAGCGGAAGGATTACACTCTGCTCTTCTGGCTTCTGCCCAGAGCTTTCCTTGGAGCCCCGTGGAGATCTGGACCATCACCCATTAGTGAAGCTCACAGCTGAGTCAGTCTCACCCGGGCTCCTCCTTGCTCCAGAGTCGGATGCCTTGTTTTCCTCCACTGACTTCTGCTTCCTGTGGCAGCAGCTACATAAGTATTGGCAAAAACATGGACAGACAACTTGGTTTCATTGGTGGATAAGCTCAAGCCACTTTCCAAGATGCTCAGGTGCTCCTTGTGCCTCACTTGGCGGATTCTTGAGTACGGGCATTGCCTCTGTCCTGTCCTAGGTGATTGCAAAGAGGTAGGGGGCCCCTCTCTCTGGTCCTCCTCCTCTTCCTCATCCTCCTTGTCCTCCTTGTCTTCCTCTTTCACCTCATTTTTCCTCATCTGGAGAATGCAAACCTTGTTCTGCTTCCGCCTCTTCGTCTGAACAAGGCTGGGATCTTCTTCCTTGGGGGAATCCAAGAGCAAGGAATGAAGCATGCTCTCCACCGACCCATCCTGTTACATATGGGACTTCGCCTCTGTCGTTGGCGGAGAGGCGAAGTGCCGCAGAGAAGCATGGAGATCACAGAGCAAACCTAAACCAAGCGCCCATCTCTCTGTGAGAACTGAGCAGACAGCAGAGGTTAAAAAACACTGTCCTGGCCCGGAAGACACGTTCACTTAAAATACTAAAGACAAGCTACAAAGCAGTATCTGCAAAGGATACACAGGCATATCCTGAATGCATTAAACGTTCATTCTTTTTTTTTTTTTTTTTCTGAGACGGAGTTTCACTCTTGTTGCCCAGGCTGGAGTGCGGTGGTGTGATCTCTGCTTACTGCAACCTCCACCTCCTGGGTTCAAGTGATTCTCCTGCCTCGCCCTCCCAAGTAGCTGGGATTACAGGCGTGAGCCATCGCGCCCGGCCAAATGCTCATTCTTTTCAAAGGGTTGTAATGCAAATATTTAGGTTAAATAAAGACTCATTTTGGCCGGGCGCGGTGGCTCACGCCTGTAATCCCAGCACTTTGGGAGGCCAAGGCAAGGAGATCACGAGGTCAGGAGTTCAAGACCAGCCTGCCCAATATGGTGAAACCCCCATCTCTACTAAAAATACAAAAACTAGCCAGGCGTGGTGGCACGTGCCTGTAATCCCAGCTATTCAGTAGACTGAGGCAGGAGAGTCGCTGGGCGGCAGAGCAAGACTCCAGCTCAAAAAAAAAACTCATTTTGGAAGGCAAATAATCACCCATTAATTTATCTGCTCTAGAAATCCTGCTTGTTCATATTTGAACAATCCTGCTTGTTCATATTTGATGGATACGTTTATTATCTTCATTGTGGTGATGATTTCATGAGTATATATATATATGTCAAAACTTATCAAATTGTACACTTTAAATATGTACAGTTTATTGTGTGTCAGAGCTCAAAAGCAAAAAACAGCTAGCATTTAAACCCTCCCTCAAACAGACAATTAAGAAGTTCCTCCATCCTGGCTAACACTGCGAAACCCCGTCTCTACTAAAAATACAAAACAAAAAAATTAGCCAGGCCTGGTGGCATGCGCTGGTAGTCCCAGCTACTTGGGAGGCTGAGGCAGGAGAATTGCTTGAACCCGGGAGGCGGAGGTTGCAGTGAGCTGAGATCGTGCCACTGCACACCAACCTGGGTGACAGAGCGAGACTCCATCTCAAAAAAAAAAAAAAAAAAAGAAGAAGTTCCTATACCAAGTGCGTTTAAGAGCATATGAGTATTGAAAGGATATTAGGAAGGACTAATAAGAATCGAGTGGCTAACTGGGAGGTGGTTCTTTTGTGTGTGAACTCTTGAGCCAAACTGAGCTCAAACTCTAGCATCTTTGCTTTCTACTTATGCGGTCTTGGGAGAGTTATTCAACCTGCCTGTGCCTGAGTTTGTTCATCTGAAAAATGGGGAAAATAGTAGCACCTGCCTTATAGGATTGTTATGATAGTTAAATGAGATGTAAATTCTTACAAAATACCATGTGGTAAGTACTCAATAAATGTTAGCTATGATTACTATTATTGTTGATATTACTATTATTATTGGTGGTGGAATTTTTTTTTCTGAAAGTGGTAATTCTGTTTTGTTTTGAGGCAGGATCTCCCTCTGTCACCCAGGTTGGAGTGCAGTGGGGCATTCACAGCTCACTGAAGCCTCAACCTCCCAGGCCCAAGCAATCCATCCAACTCAGCCTCCAAAAGTGCTGGGATTACAGGCGTGAGCCACCGAGTCCAGCCTCAAAGCAAATTTGAGCCATGTTTTAGTAAAGATACGAATCAAAAGCATGTAGAGAATGCACGGGAGGTTGCCACAGTATTTCTTAGTGAGCTAAAGTGCTCAAATGATGGTAGAACAGGGGTGCAAGACCTGAGGGGTGGGAGGGATGCAGGGTGGGGCACTTACACTGGTCAGCTCCTGACTCCCTTGGTAGCCCAAGTCATCAATGAAGCTGTTGATGGATGTCAAGGATACAGCAAATTTGTTAAAGGAGGGATTTTCTTCCCCTGAAGCCCCCCAAGCTTCTTTGATCTCCTAAGGGAGAGGTGGAGAGTCCAATTAAGAGTGGAACAGCCCATAGCTGGGTGTGGTGGTGTGCGCCTGTAATCTTAGCTACTCAGGAGGAGTTAGAATCAATCAAACCCAGGAGGTGGAAGTTGCAGTGAACCAAGATCACGCCACTGCACTCCAGCCTGGGTGACAGCATGAGACTCTGTCTCAAAAAAAAAAAAAAAAAAAAAGAATGGAGCAGCCCATATCCTGAGAGTGACACTGTAAAATAAATAAACACCAAGCAGAACTTCAGGAATCACCCTGCCCTTGCTCCTGGCTGTGTCCCATACCCTGCCGGCTTTGAGAGTCGATAAAGGCCCATTCTCTTTCTTTTTTTTTTTTTCTTTTTTTGAGACGGAGTCTTGCTCTCGCCCAGGCTAGAGTGCAGTGGCACTATCTCGGCTCTCTGCAAGCTCCGCCTCCCAGGTTCATGCCATTCTCCTGCCTCAGCCTCCTGAGTTGCTGGGACTATAGGCACCCGCCACCACGCCCGGCTAATTTTTTGTATTTTTAGTAGAGACGGGGTTTCACCGTGTTAGCCAGGATGGTCTCAATCTCGTGACCTCGTGATCTGCCCGCCTCGGCCTCCCAAAGTGCTGGGATTACAGGCGTGAGCCACCGCGCCCGGCCTGGACCCATTCTCTTTCTTCTTCATTATCATAGAGCTCTATGATCACTAATGCCATGAGACTGGCATGTCCCCCTCCCTCCCTCACCACACATTCACAATTCTTTACTCCCGGAGTCCTCACGGAAGTGGTTGTCATAGCAACAGGAGGGTAGGGTCCTGGGCCCATGGGTTCAAGGAGGGCTCCTCTGAAGGATGTGAGAGGCCACATGTGCACATGCATGCACACACACATGCATGCACACACACAGATGCACACGCACACGCACTTGCACACACATACACACACACACACACACACTCCTTTGTCACTCTTCAGCAAGAGGAGGCTGGGCCTGCTCAACCCCTCCCCCAGCTCCCACCTGGGCTAATAGAAAGGGAGAAGAGGAGACGGTGGTCAAATTCTGAAAATGGGATGAAACCTCAAAAGACATCAAGACAGCAGGTATAGATTCCAGAATCCACCTTGGAATTTGCATGTGTTGGGGAGAAATTTGGCAAGAAGCAGAAAATAGTCCTCCATCCACTTTCAACTTGGGGTGGCCAGGTCTGTCCAAGATTTTCAAGTGATCCCAGGACTTAGAAAGGACCCTTCAGAGTCTGTTTCAGGAGCTTGAGCTCTTTCTGAGCCTTCTCCGCTCCTCTTTCTACTCATCCTCTCAGTAGCCAAAGTTCTTCTATCTACCATGCATTTCTCCTTTTTCTCCATGCTCTCTCTAGGGGAGAAGCTCATTTGGTTTAGTCTAAACTTTATTGGTCAAATACAATGCTGTAATATGCGATTCTTGGTTGGATTCTAGTTTTCTTTTGAAAGTCATAAAGAAGCTAGGCATGGTGGCTCATGCCTGTCATCTCAGCACTTTGGGAGGCTTAGGTGGGCAGATCACCTGAGGTCAGGAGTTCCAGACCAGCCTGGTCAACATGGTGAAACCCCTGTCTCTACAAAAAAATACAAACATTGGCCGGGGGTGGTGGTAGGCACCTGTAATCCCAGCTACTCAGGAGGCTGAGGCAGAAGAATCCCTTGAACCCGGGAGGTGGAGGTTGCAGTGAGCCGAGATGGCGCCATTGCACTGCAGCCTGGGCAACAAGAGCAAAACTCTGTCTAAAAAAAAAAAGGCCATGTGCGGTGGCTCATGCCTGTAATCCCCCCCACTTTGGGAGGCCGAGGCTGGCGGATCATGAGGTCAGGAGATCGAGACCATCCTGGCTAACACAGTGAAATCCCGTCTCTACTAAAAATACAAAAAAATTAGCCGGGTGTGGTGGCGGGCACCTGTAGTCCCAGCTGCTCGGGAGGCTGAGGTAGGAGAATGGCGTGAACCCGGGAGGCAGAGGTTGCAGTGAGGCGAGATCGTGCCACTGCACTCCAGCCTGGGGGACAGAGAGTGAGACTCTGTCTCAAAAAAAAAAAAGAAGTATATATGAATGTGTATACAACCAGCCCTCTGTATTTGTGAGTTCCACATCCATAGATTAAACTAACTGCAGATTGGAGGTTATTATTATTATTTTTGAGATGAAGTCCTGCTCCATTGTCCAGGCTGGAGTACAGTGGCAAGATCTTGGCTTGCTGCAACCTCTGCCTCCCAGGTTCAAGCCATTCTCTTGCCTCAGCCTCCCAAGTAGCTGGGATTATAGGTTCACACCACCATGCCCGGCTACTTTTTTTGTATTTTTAGTTGAGATGGGATTTTGCCATATTGGCCAGGCTGGTCATGAACTCCTGACCTCAGGTGATCTGCCCACCTTGGCCTCCCAAAGTGATGGGATTACAGGCATGAGCCACCTCACCTGGCCGGAAAATTGTTTTTTTAATTAAAAAAAAAAATAGAGAGAGTCTCACTATGTTGCCCAGGCTGGTCTTAAACTCCTTGTCTCAAACAATCCTCCTGCCTCTGCCTCCCAAACAGCTGGGATTATAGGCATGAGCCACTGCACCTGGCCCAGAGATTATGTAAAGTGTACGGTAGGCCCAGCACAGTGGCTCATGCCTGTAATCCCAGCACTTGGGGAGGCCAAGGTGGGCGAATCACTTGAGGTCAGGAGTTTGAGACCAGCCTGGCCAACATGATGAAACCCTGTCTCTACTAAAAATACAAAAATTAGCTGGGCATGGTGGCGCACGCCTGTAATCCCAGCTACTTGGGAGGCTGAGGCAGGAGAATCGCCTGAACTTGAGAGGCAGAGGTTGTGGTGAGCCCCAGATTACACCACTGCACACCAGCCTGGGCATCAGAGTGAGACTGCATCTCAAAAAAATAAATAAATAAGTTGGGCGTGGTGGCTCACGCCTGTAATCCCAGCACTTTGGGAGGCTGAGATTGGCAGATCACAAGGTCAGGAGATCAAGACCATCCTGGCTAACACGGTGAAACCCTGTCTTTACTAAAAAAAATACAAAAAAAATCAGCTGGGTGTGGTGGCGGGCGCCTTTAGTCCCAGCTACGCGGGAGGCTGAGGCAGGAGAATGGCGTGAACCCGGGAGGCGGAGCTTGCAGTGAGCCGAGATCGCGCCACTGCACTCCAGCCTGGGCGACAGAGTGAGACTCCGTCTCAGATAAATAAATAAATAAATAAATAAATAAATAAATAAATAAATAGTATATGGTAGGGGCCAGGTGCAATGCTTCATGCCTGTAATCCCAGCACTCTGGAAGGCCAAGGCAGGAGAATCGCTTGAAGAGTTTGAGACTGACCTGGGACAACATAGTGAGATTCTGCTCTACTTTATTTATTTATTTATTTATTTATTTATTTTTGAGACGGAGTTTTGCTTTTGTTGCCCAGGTTGGAGTACAATGGCGTGATCTCGGCTCACTGCAACCTCTGCCTCCTGGGTTCAAGCGATTCTCCTGCCTCAGCTTCAAGTAGCTGTAATCCCAGCTACTGTATCCCAGTAGCTGGGAATACAGGTGTGCCCGGCTAATTTCGTATTTTTAGTAGAGACAGGGATTCTCCATGTTGGTCAGGCTGGTCTCAAACTCCCAACCTCAGGTGATCCGCCTGCCTCGGCCTCCCAAAGTGCTGGGATTACAGGCATGAGCCACCATGCCCGGCTGCTCTACTTTATTAAACAAAATTATAAAAAAAATTAACAAAAAGAATAAAGTATATGGGAGGATATGCATAGGCTATATGCAAATATTCTGTCATTTTATATAAAGATAATGAGCATCTACAGATTTTGGTATTTGCAATGGTCCTGCAACGAATCCCCTAAGGTTGCCAAGGGACGACTGTACATATACAGTTATGCATCACTTAACCACGGGATACATTCTGAGAAATATGGTGTTAGGTGATGTCGTTGTGTGAACATCATAGAGTGTACTTACAAACCTAGATGGCATGGCCTATTATACACCTTGGCAGTAGTATGGTACAGCCTATTGTTCCTAGGGCACAAACCTATACAGCACATTACTGTACTGAATACTGTAGGCAATTGTAACATATGATATTTGTGTATCTAAACATAGAAAAGGTACAGTGAAAATACAGTATCATAATCTATGTGACCACCATTATATATACAGTCCATTGTTGACCAAAACATCATTATGTGGCACAAGACAGTGTATACATATATTAATTTACATATAGAGTGACAGCAAATGGGCAAAATGTTAGTGACTGATAAATCCAGATGAAAGGTATACAGGTGTTAATTCAACCATTTTTTCAAGTTTCTGTAGGTTTGAAGTGTTTCAAAATAAATAATTGTGCGTGGGGCACTGTTCTTGGCTCTGGAATCTGGTGTCCTTTTCCAGCCAAGCCTGACCATTGCAGGGTCAGCAGCAGTGATTTTCTTCTCCCTGCGTGGCTCAGTTATGCTCAGTGACTACTTATGGGGAAGCCATTCCACAAACACGAGGTGTGTCCCTGCCCTGTAGGTACTCACAGTCCAGGGAGGGGAAAGAGCTGGGACAAGTTGTCTGACTACAGCGTGGTGGATGCAGTGGCAGAGCAGGACCACAGCGCAGAGGCTCGCCGACACTGCCAGCGTCCCCTAGTGTCTGGCAGGAGACTGAGTGCACACAGCTCATTGTGGAAAAGAAAAGAGACTCCTTGGTAGCTGGTTGGTAACACACATAGACTCCTGGTCCGGGAGGTAGGATGTGCATGCATGCCTTTTCTCCCAAAGTTGTCTTCCAGAGCCAGCCTGGAGCAGATACCCGGAAGTCCCTTTTCACAAAGGACCCTTGCCTTGTTCTTATCTACTTTGCCGCTTTTTTTTTTTTTTTTTTTAAGATAGAGTCTCCCTCTGTCGCCCAGGCTGGAGTGCAGTGGTGCCATCTCGACTCACTGCAACCTCCACCTCCTGGGTTCAAGTGATTCTCCTGCCTCAGCCTCCCAAGTAGCTGTGATTACAGGTGCCCGCCACCATGCCCAGCTAATTTTTGTATTTTTATTAAAGACGGAGTTTCACCATGTTAGCCAGGCTGGTCTCGAACTCCTGACCTCAGGGGATCCACCCACCTCAGCCTCTCAATGTGCTGAGATTACAGGTGTGAGCCACCGTGCCCGGCTACTTTCCCGCTTTTAGTTGGAGCCCTACTTCTTCCTGCTGCTGCCTCTTGGGTGAGGTCGAGGAGACCCCTGTTTCTGGCCTCCTCACTGACGTCGCCATTCCATCTTCAGAGTATGATATCTACAACCAAACCAACAAGTCATGCTGTCGCTCTCATCCTGAGAGACTGCCTCTCAGGATGATATGCCCTTATGCTAAAATGGCTCCTCATTACTGGCTGTGAGGCTGAGAGGGAACAAGAGGGTGAAGGGGCTGAGAGGACACGGACATCCTTCATGTGTGTAGGAGGAAGGGGTATACCGTGTGCTTTGCATACCTAGAAGCATCTACCTCAGGAAGGTATCTTCCCTGGGTTCAGACATTCAATGGGGTCAGTCAAGATTTGGAGGTTTTTTGGGGACTCACTGGGAGCTGTCCCACATCCTGTGCCTCAGACCCGAGCTTTCCCAATGATGGAGGAAGAATTGTTTCAGAGAAAAAGCAGAGAAAATGCTTTCTGAGTAGCAAAATGCTGGGCTTTTGCATTTCAAAAGCCAAAGTCCAGACATGTGTCAGAGTACACTAGAGCTGTGCTGTTCCATATACTAGTCACATGTAGCTATTCAAACTTAAACTGAAATGAGTTAAAAAATGAGGCGGGGCATAGTGGCTCATGCCTGCAATCCCAACACTTTGGGAGGCCGAGGTAGGTGGATCGCTTGAGGTCAGGAGTTGGAGACCAGTCTGGCCAACATGGCCAAACCCCGTATCCACCAAAAATACAAAAATTAGCCAGCTGTGGTGACAGGTTTAGCCATGTTGGCAGGGCTGGTTTTGAACTCCTGACCTCAGGTAATCTGCCTGCCTCAGCCTCCCAAAGTGCTGGGATCACAGGCATGAGCCCACCGCACCCGGCCCATGTGTTTTGTTTCCAGACAGGTTGTTGCTTTGTCACCAGGCTGGAGAGTAGTGGTGCAATCATAGCTCCCTGCAGCCTCGAACTCCTGGGCTCAAGCGATGCTTCCACCTCAGCCTTCTGAGTAAGCTGGGGTTACAGGAACATGGCACCATACCTGGCTGCTTAAAAATTTTTTTTGTAGAGACAGGTATCGCTTTGTTGCCAAGGTTGGTCTCGAACTCCTGGCTTTAAGCAGTCCTTCCTTCCAAGGTGCTGGGATTGCAGGTGTGAACCACCTTGCCTGACTGTTTTTGTTTTTGTTTTTTTGAGGAGTGCTTGACACCTCATTTGTCTTTTCATTATGGTTAGGACTATAGGTCATCCTCCTTGAGGGCAGGCACCATATCCTATTTTGTATCTCTCTTTTTTTTGAGATGGAGTCTCACTCTGTCACCCAGGCTGGAGTGAAGTGGCACGATCTCGGCTCACTGCAACCTCCACCTCCCAGGTTCAAGCGATTCTCCTGCCTCAGCCTCCCTAGTAGCTGGGATTACAAGGGTGTGCCACCATGCCCGGCTAATTTTTGTATTTTTCGTAGAGACCGGGTTTCACCATGTTGGTCAGGCTGGTCTCTAACTCCTGACCTCATGATCCACCCACCTCGGCTTTCCAAAGTGCTGGGATTACAGGCATGAGCCACCGTGCCTGGCCCTATTTTGTATCTCTTATAGTCACTATCACAGTGCTTGACACATAACAGGTGCTCAAAAAATGAATGCTAAATGTACTAATGAAAGAACAAGTGACTCGGATGGGATAGAGGCAGGAAAAGGGTCAGTGTATAAGTGGGCAACCCAAAGATGAAGACATTTCTCTTCTGGACCTAGAAGTGGCTACATAGTAAGGTGTCCAAAGAGTGTGTGCTAAAGATACATTGCTTTCAGGTGCAGCAGAGTCTGAGAAACAAGAACACCCACACTGTCCATCTTTCCGGTCCTGAAGAAATGGCTCTAGAAAGCAATATTTGAGCAAACAAGGTGGGCCATGCCTATAATCCCAACACTTTGGGAGGCAGAGACGAGTGGATCACTTGAGCCCAGGAGTTAGAGACCAGCCTGAGCAACATGGCGAAACTCCGTCCCTAAAGTAAAAAAAAAAAAAATTACCCAGGCATGGTAGGGCACACCTGTGGTCCCAGCTAATCGGGAGGCTGAAGTAAGAGGATCAGCTGGCCCAGGAGGTTAAGGATGCAGTGAGCCATGTTTGTGCCACTGCACTCAGCCTGGGCAAAGGGTGAGACTCTGCCTAAAAAGAAAAAAAAAGGAAAGAAAGAAAAAGGAAGGAAGGAAGGAATAAAAATTTCTCCAATTGGCTGGGTGTGGTGGCTCACATCTGTAATCCCAGCACTTTGGGAGGCTGAGACGGGCGGACCACAAGGTCAGGAGATCAAGACCATCCTGCCAACATGGTGAAACCCCGTCTCTACTGAAAATACAAATAAATTAACTGGGCATGCTGGCATGTGCCTGTAGTCCCAGCTACTTGGGAGGCTGAGGCAGGAGAATTGCTTGAACCTGGGAGGCGGAGGTTGCAGTGAGCTGAGATAGCACCACTGCACTCCAGCCTGGGCAACACAGTGAGACTCTGTCTCAAAAAAAAAAATTTCTCCAATCAGCAGACGTTTCTTGAGCACTTTCTTTGCCCTTGAAAAAGTGTACACTACAGAAATAGGACCTAATCATTAAGGTACATTTTTCTTTTTCTTTTTTAAGACGGAGTCTTGCTCTGGCACCAGGCTGGAGTGCAGTGGTACGATCTCGGTTCACTGCAACCCCTGCCTCCTGGGTTCAAGCGATTCTCCAACCTCAGCCTCCTGAGTAGCTGGGATTACAGGCATGCGCCACCATACCCAGCTAATTTTTGTATTTTTAGTAGAGACGGGGTTTCACCATGTTGGCCAGGATGGTCTCGATCTCCTCACCTCGTGATCCACCCGCCTCGGCCTCCCAAAGTGCTGGGATTACAGGCATGAGCCACTGTGCCTGGCCTAAGGTACATTTTTCAAGCCAGAAACAATTAAAGGAAAACAAATAAACTGTTGTGTGTAAAAGAGCTCAAAGCCAAGGAGGGCTTCCCAGAGAGGACAAGACCAGAACAGGGTCCTGAAGGATTGGCTGGATTTGGATAAGAAAGAGAGGCAGTAGGACATTTCAGGGAAGCCACACACCAAGGCCTGAAGTCAGAGCAGATTGGAGGTTGTATGTAGAGAAGTCATTATTAATTCCTGGACTACTTCCTGTGTGCTCAGGCAAGACACTAAGCAACGGGAAATGGACAACCTTTTCTCAAGAAGCTGCAATCTTGGAGGTGGAGAATGGAAGGACAGATACTAAGGCAGATACAGGCAATGTGTATTATTCTACAAGAATGTAACCCCCAGAAAGTAGAAACCATATCTGTCCTATTTATCACTGTATCTCCAGAACCTACAGCAGCACCAGGAACAAAGTAGGTGCTCAGTAAACGCATATTGAATGCAGGAATGCTACAAGGGAGGTATAGAATAACAGCAATACTGATAATTACCATTTACTGAGCACATACATGTGCCAGGCACTGTACTAAGAGTTTTACATACATCATCTTATTTGATACTCTAACCTTTTGTGAGTGCTATAATTATCTTGTTTTACAGATGTGGGAACCAAGGTGTTATATAAGTAATGCTTGTTCAAGGTTACCTAACCAGTAAGTGACAGAACTGGGATTGAATTCATGACTGCCTAACTTCACAGTTCATCCTCTGAACCTAAGATCTACTGTTCAAAATGCTGTTTTGGGAAGTTTGGCAGCTGATTAAAAAGTGCAGGGAGGCCGGGCGTGGTGGCTCAAGCCTGTAATTCCAGCACTTTGGGAGGCCAAGGTGGGCAGATCACTTGAGGACAGGAGTTTGAGACCAGTCTGGCCAACATGGTGAAACACCGTCTCTACTAAAAGGACAAAAAATTAGCCGGGCAGGTGGCACACTCCTGTAATCCCAGCTACTGGGGAGGCTGAGGCAGGAGAATCGCTTGAACCTGGGAGGCGGAGGTTGCAGTGAGCTGAGATCGCGCCACTGCATTCCACCCTGGGGTACAGAGCAAGACCCTGTCTCAAAAATAAAATAAAATAAAATAAAATAAATAAAAATAAAAAGTGCAGGAAAGACCTAAGATAGAAAGACTACTAGAGTAAAACCCACATCCAGAAACCAGCAAGAACTGAAGCAGTTATAGTAGGAATGGAGAAAAAAAGATCTACTTTTTTGGCACTTCAAAGGGCTTCTAAATAAAGCTCAGGGCTCGGTGACCTGCTGGATGTAGGGAATGTCTATGTGTCTTGTCTGAGAATAGAAAAAATACTGGTTGGAATAGCTTTTCTCTAATTCTCTGTTCGACAGTACTAGTTGACATTTTAGATAGATGATCCAAATTTCTAGGTTTGCTAGTTTCCCAAAGCACCTAATGAGGTGCGGGTCACATACAGTAGTGAAAAATCAGCTTGAAAAGCCCCCCAAAGAGGGCCGAATAAGAAGCCTGGAGAACGCACAAACCTCTTAGGAGCGCTCACAGCCTCTCAGGCAGGCGGGCACTACAAAGGGAAAGGTGGGGCTTCTCCAAGAACTACAACTCCCACAAGGCATTGGGCGGAACACCACGGTTTCCGGCCAGTGCTTATTTCCGGTCTTTCGGATGCTGACGCTCTCTTCCTGTCTTTGTGGCTCCGGAAAGGCGTTTGGGATGCCAACGGTAAGTCCGGAGGCTTAGGGCGTCCGAACGGGAGAGGCGAGAGCCTCGTGTCCGCGCATCACCCCGTGGCTGGGGGTTAGCTAGGGGAGGGCGGGAAGGGCAGAGGACGCGGTGGCTGGAGGACGTGTAACCTTGCAAGAGGCGGGAGGCGGGGGGCAGAGGTGATTGACCCCCGCCCCCCCGCCCGTGGGACCAAGAAAGGGATGTGACAGGCGAGGACGAATGGGATCTCAGGGGCTGGACTGGAGAGTGGGGTACAGGGATGTGAGGAGGACCCCGCGAGTCCGCGGTGGGATCCCAATAGAGCTGTGGCCAAGGAGGAGGGGAGCAGCGGGAAGGCTGTGGGCACTCCTGTGTGAGGGAAAGCTACAGGCTCCTGCAGGTCCGAGATCGGCCGAAATCAGGCACCCCAAGGAAGCCCTGCTCTGGCCACATGGTGTCCCCTCAGAAGACTCCACCAGCCGGTGGGCATCCCGGGGCTTCTGACAGGAAGAGGGCAGTAGATATATTGGTGCTTGTACCGGTTTTTCGAGGGCTGCAGGGTGAAGATGGTAGGAGAGTCTGGAGAACGGGTCTGCTCTGGTGGCTTATGGACTACTCTGTGGAAGGGGCTGCTGTTCTGGTAGCATCGAAGGAGCTTTCTACGGGAGCGCTGTCAAGAGGATTTTGGTGAATTTGACGTACTTGGTTTGATAACTCACTTTGCTTTTTTCTCTAAAGATGAGGCTGCTGTCATTTGTGGTGTTGGCTCTATTTGCTGTCACTCAAGCAGAGGAAGGAGCCAGGCTTTTGGCTTCCAAATCACTGCTGAACAGATACGCCGTGGAGGGACGAGACCTGACCTTGCAGTACAACATCTACAATGTTGGCTCAAGGTAACTCGAGGCCCTAGAGTTACAGATTAAGCCTATTTCTGGATTCTTAGTTTTCAGATGGGAATAGGGAGCATATTGGTGGGTAGTGGTTTCTCTTTGGGACACTTCCAGCATCAGATATATTGAGTGAATGAATACACTTCGGGATCTACTTTTGGAAAGGAGGACATTCTTACCTAAGCTACAAGAAACCATCTTTCACGTTTCGGGTTGGAAGAATTTTAGAGTAGGGAAGTGGCAAGAATTGTGGAAAAACTAGGAGGGAAAGATAAAGACACAGAAAATACACAATCCCTTGTTACCTCAGGGGTTTAAAGTGTCATCTTCCAGCCTGGCATGGTAGCTCACGCCTGTAATCTCAGCACTTTGGGAGGCTGAGGCGGGCGGATTGCTGGAGGTCAGGAGATCGAGACCAGCCTGGCCAACATGGCAAAACCCTGTCACTACTAAAAATACAAAAATTAGCCAGGCGTGGTGGCGGACGCCTGTAGTCCCAGCTACTCGGGAGGCTGAGGCAAAAGAATCGCTTGAACCCGGGAGGCGGAAGTTGCAGTGAGCCGGAGATTGCGCCACTGCACTCCAGCCTGAGCCACAAGACCGAGTCTCCATCTCAAAAAAAAAAAAGTGTAATTTTCCTTCTTTCATTAGCCTAGAGCATTTTTGTTGCCTTTCTTTCATTTTATTCCCTTATAACTTTCTCCTCTGTATTCACTGTGTTCCTCTTCTCCCTCCCTCCACACACATAGGCATGTACATGAAGAAAAATTGAGGCAAGGATGAACTTGGACCTATTGCCTCCTGGATACTTGATTATTTTGGTGCTTCTGAGCAATAGAATCCAGTCCTTGACCTGGATTCTTCAGTGCAACAGAACCAAGTTGCTATATTACTCATATCTTTTGCAATTCTGATTTTTTTGGAGAAGCAGGCAGGTTTGATTGTTTATTGCTTTAATTTAATTTTTTTATTATTATTTTTTAGATGGAGTATCACTCTGTCACCCAGGCAGGAGTGCAGTGGTGCAGTCTCTGCTCACTGCAACCTCTGCTTCCCAGCTGCAAGTGATCCTCCTGCCTCAGCCTCCCGAGTAGCTGGGATTACAGGCGCATACCACCATGCCTGGCTAATTTTTGTATTTTTAGAGACAGGATTTTTTGTATTTTAGAGACGGAGTTTCACCATGTTGGCCAGGCTGGTCTTGAACTCCTGACCTCAAGAGATCAGCCAGCCTCAGCCTCCCAAAGTGCTAGGATTATAGGTGTGAACCACTGCGCCCGGACTATTGCTTTAATTTTTTTGTTTGTTTGAGACAGAGTCTCGCTCTGTCCCAGGCTGGAGTATAGTGGTGCGATCTTGGCTCACTGCAACCTCCGCCTCCCAGGGTTCAAGCAGTTCTCCTGCCTCAGCCTCCCGAGTAGCTGGGATTACAGGCGCTCACCACCGCGCCCAGCTAATTTTTGTATTTTTAGTAGAGACAGGGTTTCACCATGTTGGCCAGGCTGGTCTCGAACTCCTGACCTCAGGTGATCTGCCCACCTCGGCCTCCCAAAAGTGCTGGGATTACAGGCGTGAGCCACGGCGCCCGGCCTGCTTTAATTTTATATCCATTACTTACTAACCCTTTTTGTTTCATCCATTTTCTAGTGCTGCATTAGACGTGGAACTATCTGATGATTCCTTCCCTCCAGAAGACTTTGGCATTGTGTCTGGAATGCTCAATGTCAAATGGGACCGGATTGCCCCGTATCCTCTTGGCACTTGGTGATGAAGGGTCGGGGGGCAGGGAGAGCCTTGCCTGCAAAGCAGCAGGGGTACTTCAAATAGGCTGGATATGTGTGGCTGTCCTCCTGTCATCTCTCTGGATAAGATGGAGCAAGAGAGGTTGGTGTAAATTGTGTGAGCATGATTTAGAGTAGACATGAAGAAGGAGGATACTGAAGTTCAGATTATAAGACCCTGAAACAAGCTGGGCACGGTGGCTCATGCCTGTAATCCCAGCATTTTTGGGAGGCCGAGGTGGGTGGATCATAAGGTCAAGAGATTGAGACCATCCTGGCCAACATGGTGAAACCCTGTCTCTATTAAAAATACAAAAATTAGCTGGGCATGATGGCGCGCACCTATAGTCTAGCTACTTGGGAGGCTGAGGCAGGAGAATCACTTGAACCCAGGAGGCGGAGGTTGCAGTGAGCCGAGATCCTGCCACTGCACTGTAGCCTAGGCAACAGAGTGAGACTCTGTGTCAAAAAAAAAAAAAAAAAAAAAAAAAAAAACCTGAAACATACTATACTGGGAGGATATAGACACTTAATAAAGATGTTTGTGGCTGGACAAAGGTATTTAAGGTGCTTTTAAAAGAAATTCAGGCCAGGCACAGTGGCTCATGCCTGTAATCCCAGCACTTTGGGAGGCCAAGGTGGGTGGATCACGAGGTCAGGAGTTCGAGACCAGCCTGGCCAAGATAGTGAAACCCCGTCTCTACTAAAAATACAAAAATTAGCCAGGCGCAGTGGCGGGAGCCTGTAATCCCAGCTACTCGGGAGGCTGAGGTAGGAGAATCGCTTGAACCCGGGAGGTGCAGGTTGCAGTGAGCTGAGATCGCGCCACTGCACTCTAGCCTGGGCGACAGCAAGACTCTGTCTCAAAAATAAAAAAAAGAAATTCACTGGGATGCTAGCATGAAGGATCTGGGTGACCTTTTAAAGTCTCTTATTCAGTGAGTCTCTTATTCTAATCTACCAATTATCTCCTGAGTATTGAATTAGATGGTATTTTTCTTCCTGTGAATTAAAGTATATTTAAGCCAGGTGCGGTGGCACATGCCTATAGTCCCAGCTACTTGGGAGATGGAGGTGAGAGGATTGCTAGGGCTTGGGAGTTCAAGCCTGCAGTGAGCTATGATAGTGCTGCTGTACTCCAGCCTTGGTGACAAAGTGAGACCTAGTCTCTTAAATAATAATTAATTGTATTTTATTAATCTGTTCTCAAGTTGCTATGAAGAATAAGCTGAGACTGGGTAATTTTTAAAAAAAGAGGTTTAATTTGTTCACGGTTCTGCAGGCTGTACAGCAAGCATGGCTGGGGATGCCTCAGGGAACTTATAATGGTAGAAGGCAAAGGGAAAATAGGCACGTCTTACATGTCTGGAGCAGGAGGAAGAGAGTAAGAGGGGAGGTGCTACACACTTTTAAACCAGATCTTGTGAGAACTCATATCATTAGAATGGCAAGGGAGAAATCTGCCCCCATGATCCAATTCCCTCCCACCAGGCCCCTCCTCCAACATTGGGGATTACAATTCCACATGAGATTTGGGCAGGGACACAGATCCAAATCATATCAATAATAATTATGTATACGTTTAGGTTTATTGGTGAGGGTAAATGTGGTCTTTGTATTTGTTTTTGTTTTGTCTTTTTTTTTTGTATTTTCAATAATTTCCTTCAATTATAGTTAACAAAAGATTTTCTATGAGCTTGGCCAGGCGCGGTGGCTTACGCCTGTAATCCCAGCACTTTGGGAGGCCGAGGCGGGTGGATCACGAGGTCAGGAGATCGAGACCATCCTGGCTAACACACAGTGAAACCCTGTCTCTACTAAAAATACAAAAAAATTAGCCAGGCGTGGTGGCGGGCGCCTGTAGTTCCAGCTACTCTGGAGGCTGAGGCAGGAGAATGGTGTGAACCCAGGAGGCGGAGCTTGCAGTGAGCTGAGATCATGCCACTGCACTTCAGCCTGGGCGACGGAGCGAGACTGTCAAAAAAAAACAAAAAAAAAAGATTTTCTGTGAGCTTAAGTGACTATAATTTCTTTTAATCATCCAAGAAGAAGCACTGATTGAATGACTGTAATTTTTTTTTTGAGATGGAGTTTCGCTCTTGTCGCTCTTGTCTTGAGTGCAATGGTGCAATCTCGGCTCACTGCAACCTCTGGCTCCCGAGTTCAAGCGATTCTCCAGCCTCAGCCTCCAGAGTAGCTGGGATTACAGGCACTCGCCACCATGCCTAGCTAATTTTTGTATTTTTAGTAGAGACGGGGTTTCGCCATGTTGGCCAGGCTGGTCTCGAACTTCTGACCTCAGGTGATCCAACCACTTCGGCCTCCCAAAGTGCTGGGATTACAGGCATGAGCTCCCATGCCTGGCCAAGTGACTATAATTTTTTTATCCATAACATATATTGCTTTGGAAGTTTACTTCAAAAACCATGACACTGAGTATAACATGGGACCCTTAAAATTTAGCTGGAAAAAAATACCATACACTTTAGATTTAAAAAAGATGCCTAGGCCCCATATGGTGGCTCATGCCTGTAATCCCAGGACTTTGGGAGGCCAAGGTGGGAGGATCACTTGAACCCAAGATTTTGAGACCAGCCTGGGCAACAAAGTGAGACCCCATCTCTCTCTCTTTTTTTTTTAATATTTAAAAAAATCAGTAAATTTTAAAAAGAAGCCTATATATATATATATATATATATTTTTTTTTTTTTTTTTTTTTTTTTTTTTTTGAGGCGGAGTCTCACTCTGTTACCCAGGCTGGAGTACAGTGGCACAATCTCGGCTCACTCAACCTCCGCCTCCCGGGTTCAAGCAGTTCTCCTGCCTCAGCCTCCCGAGTAGCTGGGACTGCAGGCGCATGCTGCCATGCCCAGCTAATTTTTTCGTATTTTATTAGAGACGGGGTTTCACCGTGTTGCCCAGGCTGTTCTCGAACTCCTGAACTCAGCCAATCCACCCGCCTCGGCCTCCCAAAGTGCTAGGATTACAGGCGTGAGCCACCATGCCCGGCAAAGAAGCCTATATTTTTTCATTCCTGCAGAATATTGCCGGCATGAGATCAGCATGTATTGGCAAATGTTTTGTAAGTGGTGCATTTAGTCCACAGGTTGAAAGGCTGCTACAACTTTAGCTTCATCTCTTTCCGTTCCTTAACTCTTGAGCCAGTGCTAGCAATGTCTCCCACACTGTGGTCCTGCGCCCTCTCAAGGCTGGTTATTTCAACTTCACCTCGGCAACAATTACTTACCTGGCCCAGGAGGATGGGCCCGTTGTGGTGAGTTGCCCAAACCCTTAGCTGGATGGAATTTGGATCTGCCTTCCCTTAAAATCTCTTGTGGTGGGGGTAAGAGGGGGATGAAGAGAGGTTGATTAATAGATACCAAAATACAGTTAGGACTGGGCGCAGTGGCTCACACCTGTAATCTAGCATTTTTGGAGGCCGAGGTGGGCAGATCACCTAAGGTCAGGAGTTCAAGACCAGCCTGGCCAACATGCAGAAGCCCCATCTCTACTACAAATACAAAAATTAGCTGGGCGTGGTGGCAGGCGCCTGTAATCCCAGCTACTTGGGAGGCTGGAGCAAGAGAATCACTTGAACCCAGGAGGCAGAGGTTGCAGTGAGCCGAGATCACACTACTGCACTTCAGCCTGGGCGACAGAGTGAGACTCCGTCTCAAAAAATATATATATATAGTTAGAAAGAATAAGACCTAGTGTTCGATAGTTTAGTAGGGTGACTATAGTTAACAGTAATCTAATGTATATTTCAAAATAGCCAGATGAGAAGCATTTGAACATTTCCATCATAAAGAAAAGATAAATGCGGCCAGACGTGGTGGCTCACGCCTGTAATCCCAGTACTTTGGGAGGCCAAGGCAGGTGGATTGCTTGAGCCCAGGAGTTGGAGACCAGCCTGGGCAACATGGTGAGACCCCCATTTCAAATAATTAGCCAGGCATGGTGCACGTGCCTGTGATCCCAGGTACTCAGGAGGCTGAGGTGGGAGGATTGCTTGAGCCCCAGAGGTTGAGGCTGCAGTGAGCCATTTTATTGCCACTGCATTCCAGCCTGGGCAACAGAGTGAGACCCTGTCTCAAAAAAAAGATAAATGTTTAAGGTGATGGATATCCATCTAAAAAGTATAGATTGTAAAAACAAAAACCTCTTACAGAAAATTTACACAGTAGCTACTAAATTCTGAGGGAGATAACATTAACCAGACACTTGGTATTGTCCTAAGGAAGTATGTTTCAAATTAAAGTTCTGGACTAGAGTGATTGAAATGGATGGGAGAGGTGTACCATGGCCTTCCCCTTCTCTTCATTCCTTCTGCCTTCCTTTTCATCTGGAGTGTGTCATTTGCTGCCTACTGATGTCCTTGTCTTTCTGATCTGTCTTCTCTGCCACTGTCAGATTCTTCCCAGTCTCCACTGTTACTCTCTCCTTCCCTTGCTTAGATTGCTCCTGCTTACGGCATCAGGGCTGAGCTTTTCTGCCTCTCACTGCACCCCCCTCCAGTAGTCTAGCTATTTTCTGCCTCCAGCCTTCTCTCCCACTCTGCCCATACAGACCCTACATCCTAATTAGGCCAAGCTACTTCCCATACCTTCTCCCCCAACTCAGTCCTTATTCTTTCCTTTGTGCCTTTGTTCTGTTTGAAGTACCCTTTTCCCTCCACTCCATTATATCTGAAGCCTTCTCAAGACCCAGCTTTGAGCTATGTCTCCTTGTTTTCTGCCTTCAGTTCATATTGCTCTTTGCTATTCATTCTTTTCTTTTTTCTTTTCTTTTTTTCTTTTTTTTCTTTTTGAGACAGAGTCTCACTCTGTCACCCAGGCTGCAGTGCAGTAGCGCAATCTTGGCTCACTGCAACCTCCACTTCCCGGGTTCAAGCGATTCTCTGCCTCAGCCTCCCGAGTAACTAGGACAACAGGTGTGTGCTACCGTGCCCGGCTACTTTTTTATATTTTTAGTAGAAATGGGGTTTCACCATATTGGCCAAGCTGGTCTCAAACTCCTGACCTGTGATCCGCCCGCCTCGGCCTCCCAAAGTACTGGGATTACAGGCGTGAGCCACCGTGCCCGGCCACTATTCATTCTTTCATAAACATATATTGACTGCATCTAAACTTCTGTAGCACTTATAGTCTATGGCACTTGAACATTTAATCACTGTCTTCAGTAGTTTGTTTCTTATTTATAGATCTTCCCTCTCCCCACCCCCACCTCCCAATTTAATTATAAACTCCCTGAGGCCAGTAACTGTCTTAGATTTCTTTTTCCCATATATGATAGAAACTCAGTAGTAAACAGTCTTTTGATTGATGTAAAGGTCAATAGACATTTATGAAGCCCCTGCAATGTGCCAGACTCTGGGGAATACCAAGAGGATTAATATACTGTCCAAGTCCTCAAAAAGCTTAAGTCATAAATGTATAAAGCCAAATAAATGTATAAATTTATGAAGCCAAAATGTGTGATCCTCCATACCAGTAGGGCTGTAGGCTAATTAGTACACAGTAGGGAAGGGACTTAACACAGTCAACCATAGAATGAAAAGAACTAACATTCATTGCACCTTCTGCATTTTCGTTTTTCATAAACTACATGGAACCATATTCTTCTAAACCTAGCGGTGTTTTCACATCCGGTATCATTTCTGCTTTCAGAACCAACCTCAGGACTCTTTGGTTCTACCTGGTAGTTGATGGGTTAATAGACATAAAATCAAAGGCTTTGCTGCCACTTTGGAATAAAGTTGTTTGCAGTGTGCTCCAAACTCTTGGCTTCCTCTCCAAGACAAAGGAATGTGGACCAGACTCAACCCCTCCTCTAATAATGTACATTTGGGTAGGGCTTTATACTTCATTATATATTTTTGCTATTTCATTTGAGCCTCACATTAACCCTGTGAAGTAGTGGATTTTTGCTGGAGGATTAAGTAAATGATTACCAAGGGTAAGTCATTCCACGCACACCTTGCCCTGTAGAGGGACCAGTGGTGGTGAGCAACTTCACTCTTTGCAGAGTCTGAGGCTCAGACAGAAGAATTTGGCTTTAATTTCAGTTGCATGCCTGGCCTACCTTGTTTAATATATGTTCTCCATGGGGTATTTCTCAGGTCTTCTGGCTCCTAGGTACTCCTCTTTATAACACACTAAGAGAGAATCATCCAACTCTCTCTAGCCAAAAGCTTTCCCTCATCTTCTTGAAGTTCTTCTGAGCCTTTGGGAACTAAGACTCTAATGCATAGAGTTGGGTTGGTTGGGACTGCCCTTTCTCAGAGTAGATGAGGTGGAACTTCATGAGGTGGACTTCCCTTAATGTCGTTCTTTTCTTCTTTTCAGATTGGCTCTACCAGTGCACCTGGACAGGGAGGAATCCTGGCTCAGCGGGAGTTTGACAGGCGATTCTCCCCTCATTTTGTAAGCTTTCTAGTGTTCTCTCTCATCAGTTCCTTGGTATGAGAATGCCCTTTTGGTTCTGGACCCTCTTGGCTTCCACAGATTTGTTTTGTTGGTTGGTTCTTGCCCTGTGTGTTTTTTGGTGTCTGATATAGATACTCATCAAATAGATTGATTTAGCCATGTCCAGAGATTTTTGGCAATGAGATCACAATTGCCAAAACCATAAAACTGACTTAAGTAGAGTCCCATCTTTGAGTAGATACCCATCTTAAACTCCTGGGTCTATTTTGAGGTTTAAAAAAAAAAAATCTGATTAGATTCAGAGGGTCATAGATCATTGGGTAGGTTAAGTGGGAACTTTACTGTGGTCTAGTCTAGGAAAGAATTTTTTGAAGATGAGCCTGAAGTACTGAATGCTGGAATTCATTCAGTGAATAAGTATGATGTTCCAGATTATGTGCTCATTCTGTGCTCTGCTTTGGGGACACAGTGATGAATAAGACACAGTCCCTTCCATTAAAGATCTTACAGGCTGGCGAGGCACCATGGCTCATGCCTGTAATGCCAGTGCTTTGGGAGGCAGAGGCGAGAGGACCACTTGCGGCCAAGAGTTTGAGGCTGCAGTGAGCCATGATCACACCACTGCACTCTAGCCTGGGTGACACAGCAAAACCCTGCCTCTGAAAATAACAAGATCTTACGAGCTCATAGAGGACTCAAAATAGTAAATGGGGAGGCTGAGGCAGGGGAATTGCTTGAGCCCGGGATGCGGAGGTTGCAGTGAGCCAAGATCGAGCCACTGCACTCTAGCTGCCTGGACAACAAGAGCGAAACGCTGTCAAAAAAAAAAAAGGTAAATGGGGAAAATGCTGTGATAGAGGTTATATGCCAGGTGCTGGAGGAGCCTGCAGCAGGAACATCTAATGAGAGGGGACTTTCTGGAGGAGGTAAGGAAGGGCAGGCACTTGAGGAGAGAGAGCAGCCGAGATTGAGAAAAGCATGGTGTGATTCAGGAATGGCAAGTAGTTTATCAAGGCTGAAGGGCAGAATGTGAGGTGGAGGAATGGAAAAGAGGGGGCCTGAAGTGTAAACAAGGGTTAGATCATAGGTGGCTTGACTGTCAGGGGCAAGACCAGGGCATCTCCATTCTCAAAAATTGTCTGGAACAGAAGCTTCTCTTCCAGTCTGGTTTGGGTCGGGTGAGTCCTTTGGTTTCACAGCTTGAAAGATTGGTCTTTAGAGAGCCATTCTATATCAGGATTGGTCAGAGAGGAACCTTCTTGCCTAAAGTTCTGCTTAAAATTTGTGCTGAGTTAGGCCTGGTGGTGTGTACCTATAATCTCTGCTGGAGGATCGCTTGAGCCCAGGAGTTTGAGGCTGCAGTGGCTATGATTGTGCCACTGCACTCCAACCTGAGCAACAGAGTGAGACTCTATCTCTAAAAAAATAAAATAAAAATTAAGAAAATTTAGGCTGGGTGTTGTGGCTCACACCTGTAATTCCAGCACTTTGGGAGGTCAAGGCAGGAGAATCACTTGAGCCCAGGAATTGGAGACCGGCTTGGGCAACATAGTGATATTTTGCCTCTACAAAAAATAAAAAAAAAATTAGCCAGGTGTGGTGGTACGCCCCTGTGATCCTAGCTACTCAGGAGGCTGAAGTGGGAGGATTACTTAAGCCCAGGAGATCAAGGCTGCGGTGAGCCGTGACCATGCCACTCCACTCCAGCCTGGGCAACAGAGCAAGACCTTGTATCGGCCGGGCGCGGTGGCTCATGCCTGTAATCCCAGCACTTTGGGAGGCCGAGGTGGGCAGATCATAAGGTCAGGAGTTCAAGACCAGCCTGACCAACATGGTGAAACCCAGTCTCTACTAAAGATACAAAAATTAGCCAGGTGTGGTGGCATGCGCCTGTAATCCCAGCTACTGGGGAGGCTGAGGCAGGAAAATCATTTGAACCCTGGAGGCGGAGGTTGCAGTGAGCTGAGAATGTGCCACTGCATACCAGCCTAGGTGACAGGGCGAGACTCCGTCTCAAAAAAAAAAACTAAGACTTTGTATCAAAAATAAATAAATTTGGGCTAGACTGCTCCCTTTCTCATTGGACTCATATTTTCCCTGGCTTCTCCTGTGCCCTAATCCAGACTTCTAAGCAAGGTCTTTGTTTTCCTTTACAGCTGGACTGGGCAGCCTTTGGGGTCATGACCCTTCCCTCCATCGGCATCCCCCTGCTATTGTGGTACTCCAGCAAGAGGAAATATGACACTCCCAAAACGAAGAAGAACTGATTGGGGCTTCCACAGCCCTCCTCTCCCAAGAAATCCAGGCTCCTCTCCCAAGAAATCCAGGTGCTTTCCAGACTCCAAAGGGTATCTTAAATGCAATCTCTTCTCTCTTAGCCCTTGGCCACTTTCTCCTGGATCCTGCCCTGCTCTCAGCCATAGTGAAGGACCAGCCCTAGGAGTCTGCGAGAGCCTCCTTGGTTCCATCGTGAAGCCATAAACAGGAATGCCTTTGGCAATAGCCTTGAGCCTAGAGGGCCCTCTGATGCCCCACTGAGGTGCTGTTGGTTTATTGCTGGCAACGTGAATTCTCTCAGGGGTCTAGGAGGGGCATTTTGGAGACTGCCTGACACCACCCCTATCCCCTGCCTCCCCCTCTCAGAAGAGGGTGGAAGATGAAATGAAAGCTATGGGACTCTTGGAGGATACCCAGTGTCTATTCTGGGTTAGAGAAGTGCTTACTAAGGGGTTTTCTAATAAAAACAAATGCCACATTGACTTGTCTGTTTTCTTAGCCCCCGGGTGAACACAGGTGATTATTGGAACTCAGTCTTTGCCCAGACCCCTGGGCAAGCGAGCTGGGTTCTGGCCTTGCTGCAGGGGTTGTGGGCGGGTCCTGTTCCCATGGAGATATCTGCCCTTTTGAATCTTTTGCTTCCATCCCTTATTTTCCTCTGATTGTTGTTCTCATCAGTCACCACCTATTGCCGTACACCTTCCTTGCCAGGCAGCTCCTCTTCACAGCTGGAGAATGTAGGATGGGGAAAGATGGTCTGCAGAGGAACAGCTATTGTCATCCCCTTAGATCTCATCTGATTTATTGACTCAGTATTTGTTTTTTTTGTGGGTTTTTTTTTTTTTTTTGAGATGGAATCTCGCTCTGTCACCTAGTGGTGAACACCGGTGCCTGGCACCTGAGTGTTCTTGAAAAGCTATCTCTCATGCCTGACTTCTAGCCCTTTCTCGTTAAGAACTAGCTTTTTGGCCAGGTGCGGTGGCTCATGCCTGTAATCCCAGCACTTTGGGAGGCCGAGGTGGGCGGATCACAAGGTCAGGAGATCGAGACCATCCTGGCCAACGTGGTGAAACCCTGTCTTTACTAAAAGTACAAAAAATTAGCTGGGCGCAGTGGCATGGGCCTGTAGTCCCAGCAGATTGTGCCACTGCACTCCAGCCTGGTGACAGAGGGAGACTCTGTTTCAAAAGAAAAAAAAAAAAGAACTAACTTTACTTTTTTTTTTTTTTTTTTTTTTTGAGATGGAGTCTTGCTCTGTCACCCATGCTGGAGTGCAGTGGCATGATCTCGGCTCACTGCAAGCTCCACCTCCCGGGTTCACGCCATTCTCCTGCCTCAGCCTTCCGAGTAGCTGGGACTACAGGCGCCCGCCACCATGCCCGGCTAATTTCTTTTTTGTATTTTTGGTAGAGACGGGGTTTCACCGTGTTAGCCAGGATGGTCTCGATCTCCTGACCTTGTGATCCGCCTGCCTCGGCCTCCCAAAGTGCTGGGATTACAGGCATGAGCCACCGCACCCGGCCAAAACTAGATTTTCTTGAGCTTTAATTTTATTTTCTTTTTTTGAGATGGAGTCTCGCTCTGTTGCCCAGCCTACAATGCAGTGTTGTGATCTTGGCTCACTGCAACCTCCACCTCCTGGGTTCAAGTGATTCTCCTGCCTCGGCCTCCCGAGTAGCTGGGATTACAGGCACCTGCCACCATGCCTGGCTAATTTTTGTATTTTAGTAGAGACGGGGTTTTACTATGTAGGTCAAGCTGGTCTCGAACTCCTGATCTCAAATGATCTGCCCACCTCAGCCTCCCAAAGTGCCAGGATTACAGGTGTGAGCCAGCCACCGCGCCTGGCCCTTTTTTTTTTTTTTTTTTTTTTTTTTTTTTTGAGATGGAGTCTTGCTCTGTTGCCCAGGATGGAGTGCAGTGGTGTAATCCCAGCTCACTGCAACCTCTGCCTCCCGAGTTCAAGCAGTTCTCCTGCCTCAGCTTCTCAAGTAGCTGGGATTAGAGGTGCACACCACCACACCCGGCTGATTTTTGTGTTTTTAGTAGAGACAGGGTTTCACCATGTTGGTCAGGCTGGTCTCGAACTCCTGACCTCAAGTGATCTGTCTGCCTCAGCCTCCTAAAGTGCTGGGATTACAGGTGTGAGCCACCACACCTGGCCTGAATTTACTTGTAATGCTTCTGTTCTTTGAGCTCTGGCAGGGAAGAAGTACCTGGATCCCTTGAGTTGGGCTCTAAGCGTGACCTGTGGAAAGGCAGTGACTTTTGCTGCTGCAGCAGTGGGGAGAAGCCACTCTGAGCTGACTCTGTCCAACTCAGGAATGCCGTGGTCTGAGAACAGCCTCCCAGGCAAGAGGGAAGCCCAACAAACACCGGCTTTGTTTCTGCTACCGAGTTTCCCAGTTTAGATTCTGCTCCCCCGGCTCCCCTGCCCAACTGGTTTAACCTTTCTTTAGCCCAGCAATCAGAGCCTCCAGGCCCAGGAGGATGAAAAGAACATGGAGACGAGAGGCTCCAAATGGAGTAGCCCTCTGCCAGCTCACATCCCTCTTTCAGGGGCTGCAGCTTGGACATCCCAAGACTGGCCAGGTTACAGGCAAGGAGGATATATTTGCTTTTGTTCATTGTGTTCCTGGTGGAAACCTGGGACTTGCTCAGGAGAATGGGGAGGATAGGCCAATGAGTCAGAGGCTTGGGTTTGAGAACAGGTGTGGGGAAGGGAAAGGGAACTAGTCTGATATGCATCATTTTGCACTCCAGGACTATGGAGTGTTAGCCTCTGAAGGAGGAAATGGTATTTTCCATCTGTGTAGTCTCCAAGGAAAATGTAATGAGTTAACCTATGGGCGGGGGGAGTGGGGGGTGGTGGCGGGGTTCTGGCTTAGAGAATAGGGTAAACTTCATAACTCTGGAACATAATACAGGTGCTTCTTGACTTCCAATAGGGTTATGTCCGATAGGTTTATATGATATGCGTATCAGGATGTAACCCTGTTGTAAATTGAAAATGTTTTAAGTTGAAAATGCATTTAATACACTTAACATATCAAACATCATAACTTTGCCCAGCCTACCTTAAACATGCTCAGAACACTTACATTAGCCTACAGTTGGGCAAAATCACCTAACACAAAGCCTATTTTATTATTTTTATTTATTTTTTGAGATGGAGTCTCACTCTGTCACCCAGGCTGGAGTGCAGTGGTGCAATCTCAGCTCACTGCAACCTTCACTTCCCGGGTTCAAGCAATTCTCATGCCTCAGCCTCCCTAGTAGCTGGGATTACAGGTGCCCGCCACCATGCCTGGCTAATTTTTGTATTTTATTATTATTTTTTTTTTCTGAGACAGAATCTCACTCTTTCCCCCAGGCTGGAGTGCAGTGGCCCAATCTCAACTCACTGCAACCTCCGCTTCCCAGGTTCAAACAATTCTGCTTCAGCCTCCCGAGTAGCTGGGACTACAGGCATGCGCCACCACGCCCGGCTAATTTTTGTATTTTTTAGTAGTGACAGGGTTTCACCATGTTGGCCAGGCTGGTCTCAAACTCCTGATCTCATGATCTGCCCGCCTCGGTCTCCCAAAGTGCTGGGATTACAGGCATGAGCCACCGTACCTGGCCTAATTTTTATATTCTTAGTAGAGATGAGGGTTCACCATGTTGGCCAGGCTGGTCTCAAACTCCTGAGCTCAAGTGATCCACCCACCTCAGCCTCCCAAAGTGCTGGGATTACAGGCATGAGCCACTGTGCCTGGCCCAGAAAGCCTATTTTATAATAAAGTGTTGAATATCTCATGTAATTTATTGACTACTGTACTGAAAGTGAAAAACAGAATGGTTTTATGGTACTCGGAAGAGGATTTCTACTGAATGTGTATGGCTCTCACACTCTTGTGAAGTCGAAAATCTTAAGTCAAACCATCATAAGTCGGGACCATCTGTATAAGATTCCTTCCTTAATCTGAACTCTGAGAGGTGCTCCTTTCCCAAAAGCTGGGGGCGTCTTTATTGTACCTTTCCCTTACAAAACTCAGCACTTTGTGTCCTGGCCCTTGTCATGAAGAAGGCAACTAGGAGGGAAACCCAGGCCTGACACAGATGACAAGAGAAGCATTGTGAAGACAGTTGGTGTCACAGGCACCTTGAAACAAGGCCAAAGCTAGATACCTCATCTCCTAAGAGATCAGCTTTCTTGGAGTCAGAATGGAATGTGAACCTCCCTTAAGTAGTGGTGTTGGAGAATATAAGAGCCTCTAAAATCTATAGACAGAAAGTCTTAGCTGGAATAGTTGGCTTTAGGATTGAGCCCTCTTAACTTCTTGAGGTAATTTAATAGGAGGCTGAGTGGCAGACAACACTCCTCCGCTCTAACTGAAAACCACCCTAGGGAGGTGTGAACCTTGATCTCAGGATTGTGTGCAGATCTGTGAGGGAGGAGGAAAGTAAGCACTGATCCCACATCCTTCCTGGAGGCTGGGTACCCAAACTGAGGCTCCTCCCTAAAAGGCAATACAGACAGTAGGTCAGCCACCAGCATGTTCCAGGTGTCCCCACTCCTGGAGACTAGCCCTCCAGCCCTCCCTCATTGTGCAGACTTTCAGCTGGCATCGGCTCACCCACACACCCCACCCTGGTACCAGGAGGAGCCAGGTGCCTTGATTTCCACCCCCTTCCTGTACTCGGCTTTGGCACTCGAAGAAAGTGAGTGGGAAACGGGTATAAGAATTTCTACAGGCCGGGTGTGGTGGCACACGCCTGTAATCTCAGCACTTTGGGAGGCTGAGGTGGGCGGATCACCTGAGGTCAGGAGTTCAAGACCAGCCTGGCCAAAATGGCAAAATCTCGTCTCTACTATAAATACAAAAAGTAGCCAGGTGTGGCGGACGCCTATAATCTCAGCTACTCGGGAGGCTGAGGCAGGAGGACTGCTTGAGCCCAGGAGTTCAAGTCTTCAGTGAGCCATGATCATGCCACAGCACTCCAGCCTGGGTGACAGAGTGAGACCCTATCTCAACGGAAAAGAAAAATTATATATATATAATATATATCTGCCCACCTTGGGCAGATTATATATATTTATATATAATATATATAATATATATTATTTATTTATATATAATATATATATAATATATATTATTTATTTATATATAATATATATTATATAAAAATATAAATATAAAAATATATTTTTATATAATATATATTTTATATATATAAATATACATATTTATATATTATATATATATTATATATAAAATAGCTCTCCCTCTTGGAGCCTGTTTCCTCCTCTGCACAATCATGAAATTGTTTAATTGGAGGATTTTTGAGGACCCCTCACCAGTACGATAGGGCTGGTATTACCCCTTTGTTGTTATGCAGTGAGGAACATGAGGAACAACCACTGTCACTTTCTCATCTTGTGGGTGAGGTCCAGCCAGGTGGGGAAGGGCACACACAGTTCTACATCCAGCAGCAGCTGCTGTCTTCCACTCACTGACAGAGAGAATTTTTGAGCAAGGATAGACCATAGATTACCTAATTTGATCCTCTCATTTAATAGATCAGGAAAGATAAGGGGTGAAGCGGCTTGTCCAAGGTTGCCCAGCCAGTGGCAGCTAGCATATTTATTTATTATGGACCCAGCATTTATGTTCCACTGTTTGCACATGTTTCATTTAACATCTGCATTTTACAGATGAGGGGATGAGGCTAAATAGGTGGCACAAGGTCCTGCAACTAGTGACTTGGCAGAGGCAGCCAAGATCTTCCAGCTCTAATATGCCCTTTCTACTAGCCCACAGGAGGCGAGGAGTGCTCCCCTTTACCTCAGGAAGTCCGATGTCCGCCCCAGCTGTCTTCTGCCCCAGGGAAAGCAGTGAAGGTGAGTCAGCCCCCGCCCCACCCCAGAAGCTGTTATCTGGGAAGAGAGTTGGGGAGCTGGTCAAATATCCTGCCGCCTGGTATCCACAACAAGCCGTGAGCCCCGGATATGCTGAGTTGCTTGGTCACCCCTGTTCCTGGTGCTGACGCTAGGGCCCTTCTCAGTGCAGCTGCCCTTGTAACTGCTCCACCCTGTACTTTCATCACAAAAAAATACAATCTTTCCTCCTCCATTGCTGTAACCTGCCTCTTAAAGGGACCGACAATCAGGTTTTTTTGTTTGTTTTTTTGGTTTTTTTGAGATGGAGTCTTGCTCTGTTGCCCAGGCTGGATTGCAGTGGTGTGATTTTGGCTGGCTGTAACCTCTGCATGCCGGGTTCAAGTGATTCTCCTGCCTCAGCCTCCCCAGTAGCTAGGATTACAGGTGCGCACCACCACGCCTGGCTAATTTTTGTATTTTTAGTAGAGACGGGGTTTCACCACGTTGGCCAGGCTGGTCTCTAACTCCTGACCTCAAGTGATCCGCCCGCCTCGGCCTCCCAAAGTGCTGGGATTATAGGCATGAGCCACCATGCCCGGCTGACAATCAGTTTTGTAGCTGAATTTGAGAGGGCAAAGGACACCACTGACCTGAGGACCCTGCTGTGAAGTAGGTTTCCAGCTGCAGCTGTTTCTTTCCCAGAGATGTCCGCTTTCTCCCCTCCTCAGTTTCTCCCTGACCCTGTTGGAGGAAGGGTAAACGTTCCCTGGGGTGTCAGGTTCCCACATACTCTCTCCTCAGGGTGACCCCAGCATGGCTTCTTGTACCTGTTTCTACACAAGTCTGAATTTTGTAGCCACCCTGTGTTCAAGGAATGCTGAAGACAGAGGGACCCAGGAGTCCCTGGGATCAGTAATGGCACTGAAAGAGTTAAGGTCCTGGGCACAGCACTGTTTAGGGTGTTTGAAGTAGGGCGGGGAAAGGAAGGGCTACAGTGGATGAAGAGGCAGCTGATCTGGACTGGAATGAGTCCCCCCTTTCTCTTATGCAAACTTCTGGACCATGAACAGCTCCCTTAAAAGGACCAAGAGAGAGGGGACCCCCACCAAAGTGCTGGACTGGGTTCTTAAAGGGGCCACCTGAAGCAGGACTTTTTCCCACACTGAAGTCACCAACTGACAGCAGAAACAGGTCCCCCATCTTTGGGATATCTCCCAGTTCTGGTGAGTTTCCCTCTTCCCTTTCCTGGGTCCTTACCCTCAGACCCTCTCTTGCCACACCCATCTGGCATAGCACCCAGAACACATGCCCAGGAAACTGGCAGGAGGTAGAAGAAGACTGGTTGGTCTTGACCCTTTTCTTCTCTATCCGCCATAAATAAAGGGCTAGTCTGGGTCCCAAGCCCCTGATAGAATAAGCATATAGCTACAGGTCCAGCAGAAAGGAAGAGGGCAGGGTCCCTAAGTTCACTTTACTAACCAATTAAAAAAAAAAAAAAGGTGGTCACACTTGGAAGCCCAGAGCAGCAAAATTCCTGACTGACTTACGAACCTAGTACATCAAGGACATGGGGATGATTTAGGGAGAGTGTCTGAGATGCCTGTGGCTGACTTAGTAGAGGGGTGTGTGGTTAGATTAGGGGGCTGGGGATGCCTTGAAATTCAGGAACTAAGTACAGATGATAATGCCTCTCAGGAGACAACCCGGAAGCTGATAGGACACATGGCTTTTGCCCATACTGGCCTCTGCCCCACTAAGGGATGGTAGCCAGGTCCCACCATTGTATTTGTGCATAGACCCTTGTGGGTCCTCTTTTCTGTGCCTGACACTTACAAAGTGCTAAAATAATCTTTGCTGAATGAATGGATCCTCTATATCTTTTACTTTCCTTTCATTTTTGGAATTGTGGCACCACTCTCTGGCAGTGGACAGGAAGATCAGAGAAAGAGAATGAGTTCCAGGACACCAGCGTTCAGCCAAGTCAGGCGGATGGGTGAAGCAGGAGGGTGTCAGAGACTTGGGTGCTCCTGTCTTGGAACGGGGTATCTAGGGAGCAGGTGGGAAGGAATTGTAGCTCCTGGCTTCTTTATCTGAGGCGAAGAGAAGCTCTGCTTTAGCCGTCTTTGCAGGGCACTGCTGGATTAATGGTTCACTTTCTACAGGAGAAGAAATGTTAGGTTAAATTTTGAACCATCGAAGAGTTTTTGTGACCCTGTGTCCCACCCCCAGGGCCAGGAGATTTGGAGGAGAGCCAGTACAACATGTCATTTGGCCTCTCCCTTCCACCTCAGTCTTTATTATCCTGTTCTCTTGGGTCTTCTCCAATATTGGCCACCTCGGTAGATTTAGGATCCCAGAGCCAGACTCAGAAAGCTTCTCAGTCTGCGAAAGGGCCGGCCAGCATTGCCTCCAGGCCACAACGCCTGGCTGTTTGGTTACTGTCAGCAGTTCCTCCCCTATGTTCAGTGTTTGCTGGCAGCAAACATAACCAGAGACCTGCCTGCGCCCCATCACCTCATTCAGAGGTCTAAGCTAACAGAGGGAGCAGAAAGGATACATTGAACTTCTTTGGGACCCCTATCTCATTTCTTTTGGAAGCTGCTGCTTTTCTTTGGCTGGGGTCGGGGAGGTAGGAATGAGGTGGGTAAAAATAATGTTGCCGGATTTCTTTCAAAGCTAGCCACTTGGCCTGGTGTGGTGGCCTGTAATCCCAGCACTTTGGGAGGCTGAAGTGGGGTGGATCACCTGAGGTCAGGAGTTCAAGACCAGCCTGGGCAACAAAGCGAGACCTTGTTTCTACAAAAATTACAAATATTATCCCAGTGTGGTGTTGTGTGCCTGTAGTCCTAGCTCCTTGGGAGTCTGAGGTGGGAGGATTGCTTGAGCTTGGGAGGTCAAGGCTGCAGTGAGCAGAGGTCGTGCTACTGTACTCCAGCCTGGGCGACCGAGTGAGACCCTGTCTAAAAAAAAAAAAAACCAAACATATGGCCGGGCACGGTGGCTCATGCCTGTAATCCCAGCACTTTGGGAGGCCGAGGCAGATGGATCACCTGAAGCCAGGAGTTCGAGACCAGCCTGGCCAACATGGTGAAACCCCATCTCTACTAAAAAATATAAAAATTAGCCAGAAGTGGTGGCAGGCACCTGTAATCCCAGCTACTCGGGAAGCTGAGGCAGGAGAATCGCTTGAACCCGGGAGGTGGAGGTTGCAGTGAGCCAAGATTGCATCATTGCACTCTAGCCTGGGTGACAAGAACAAAACTCCATCTCAAAAAAAAAAAAATATATATATATACATACACACATATATATACACACACACATATATATATATACACACACACACATATATATATACACACACATACACACACACATACACACACACACACACAGACACACACACACATATATATTAGGATCCCAGACTCAGGATATATCTATATATCAGGCTTTGTGGGCTCTCTGTTGCAACTACCAACTTTGCTGTCATAATGCAAAAACAGCCATAGACAATATGTAAATGACTGAGCATGGCTGCGTTCCAAAAATACTTTATTTACAAGCACTGAAATTTGAATTTCATATAATATTGTGTCTCAAAGTATTCTTTTATTTTTTTTCAACTATTAAAAAAAGATAGCAGGACAGATTTGTCCCAGAGGCTATAGTTTGCTAACCCTTGCTTTAAATTTCCAGAGGCCATTCTATCCCTTTCTTCTCCTTGAAGAGGACAACTTTGTCAGGGCTCATCAGGGTCTCAAAGGACAGAAAAGCACTCATTTCTTCTTGCTCTTCTTGCTCTGGTTGCATACACTTTTCCATCAGAAGTGGTGTGTAACTGTTGCCATCATAGTTATGTTAGTGTCAGCCCATGGGTTATTTATTGTCTTTCTCTAAGAGAAAACAGTAGGTGACCATCATATGATGCCTATTTCTGCTTCTATCTTGGGCCTCCTGCCTCCTTCTTTCTTTTTCTTTCTTTCTTTTTTTTTTTTTTTTTTTTTTGAGATGGAGTCTCGCTCTGTCGCCAGGCTGGAGTGCAGTGGTGTGATCTCAGCTCACTGCAACCTCCACCTCCTGGGTTCAAGTGATTTTCCCACCTCAGCCTCCCTAGCAGCTGGGACTACAGGTGCACACCACCATGCCCAGCTAATTTTTTTTGTTTGTTTTTTGAGACAGAGTCTCACTCTGTTGCCCAGGCTGGAGTGCAGTGGTGCAATCTCGGCTCACTGCAACCCCCGCCTCCCAGGTTCAAGCGATTCTCCTGCCTTAGCCTCCTGAGTAGCTGGGATTACAGGCATGCACCACCACACCTGGCTAATTTTTTTTTGTATTTTTAGTAGAGACAGGGTTTCTCCATGTTGGTCAGGCTGGTCTCGAACTCCTGACCTCAGATGATCCACCCGCCTTGGCCTCCCAAAATGCTGGGATTACAGGTGTGAGCCACCATGCCAGGCCAATTTTTGTATTTTTAGTACACATGTGGTTTCACCATGTTGGCCAGGATGGTCTTGATTTCTTGACCTCATGATCTTCCCGCCTCGCCTCCCAAAGTGCTGGGATTACAGGCGTGAGCCACCACACCAGGCCAAGCATTATTCTTTCTAGCTCTCTGTTTCAATATACCCTGCCGTCTCTATGCCTCTAAATAATAATAACAACAATAATAATAGTATTTATTGAGCACCTAATATGTACCAAAAACAGATGGAAGGGGGACTAGGTGCATTGCATACATTATCATCAAGTCTCTCAACATCCTTACAAAATAAGTACAGGCCCAGTGGCTTACGCCTGTAATCCTGGCACTTTGGGAGGCCGAGGCAGGCAAATCAGTTGAGCCCAGGAGTTTGAGACCAGACTGGGCAACATGGTGAAACCCTGTCTCTACTAAAAAATACCAAAAAAAAAATCAGCCAGGCATGGTGGTGCGCACTTATAGTCGCAGCTACTTGGGAGGCTGAGGTGGAAGGGTCACCTGAGCCTGAGAAATCAAGGCTGCAGTTAGCCATCATCGTGCCACTGCACTCAGCGTGGGTGACAGAGAGAGAGCCTATCTCAAAAAACAAAACAAACAGGCCGGGCATGGTGGCTCATGCCTGTAATCCCAGCACTTTAGGAGGCCGAGGCAGGTGGATCACCTGAGGTCAGGAGTTCGAGACCAGCCTGACCAACATGGAGAAACCCGTCTCTACAGAAAATACAAAAATTAGCCCGGCATGGTGGTGGGTGCCTGTAGTCCCAGCTACTCAGGAGGCTGAGGCAGGAGAATCGCTTGAACCCGGGAGGCAGAGGTTGCAGTAAACCGAGATCGCACCACTGCACTCCAGCCTGGGTGACAGAGCGAGACTCCATCTCAAAACAAACAAACAAACAAACAAACAAAACCCCCAAAACAAAGTAGGTCTTATCATTCCTTTTTTTTTTTTGAGACAGAGTTTTGCTCTTATTGCCGAGGCTGGAATGCAATGGCACAATCTCGGCTCACACAACCTCTGCCTCCCAGGTTCAAGTGATTCTCCTGCCTCAGCCTCCCGAGTAGCTGGGATTACAGGCATGTGCCACCACGCTGGCTAATTTTGTATTTTTAGTAGAGATGGGGTTTCACCATGTTGGTCAGGCTGGTCTCGAACTCCTGACCTCAGATGATCCACCCGCCTCGGCCTCTCAAAGAGCTGGGATTACAGGCATGAGCCACCTCACCCGGCTTCTCATTCCCATTTTACGTGAATCTGAAGCTCAAAAAAGCTGGCTGGGCAGGCTGGGTGCCCAGGCTGGGCATGGTGGTGCACACCTGTAATCCCAGCTACTCGGGAGGCTGAGGCAGGAGAATAGCTTGAACCCAGGAGGTGGAGGTTGCAGTGAGCCGAGATCACGCCATTGCACTCCAGCCTGGGCAACAGAGTGAGACTCCATCTCTAAAAAAAAATTTTTTTTTTTAGAGATGGAGTCTCACTGTGTTGCCCAGGCTGGTCTTGAATGCCTGGCCTCAAGTGATCCTCCTGCCTTAGTCTCCCTAAGTGTTGGGATTACAGATATGAGCCCCTGAGCCCAGACCAGCCAGCTTTTTTTTTTTTCTTTTTTTTTTAGCCAGAGTTTCACTCTTGTTGCCCAGGCTGGAATGTGCAACGGCACAATCTCGGCTCACCGCAACCTCCGCCTCCCGGGTTCAAGTGATTCTCCTGTCTCAGCCTCCCTAGTAGCTGAGATTACAGGTGTGCGCCACCACACCTGGCTAATTTTTGTATTTTTAGTAGAGATGGGGTTTCACCATATTGGCCAGGCTGGTCTCAAACTCCTGACCTTGTGATCCACCTGCCTCAGCCTCCCAAAGTGTTGGGATTACAGGCGTGAGCCACTGCACTGGGCCCAAAAATTTTTTTTTTACTTAGAGCATGGTGGTGCATACCTGTAGTCCCAGCTACTGGATGCTAAAGCAGGAGGATCTCCTGACCCAGGAGTTTGAGGCTGCAGTGAGCTCTGATCAAAGCTGCACTCCAGCCTTAGCAACAGAGCCAGACCCTGTGTCAAAAACAAAAAAAAAAGTTAAGTTCCCAAGGTTATGTGGCTTATGAAAGTGGCATAGCTAGGCCGGGTGCGTTGGCTCATGCCTGTAATCCCAGCACTTTGGGAGGCTGAGGCGGGCAGATCACCTGAGCTCAGGAGTTCGAGACTAGCCCTGCCAACATGTCTAAACCTGTCTCTAGTAAAAATACAAAAATTAGCCGGGCATGGTGGCAGGCACTTGTAATCCCAGCTACTTGGGAGGCTGAGGCAGAAGAATCGCTTGAACCCAGGAGGTGGACGTTACAGTGAGCCAGGATTGTGCCACTGCATTCCAGCCTGGGCGACAGAGCGAGACTCCATCTCAAAAAAAAAAAATAAAATAAAGAAAGAGAAAGAAAAAAAGAAAGTGGCAGAGCTAGCAAATTTGACAGACTTAAAAGCTGTAACACCCTAAAGAAATTATGGTCTCAGAGTTTTGAATAACAGATGTCTCTCTCTATTAAAATATTATATATTCCCATTCCAGCTCCCAGTAGAATGTCTAAGAAATCTTTGATGACCAGTGCAATCTGTGGAGGTTATACACTTGGAGGAAGGGACAGCACACGCTGATGGTTTGCAGTGGTGGGAAGACCATCTGATCCAGAGGCAGGAAGATAAGTAAAATGACTTCTTAGAGCCCCTTCCTGCTTTCCCAGCTCCCCTCCCCCATCTCAAGCATCTGATCCCAGACCTATTTCAGAATCTCCTATCTCTTTGCTCAGTGGAAGCAGTGATATGACATGATGTGATCTCATTTGAGGGCTAAATAAAGCCATTGTGTGAGACCCAGCCCTGGCCTCTCCCCTGCACCATTTCCTGAGCTCAAGAGGCTAAGGGAAAATGGGAGGGGGGCTAGGAGAGTTAATCTAATGGAAAAAGAAGCAACACGATGATGGGACCCCCAGTTTGAATTTCAGACAGTGGAGGAGGGAATATTGCTAGGAGGGAGTTGAGGAAGCCTTGTTAAACCTCATCTCTTTGAGGGACAGAATAAAAAGTATTGGCATCATAGCATAGGCAGGGTTAGTGGGTGGGGATGAGGATGTGAGGGAGAAACTGCCAGACAGATTCCATTTTCACAGAGGGCAGAGACCATGAATGAAATGACAGAGATGCTGGAAAAAGGGTAGATCTTTGAGAAGAGGTCAGACTCCAGTTGGTCTGAGCTGGAGGAAGAAGGGTGAACAGTTACACAAAGATCTTAAGATCTGAGGTACCTGTCAGTGGGGCCAGGGTGAGTTTCACAAAGATCTTAAGATCTGAGGTACCTGTCAATGGGGCCAGGGTGACAGGACACCATCTCTAGCAGGAACATCCACACAGACAGAAGAAAAGCAAAGGTCTCCAGTTCACTGCACTTCCTTCATCTTGCCAAATTCAACCCTGCAGGCTGGGCGCAGTGGCTCACATCTGTAATCCCAGCACTTCGGGAAGCTGAGGCAGGAGGATCGCCTGGGCCCAGGAGTTTGAGACCAGGCTAGGCAACATAGTGAGACCCCATCGCTATAAAAAATTTAAGACCAGGTGCAGTGGCTCACACCTGTAATCCCAGCACTTTGGGAGGCCGAGGTGGGCGGATCACCTGAAGTCAGGAGTTTGAGACCAGCCTGGCCAACATGGTGAAACCCCATCTCTACTAAAAATACAAAAATTAGCTGGGTGTGGTGGTGCATGCCTGTAATCCCAGCTACTCGGGAGGCTGAGGCAGGAGAATCTCTTGAACCCAGGAGGAGGAGGTTGCAGTGAGCTGAGATTGCGCTACTGCACTCCAGCCTGGCAACAAAAGCAAAACTCCATCTAAAACAAAACAAAACAAAACAAAAATTTAAAAGTTAGCTGGATGTGGTGGCATGCACCTGTAGTCCTAGCTACTCAGGAGGCTAATGTGGGAGGATTGCTTGAGCCTGGGAGGCGGAGGCTGCAGTGAGGCTTGAGGGTGACAGAGGGAGAGAGATCCTCTCTCCAAAAAAAAAAAAAAGAAGAAGAAGAATTCAACCGGGTGGGCACAGCTGAGACAAGGCTAGGAGGTAGAGGTTGAATACAGGGTGTAAAGTTCAAACCAACTTTCTTCTTCTGGGAGGTCCCTGAATTCCAGAGCTCACAGTATCTACGCAGTGTCCCTGCCTCCCCGTCACGGCCTCTCAGTTTCTGTCCTATTTCCAGCCCCCGTTCCCCTTTTCCTAGTATATTTCCAGTTCCTACTCTTCTCTCCACCCCAGCTTTTCACAGTATTTTTGTCAACCTCCCTCTGCCTCCAAATCTCAGCTTTGGAGGCCACTGGTTGGGAGGGACCCTGCCATGGCCCTTAGGCTCTGACCTGCTTCCTGTAGATCTGCTCATCCTGTTTGTACCCAACATACCTGATGGCACAGGGCCCATTTGTAGGCAGGGAGGGAGAGGATCTCTCCTGGTGGCTGGCTAAGGGGTTCCCTGTCCATTGCTCCCAGACGCGATGAGCACAGATGGGCACAGGGCCATGGCCACTCTCCTAGGCTTCTCCTTTTCTCTCCTTAGACACCCACCCAATGGGGGAATAGCATTGCCGTCTGTAGAGGCCTGAGCACCTGCCTCCCTCCCTTCCCTGTGGTAAACAGGCACACAGCCACCCCAGGCACAGCACTTTCTTTCTTTTTTTTTTTGAGACGGAGTCTTGCTCTATTGCCCAGGCTGGAGTGTAATGGCGCGATCTCGGCTCACTGCAACCTCTGCCTCCTGGGTTCAAGCGATTCTCCTGCCTCAGCCTCCCAAGTAGCGGGGACTACAGGCACGTGCCACCATGCCTAGCTAATTTTTGCATTTTTAGTAGAGACAGGGTTTCACCATATTGGCCAGGCTGGTCTCGGACTCCTGACCTCGTGATCTGCCCGCCTTGGCCTCCCAAAGTGCTGGGATTACGGGCGTGAGCGACTGCGCCCAGCCTGTGGCGCAGCACTTTCTTCTCAGCTGCTCTGGGTGGGGTGAGGGCAGTGAACAGATTGCAGTGACGGAGGAAAGTAGATTGAAGGGACAATAACTGATAACCTGGACTTCCCTGGGGTGGTTAAGACAACCTGGAGAAGGTCTGACAGCCCCACAGAAAGCCTTGAAAGAGGGAAGGTTTTGGGTCCCGGCTTCCTGATCCTTCTGGGCACTCCTGATGTCTAAGTAGCTAGAAGTGGTCCCAGGAGAAAGGGAGCCTGGGAGACTCATTAGAGCAGAAGGTCGAGAGAGACATGGCCTAAGAGTGAAGTGTACAGAGGTATGCAGTAAATGCTATTTCCCTTCCTGCCCTTCCTGCCCCTGGTACTCTGGGACTTGGCACTTCTTTCTGGAGTGGGGCTTATCATTTTCAACTTTAAGAGCACCTGAGGGTTCTTAATTCTGAGACACACTGAGGCAAGCCATGATGCCAACCGGGAGTGTTGGGCACTGAGAACAACGCCCATTTGGGAGAGAGTGGAGGAAATGTGTGCTCTGTGGCTGATGCTTGGAGCCCTTCTCTTTGCACCATGGAGAGAGGTCAGACTGGCTTTCACTCTGCATATGACCAGACTCTTAGAAGAAGAAATCATGCCGGGCATGGTGGCTCACACCTGTAATCCCAGCACTTTGGGAGGCAGAGGTGGGCAGATCACCTGAGGTCAGGAGTTTGATACCAGCCTGATCAACATGGAGAAACCCCATCTCTACTAAAAAAAAATACAAAATTAGCTGGGCCTGGAGGCGCATGCCTGTAATCCCAGCTACTCAGGAGGCTGAGGCAGGAGAATCACTTGAACCCAGGAGGCAGAGATTGCGGTGAGGTGAGATCACGCCATAGCACTCCAGCCTGGGCAACAAGAGTGAAGCTCCATCAGAAGAAGGAGAAGAAGAGGAAGGGGGAGGAGAGGGAGAGGGAGAAAGAGAAATCACAACACTTTATCACTCATGAACCTTTTCTCCCTGCTACTTTTTTCTACCTTTTTTTTTTTTTTTTTTTTGAGATGGAATCTTGCTGTTGTCATGCAGGCTGGAGTGCAATGGCACAATCTTGGCTCACTGTGACCTCCGCCTCCCAGGTTCAAGTAATTCTCCTGCCTCAGCCTCCCAAGTAGTTGGGATTATAGGCGCCCGCTACCACGCCCGGCTAATTTTTTTTCTTTTTTTTTTGAGACAAAGTCTCGCTCTGTCGCCCAGGCTGGAGTCCGACCTCAGCTCACTGCAAGCTCCGCCTCCTGGGTTCATGCCATTCTCCTGCCTCAGTCTCCCGAGTAGCTGGGACTACAGGCACCCGCCACCACACCCAGCTAATTTTTTTGTATTTTTAATAGAGACGGGGTTTCACCGTGTTAGCCAGGATGATCTTGAACGCCTGACCTCGTGATCCGCCCACCTCAGCCTCCCAAAGTGTTGGGATTACAGGAGTGAGCCACCGTACCCGGCCTCCCCCTGCTACTTTATCTGCCTAAAATCCTCTCCCTCTACCCTGGCCAAATCCTAACCACTTTACCCTTCCAGGCACATCTCAAAGGCCATCTGCTTATTTCTGTTTCCTCCTCCCCTTTAAAAACAAAAACAGGCCCAGCGCAGTGGCTCACGCCTGTAATCCCAGCACTTTGGGAGGCCAAGGCGGGCAGATCATGAGGTCAAGAGATCGAGACCATCCTGGCTAACACGGTGAAACCCCCTCTCTACTAAAAATACAAAAAATTAGCTGGGCATGGTGGCAGGCACCTGTAGGCCTAGCTACTCGGGAGGCTGAGGCAAGAGAATGGCAGAATGGCATGAACCCGGGAGGTGGAGCTTGCAGTGAGCTGAGATTGCGCCACTGCACTATGGCCTGGGCGACAGAGCGAGACTCTGTCTCAAAAAAAAAACAAAAAAACAACGAAACAAAAAAAACAAGGCCGAGCACGGTGGCTCACGCTTGTAATCCCAGCACTTTGGGAGGCTGAGGCGGACGGATCACCTGAGGTTGGGTGTTTGAGACCAGCCTGGCTAACATGGTGAAACCCCATTTCTTCTAAAAATACAAATTATCCAGGCATGGTGGGGTGTGCCTGTAATCCCAGCTACTCGGGAGGCTGAGGCAGGAGAATCGCTTGAACCCAGGAGGCAGAGGTTGCAGTGAGCTGAGATCGCACCATTGCACTCCAGCTTGGGCAACAGGAGCGAAACTCTGTCTCAAAAAACAAAACAAAACAAAACAAAAGCAAACAGTGTCTTACTCTGTCACCCAGGCTGGAGTGCAGTGGCATGATCATAGCTCACTGCAGCCTTGAACTCCTGGGCTCAAGTGATCCTCCCACCTCAGCCTCCCAAGTAGCTGGGACTATAAGCACGTGCCACCACACCCGGCTAACATTTTGTTTTTTTGTGGAGACAGTGTCTCGCTATGTTGCCCGGGCTGGTCTAGAACAGCTGGGCTCAAGCAATCCACCCACCTCAGCCTCCCAAAGTGCTGGCTGAGCCACCGCACCTGGCCTTTTTTGAGTCTCCCAACTGGTCACGTGCCCTCACTCCTTTAACAGCCTAAAGCCTTTTGTTGAAACTTCTCTTGTGGCATTTGGCATATGTGAGCCAGTTATGGAGTCATCTGTGATTTGTTCTTTTGCTTGTTCACACACACACACACACACTCACCCACTCACTAGACTCTGATTCCTTGAGGATAGGAACAATATCTATTTCTCTTTGCTTGGCTTTCTGCTATATAAGTCCTCAGTAAATGGAATAAGAAGGAGACAATGAGGATCTCTTTATGTACTAGAAAGGACACTGAACTGGGATCCAGAAAACCTAAGTTCTAGCCTTGAGTCTGCAGCTAATTCACAATGTGACCCTGAGGTCACAATGTGTCACAATGTGACCCTGAGGTCACAATGTGTCACAATGTGACACATTATCCAGTTATGTGTCTCAGTAAAGTGAGTGGTGGCTAGGCACTCCTAAGTCCAGCTGACTGTGACACACTTCTAGTCCCAAGGTTTCAGAGTTCTAGAACCCTGCTCACTCTTATTTCCTGCTGACGCAGACTGGTCTGTGTGTGTCTCCCACGAACAGAGCCGTCCCAGACGTGTTCTGAGCAGGTGGAGACAAGGTGCCCGTGAGGCCACACTGGCCTCTGCCTTTCTGCAGTTGAATCCAGAGAACAACTGGAGGAAGAAGAGATGGGGAAATAAAGGAGGGGAATGGCTCGCATGCTGTACCCCTCCAAAGGTCAGGGGCTTTCCGGGCCCACGGCCGAAAACAAAGACGTCTTCAGAAGACATAGTTGGGGGCCTGGCAGGGAGCTCGAGGGCCCACTGAATACGTAAGCCCCCAGGGGACCTCCTGTACCTCCTTCCTTCCAGGCCTAGACCTTGGAGAAAATGGGAAAGTGGGAAGGAACTAGATAACTCTCTAGTCATCTCCCTCAAGAGACAACCATCCGAAGAACAACAAGAATCAAGGAGACCTGGGCCCTCAGTCCTTTCCCTGGAGAACCAGAGCTCAATCCCATTTGTGGGCCTTTGGGGGAGGATGGATGCTGCCTTCCAAAATATGCCTCTCCACAGTGGCTCTTACCTCCTTCTCTCAGGGAAGACTGAGGGTGGGAGTGGGAGGGAGGTGTGGAGTCAGGGGGAGTATCAGGACACTGGATCTTCTTGCTTCTGCCTCCCACGGTGGGTTTCATAGAACCACATAATGGTGTAATAGAACCACAAAGGAACTCAGAGAGCATATGGCACAATCTCCTCATTTTACAGATAAGGAAACTGAGGCCCAAAGAACTTTCAGAGATTTCTTGAGAGAGGTGGTCTCACGGTTGGGACATTTGGCCTGCCCCATTGCCAGGCCTTTGCCGGGCTTTTGGTTGCAGGCTGAGGACAACCCAGGATGTCTTGGATTAACTCATGGTCCCGCATTGCCACATGAGATCAGTTGTTCTTGCTCAGACTTCTGCATAGGCTTGGTGGACTGGAGCAGAGAGATCATCTCTTCCCCCTCCCTTGGAAAACCCCTGACCACTTCCCCAAAGTCAGAGGAAGTCAGAAAGAGAAGGTCCGGGGGTCAGCATGAAGAGTTCAGTGTGAGTGAACATTGTAGGGGCTGCTGGCCATGGAAGGGCACTGTCTCTCTGCTTTGACAATGGTCCCCTTGAACAAGTTCCTTTAGCTCTGGTGAGTGAACCAACCTTCCCTAGCTCCCGGGCAGGGCTGGCTGGTTTCAGTGAGGGGAGAGGACCCTGGGCCTTGTCCCTGAACTGGCTTGGGTGGGAACTCAGATGAGAAGCAATGCCTGCAGGGCTCATGGCACCTTCCTAAGGGTAGCTGGCTGAAAGCAGAGATGCCCAAATGCCTGGGCCCCCCTTATGTGGCACCAACTGTATCTCAGGGTCTTTCAAGTGTCACCCACCTTTCACAGTCAGGCATTAATTCTGCCCCTTGGTTAGAGAGGGAAGGGAGTCCTGAGTGCACTATTTGGCTGAGCAGGGGCAAAGGTTGGCATCAGCAACCAGGCAAGGAGGGAGAATTCAGCTTGCTCTTGCTGTTCGCCTTCCCCTGAACCCTGGCTTTCTTCTGGAGGCAGTACTGCCCTTTGACCAGCAGGGGCCACTCTTGCCCACAGCCAACTCTGCAGCCCTGGCAAAGCAGAGCCCCAAAGTAGGACCAGTTTGGGTCTGGGCTGTGCTTATGCCAACAGGAAGGGCTGGGCTGGGGGCAAGCAACAGGGCTGGGCTGAGGCGAGGCAGTGTTCCTCCCTGGTGCCCGTCACTGGCCACTGGATACAGACGGTAGTGGTGGCGATGTGTGTTTCAGGAGGAGACTGCAAGCATCGGGATGCCCAGGCCCCAAGGAGGCCCTCTTCCTGCAGATCCGAGAAGGACTGGACACCTTTCTGGGACTGCAGCACCAGGGTGGCTACGCCTCCCGGCTGGTACGGACAGACAGATCCCCATGAAGGCCCCTGCCTTGCTCCTCCTCTCCTGCCCCTCGCCTGTCTAGCCACCATTCTATCCTACGTCTCCTCTGTTCTGCCAGCTGCTGGGTCTCTCTGTGCCCGGGCATTGCTCTGGCTCCATCTGAGCGAATGGGAATCTATCGTCTATGCACCTCTGTCTGCTCCCCTGGGTCTGTGTGCTCTGTCCCTGACTCCGGGTACCCTGCCTCTGTCTCTTTCTCCAAGACTCTGTTTCTTCCTTTCTGTGTCGGTGCCTCTGTGTTGATGAGGGTGTATGTGTTCCTCTCTCAGTAAAAGGGCCCTGTTCCCCTAGTAATTATAACCACTTCTTTCTGTGGACCCCACATTTCCCCAATTTGGAGCTGAACTTATTTATTTATTTATTTACTTATGTATTTTGAGACAGGGTCTCCCTCTGTTGCCCAGGCTGGAGTGCAGTGGCGCGATCTTGGCTCACTGCAACCTCTGCCTCCTGGGATCAAGTTATTTTCCTGCCTCAGCCTCCCAAGCAGCTTGGATTACAGGCGCCTGCCACCACACTATTGGGGAACCTGCCCCGATAGTCATGTGGGTTCTTTTCTATTTTCCCTAAGCGTTGGCCAGTTTGATAAATAAAGGGACAGAGTACAAAAGAGAGAAATTTTAAAGCTGGGCATCCGGGGGAGACATCACATGTCGGTAGGTTCCGTGATGCCCCACAAGCCGCAAAACCGGTAAGGTTTTATTAGGGACTTTCAAAAGGGGACGGAGTGTACGAATAGGGTGTGGGTCACAAAGATCACGTACTTCACAAGGTAATAGAATATCACAAGGCAAATGGAGGCAGGGCGAGATCACAGGACCAGAGGACCAGGGCGAAATTAAAATTGCTAATGAAGTTTCGGGCACCATTGTTATTGGTAACATCTTATCAGGAGACAGGGTTTTGAGAGCAACCGGTCTGACCAAAATTTATTAGGCGGGAATTTTCTCTTCCTAATAAGCCTGGGAGCACTATGGGAGACTAGGGTTTATTTCATCCCTACAGTCTGGACCATAGAAGACGGCCACACCCAAGGGGGCCATTTATAGACCCACCCTCAGGGGTGCATTCTCTTTCTCAGGGATGTTCCTTGCTGAGAAAAAGAATTCAGCGATATTTCTCCCATTTGCTTTTGAAAGAAGAGAAATATGGCTCTGTTCCACCCGGCTCACCGGTGGTCAGAGTTTAAGGTTATCTCTCTTATTCCCTGAACAATTGCTGTTATCCTGTTCTTTTTTCAAGGTGCCCACATTTCATATTGTTCAAACACACATGCTGTACAATTTGTGCAGTTAACGCAATTATCACAGAGTCCTGAGGCGACATACATCCTCCTCAGCTGACAGGATTAAGAAAGTAAAGTAAAGACAGGCATAGGAAATCACAAGGGTATTGATTGGGGAAGTGGTAAGTGTCCATGAAATCTTCACAATTTTATGTTCCAAGATTGCAGTAAAGACAGGTATAGGAAATTATAAAAGTATTAATTTGGGGAACTAATAAATGTCCATGAAGTCTTCACAATCCACGTTCTGCCATGGCTTCAGCCGGTCCCTCCGTTTGGGGTCCCTGACTTCCCGCAACACCACACCCTGCAAAGTTTTGTATTTTTAGTAGAGATGGGTTTTCACCATGTTGGCCAGGCTGGTCTCAAGCTCCTGGCCTCAAGTGATCCACTCACCTTGGCCTCTCAAAGTGCAGGGATTACAGGTGTGAGCCACCATGCCCAGCCTGGAGCCGAACTTATTATCTGTGGAATGAAACTAAGATCTGGTACCCTGAACAATAATAATTCTCTAACAAAACAATCATAGGATGATCGATGGAGAAAGGATATAGAGATTGCCCAGCCTTCTGGCTTAAGTAAACACAACTGGGGGGATCTTCAACCAGGGTTTAAGGACCATTAAGGATACAGAAGGGCTTTGGAGACCCCACTGGGCCTGCTAGCCAGCAGACCCTGAGTACACTGAGATGTCTCAAGTCTGCTGGCTAAAGGTTGCCTCCCCTTCAGCTCATCATCTAGCTGGCCAGGGGTTCCAACCCTGGCCTCATTGTTTGGGCGCCTGTGGTTTGGGGGAGAGGCTGAAGGGAGCAGTATATAGCCTATCAGGGAAGCAGCAAAAAACAAAACAAAACAAAACAAAGCAAAACAAAAACTCCATGTCATCCCATCACCTGCTTTTTTTATTTTTATTTTTTGAGATGGAGTCTTGGTTTGTTGCCTAGGCTGGAGTGCAGTGGCACGATCTCGGCTCACTGCAAACTCCGCCTCCCGGATACAAACAATTCTCCTGCCTCAGCCTCCTGAGTAGCTGGCATTACAGGGGCCTGCCACCACGCCTGGCTAATTTTTCTATTTTTAGTAGACACAGAGTTTCACCGTGTTGACCATGCTGGTCTCAAACTCCTGACCTCAAGTGATCCCATCAACCGCTTTTCTCCATCAGCATCTTTGCATGTCTCCCCTGATCCCCATTTCAATGTACTACAGTAGAAAGAACAGGATTTCGGAGTCGAACTGACTGCTAGATCCTTCATTTATTTACCCGCTGAGCAATTTATTTTATCTTTCTGAAAATCAGAATAATAAATTGTCTTTTAAAATTGTGATTATTAAATGAACAAAAGGTGTCAAAGTATTCAGCACAGAGGCTGGCACATAAGATGAGCTCAATAGGCCGGGCGCGGTGGCACACGCCTGTAATCCCAGCACTTTGGGAGGCTGAGGCGGGCGGATCACGAGGTCAGGAGATCGAGACCATCCCGGCTAAAAACGGTGAAACCCCGTCTCTACTAAAAATACAAAAAATTAGCCGGGCGTAGTGGCGGGCGCCTGTAGTCCCAGCTACTTGGGAGGCTGAGGCAGGAGAATGGCGTGAACCCGGGAGGCGGAGCTTGCAGTGAGCCGAGATCCCGCCACTGCACTCCAGCCTGGGCGACAGAGCGAGACTATCTCAAAACAAAACAAAGATTAATGTAGGATGAATTGACCTATTTCCAATATTGAGTTTATCTATCCATGAAAAATAATGTAACTATTTATTTACTTAGGCTGTCTAAAAAAAAGTCTTCAAAAAAATATTTCTCTACCCTTACTTAGTGAAAAAAATCTATATATATATATGTATATATATATTTTTTGAGACGGAGTCTCACTCTGTTGCCCAGGCTGGAGTGCATTGGTGTGATCTTGGCTCACTGCAACCTCCGCCTCCCAGGTTCAAGCGATTCTCCTGCCTCAGCCTCCCAAGTAGCTGGGACTACAGGCGTGTGCCACCAACCCGGGCTAATTTTTTGTGTTTTTATTAGAGACGGGGTTTCACCGTGTTAGCCAGGATGGTCTCAATCTCCTGACCTTGTGATCCACCTGCCTCGGCCTCCCAAAGTGCTGGGATTACAGGTGTGAGCCACCGCGCCAGGCCTGCCTGTTTTTTTCATTACCTGGCTGGCCTCTATAGGTTGAGTTTGCCATCTCTGAAAACCATTCAGGGTAAATCTCTCTTCTTAGATACTTTTATATACTAAGAAAGCCTGGGCTTGAACTGCAACAGAGTAATGACTGCAAAACAGCGGAGTAACTTCCCAACTATTTAAAGTGCAATATCCCAATATGGGTTTTGGAAAGGGGTGGGAGGCCTGGATTTGAAGAGAGGCCAAGCTGTGGGGAAGTAAAGAGCATGAGGGGAGGACAGATGAAGCCTGCCCTTGGTGTGAGGACTCTTGACATGATTCCAGGATCAGGATTCCTGTCATCCATCTGCTGGCCCTTTGGACCACTCGGCCACTGGCATGCTTTCCAAGTCTGTACCCGTGAGTGGCATCAACTGTCTCTTGGACCGTTCGGATACAGATGGTGAGCAAAAGTAGGGAGCAAAGCAGAGGTGGCCCCTTCCCCTATACATCTTGTTGCCACTCCTCATAGCTAGCTGTTCAGGGTCCAGATGTCCTGTATTATGTTTAGCCACATACCCTTGGAACTCCTAGAATGGCTTTATTATTTTTTTTTCTTTTCTTTTTTTTTTTTTTTTTTGAGACCGAGTCTCACTGTGTTGCCCAGGCTGGAGTGCAGTGGCGCAATCTCACCTCACTGCAACCTCTGCCTCCTGGGTTTAAGTGATTCTAGTACCTCAGCATCCTGAGTAGCTGGGACTACAGAAGCGCGCCACCACACCCGGCTAATTTTTGTATTTTTAGTAGAGAAAGGGTTTCACCATGTTGGCCAGGCTGGTCTCAAACTCCTGAGCTCAAGTGATTCGCCTGCCTTGGCCTCCCAAAGTGCTGGGATTACAGGCGTGAGCCACCATGCCTGGCCTCAGAATGGCTTTATTCAAATAAGCAATCTGAATTCTGGACTTTGGAATTCTGAAACTCCTACCAATGAAAGCGGACATAGGACATAGTGAGGTTCTCCAGCCTCCCCTGTCACCAGAGATGCAAGACAGTTACCTGCAATATACCTTGTCCTCAAGATGGAGTATTGGGAGCTCTGGGTGAAACCTCTGAAACATCAGTCTCCCAGCCACTGTCTCCACATAACCCGGTGCTCTGTTCCCATGGCTCCTAAATTCTTCAGCTCTGCCCTGCTTAGACCCCGCCCTCTCTCCCTGCTGCCCACTGCCCGCCCTCAGGAATAGCGTCACATGCACCTGCAGCTTGGGAACCTGATCTAGGTGAAGCGGGTGGGGGAGGAAGCCCTGGGCGCCTTTGTCTGGCTTTAGCTAGACACTTCTCATCTCCTTTTGTGTTGGCAGGGAATGTATCCCAGTCCTCTGCCATTGACCTCAGGAAACGGTGAGTGTGGGGGACTCAGAATCCTTCAAAAGCCTCTATAGGGGAACAGCAATAGGGTCTAGGCTATGGTTTTGTAGCCCCAGTGGGTTCCCTGCTTCCTGAATCATTCCTCCCCTTAACATTTCTGATCTAAGACCTCCAAATATCCTTCCCTGAGCTGCATAGAATTCACCCTCTCTTCTTTGGTTTGGGTGGGCTCACCAGGTTCCCGGTAGCTGCATGAGATGGGGGGAGAAATTAGGAGAAAAGGAGTATCCAGGGCACAGGGTGTCCATTGAATAATAGAGCATGGGAGTTGCTTGCTGTTGTCAGTGGTATAGGGTAAAAGGGCAGATAGACTGTTGAACAGTCTTAGTGAGGGACAATGACCAAGGACCATGGATCAGCTTAGGATGGCTCAGATAATAGACCAATGGGGATTGGCCCTAAGGAGAGCTGGGCAAGGGCTGTGGAGCTCCCAGCAGAGGGCAGGGCCTGAAGGCAGAGTTCAGGTCTGGAGGTGGAGGCTGGGAGATTTGAATAACTATGTAAATAAGCATGCAAAATCAGCACCTGCTTATTTGGCTCCTATGGCTGAAGCCTGATTAGAGTGGGTCAGCCCTCTAAGACAGTGTGGATGTGTAAGCAAGTAATGGTCCCTTTAAGATATCAGGCTCTGCTTTGTGGTCCTGAAAATCTCTAGCTGACACATCCTCCTGGCTCTGGGTTTGGGATTAGCTCATGGGATGGGGCTGATGAAATCCCAGGAAATTCAGTCCTTATTGGCTTTAGGCCCAGAGGCCTTCTCCAAACAGCAGAGAGGGTCGTACACAGGGCTCTTGTTCTGAGAGGAGAAAATGCCCCCCGGGAGAGCCTCCGCCCCATACCACTTCCGTTGGGGAGCAGCATGAGGAGGCTGGGCCTCCCATCCTGAGCCTGGATTAGGTAGGAAGGAGGAGTCTGTATTTATCTGGGTGGAGCCTGGAGTTTTCTTCCTAAATAGAGGGGCCTGGGAAACTGAAATGCCCACATCCAGGAAGTCCTAGGAGGTCAGGATGGGGGCTTATCTTTCTCTCCCAATCCTTCCTCTTTCTTCCTTCCCATTCTGGCTCTGCTGGTCATGGCACCTTCATCCACCATCTCTCAGGAAGTTATCTTTTTCTTCATTTCCAGCATTACCTCCATCTCCTCATGTCTTCTTTTTCTCTATGCAGCTGCAGCCAGCTGGAAGGACATTCAGGTACCCGGGTAGGCTCCTCCCTGCGACAGACCTTCAGCTTCCTCTCGGGCATGACCGGAAAGGCCAAGGTAGGAGTCAGCTGGGGAAGCAGGAGGCTTGGGACCCACTGCCCTCTCCAGTTCCCTTTCTCCCATCCCACCATCGCCACCTCCCACCACTCCCCCTATTAGAAACTCAGAGCAATGGTTCCATTTTTTATTTTTTTATTTTTTTAAGAGAGGGGGTTTCTGTCTCCCAGGCTGGAGTACAATGGCACAATCATAGCTCACTGCAGCCTCTAACTCTTGGGCCCAGGAAATCCTCTTGCCTTTACCTCCCAAAGTGCAGGGATTACAGGTGTGAGCCACTGTGCCCAGCCAAATGCTTCAAATTTTAAGGAAACACATGCTATCTCTTCCAGCCTGTGTCTCTGTGTCCCAGTAAATCACCTTTTCTCTGCTTTCCCCTACGCATCCAGCTTAGCAGTCAGCTGTGGACAGATGGAAGGGGAAAAGGGCCAGGAACCTCAGAAGCTGAGGAATGGCCTAGCCCTCCCTCTCTTTAGGCCTCACATAGCTGACAGGTGGGCAGCGGAAACCTCAACCATTGGACATAATAATGATAATAATTACAGCACTACTTTTTACTTCTTCATAGAGTATCAGGGTTTGCAAAGTGCTTTTACACTCATAATTTTATGGGTGGGTACAGCAGCTGAAGGAGTTGAAATTAGACCACAGGCAGAGTAGAAGCTGGGAAAGTATATGATTATGGAAGCACATGCATACCCGTACATGTGCGGCCATGTGCTGTTCTGATCCCAGGAAGTGAAGGCACATTGTTCTCATCCTTATTACCAACCGTTGGGCTCTGGTGAAACCGGGAGCTCTGCCTGCTCCTTGAATTTGTTTCCACTTTCTTCATTTACTGTCAGAGTGAGCCGCCCCCCTTTTCCTCCCCTGGCCTCCCCAAGTATGCATGTGCTTTCCAACTCGGGGCGGCTTCTGAGTATTGAAAGAAACCCCAGGGAAATCATCATCATATTCACCTTGAAGAGCCATGAGATTCTCACCAGTAAGGTTGCCTGGGCTCCTCCCAGCCCCACCCGCAGTGCCAGGGTTCTCCCCTCTTCCAGCCTTTTTTTAGCCAAGATTCCCTTTTCTCTGGGTGGGCTGGGAAGGTCAAGATGAAAGCAGGTCATGTTGTTAGCACCTCTCACCACAGGCCATGGGTCGGGAGTTGAGGCTAATGGAGGCATGAGACTGGGTGAGTCTCAGAAGAGGAGCAGCTGGAGAATCTGAAAGCTGATGGGAGGGGAGGGCAGGTGGGACAGAGAGGTTTCTCTCCCATGGGGGAATGGAGATCTCGAAGGAACAAAGCAAAAGCAGAAACCTTGGGGTCTGAGTCTCACCTTCCTACAGGCTGTCTCACTGCAGGGTAGGGGAGTCTGCTAGTGGAATCACTCCCTTTTCTTGCCATGGGAATGGTAGGGGAAGTCAGTACTGCCCAGGGGCCATCCAGATCCCGGTTGGTCTGTTTGTCCACCCTTGACCTAACAGTCTGATGGAGGGTTGAGCAACCTGGTGAAGGGGAATGAGGGCAGAGACTCTGGAGCCCAGATGGGAAAGAGGGAAGCGCCAGAGTGAGTCAGGACATTGCCTCGCTCAGCCTTTCCTCCCCACGTCTGTCATCCTGTCTTCCTCTGTTTCCCTCTCCACCATCTCCTGCTACATCTTCCTTCCACCTTCATGAATGTGTGGGCCTGCTTCACTTAATCTCTTTCTCCATAAGCAGTAAACATCAGGGGGTGGGGCTGGAGAGAAGCTCAGTCAAGCAGTGAGAGAAGGAAGTAGCTTAGTCCCTCCTACTTGAGTAGCATTGCACACTTGATGAAACACTTTCAACTCATTTAATTCTTATAACAATTCTGGCAAAGATAAGTATTTCAATCTCAATTCTACAGACAAATACTTAAAGGTTAGTTACTTTGCCCAAGATCTCACAGCTCATAAGAGGTGGCGCCGTATTAGAAACTCAGGGCTTTGGCTGTGTATTGCCACTGTTTCTCTCAATAGCCGTAACACAACAGTTCATTCCCTCTCATCCTTCCCTTCTTCCAGCTTCTGGCTGGATGGCCACTTAAGGCAATTTGGCCTTAATCACCTCCTCCCAGAATATACAAGGTCCAGACCAATAGAAGAAAGAAGAAAAACAAACCACCTTGGGACAGTGTAGAGCTTGGGCTTGGGTATCCTCGGGAGACCCATCTCTTCTCCAACTGGCCGAGACTTTGGCAACCAGGTTCTTCCCTGGGACCTCCTCCCTACCCCTGAAATGGGAGGGACACATTTCGTCAAGTTAAATGGGCTAAAGAAGGTGATGGCTATTTTTAGATCCTGGTAGAAATGTTTGTTTCTGTGTATCTAAAAAATTATTTCTGAAAATCTGGAAGATATCACTGGATAGGAGTAGAGGGGGCGCTGGAATGAAGAAGGGTCTTGGAAAAGGGGGGCAGGTGACACCAAGGAGAAGGGAAAAGTGTTCATTGTTCAAGAGGATATAGAAAACGGAAACTGAGTCAAGCTGCAGGCCAAGCTCACTAAACACAGGTGTTTTTAAAGGCAGAACACTTTTCTTTTCCCTGTCCCTAGTCCCTTTCCTTGTTATTCATCTCCTAAGGGGAAGAAGAGGGCATAGGGTGAGGGGTAGGGTAACAGCAGGTGGGATGGAAAGTAGACTGAAGGTTGGGGTGGGAGACAGAAAAGAGTTGGAGGGTCGGGTCCTCTTCTTTCATAGAGACCTTCTTAGTTGAGTTGAGGGACCATGAGGTCGCTTGAAAAACCCCAGGGTTCAAATTCTATGTTTCCTGGGTACCCAGGCTGGAGTGTGGCCCTTTAAGATTCTATCCATAGCTTGCAGCACCCTCCTGCCCCAGGCCTGGGAGAGAAGCTGAGGTCCCACCCCAGATCTTGTCTCTGGGCCTCCAGTGGGTGGAACCTTGAGGCCAAGATTCTAGCCTCTGGCTGTCTGTTTTTAAATTTAGTACATTCCTGAGTCTTGGCTGCCCACCTCAGGGGAGGTGAGTCTGGAGTTCTGGGGCCAGGAGCCTCAGGCCTCTTGGTTTGGGGGAGTTCCTACACCCTCCCCGTAGGTATACTTGGCAGGTGCAAGCCAGGAAGAACAAGCTGTGGCCCTGGGGAAGTCCTTCCTGCTTTCTAATGTCCATCCAGCCTGAACTGGGCACGGTTTATTTCCTCTTCCTTTTTCCTGGTCTTTGCTATTTAAGGATTCTAAACAGGGGAATGGGTGAAGAAGGAGGTGAAGGAGTTGCTAGGAAGGAGGGGAAGCCGGAGGGGCAGTGTGGGGGTAGTGCTGGGGGTGAGGAGCCCAACCAGCTCAGCCAGTGGTGAGGTAGTGGAGCCCAAAAATAGTGGCAGAGGCTAAAATTGGCACCTACAAGAGTGCTGAGTTGGGCTTGAAACCTGCAGCCTGGCCCCACTGCTGAGCCAGGGCAGAGAACTGCTGGATCTGGGTTGGGTCTCCCCTCCCTCCCTTCTTCTCCCACGCCCTTTGGGGCCAGAATCAGGCAGGACCCTGCTAACCGAAGGCTCTGTCCCAGGCCTCTCTGTGCTTCTGGTTTCTCCAGAGAAATGGGAGACCCTGAGAGGCAGAAATGAACTTCACTGTAAGTGATCATAGTTAGACTGGAGGAGGAATTTTCCCAATAGCAGGAAACTCACCCAAAGGCTGGCTCAGGCTGGGGAAAAGGGTCCAGAGAGATGAATGCCCCACCTTACCCTGCTTCTTGGGGAGAGGCTGGTTGGGCCCTAACTTTCTTTGACTAGGGCAGGCTGGTTTCTGGTCTTTCAGTTCCGGCTTAACTTGCAACAGAGAGAACTGCAGTTAGACACATGGAAGGCCTTCGGTAAAAGTGGAGAATCCCAACCTAGTCCCCCAAAGTAGCTGGCAGAGGCGGAGCTAGGAGGAGGGCAGAGTGGGGTCAGGAAGGCCCCAGAAGGGTGGGGCATGTGGGAGAATTCTCTCCTCTCTGTTCTTCGACCTCTGGGAGTGAATCCTACCCTTCCCGTGTACTGAAGATCCAGCGTTTAGTTCTCCTTTGATTTCCTCTCCCTCTGGCCACCCCTGCCCCCAATCGTAAAAGGGGTCAGTCTGCTCAGGCCTGCTTTGATGGGACCCCGAAGGCCAGGAAGGAACTGGTCCTGGGTTTTCTAAGAGCTGGGGGCGGATGGAATTCTCCTGCCTGCGGGTCTTTAAAGACTGAGGTAACGCAGTAGGGGAGGGAAAAAGGGAGGGCGAGGGGAGAAGGGAAGAAGGGGAGGGCAGAGGGGAAAGGGCCAACCTGGGTCCGGCGAGGGCTGCGGGGCTGGGTTTTAGGAAAAGAAGAGCTAAGAGGCGGGTCTCTGGGGCTAGAGGGCGCCCCCAGGCGCTGGAGGGGAAATAGGCAGAGGGGCCTCTCAAACCTGTCCTAGGACCCTCGTACCTCTCCGAGCTGCCCCCACACAAACCCTGGCGTCCCGTCCTGCGCGCGGGCACCCCGCCCTCCCTCCGCTCCGCCTACCCCCTTCCTGAGCTTGGGCGGGGGAGGAGACTCGGGTTTGAGGAACTGGTGCTGGGTGCCGGGCGAGGGGAGTCAGACTTCCTGTCCCCGAGACCAACGCGTGCGGGCCGAACCCCTCCCCCCGCCTTCCCCCAACAATACAGGACGCCGGGGTCCGCGCCGCGTCCTCCCTGGTCCCCCCGTCCGATTATGTCTCGGATCGAATCCCTCACGCGGGCGCGGATCGACCGGAGCAGAGAGCTGGCGAGCAAGGTGGGCTCGGAAACCCCTCTCCTTTCGCCGCGGTCCTCGGGTGCTCCCCGAACCCCGGCACCCGCGGTGCATCTCCTGTCTCCCCGCCTGCTTTCTGGGCGCCAAAATCGGGCGGAGCGGTGGATCGGCGAGCGGCGGGACGGGGTGGGTGGGGACTGCGAGCGAGTGGGTAGGGGTGGGGGGAGCGGCAGACGCGACGGTGCTGGGATCCCGGGAGGGAGCGGAGCGGACCTGGGCTTGGTCGCCTCCAAGCCGGCGGGACCGAGTGCTTTAGGCCGCTTGAAAGAAAGTTGCTCCGGTAAGGGACGGAGCGGGAAGAGGGAGGTGTGTGTCTCGCGGGTGGGGGCGGTGGAAGCTCCGGCACCTCCTCTCACCCCGGGCCCCACCGGCTTGGGCTTGGCGTGGCGACCCCCCATCACTCCCCAATCGCTGGCTTGGTCGTTCCCCCTTTGTCCCCGCCATCCGGCGGAGGGGACGGGAGGGGGTGGTTTCCCGGCTTCCTCCCACCACCACCACCACCCCTCCAAGACAAAAGTCAGCTCCTCCTCTCCTCGCAAATGGACTTTCCAGCTGTGATTCAGTTCTCCCCTCTGGGTGGGCGGGTGGCTGGGGTCGGGACGGCCGAGGGACGGCTTACTTCCCCCAAACCATCACCTCTAGGTGAAGGGAGCAGAGGTCTTTGTGTAGCTGGGCTCCTTTCCTCCATCCTGAGCCCTTCTGCCTGGAACATAGGGCCTCCATCCCTATCTGCCCCGCCAGCCTCCTAGCTCTTCCTTCTCCCAACCTGAAACCCTTAGGCTGACACACCTGGCACTATGCATTGTGTTCCCTGCCCTTCCTCCTCCTCCCCCAGCGCTCTCATTCTCTTATCTGCTCGTCTTGGGGTCCCTTCACCTAGCATTTCATGAGTCTGGGTGTATAATTATCCACACGCCTCCCCCATCATGACCTCTTGGCCACTCCTCTCCAAGTACCCTTTATCCCTGCCTTTGTACCCAGCCCCATTCCCAAGTGCCCTGACCTTTCCACACCCAGACCCCAGGAAATGATGAAGCTGACTTGCAGGTGAATAAGTCAGAGCTGAAAGGAAGGTGGTGCCTGCAGACAGCACCTCCCAGCTCCTTTGGGGCCCCCGCACTGTACCCATTATCAGAAAGGACAGGTCCCAGCCCAGAGTTGGTTTAATCTCTGGCTTCTCTCCAACCTGAGTGCCCTACTACCCTGGTGCCAGCCTATGCTGATCACCAACTTCAGCCAAGGGAGCAGTACCCCTTAGGAGTCCTTAAGGGTGATGGAAAGCCCTCCCCTCCACCTCCCTGGTAGTTCCTAGCCAGGCTACCTGTCTTGATGCTAAACTGGGAGAGACAGAGGTTCCATCCTGGGTTGGGGGTGGAGGGCCAGGGAAAGCAGCTTTAAAAGGACTTTCCTTAGGGGGTTGGGATTAGATTTTGCTATCTGGAAAGCAACTGGGGATTCGAGTAGGGCCTAAGACAAACAGAGGGCCGGGGTGAGGTGGCTGAAGTGTGGTGGAACAGTGGGGTGGCAGACAGGCTCTTCACAGCCTGCGCCAGCCCAGGCCCCAGCTCCAAAAGTCTGTTTATTTTTTCAACCGTTTGAGCTGAGACCCTGGAGTAGAGCCAAGGGGGGCGGGGGAGGTTTTTTGAAACCGCAGAAATTTGGTTCCACCCTAAAAAGGAAAGCCATGGGGGAGCTGGTTGGGGGAAGACCTGGCTAGGGGGTATAGAGAGCGGTTCTGTGGGGGCAGGTAGCTACTGGGATCCCTTTTCCATTATTGTGGGGAGCTGGGACGTCAGACATCTGGGTGTTCATGCTCTGTTTTTGTTTTTGTTTTTGGTGGTGGGGGGACTGGCTCTTCTTTCTACTATGGGGGCTGGCTGTGTGGGGCAGGTAATTTGGGAATCTGGCTGGCAGCAGGGAGTCGGGGGCTGAGTGGGTGGATCTGAGAGGGCAAAGAGGCCACCGGAGAAGGGTGGTTGTCAGTTTGGGCCGGTCGGAAGGGGAGGGCCACCTCCGGAAAACTGTGGTTACAGAAGGGGGAGTTGGTTCTTAGCCAACAAACCCTGGATCCCCTCTCCCCCTCCCCCCAGCACACCAGCTGTCTCCTTTCTTTTTATACTGTGGTGGGAAGTAGAGGGGCACCCGCTGGAAAAGACATTATTTGAAGAAGATGGTGTCCCCTGCTACCTCCTTGGGGGGATGGGTCACAGCTAAGCCCTGACACCTCAGCCCCTCCCCATTCCTTGCCTCATTCCCTGGGAGCTCCTCCTAGGAGGAGGAATGTAAGTTTAACCTGCCCCTTTCTCTGTCCCATCCTCACAGGATCTCTCTGTGTAGCCCCCTCCATGCTTCCTTTTTCTTTTCACTCCATTTCTGTTCTCCCAGGCTGTCTTCAGTCCTCCACCTCCTCTGTTCTCTCTGCTCTACTTCCTACCTCCACAAGCCCCAAACCTCACAGGTCCCCTTTCTCTCTTTAGTCCCCTGTTCTTCCCTTTCTCCTTTCCCAAACCCCAACCATCATATCCCTTAGAACAAAGGGTCCTTTTCTGCCAAGCAGGGACCAGAGGTCCAGGGATGGCTGTGGAGGCTGGGGGTCCCCTTGGAATCTCTGTGGTGGGCAGGTGGAGTGGGGAGTGTGCAGAGCGACTATTTCTTTGTTCTGAGGAATGGAGAGGTGGCTGGCTTTGTGTGCAGGACTAGGAGTGCAGTGGAGAGGAGAGCTGGGGGAGCCCAGGAGGGAGCTGAGAGGGCTGACGGTGTTGGAGGAGAGTGGAAGAATGGGGGGTCCTCCTGGTGGCTGAGGCTTCTGGGGACATAGACAAAAATTCTAGGGGTCGTGGAGGTTAGGGAGAGAGTTGAGGGGGAGGGGAGAAGTGAGGATAGGGGAAGGGAGTCTAAAGCTTAGGGAAGTCACTGAGTGACTTGCAGGAGGTTAGATGGGGCCTAGAGAAGGACCTACTGAGGCCGACCAGAGGAGTTACAGTGGGGTCTGATCTTAGCCACTCTGGCTGTGGAATTTGACCTTGGAATCAAGGAGGGGACAGATGTGAATGTGTGCATCCCCTGTGTGCATGTTACTGGTGTGCTGGTGTGTCAGTGTGTCTGTCTGCCTGCCTGCCCTCCTATTCTGTACCCAGATGCTCTGGGCTACTGTTTTGAACAGTGGTCAGCAAAGTAGGGGGTTCGTGCTCTCTGGCCACGAGGAAGTAGCTTCATCCTTAGCTTCAGTTTCTGGTTGGAAATATCATCTAGGAGCTGAGTGAGCGGATTGGTTAGGATTTCTGAAGCTGGTAAGAGAAAAGGCTGAGAGGAGCTGGCTGGACCCTTCCGGGTTTGTTTATGTCTCTTTGGGAGAGGGTGGGGGTGGGGTTGCAGGCAGCAGCTGCCCCCCTCCCAACCCAGCCGGCCTGCCTTGTGCCAGGAGGGCAGGGAGTCCTGGCACAGCTATTGTTCACTTGCACAAATGCCTGTCTGTTTGCATCGCTTACCCCCCCTCTCTTTCTGCTTGTCTCTCTCTCCTGGCCTGACAGGTGTGGCCGCGTAGGGGGCAGGCTGGGTTCCAGGATGCTTGGGTCTCAGGGTCCCTAACCTGATTTATTCCTTGTGGCCCTTAGCAATCCTCTTCCGTTTCACCCGTACCCACTCCCATTGCCAGTGTCTCATCTTCATTCACTAAGCAAGCATTTATTAAGTGCCTTTGTGTGTGCAGTGATGTCTTTCTGTGTTGTTTCTGGCTTTGGCATTAGTGTTTCCACTTGGCTGCCTTCCCCTCTGCCTCCTGTCTTCATCTTGTCCCTGGAAGCTCATAAAGGAGCAGGGCCCGGCTGAGACCACCCCAAGCCCTCTTCTCAGTCCCACCCCCAGCAATCCCTCACCTCTTCATTTCCCAGCCCTATAGCTCCTCCTCCAGGACTCAGTGCCCTTCATAGCCAACGGCGCCTCTGCTGTACAGGGGCTGAGCCACAGGTGACTCGAATCCTGGTGGAATGCTCCACAGGCTCTCCGGTCACTATTACAGAGGGTGTGGACAGAGGTGTCACCATCTTGGGGAAGGGGCTGCTGCCAGGTACAGCTGGAGGAGAGGTGATTCTGAGTACTCTGTGACTCTCCCAGAAGTCTTGATTTGGACATACCTGAGAGAGAAGCAAAGGCAGCTGAGAGAGCTGGGCACAGTGGCTCGCACCTGTAATCCTAGCATTTTGGAAGACCAAGGCAGCTGGATCGCATGAGCTCAGGAATTTGAGACAAGCCTGGGCAACATAGTGAGACCTCATCTCTACAAAAACATTAAGTTTTTAAAATCTATTATTAAAAAAAAAAAAGTCAGATGAGAGCTTAGGGCTTGCTTGGAGAAGCTCTACCTCGCCTGGGTGGATCTGCCTGGCCTTGCTGCCTGCTGGGAGCCCAGGAAGCCAAAGTCCTAGCCTTGGCATTGCCTTCCCCTCCATGTACGTCACTGTTTCCTCATCCCTTATTCTGGGAGACAAAGTGGAGAGAAGAGGGGAGACTGTGTTTGCCTTTGAGCTTTTCAGTAGAGATCCACAATGCCCTCTGCCATTGCTCCCATCTTTCTTTCTTTTTTCTTTTCTTTTTTTTTTTTTGAGACAGAGTCTCGCTCTGTCACCCAGGCTGGAGTGCAGTGGCATGATCTTGGCTCACTGCAACCTCCACCTCCTGCGTTCAAGCAATTCTCCTGCCTCAGCCTCCTGAGTAGTTGGGATTACAGGTGCCCACCACCATACCCGGCCAATTTTTGTATTTTTAGTAGAGATGGGGTTTTGCCATGTTGGCCAGGCTGGTCTCAAACTCCTGATCTCAAGTGATCTGCCCGCCTCGGCCTCTCAAAGTGTTAGGATTATAGGCATGAGCCACTGCGCTCGGCCTGGCCCTGTCTTTCTTTCCCAAAAGTGACTGAGATCTGGGATGACAGTGGAAGGAAGTTTGGGGTTGGTCTTCTGACTTCCAGAGGAAACCCTCAGGGTCTAAACTCAAAGGAAATAGGAGAGAATGGCTTAGAGCCCTTCAGGAGGAGGGAGAAAAGAGAAACAAGAAGAGACAGAAGGTTCTAAAGCTCTGATAAGGAAGGAAGAGGGTTTCCAGAATAGGGGCCAGGGTGCTACTGAGACCCCATGTCTTGGTGTCCATACATCCTTCCTTGCTTCTTTGCTTCCTTCCTTTTCTTTCATTTTGAGACATGTATTGGGTGCCTATTGTATACCAGGTATTGTGCTAAGGGCTTTCATATTCTTTATTTATCCTTGATGTAGCAGTAGTGTGGATGAAGGTGTGTAGCAAGAAGAACTTCCCATGGGATTTGTGAGAAAGAGACAGAATGACTCTAGGTCTGAGCGTGGTGGCTCACACCTATAATTCTAGCACTTTGGGGAGGCTGGGGCAGGAGGATCACTTGATCCTAGGAGTTCGAGACCAGCCTGGGCAACATAGCAAGACGCTGTCTCTACAAAAAAAATTTAAAAATTAGGTGAGCATCATGATGCATGCCTGTGGTCCCAGCTATTTGGAGGGCTGAGGTGGAAGGATCACTTGAGCCCGGGAGGTCAAGGCTGCGGTGAGCCATGATCATGCCAATGTACTCCAGTCCAGGCAACAGAGTGAGACCCTGTCTCAAAAAAAAAAAGAAAAAAAAAAGTATCTAGATGCTGGAGAGCAAAGGACTGAACCAAGCAGGAAGGGCCTCTGAGCACTGGGGTGGGTGTTATGGATTGTGGAGTAATGGGCCCTTTTTCTTGGTGCATAGGTTGGGTCTTGGAGGTAAAGGGCTGTCCTACTTGGGCGTGGGTAAATGGGAGACCAATGTGATTATCTTAAGAATACCTGGAAAAGAGTAGGACAAAGAACCAAACAAGCCCACTCACTCCACCTCTGGAGCAGGCACCCCTGGTAAGCAGGCCCTATGTCCTTCCATCCTCAGAAGCCTGAGCCCTGGGGCGGGCACAGGCAACCTCCGGGACAATAGCACTAGGCAGTGCCAGGGTCGCTTGCTGCTGGGCAGTGCCCATGCTGGGATGTGCTGCTGCTGTGGCTGCTGCCCGCTGCTGGCCCACCTAGAGCAGGGGTCACTTCGAGAGAGGGTGAGTGTTGGGAGGTGGAGGAGGCAGGGCCCAGAGTACCAGGGCTGTCTGTGGAGCATTGATGCCAGAGAGAGGAAGGGCCACTAGAGACCCTGTTCTCTGGCTGCCCCAGTCTTCTCCCTCCCTTTGCCACTCCATCTGAGCTGGTCAGACAGATGAGTGTTTGTGGATGCCACAGGGGGAGGGTGGAGGGCAAAGGACAGAGGTCAGGTGTGGAAGAGAGTACTCGTAGCAGCACTGGGGCAGAGCTGCAGCACTGCCCATTCTGGAGTGACCCTGGTCCAGCCATGTTGTTTTTTTTAATACTATTTTCAGCTTGCTTGCTTTTACTTATGTGTGTATATATATATATGTATATATTTTTTTTTTTTATAGAGATGGGTCTCGCTGTGTTGCTCAGGTTGTTCTCAAACTCCTGGCCTCAAGCGATCCTCCCACCTCAGCCCCGCAAAGTGCTGGGATTACAGGTGTGAGCCACCTCACCGGCCTCTTGCTTTTAATTCAAATGTAATACATGCTCAAACTTTTGGTTTGAGTTATATAGAAGGCTGGGAGGGCAGGAGAGGAGGAGAAAAGGGAGAGTATATGGCAGTGGGAAGAGATTTTTGGACTTGGTGTTTGAGGTCCTGTGAGGTTATTATTCAAAGGTGAATTTGAACTTCTTTTTTTTTTTTTGAGACATAGTCTCACTCTGTGGCCCAGGCTGGAGTGCAGTGGCCCAATCTCAACCCACCACAACCTCCAACCTCCCCGGTTCAAGCAATTCTCCTGCCTCAGCCTCCCAAGTAGCTGGGATTACAGGTGCCTGCCACTACGCCCAGCTAATTTTTTGTATTTTTAGTAGAGATGGGGTTTCACCATGTTGGTCAGGCTGGTCTCGAACTCCTGACCTCAGGTAATCCACCCGCCTCGACCTCCCAAAGTGCTGGGATTGCAGGTGTGAGCCACTGCACCCAGCCTGAATTTGAACTTCTAAAGAGGTATAATTTGGTGCAAGATAGGTGGAGGTTAGACCAAAGGGAGCATTTTCTAGTGGTCCGGGTAGGTAGGTGCCAGAATAGAAAAAAGGAGGCCAGAACATTTTAGAGGTTTGAGTTAGAGGCTAGAGGCAGCTCAGCTTCCTGAATAAGCCTAGGTAGAGGAGCAGTTGGCCTGCGTGAGGAGGAGGGGAGGAGAGGCTGTGGGCGGGAGAGGAGAACAGTGGCGGAGAAGCAAGGCTGAGAAAGGGAAGGCAGAGCGGGAGGAGCCTAGGAGGGAGACCCTGAGAAGAGAAGGGAGGACATAGAGAGAGCAGGAGACAGGAGGAGGATGCGAAAAATGGATGATTGGGGATGGGGAGGATGCATGAGGGGAGAAGGGATTGACCCCAAGACCTCTGGGCTCTGGACATCATCAGGCAAACCTGGAGCTTGGGAAGAGAGGCAGGAAAGAGAAGGATCTTGGGCCCAGGCACTGCAGCCCCATGCCCTCTGTCCCTGCACTGTTGACTCAGCCCCTCCACACTTCCCCTTTCTTTCTACCATTTTCTGCCCCAAGCACCAGGCCCGTGCATCTCTTCCCCTCCTCCACCTCTCAGCTGCTGGCGTGGCCTCGTGGCCTCGGCTGAGTCAGTACTGGTCTCCTAGAGTCCGGGCTGAGTGCTTCCCGCTGAACTGTAATCCTCTGTCCCCAGTCCAGGTCCTCTGACTTGGGGCTTCTACCCTCAGCCATCTGGATCCTGATTTTTGATTTCTGAGAGCCTGGGAAACCTTGGAGGGAGTGGTCTTCTCAGCTTCTAGTCCTGCTCCAAGAGCGGAGGGAAAATCCAGAGATCAGAGTCACAACTAAGGAAGGTCCTAGAATAGTGGGAAGAGTGATATCCCCCTCTTCTCACCTTCTCAGGCTTTTTGGGAATCACAGGGGCTTGAAGAGGGACAGATTGGAGGTCAGGGAGAATGACTTGACTTGCAGAGGCAGGGGCACTGGGGGAAATGGGAGACAGCAGAGATGGAAAATGCGGCTCAGAGGCTCCGAGGAAGGTGTGCGCCATCTGCGGAGATCAACACTGAAGGATGGAGGGTAGATGTCAGAAAGGACTTCCTAGGATGGGAGAGACCAGTTGGGTAAGGAGCAATAGAGGAAACTCTCCTAGGTTTTAACTCTGGAAAGTAGTATGAGAGGGATAAAAGTTAGACTGCAGGAGAGATTTTCCGCTGGAAGCAACCAAGATGGCTGGCTGAGCTTCCTTACTTAAAGATCCCAGAGTGGAAGAGTGACCCAAAGGCAGCTAGCTGCCTTTGCCTCAAGGTTAGTAGGGGACATGCTGCCTCCCAGACAGGCCCTGTGTGCCGTGGCTGAGGGTTGGTGAAAAGAGTTAGAGGTCTGGGATCCTGACCCCTGGGTTGGGGGTGGCAGGGGAGGCATTCTGCCCCCTTCAGCCAATCTAATAAGGGGATCTCCTGCCCCCCCCACTGTGACTGCCACAGAGACAGCAGATCCAACACTGGTTGTCATGGTTATAAGAGGAGCTAACTCCCATAGATTGGAAAGCGCTGGTGAGCTGGCACCCTCCGCTTCGCCTGCTCTCCCCTCCTCTCTGCGCATCTTCCCCCTAGCACAGAGAAGAGAGTACAGCAGCTCGGGGGTGAGCAGAGCTAGGGCTGGGAAGGTGGAGTGAGGACGCAGAGACCTAGAGCCAGGGAGATGAGTGGCAACAGGAGGCAGCCCAGCCGTAGGGGCCAGGTAGGTCAGGGACCCAGAACCCATCCGGGCTGGCTGCCCCAGAGCCTGGCCTGGTCACTCCCGGACAGCTGCCTCTGACACCCAGTTGCAGGCTCTGCTTTAGGAACTGGTGTCTTTCCAGCATCCTCAGGCTGGCATTTTTTCCTTGCCTCTGCCCCCAGCCTGTCTCTCTGGACTCCAGGCACCCTGGCATTTTCCAGCCTCACTTCCTCTCCCTCTCATCCCTTCCACAGACCCGGGAAAAGGAGAAGATGAAGGAAGCCAAGGATGCCCGCTATACCAATGGGCACCTCTTCACCACCATTTCAGTTTCAGGCATGACCATGTGCTATGCCTGTAACAAGAGCATCACAGCCAAGGAAGCCCTCATCTGCCCAAGTAAGTTGTTTGGACCCTGAGAGTCACCCAGACTCGGTGCCCACTGACCCTGATCTTTTCATCTGTTTTTTCTGCCTGGATCCATGAGGGTCACTCTTCTCTCTGATCCCCAGCTGGGCCCAAATGCCAGGGCCAGTTGCTTGATCCCTTGCTCCCTGTCCTCACTCTGAGGGGTGGTGGCTGTTGGAATATGGCATAAGCCGGACTATCTGGGAATGTGGGGGAGGGGAGGCTGTGCTGGCTCCTCTTGCAGCTGTCATCCACCAGGCACCCCCCTTGCTCCCCGAACAGCTGCTAAGGGTTAGGGGAACTGATTGGAGAAGGAGCAGGAATGTTGTATGTGTGGAGGGGGTGGGGTGGGGGGTGACAGAGGAACTGGGTGGAAAGCTGCCAGCCTTGCAGCTGGCTCTGCCTGTCTTCCTGCGCAGAGCTGGGCATTCAGGACTTCACAGTCCCCTTGCCCCTTTCTTTCTATTGACTATGGGTGGAGCCTGAAATCTCTGCTGTTTCAAGCAGAAGATGTGATTAGGACCCTTCATCTCAAATTTCTAGTGAGAAAGAGGGAATGTAGCAGGGATGTGTGTGTTGAGGGGCAGGGGTTAGAATTCCTGCCCTTCATCCACATCTGAGTGTAGTCCTGTCTTTAGGGAGTATAAGCCAGGAATTCTTTCCTTCCCCAGTACACAGAGGGCTCCTGCTGCCCCCTCTCCCTCAATTCCTCCTGAAGTTATGGCAGAGATGCCTCTGATTAGAGCAGGATTGAAGGTATTGTGACCTGCTACTGAATAGCGGACAAAAGCTCTAGCCTGTAAATCCCTATGAAACTTGGGGAAGGAACCCCCAGAAAGGACCAGTGATGGGCAACCCGCTCGGGTCCCCTTCTACGCTGTGGGAGCTTTGTCATTTTGCTCTTCACAATAAAGCTTGCTACCGCTCAAAAAAAAAAAAAAAAAGAAAGAAAAGAAAACCAGTGAAGCCTCCCTACTTTCCTCACTGTTCAATTTAGAGTTGTGAGGATGAGGAGGGAACCCCAATCTAGATCCCTATAGAGACCTGACAAAATTCCCAATCCGGAAGCTTGTTGCCAGGGGAACAGGGGAGGCGGGCAGCACTATTTTGAGAGCAGGTGGAAAGCGGAGGTTCAATCCAGAGACACTGAGTGTTGGGGGTAGGAGAAGGGAGCTCCAGGGGGGTGGGGGCAGCTGCAACCCCCACTTCTGTCTGCCCCCTCTGCTCCACCCTGTTTGCCTTGTATTTGTGGAAGTGAGCGTGGTGCTGGGTATTGTCTGAAAGAGTTAGCAGAGTTTCCGGTGTTGTTGGATGGGGGAGGGGAAGCTGGAGAGGGCCGGGAGCTGAGGGCATGTCTGGGAAGGGCACGGCCAGGGTCCCAGTGCCTAGGCTCAGCGAATCCTCCTTTCTTCTTCTCTCCTACCCCATGGCAAGGTGGGGTGGAGGATGGCGGAGAAGCAGATGGAGTGTGGGAGCTGTGGATTTGCCTGAGTTGGGGGAACAGGACTCCCTGGGCCTGGAAGGGAGAAGGCCAGGCTTGGTGGGGAGTTGCCTGTCCCTTCTTTACCACTGGAGCCATCAATCAGCCTTGGAGCTGCTGAGGCCCAGCCAGAGTCCAGGGCATGTGGTGCGAGGGAAGGAGCACGGCCTTTGGATTCAGGCCCACCGGAGTGTAAACACCACCTCTCCCACTAGCCGTGTGACCTCTGATGGACGATTTAGCCACTCCAGGACAGGTTCCTCATACATGAAATGAGGATAACTGAACCTCCCTCTACGGGTGGTTAGGATTAAGTAAATGTGGAACATTTACTATTATAAAAGCTCAGGGAATGTAAATTTCCCCTCTGCCCCTAGCCCCCATTCTGGCTGCCTCTGTGCCATCTTCTGTTCTGTGGGAGTCCTCTCTTCCATCTGCCATTCGCAACCACCTTCGTGCTTCTTGAGCTCATCTCTGGCAGCCAGTGACCCCTGCTCCCCTCTGGTCCGCCCTTCAGGCCACCTTGGGGTCAGGATTGCCCATCCCACTTGATTGTTTAATTTCATTCAGCACCTATACCCCCCTCACTTCATTTCCTGCTTGAAGGAAGAGGGAGGTGGGAGGAGAGGGACTGGGGTGTGGTAATGGCCCAGAAGTCGGGGAAGGGGGGAGAGTCCCCGAGGACTGTGTGGCCAGGAGGAGATGGGTGTCTGCATGTGGGTGTGTCCCCTCCTGTACCACCCGGCCCTCCCTTCACCCTCTCTACCCCACCCTCCCAGCCTGCAATGTGACTATCCACAACCGCTGTAAAGACACCCTCGCCAACTGTACCAAGGTCAAGCAGAAGGTGAGACGGCAGGGAGGGCAGAGGGCTGGGGGAGAGGGTAGTGAGTGTGCGGTACCCTCATGCCTTTTCCATTCATTCCCTACCCTGTGTTTCTCACCACCCACCTCCTCACCAAGGGGCAGCCCAGACCCTCAACCCCAGGCCTCGGGCCCCAAGTAGGCCAGGCCTGTTGCTGCAGACATGTCCCCACAGCACTGGGCTCAATCACCCTGATCCCCTTAACCATAGTGCCAGCTTTCTCCTAAGGGGGCCGGCCACCTAGCTCCTGTCCCATGCCTCTGGGGGTGATCCTTGGGTGACAGCCATTCTTGGTATCTCTCTCCTGCTCTCTGTCTCACAGCAACAGAAAGCGGCCCTGCTGAAGAACAACACCGCCTTGCAGTCCGTTTCTCTTCGAAGTAAGAGTGAGTAGTTGGGGAGTGGAGGAGGTCCCCTAAGACCCTGGACCCCAGGCTGCTCAACCCATGGGCTCTGCTGCCCCACTAAGGTTGTTCCCAGGCATAGCACCTTCCTCTTCTTGATTGGAAGCAGATAGTGGGGGCCTAAGGGAGGGTTCGGACTCTTGGACTTAGAGGCAGAAGGGGAGAGAGAGTCCGAATGGGGATGAGGGCTGGGGATGGGTGGTCGCCTGAGCCTGGCCGCAGCCTGCATTTTTATCAGTTATTTACACTGCATTTCGGGAGTGTTGGTAGCAGCTGTCAAGTGTCAATTCAGACAGCTTTGGTGTAACAGAAAGAGCATGGCCCTTAGGTATAAAGAGCAGAGCCTCAGTCCCTGCCTAGCCATTACCCAAGTCACCCTGGACAAGTCTTTTTGTCTTTCTGAGCTCCTGTTTGTTTATAGGCTTATGTCAGGGAGGAGATAAGTAAGAAAAAGCTCTTTGTGAACATTAGAGTATGGCACAAATGTAAGGTGGCATTCTCATTACCATCTTTCTTGACTAGAGGGGCTGAGGTGGAGTGAGAGGATGCCTCATTCCTCATTGAGGAGCCTAGGAGGCCTCAATCCTGGGAAGCACCAGAGTCTGATGTTTGCCTGCTGGGCATCTCTCCCCCACAGCAACCATCCGGGAGCGGCCAAGCTCGGCCATCTACCCCTCCGACAGCTTCCGGCAGTCCCTCCTGGGCTCCCGCCGTGGCCGCTCCTCCTTGTCTTTAGCCAAGAGTGTTTCTACCACCAACATTGCTGGGTGAGCCTCTGTTTGGGGAAAGGGGCAGCCAGAGAGTGTGGCAGTGGAGGCCAAGGGGGTGCTGAGAGGTCCCTTTCCATCCCTGAGTTCAGAACTGTAGACAGACAAATAAGGAGAACTTAGGGGGACCGCCTCTTGGATCCTGGCTTTGGTTCCCTACCTGGGAAGGGATCTTTTGCCCGACTGGGGGTGATGCAGACAGCCTCCACTTTCTTCAGACATTTCAATGATGAGTCTCCCCTGGGGCTGCGCCGGATCCTCTCACAGTCCACAGACTCCCTCAACATGCGGAACCGAACCCTATCCGTGGAATCCCTCATTGACGAAGGTGAGCAGGCCTGGGCCCAGGGGAGCCCTGAGGAACATGAAGAGGGGCTGGGGGATGAGAGGCTGGTGGGAGTAGCCTGGAAGGACAAGGAGGGAAGGGATCTAGAGAAGGGCCAGGGACCCAGGGAAGGGAACTCAAGACCTCTGAGTTGCTTGCCCTGCTAATGTCCAGCAGAGGTAATCTACAGTGAGCTGATGAGTGACTTTGAGATGGATGAGAAGGACTTTGCAGCTGACTCTTGGAGTCTTGCTGTGGACAGCAGCTTCCTGCAGCAGCATAAAAAGGAGGTGATGAAGCAGCAAGATGTCATCTATGGTAAGCCAAGACCACCCTAGTCTTCCTCTTCCTTCACCAGGTCCTGTTTATCTACTTCCTTCTTTATTTTTCTTTTTCTTTTTTTTTTTTTTTTTGAGATGGAGTCTCACTCTCTCAACCAGGCTGAAGTGCAGTGGCATGATCTCGGCTCACTGCAGCCTCCACCTCCCAGGTTCAAGCGATTCTCATTACAGGCGCCTGCCACCATGCTGGCTAAGTTTTGCATTTTTAGTAGAGACGGGGTTTCACCATGTTAGCCAGGCTGGTTTCAAACTCCTGACCTCAGGTGATCTGCCCGCCTCAGCCTCCCAAAGTGCTGGGATTACAGGCGTGAGCCACCGTACCCGGCTGTGTCCTTCTTTCTACCAGCCCCTACCTCTCAAAACCCTTTCCCTCTTGGCCTACAAGACCCTGCCTGGTATCCCACAGGTTGCCCACTAGGTCCCTACCTCTTGATGCTGTTGGTCTCCAACACCCTCTCTTTATCCCTTCTTTATCTCTGTCTTCAGTCTTTACTCTGTGCTTGTTCCACGCTTAACACCGTGCTGGAGACTGTGGGAAGCCTCGACATGTAGAAGACATATGGTTCTTACCCTAAAATAGCTCACAGCTTGAGATGATAAGGTGTAAAGATAAAAAATGGAACTGGGCGTGGTGGCTCATGCCTATAATCTCAGCGATTTGGGAGGCCGAGGTGGGAGGATCACTTGACGCCAGGATTTTGAGACCAACCTAGGCAACAAAGCAAGACCTCTGTCTCTAAAAAAAAAATATATATATATATATATGTATATATATATATATATATATATATATATATTTTTTTTTTTTTTTTTTTTTTTTGAAGCAGAGTCTTGCTCTGTCGCCCATGCTGGAGTGCACTGGCGCTATCTCGGCTCACTGCAACCTCCGCCTCCCAGGTTCAAGCAATTCTCCTGCCTCAGCCTCCCAAGTAGCTGGGATTACAGGCGCCTACAACTACACCCGGCTAATTTTTGCATTTTTAGTAGAGACAGGGTTTCATCATGTTGGCCAAGCTGGTCTCGAACACCTGACCTCAGGTGATGCACCCGCCTCGGCCTCCCAAAGTGCTGGGATTATAGGCGTGAGCCACCGTGCCCAGCCGTCTTTAAAAAATATTTTAAAAAACTAGTCAGGTGTGGTGGCATGTGCCTATAGTCCCAGCTACTTGGGAGGCTGAGACAGGAGGATCGCTTGAGCCCAGAAGTTCGAGGCTGCAGTGAGTTATCATTGTGCCACTACACTCCAGCCTGGGCACCAGAGTAAGACCTCATTTCTGGAAAAAAAAAAATAATAATAAAATTTTTGAAAGATAAAAATGAGGGCCGGGTGTGGTGGCTCATGCCTGTAATCCCAGCACTTTGGGAGGCCGAGGTGGGGAGATCACGAGGTCAGGATTTCGAGACCAGCCTGACCAATATGAAGAAACCCCATCTCTACTAAAAATACAAAAATTAGCCGGGCCTGGTGGTGCGTGCCTGTAATCCCAGCTACTCAGGAGGCTGAGGCAGGACAACTGCTCGAACCTAGGAGGTGGAGGTTGCAGTGAGCTGAGATCGCGCCATTGCACTCCAGCCTGGGCAATACAGTGAGACTCTGTCTCAAAAAAAAAAAAAAAAAAAGATAAAAATGATTAGAAAAGTATCTAAGATCATAATAATGCAGAATATTAACCTGGAATGGACCTTGAAAACCTCACGTGAACTGTGAGGTCCTTATCCTAGGGCCCCACGAGTTTTAGCCAAGCCAGGGTAGAGGCCAAATGTCCCAATGTCCCCCACAGAGCTAATCCAGACAGAGCTGCACCATGTGAGGACACTGAAGATCATGACCCGCCTCTTCCGCACGGGGATGCTGGAAGAGCTACACTTGGAGCCAGGAGTGGTCCAGGGCCTGTTCCCCTGCGTGGACGAGCTCAGTGACATCCATACACGCTTCCTCAGCCAGCTATTAGAACGCCGACGCCAGGCCCTGTGCCCTGGCAGCACCCGGAACTTTGTCATCCATCGCTTGGGTGATCTGCTCATCAGCCAGGTGGGAAAAGGCAGGACCCCTGGGTGACATTCATGGAAGGAGGTGTGACTGGGTTGGGCATTTCTTGGGTCCAAATTCTAGGGGTTGGAGGGGAGCCAGGGAGAGCTGGAGAAACAGGAAGCCAGCCTGTTTGGCAGGAGGCCAGAGGTGTGTCCAGTGGGTAAAGTGTGGCTTTGGGGGAATGCTGACCTAACCTTACTCGACCAACTTCTAGTTCTCAGGTCCTAGTGCGGAGCAGATGTGTAAGACCTACTCGGAGTTCTGCAGCCGCCACAGCAAGGCCTTAAAGCTCTATAAGGAGCTGTACGCCCGAGACAAACGCTTCCAGCAATTCATCCGGGTGAGCGGACCTCTCCAGATCCCATGCTCATGGCCCAAACCCACCCTCCCCAACTCATGGGGGTAGTGCCTGTGAGCTGCACCCACATGGAGGTCAGGCATTCGCCACCCGTGCAGACCATCCATACACAGATCCTGTCAGCAGTAACCCCTCAGAATGCTAGAGCACGTTGTGGTAGTTTCCCAAGTACTTTTTGCTCCTTCAGTTGGTCCTCACAACAAACCTGTGGCGTTGTTATCCCCATTTTCCAGATATGTCACCTAGGCAAGCATGAGGTAAATGGCCACGCCAGGGCCAGCACCAGAGCTCAGGCCCCAGGCCTTTCTGTTGCCCTCCCCTCTGGCCCTGAGCCCTGCCTCCTCCCTTGTAGAAAGTGACCCGCCCCGCCGTGCTCAAGCGGCACGGGGTACAGGAGTGCATCCTGCTGGTGACTCAGCGCATCACCAAGTACCCGTTACTCATCAGCCGCATCCTGCAGCATTCCCACGGTGAGTAGGCAGGCCCAGGAGAGGGCCACTGGGAGACGGCCACCTGGGGTGAGGAAAGGCTCGGTATGACCACAGGAAGGGTGGGGTCGGGTGTGAAACCCTGGGCAGCCTCTAAAGGTGGAATCAAGACACGATGGGAACTGGGGTGTGAGTGAAACTGGTTGAGCCGTTCCCCATGCCAACCCCCGGTGCCAGGGATCGAGGAGGAGCGCCAGGACCTGACCACAGCACTGGGGCTAGTGAAGGAGCTGCTGTCCAATGTGGACGAGGGTATTTATCAGCTGGAGAAAGGGGCCCGTCTGCAGGAGATCTACAACCGCATGGACCCTCGGGCCCAAACCCCAGTGCCTGGCAAGGGCCCCTTTGGCCGAGAGGAACTTCTGAGGCGCAAACTCATCCACGATGGCTGCCTGCTCTGGAAGACAGCGACGGGGCGCTTCAAAGGTCAGACCTGCTCGGCAGACTAGGCAGGAATTCAAAGTCAGATGGAGAGTGGGAGATGCCTGCAGGTCTTAGAATCAACCTCTCTTGGCCGGGTGCAGTGGCTCAACGCCTGTAATCCCAGCACTTAGGGAGGCCGAGGCGGGCGGATCACGAGGTCAGGAGATTGAGACCATCCTGGCTAACACAGTGAAACCCTGTCTCTACTGAAAATACAAAAAATTCGCCGGGCGTGGTGGTGGGCGCCTATAGTCCCAGCTACTCAGGAGGCTGAGGCAGGAGAATGGCGTGAACCCAGGAGGCGGAGCTTGCAGTGAGCCCAGATTGCACCACTGCACTCTAGCCTGGGTGACACAGCAAGACTCCATCTCAAAAAAAAAAAAAAAAAAGAATCAACCTCCCTTTATGCAGCCCATACAACAGTGAGACTCAGTGGGAGAGAAAAATAGGATCTCTGTGGCAGAAAAGCCTGAATTCTGCAGTTAACTTTATGGACCATACAGGGCCTTCCCTATCAGTATTTTATAATTTCTTTGGTCCTTGCATGCCTAGAGAGCTACTAGTTTTACTGAGGAAGACAAAGAAGCTCTCAGACTGGAGGACAGGATCAGTTGATTCCCCCAGCTGGAATCCCAGCTACCAGGGATGGGAGTAAGCAAGAGCTTTGGGGAGCGCAGCCAGAGGAGGCCCAGAGGAGGGGACTGAGCCGGTGAAGGACAGGCAGGGAGGAGAAGAGACAGCAGGGCAGAGGGAGCAGATCAGGGGCCAGGGCACACTTTCCCAGGCTCTCTTTCCAGAATTTGTCTGCACTGGCAAAGTCTTTCTCACCTAAATCAAAGCAAGAGAATAGCAGGCCTTGGCTTTGGGGATGAGATGTGAGGGACAATAGGAAACTGTGATACCTGAGGCCAAAGCCTGCCTGAGCCTCTGTACCTGTGTCATGAAATCCCTGCTCCCTGGGTTTGGATATTGTCAGTCTTCACCAGCCTCTTTCCTTTATCCCTTTCTCTCCTTCCCATCTCTCCCACGCAGCAGCTAAGAATATAAACCATGGGGGATTAAAAATAGCAAGGCTGGAGAGTGTTATTTCTGAAGCATTTAGCAAAAGCCCTCCCCTTCTGTGTGCCCACAGTTTAGTAAAATCCCCAAGGGCAAAGGAGGAGTGTATGTTTTCTCTCTCTTTTTTTTTTTTTTTAGAAACAGGGTCTCGCTTTGCTGCTCAGGCTGGGGTGCAGTGGTGCAGTCATAGCTCACTGTAACTCAAACTCCTGGGCTCAAGTGATCCTTCTGCCTTAGACTCCTGAGTAACTGGGACTACAGACCTGCACCACCACACCCAGCACATTTTTAAATTTTTTGTAGAGATAAGATCTTGCTATGTTGCCTAGGCTAGTCTTGCTCAGACTCCTGGCCTCAAGTGATTCTCCTGCCTCAGCCTCCCAAAGTGCTGGGATTGTAAATGTGAGCCACTATGCCTCGCCCTCTGTTTTCTTGATTGTGACATCCAAGTTTTATGGAATTGATCTTTGTTTCCTCCCTCAGTCTTGGAGTGCTGACCCCATAGGATCTGAGAGCTTGGAGTGTGAAGCAGAGAAAGAAATTGAAGCAGGGGCCTGCTGGGGTTGAAGGAGATGGGTGGGTGAGGGATGGTCTTTCAGTCCTCTGCGAGAGGAAGGAAACTTTCTCCCTCCCTACCAAGCTCAAAATTAGAAGTGGGAATATGCCAGGACAGGGAGAATTTAGGTCAGATAGCCGTAAAGGTCTTCCTTAGTTAGATATTAGAAATGGAATTTAAAGGCTAAAAAATGTGGTCCAGGCTGGGCACGGTGGCTCATCCCTATAATCTCAGCACTTTGGGAGGCTGAATCAGGCAGGCAGATCGCCTGAGGTCCGGAATTCGAGACCAGCCTGGCCAAGATGGTGAAACCCCATCTCTACTAAAAATACAAAAATTAGCCAGGCATGGCAGCATTCACCTGTAGCCACAGCTACTTGGGAGGCTGAGGCATGAGAATCGCTTGAACTCAGGAGGCAGAGGTCACAGTGAGCAGAGATCACACCACTGCCCTCCAGCCAGGGCGACAGAGCGATACTTGGTCCCAAAAAATAAAAAATAGGCCAGGCGCAGTGGCTGATGCCTGTAATCCCAGCACTTCGGCAGGCCAAGGCAGGCAGATTACTTGAGGTCAGGAGTTAGAGACCAGCCTGGCCAACGTGGTGAAACCCCGTCTCTACAAAAATGCAAAAAATTAGCCAGGTGTTGTGGCGTGCTCCTTAATCCCAGCTGCTCAGGAGGCTGAGGCAGGAGAATCGCTTTTTCCTGGGAGACAGAAGTTGCAGTGAGCCAAGATGGCACCACTGCACTCCAGCCTAGGCGACAGAGTGAGACTCCGTCTCAAAAAAATAATAATAGAATCAAATTAAATTAAAAATAAATAAAAAATAAAAGTATGGTCCCTCTTGCTCTGGGGAACCTTATGAATCTCACAAAAATCTTGGACCCTGTCACCCAAAAAAATACACGAGTTATGTTAATATGTAAAACTATTTACACACCTTCAGAAGGTTTACAGAGCCACTGAAGCCTGACATCCCAGGGGGTCTGTAGGCCCTAGGTTAAGAAACCTGAATCAGTCAGGTAGAAAGGGTTTTCTGTAGACACTGAGTGATCCCTGTGGTTCCTGCTAGCCCACAACGCTGTTTTGTCTGATAGCACATGAATCTTTCTGCACCCTGCCCGCCCCCCACCCCCCACCCACACTGTTTTTAAGCTGTAAGAATGTGTGACCAGGCGCGGTGGCTCATATCTGTAATCCCAGCACTTTGGGAGGCCGAAACTGGTGGATAAACCTGAGGTCAGGAGTTTGAGACCAGCCTGACCAACATGGTGAAACCCCGTCTCTACTAAAAATACAAAATTAGCCGGGCATGGTGGCACACGCCTGTAGTAGTCCCAGCTCCTTGGGAGGCTGAGGTAGGAGAATCGCTTGAACCCGGGAGGCGGAGGTTGCAGTGAGCCAAGATTGCACCATTGCACTCCAGCCTGAACAACAAGATGAAAACTCTGTATCAAAAAAAAAAAAAAAAAATAGAATGGGTGAGGTGTGAGAGGTCTGAAAAAGTGCAAGCAGCCAGAGGGAAGAGAGGCCAGGAAGAGGGAAACTGGGAGCTCTAACCTGATGGGATAAGCCTGGTCCTTGGGAAAGAGGGAAGCAGCTGCTCAGACCGTCTAGTGCTGACTGTTCTCCCACCTTCATCCCCTTCCAGATGTGCTAGTGCTGCTGATGACAGATGTACTGGTGTTTCTCCAGGAAAAGGACCAGAAGTACATCTTTCCTACCCTGGTGAGACATTCATTCTTCACCTTTCTCAGCACAGACAAGTGTTTTAGTCTCTTCTTGCTTTCCTGCCCAAGCCCACGAGAGCTCTGGAGTCCCCCAGAGTCAAACAGCTATAATTGTTACTATTACCGTAATAATAAAAAATAAGAGCAGCTCACAGGTACTGTTACTGTGCACAGGCACTTTTACACCTGTGGGAAAAGATTATTTTCGTCCTCATTTTATAGATGATGAAAGTAAAGCTTCAAGTCAGTTAAATAATTTGTCAAGGGTTGCACACATTTCTAAGTCCCTTCTGGCTGGCACCAGTGCCTGGCTCTTAACTGGTATTGTAAGATGACTCTTCAGTCCTTTCAGTCCTCGTCCAGAAGGATTGAAGGCCTAAATATGCCAAGGGACAGGATTCCCAGGCTTAATCCTTCCTTTCCCCTGACTGGCAGGACAAGCCTTCAGTGGTATCGCTGCAGAATCTAATCGTACGAGACATTGCCAACCAGGAGAAAGGGATGTTTCTGATCAGCGCAGCCCCACCTGAGATGTACGAGGTGCACACAGCATCCCGGGATGACCGGAGCACCTGGATCCGGGTCATTCAGCAGAGCGTGCGCACGTGAGTGTCTGCCTGCCGCCTGCATGTGCTTATGACCTCAGGGTACCTGCAGCATTAGATCCCAACCATAGAACTCCCTGGGAACAGAATCCAGCATTCAGAGGTGGGGGAAGAGGTTGAGGGAGAGACAAAATGGCCCAAGACTGGAAAGGTCACCTATGTTCTTATGTCCTGTAAAGCCACATTTTATACATTGCCAACCTCAACTCCCTTTCAAATTCAGCATGAGCTGACAAGCAAGGGAATACTTTGAGCTGTCACATGGTGGCATACCTGCCAGCCAACAGTACAATTTCAGCTGCATTCACATGTTCATCTGTAGGCAGAGGGCTGTTATTTGGATTGTATTGTATTTTACATTTATTTTTCTAAAAATGAATGAAAAAGAGGATAATGAAAGCATCGATACTAGAGAGGAACAAGTCTCATAAACAGACTCAACACAATAGAAGCAAGAAGGAAATCAGTGTGTCAAAGCAGCAAATCTTTAGCTTCTATTGGACACACATTAGATTTGAGGCAGTCAACTATGTGTCTAATTGTGATGGGAAAAAACATCAAATAAAGCACAGGTAAGATGTTTAAAATGGATTCTGGAAGATTATGCCTAAAGAATGAAGTGTAAGTGTAATTCTAATTCAGATTTTTACAGGTTTTCTTTCTTTTTTTTTTTTAATTTTTTTTGAGACAGAGTCTCGCTCTCAGCTCACTGCAACCTCCACCTCCTGGATTCAAGCGATTCTCCTGCCTCAGCCTCCCAAATAGCTGGGACTACAGGTGCCCACCACGACCCCAGGCAAATTTTTTTTTTTTTTTTTTTTTTTTGGAGACAGAGTCTCTGTTGCCGGGCTGCCTCAGCCTCCTGAGTAGCTGGGACTACAGGCTCACGCCACCATGCCCAGCTAATTTTTGTATTTTTAGTAGAGACGGGGTTTTACCATGTTGGCCAGGATGGTCTTGATATCTTGACCTCGTAATCGACCCGCCTCAGCCTCCCAAAGTCCTGGGATTACAGGCATGAGCCACTGCACCCAGCCAAATTTTTGTATTTTTAGTGGAGACGGGGTTTTGCCATGTTGACCAAGCTGGTCTCGAACTCCTGATCTCAGATTTATCCGCCCACCTCAGCCTCCAAAAGAGCTGAGATTACAGGCATTAGCCACCATGCCCAGCCAAGATTTTTATAATTTTTCTTTAGCTTTCAGGGAATCAGTTCTCAACTTTATAATTTGTAAACCTTTTTTTTTTTTTAACTTCTGCACCATGGAATTTTGAAAAGGTTTTTAGAAATGCATATAAAAGTATGAAATTGCAGGCCAGGCACAGTGGCTCACGCCTGTAATCCCGGCACTTTGAGAGGCTGAGGCGGGTAGATCACTTGAGGTCAGGAGTTCAAGACCAGCCCGGCCAATATGGTGAAACCTCGTCTCTACTAAAAATACAAAAATTAGCCGGGCGTGGTGGCATAAGCTTGTAATCCCAGTTACGCGGGAAGCTGAGGCAGGAGAATCGCTTGAACCCGGGGGTGGAGGTTGCAGTGAGTCAGGATTGTGCCACTGCACTCCAGCCTAGGTGACAGAGTGAGACTCCATCTCCAAAAAAAAATTATGAAATTGCCTATTCCAAGAAAGCAGTTCAAAATAACCTGTCCTGTTGACAGATCTGTAGTGGCTTCTTTATTAATAGTATTAATATTTATAATTGTGGCCAGGCGCTGTGGCTCACACCTGGAATCCCAGCACTTTGGGAGGCTGAGACAGGCGGACCACTGGAGTTCGAGACCAGCCTGGCCAACATGGCGAAACCCTGTCTCTACTAAAAATATAAAACTTAGCCAGGCATGGTGGTGCGTGCCTGTAGTCCCAGCTGCTTGGGAGACTGAGGCAGGAGAATCACCTGAACCTGGGAGGCAGAGGTTGCAGTGAGCCAAGATCCTGTCACTGGACTCCAGCCTGGGCGAAAGTGCAAGACTCTCTCTCAAAAAAAAAATTATAATTGTGGAAATTAATAATATTAATTGTAATTGATTTGTTGAGCTTCTGTTATGTTCAAAGCACTTTAACATTTCATTTAATCCTAATGAAAAACCTATGAGGAAGATATTACCTTCATTTTTCAAATGAGGAAATAGAGAGGTTACCACCTGGTAAACAGTGGAGCCAGGATTTGCATCCTGTTTGCTTGATGCCAAAGCCTGTACTTGACCCTCTGCACTGTGCTGCCTTTCCAAGCGACCTTTGGAGAGATATATCTCAGTAAACGCAGATAATCAGTGCTAAGAAATGGGAGAAGGTCGGCCGGGCGCGGTGGCTCATGCCTGTAATCCCAGCACTTTGGGAGGCGGAGGATCACCTGAGGTCAGGAGTTTGAGACCAGCCTGGCCAACGTGACGAAACCCCATGTCTACTAAAAATACAAAAATTAGCCAGGCATGGTGGTGCGTGCCTGTAATCCTAGCTACTCAGGAGGCTGAGACAAGTGAATCACTTGAACCCAGGAGGAGGTTGTAGTGAGCTGAGATAGCGCCCTTGCACTCCAGCCTGGGTGACAGAGTAAGACTCCGTCTCAAAAAAAAAAGAAAGAAAAGGGAGAAGGTCAGGACTAAATTAAAGCTAGGGTGTGAGGCTGAGGAGTCTTATCAGAAGATGGAAGCATAAGGCATGTTTGGGAAGGAGGGAAGGCTGATTCTGGTCTATAACCTAGCTTCTGTCTCTCAATGGCATGCGACCTGTTACCCCTCCAGATGCCCATCCAGGGAGGACTTCCCCCTGATTGAGACAGAGGATGAGGCTTACCTGCGGCGAATTAAGAGTAAGTCCACCCACAAGGAGCTCCTTAGTAATTTATAATACATTCACACAATGGAATATTATGCAACTGTTAAAAAGATGAGATGGCTCTATGAGGGCTGGTGTAGATCCACAACTGAAACATATTAAGTGAAAAAAGCAAGGTTTAAAACAATGTAAAGTGTATACTACCATGTGTGTAAAAATAATATGGAAGACCAAGGTTGGGTGAGTAACTTACTTTTTCACTGTAAGGCCTTATATTAGTTAGGGTATGATTTAACTGCTATACTAAAAGACCACAAAAATCTTCTTCCTTAAAAAAGGAAGTAGATTGGCCGGGCGCGGTGGCTCACGCCTGTAATCCCAGCACTTTGGGAGGCCGAGGTGGGCGGATCACGAGGTCAGGAGATTGAGACCATCCTGGCTAACACGGTGAAACCCCGTCTCTACTAAAAAATACAAAAAAAAAATTAGTCGGGGGTGGTGGCGGGTGCCTGTAGTCCCAGCTACTCAGGAGAGTGAGGTAGGAGAATGGCATGAACCTGGGAGGCGGAGCTTGCAGTGAGCTGAGATCACGCCACTGCACTCCAGCCTGGGCAACAGAGGGAGACTCCATCTCAAAAAAAAAAAAAAAAAAAGAAGTAGATTGGCTGGATGCAGTGGCTCACGCCTTTAATCCCAGAAGGATTTGGGAGACAGGAGGATCTCTTGAGGTCAGGAGTTCGAGACCAGTCTGGGCAACAAAACATACATAGCAAGACCCTGTCTCTACAAAAAATTAAAAAAAAAAAAATAGCTAGGCATGATGGTACACACCTGTAGTCCTGGCTACTCGGGAGGCTGAGGTGGGCGGATTGTTTGAGCCCAGGAGTTCAAGGCTGTAATACACTATAATTGCACCACTGCACTCCAGTCTGGGTAACAACAACAACAAAAAAAACCCCAACAAGGTAGAATATTATTGCTGTCAACATAACAGTTCAAAGTGGGAAGTGCAGAGTAGTGGTGCAGCTCTGCCATCTTTAACATGAAGTTTTCATCTCTATGTCATGTCTGAAGTGGCTACTCCAGCTCCCACTGTCACACCTGTATCACACCTAGCAAGGAGGAGTAAAGGAATAGAGTTTATACCCTTTTTTCTTTTTCTTTCTTTCTTTTTTTTTTTTTTTTTTTTGAGACAGGGTCTTGCTCTGTCGCCCAGGGTGGAGTGCAGTGGCGTGGCGTGATCTCGACTCACTGCAACCTCCATCTCCCACGTTCAAGTGATTCTCCTGCCTCAGCCTCCCAAGGAGCTGGGATTACAGGCATCCACCACCACTCCTGGCTAATTTTTGTATTTTTAGTAGAGATAGGGTTTCACCATGTTGGCCAGGCTGGTCTCGAACTCCTGGCCTCAAGTGATCCACCTGCCATGCCCAGCCTATACCCATTTCTTTTAAGAGCAGATCTGGAAGATGCTCATATCCATTGGCCAGAATGTAGTCATGTAGCAATATAGTCACGTGCAAGTCAGGCTGGAAAACATAGTTGTTAACTGGGCAGCCATGTGTGCCCAGATGAAACTTCTATGCATTTTCTCATTAAAGGAAGATGGAAAGAATGAACACTGTTGGACAACCTGCAACCCCTTCCACAAATCTTTTTTTTTTTTTTTTGAGACAGAGTCTTGCTGTGTCGCCCAGGCTGGAGTGCAGTGGTGTGATCTCGGCCTCACTGCAACCTCTGCCTCCTGGGTTCAAGCGATTCTTGTGCCTCAGCCTCCTGAGTAGCTGGGACTACAGGCGCGTGCCACCACACCTGGCTAATTTTTGTATTTTAAGTAGAGACAGGGTTTTGCCATGTTAGCCAGGCTGGTCTTGAACTCCTGGCCTCAAGCGATCCACCTGCCTTGGCCTCCCAAAGTGCTGGGATTACAGGTGTGAGCCACTACACCTGACCAACAGAAAGCTTTTTCTTTTTTATAAATGCCAAAATAACAAAATTAAGTCTGCCACACTGCCCCACCCTACCCCTCTCCCCTAGGGCTGTCCTCTACTGGCGCTCTTGCATACCCCTACGTCCTCTCATGTCCTCACTTGTTCCTTATCTGCAGTGGAGTTGCAGCAGAAGGACCGGGCACTGGTGGAGCTGCTGCGAGAGAAGGTCGGGCTGTTTGCTGAGATGACCCATTTCCAGGCCGAAGAGGATGGTGGCAGTGGGATGGCCCTGCCCACCCTGCCCAGGGGCCTTTTCCGCTCTGAGTCCCTTGAGTCCCCTCGTGGCGAGCGGCTGCTGCAGGATGCCATCCGTGAGGGTGAGGGAGCTCCCAGGGAAGAGTCCAGGCTCAAGCACTCACCGTCACAGAATGTGGACATGTGACTAGACATGGACAAACACAGACAAGTGGGATGCCAACCCTATAAACCATAAACGGCCCTGAGTGCCTCTTCTGGGCCAGTTCCTGGGAAAGGCAGGGGAGGAGGTGTGGTCCTTGCTGCTGCTCCATATCGTCCATGCTGCATGGACTCTGCTGCCTCGTAGGCATTTACTGCCCTTTACCTCATCAGTGGTTGTGTGAGTGAAACCCCACTGCCAGTGCAGGGGGCATTCCCCCAGATGCCCAAGTGTCCCACATGTGGGGGTGAATGGCATTCCCCTCAGGGTCCTGTGTCATTCCTGTTCTCACCTCTTCCTCTTTCCCCACAGTGGAGGGTCTGAAAGACCTGCTGGTGGGGCCAGGAGTGGAACTGCTCTTGACACCCCGAGAGCCAGCCCTGCCCTTGGAACCAGACAGCGGTGGTAACACGAGTCCTGGGGTCACTGCCAGTGAGTACCAGGGCAGGGGACCAAGGTAGTAGGTGGGAGGGGCCAAAGTTAGTAGAGTGGTACCAGGGATCAAGTGGTATCAGGGCCCCAGGGAAGTGAGCTCAGCCATCCTTTTCTCCTTCTCAACAGATGGTGAGGCCAGAACCTTCAATGGCTCCATTGAACTCTGCAGAGCTGACTCAGACTCTAGCCAGAGGGTAGGTCCTCAAGAGGTTCTGGGACTTGGCAAGAGGGTGGGAGAGGGACAGCCAGCCTCTGGATCCTCAACACAAAGCTGTCAGGGGCAGGCACCCAGGATTTGTGTGCCTGCTGACTCCCCATTCTTGCCCATTTCTGCAGGATCGAAATGGAAATCAGCTGAGATCACCGCAAGAGGTGAGATGGGAATTGATGGTATAGGAGACTGAAGGGAGGATGTTCTTAGTCTGAGTAGTTAGAGCCCAGTTTGGAGTGGGGTGGGGAAAGCGTCTACATTCAAGTATGTCTCCGGATCCTACTGTCCCCACACCCACCCTTGTTCAACTTTTGGGCAGTTCTCCCATCCTAAAGCTGGGGCCCTGTTCCCACCCTGTCTGTCCTCAGGAGGCGTTACAGCGATTGGTCAATCTCTATGGACTTCTACATGGCCTACAGGTCAGTAGGACAAGGGCTTGAATGGGGAAGGGGAGGAGCCAGGCTAGAGATGCCTGTTTAGGTGGGGCATGGTCATCCCAACAGGCCTTTCTAAATACCCTCCCAATCCAAGCTCTCCAGGAGCGATGATCTGGGCCTTGGAGGGTGAAGGCGAGGGGTAGAAGAGCACAGGGGTTCTGATAAACCCTTCTGCCTGCATTCTACTCCCAGGCAGCTGTGGCCCAGCAGGACACTCTGATGGAAGCCCGGTTCCCTGAGGGCCCTGAGCGGCGGGAGAAGCTGTGCCGAGCCAACTCTCGGGATGGGGAGGCTGGCAGGGCTGGGGCTGCCCCTGTGGCCCCTGAAAAGCAGGCCACGGAACTGGCATTACTGCAGCGGCAACATGCGCTGCTGCAGGAGGAGCTACGGCGCTGCCGGCGGCTAGGTGAAGAACGGGCAACCGAAGCTGGCAGCCTGGAGGCCCGGCTCCGGGAGAGTGAGCAGGCCCGGGCACTGCTGGAGCGTGAGGCCGAAGAGGCTCGAAGGCAGCTGGCCGCCCTGGGCCAGACCGAGCCACTCCCAGCTGAGGCCCCCTGGGCCCGCAGACCTGTGGATCCTCGGCGGCGCAGCCTCCCCGCAGGCGATGCCCTGTACTTGAGTTTCAACCCCCCACAGGTAAGGTGGCCTGCAGTGGTGAATGGACCTGGGGTGGACATAAGGGTCCATGGAGCCCGAAAGAAATTGGGCCATTGGGGATTTGAGCCCAAATGCAATCAGTCAACTGACTTGAAGGATATTGAGATACTGGTTGGAGAACTGAAAAGAAATGTAGATGGGTGCAGGGGTGGAGGAAATTAACTCGGGTCGTGGTGCTGAAAGAGGCCAGTTGGTGGTGGATCTCCTGAAGGGGACTCATGGGTGAGCCCCAGGGGGGAGAGCTGCTGCCTTCAGCCAAGCAGAACCTCCAATCTTCACACTACTCAGTCCCTGACCTGCTGTTCTTCCTGCCCACTGTCCACAGCCCAGCCGAGGCACTGACCGCCTGGATCTACCTGTCACTACTCGCTCTGTCCATCGAAACTTTGAGGACCGAGAGAGGCAGGAACTGGGGAGCCCCGAAGAGCGGCTGCAAGACAGCAGTGACCCTGACACTGGCAGCGAGGAGGAAGGTAGCAGCCGTCTGTCTCCGCCCCACAGTCCACGAGGTGAGACCCTGGCGGAGACATGGACCAGAGGTAGAGTGCAGCCTGGGTACAGGCCATTGGGCTGTGGCTTCCAAATGGGCCCTAACTGACCTGTGAGGCTTGTAGTAACTCTAGGGAGGGACTTCCTGTTTTGTCTGATGATGAATGGGTGGTGGAAGTCTAGGAAGCAGGAGGGGCCTCTCTCCTCCAACTGGTTGGTGATTCCCAACCTTTAGAAGTAAAAACAGATTCTTTTTTAAAAAGGCATGGCGGCTCAGGCCTGTAATCCTAACACTTTGGGAGGCCAAGGCAGGAGGATCGCTTGAGCTCAGAATTTTGAGGCCAGCCTGGGCAACATAGTGAGACCCACCTTCTCTACAAAAAAAAATTCATTTATTTATTTTTTTATTTTATTTAATTAATTTATTTCATTATTATTTTTTGAGATGGAGTCTTGCACTGTTGCCTGGGCTGGAGTGCAGTGGCGTGATCTTGGCTCACTGCAACCTCTGCCTTCCAGGTTCAAGCGATTCTCCTGCCTCAGCCTCCCAAGTAGCTAGGATTACAGGCGCCCACCGCCACGCCCAGCTAATTTTTGTATTTTTAGTAGAAATGGGGTTTCACTATGTTGGCCAGGTTGGTCTTGAACGGCTGACCTCGCGATCCACCTGTCTTGGCCTCCCAGAGTGTCGGGATTACAGGCATGAGCCACCACGCCTGGCTAAATTTTTTTTTTTTTTGAGATGGAATTCTCACTCTGTCGCCAGGCTGGAGTACAGTAGTGAGATCTCCGCTTACTGCAACCTCCGCCTCCCAGGTCCAAGTGATTCTCCTGCCTCAGACTCCCGAGTAGCTGGGACTACAGGCACATGCCTCCACGCCCAGCTAATTTTTGTATTTTTAGAAGAGATAGGGTTTCACCATGTTGCCCAGTCTGGTCTCAATCTCTTGACCTCATGATCCGCCTGCCTTGGCCTCCCAAAGTGCTGGGATTACAGATGTGAGCCACTGCACCCGGTCTATTTTATTTTATTTTATTTTATTTTATTTTATTTATTTATTTATTTAAGATGGAGTCTCACTCTGTCACCCAGGCTGGAGTGCAGTGGCACAATCTCAGCTCACTGCAACCTCCACCTCCTGAGTTCAAGTGATTCTCCTGCCTCAGCCTCTCGAGTAGCTGGGATTTACAGGCATGCACTACCACACCTGGCTAATTTTTTTTGTATTTTTTAGTAGAGATGGGGTTTCACCATGTTGGCCAGGCTGGTCTCGAACTCCTGGCCTCAGGTGATTCACCCACATTGGCCTCCCAAAGTGCTGGGATTACAGGTGTGAGCCACCGTGCCTGGTCCCCCAAAATTTTTTTAATTAGCCAGGTGTGGTGGAGTGAGCCTGTAGTCCTAGCTACGGAGAGTGAGAGTGAGGTGAGAGGATCACTTGAGCCCAGCAGGTTGAGTTGACAGTACTCCGTGATTGCTCCAGCCTGGGCGACAGAAAGAGACCCGGAGACCCAGACAGAGGATCTCACTCTAAAATTTTTTATGTTAGAGAGAGGGTCTTGTGCTGTTGCCGAGGCTGGACTCAAACTCCTGGGCTTAAGTGATCCTCCCAAGTAGCTGGGGCTACAGGTACATACCACTGTGCCTGGGAAGGTATAGTTTTTTGTTTTGTTTTGTTTTGTTTTTTTTGAGACAGTTTTGCTCTGTCACCCAGGCTGGAGTGTAGTGGCACAATCTCAGCTCACTGCAACTTCCACCTCCCAAGTTCAAGCAATTCTTGTTCCTCAGCCTCCCGAGTAGCTGGGATTACAGGCGCATGCCACCACATATAGCTAATTTTTGGCATTTTTAGTAGAGATGGGGTTTCACCATGTTGGCCAGGCTGGTCTCCAACTCCTGGCCTTAAGTGATTCTCCCACCTTAGCCTCCCAAAGTGTTAGGATTATAAGCACGAGCCATGGGGCCAGTTTTTAAAGTAAAAAAAGTTTCAAAGAACTTCAAGTTTTTACAGTTGGTTCATGAAATAAAAAATTACCAAAAGCTTTAACCTTAAAGTATTTTGTATTTTCCTAATCAAATTGTATCTTTGGATACTGTAAAAGTGTATCCGGTACCTAGGTATGGATACCTTGCTTACTTTGTTGCCAAAGGTTTTCCTCTCACCCAAGAATTTACAGAACCCTGTCATCCCTTCACAGCCCCAGAGCCCCCTGAGCCTGCAGATGGGGAGGCATTAGTCTAGGGGTACAGTTCCTCATGGGAGTCTCTGCTAACTCACTGGCTTTGTCCTGTCCCCCTTCAGACTTTACCAGAATGCAGGACATCCCGGAGGAGACGGAGAGCCGCGACGGGGAGGCTGTAGCCTCCGAGAGCTAAGGGGGCCCCTCCCCCCTGCCCCGTGCCCCACTGAAGAACATTACTGAGGGGGCTAACCTTGGGGACTCCAATTTGCCAATGATGAGGGAACATTTGAAAGAACTGCAAATTGTCCTTGCCAGCTCTTGGGATCCTTGGATACCTGGGGCCATTTAAGAAGCTAGGGGAATTAGGCCACAACACCCCCTGGGACATCCGAAAGCTACACCACAGATGCCAGTGGTTCATGCCTTCTTCCCGCAACTTTAGGAAAATTTATTTATTTATTGTTTATTAGTTATGGGGGGAGAGGGGAGATTTAAAGGACCAGGGACATGGGAACCAAGCCATAGGGATCAGAGGGCCTTGTCCTTGAACACTACTGGGGTATATTCAGGCTCATCCACGCAGCTGCTGGGTTCTTGCCCTAACGGCCCTCCCCTGCAACATCCGTCTTGGAGGAGAGGCTGCAGCCACAGCACCCTACTGCCCTTTAAATAAAGGAGGGCTGTGGGCAGGGCCATGTCCCTTTCTCCTCTCCCCTCAACCTCTTACTGCTGTTCTCCCTTTCTCCGTCCTTCATGGAAGCCCTGGGAGATAACCTGGCTTCCTGGAGTTGATGGAATAAAGGTTGGGGTGGCCATAATGGTTTGTTGGGGGTGAGGGAAAAAACCCACAGGGACCAGAATGTTTTGTTGTTCTTTTGTTTTCTTTTTTGTACCAAAGTCAACTGCACGTGTTTTATATTTTTAAGAGATCGTAGGCAATTAGAGATCGAAGCCTCCTATCTCCACATCTCTGAAGAAGTTGAGGGGTGGGGGAGAGAATGACTTCTGCCTTCATCTGCAGTAACGGGGGGACCTATACTGACCTCTTCCCCAGCCATTTAGAAACAAGTTCTAGGGTGGGTTGGAAAATCTCCAAGAGCCCTGACCTCATCTTCCACCTCAGCAACCATGACCTGAAACCTCAGCGTGAATTTGGGGGATTTTTCAGTGGAACCCTTGCCCCCAAATGTCGACCAGCCCCCAAATGTCGAAGAATTTTCTTCTTGCCAATTTTGTTGTTTAAAAAAAAAATTCAGGGAAAATTAAAAACCTGGAACTCCATAAGGTACTGTCTTCCATAATGTCTGCCAATTCTGAGGAGGATGGTAGTAGAGAGCCGGGCAGTGACCTAAGTTCCTCTGAAAGGGGCCTTTTCCTCTCACCGCAAGGACAGCCTCTGCCTCACTGAAGAGAGGGGGCACTAACAAAAGTAACCACTGCAAATCTTTTTTTTGTTTTTTTAATTCACAAATACAAGGATAAAAACAAAGGGGCACACAGGTTCCAATGTTGGGAATTCCGGTATCAGGAAAAGTGTGTTCATCGTATTTGTATGCCATGCTCAGCAATCACCTCCACCTATTGCCCCCATCCCCAGTGTCATTCATTGTCAGATCCATCCCCCACTAGGCCCTTGTTGATCTCCATGATGTCGGGCCCTGGGGTTACCCGTCACAGGAGCTGCTCATTTACTGTCCCTCTTTGAGAGGCAGTGAGAGATGAGCTGGTTTCAGTTCTTGGTTTTAGTTGGTTTTACTTCCTGTTCCCAGTTGGTACTTACTTTGGGGCTGTGGGGGAGGGGAGGAGGTGAGAGTCTAGGGTTGTATAAATGCTGGTATGAATTCACATCCCTGTTGGAGCCTGTGGGGTCAGATCAGGAGAAGGGGGCTCAGGCCCTCAGCTAGAAAGAGGAATTGAAGTCACATGGGGAGCAGGCTGGGGGAGCAGCCAGCACCCTCCCCTTCTGTAACTCTCATCCACCAGCATCAAGCCTTTACAAGGTGCTTTCTCAGCCATTACGGGGATCCTGAGAATGGGGAATTGTTCTCATTTTATGGGCCGGGAAACCTAGGTGCACGAAGCTTGCCAGGCCAGGAGGGGGCCGGCCTTCTTAGTTCCAGTCCACCACTTTTCTCTCTTGGCTACTCTGCCTAAAAATACCAGGGCTGGCTGGGTGCAGTGGCTCACGCCTATAATCCCAGCACTTTGGGAAGCTGAGTTGGGTGGATCACTTGAGGCCAGGAGTTCGAGACCAGCCTGGCCAACATGGTGAAACCCCATCTCTACTAAAAATACAAAAATTAGCCGGGCGTGATGGCGGGCACCTGTATTCCCAGCTACCTGGGAGGCTGAGGTGGGAGAATTGCTTGAACCCGGGAGGCAGAGGTTGCAGTGAGCCGAGATTGTGCCACTGCACTCCAGCACTCCAGCCTGGGTGACAGAGCAAGACCCTGCCTGGAGAAAAGAAAAAAAAAAAAACACCAGGGCTTCACATTTCACACACAGGGACACAGGGCTCAGCAGCTGTCTTCCAGGTCAGCTGGAAGTATCTCCGACCCAGAGCTGTGAGGGTGGCACCTTTAGGTGGGGAAGGAAGGTAGGTGGGGGTAGGGTGAGGATATTAGACAGCATGCAGAGACCACCAAGAAAGGGGAATGCAGGCTCTCCCAGAATGCCCCACAGATCCAATGAGAGATGCTGGTCAGCAGAGAACATGGAAACCTGGAGACACAGCCCAGAGTGGGTGTGAAGTCCCCCGCTGCTTTCTTTGAAGCAGTGCTGTCCCTTCTGCCACCCCGTACCAACCCCCTCCACACACACACACACACACACACACACACACACACACACACACCTTCAGCCCCAGAACATGGGGCACAAGCATTTGTCTGATGTGTCTACTCCTGAGAGCTAGGCCTCTTCCTCACATCTTTCACCGTTGTGTCCCCTGTCCCCTCCCTAACCCACTTTTGGGAACCCACAGTCTTAACCTCTGTCCCTCCTGCTGAAGTTTCAAAGCCATTTGGCTTGGTGTTCCAGGGAGCCAGGGCCCAGGTTCTCACCAAAACATTGCCTTCCCTCCGTTCCAAGGGGAGCTCCAGGCCGCCTGCTCTGCCCAGCCCTCCCTTCTCCATCCTCCACTGCACCCTCCTCGTTCCACTCCCCCACAAGAGTAGGTCTTTGTGCATGCAGTTCATCTCTAACTTGGACCTGTGTACACTTTGTCAATATTTACCTCTGGGGCCCATAAAGCAGAGATGCCCCCAGAGGAGCCAATATCCGGAGCCCAGCAAAGCCATCAGAGGGAGCTGCTGGGGTGGGAAGATGGGTGCTTAGGTGGTGAGGGATTTTCCATTGCCTGCATGGGCTAGGAATAGACGTGGAGTTTTGGAACTAGTTTAAACATCATCAAAAAGAGGAAATTAAACAAGAGGCTAATTAAGTTCCTTTCACATTGCTTAATCTGTTGTGAATTGGGTGCCTCTTTGGAGCCTCCTCTGCCCAGCAATTAAAGGAACTGGGACAGGGGGCACCTGGAGGCACTGTGGCCTCCCCCTTCACAGGGCGCTCTGCACTTAATAAGGCGGCACTGCTCCCAGCTGCTGCCCCAGGAGCCTGAGCAGCCTGCGTCCTCATAGGTTACAAGTCATGCCAGAGAGCTTGGGGCGGGGGGCGGTGGGGGGGCAGTGGAAGTGGGAGCTCTACCTCATCTTCCCTCTGCCTCCCTCCTTTCTAGGGGCTGCCTCCTAGAAAATCCTTCTGATGGCTAACCTTTATCATTGATGCATCTCAATACAGGAACCAAAGAGGAACCCCTGTCCTGGAGAACACACCTTCAAGAGGGGCTTAGGGGCCAACCTCTGAGTTCTTTATGTGAGACTTTCATTATACCCCACTTCAGAGCATATACAACCATTCCAGCTGAGACATGGTTCCCCATCCCCATCTCCCAGCTGCACGCTTATTTCCTCCCATCTCTCTGTCTCCATTTTACACAGGGTGTAAGAATAATAGCTCGACCGGGTGCGGTGGCTCACGCCTGTAACTCCAGCACTTTGGGAGGCCGAGGTGGGCAGATCACTAGAGGTCAGGAGTTTGAGACCAGCCTGGCCAATATGGTGAAACTCTGTCTCTATTAAAAATTACAAAAAATTGGCCAGGCATGGTAGCGGGAGCCTGTAGTCCCAGCTACTCGGGAGGCTGAGGCAGGAGAATCGCTTGAACCCGGGAAGCGGAGGTTGCAGTGAGCTGAGATCACACCACTGCACTCCAGCCTGGGCGACAGAACGAGACTCTGTCTCAAACAAACAAACAAACAAACAAGAATAATAGCTAACAGTATATTTCACTGTTAAATCTTTAGTAGCCCATTTTACAGTTGAGAACAGTGAGGTACAAAGAGGTAAAGTAATTTGCTGGAGGTAAAGCTGTGAATCCAGGTGCTCTGACACTCAAATTGATACTCTGGGCTTTGCATTTGGGGCAGGGAGGACTAGCACCACTTTCTGAGGTCTCTGCTTTTCTGGCTCTACCTGCAGCCTGTTCTCCCAGCCCCCTCCCCTCTTTAATCGCTCACCTCCCTTCACCCCACCCATGTCTTTGACTTGTCATTATCTTCACTTCTTTCAAATCCTGATTTAAAGGGAGACACACAGGCACTCCCGTCAGCACCAGGGTTTTACACCCAGGGCCTGGCAGGTGCTGGAAATTCCAGCAATACCCCACACCTGGCATCCCTTCAAGGGAACTACAGCTTTTGCAGCTGAGGCCTCTGCAGGCAGCAAGTTTCAGTGGTCACCACTGAGATGGTAAGGTGAGGACAGGGGAAGCTGGCATTTTTGGCCTTGATACCGGAGAAAGACAAGGGATACCCTGTTTTGAGGTGGGGGGTGGGTACAGAGAGAGATGGGCACTGACCTCTGATTCATTAGCCTAGAACCCTTAGGGAAGTTTTCCTAGGTATTCTTGCAGAAAGCAGAAATGGAGCAACGAATCCTTTTGTTCCATACTGAACTGGAGGTGGAACTGGGATAAAAGGTCAAGACAATTTGTGGATAATCCAGAGGTTTATTCTCAGATCCTCTTCTTTCCCATCTCCAAATAAAGACTTAAGCTTTGTCACATCCAGCTCTGATCTGAGCCCCCGCCTCCCCCATTCACCACACCCAGAGTTGGGGATCAAAGATCAGACTTTTCCCTGAGGGCACTGCAGCCTGGCAGAGAGGGCAGCTTCTCCCCAGGACTCAAGGATCCTACACTTGGTGGATCTCAGAAAGAGGAGTGTGTTCAGCTTGCGCCCTTCACCCGGGTGTCCCTCTGTCCAGGTTGGTGAGCAGGGTAGAAGGGCGGCTCTCCCGGGGGTTGCTTGCGACCCACCGCCTGCCTACCTGCTTTAGGGCCACCTGTTGCACCCAGCCTCCGCCCTGGGGCCACAGCCTCAACCGCAGATCCCTGAAGGTGCCTGCCAGAGCCTGCCGGGGCTCCCGCCTCAGGAGACAGTACAGCACAGGGTTGAGGCAGCTATTGCTGTGTGCCAAGCAAGTAGTGACAGGGAAGACATACGTCTGGATAGTATAGAAAGTACTGTTCCAGGGCACCAGGTCAAACTTCACCAGGACACCCCAGAGAGTGACCACATGGTTGGGAAACCAGCAGAGGAAGAAGGAAGCCACCAGGATGCGGACAGAGCGGGCCACGACCCTGCTGTCCTGCCGCCGCCGTTGCCGCCGCTGCAGGAAGGCCAGCAGCAGCAGGTAGCTGGTGGTGATGACGCCCAAGGGCACCATGAAAGCCAGCACCACCCTCTGCAGCTGGTAGGCCCCCAGCCAGTACCTGCTGGGGAAACGCAGCAGGCAAAGGCGCACACCACACACCTCACCCTCCACCCCGAAGACAGCTGTGGGCACCGTCACCAGGGCAGCCGCCGCCCACACTGCCAGGGTGGCTATTCGGGCCCAGAAGAGTGAGAGGTGGGTGCCTGGCCCCGCAGCCATGGCCACCACCCAGTAGCGAGCAACGCTCAGCGCTGTGATGAGGAAGATGCTGGCATAGACGTTGAGGACAGTGGCCGTCAGAACCATCTTGCAGAGGGCACCTCCGAAGGGCCAGTGAAAGTCCAGTGCCGACTCGGCTGCCCAAAAGGGGAGAGTGAGTGCCAGTCCCAGGTCCGCCAGAGCCAGGTTGAAGACGAAGGTGTCTGAAGGTGGGCCAGGGGCTCTCCGGGCACAGTTACTCAGTACCCACAGCACCGCCAAATTTCCCAGCAAGCCAATGGCCCCCACAAGCCCATAGGCCAGGGCAACCATGAGCCTCAGGGCTAGGAATTTGACAGGCATCGGAGCATCATCAGCACTCAGCACACTGCCTCCGGAGGCATTGGCCCAGAAGAATGTGGGTGGAGAGGCAGAAGTATTGAGTGTGGGCATCGCAGGGCATCAGAGATTGGTGGTGCTGAGAAGAGAGGTCTGCAAGTGTCTGCCAGACTGGCAGAGGCCACTGAAGGCTCTAGGAAGGAGGCTGTAGAATTAAGTGCTTCTCTGGGGCCTCTGGTGAGCCCTGGCCCACGCCCACACCTCAGAGGGAGGGGTGTGGAAAGGACAACCCACCACCTTCCTGTTGGTCAAGATTGGTGGTAGGTGGGGCAGGGCGAGGCACAGCCTGAATGCCAGGGTATATGTGCATGCGCCCGCCTGTAAGAGGGGCTCTAAATGGCAGAGAGGGAGGGGAGAAGGGAGAGTTACCCCGCTATGGAGGGCAGCCCCAAGCCTCCACCCCAGGGAGAGAGCTGGAGGTTCCCTGTCCCAGAGATGACAGGAACCAAACTAGAGCTGCCTCTGTTCCTAACAGTGCAGAGGCCTCCCTCCTCTGCAGAAAGTGTTCCCTTGGGGCCCAAAGCAAGGGGCCTGGGAGGTGGCATAGAGGCAGGGAATCAGCATGGGTGTCCAAGAGAGGAAAGAGCGGAGGCTGCGGAGTCCCAGACCTGCTGCTCACTAGCCGTGTGACTGGGAGAGTTACTTTACTCCCCTAAGCCTGTTTTCTTGCTTAAAATTTTCAGGTAAGTCTGCTTCACAGGAGTGGCATGATGCAATGAGAGAACACATGTGAAATAGCAATTTGTATGAATATTATTTCAAAGGAGAAGTTTGGGGTGTTTGTGGCAGAAGGGTACTGAGAGGCTATTACCATGCCCAGGGAACAGTGCCAACTAAAACAGGTTGGAATTCATCTCAGCAGCAGTGACCTTGAGGCTAAGAGCAGGGAGGGAAAAGAGAGAGGAAGTCACAGCTTCCTGTTTCCTCCCCACTGGGAACACTGGGCCTATGAGGGCCTGTGTGGACCTGGGCATGCCCTCAGTTCTGTTCCTGCTCCTGATAATTAAACATTCCTGCTAACCTCTATCGCCGCCTTTCCCCCCTTTCCTGCTCTAGTCTGTGGACAGAGCTCAGCGGTCCCCCTACTCTCTCCTGCAAACCCCATGTCAGAGCTAAGGATCCTGAGATACGCCCTCACCACACCTCATCCTGTCTCCCCATGATCTCAATCATAACTGGAAAAAAAAAATGCTTCATTGGGCCCTCCCCTTTCATTGCCTACATCTCTACCTACTGCAGAAGGAGCTGAGGTGGGGACAAAGAGAAGGCAGGAGGTGGATAGGTAAAAGAGTAAGGCTTTCTCAAGGATTCCAATATATTCAGCCCCTTCTTGCCCTCTGCCAGCTAATTAAGATAACGTTCGATGTTCAGTTCCTTTGGAGTGCTGAGGGAAGAGAGGGGCCCTTTGCGACAATAAATCAGCAGTGGGCTTGTGAACACATAGGAGAAACCCAGAGGTGAGAGTGATACAGGCTGGGTGCCAACATGTTGGGGCTTTCGAACCAGGGATGAGTATAAAGGGGGTGGCAGAAGGGGAGTGCCCAGCCCAAGGTCAGGTGAGCCCCACAGGCTACCTTCTGGCCTCATGGCTGCTCCTGTGTGACTGTGTCATCACTGTCTCTCGGGGCCATGTCTACTCCTCTGCCCACCCAGAATCACCCTGCTAATCTGGCAATTAAGATAACTGCTTGGCCAGACGAGGTGGCTCATGCCTGTAATCCCAGCACTTTGGGAGGCCGAGGTGAGCGAATCACCTGAGGTCGGGAGTTCAAGACCAGCCTGACCAACATGGGGAAAGCCCGTCTCTACTAAAAATACAAAATTAGTGGCGCGTGGTGGCGAGTGCCTGTAATCACAGCTACTCGGGAGGCTGAGGCAGGAGAATCACTTGAACCCGGGAGGCAGAGATTTTGGTGAGCTGAGATCACACCACTGCACTCCAGCCTGGGCGACAGAGCGAGACTCCATCTCAAAAAAAAAAAAAAATTTTTTTTCTTTTTTTCTTTTTTTTTTGGTTGAGAAGAGGTCTCACTCTGTCACCCAGGCTGGAGTGCAGTGGCACAATCTTGGCTCAGTGCCTCGACCTCCCCAGGCTCAGGTGATCCTCCTACCTCAGCCACAGGAATGTGCTACCACACAGGCTAATTTTTGTATTTTTAGGAGAGATGGGGTATCCCTATGTTGCCCAGGATTGTCTTGAACTCCTGGGCTCAAGCAACCCTCTCACCTCACCCTCCCAAAGTGCTGGGATTACAGCCATAAGCCACCACGCCTAGCATCAAAAATATTCTTGAAATGACCTCAGGTGATCCTCCTGCCTTGGCCTCCCAAAGTGCTGGGATTACAGGCATGTCAGGAGATCGAGACCATCCTGGCTAACATGGTGAAACCCCATCTCTAAAAAAAAAAAATACAAAAATTAGCCGGGTGTGGTGGCAGGTGCCTGTAGTCCCAGCTACTCGGGAGGCTGAGGCAGGAGAATGGTATGAACCCGGGAGGTGGAGCTTGCAGTGAGCCGAGATCGTGCCACTGCACTCCAGCCTGGGCGACAGAGTGAGACTCCGTCTCAAAAAAAAAAAAAAAAAAAAATCAGCTGGTCATGGTGACACTTTGGGAGGCTGAGGCGAATGGATTGCTTGAGCCCAGTAATTCAAGACCAGTCTGGGCAACATGGCAAAACCCCATCTCTACAAAAGATAACAAAAAATTAGCCAGGCATGGTGGTTCATGCCTGTGGTTCCAGCTACTTGGTTCCAGCTACTCTACTAAAAATACAAAACAACAACAACAAAAAATTAGCTGGGCGTGGTGGCGGGCACCTGTGATGTGGGAGGATCACCTGAGACTGGGAGGTCAAAGCTGGAGTGAGCTGTGATCATGCCACCGCACTCCAGCCTGGGTGACAGAGTGAGACCCCCGTCTCAAAAAAAAAAAAAAACCCACAAAAAACAAAAAAACACTGGGTAACCTCATGGCAATCCAAGCACATGGCACAAAGTATAGCCAGGCCTCATAGGGGCTAGAAATGGGGCTATACACTCTAATTCTTTTTGAATAGCTGCTCCATTATTCTTTTTGAATAGCTGCTCCATTATTCTTTTTGATAGATTTCCCCTTGTAAGAAAGTGGAAAAATATTTCTAAAACTATTTTTAGAGGTGACATCAGAATCCCTCACAGGAAATCTCCTTGTTTGGAAAAATTATTCAATAAATGCTTGAGGTAGTACCCCTGGGGTGATGTGGTGAATACTGGAGACACTGAGAAAGCCCACCCTCCATCTTTTCTTTTTTTCCCATCACAACTCCTACTGCTGTGGGAAAGAATATTAGGCCAAAAGAGCATGACCCGGTTTGGCATTTTCCAAGGTTGGGCTGATCTAAATGAGTTTGAGGGAGATACTCTGGAGACAGGTATGGGAATGTAGCACCACCATCTGGAGAAAAGGGGACTGAATCTTAGCTAGAAAGTGCCACTGAAACACAGGGGGAGTAGCAAGGAGAGGAGACTGACAGAGAGGTTATGGGACCTAGCTCTATGGATTTTATGTGCTCTCCATGGTGTCACTGCTTTAGAGTTGGTAGTAAATGACCTAATAATACCTAAATGACCACTAGGAAAGAATAATTGATTCATATGTCAATTTTTTGACCATGCACCCAACAGAAAGGAAAAATGACCTCAGCCTAACGTATCTCACTTTAGAGAGAGTTTTTCAATTAACAGTAGAACAAAGTGCTATTGAATTGAGTTTAGAAAATCAGATTCCGTTGTATCAATAGAGAAATGTTTTATTATTTTATGTTTCTTTGCTCTGTCACCCAGGCTGGAGTGCAGTGGTGTGATCATGTCTCACTGTAGCCTCAACCTTCTCGATTCAAGTGATTCTGCCACCTCTGCCTCCTGAGTAGCTGAGACTACAGAAGTGCCACCACACTGGCTAATTTTTATTTTTTGTGGAGATGGGGTCTCACTCTGTTGCCCTGGCCTCAAGTGATCCACCAGCCTCGGAATCCCAAAGTGCTGGGATTATAGGCATGAGTCACCTCACTTGGCCATCAAAAGAGAAATGTTATTGGTGAAATTAAGACTTTTATGAGAATTATAAGGCTGGGCACGGGGCTCACACCTGGAATCCCAACACTTTGGGAGGCCGAAGCAGGAGGATCACTTGAGGTCAGAAATTCACGACCACCCTGGTCAACATGGTGAAACTCCATCTCTATTAACAATACAGAAATTAGCCAGGCATGGTGGCAGACACCTGTAATCCCAGCTACTCAGGAAGCTGAGGCAGGAGAATCACTTGAACCTGGGAGGTGAAGGTTGCAGAGAGCTGAGATAGCACCATTGCACTCGAGCCTGGGCAACAAGAGTGAAACTCCATCTCAAAAAAAAAAAAAAGAATTATAAATAAGTGAACTAAACATTTAACTTAAGAAAATAAGGGGGGCCGGGCGCAGTGGCTCATGCCTGTATTCCCAGCACTTTGGGAGGCTGAGGCAGGCGGATCATGAAGTCAGGAGATCGAGACCATCCTGGCTAACACAGTGAAACCCTGTCTCTACTAAAAATACAAAAAATTAGCCGGGCGTGGTGGCAGGCACCTGTATGTAGTCCCAGCTACTTGGGAGGCTGAGGCAGGAGAATGGCGTGAACCCAGGAGGCGGAGCTTGCAGTGTGCCGAGATCGCGCCACTGCACTCCAGCCTGGGCAACAGAGTGAGACTCAAAAAAAAAAAAAAAAAAAAAAAAAAGTAAGGGAGGAAAACAATATAAATTTTCCCAAAAGGAAGGCTGGGTGTGGTGGCTCACGCCTGTAATCCCAGCACTTTGGGAGGCCAAGGCCGACAAATCATCTGAAGTCAGGAGTTGGAGACCAGCCTGGTCAACATGGTGAAACCCCATCTCTACTAAAAATACAAATAATTAGTTGGGTGTGGTGGCACGCACCTGTAATCCCAGCTACTCAGGTGGCTGAGGCAGGAGAATCACTTGAACCCGGGAGGTGGAGGTTGCAGTGAGACAAGATCACGCCACTGCACTCCAGCCTGGGCAACAAGAGTGAAACTTCATCTCAAAAAAAAAAAATTAATATGGAATTGATGAATAAAACTAAAAGCTAGGTTCTTTAACAAGGCAAAAAAAAAAAAAAAGATACGACACAGGAAAGACTAAGGAAAGTAAAAAGAAAAAAGATTTTTAAAAAATTGAAAATATCAAGGGTCGGGGATGATGTGGAGTAATAGGAACCCTGGTACATTGCTGGTGGGCATGTAAAATAGTGTAGCCAGTTGGTTTGGCAGTTCCACAAAAGTTAAACAAGATGTCCATATGACCTAGCAATTCTGCTTCTACATGTAAACCCTAAAGAATTAAAAACAGATACTTAAATACTTGTGAATGTTCACAGCAGCACTACTTACAATACCCAAGAGGTGGAAACAACTCAAATGTTAATCAATGGATGAATGGATAAATTGTGGTCTATACATCCAATGGAAAAGAAATTCAGTGATAAAAAAGAATGAAGTTTATTCAGTGATAAAAAAATGAAGTTCTGACATATGCTACAACATGAATAAACTTTGAAAACACTGTAAGTGAAAGAAGCCAGATACAAAAGGTCACACATTGTATAATTCCATTTATATAAAATGTGTAAAATAGGTAAATCCAGAGAAACAGTAGATTAGTGGTAGCCCATGTCTTGCGGGGCAAGAGAAATGTGAAGTGACTGTTAACAGGTGAGGGGTTTCTTTTTGGGGTGATGAAAATAATCTGGAATTAGATAATGATGATTGTGGCACAATCTTGTGGACACACTAAAAAACACTGAATTGTGCACTTAAATTTACTCTTTAAAAAGGGTAAATTTATGGCATAGGAGTTACATCACAAATTTTTTAAAATGACAAATATAATAAATAATGTAATTTCAATCAGAATCCCAACAGCATTGTGTTTTGGGGAGAAGAGGAAAAGGGGCACTTTGGGGAGGCCGAGGTGGTAGGATCGGTTGAGCCCAGGAGTTTGAGACCAGCCTAGGCAAAATAGTAAGACACCCCCCACCCCCGCACCCCCTACCACCCCGGTCTCTTAAAAAAAAAAAAAAAAAGCCAGGTGTGGTGGCCCGTGCTTGTAGTCCCAGCTACTTCAGAGGCTGAGGTGGGAGGATCAGGAGACTCATTGAAGCTCCAAGACATCCTAAAGGTTAGAAACCTTTAGCCTCGGCAGGGCGCGGTGGCTCACGCCTGTAATCCTACCACTTCGGGAGGCCGAGGCGGGTGGATCACCTGAGGTCAGGAGTTTGAGACCAGGCTGGCCAACATGGCTAAACTGTGTCTCTACTAAAAATACAAAACAACAACAACAAAAAATTAGCTGGGCGTGGTGGCGGGCACCTGTGATCCCAGCTACTTGGGAGGCTAAGGCAGGAGAATCGTTTGAACCCGGGAGGCGGAGAGTGGTTAGCCGAGATCGCGTCATTGCACTTCAGCCTGGGTGACGGAGCGAAACTGTCTCAAAAAAAAAAAAAAAAAAAAAAAAGAAACCTTTAGCCTACAGAATCAACTCAAACTCCTCAGCATAGCATTCAAGGCCTTTCATCTTCTGGCCTCCCACTCCAGCCAGCTCAACCGTTAAGTACACAGATGCCAGAACAGGGTGCTCCATAACCTATGCTTGATCGCCTCTCCAGTACTCAACCGGCTTTTTAGCGTCCCATTCTTAAACGCTCCAGCAAGATGAGCAGCTTATCTTCTTCGACCTTTGCTTAATATACAACTCTATCATACATATTTGCCTGCGTACCTGCCTTGCCACATTGAGAGTACCAGAATGGCAGGGCCTGCGGCTTATTCATCTTTTTATTTTTATATTCCCTGCTTGGTGCACAGAAATGAAGCAAACAAACAGAGAAATTCTCCAAATGATCTTTGCAACGAATCCTTTTCCTTTTCCTAAGTAACAGAAACGTGAAACGGGCAAAAGCCGCGGGAAGGCTGTCTCCCCAGACAGAAACTAGGACTCAACACAAACGTAGCGGAATTTGAGGAGAAACCTGTTTAATCTCCTGACTCATGCATATTGTCTTCTAGTCTAACAACATGCCCACGATAAAGATGGATTCAGCTAGCCCCGATTCCGCATTTATAGTAGGCACAGCAGCCATCTTTCTTAAGGTTAAGGCGCAACCCGGAAGATCACACCCTACCTGCCTCAGAAACGCCAGATGCCTTTAAATCATCGAGAGTCCAATCGGAATCGACATTTTCACCGGAACCGCTCGGCCCCACGACCGGAAGAGGCTGTGCGTAAGAACGTTGGGGGCGGAAGTGACGAGAGGTGGTAGTCGGATAGTTGGCGGGTGGTTGAGTAGAAGCGGTCGCCATGTCCGCGGGGAGCGCGACACATCCTGGAGCTGGCGGGTACGGCTTCAGGGGCGAGGGCATCGGAGCGAGCACTGGGGCGCAGGAGAGGCGGAGGGACCCTGAGAAGCTGCGTATAGGGTGGAAGGGTCCTTAAGTGGGAAGTAAAGGGCTGGACGTTTGGGGAGAAGGATCTTGAGCAGGCCTGGGGCCCTTAAAGGGCCGGCGGGGATCCGAGGGAGGAGGCAAACGGGGACTTTTGGAAGGGCGAGCCAAGGGGAAGGCGTAAACTAGAGCGTGTAGGATAGAGTGGAGTCTTTCGATATAGGTGACAGTAGAAACGAAAGATTTTGGGGAAGGGTTGAAAGTGGGGGTTTGTTAAATAAGCAATAATTGTTTAAGGAGAGGGGAGTTTTAGATTTGGAAGGTGATTCGGAGGTGTAAATGGAATATAATAGAGGGAAAATGGGGTGCTAAGGCGTAGTAAGGAAAGAATAACATACACGAAAGCTTTGGGGCCTAATGTTTTCCTTTTTCTCCATGTAGGCGCCGCAGCAAATGGGACCAACCAGCTCCAGCCCCACTTCTCTTCCTCCCGCCAGCGGCCCCAGGTGGGGAGGTCACCAGCAGTGGGGGAAGTCCTGGGGGCACCACAGCTGCTCCTTCAGGAGCCTTGGATGCTGCTGCTGCTGTGGCTGCCAAGATTAATGCCATGCTCATGGCAAAAGGGAAGCTGAAACCAACTCAGAATGCTTCTGAGAAGGTATTTGAAGTTGAAGGGTCTCCACTAATTGCGAATTTAATAGTTGTTTTGCCGGGCGCGGTGGCTTACGCCTGTAATCCCAGCACTTTGGGAGGCCGAGGCGGGTGGATCACAAGGTCAGGAGTTTGAGACCAGCCTGACCAACATGGTGAAACCCCGTCTCTACTGAAAATACAAAAATTAGTCGGGCATGGTGGCACGCGCCTGTAATCAGCTACTCAGGAGGCTGAGGCAGAACTGCTTGAACCCGGGAGGCGGAGGTTGCAGTGAGCCGAGATTGTGCCAGTGCACTCTAGCCTGGGCGACCCAATGAGACTCCGTCTCAAAAAAAAAAAAAAAAAGTTGTTTGTAATCCTGTAATCGCATAATAATTTGTGTTAGTAAAGGATAAATGGATATAGTAGTTGAGAGATCATTTAGTTTTGGAATGTTCCAGAACACATTTTGTTACAAATACATATTTACGAGGCGTTTTTGATTGGGCTGATTACATTTATGGACCAAATACCTTGTCTTGTCCTTGTTCACTTAGTTCAGCTTAAGCTGTATTTCCATAGTCATTTAAAGCAACATAACATGTTTTTAATATATGTGCTTTTTCCCTGAAGTCAGAGGAGTTCAGGTAAATCAAGTGAGCCCCATAGTGTCATCTCTAATTAGAACCTGTAGGGTTTTATTTATTTATTTATTTATTTTGATAGAGTCTCACTCTGTCACCAGCCTGAAGTGCAGTAGTGGGGTGATCTCGGCTCACTACAACCTCTGTCTCCTGGGTTCAAGTGATTCTGATTCTGCTGCCTCAGCCTCCCGAGTAGCTGGGATTACAGGTGCATGCCACCATGCCCGGCTAATTTTTTTTTGTGTTTTTAGTAGACAGGGTTTCACCATGTTGACCAAGCTCATCTCTGCCTCCCAAAGTGCTGGGATTACAAGTATGAGCCACCAGGCGCAGCCTATTGTTTGCAAAGATTGTGTGAGTCAGTCATCCATTTATAAGGTTTATGAGGAAAAATTAAAAGCATCTTGACAAAGATGTAGTGCTCCTTGTATATTAAGATTTTTAATACTGATGTTAATCGTTTAAGCTCTTTTTTTTTCTTAAAATAATAATCTTTAGGTAGTTGACCTCAGCAGGATACATAAACACTGGATTTAGAATCATAAAACCTAAAAACCCAGAATCCACAGTTTGAAACCCAGAATCCACAGTTACTGGTTACATGGCTTTGGCATAATGAAACTCAGCTTTCTCGTTGGTAATATATACCTGCATTGTGTAGTGCAGTAGTCACTAGCTTCATGTGGCAATTTAAATTAAAATTAAGGGGCTGGGTGTGGTGACTCACACCTGTAGTCCCAGCTCCTCTGTAATTCTTCTTGGATTCTTGGAAGGCTGAGGTGGAAAGATCACCTGAGCCTAGGAGCTTGAGGTTGCATTGAGCTGTCATTTTGCCATTGCACTCCAGCCTGAGCAGCAGAGTGACACCTTGTCTAAATAATACAAATAATTAAATACTCTCAGGCTCCATATCTGTGAGAAATAAATTCCTGTTGTTTAAGCAAAAAGCAAAGCAAAACCAAAATACAATTTAAAATTTAGACCTTTAGTCACATTAGCCACCTGCCAAGTGCTCAAGAGACACATGTGGCTAATGGCTACCATATTCGACTGATAGACTAGAACCCTTGTCACCAAAAGTTCTCTTGGACAACATTGATAAGTACTATTAAAGGCGGCCATAAGGATTCATTGAGATGATAATGTAAATGAATACTATAAGGGGTTAAATAAAGGTAAGGTGATATTGCTGAGTTTGTATTTAGTTTTGCCTCCACATTTAAAAAATGTATTTAATGCACAAAGTAAACAACAGTATGTTACCTTCTTGAGCAGATTTTCTAGACATAGGTTGGGGAGATAGGCCCCTGTAGTCCCAGCTACTCAGGAGGTTAAAGCGGGTGGGTGGATCACTTGAGGCCAGGAGTTCAAGAACAGCCTGGGCAACATGGTGAAACCCTGTCTCTACAGAAAATACAAAAACAATTAGCTAGGTGTGGTGCATGCCTGTGGTTCCAGGGTCTGGCTTGATTGCCCAGGCAGTGACTGTGCAGTGGCACAGTCTCTTCCTCCCAGGCTCAGCCTCCCAAGTAGCTGCGACTACAGACGCATGCCACCATGCCCGGCTAATTTTTTTTATTTTTTGAAGAGATGGGTTTGCCATGTTGCCCACCCTGCTTCAGCCTCCCAAAGTGCTGGGATTACAGGCATGAGCCTGTTTGGTTCCTTCGTTCATTCTTTCTTTCTTTCTTTCTGTCTTTCTGTCTTTTTTTTTTTTTTTTTTGGTGATAGAGTCTTGCTTTGTTGCCCAGGCTGGAGTTCAGTGGCACAATCACTGCTTTCTGCTGCCTCAGCCTGCTGAGTAGCTGAGACTACAGTCTCATGCCACCGTGCCCAGCTAATGTTTTGTATTTTTTTAGAGATGTGGTTTTGCCATGTTACCCAGGCTGGTCTGAAACTCTTGGGCTCAAGCGATCCACCCTCCTCAGCCTCCTAAAGTGCTAGGATTACAGATGTGAGCCACCGGTCCCAGCCTTTTTTTGTAATTTATATATTTATTTTTGAGACAGAGTTTTGCTCTTGTTGCCCAGGCTGGAGTGCGATGGCGTGATCTCGGCTCATTGCAACCTCTGCCTCCCGGCTTCAAGCAATTCTGCCTGAGCCTCCGGAGTAGCTGGGATTACAGGCACGAACCACCACACCTGGCTAATTTTGTATGTTTACTAGAGACGGGGTTTCACCATGTTGACCAGGCTGATCACAAACTCCATGTAGTTTAAATTGAAAGAAACCGGATCAGGTTTTACCATCTTACTGTTTTTTCATTCTTCTTTGTTCTGCTGTAATAGAGTGAGGAATTATTAGTTAGATACAATTTAAGGGTTTTTGAGAGCTTTACAAGGATGGAGTTAGTTGGATTTTATGTTAGGATTATAGGAGTGGCACAAAGACAACTTCCTATTGTATGCATGAGGTATATGTATTGTAGGCATTGCTCCTCTACCTTCTATTGTGTTTTACTCCATGTACAGCCAACTAACTGAGCTATAGAGTATCATAACTTGGCCCTTTAATTTTCTTTTTGAAGGTTGTAGCTTCTAGTCCCTAGAGCTTCTGTAATTAGGTGGTCATAAAAATGCACATAGGGCCAAGGTCACAGAGAAATCTTGATTGTGGCCTTCAAGCAGATTGACTTTATTATTGACTTTATTTAATGTCATTTTAGTGAGATTTTTGTTTGCTTGTTAATTCGTTTATGAAGAATGACCAACTGTGTTTACAGGCAGATGAAGGGAAGGGTAGGGAGGTGTGGGACTTGGGAAAGGATAGTTGTACATTGGATGACTAAAAGGCTTTATCTCAGCTGGGCACAGTGGCTCACGCCTGTAATCCCAGCACTTTGGGAGGCCGAGGTAGGTGGATCACCTGAGGTCAGGAGTTCGAGACCAGCCTGGCCAACACGGTGAAACCCCGTCTCTACTAAAAATCCGAAAATTAGCTGGGCATGGTGCTGCACACCTGTAATCCCAGCTACTCAGGAGGCTGAGGCAGGAGAATTGCTTGAACCCAGGAGGCGGAAGTTGCAGTGAGCTGAGATCACGCCACTGCACTCCATCCTGGGCGACAGACTCCATCTCAAAAAAATGAAAAAATAAATAAGTAAATAAATAAAATAAAAAAATAGACTTTATCTCATCATAAAAACTTTTTAATCTAATTTCTCTTTTTTCTAGCTTCAGGCTCCTGGCAAAGGCCTAACTAGCAATAAAAGCAAGGATGACCTGGTGGTAGCTGAAGTAGAAATTAATGATGTGCCTCTCACATGTAGGAACTTGCTGACTCGAGGACAGACTCAAGACGAGGTGAGGAGGCATTGAGACTCTTTGGGGAGGGCGGTGAGTGGATTCAGATAAAGAAGACCTCTAAATAGACAGGCGTCAGATATTTATTAGTGGGTTTGGGTCATAGTCTCTAAAGTCAGGATTGGGTTTAATTTAACTTCAGAGGAAGATAATGGAATGGATATAAATGAATTCTCTGGGTTGGTTTGAGTAAGAAACCATGGAATCAAAATTTCAGATACAGGAGAGAATTCTTTCCTTCTTTACTTGGTTGAATGAATGAATGGGAAGAAAATCTGTCTGCCATTGAAATCAACCAATTGCCACATTTTTTTAATTGAACATTTCCTTTTTTAGATCAGCCGACTTAGTGGGGCTGCAGTATCAACTCGAGGGAGGTTCATGACAACTGAGGAAAAAGCCAAAGTGGGACCAGGGTGCGTATTCTCTTATCTTGTTTATGGAAGGGTTGGGTGTATGACTCACGTTAGCCTCATGTTTTTTATCCTTAGGTAATACGTGTACACAATATTTGATTCAAGGTTTGAGGGGTATGTGTGTGCACACTATAGCAGAATTCTGGATATCAAACAGATACAAGATGTTGGGACCTGTTTTTGGACTTTTATTTCACATTTAATGTTTTTATTGGAGGAAACAAATTATAGGAAAGTGTAAAAGAAGATACTAACCACTAACATTTAATGTATATACTCTTTTTTCTTCTTTCTGTTCCATATGATCTGCAGAAATAATGTATATACTTTTTTTTTTTTTTTTTGAGATGGAGTCTTGCTCTGTCGCCCAGGCTATAGTGCAGTGGCGTGATCTCGGCTCACTTCAAACTCTGCCTCCTGGGTTCATGCCATTCTCCTACCTCAGCCTCCCGAGTAGCTGGGACTACAGGCACCTGCCACCACGCCTGGCTAATTTTTTGTATTTTTAGTAGAGACAGAGCTTCACCGTGTTAGCCAGGATGGTCTTGATCTCCTGACCTTGTGATCCACCCCCCTCGGCCTCCCAAAGTGCTGGGATTACAGGCGTGAGCCACCACGCCCGGCATTGTATATACTTCTTAACTTTTTTCTGTGGAAATAGTTCCCCTCACAAATGGGCTCTTTTTTTTTTTTTTTTTTTTTGTCTTTATGATGGTTATAGTTTGTGATTATTCAGGTAAAGACTTAATCTGTTTCATTTTATTCCTTCCATCATTCCGTGTTTGAGTTTCTCTTCACTGTCAGTTGATAGGTACTTAGGGAATGCAACATTTTTAACATTAGCTTAAACTACACAAAATAAGGTGGCAAAATTTAATTCCTACCCCAAGCCAAGAATTTATTTATTTATTTATTTATTAGAGAAGGAGTTTTTGCTCTTGTTGCCCAGGCTGGAGTGCAATGGCGCCATCTCGGCTCACTGCAACCTCTGCCTCCTGGGTTCAAGCAATTCTCTGGCCTCACCCTCCCGAGTAGCTGGGATTACAAGCATGCGCCACCACACCCGGCTAAATTTTGTATTTTTAGTAGAGATGGGGTTTCACGATGTTGGACAGGCTGGTCTCAAAAGTCCTGACCTCGGGTGGTTCCCCTGCCTCGGCCTCCCAAAGTGCTGGGATTACAGGCATGAGCCACCGTGCCCAGCCCCAAGAATGTATTTAAACTTTCTATATGTGTTGATTGCTGTTTTGAACTTTGTCTTTAAAAAGTTATTTTTACCTGCTACTTTTTATTAACTATATATGGTTATTGATCACTTTATTATAATTTAAGTCCTCTTCACATTTAGAATCTAAATTATCAGTTGATGTAGACCTTAAGAGGTTTCTCTATATGCATGATCAATCTTTCCCCATTAATTTTGTGTGTGTGTGTGTGTGTGTGTGTGTGTGTGTGTGTGTGTGGTTTTTTTTTTTTTTTTTTTTTTTTTTTTGGAGACAGAGTCTTGTTCTGTTGCCCCGGCTGGTGTGCAATGGCATGATCTTGGGTCATTGCAACCTCCACCTCCTGGGTTCAAGTGATTCTTGTGCCTCAGCCTCCTGAGTAGCTGGGACTACAGGCGTGCCACCATGCCCGGCTAATTTTTGTAATTTCAGTAGAGATGGGGTTTTGCCATGTTGGCCAGGCTGGTCTCAAACTCTTGGCCTCATGTCATCCACCCACCTCAGCCTCCCAAAGTGCTGGGATTACAGACATGAGCCACAGCACCCAGCTTGCCCCATTGATTTGGATAGACGAGACCACATTTGTTTATAACCTATTAGACAACCAGCAAAAAGGAATTCTGTTCTTAAATATTGGGTTATCTCAATAGACTGGAAAATAATGGTAGTGAATCCATAAGAACAGATTTGATCTGAACTCTGTGGGCCAGTTGACTTTTAAAATCAAGAAGTTTATTTGTTCCCCAGCTGTTAAAGCATGTTCTGAGACATTAGCTAGCAAAAACCCTTCTAATGTATATAGTCCCTTTTGGTTATTTGGAAACTTGAAACATTACAAATTAGATCTGGTGACCCATTTGACTCCTTTTTTGGTTTTGACCACATTGAGATCATCCTTTTTTGTTTCTCTTTATAGGGATCGTCCATTATATCTTCATGTTCAGGGCCAGACACGGGAATTAGTGGACAGTAAGTAATGTTTTTGGCTCACGTAGCACTTTTTGTGAAGAGCAAAGTACAGGGCTCTGTATAGCAAGTTGGCAAAGTGTCCCTGATGGCTGTTCTAACCCTTGTTCATGAACTATACACGAATTTGTATGGGAGTTTAGAGGGATGGAGAGCCACATATTTGGGTAACGTATAAAGCAGATTTACGGTGAATAATTGAACACTGGCCTGCCTGGGCACTAGTCAGTTCATTCCATTCAGTTTTACTGTCTGTGTTTTTCTAAGGAGCTGTAAACCGGATCAAAGAAATTATCACCAATGGAGTGGTAAAAGCTGCCACAGGAACAAGTCCAACTTTTAATGGTGCAACAGTAACTGTCTATCACCAGCCAGCACCCATCGCTCAGTTGTCTCCAGCTGTTAGCCAGAAGCCTCCCTTCCAGTCAGGGGTATGTTTTGGGGAGGGATCGTTAATAGCATTATCATTTCTATAAAAATGATATGTGCTGGCCAGGCACAGTGGCTCATTCCTGTAATCCCAGCACTTTGGGAGGCCAAGGTGGGTGGATCATTTGAGGTCAGGAATTTGGACCAGCCTGACCAACGTGGTGAAACCCCGTCACGAACATTACCCGGGCATGGTGGCAGGCACCTGTAACCCCAGCTACTTGGGAGGCTGAGGCAGGAGAATTGCTTGAAGCCGGGAGGTGGAGGTTGCAGGGAGCTGAGACCATGCCACTGCACTCCAGCCTGGGCCACAGAGCAAGACTCCATCTCAAAAAAAAAAAAAAAAAAAAAAGTGCCAAGTAATACATACAAAGAAAAAAAAATCGTGAAATTCCAAATTCCAATCCCGAAAGTTACCTGCCATAGGTATTCTGTTTGTGTGTTATCCAGCTCTCCACGGTATAATGAACACCTGATCACACATTTCTTCATATTGATATATTCTAGAAAGGAGATTGATAGAGCAGAAGGTATACATGTTGTACATTTTGAAGTTAGTGGTTTTAATTTGTATTTGTAAACTTGATGACAACTGGAGGACTAAGAAGGCTGAGTCTGATGAAGTAAGACTTTGCTGATACATTCCTCCTAGAAAAAAGGGTTGGAGAGAGCAGCCTTCACTGAAGAGTATCACAGGGCTGACTGTACTACCCAACACTCTACCCCAGTTTTACAGGAGACTGTCTTTGCTATAATTTCTTATTGACTTATTTCAAAGATTGAGGATTTAATTATATATTCTGTTTAATCTGAAGTATTCTGTTCTTCCTACAGATGCATTATGTTCAAGATAAATTATTTGTGGGTCTAGAACATGCTGTACCCACTTTTAATGTCAAGGAGAAGGTGGAAGGTCCAGGCTGCTCCTATTTGCAGCACATTCAGATTGAAACAGGTGCCAAAGTCTTCCTGCGGGGCAAAGGTTCAGGCTGCATTGAGCCAGCATCTGGCCGAGAAGCTTTTGAACCTATGTATATTTACATCAGGTATGGATGGATAGGGCAGGGGACATGTGAATTCTTGTCAACTTGTTGGTACAGTCAGGAGTGATTCAGAAGGAGCAAGAGAAAACTGGGTGTAATTAATAGTAATGAGGGATTTAGATAAATGCTAGGAGTAATTACTTTATAATTAGTTAAAGAAATTGTAGAATTGGGGCACGGTGGCTCATGCCTGTAATCCCAACACTTCTGGAGGCCAAGGCGTAGGACCACTTGAGCCCAGGAGTTTGAGGCCAGCCTGGGCAACATAGCAAAACCCCATCTCTCCAAAAAAATTTTAAAAATTAGGCGGGCACGGTGGCTCACACCTGTAATCCCAGCACTTTGGGAGGCCGAGGCGGGTGGATCACGAGGTCAGGAGATCGAGACCATCCTGGCTAACAAGGTGAAACCCCGTCTCTACTAAAAATAAAACAAAAAAAATTAGCCGGGTGTGGTGGCAGGCGCCTGTAGTCCCAGCTACTCAGGAGGCTGAGGCAGGAGAATGGCGTGAACCCGGGAGGTGGAGCTTGCAGTGAGCTGAGATTGCGCCACTGCACTCCAGCCTGGGTGACAGAGCGAGACTCCATCTCAAAAAAAAAAAAAAATTAGCCAGGTGTTATGGTGTACACCTTAATCCCAGCTGCTCAGTAGGCTGAGGCAGGAGGATGGCTTGAGCCCAGGAGATTAAGGCTGCAGGTAGCTGTGTTTGCACCACTGCACTCCAGACTGGGTGACTGAGTGAGACCCTGTCTTAAAAAAAAAACCAGGTGCGGTGGCTCACACCTGTAATCCCAGCACTTTGGGAGGCCGAGGCAGGCGGATCACTTGAGGTCAGGAGTTCGAGACTACCCTGGCCAACATGGTGAAACCCTGACTCTCCTAAAAGTATAAAAATTAGCCAGGTGTGGTGGCAGGCACCTATAATCCCAGCTATTCAGCAGGCTGAGGTAGGAGAATTGCTTGAACCCTGGAGGCGGAGGTTGCAGTGAGCTGAGACTGCTCCATTGCACTCCAGCCTGGGCAACAGAGCAAGACTCCATCTCAAAAAAAAAAAAAAAAAGAGAAATTATTGAATTAGGAGACGGAATTATCTCTTTAGTATTCAAGTCCTTTGGTTTTGTACAAGTCTGTACAAAAGTGAATCTTGGCCTGTAATCCCAGCACTTTCAGGGCCGAGGCGGATGAATCAGGTCAGGAGATTGAGACCATCCTGGCTAATACAGTGAAATCCCGTTTCTACTAAAAATAAAACAAAAAAATTAGCCAGGCATGGTGGCAGGCGCCTGTAGTGCCAGCAACTCGGGGGCTGAGGCAGGAGAATGACGTGAACCCAGGAGGTGGAGCTTGCAGTGAGCTGAGATCGCGCCACTGCACTCCAGCCTGGGCAACAGAGCAAGATTCTGTCGCCTCCTGCCTCAGCGTCCCAAGTAGCTGGGACTATAGGCACCCGCCAACATGCCCGGCTAATTTTTTGTATTTTTAGTAGAGATGGGGTTTCACCGTGTTAGCCAGGATGGTCTCGATCTCCTGACCTCGTGATCCGCCTGTCTCGGTCTCCCAAAGTGCTGGGATTACAGGCGTGAACCACCACGCCCGGCCAAAAAAAAGCAAATCTTAAAGTGAGCTGTGATAAGTCTGAAATAATTTTCATTTAAACCTATGTCAATATTAATACGTTTTATAGTAATTTTATGAACTTTAAACATTTTTATATCGAGAAGTACCATTACTCAGAGAAAGACTAATAAAATATTTGTGGTAATGATAGTGGTTATATCTTAAAAGACTTATGTTTTGTGTTTCTGTTTTGTGATTTTCAGAGGCCTAGATTTGAGCTACAGTGAATGTATTAATGTAGATATGTAAAATAGCATGGAAAATGAAAGCAGAATTCTGCATCTTTTATTTATTTTTCTCTCCTTTGAATTCCTGGTTATTTCTTTGCAGTCACCCCAAACCAGAAGGCCTGGCTGCTGCCAAGAAGCTTTGTGAGAATCTTTTGCAAACAGTGAGTTGTATTTGTCTGATACTCATTCAGAAGAGCAATTGCCATTTTGGAGTATGTCTTAGCTGTTTCTTTCACCTGTTTAGTTTCCTAGTACTGCTATAACAAGTTATGGCAGTTGGGTGGCTTAAAATAACACAAATTTATTCTATCACAGTCCAGGAAGCAGAGTCTGAAATCAAGGTGCTGGCAGAATTGGTTCCTTCTGGAGTCTTTGAGAGAGAAATCATCCCATGCCTTTCCTCTCTCCTAGCACCTGGTCATTGTGTTGGTTTTCTTTGGCTTGTATTAGCATAACTCCAGTCTGAAGTAAGGGTAGAACTATAATAATTTAAAACCAGTTAGACATGTTTGGGGGATGATTGCTCATTTGATTATGCATTCTTTTTATTCTATAAACAACCAAAAGTTAAACCTTAGGACTGTCTTTTTTTTTTTTTTCTGTCGCCCAGGCTGGAGTGCAGTGGCGGGATCTCGGCTCACTGCAAGCTCCGCCTCCCGGGTTCACGCCATTCTCCTGCCTCAGCCTCCCAAGTAGCTGGGACTACAGGCGCCCGCCACTACGCCCGGCTACTTTTTTGTATTTTTAGTAGAGACGGGGTTTCACCGTTTTAGCCGGGATGGTCTCGATCTCCTGACCTCGTGATCCGCCTGCCTCGGCCTCCCAAAGTGCTGGGATTACAGGCGTGAGCCACCGCGCCCGGCCAGGACTGTCTTTATAGCACTTAGAGGAAATCAGGTTTTGCACTGAATATGTTCAACCTTGTGTTCTCTGGTGCCTTATTGGGTAGCTCATGGTTGGTTTTTTTGTTTGTTTTTTTACTTTTGTACATAGCACCTGATTTACCAACCCTTGTACCGGATAATTTTCTTGACTATTTCCCATCTTTGTTGGTACTTGAGGTTATGGACTTAATAATATATAGGAAGGAAGTATGAGGAAAATACGAAACCCTTACTAAATGTGAGCTCCTTGAGGAAAAGTCACCCAGTAAATGTGAATGAATTGAGGTCTCACCAGTTATACTAACAACTTGGAAATTTCCTAGTTACTTAATTTCTGTGGCTTTCTAAATGATTCTGTACCCCAGAATTGAGTATGGTTTAGGGGATTCAGGATTATTCTCCTAATTCCCAAAATTGGCTTAATAATTTATAGATTTGCCTTATTAAAATGTTGAGGTGGGTTGGACACGGTGGCTCATGCCTGTAATCCCAGCCCTTTGGGAGGCCAAGGCGGGCAGATAATGAGGTCAGGAGTTCGAGACCAGCCTGGCCAACATCGTGAAACCCCCGTCTCTACTAAAAATACAAAAACTAGCTGGGTGCGGTGGCACGCGCCTGTAGTCCCAGCTACTTGGGAGGCTGAAGCAGGAGAATCGCTTAAACCGTGAAGGTGGAGGTTGCAGTGAGCTGAGACCATGCCATTGCATTGTACCCTGGGTGACAGAGTGAGACTGTCTCAAAAAAAAAAAAAAAAAAAAGATTTGCAGTGATACAAGATCGCGCCACTGCACTCCAGCCTGGGTGACAGAGCAAGACTGTCTCAAAAAAAAAAAAAAATGTGGGTTAAACAAGTTTAAATTTGATTGGAACATTGGTAGATATATTTTAATTCCTAATGGCTTTGGTCCTAGAATTATGTAATCAGACCCTTGTAAATGCACAGCTTCGGCTGTCCCATGTTAATTTGTTTCCCCCTCTCTTTCAGGTTCATGCTGAATACTCTAGATTTGTGAATCAGATTAATACTGCTGTACCTTTACCAGGTGTGTACATCTTGAAGTGTTTAAAAAATATTTTGCTAGTGATAGTTATGTGTAACTATGATACTTGAGGCTAGACTGTGCCAGGGCACTATTAATGTTCCCTTTAATTTAGGGTAATTTGGAAAGCCATTCATGCCTCAGTATTTTTCTTCCCTAGATATTAAGTTTAATATTCAGCTAAATTGTCTCATTCTGCTGCAGCTGATTAAACACTTTTTTTCTTCCCCCTCAGGCTATACACAACCCTCTGCTATAAGTAGTGTCCCTCCTCAACCACCATATTATCCATCCAATGGCTATCAGTCTGGTTACCCTGTTGTTCCCCCTCCTCAGCAGCCAGTTCAACCTCCCTACGGAGTACCAAGCATAGTGCCACCAGCTGTTTCATTAGCACCTGGAGTCTTGCCGGCATTACCTACTGGAGTCCCACCTGTGCCAACACAATACCCGATAACACAAGTGCAGCCTCCAGCTAGCACTGGACAGGTAGGATGTCAGGATATGCAACAACATATTACTGAATTTAGGAAAAACTGGGGAAAGAGGGGAAGTAGTGGTATTCCAGAAATAAATCATGTGATGTGGAATGTCTTTTTCCTGCTGTCTTCTGTGTTCCTACCACCAACCTACCTGAATATTTTGGATTAGTGTGTATGTGTGTATGTCATCCTGAAGTTTATATTTTCACAAGTCTTGCACACCAAATAGCTGTTTAAAGTGGGGATGGTGGGCACACTTGCTATAAAGGGTCAGATGGCAAATATTTTAGGCTTTAAGGGCCATACATTCTCTGTCACAACTATCACACTCGGTGGTTGTAGTGCAGAAGCAGCCCGTGGATAATACCTCAATGAATAAGCATAGCTGTTGTACTCCAGTAGAACTTTATTTACAAAACAGGTGGCAGGCCACAGTCATAGTTTGCCATACCCTTGGCCATTGTTTGCCTAACCTTACCTTTGCAGTGTTAACAAAGTCCTCAAGGAGAATGGGGCTACCTTCACCACACCTCTCAGTAATTGGAACTGAGTTAGCATTTCAAATCTTAGAAGGAAACATAATCTCAGCATCTGGGGAGGCCGAGGCAGGATTGCTTTAGCACAGTTTGAGACCAGCCTAGGCAACATAGTGAGACTCCATCTCTACAAAAAAAATTAACTGGACATGGTGGCACATACCTGTATTTCAGCTACTTAAGAGGCTGAGATGGAAGGGTCCCTTGAGCCTAGGAGGTCATGGATGCAGTGAACCAAGATGGTGCCAGTGCACTCCAGCCTCAGTGACAGAGTGAGACTGTCTCAAAAAAAATTTTAAAAAGCAACATTATGTAAGAGATATATAAACTTTTCAAATGTAAGGATTATAAATGCTGGTATGTTTCTTTTATAACTTAAGAAATGTATACTTAAAAAAATTTTTTTTTTGAGACAGAGTCTCGCTCTGTTGCCCAGGCTGGAGTGCAGTGGCGCATCTCAGCTCACTGCAAGCTCCGCCTCCCAGGTTCACGCCATTCTCCTGCCTCAGCCTCCCAAGTAGCTGGGACTACAGGCACCCACCACCACGCCTGGCTAATTTTTTTGTATTTTTAGTAGAGACGGGGTTTCACTGTTAGCCAGGATGATCTCGATCTCCTGACCTCATGATCCAACTGCCTCTGCCTCCCCAAGTCCTGGGATTACAGGTGTGAGCCACCGCACCTGGCCACAATTTCTTAAATCATGAAAGTAGAATTTTAGGAAAAGAGTAGATGTCTGGATAATAATCTGGATGGATTATATATACTGGTCTTGGAGGCAGGGGAGAGACTTAATGAGAGCATGGTAATGGATTTATGGTGGGTCCTTCTCTGTGGGCCTCTCATAGTGTACCCATGCCATAGCAAATGGCAGCCTCGAACCATTGCCCAGTCCCCTTACCTGTGGGCTGTGAGCACTGAAGGGGGTTGCACAGTGTGTAACAAAAAAGCTATGAACTAAATTTTATTTGTGGTCTCTAGTCAAATTTATTTTATTTTATTTATTTATTTTATTTTTGTTTATTATTATTTTTTGAGACAGAATCTCATTCTGTCACCCAGGCTAGAGTGCAGTGGCACCATCTTGGCTCACTGCAAGCTCCGCCTCCCAGGTTCACGCGATTCTCCTGCCTCAGCCTCCCGAGTAGCTGGGACTACAAGCGCCTGCCACCATGCCTGGCTAATTGTTTTGTATTTTTAGTGGAGATGGGGTTTCACCTTGTTAGCCAGGATGGTCTTGATCTCCTAACCTCGTGATCCGCCCACCTCAGACTCCCAAAGTACTGGGATTACAGGCGTGAGCCACCGCGCCCGGCCTAATGTTTGTATTTTTAATAGAGATGGGGTTTCACCATTTTGGCCAGGCTGGTCACAAACTCCTGACCTCAGGTGATCCGCAGCCTCGGACTTCCAAAATGCTAGGATTATGGTGCAAGGATTACAGGCATAAGCCACCGTGCCCAGCCAAAATTATTTTAATTTTTATATTTAGACAGCTCTGTAGGTCTCTACTTTTGAAGGTCAGTCCTTTGTAATTGGGAAGCAATACAGCAGAGTGGTTAAAAGCAGGGAGTTAAGGCAGCCGCAGTGGCTCATGTAGCTGTAATCCCAGCACTTTGGGAGGTTGGGGCGGGTGGATCACTTGAGGTCAGGAGTTCAAGACCAGCCTGGTCAACATGGTGAAACCCTGTCTCTGCTAAAAATACAAAAATTAGCTGGGCGCGGTGGCAGGCATCTGTAATCCCAGCTACTTGGGAGGCTGAGGCAGGAGAATTGCTTGAACCCAGGAGTCAGAGGTTGCAGTGAGCCGAGATTGCATCACTGCACTCCAGCCTGGGTGACAAGCAAAACTCAAAAAAAAAAAAAAAAAAAAACTGGGAGTTAGAATTAGATTGACAGGGTTGATCTTGCTTTCCCATTTTTGAGCTGTGTGATATTGGGATGTAACTTGCCCTGTCTAGGGTTTGGTTTTCCTTAGATGTAAAATGGGCACAGTGATAAAAATCTCAGAGGTTTGCAAGGATTAAGTAAGATGATCCAATCTGTCAGTAAACGTTAGCTGTGTTATTAATACAGTCAGCCACCTTACAACGTTTTAGTCAGTGATAGACTGCACATATGATGCTTGTCCTGTAAAATTATAGTAGCATATTTTTACTGTACCTTTTCTACATTTAGATACACAAATACTTACCATTGTGTTACAGCATTCAGTACAGTAACATGCTATACAGGATTGTAGCCTAGAAGAATAGGCCATATCGTATAGCCTAGGTGTGTAGTAGGCTATTTTCATCTAAGTTTGTATAAGTACACATTTGTTAAATGACAAAATTGCCTTGCAGTGCATTTCTCAAAACATATTCCCACTCAGCGTAGTGGCTCACACCTGTAATCCCAGCACTTTGGGAAGCTGAGACAGATGGATCACAAGTACAAAAAAAAATTAGTTGTGCATGGTGGCACGTGCCTGTAGTCCCTCGGCAGGCTGAGGCAAGAGAATCGCTTGAACCTGGTAGGCAGAGGTTGTAGTGAGCCGAGTTGGCACCATTGCACTCCAGCCTGGGAGACAGAGCAAGACTGAGACTCTGTCTCAAAAACAAGACAAAACAAAACACGTATTACCATTGCTAAGCAATGCATGGCTGTATAGAGTTTTCTCTTCAGACCTGCCTATTCCTCTGTAATATATACTGTCTTCTGATACCCCTTATTCCTTTTTGGAACAACATCTTCAAACATTAGACTTAATCTTGACATAGTAGCTTAGTGATAACTAAGGGAGTGGAAGATGAAATTGCTTCTTCCACAAGCATTAGCAGCATTTATAAATAACAGAAAGCTTATTACAGAAAGCTAATCACATCGACTGTCAGTGGTTGGAGTTCTGTTTGTTAATGGTCATGTTTACTCCTAGTAGCCCAAATGCATAACAGAGTTTTCTTAAAAGTTCAAAGCACTGTATATAGGTTGTCAATTTCATGTTTCCCTAGGATGAAGGTGAGAAGGCTTAGGTGATAATGTTACCAAATTATACATGAAGGAAACTAAGGACCTGAAGATGCAAAATTCATATGATACTTATTGATCCTTAAAGTATATTGTAATCATTGTTTACTTATTCCTTGGGCATTCTCACACTTTTTTTCTTCCTTGGTTTGTTTTGGTCCCAGAGTCCGATGGGTGGTCCTTTTATTCCTGCTGCTCCTGTCAAAACTGCCTTGCCTGCTGGCCCCCAGCCCCAGCCCCAGCCCCAGCCCCCACTCCCAAGTCAGCCCCAGGCACAGAAGAGACGATTCACAGAGGAGCTACCAGATGAACGGGAATCTGGACTGCTTGGATACCAGGTTAAATAAAATACCCTGTTTTCCTATCTTCACCTTATTCTTCTACTATATTCTCCCTTTAAAAAAGATAAATTCACATCATTCTCCCAGTACTAGGATTTCTGCTTTCTGGAATTCATTTTGGTTAGGTTTTTTATCCTATTCAACAGACTCTTGAAAGCCTCTGAGAGTTCTTACTTTCTTATACATCTCACTCAAAGCTCTTGATCTACCAGTATGTGGTTTGTATTTAAAACCTTGGCTTTCAGTGGTGCTCTCTCTTTTACCCTCCACCTAAAAAAGAGAGTGATATCTCCCTCCAGTCTCCCCACCCCTCAAGACTGCTAGAAAAGGAGTGATTCTGTACATGTAATTGTAAAGTTAGCCACTAAAGTTAAAAAGATTCTTAATTTGTAGTTTTGGTGCAATTTTATCAGAAGTACCTTTCCATTTTGCCAGAATCCTTGAATCATTCTTTAAACCAAAGCATTTTTTTATAGTTTCTAGCTAGGTTTATAGAAACTAGTGGAGCTATGGGCAGTCAGTTAAAAACAGGCCATAGATAGCATAATGAATTATAACACCCCTGTCCAAGTCCTATAGAGAAAAAAAAAAATCCCTACTTTTGACTACAGTTACACAGCAGATCCCAAAGAGCTTTGTAGTAGTTTAACGTACTACAACTTATCAGAAAGATGAGGCACTTGACAGTTACATTAAGGAGCTAAAGTCAATACGGCAGTTGTAGATTTGCTAATGCCACTGTATTTTTCTGCTCATAGCATGGACCCATTCATATGACTAATTTAGGTACAGGCTTCTCCAGTCAGAATGAGATTGAAGGTGCAGGATCGAAGCCAGCAAGTTCCTCAGGCAAAGAGAGAGAGAGGGACAGGTAAGTTGGAATAATTATGCAAATGTATTCAGATGTTATTTGTTTGCACCATTAGTGAGAGTAATGATCATTGCTATGAGCTTAAGTATTCTGAAACTGAAATGAAATCTTTGAATCAAATATGCTTCTGTTTGTTGTAATTGATGCAATGAAGTAAAATATGATAGGCCTTTTACAGATTTAGAAGCAGTTATATTCGGTTTTGAATAATTTATTACTTGTTCAGACATCTTTCTTGACTTCCATTGTCTGCATCTTGGCCATTTTCCTAAGGGTAGACAGTAACAGAAATGTTACATAATTCAGCTATTTTTGCTACTTTAGAGTCATTAGAATATCATGGATGGAAGTACATGAATGTGGGAGTTCAGCCTGCCACACAGTGCTTGAATTTTCCTTTCTTATATTAGTATATTAACCTTCATAAGAAAGGAGCTGATATCTTTCTATAACAGTTCATTCGATTTTTGTCATGGCAATTGCTGTGTAGACAGGCCTTATACTTTTATAAAGGGGCTGGGGGAAGGTGGAAGGGGTTGAAATTAATGGTTAAAATGAATTTGAAGGATTGTCTGCAGACATAATTGCACTTCTAATCCACTGGATAAGTTAAGAAAATTTAAATTGTCTGAAAGAAAGTTTCATTTTGTTTTTCAATAGGCAGTTGATGCCTCCACCAGCCTTTCCAGTGACTGGAATAAAAACAGAGTCCGATGAAAGGAATGGGTCTGGGACCTTAACAGGGAGCCATGGTGAGTGTGATATAGCTGGGGGAACAGGGGAGTGGCTAAGACTGGTCTAAAGCTATTAGTTTTCTCAGCCGGGCGCAGTGGCTCACGCCTGTAATCCCAGCACTTTGGGAGGCCGAGGTGGGCAGATCACCTAAGGTCAGGAGTTCAAGACCAGCTTGGCCAACATAGTGAAATCCCATCTCTACTAAAAATACAAAAACTAGCGGGCATGGTGGTGGGCGCCTGTAATTCCAGCTACTCAGGGGGTTGAGGCAGGAGAATCGCTTCAACCTGGGAGGCAGAGGTTGCAGTGAGCCAAGATCAGACCACTGCCCTCCAGCCTGGGCAATAGAGCAAGACTCCATCTCATAAATAAATAAATACATAAATAAAGCTATTAATTTTCTAACCTGATGTTCATTCAGGTGTTTAATCCAACCTCTATAATCTGTTGGCCAGTGAAAATACTTTTGGGCTGGGCACGGTGGCTCACGCCTGTAATCCCAGCACTTTGGGAGGCCAAGGTGGGCGGATAACCTGAGGTCAGGAGTTTGAGACCAGCGTGGCTAACATGGTGAAACCCCGTCTCTACTAAAAATAGAAAAATTAAGCTGGGCATGGTGGTGCATGCCTGTAATTCCAGCGGCTTGGAAGGCTGAGGCAGGAGAATCACTTGAACTTGGGAGGTGGAGGTTGCAGTGAGCCAAGATCACACCACTGCATTCCAGCCTGGGCACTAGAGTGAGACTCTGTCTCAAAAAAAAAGAAAGAGAAAGAGAAAATAGTTTCTAAAAAATTGTATACAGACAACCTTTTATTTCCAACAAACGTGTGCCGAGAGAGAGAGAGAGAAAATAGTTTTAAAAAAATTGTATACAGACAACCTTTTGTTTCCAACCAACGTGTATCTAGAAAAGAGTTAGTCGACTTATTTTATACATAGCATCAGTGAATAGTAATGAGTGGTAGGTCATTTCAAAATCCTGTTGCCTATATTATGTGAATACCAGGAGGTCATCTGATACGGACTTAATAAAGGTTGATTTTGCTTTATATTGGGAGCTGAGCCACACCTCCCCTTATAACTCTATTGGTCAGTAATGGTCAGTTTGTGGCTGTTAGGAAAATGTTGCCTTTTAGCATTCCAGAACTCTAAATCCTGTAGAGGTACATGGGATATTTTATTCTTTGCCTGTACTCATAAAAATGAACAGAAGAAAATACGTTTTTTTCTTTTCTTAACTTCTTTTCTTTTAACTCTTTAAAAGGTGAAATATCAGCCCTCAAGAGACTCACTTGCTAACTTTCCTTTTTTTCTTTTTTTTTCTTTTTTTGTGTTTCTTTTTTCTTTCTCTGTTTTCTTACATGGTTCTGGTGGATTCACATTTGCTGATGCTGGTGCTGTTTTTCGTGTGATCTTCAACGTTTTTGGGTGACCATTGACCCTGTGACCTCAAAATGGTGTCCAACTAACCACTTAAAATTAACATCTTTTTTTTAATTAACGAATTTATGGTATTTTTTTTTTTCCCTTGGCGGGGATGGGGTTGGGGTTGTTTTTTCTCTATTCTAGATTATCCAGCCAAGAAGATGAAAACTACAGAGAAGGGATTTGGCTTGGTGGCTTATGCTGCAGATTCATCTGATGAAGAGGAGGAACATGGAGGTCATAAAAATGCAAGTAGTTTTCCACAGGGCTGGAGTTTGGGATACCAATATCCTTCATCACAACCACGAGCTAAACAACAGATGCCATTCTGGATGGCTCCCTAGGAAACAGTGGAACAGAGTTTTGACCCTCAGTGACTCTTCTTAGCAATAATGCATGCATTTGATTTAACAAGACTCTGGGGCCTGTGCTGGGAACCATCTGGACCTTTGCAGAAGTTAGAGATTCAGTGCCCCCCTTTCTTAAAGGGGTTCCTTAACAACCACAAAAATCCTTATTTCTGCAGTGGCATAGAATCTGTTAAAATTTAATTAGAATCACAAATTTATCTCAGAAGCTTTTTAACAGTTGGTGAAATGTGCTTGTCCAACAAAGCATCCTAACAGGGTCGTTCCCATACACATTTGACCTGGTCAGCCTTTTCCAGGTGAATAGCCCCAGTTCTGACATAAAGAAAGTTTTATTTGTATTTTACTACTGTTTGGTCAATTTTGATATATAACTGGTTACAAACAGAGCCTTACTATTTATTAGTGGGGAAATGATTTTAAGACCGTCCTTTTCAGTATTTAATTCTGACAGATCTGCATCCCTGTTTTGTTTTGGATTATTTCTGTTTTGGAAAATGCTGTCTCATTTAAAACTGTTGGATATAGCTGGATCCTGGATAGGAAAATGAAATTATTTTTTCATTGTGTTTTTTAATTGGGGTGATCCAAAGCTGGCACCTTCAGGCACATTGGTCTCATAGCCATTACTGTTTTTATTGCCCTTCTAAGATCCTGTCTTCAGCTGGGTCAGAGAAAACTTCTTGACTAAAACTGGTCAGAACTCATCACAGAAATGAAATACAGTGGTCTCTCTCTCCCAGAACTGGTTGCAGCTAAAACAGAGAGATCTGACTGCTGGCTATAGGATTTTGGACTTAATGACTGAAATTGCAAATTGTCCTTTTTCTTGGCATTACAGATTTTGCCAAAATAACTTTTTGTATCAAATATTGATGTGTGAAAGTGAAGGAGCTAGTCTGCTGAACCAGGAATAGTTTGAGATATTGAACTGTCATTTTTGCACATTTGAATACTTTGCAGGCTGGCTTTGTATAAACTTATCCTCTGGTTTCCTATATGTTGTAAATATTTAGACCATAATTTCATTATAAATAAATCTATAAATATTCTGCTTGTGGTTTCTCTGTTTTCTTCCACAACCCATCCATACACTGAAATTCATAAACTTTTTTACTCATAGCACAATGCAACTATAACATTACCAGAAAAATACATATACAGACCCCAAGGTTTGCATATAGTTCCCAGAGTTATGTAACTGCAAAATGTACCCTTAAAGTTCAAATGAAAAGGTTAAGGATTATTATGCTGGATATTTTCCATTTTCATATTTTAGCCCTCCTTTATTTAACAGCGTATTAAAAGGACTTCATGAATGAAGCGGGTTTTAAAGGAAATATGTTATTCTTGGAAAGACATTTTATTTTTTTTTGAGATGGAGTCTCGCTCTGTCACCCAGGCTGGAGTGGAATGGTGCAATCCTGGCTCACCGCAACCTCCTGGGTTCAAGTGGTTCTCCAGCCTCAGCCTCCTGAGTAGCTGGGATTATAGGCACCTACCACCATGCCCAACTAATTTTTATATTTTTAGTAGAGACAGGGAGTCACCATTTTGGCCAGGCTGGTCTTGAACTCCTGATCCTCAAGTGATCAGCCCACTTCAGCCTCCCAAAGTCCTGGGATTACAGGCGTGAGCCAGCACTCCTGGCCAGAAAGACTTAAATTTTGAGACGGAGTTTTGCTCTGTTGCCAGGCTGGAGTGCAGTGGCACCCTCTCAGCCAGCTAACTGCAACCTCCACCTCCCAGGTTCAAGTGATTCTCCTGCCTCAGCCTCCCGAGTAGCTGGGACTTATAGGCGCATGCCACCACACCCAGCTAATTCTTTTGTATTTTTAGTAGAGACGGTTTTACATGTTGGCCAGGATGGTCTCTTATTTCTTGACCTCATGACTCACCTGCCTCGGCCTCCCAGAGTGCTGGGATTACAGGTGTGAGCCACCGCGCCCGCCCGGCCCAGAAAGACATTTAAAAAGAACAGTGGTAGGCAGAGCTGCATGAGAACAATTTTCGTGTCAGTTTCTTCTAGCACCTGTGCTACGTAAATAGAGGGGAATATGGTTATAGTGGCTGCGCTTCAGTTCTGTATTTAACTCAAGGCCTCTGTTAACTCAGAGCTCTCTTTCCTGCCAGAGTGTGGTACATTTATTTAAAACAAGTTTTTGTGTGTCTTATACGTGTTTAAAATACATACAGAACTCTGATTAGGGAGTGTTGTGAACATCTGGTTTCTGAGAATGAATTTAGGTTTCAATAGCAAAAGTCATTGTGGCCGCTCCTTTAGGAAAGTCATTTTTCTCCTATGAGTAGTCATCCCCGGTAGACTTGACTGAAATCCTGTGTTTTAGGAGGATTTGGGGGGTGCCCCTGTCCTCCCTTCCTCTCATTACATTGGGTCAAATTAGTTTTGGGTTTTTTTTTTTCCCACAAGCAGCAAACAACCCTCGGTAAGTTGTTAATTTAAGTGTCCCTGCATGTCTCTTATCACGTACTCCCTTCCCTTTTGTGTAAATAATTTACTTTCTACTCGTGATTAAATACCCTTGTCTGTGAGTGCATACACCCTAGGTTGGGTAGGTGACCAGAGGACCTTCAGCGGTGGGTCCCGGAACTGGGTTTTAGGGACCTGGGAGGGGCGGGAAGAGGGCGGGGCAGGCTGTGGGCGTCACTGAGTGGCCCCGCCCCTCCTTCCGCGACTCGGGCGCCGGTGGCGCCATCTTACTCGGTTGCGGGAGGGGTCACAGGTCAGTGCCGGAGCCTCCGCGAGTGAAGGAAGACGAAGTGCGTGACCCGACCGGCTGTGGTGTTCCAGTCCCCACTGACCAGTAGGAGCAGCAGGGCGTCGGCTTGTGAGGTAGAGGGGTGGGGAGTCTGGCGGCGGAGCAGCAGCTGGGGGTGGGGAGGGGGTTCGGAGGAGAATGGGGAGGGGGCGGAACCTCTGGGTACCGCAGACGTGAGAGAACCCCTGCGGCCTAAGGGGCCGCATCCCTTTCTTCCCAAAACTTTCTCCTTGTCCCTACTGTGCCGAGACGTAAATTTATTTGTATCTTTTTATTTTTCTCTTTGGAAAAAGTAAAACCTGTGATGTGTCATGTGACTGAACTGTCTAGGAGGGAGGGTGAAGATGGGGGGGTTTCTTAGGGCCACCCGAAAGGGTGCAGTGGTGAGCAAGAGGGACAGGCCAGAGTAAGAGGGACAGGCCAGAATATGTATGGAAAGGTAAGGCACTGGCTTGAGGGCTGTCGCCGTGGTGTCTCCATCCTGGATTAAGCATTTCCTCCTCCTTTTCTAGGTGGCTTTTCCTCGGGGCAACCGAGGAAGGCCCCAAGAGGACAATGGATTCTGGAACTCGCCCAGTTGGTAGCTGCTGTAGCAGCCCCGCTGGGCTCTCACGGGAGTACAAACTAGTGATGCTGGGTGCTGGTGGTGTAGGGAAGAGTGGTAGGTAACATTTTCCATTTGACAGGAAGCATGGATGAAAAGTACTTAAATGACCAGATGGGATACTTGCTATCTTGCAATGTTAATACTTAAAATTCTCTCTGTGGGTCACCTTTGTGAGGATTTGACTTTTATTTCTTCTTTTGAAGCCATGACCATGCAGTTCATCAGCCACCGATTCCCAGAAGATCATGATCCCACCATTGGTAAGCCAGATCATCACTTATGTTTCCAAATATACCCCATAAAAATATCTTAATGAATATCAGTAGTTTCTAACTATTTATATTTTGAGGCTTTTTTGGAGTCTAATTCAGATTTATTTAGAAACAAGGGTATCAGCAGTTGGTAAGCAACTGAATATTTCTTTTTTTTTCAGACTTTATGTCATAAGCCATCTTTAGTCTTTGTCTCTTACTGAACATTAATGGGACAACTCTCTTTGTTGTATTTTTTTATGGTTGTATACAGGCCACTTAACGAAGCCTTTTCTTGCTGTCACTTCTCTAAGGGTATGACTTGAGACTCGCTCTGTAACTGTGAGTCAGCTGGTTTGAACTTCCACAAAAGGAAGCAGAGAAACAAGTAGAGCCAGGCTGCTGAACTCTTACAACCCAGACATGCCAAGCCTGGACATCTTGCACTTGGAGCTCTTGGTTTACTTCCTTATACCTTAAGTTCATTACGTAGTAATGTCTTCTCCCATGTCTGTCTGTTGTTTTTTTTTTTTTTTTGAGATGGAGTCTCGCACTGTCTCCCAGGCTGGAGGGCAATGGTGCGATCTCCGGTCACTGTAACCTCCGCCTCCCGGGTTCAAGCAATTCTCCTGCCTCAGCCTCCTGAGTAGCTGGGATTACAGGCATCTGCCACCACACCCGGCTAATTTTTGTATTTTTAGTAGAGATGGGATTTCACTATGTTGGCCAGGCTGGTCTCAAACTCCTGACCTCAAGTAATCCATCCACCTCAGCCTCGAAAAGTACTGGGATTACAGGCGTGAGCCACTGTGCCTAGCCCTCCGATGTCTTTTATGGTCCTTAACTCTTGTTGCAGAACGCTAATAGAGTAAAAAAGTCATTTTGTTTGCTTTGACTTTTTTATTTTTTAATTGCTAATCTCTACAAAGACTAAGAACATTACTGTCATTCCTAAACCATAAGGAAGCAGGTTTGATTCTAAGGGTTTATATCCTAATATGAAAGAAAAATGGATGTGGGAATGGGAGAGGGCACAGAAAGTCAGCTGTACTGTTATTTTCTTTTTTTGTTTTTTTTTTTGGAGACGGTGTCTCACCCTGTTGCCCGGGCTGGAGTGCGGTGGCACAATCTCGGCTCACTACAAGCTCCACCTCCCAGGTTCATGCCATTCTCCTGCCTCAGCCTCCCGAGTATCTGGGACTACAGGCGCCCGCCACCAAGCCCGGCTAATTTTTTTTTGTATTTTTAGTAGAGATGGGATTTCACCGTGTTAGCCAGGATGGTCTCAATCTCCTGACCTCGTGATCTGCCCACCTCGGACTCCCAAAGTGCTGGGATTACAGGCGTGACCACTGCGCCGGGCCTTATTATTTTCAGTATGTGACACTCTTTGCCATGATCCTAGTTCTCTAGGAAGGATTTCCATTGGGTCAGGCCTCTGCTGCTCTGTTTCCCGCAAAGCCAATAATGTTTTGTGGTGGCCCAGCTTTGATATGGTCATTTCATAGAGCACATGATTCCAGGGATGGGAAAAATAGAAAAAGTCTTGACTTTTTCATGTACTATATCAAATTTAGAACACTGTTCAGAGATTCAGGCCAGGCGCGGTGGCTCATGCCTGTAATCCCAGCACTTTGAGAGGTCGAGGCGGGTGGAGCACCTGAGGTCAGGAGTTCGAGACCAGCCTGGCCAACATGGTGAAACCCCATCTCTACTAAAAATACCAAAACTAGCCGGGCGTGGTGCTGGGTGCCTGTAATCCCAGCTACTGCGGGGGCTGAGGCAGGAGAATTGCTTGAACCTGGGAGGCGGAGGTTGCAGTGAGCCGAGATAGTGCCATCACACTCCAGCCTGGGGGATAAGAGCAAGCTTTTGTCTCAAAAAAAAAAAAAAAAATTGTTCAGAGATTCAAATTATGGCGGGAGTTCTAGGAATAAAATGAATTTAGGGCTTACGCATATGTACTTGAGAACTCCAAAAGCATCTTTTCCTTTCTTTTTTTTTGAGACAGAGTCTGACTCTGTCATCCAGGCTGGAGTGCAGTGGCGCCGTCTTGGCTCACTGCAAGCTCCGCCTCCCGGGTTCACGCCATTCTCCTGCCTCAGCCTCCTGAGTAGCTGGGACTACAGGGGCCCATCACCACGCCCGGCTAATTTTTTGTACCTTTAGTAGAGACAGGGTTTCACTGTGTTAGCCAGGATGGTCTCGATCTCCTGACCTCGTGATCTGTCTGCCTTGGCCTCCCAAAGTGCTGGGATTACAGGCGTGAGCCACCGTGCCCGGCCGCGTCTTTCCCTTTCTTTAAAGTAAAACTCAAATACTCGTCTCCTGTAAGAGTTATCTGTATTTTTTTTTTTGTTTTTTTTTTTTAGATGGAGTCTCACTGTCGCCCAGGCTAGAGTGCAGTGGCATGATCTCGGCTCACTGCAGGCTCCGCCCCCCCGGGGTTCATGCCATTCTCCTGCCTCAGGCTCCAGCGTAGCTGGGACTACAGGCACCCGCCACCTCGCCTGGCTAATTTTTTGTATTTTTAGTAGAGACGGGGTTTCACCGTGTTAGCCAGGATGGTCTCGATCTCCTGACCTTGTGATCCGTCCGCCTCGGCCTCCCAAAGTGCTGGGATTACAGGCGTGAGCCACCGCATCCGGCCAAGTTATCTGTTTTAATCAATTTTCCTCCAGTTAACTACTCTCCTGGCAATATTATCTGATTCAACAGCAAATACTTATGTCTTCTGAGTTTCTATTATGTGCCAAGCACTGCTTACCCTCAGGGTACAGTGGTGATCAAAAAGATGAGGTTTCTGTTCTTGAGTTTCTAATTTAGTGCATTTGATTTCAAGCTCTGGCTGTAAACTCAGAAAAACTTTACATTGTAACTGGTAGAGATATAAAAGCATACAAGGCCGGGTGCGGAGGCTTACGCCTGTAATCCTGAGCCTGCAATCCTGTAATCGAAGCACTTTAGGAGGCCAAGGCACCTGAGGTCAGGAGTTCAAGACCAGCCTGGCCAACATGGTAAAACCCCATCTCTACTGAAAATACAAAAATTAGCTGGGCGTGTTACTGCTGCATGCCTGTAATCCCAGCTACTCAGGAAGCTGAGGTGGGAGAATTCCTTGAACCCAGAAGGCAGAGGTTGCAGTGAGCCGAGATTGCACCACTGCACTCCGCCCTGAGCGACAGAGTGAGACTTTGCCTCAAAAAAAAAAAAAAAAAGCATATGAATGTGTGCATATGTATATATAAATTATATACACAAGCGCATGTGTATGTGTAGCTAAAATATTATGAAACTTTACCTCACTACATCTGGTGCACTCTGATATTTTCTTTTCTTTTCTTTTTTTTTGAGACAGGGTCTCACTCTGTTGCCCATGCTGGAGTGCAGTGTTGTGATCTTGGCTCACTGCAGCCTGGACCTCCTGGGTTCAGGTGATCCTCCCGCCTCACCCTACCAAATACCTGGGACTGCAGGCGTAGGCCACTAAGCCCAGCTAATATTTTTGGATTTTTAGTAGAGATGAGGTCTCGCTCTATTGCCCAGGCTGGTCTCAAACTCCTGAGCGCAAGTGATCCTCCCACCTGGACCTCCCAAAGCACTGAGATTACAGGCGTGAGAGCCACTGTACCTCACCCACTCTGGTATTTTCTTTCTTTTTTTTTCTTTTTTTCTTTTTTTTTTTTTTTTTTTTTTGAGACGGAGAATTTCACTCCTGTTGCCCAGGCTAGAGTCCAGTGGCACAATCTTGGCTCACTGCAACCTCCACCTCCCAGTTCAAGCGATTCTCCTGCCTCAGCCTCCCAAGTAGCTGGGATTACAGGCGCCTGTGACCACATCCAGATAATTTTTGTATTTTTAGTAGAGATGGGGTTTCACCACATTAGCCAGGCTGGTCTTGAACTCCTGACCTCAGGTGATCCACCCGCCTCAGCCTCCCAAAGTGCTGGGATTACAGGCATGAACCACTGTGCCTGGCCTGGTATTTTCTATTTTTATTTAGGTTTCTGCTTGTTTATTTTAATGCTGGTCCCGGCCCATTAAGTAGATTTCACAACTCACTAATCCTAATGAATAATTGAGAAGCATTGATTTAATGAGCTCTTCATCTTTGAGGAAGAGACAGAAGCAGGAATTCAAGAAAAAATGTTAAAAGGAAATACATTGAGATGTAAGCAGCAGTTGTTAAGTGAATGAAATATTGCGTGGCTTTTTTTTTCTTTTTAGTTTTCTATATTTTCCAAGGTTACTATAGTAATATGCATAAAGAAATTTGCTTTCAGAAAAGAGAAATTACGAAACTGTGGATTATTTAGAAAATAGTCAGTTAGACCGGGTGCAGTGGCTCACGCCTGTAATCCCAACACTTTGGGAGGCTGAGGCAGGTGGATCATTTGAGGTCAGGCGTTCAAGACCAGCCTGGCCAACATGGTGAAACCCTGTCTATACTAAAAATACAAAAATTAGCCGGGCAATAGTGGCATGTGCCTGTAATCCCAGCTACTCAGGAGGCTGAGGCAGGAGAATCCCTTGAGCCTGGGAGGCAGAAGTTGTGGTGAGCCGAGATCATGCCACTGCACTCCAGTCTGGGTGATAGAGTGAGAGCCTGTCTCAAAAAAAAAAAAAATAGTGAATTATATATTTTTTTCCTTTTTTGTAGTATTGAGGAGGAAGTATAACACATGGTTAATAATGCTTTTCAGTTCAGCAATCTTGGATTTTAATCCTCATTCTGTCACTAATTAACTAATTTAGAGAAGACATTAATATTTTCAAGTTGAATTTTCTTTAGCTGTAAAATGGAGGTAATAATGCCTACTTCATTGGATTATTGTGATTATTGAAGAATTAATATATATAAGTTACTTAGTATAATGTCTGGTAGATAATAACAATTTAATAAATGGTAAAGTTACTTTTCAGGCCTAATTTTTTTTTTCCCCTAAGAGATGGGGTCTCGGCTGAGTGCAGTGGCCCACACCTGTAATACCAGCACTTTGGGAGGCCAAGGCAGGAGGATTGTTTCAACCCAGGAGTTCGAGACTAGCCTGGACAACATTGCAAAATCCTATGTCTACCAAAAATACAAAAAAATTAGCCAGACATGGTGGTAGCACGCCTGTAGTTCCAGCTACTTGGGAGGCCAAGGTGGGAGAATCACTGGAGCCTGGGAAGTCAAGGCTACAGTGAACCGAAATTGCACCACTGCACTCCAGCCTGGGTGACAGTGAGACCCTGTCTCAAGAAAAAAAAAAAAAGATGAGCTGTTGCTGTGTTGCCCAGGCTGGTCTTGAACTCCTGGGCTCAAACAATACTCCTGTCTCAGTCTCCCAAGTAGCTGGGATTATAGGCAGTCACCACTGTGCCCAGATAGCCTAATTTTTTTAAGAAAGACATCTTCTCAGAATCCTTTTTTAGCTTAGAATTGTAGGTGAAATCTTCAGCTGTGAATAAACTACATCATCACCTATGTGGAAAAAAAAACTTCAGTTGAAGACTCAGTTTATGTATCTCAGTGGATTTAGCATGCTTCCTGAGAAAATGTGGGCATTTAATGAATTTGGATACAATGTACTACTCTGTAAGATGAGTTTTAAATAGGCATTTCTTCCGGCATTTATGACTTTATAGTACACCTTTCTTCCCTCCTGTAGAAGATGCTTATAAGATCAGGATCCGTATTGATGATGAGCCTGCCAATCTGGACATTTTGGATACAGCTGGACAGGTATTAAATCCCAGAATGTTATGAGTAAAGGCTTTTTTACTCTAGCAAAGGGGAGGGGAAGGCCTACACAGAGAAGATCAATAGTTTATCTCTCTTAATTTTTCATGCACTCTGACTCAGGATAGCAGGTAATCGACATGCGTTTTCTTTAATCTGAAAGAAATAGCTAATTGTGTGTGTAGTTGGGCTAGATTGCGTCAATACATAATGACCCTTGTTTCCCTCTAGGCAGAGTTTACAGCCATGCGGGACCAGTATATGAGGGCAGGAGAAGGGTTTATCATCTGTTACTCTATCACGGATCGTCGAAGTTTCCATGAAGTTCGTGAGTTTAAACAGCTTATTTATCGAGTCCGACGTACTGACGATACACCTGTGGTTCTTGTGGGAAACAAGTCAGACCTCAAACAGCTAAGACAGGTGAGGATAGAGAAGAAAATACTGTCTATAATCTTATACAATTAGTCATTTTTGTTTCTTGGCTTACAGATTCTTGGCTTGGCTTACAGATTTTTTTGCCTTAAAATAGAAAATCAGGCTGGGTGAGGTGGCTCACACCAGTACTTTGCGGGGCCAAGGTGGGCAGGTTGCTTAAGGTCAGGAGTTTGAGACCAGCCTGAGCAACATGGCGAAACCCCATCTCTACAAAAAATACAAAAAAACATAGCTGGGCATAGTGGTGCATGCACATGTGGTCCCAGCTAGTTGGGAGGCTGAGGTGGGAGGATCCCTTGACCTGGGGAGGTGGAGGTTGCAGTGAGGTTGGGGCTACAGCTTACTGCAGCCTCTACCTCCCCAGCTCAAGCAATCATCCCAGTTCAGCTTTGAGGGTAGCTGGGACCACAGGCGTGTGCCACCACTCCCAGCTAATTGTTTTTACTTTTTGTGGAGACAGGATCTCACTATGTTGCCCAGGCTGATCTTGAACACCTGGACTCAAGTGATCCTCCTGCCTTGGCCTCCCAAAGTGTTGGGATTACAAGTGTGAGCCACAGCGCCTGGCTGGAAGTAGTTTGATAGTAGTCAAATTCATAATGCTTCTCTGTTAATCTCCATTGGAAAAAATTTATAGGGATTTATATATAACATGTTCATTGCAAGACTATTTATGGTAGAAGAAAATGAGAAACAATCTAGCTGTCCAAAAGTAGAAATTATGGCATATCCATAATTAGATGTATCAATTATGGGCTCCTAATAGTTTTCAATATTTTAGTGTAAGCATATATCTCTTTCCCTCCCTTTGTGTTTCTTTCTTTTTTTTTTTTTTTTTTTTTTGAGACAGAGTCTCACTCTGTTGCCTTGGCTGGAGTGCAGTGGCACAATCTCGGCTCACTGCAACCTCCTCCTCCTGGGTTCAAGTGAGTCTCCTGCCTTAGCCTCCTGAGTAGCTGGGATTACAGGCGCATGCCACCACGCCCGGCTAATTTTTTTTTGAGACGGAGTCTTGTCTGTCGCCCAGGCTGGCGTGCAGTGGCACGATCTCTGCTCACTGCAAGCTCTGCCTCCCAGGTTCATGCCATTCTTCTGCCTCAGCCTCCCGAGTAGCTGGGACTACAGGTGTCCGCCACCATGCCTGGCTAATTTTTTGTATTTTTAGTGAGATGGGGTTTCACCGTGTTAGCCAGGATGGTCTCGATCTCCTGACCTCGTGATCAGCCTGCCTCGGCCTCCCAAAGTGCTGGGATTACAGGCATGAGCCACCGCGCCCGGCCTAATTTTTGTATTTTTAAGTAGAGACGGGGTTTCACCATGTTGGTCAGGCTGGTCTCAAACTCCTGACCTCATGATCTTCCCACCTCGGCCTCCCAAAGTGCTGGGATTACAGGCGTGAGCCACCGCGCCCAGCTTTCTTTTTTTTTAATTTTTATTTTAATTTTGTTGTTTTGAGACAGAGTCTCACTCTGTTGCCCAGGCTGGAGTGCAGTGGCGCAATCTAGGCTCACTGCAACCTCTCTGACTCCTGAGTTCAAGCGATTCTCCTGCCTCAGCCTCCTGAGTAGCTAGGATTACATGTGCCTGCCACCACATCCAGCTAATTTTTGTATTTTAGTAGAGACGGGGTTTCACCATGTTGGCCGGGCTGGTCTTGAAGTCCTGACATCAGGTGATCCACCTACCTTGGCCTCCCAAAGTGCTGGGATTATAGATGTGAGCCACCACACCCAGCGTTTTTTTGTTTTGTGTTGTTTTTTAGACAGAGTTTCACTCTTATCACCCAGGCTGGAGTGCAGTGGCATGATGTTGGCTCACTGCAACCTCTGCCTCCTGGGTTCAAGCAATTCTCCTGCCTCAGCCTCCCAAGTAGCTGGGATTACAGGCGCCTGCCACCATGCCCAGCTAATTTTTCTTTTCTTTTTTTTTTTTTTGATATAAAAGCATTTTTAAACTTTATTATTAATACTCAGGACATTAGGAATTTCCAGATTTTTTTCAGTAGCATTTGTAGAACCACTTTTGGTAACAAATACAGTAGTTAGGAATATGCATCCAGTTCAGAATGCATAATAATGTTTCTCCTGAATCCTTTCCGGCTAAAAACAGGGCTGGCACTGTGATGAGATATAGAACGAGAATCTACAAAAAACACTGTAACATGTTTGTTTTTTCCCAGAGGCTACATCCTCTTTTGCTGGAATACTTTATAAATACATATTAAAAAGTAAGGCAACAACTCCAAACAGTCCAAGCTGTTTGCTCAACTCTTTTCCCAATTAGATTTGCAATCCCGGTGATCAGTTTCATGGTTGTATTGTTTAGTGTTTCTTTCTTATTTTAGTAGAGATGGGGTTTCACCGTGTTGGCCATGCTGGTCTTGAACTCCTGACCTCAGGTGATCTGCCTGCCTGCTTCAGCCTCCCAAAGTGCTGGGATTACAGGCATGAGCCACCGCACCCAACTTTTTTTTTTCTTGAGACAGGGTCTTGCTCTGTCACTGAGGCTGGAGTGCAGTGGCGCAAACATGGCTTACCGCAGCCTTGACCTCCTGGGCTCAAGTGATCCTCTTACCTTAGCCTCCTGAGTAGCTGGGACCACAGGTGTATACCACCACATCCAACTAATTTTTTTTTCTTTTTTTGAGACAGAGTCTGGCTCTGTCACCCAGGCTGGAGTGTGACACCTGGAGTGCAGTGCCGCGATCTTGGCTCACTGTAACCTCCGCCTCCCAGGTTTAAGCGATTCTCCTGCCTCAGCCTCACGAGTAACTGGGATTACAGGTGCCCAACACCATGCCCAGCTAGTTTTTTTTAAGTGGAGACAGGGTTTTGCCATGTTGACCAGGTTGGTCTCGAACCCCAGACCTCAAGTGATCCACCTGCCTCAGCCTCCCAAAGTGTTGGGATTACAGGCGTGAGCCACCGCTCCTGGCCCCAGCTAAATTTTTAAAAATTTTGTAAAAGTAGGGTCTCACCATATTGCCCAGCTTGGTCTCAAGTTCCTGGGCTCAAGCAATCCTCCTACCTTAGCCTCCCAAAGTTCTGGAATTACAGGTGTGAGCCACCAAGCCCAGCCTATTTATCTTTCTTAAAATAAAAAGTATGGGGAAAATTAAGATTGTGTATTTGATATCTAAAACTATTCCCTGTTCCAAAAAGTATCTTAAAAATAGACTAGAGACCGGGCACAGTGGCCGACGCCTGTAATCCCAGTACTTTGGGAGGCCGAGGTGGGCAGATCACCTGAGGTCAGGAGTTTACAACCAGCCTGACCAACATGGAGAAACCCCGTCTCTACTAAAAATACAAAATTAGCCAGGTGTGGTGGCGCATGCCTGTAATCTCAGCTACTCAGGAGGCTGAGGCAGGAGAATCACTTGAACCCGGGAGGCCGAGGTTGTGAGCCACAATCATGCCATTGCACTCCAATCTGGGCAACAAGAACGCAACTCTGTCTCAAAAAAAAAAGTAGACTAGAAATAGAATCATATCATTTGAAGGCAGAATAAGAAACCTTAGAAGTAATCTAGCCTAAAATTACAAAAATTAGTGCTGTATGCTTGAACACCTCCAGAATTGAGAAGCTTTCTTTGTGTTAAGGTGGTGGTGCATTCAGGTTTTTGGACAATTTAATTGTTTTTCACTGTTATCTTTTCTCACATTTTGCCCTTAAAGGTCACCAAGGAAGAAGGATTGGCCTTGGCCCGAGAATTCAGCTGTCCCTTTTTTGAGACATCTGCTGCATACCGCTACTATATTGATGATGTTTTCCATGCCCTTGTACGGGAGATACGTAGGAAAGAAAAGGAGGCAGTACTGGCCATGGAGAAAAAATCTAAGCCCAAAAACAGTGTATGGAAGAGGCTAAAATCACCATTCCGGAAGAAGAAAGATTCAGTAACTTGAAGAGAAGATGTGAAGTGTTTATCTGTGAACTGCAGTGCTGTATCAAAGCAGTCCAGTAACCTGCAGTACTGAGTATGGTGCTTGCTCTTTCACTTAACTGATAAGAGGGACATGCCTACTAGGAGTTTTTAATGATGTGGTATTTAAAGTATTGTCTCTTAGTTAAGTATGATTTATTAACCCAGTGGAGCACTGTCTGCTTTTAAATTGTCACATTAGAATTTGTTCTACCAATGTTTTGGGTTCTGTTGCGCTATTAATTAATGTAAATTTGTTTATACCCAGGAGAATATGTATACCATGTGTGTTTGACTAAGTTCACAAGGGAAGTTTTTGGCTCTGCACTCCACATTATCCTTTAATTTCAATTTCCTGGGACTATCCCAGAGAAAGACCTCAGTCTCTTCTATTCACACTATGCTTCCTAGAGACAGAACAAAAATCATGTAGGGAAATTGGGGCTAATGAGATCAGTGCCAAATTTCAGCAGATACCTGTGAGGCTGACACCTGTTGCAGACTATGGAGTGGTGAGATTTGGGAAAGTTGGGCTATATGTTTGCAGGGACTTAAAAAGGTAGGTTCAGAACAGTATTCTCAGTACAAGCTTCGCTTTTCTAAGAAGTACACATTTGGCCCAAATTCACCGGGATAAGTGAGAACAGCCAGAAGCATAAAATGTGATGAAGGTTTCTCCTGGGAACCTTATTTTACTCTTCATTTCAGGGTTTTCTTTTTTTTTTTACCTTCAAAGGTAGACATTTTGGGAATCATAACTGTATTACTAAACGTGTTTAATCAAAATTCATAGTTGGATCAGCCATTGCCTTGTACAGGTTTATTTTTTCCCCACAGACGCACACACCAACACATTTATATTCATTGCTTCCTCCCACTTTGTGCTCTGTAAAAGAGCTACAGCTGGCAAGATGTTTTTTCGGCCCTTCATCACTGATTGCATTTTCCATACAGAAGAGACATCAGGGGTGTGGGTAAAATTGTGTGTGTGCCTCCTTGACGTGGACAATCACTAGACTCAGTGCTCTGAGAAAATCTGCTATTTCTGTTGAATGGGTCAGTCTTAAAGCTTTAAAATTCACATAGGTGGAGTTTCCCATCTGAAGATTTCTTTACAAGGACTTTGCTAAGTTCATCTCAGGGTTATCTGAGCCTTGACCAAGTTTATCCTAAGGGAATACCACTTTGCTCCCTGTGCATAGTTTAGGAACTGTAGTCCTAGGAGGAAACAGCTTTAAATATTGGTAGTGAGTTGTCTAAGATCAGGACTGTTTTGATATCTGACCTTGTTATATGCGGAGAGTAAATGCAAAAATGCTAAGAGTAATGCATCATGTATTGAATATTAAGTGTCACTGAAGCAATGTTTGTGTTGACTAGAAACGTAAGATGACTTGTGTAGCACCTCTTTATAAGCACACAGCTCATCTTAATATTTTCCATTTTTATTAGAGGAAGTAGGACAGAGTTGTGTTTTTCTTTATAAACAAATGATAAACTAGCTTTTTTAAAAAGTGACTGTTAGAACTTTTTTAGCTCTGAGTAGTGGTCCCTTTTTAAACTCCTGGAAACATTTTTGTTACCAAATAAATCATGTTTTATGGTACTCAGCCATCCAAAAGTGAAAGACCTAGCATTTGATTCTGTGCAGGACACAAATCTCACAGGAACTATAGCACTTTGGAAAAGCATCAAAGTAGAAAAGAAATACAGTGCAATTCTATTATGAGAATGTTTTACATTTAAACTGGTTTAGCACCTTTTAAGTTTAAAGCCCATAGCTTCTTATTACTAGTGACCTAGGGAATTGTTATTAACATTAAGAGATATATATATATATATATATATATATTTTTTTTTTTTTTTTTTTTTTTTTTTAAATAGAGATGAGGTTTCACTATGTTGCCCAGGCTGATCTCGAACTCCTAGGCTCAAGCAATCCTCCCAATATGCTGGGATTACAGGCATGAGCCACCACCTGGCCCAAGCAAGAAATTGACACTATATAGTTATTTAAGGTAGTCAGGCAGTAGAAACATTGCCAGAAGGATAGAAAGGAATTTGGATTATATATAAGGAAAATAACAAATCGGTGTTTTTAAGACTATCACTGTCATATATTAGATCCTTGTATTAGTCCATCCATTAATATTAGTTCTATTCGTGGTGCTAGGTAGCTTGACAGGTATGATATGCATAAGTCATAGCTCTATTCTTAGTGTCATAAAGTGTAGCTAATTTATAAGCTCTAAGTAATCAGCTTTATCTAATTTGAGGGCATTAAAATTACTGCCTAGAACTTTGAGAAGAGAAAAATTCAGGGATAAGTTGAAAGGCACTGGAACTGTTCATGTCCATACCAGACCGGTAAATTATAAGATCCAGATGTTAGTGTCTAGAATTAGCTGTTTAGAATTCAGAGGGGACATATGTTTTAACTTTGTCATATATTAGCAAGAATTGGTCTACTGTGATGTTTGGGGAGGAGGAGGGGGGGATAATTTTTTTAATGCACTTGTATGTGAAGACAGTTTGTATGACATAATACAAAACTTTTAAACAACTTGGGCTTTCCTTTGCTTCCCTATCAGTGGGTAGAGTTTTTGGAATCATTGCAAAAGAGTTGTTTTCAGAAAAACATAACCATGAGATGTGATATTCTGGAAAATATGAATTCAAAAAATTTGAGTGCCCACCATGAACAAGACACCCATGTCAAGTGCTAGGGAGCATGCCATGGAATCCCCCTTCATTTGAAGAGATTACCTCTTGGGAGGAGACAGGAAAAACACATATGGAAAATGACAGCACATTTGCTACCTGATCAAGGGTTACTTAAAGTTGTTATAAGTAAATACACTAAATGAAAAGTGAAAGAATGATTTTTTTTTTTTTTTTTTTTTTGAGACAGAATCTCGCTCTGTCGCCCAGGCTGGAGTACAGTGGCGCGATTTCGGCTCACGGCAAGCTCCGCCTCCTGGGTTCACGCCATTCTCCTGCCTCAACCTCCCAAGTAGCTGGGACTACAGGCGCCCGCCACCACACCTGGCTAATTTTTTGTATTTTTTAGTAGAGATGGGGTTTCACCATGTTAGCCAGGATGGTGTTGATCTCCTGACCTTGTGATCCACCCGCCTCAGCCTCCCAAAGTGCTGGGATTACAGGTGTGAGCCACCGCACCCAGCCAAGAATGATAACTTTTTACCTGAAGGTCATTTAATCTCCATTACTGTAAATGGCCACCAGTGTTGGTAGAGAGGACCTAATTTGAACGTTAAACAAATGGATTTTTTTGTTTTGAGACAGAGTCTTACTCTTATCACTCAGGCTGGAGTGCAGTGGTGTGATCTGGGCTCACTGCAGCCCCTGCCCCCCAGGTTCAAGTGATTCTCCCATCTCAGCCTCCTGAGTAGCTGGGATTACAGGTGCGCACTACCACGACCAGGTAATTTTTGTATTTTTATTAGAGATGGTTTTGCCATGTTGGCCAGGTTGGTCTCAAACTCCTGACCTCAAGTGATCCACCCTCCTCGGCCTCCCAAAGTGCTGGGATTATAGGTGTGAGTCACTGTATCTCGCCTGTCTTTGGTTTAAAAAAGACAGTCTCCGTCTGCTAGGCTGGAGTGCGGTGGTGTGATCATGGCTCACTGTAACCTTGAACTCCTGGGTTTAAGTGAAAGATCCTCCTGCGTCAGCCTCTTCAGTAGCTGGGACTACGGGCACATGCCACCATGCCGTGCCAAATTTTTACATATTTTGTAGAGGCGGGTCTCAAACTCCTGGCCTCAAGCAATCCTCCTGCCTCAGCCTTCCAAAGTGCTGGGATTACAGGCTTGAGCCACCTCACCTGGCCCAAGAGTGGATTTTTATGTCCTCATTATTATTTAAGTTTTTTTTTTTTTTTGAAACAGTCTCACTCTGTCGCCCAGGCTGGAGTGCAGGGACACCATCTCAGCTCAGTGCAGCCTCTGCCTCCCGGGTTCAAGTGATCTTTGTGCCTCAGCCTCCCAAGTAGCTGGGATTACAAGCATGTGCTACCACGCCTGGCTAATTTTTTGTATATTTAGTACAGACAGGGTTTCACCATGTTGGCCAGGCTGGTCTCAAACTCCTGGCCTCAAGTGATCTGCCCGCCTTGGCCTCCAAAGTGCTGGGATTGCAGGTGTGAGCACTGCACCCTGCCTATTTAACATTTTTGAATGGTCAGTAACTGTCAGTGTCCACTAGAAACAGGTACTGGAGGAGTGGCATTCCATTTTTCTTTCCGTCTCTTTTTTTTTTTTTTCTTCACTTGATTTAAAAAATCATTCCCCTGGTCGGGCACAGTGGCTCATGCCTGTAATCCCAGTACTTTGAGAGGCCAAGACAGGTGGATCACGAGGTCAGGAGTTCAAGACCAGCCTGGCCAAGATGGTGAAACCCTGTCTCTACTAAAGATACAAAAATTAGCTGGGCGTGGTGGTGGGCGCCTGTAATCCCAGCTACTCGGGAGGCTGAGGCAGAGAATTGGAATTGCTTGAACCCGGGAGGCAGAGGTTGTGGTGAGCTGAGATTGCGCCATTGCACTCCAGCCTGGGCAACAGAGCAAGACTCTATCTCAAAAAAAAAAAAAAATTGTTCCCCTCTTTGATTAAATTACTCATACTTAATGGCATTCCATTTTCTAATGTAACCTCTGTTAGAATAAGTAATGGAATTTCAGGTGAAGTATTTATAAGCCTCTTCCATGTATTAAGCACTGTTTTAAAGAGCTGTGAAGGATTCAGAGGAATATAGAATACGGGCTGGCATAGTGGCTCATGACTGTAATCCTAGCACTTTGGGAGGTGGAGGTAGGCAGTTTGCCTGAGCTTAGGAATTCGAGACCAGGCTGAGAAACATGGTGAGACCCCATCTCTACTGAAATACAAAACAAAAAAAAAATTAGCTGGGTGTGGTGGCCCACACCTGTAATCCCAGCTACTCTGGAGGCTGAGGCACAAGAATCACTTGAACCCAGGGGGCGGAGGTTACAGTGAGCCAGGATCGTGTCACTGCACTCCAGCCTGGGCAACAGTGAGACTCTGTATTTAAAAAAAAAAAAGTGTATATATATATTTTTTTTGTACATGTATATTGTATATATATATACACCAAAAATATATATATGTTATTCCTGCTCTGGAGCTTAGATAAAATTTATATATGTAGCCAGGTGCGGTGGCTCACGCCTGTAATCCCAGCACTTTGGGAGGCTGAGGTAGGTGGATCACGAGGTCAGGAGATCGAGACCATCCTGGCTAACATGGTGAAACCCATCTCTACTAAAAATACAAAAAAAATAGCCAGGCGCGGTGGCGGGCGCCTGTAGTCCCAGCTACTCGGGAGGCTGAGGCAGGAGAATGGTGTGAACCTGGGAGGCAGAGCTTGCTGTGAGCTGAGATCATGCCACTGCACTCCAGCCTGGGCAACAGAGCAAGACTCCGTCTCAAAAAAATAAATAAAATTTGTATATATAAAACAGCTAGAGGTCAGTCTTAAAGTAATAAGTCATATGCTTCAAACTGGAAATGTTATAGGAATTCAAAAAGGAAGGAATTAGTAAATGTAGTAGACTCCTAATAAGTCATTGGTAGTGTTATGCCTTTTCCAAACTCGTACAGAAATTTGAAATCTTGCCAGGCACGGTGGCTCATGCCTGTAATCCCATCACTTTGGGAGGCTGAGGCAGATGGATCACTTATGGTCAGGAGTTCAAGACCAGCCTGGCCAACATGGCGAAACCCTGTCTCTACTAAAAATACAAAATTAGCTGGGTGTGGTGGCATGCGCCTGTAATCCCAGTTACTTGGGAGGCTGAGGCAGGAGAATTGCTTGAACCCGGGAGGCAGAGGTTGCGGTGAGCCAAGATCGTGCCACTGCCCTCCAGCCTGGGCGACAGCAAGACTCCATCTCAAAAAAAAAAAAAAATTTTTTTTCAATCAACTTTTGTTTTTTAAGTTCAGTCTCCATAGAGATTGTCAAAAATTGCCAATGCCAGGGTATTGGGAAAAGTTTTCAATTAGCAATAATCATGCCTCATTGGCTATAATCCTGTCACTGTACAAAGCTGTCCAATCAACTTTTAAACATATGCCAGGCACAGGGCTCACGCCTGTAATCCCAGCAATTTGGAAGGCTGAGGTGGACAGATCACAAGGTCAGGGATTCAAGATCAGCCTGACCAACATGGTGAAACCCCATCTCTACTAAAAATACAACAAAAATTAGCCAGGCATGGTGGTACGCGCCTGTAATCCCAGTTACTCGGGAGGCTGAGGCAGGAGAATCACTTGAACCCGGGAGGTGGAGGTTGCAGCGAGCCAAGATTGCGCCACAGCACTCCAGCTTGTACGACAGAGCGAGACTCCATCTCAAAAACAAACAAACAAACAAAAAACCATGAGTTGGCCTTGAGACAAAACTACTGAAATGTTTTAGCTTTATCTAATAATGTTTGCTTAAAAAAAAACTCATGATGAGCAGCTTTTGGTTCAGTGCATACATTCCACAGCACACGTGATCATATCATGAAGTCACTCAGTTTTTTGAACAAAAGCTGCTGCAGTGGGGACATGTGTCATTTCCTGCCCTTCCTGGAGCTAGTTATTGCCAGAGTTTATTGCAGTTTTCTCTGAGCCAGAAGAAAAACTTTAGCTCCAAAACATCTCCCACAAAATGCTTTCCCTAGTTTCCTGGCAGAGGAGTGTGCAGGTGAGGGGGCAGAGGCAGAGAAATGTATGGCTTTTATGAGGATGGGTCCAAGTGCTCAATACACTGCAATCCAACATAAAATCTCTGCTGCCCAGGAAGGCATGTACATCAATCTAGTCAGCCAGAGAATTAAATTGTGCATTCCCACCCAAAACATTCTGGACACTCTTATTTTCATGTCCTTAGACTCCCGAAGAGAAATACATGGGTCTAGTTGCAACTAACACACACCTACCACCATCATCAAAAAACACAAAACCAAAACCGATCATTATACCAAACTTCTTTTGAAACTCCAACTCAGAATAAGTAGGAAGAAGAGACAGCCTTTTCAGGTTTGCTTTAAGTCTGCTTCCCAGACAATATTTTGTTCCCTGCCTGCCTGCCTTTCTTGGGTATCCGCTGCATGCCAAGCAATGTGTTGGCATTGGGAATTCAACAGTGAATTTAAAAAAAAGCTCACAGTTCTTAGAGTCTCAGTTCTTTTCAGTGGGCACCTCTAATTCTAACGTGCAAAATCTGACACAGATTTGGATTGAATGGTGGGAGAATGAGAAGGAGTAAGGGACACATAGCAATTTCAACTGCTTGGTAAACAATAACTAAATGTTAACTTGGAAAAAAGCCTGAGAAGAAGCTGATTTGATGTGAGTGAATGTAAATCATGAAAATATCCAGTTTCATCCGGGTGTGGTGGCTCATGCCTGTAAACTCAGCACTTTGGAATGCTGAAGTGGTACGGTCACTTGAAGCCAGAAGTTCAAGACTAGCATAGGCAACATAGCAAGACCCCCATCTCTACAAAAATTTAAAAACTAGCTGGGTGTGCTGGTGTGTGCCTGTAGTCCCAGCTACTTGAGAGGCTGAGGTGGAAGGATTGCTTGAGCCCAGAAGGTGGATGCTGCAATGAGCTATGATTGTGCCGCTGTACACCTGCCTGGGTGACAGTGTGAGACCCTGTCTCAATAGATAGATAGATGATTGATTGATAAATAGATAGATAGATAGATAGACAGACAGACAGATAGCTACATAGGCTGGGCGTGGTGGCTCACGCCTGTAATCCCAGCACTTTGGGAGGCCGAGGCAAGAGGATTGCTTGAGCACAGGAGTTCCAACCAGCCTGTCTCCACAGAAAATTTTTTTAAGTTAGCCAGGTGTGGTAGCACGTGTGTCGTGGTGGTGCATGCCTGTGATGCCAGCTACTCAGCTACTTGGGAGGGTGAGGTGTGAGGATTAACCAAGCCCAGGAGGCTAAGGCTGCAGTGAACCATGTCACTGCACTCCGGACTGGGCAACAGAGCAAGACCCTGTCTCAAAATGTAAATAAGAAGAAAGAAAATGAGTTTTTCTCCTTATGGCCCTGTCAGAGGCTTTCAATTAGATTGAGATTTAATGTACTGTCTGGGCATGGTGGCTCATGCCTGTAATCCCAACACTTTGGGAGGCTGAGGTGGGCGGATCACCTGAGGTCAGGAGTTCGAGACTAGCCTGGCCAACACGGTGAAACCCCGCCTCTACTAAAAATACAAAAATTAGCTGGGTGTGGTGGCACATGCCTGTAATCCCAGCTACTCGGGAGGCTGAGACAGGAGAATTGCTTGAACCTGGGAGGCAGCGGTTGCAGTGAGCTGAGATCAGGCCATTGCAATCCGGCCTGGGTGGCAGAGCAGGACTCTGTCTCAAAAAAAAAAAGTAGTATTTGAGGTGAACTAACCAGCTCCCCAGGCTTAGACACAAGACTTGCTCATGAATTCCCATACTTTTATTCAAAATTTTCTGTTAGCGCATCTAATCCTGGGCCTGTTGAGCCTTAGGACTTCCTTTAGGACTTTGTTTCCTGAAGGCCAAACAGAGTTTTGAGCATTTCTTAGAGGTGTCCAGAAGGTGGTATTGACCCTAGTATAGACAGTGTTAGGCAATTGGGATGTTCACCAGTTTGCCGTCTCGTAAAAGTTATACTAGTTAAGAATCGATATTTTCTCAGCTTTCTGAAAAATGATGCCCTATGTGTAAACTTACATTGCTCTTGAAGTATTCAAAGAAAAGCCCAGGCTGTTTGCCTTTTCAGACCACAAGGTATGGGGGATGGATGAGAGCAGTACTGGAGGCCCTTACTAGGTGGGCACTAGTCTTTTTTTTTTTTTTTTTTTGAGACGGAGTCTCACTCTGTCGCCCAGGCTGGAATGCAATGCTGTGATCTTGGCTCACTGCAACCTCTGCCTCCCGGGTTCAAGCGATTCTCCTGCCTCAGCCTCCTGAGTAGTTGGGATTACAGGGTGTGCCACCACGCCCGGCTAATTTTTGTATTTTTAGTAGAGACGGGGTTCACCATGTTGGTCAGGCTGGTCTCAAACTCCTGACCTCGTGATCCACCTGCCTCGGCCTTCCAAAGTGCTGGGATTACAGGCATGAGCCACCGTGCCCAGCTGATAGTGGGCAACTCTTTTCTGGGAGTTTGTTATAAGGAGATCACATGAAAAAGCACCTTGGAGTGAGAGGTCTATAGAAAACAAGGTACAGTGGCTGGGCGCGGTGGCTCACGCTTGTAATCCCAGCACTTTGGGAGGCCGAGGTGGGTGGATCACGAGGTCAGGAGTTCGAGACCAGCCTGACCCTGGTGAAACCCCTTCTCTACCAAAAATACAAAATTAGCTGGGCGTGGTGGTGCAATGCCTGTATTCCCAGCTACTCGGGAGGCTGAGGCAGAAGAATTGCTTAAACCTGGGAGTGAGCTGAGATCACGCCATTGCACACCCGCCTGGGCAGCAAGAGCAAAACTCCATCTCAAAAACAAAAACGAAAACAAAAAAACAAACAAACAAAAATACAAGGCACAGTAGCTCCCGGTTATCCACAAGGGATACATTCATAGATCCCCAGAGGATGCCTGAAATCATGGATAGTATCGAACCCTATGTATACTTTTTCCTATACACATGTATCTATAATAACGTTAAATTTATAAATTAGATTCAGTAAGAGATTATCAACAGTCTAATAAAATAGAACAATTATAAAAATACACTGTAATAAAAGTTACATGACTGTGGTCTCTCTCAAAATAGAGTATTTTATTGTGTTGTACTGTGGGTAAGTGAAACTGCAGAAAACAAAACCCAGGATTAGGGTAGGGTGGACTACTGCAGTGCTCTTGGTTGGCTGCCCGCCCAGCATCTATTCCTCCTTCCAGAAAAACTGACATTTCATTCAAGAATTCACCTTTTTCCCGTGCCCAGCTCCAGGACAGTCCTAAGTGATCTAAAGAAAATTCCATCCTCCTTGTCAATGTTTGGTTCAGAAATGACCATGTTACATTTTGGATCAGGAAAAACAGACGAGAGGATTGCTAGAGGCTTTTCAGAATTTATTCTGGGAATAAGGCTCTCTTATTTTTCTGGGAAAGGTCCTGAGCCATCTCCTCTTTCCACCTGGCGGTGAATGAGGAAGCAAGAAACCTTGGGAGTGGTTCATCAGATGAAAGCCACAGGATGAAGCTGACATTGAATGTCAGGGGGGACCCACGGAAAGAATCTGAGTCCTTGACAGTATTAGTGACCTTTTGCAGAAGTCAACTTGGAAGGCTACCCCACCTTTGGACTTCCAGTTAGGTTAGCTGATGCATTTTCTTAATGTTTAAGCCAACTTGAAATGGGTTTCCTGTTAATTGTAGCCAAAAGTATGCTGAGTGCCAAGATAATCTTACCATCATTGTGATATGATGATGTTGTTATTTTTAAGACAGTCATCTAGAAAAAAGTAATATACAAAATGATATACATACCATGATTGCAATCATAAGTTAAAACAAATTGGAAGATGTGCCAAAATTAGCAATGCTTGCCTCTGAGTGGATTTCCCCCTATTTCTATGACTTGAACTTTATTTTACATATTTTCTACATTGATTCTGAGTGATGTATCAAGAAAAATATGCACAAGAGATAAGCTCAGAAGACAAAATGGGCCCAGGCACGGTGGCTCATGCCTGTAATCCCAGTATTTTGGGAAGCTGAGGCAGGAGGATAGCTTGAGACCAGGAGTTCGAGACCATGGTCAATAGAGCAACACCCTGTCTCTATTTATAAAAATAAGTAAATAAATATAAAAAATAAAAAAATAAAGAGACAAAGTAATTATTAAGATTTTGGAATCTTGACTATTTTTTTCTTTTCTCTATTTTCCAATTTTTTCTTTTTTCTTGAGACAAGGTCTTACTCTGTCACCCAGGCTGGAGTGCAGTGGCACTATGATGGCTTACAGAAGGCTTGAACTCTTGGGCTCAAGGGATGTCCCACCTCAGCCTCCCAGGTAGCCAGGACTTCAGGTACACGCCACCATGCCTAGCTAAGTTTTTGACTTTTGTAGAGACAAGGTCTCCCTGTTGCCCAGGCTGGTCTTGAACTCCTGGGCTCAAGCAATCCTCCTGCCCCAGCCTCCCAAGGTGCTGGGATGACAGCTGTGAGCTACTGCATCTGGTTCCAGTTTTCTTTTTTTTTTTTTTAAATGGAGTCTCGCTCTGTTGCCCAGGCTGGAGTGCGGTGGCACAATCTCAGCTCACTGCAACCTCCACCTCCCGGGTTCAAGTGATTCTCCTGTCTCAGCCTCCCAAGTAGCTGGAACTACAGGTGCATGCCACCATGCCTGGCTAATTTTTTTGTATTTTTAGTAGAGACAGTGTTTCACCATGTTAGCCATGATAGTCTCGATCTCCTGACCTTGTGATCCGCCTGCCTCGGACTCCCGAAGTGCTGGGATTACAGGCGTGAGCCACTGCGCCCTGCTCCAGTTTTCTTATAATGTGCTTATATTAGTTTATAATTTGAAAATATTTTGTAGTTCCTTCACTGAAACTTTTAAAGAGCAGGAATTGATTCTCCTTCCATTCTCTCTTCCTCTCACAGGGAGGATAAATTACACAGAACAGAAAATATGAAAAGTGAATCACTCCAGACTTTAAGGCATGTAGAGAAATCCACAAAGAGCAGTTGCAAGGGTCATATTACCCCCAGTATATTACCCTAGAGTGTTGCATTTTCCTGTGTTTCTTTTCTTTCTTTCTTTCTTTTTTTTTTTTGAGATGGAGTTTTGATCTTGTTGCCCAGGCTGGAGTGCAATGGCGCAATCTCGGCTCACCGCAACCTTTGCCTCCCAGGTACAAGCGATTCTCCTGCCTCAGCCTCCCAAGTAGCTGGGATTACAGGCATGTGCCACCACGCCCAGCTAATTTTGTATTTCTAGTAGAGACAGGGTTTCTCCGTGTTGGTCAGGCTGGTCTCCAACTCCCAACCTCAGGTGATCCGCCCGCCTTGGCCTCCCAAAGTCCTGGGATTACAGGAATGAGCCGCCGCACCCGGCCTGTGTTTCTTTTCTTTTAGAGCATTTCCTAATTTGTAATCATATATTTATTAGTGTAATTATTTGATTAATATTGTCCTCTGCTACACTCTACAAGAACAGCACTCTTGTTCACCAATGTATTGTATCTGTAGTGCCTGGCACATAGTAGACACTCAAATAAATATTTGTTGACTAATAAATGAATGAGAGGCCATTATCCTAAGCACAGGAACAGAAAACCAAGTACTGCATGTTCTTACTAGTAAGAGGGAGCTAAACATTGAGTACTTATGGACACAGAAACGGCAACAATAGAGACTGGGGACTACCAGAAGGGGGAGGGTTTAAAAACTATCGGCCTACACTTTGGGAGGCCAAGGTGGGTGGATCACCTGAGGTCAGGAGTTCAAGACCAGAGAAACCCCGTCTCTACTAAAAATACAAAAATTAGCCGGGCGTAGTGGTGCGGGCCTGTAATCCCAGCTACTTGGGAGGCTGAGGCAGGGAGAATTGCTTGAACCTGGAGGCGGAGGTTGCGGTGAGCCGAGATCGTGCCATTGCGCTCCAGCCTGGGAAACAATTGTGAAACTCCATCTCAAAAAAAAAAAAAAAAAAAATTAGCGGGGTGTGGTGATGCATGCCTGCAATCCCAGCTACTCAGGAGGCTGAGGCACAAGAATCACTTGAACCCAGGAGGCGGAGGTTGCTGTGAGCCAAGATCATGCCACTGCACTCCAGCCTGGGCAACAGAGCAAGACTCTGTCTCCCGGAAAAAAAAAAAAGACCAGCCTTCCCAAGATAGTGAGGGCCACATCTCTACAAAACAAAATTTAAAAATTAGCCAGGTGGCCGGGCACAGTGGCTCAAGCCTGTAATCTCAGCACTTTGGGAGGCCGAGGCAGGTGTGTCACCTGAGGTCAGGAGTTCAAGACCATCCTGGCCAATATGGTGAGACCCTCATCTCTACTAAAAATACAAAAATTAGCCGGGCAAGGTGGTGCGTGCCTGTAATCCCAGCTACTCAGGAGGTTGAGGCACAAGAATTGCTTGAACCTGGGAGGCAGAGTTTATAGTGAGCCGAGATCGTGCCACTGCACTCCAGCCTGGGCAATAGAGTGAGACTCTGTCTCAAGAAAAAAAAAAAAAAAAATTAGCCAGGTATGGTGGTGTGCACCAGTCTCAGTTATGTGGGAGGCTGAGGTAGGAGGATCAATTTAACTCAGGAGGTCGAGACTGTAGTGAGCCATGATTGCGCCACTCTATTCCAGCCTGGGCAATAGAGTGACTGTTTTAAAACAAACAAACGAACAACTGGGTACTATGCTAAGTATCTAGGTGACAGGATCATTAGGATCCCAAATCCCAGCATCACTCAATAAAGCCAGATAACAAAAACCTGCACATGTGTCCCCCCTGAATCTAAAATGAAAGTTGAAAAAAAAAATTATGGCTGGGTGTGGTGGCTCACACCTATAATCCCAACACTTTGGGAGGCTGAGGCGGGTGGATCACGAAGTCAGGAGTTTGAGACCAGCCTGACCAACATGTTGAAATCCTGTCTCTACTAAAAATATAAAAATTAGCCGGGCATGGTGGCGCCCTCCTGTAGTCCCAGCTACTCAGGAGGCTGATGCAGGAGAATCGCTTGAACCTGGAAGGTGGAGTTTGTAGTGAGCCGAGATCACGCCACTGCACTCCAGCCTGGGCAACAGAGCAAGACTCTGTCTCAAAAAAAAAAAAAAAGAAAGAAAGAAAGAAAGAAAATTATTCAAGCCAAACATCAAACATTAACTTTTGCCATTTAATGTTTCACTCAGAAATTAAACTTTCATAACCCAGTGCAAGCTGCATAAAGAAAAAGATAATTTGACTGGGCGCAGTGGCTCACGCCTATAATCCCAGCACTTTGGGAGGCCGAGGTGGGTGGATCACAAGGTCAGGAGATCAAGACCATCTTGGCTAACACAGTGAAACTCCGTCTCTACTAAAAATACAAAACATTAGCCGGGCGTAGTGGCGGGCGCCTGTAGTCCCAGCTACTCAGGAGGCTGAGGCAGGAGAATGGGGTGAACCCGGGAGGCAGAGCTTGCAGTGAGCCAAGATTGCGCCACTGTACTCCAGCCTCGGCGACAAAGCCAGACTCCATCTCAAAAAAAAAAAAAAAAGAAAAGAAAAAGGTAATTTATTAAGCCTTGGAACTGAGAAGGCTCAGATCTGTCTGAAGACACGGCTTCATCTGAGGTCAAAGATGTCATGGAGTCTGATTTCTCTCTCCCCCTGTTTTAGCTGTACTTCTGTGCAGGCTCCATTCTCAGGCTCTCTCCTCTCTGGGGCACAGTGACTACAGAAGCCTCAGCCCCACATCCTCCCATGTTCAGGTCTAGGGAGATCCTTCATAGCTCCTGACAGGCCTTGAGGCCGGGTGCGGTGGCTCACGCCTGTAATCCCAGCACTTTGGGAGGCTAAGGCAGAAGGATAACTTGAGGCCGGGAGTTTCAGGCCAGCCTGGCCAATATGGTGAGACCCCCATCTCTACTAAAAATACAAATATTAGCCAAACTTGGTGGCACGCACCTGTAGTCCCAGCTGCTTGAGGTCGCTGGAACCCAGGAGGCGGATGTTACAGTGAGCCGAGATTGAGCCACTGCACTCCAGCCTGGGCAACAGAGCGAGACTGTCTAAAAAAAAAAAAAAAAAAAAAAAAAAGTAAATGAATGAATGAGGGAACAGAATTGGCCTGTCTCAGGATTGCTTTTTGGGATAAATATTTCCAATTAAAGGGGCAGATTGATTCTCAGCACTACGAACCATCATCTCTCCCTCTGGTAGTGATGGTCTCAGAAATTACATTTCAAGAGGAAAACAGAAAGACCAGAAGTCCTAACTACAGCAAGCAGCAAACCAACTCACTTGTCAAATGAGAGTATCTAGGATGGGAGCCTGGAATCTGCATTTTTAAACAAGTGCCTCAGATGATTCTGAATCAAGTGGTCTGGGGACCACAGTTTGGAAAACACACCCTAGAACATCCTTTTGGAGTCTGAGTGTTAACCTCACTGAGAGTCCTCCAGCTTTCCAGAGAATCAGGCTGACATCACTGTGCCTATGTAATGTGAATCAGTCTTTATTTTGCACTTGTGTGGTGCATTAACAAATTCAACATACAAGATAGCATTACATATTGTAGATTAGCATTACAGCATTATGCAATTTCACACAATTCATGTTAGCTTTTTCAGTTTTCTTTTTTTTTCAAAATTTGACACATTTATTTTATTTTTGAGTTTCATTTTTACAAGAGAAGACACAAGGTAAAGAAAGACAACCACTTTGGAGAGGGATCATGGTGAGGGCAATGTCACTGTCATGGCCATAGTACAAGCCTTCCAAGAAAAGGGACCTGCGTTATTCCCTCTCCTGAGCAAGCTGCCCCTGTCCCACAAACCAGTTCTATCTGTTTTCACATCTAGAGCACTGTCCATAAACATGTCCATCTTGGCTGTGCTCCAGTGAGATGAACTGAAAGAAGGAATAACTCATAAAGGGACCTTTGTTATTAAGAAAAATTCTTGTCTTCCCAAAGGAATCAAGATCTCTTCAGAGAAGGAGCAACTGTTGGAAAATCAGAAGTGACCATTCCCTAACCTATTCCTGACCACGAATGCCTTGTGCAAAAGCTAAGATGTGACTCTCTTGTCTTTCTTTCAACTGACTCTTAGGAGAAGGCATTCCTCCTCCACTCTTATCAGTTAGCTCTGGAAAGAACAAATGTGAAAGCCAAAGTCAGCTAAGAAACTTTGAGACGGCAAAGTCAAGGGCACGATGGATCAGGCCTGAGGTAGGAGGGAGGAGCCCTGCACTGTCCGCCTCTTTGCCTTTTTCTGGCAAAGACACTGAGGCAGTTCCTAGGCTACAGAACAACTGGTTCCTCCCCTGTCACCTCAGCACCCACTGCTCAGTAGACCCAAAGATGCAAGGAATAAAGCTACAAGGAAATGGGGAAGAGAGAGGAGAGTGGGGTGAGGCTGTTTTCCCAGACGTTTGTCAGGAGGAGCTACAGAGGCACACACAGCAGGGCAAAGACCAGACTATCTCCACCTGTTGTTTTGCATTGTTTCTGGGAAGGAAACAAAAGCGGGTTTGCTCAGCGATTTCTGATCTTTAGACATTAAGGCGATGAAGAGGAACCATTTAAATTTTTTCCTAATGGGGCTTCAGAATGCTCCTGTCAGATTTACATTAAACTATCTCAAAATGCATTTTTAGAAAACAAAAATTATTTTCTTCTACTTATGATACAGTATTTACATTTCATGGGGTATAGGACAGAGACTAGTGGTATGACCCCAACTGATGGTGAAGTTGTGAGTCAGATTATGGGGGGTGGGGGTTGGCAGGGACAAGAACAGAGAGTAGGCTTTGTGACTGCTCAGAATTGCTCTGCATTGTCAAGAACATGGGCTGAAATCAAACAAAAGGTTTAGGGGGAGCAGAATGGTTTTAAATCCACAAAAGCTGAGGGAACACTGAAAGCAAGATCACCCCCCCGTCCATAGAGACTCAGCTTTCCGACTCCCTTCGCCAAAGCAAGGTTAAAAGTGATGTTCTTCTATGGAAGTGAACACTTCAGTCTCAACTAACCTTTCACGCCCTGGATCAAGCTGTTAAGCAACAGCTTGACTGAGTTCCTCCTCAGGTGGGCAAAAATATCTACTGCCTATCCAAGTTTACCTAGTTTATTTTAATTAATTAATTAATTAATTTTTGAGACAGGATCTCACTCTGTTACCCAGCCCAGAGTGCAGTGGCATGATCATGGCTCACTGCAGCCTCTACCTCTGGGCTCAAATGATCCTCCCACCTCAGCCTCCTGAATAGCTGGGACCACAGGCGTGCAGCACCACACCTAGTTAATTTTTTGTATTTTTGATAGAGATGGAGTTTCGTCATGTAGCCCAGGCTGGTCTTGAACTCCTGGGCTCAAGCGATCTTTCCACCTCGGCCTCCCAAAATACTGGGATTACAGGCGTGAGCCACTGCGCCCGGCCCCAAGTTTACCTATTATCCATGGAGTCTGTGCCATCTGCAAAGTCTCAACGTTGGAGACACAGCTGCTGTAGGAGTAAAGAGACTTGAATTCTAATCCCAGAAAGATGCTGAATCTCTCTCAACCTCTATTGCCCATTGGTAGAAGAAGAATTGCATCCTGTAGTTCCTCCATCCCTCCACCATGTGGTAAGACATAAATTCCAAGAATTATGCAGCTCGTTTTGAGGAAAAGAATGCTCTGAAAGAATCCAACTTATCTTCATTCACTCAGTCACACTGTTATTTTTTTAAGAGCTAAATTTTTATTGAAAAATTTAAGGAGAACTTCTGAGGGCCCCTGTTTTATGAAGCAAAGCTAACCTCATTACAACATCTAAGCTATTTGAGAAGACTCTAAAGCATCTCCATGGTCGGCATTTCCAGAAAAACAAAGGCCAGTGTAATTCTTCAAACCTCTGATGACTTCCAACCCATCAACCAAGAAATGGCTGTCACTACAGTAGATAGCTGCAAAGGGGAATGGCTGTCGTCACTTGTCTCCTCTCCTTGTCCTTATACCTGAAAACAGCTTTTGGGATCAGCTGGATGTGTTCATTGGTACTATCCTATAGCTGAATTTGAAGTTTCCAAAGCTCCTTTTAGAGAAGTCATCAAGTTTGATAAAATCCAAGTTCTGATGTCTTGGATGCATAAGTCTGATGTATTCTCTGTGCTTCAGTTAGGTCTGTCAGTTAATTATAGACTGCCTTTTACTACTTCATAGCAGAAGAGCTGATAGCAAAAATACCCCATTTCTCAATTCCTCTTTCTCCTGCAAACCTTGCCTCATCCACCCCACCTTTGTTTCTTGGCTTACTGCAGACCTCTAGACCTTGAGGTCAAAGAGCAGAGATATAAGAGGCAATAAAAAGAAAAGATGGGAATGATGAAAACATGAGGTTTTATAAGAGCAAAATTTTCTTCTGCAGAGGTGGGGAGTGGGAGAAATTCTCCAGAGAAGCCCAATAAAAAGAAGCCAATTTCAGGTAATCAGCAAATACAATTCAGCACAAAACACAATTTCCATGGATTAAAATCTGCAACTTGATATTGGCAGTTAGGCTAATTTCTTCAGTTTGTATTAGACATGCAAGTATATGGTTACATTGTTATATATAGATTTATAGGGGTCTTTCCCTCTCTTTTGTCCCCCATTAAAAAAAAAAAACAAAACAAAACCAGAGGCCGGGCACGGTGGCTCGCACCTGTAATCCCAGCACTTTGGGAGGCCGAGGCGGGTGGATCACCTGAGGTCTGGAATTCGAGACCAGCCTGGCCAACATGGTGAAACCCATCTCTACTGAAAATACAAAAAATTAGCCGGGCATGCTCGTGGGTGCCTGTAATCCCAGCTACTTGGGAGGCTGAGGGAGGAGAATCACTTGAACCTGGAGGGCAGAGGTTGCAGTGAGTTGAGATCTCACCATTGCACTCCAGCCCGGGCAACAAGAGCGAAACTCCACCTCAAAAAAAATAAAGTAAAATAAAAGATTCTAGCGCCTTGCAAAGCAGAAAAAAAAACATCATTGCTAAGAACTGATCTGCAGCTGTGGTCATATAGGGTGTTCTTTGTGGAATTTGTTTTGTAAGAAATTTTCTTCTACAACTAAAATGAGGTTTGGAGTCCACTTCTCTGTCATCTTTTTCCCCTCCACATCCCTCCCCAGCTTGGCCCCCGGGGATTAGAGGAGAGAAGAACAGGATTAGTACTCGCTCAGACTGTGCCACTTGGCCACAGGCTTGCGGGGGCTCTCGCAGACCTCTCTCCAGTGTTCAGCACCACTGGCTGTGACACTGTGTGCCCCCAGGATCAGCCTCCCCACCACCTCATTCTTGGTGGTGCGATCGAAGTCGATAACGAGGAACTCGATGCTGATATCAGGCAGGAGGTCAGTGGGGATGTCGTAGATGAAAGATTCATTGAAGATGGGGTTCAAAGTGCACTTCTTCACATGGGTTTTCTTCTTGGCAATGCGCTTTCTGCCGTAGTAGACGTTCACCTTGACATAAGGATCTGGGGCCCCCAAAGAGATAAGAAAAAGGGAGACAGACCTATGACACAGTCCTCTCCTATGTAATGGTAATTTCATGTTGGGAAAGGGGGGGCTCTGTTGTTCGTATCTTTGATGGCCATCCCATGTGTTCTTTAGTGATTGCACAATAAACACACACTGACTATATGTGAGTCTGCCTGCCTGGATGAGGGGCCAAGGAAACCAAGCAGGAATAGAACAGAACAACTTTCTCAGGTTAGGTCTGAAGAAATCCCATGATACCAAGAAGTATATTAAAGGGCACAGAGACAAATGCCTGCAGCCTTTTTGAGAAGTCTCTCTTAGCACCTGGCATGAATATTATTTAGGATACCTTGCCAAATGTAAAGACCCCATTTGTTCAACTGAAGAATCTTCCTAGCCAGGGAAATCTATTGGACGTAGATACTCATCAGGAAGAGAATGTCTACAGAAAGAGGAGCAGATTAAAAGTGAAAGAGGCAAGGATCTTGAAGTGTGGAGGTCTATCTGGGCCACAGGCAAGGAGTCGGGGATGGTTCAGACAGTAAGAAATAGGTTGAAGTAAATAGCTGCTACCTGAGAGACCGGTGATATCCATCTTCGGCAAGTGTCTGGCTTTGAGGACCACCACTGTCATTCTCTGTGCCACAGGCTGATATGACAGAGACACCTGGAGCTCCCCTCTGCTGATGCACTTCTGTGAGGAAAAAATGGCAGGTGAGAATCCTGGCAGAGGGTGCAGGGCAGAGCACAAAAAGTGTGCAGAGCAGTGGGAAGAGTCTGGGGGAGGACAAGTGCAGGGATGATAAGTTTTTTGGAAAGATGCTCATCCCCTGGAAAGGTGTTATGATTTTATTTAACAAGGAGGGAGAAAGGAAACATTATAACCATAATTCTGATATTAAATAATTTGCATGGAGAGCCCACATAGCCTTGGATTTATGAGCATGACCTCTGGAGCCAGATTAGCCTGGATTCAAATCCTGACTATTTCTCTTTTTTTTTGAGACAGGTTCTCACTCTGTTGCCCAGATTGGAATTCAGTGACGTGATCTTGGCTCACTGCAGCCTCCATCTCCTGGACTCTAGCAATCCTCCCACCTCAGCCTCCTGAGTAGCTAGGACTACAGGTGTGTGCCACCACATCTGGCTAATTTTTCTTTTTTCTATACACAGAGTCTCACTGTGTAGCCCAGGCTGGTCTTGAATTCCTGGTCTCAAGTGATCCTCCCGCCTCAGCCTCCCAAAATGCTGGGATTACAGGCATAAGCCACCATGCCCAGTTGCTATTTCTTATCTGTGACCTTGGACAAGTTACTCAACATCTCTGTACTTCAGTTTCCTCACCTATAAAATGTGGGTGAAAGGTTGTACCTACCACATAGCATTATCAGAAGGATTAAATAAGTTAAAATTTGTAAACTGCAATGGTGCCCAGCACATAGTGCGCACTATAGAAGTGCATCCTCTCATTTGGTTCTTATCCTTTAAAAAGTTCTGAAGACTGTACAGTGGGAGGTAGGAGAACTGGGTTTGAATCTTAACCTTGCCACTTACTCACCACATGTCCTTGGGCAAGTCCCTGAACCTGTCCCTGCATTTCACAGGGTGAATATCCACACCTGCTCTGCCCACCCCAATGTGCACTCCAGTGTATCTTCTCCAGCCAAGTCAGCTTCCTCCCCAGCACCCTGATCTTTGTTTCTCCATCTTTAAATGTGATGCTAGGCTCCATTTTGAGCTTGAAAAAACCTCTAGTCCTCCAATAACTTTTTTTTTGAGACAGAGGCTCGCTCTTGTCGCCCAGGCTGGAGTGCAGTGGCGTGATCTCGGCTCACTGCAACCTCTGCCTCCCAGGTTCAAGTGATTCTCCTGTCTCAGCCTCCAGAGTAGCTGGGATTACAGGTGCCCGCCACCATGCCCGGCTAATTTTTGTATTCTTAGTAAAGACAGGATTTCACCATGTTGGCCAGGCTGGTCTCGAACTCCTGACCTCAAGTGATCTGTCTACCTCGGCCTCCCAAAGTGCTGGGATTACAAGCGTGAGCCACCGTGCCTGGCCCCTCCAAGAACATTTTAAAGAACATTTTCATAGGCACTGCATGCCAGGTTTTGAGGATCCAGAGCTGATGGGACTCAGTTGTTGCTCCCAAGGAGCTTACCACTTAGTAGAAGAGTCAGAGAAGTAAATAAACCTGTGCGGGACTTGTCAGAGAAATGAGAAGCCTGTCTAAGTGCTCTGGGCACCTAGAGCTGGGAGATTCAGGGGAGGCTTTTTTAATTAATTAATTAATTAATTTATTTATTTATTTTTTAATTTTATTTTTTGAGACAGAGTCTCTCGCTCTGTCACCCAGGCTGGAGTGTAGTGGCGAGACCTCGGCTCACTGCAACCTCCGCCTCCCAGGTTCATGCCATTCTCCTGCCTCATCCTCCTGAGTAGCTGGGACTACAGGCGCCCGCCACCACGCCCGGCTAATTTTTTTTGTATTTTTAGTAGAGACGGGGCTTCACCATGTTAGCCAGGATGGTCTTGATCTCCTGACCTCATGATCCGCCCGTCTCGGCCTCCCAAAGTGCTGGGATTACAGGCGTGAGCCACCGCGCCCGGCCATGGAGATTCAGGGAAGGCTTTACCAGCTGATGCCTGGACTGAGTTGATGGGGGTACAAAACCATGAAGCAATGGGCAGAGGGATGATCATATCAGGCAGATTGACAGAAATGGCTGGTACAAAGGAGTTGGGCCTGAAAAGGTAAGCTGTGTTCAGAGAATGGTTGAGAGGTGAATATGCCTGAAGTGGGGGTGGCTGATAGGAGGGGTAGGTCAGGAACCTGGAAAGGTGGGCAAGGCTAGAGTAAAGGGCTGTTGGGACACTACCAAAGAGCAGAGTCAGCAGCACCCATACAAGAGGAGGTTGGTGAGTATAGGAGTGGCAAAGCTGTCATTTTTTTGAGTCAGGGTCTCACTCTGTTGCCCAGGCTGAAGGACAGTGGTGAGATCTCGGCTTTCTGCAACCTCCACCTCCTGGGCTCAGGAGATCCTCCCACCTCAGCATCCCAGGTAGCTGGGACTACAGGTGTGCACCAACATGCCAGGCTACATTTTGTATTTTTTGTAAAGACAGGGTCTCACTATGTTGCCCAGGCTGATCTCAAATTCCTGGGGTCAAGCAATCCGCCCACCTTGGCCTCCCAAACTGCTGGGATTGCAGGTGTAAGCCACCATGCCTGGCCAGTTGTCATCATTTTATTAAAATTATTATTATTTCAGAGAAAGGTGGAAAATGAGCTAAAGTCGAGGAAGACCAACATCAGAAAGCTCAGTTAAGAGGCCGCTATAGCCGGGAGCAGTGGCTCATGCCTGTAATCCTAGCACTTTGGGAGGCCGAGGCAGGCGGATCACGAGTTCAGGAGATCGAGACCATCCTGGCTAACACGGTGAAACCTGGTATCTACTAAAAAAATACAAAAAAATTAGCCGGGCGTGGTGACTGGCGCCTGTAGTCCCAGCAACTGGGGAGGCTGCGGCAGGAGAATGGCGTGAACCCGGGAGGCGGAGCTTGCAGTGAGCCGAGATTGCGCCACTGCACTCCGGCCTGGGCAACAGAGCGAGACTCTGTCTCAAAAAAAAAAAAAAAAAATTAGCTGGGCGCAGTGGCGTGTGCCTATAGAGCCAGCTACTTGGGAGGACTGATTGAGCCCCGGAGATCGAAGCTGCAGTGAGCTGTGTTTGAGCCACTGCACTTCAGCCTTGGTGACAGAGTGAGACCCTGTCAAAAAGAAGCTGCTGTGGCTGGGCGCAGTGGCTCACGACTCTATTCCCAGCACTTTGAGAGGTCAAGGCAGGTGGATCACCTGAGGTCAGGAGTTCGAGACCAGCCTGGCCAACATGGTGAAACCTCATCTCTACTAGAAATAGAAAAATTAGGCCGGGCGCAGTGGCTCACACCTGTAATCCCAGCAATTTGGGAGGCTGAGGTGGGCGGATCACGAGGTCAGGAGATTGAGACCATCCTGGCTAACAAGGTGAAACCCTGTCTCTACTAAAAATACAAAAAAATTAGCCAAGCATGGTGGCGGGTGCCTGTAGTCCCAGCTACTTAGGAGGCTGAGGCAGGAGAATGGCGTGAACCCGGGAGGCAGAGCTTGCAGTGAGCCGAGATTGTAGTCACTGCACTCCAGCTTGGGCAACAGAGCAAGACTCCGTCTCAGGAAAAAAAAAAAAAAAAAGAAATAGAAAAATTAGCCGGGTGTGGTGGCGGGCGCCTGTAACCCCAGCTACTCAGGAGGCTGAGGCAGGAGAATCGCTTGAACCAAGGAGGTGGAGGTTGAGGTGAACCTTGATCACGCCACTGCACTCCAGCCTGGGCGACAGAGTGAGACTCCATCTCAAAAAAGCAGACTTCGTTGTTCTGTAGCAACGTGCTACAGAAGAAATGATTGGGACTGGAACTAGGGCTGTGGCAGAGGAGATGGACATGGAGGTAAAATATGTCTCAGGAAGAATTGTCAGGGGTTTTTAGGCTTGGGCAGTTAATTGGCTGTGAAGCGTAGGGAAGAGGGAGGAAAGGGTGGACTATTTCTTGTGTTTTTAGCTTTAGAAAGTGGGGATGAGGCTGGGATAAAGAAAACAAAAGGAGGTGAGTTTTGGCCGGGTGCAGTGGCTCACGCCTGTAATCACAGCACTTTGGGAGGCCGAGGCGGACGGATCACGAGGTCAGGAGATCGGGACCATCCTGGCTAACACGGTGAAACCCCATCTCTACTAAAAATACAAAAAAATTAGCCGGGCGTGGTGGCGGGCGCCTGTGGTCCCAGCTACTGGGGAGGCTGAGGCAGGAGAATGGCGTGAACCTGGGAGGCGGAGCTTGCATTGAGCCGAGATCGCGCCACTGCACTCCAGCCTGGGAGACGGAGCGAGACTCCGTCTCAAAAGAAAAAAAAAAAAAAAAAAAAAAAGGGAGGTGAGTTTTGAGGAATGTAGAACATAATAAGTTAAATTTGGGACAAAATCATACCCCCACAATCACCCTTATTCCTTGTATTCTTCAAAGCCCCAAAGAAATGTCATCTACTCCAGGAATTCTTAAATTGAGCAAAAATAGACTATGCTCATCACCAACCTTATATACACCACACACCCACAAAAATGACTTGTTAGGCACTTATTAAGTGCCAGGCACTCTCTGCTAGAAGCTAGGGCTGAAAAGATGGATACTGAGGAATCCTACCCTTAAGAAGCTCCCAGGCTAGTTCACTATCTACTCAGGTATGTCTGGTGCAGGAAAGAACAGCGGCAGCAAATATGCCAATTAACTCATCAATAAAAAACAAGAAATAAGCCTAATAGTTTGTGCTTTGATTGTAGGCCTTAAGTCATCTCCAGGAATGAAACTGTGATATTTCACATGATTTTAAAAATTTATTGAGTCTATGTTTCGTCCTAGGAGCATATGGAAATGTCTCTCACAGGGCATAAAAAATAACTAACTAGGCTGGGTATGGTGGCTCACGCCTGTAATGCTAACACTTTGGAGGCCGAGGAGGGCGGATCACTTGAGGTCAGGAGTTCAAAACCAGCCTGGCCAACACGGTAAAACCCCGTCTACTAAAAATACAAAAAATTAGTGGGGCATGATGGTGCACACCTGTAATCCCAGCTACTCAGGAGGCTGAGGCAGGAGAATCGCTTGAACCCAGGAGGTGGAGTTTGCAGTGAGCTGAAATTGTGCCACTGCACTCCAGCCTGGGCGACAGAGTGAGACTGTCTCAGAAAAAAAAAAAATCTAACCAAGGTTTAAACCCACTCCTTAGCTTTTGAAATTGAAATACAAAAGGGGATCAACTTTAAAAATATTTTCATGTTTTTTCTCTGCTAGAGAGAAGCCCCACATTTTGTCCTTACCCATAACATATGTATTGTCAGCTTTTTTTTTTTTTTTTTTGAGATGAAGTCTCGCTCTGTCACACAGGCTGGAGTGCAGTGGTGCGATGGCTTACTGCAACCTCCACCTCCTGGGTTCAAGCAATTCTCCTGCCTCAGCCTCCCGAGTAGCTGGGACTACAGGCACATGTCACCATGCCCGGGTAATTTTTGTATTTTTAGTAAAGACGGGGTTTCGCTACATTGGCCAGGCTAGTCTCAAACTCCTGACCTCATGATCTGCCTGCCTCAGCCTCCCAAAGTGCGGGGATTACAGGCGTGAGTCACCATGCCCGGCCTATTGTCAGCTCTTAATCGTATCCATGGAAAGTATCCTCAGCCAGTTTTATTTTATTTTTATTATTTTTATTTTTATTTTTTTGAGACGGAGTCTTGCTCTGTCACCCAGGCTGGAGTGCAGTGGCGCGATCTCGGCTCACTGCAACCTCTGCCTCCCGGGTTCAGGCCATTCTCCTGGCTCAGCCTCCTGAGTAGCTGGGACTACAGGCGCCTGCCACCATGCCCGGCTAATTTTTTGTATTTTTAGTAGAGACGGGGTTTCACCGTGTTAGCCAGGATGGTCTCTATCTCCTGACCTCGTGATCCGCCTGCCTCGGCCTCCCAAAGTGCTGGGATTACAGGCGTCAGCCACCGCGCCCGGCCTTATTTTTATTTTTGAGATAGGGTCTCACTCTCTTGCCCAGGCTGGAGTGCAGTGGTGTGCATTCACTGCAGCCTTGACATCCAGGGCTCAAGTGATCCTCCCAACTCAGCATCCTGAGTAGATGGGACTACAGGCATGTGCTACCAGGCTCAGCTAATTTTTGTATTCTTGGTAAAGATGGGGTTTTGCTATGTTGCCCAGGCTGGTCTCAAACTCCTGGGCTCAAGTGATCTATCCGTCTCAGCCTCCCAAAGTGCTGGGAATACAGGTGTGAGCCACCATGCTTGGTCCCTCAGCCAATGTGTTTTTGTTTGTTTTGTTTGTTTTTCCCCTCGAGACAGGGTCTTGCTCTGTCACCCAGGTTGGAGTGCAGTGGCACGATCTCAGCTCACGGTAACCCCCACCTCCTGGGTTCAAGCGATTCTGGTGTCTCAGCCTCCTGAGTAGCTGGGATTACCGGCGTGAATCACCATGTCTGGGGTTTCCGCCACGTTGGCCAGGCTGGTCTTGATCTCCTGAGTGGAAGCCATCCGCCCACCTCAGCCTCCTTAAGTGCTGGAATTATAGGCGTGAGCCACCATGCCTGGCCCTCAGCCAGTTTTGAATTACAGTCTGGTTGCTCTTGCCAACCAGTATACTTCTGGGCTTTTTCCTTTTGCCAGAAATCAGAATGTAATCAGTGAATATAAACTCATTTTTACTATTAGCCACATCAAATGAAAAGTAATCCCATATGGAAAAGAAAATTGAATGGATTCCAAAACATTCAGAACTGAGCTATCCAATACAGTAGCCACTAGCTACACGTGCCTATTTACATTTTAATTTAAATTAAATAAAATTAAAATTATAGTTCCTCAGTTACACTAGCCACATTTCAAGTGCTCAATAGCGACATGTAGCTAGTAGCTACCACACTGCATGGTGCAAATATAGAACATTTCTATCATCATTAGACGGCACTGATCTAGAAAGGACTTTTGCATTGTTTTGGCTACTGCTCCCGTCTGTTTCCATGAATAATAATAAAATGTTAGCTAGGTTTGATATATCCATTTCTGGGGCCATCCTTCAATACTGAGTATCTAAATACTAAATATGCAGTCTTTAAATATGATTCTAACTTTATATACAGAGGAAGGATAGGTGGGGGAAAAGCAACGTTTCATTATTTCTTTTTTTTGAGACGGAGTCTTGCTCTGTCGCCAGGCTGGAGTGCAGTGGCGTGATCTTGGCTCACTGCAACCTCTGTCTCCCGGGTTCAAGCAATTCTCCTGCCTCAGCCTCCTGAGTAGCTGGGACTACAGGCACGTGCCACCACGCCCAGCTAATTTTTGTATTTTTAGTAGAAACGGGGTTTCACCATGTTGGCCAGGATGGTCTCAATCTTTTGACCTTGTGATCCGCCTGCCTCGGCCTCCCAAAGGGCTGGGATTACAGGCCTGAGACACCGCGCCTAGCCGACATCTGATTTTAAAAGCACAGTTTTATTTGCAAGAATAACACGAATGACAAGATTATAGCTTAGGTTTCCCGATTACTTATTTAAAATTCTGTATCCTAAATCATCCATTCTAGGAAAATCTTCCTAATCAAAATCCCCATGCCTCTTTCCTAGTTTTTTGGGAAAGTTGACAACTTCTGGTTACCCTTTTCATTTTTTTCTCCCTTAAAATCACTCCTCAGGCAACTGTCCTCCATCTGATCCCTCCTTCACCTTGTGCCATCTCACACGGGCAGCATGCCCATCCCCACTCAGCGCCGCTTTGTGATGCCCAAGTCTGTAGCCACAACACCACCTGAATGCCACTCCATTCTGCATTGAAGGCAATTTAATGTCATTCCCTCAAGCTCCCTCCCTTTCTCTTTCTACCCAATTCCCATTCCAAGTAGCTATGTCAATGGCTCTTTCTTTTGAAAGAGCCATTGAAGGCTGTGAGCAAGCTCTGTTTCCCAGCCCCTTGGCCTAGTGAGGCAAAGGCCCTGTTGGGGGGCAGGCAAGCAGAAGGACAAGGGGGAGAAAGGATTTTCTCATGCCTGACAGAGCTGCGGGGCTCGGCTCTCTGAGGGCAATCTCCTTGCTCCTTCAGTGGAACAGAGGAACAGGAACAGTGGTCCTAAAGAATACACTCAGAAGAAATAATACTTAGGCAAGGGATAGTCTGTTTTCCTATAATTAGCAGAACCTCTTTCAGAGTGATTTTCTAGCCAAGGAGCCCTTGTATTAGGTGGACCATCATAAGCTCAATAAACCCTTCTTGAGGCCAGATGTCCTGAGGGCCACCTCTAGCCTAAATCACAACCATGGGAAAACAAAACCTTAACATTCAATCCCATCCCCCTTTTCCTCCCTGCAATACACATACATGATCTGTTGCCCAGTCTGGAGTGCAGTTTGTGGTAATAGCTCACTGCAACCTCAAACTCCTGGGCTTCCCGCCTTGGCCTTCCAAAGTGCTAGTATTACAGGGGTGAGCCACTGTGCCTGGCCATATTTTCTTTTATTTTTTTATTTTTTATTTTTTATTTTTTATTTTGAGACAGGGTCTCCTTCTGTCATCCAGGCTAGAGTGCAGTAGCTTTTTCCTGGTCTATGTAATCCAGACCAGGAAAAAGCCCTTTACAGCCAGTGTGGCATGGTCCAGGGCAGCTCTAGCTGACGTTCACCAAGGAGAGATCCTACTTTGCTATGGTAGGGAGGATTTGGGATAGACATTTGCAGCCTGCACTTCTAGGGAACCTAGTGGATGAGTGACTAGGGAGATGACAGCCATGGCTCAGATGGAACATAGTCCTGCCTACGGGCACTGGTTGGGAAAATGGGTTTAGGAAGCCTGGGAGGCTGGAAGGCTCTAGGGTGGGGCTGCACAGGCTCTGGGTAACCTATCTCGGGCCTTCTCCAGGGCATGTGTTGCTCAGGATCCTAGCCCTGGCTTATCCCTCCTCAAGGGAGTTAATAAAGTGGAAAGAAATGTGGCTCTTGCCAAGAGCCCCTGGCAGCTTAGCAAATGCCATTGTCTGTGCTGTGTCCAGTGCCCTTGATTTGAGGCTGTTTTGTTCCCAGCCCAAATCAGTCCCTTTCATTGCCAGTCTCTTCCCAGCTGCAGCTTGGCACAGAGCCATGTTCTACTCCCAGCCTTGGGCTGCAAGTGTATAGCTGTCTGGAGGAGTCCAGCTGGTTGGTGACTTTACCAAGGTTGGAGTCACAGGGAAGGGTGTATTGGAAAGGCTCCTCCTTCAAGGAGAGGTAGACAAGGGAAGGAGTAGAGGATGGGAGCTGCTGTGAAGGGAATACGGAAACAGCAGAATGGGTCGGCAGAGCCCTGAGGAAAAAAGATGGGACAGGGGAGGGGAGAGAAGGGGATGAAACAGGCCACTGCTTCCATTTCTATTCACACCTTCTGATTCCAGTCTCAGAGGATGCGAAAACCCCTTCAGGGCTGGACTCTGGGATGTCTCATTGTATCCTGGCATTGAGAACCACAAGATGTTGTGGCAGTGTCTTGTTTATGCTCTGACGTTCACCAAGTTTTCCTATAATTAGCAGAACCTCTTTCAGAGTGATTTTCTAGCCAAGGAGCCCTTGTATTAGGTGGATGAACATAACCTCAATAAACCCTTCTTGGGGCCAGATGTCCTGAGGGCCACCTCTACCCTAAATCACAATCACAAATGTGTCTAATATTCTTCAAGATTCTTGGACTTCCCTGGCCCCTGTGACATGGATCTGAGTGTGCCAGGTGGCAGTAGCAGTTCCTTCAGGCAATGAAAGGCAGGACCGGGCTGGCTGCAGGGGGACAGGTGCCTACTACAGAGCAGAGAAGGCAAGAATACACACACACAAAGTGTGCTCCCTGCTGTCCCCCACCCAGACTTGGCACAGTACCCTTCTTCAGCAGGCAAACCTTGTTCCTGGGTACTCACTGCACACTCTGCACCTGCTAACTTAGGAGCCTCTTCTATCCAGTCCTGAGCCTCCTGTCTACCCACTGAGTCCAGTGAGGACTTGCAGGTAAAAAAGGTATCAAGAAATAAGTATGATCTGCCCACAGGCAGAGCTCTTTCTGGGAGATGTGCAGTTGTTTCTAGTGGCCTCGAAATTCTTTCCTAACCTCCTTCACCAATTCCTCCCTTGTCTTCCTTCACTGTGTCAAAACAAAATATAAATATTTACAAACCACATGCATCACCCAGGTATCAAACTTGACTAATAATAGGAATAACAATAATAGTAACGGTCACAATTTATTGAAGGCTCACTGTGTCCTAGTAGCTATATAAAATCATCATCCTACTCTATTCCCATAAGAAACTGAGACTTAGCGAAAGTGAAGCAGCTTGCCCAAGGTCATTTAGCTGGTGGAATTTGGATTTAAACTCAGGTCTGACTTCAAAGTCCTTGCTATTTTAACCACTTATGTTATACCCTGAAAAAGACATGAAACTCTAAGTTTAAAATTTCAACAACTTCTTTCATAGCACCTACCATACTCACTATACAGTAATTACAAAAAATATTTGTCTTTCTCCTTCAATAAAGTGAAACCTCTTCAAGGGCAATCATATGCCAGGCATATTATCTCATTTGATTCTCTGTAAGGAAGACAATATTATCAGCTCCATTTTACAAATGACAAAATAGAGGCTTAGAGGGGTCGAGTAACTCACCCGTGTCACACGGCTGGCAAGTGGTAAGCTGGAGAGTAAAGTCGTGCAGTCCAATTCTGGAGCCCAAGTGTTTAACTGCAGCATTTCACTGCCTCCCCAGTTGTGGAAGAAATAAATGAACTAATGGGGTTGGGTGGGGCTACACTTACTGTGCTCCTGAAATTACAACTCAAGAGCCAATGTCGGTCCAGTGGGAAGAGGGAGAGAGAAGGCAGGATGGAGGGCCCTCGTCCCTCTTCTAATACAAAGAGGGAGGACAGGAGAAATGGAGAGAGGGGAAGTGTCTATGGCAAAGGTTTGGGCCTAGAAGGGTGAAGCAATTCATTGAATTGCATTGTAAAATGGTCATAAGAAGACATGTGCATGACGGCTGGGTGCAGTGGCTCATGCCTGTAATCCCAGTACTTTTGGAGTCCGAGGCAGGTGGATCACCTGAGGATAGAAGTTCAAGACTAGCCAGGCTAACATGGTGAATCCCCGTTTCTACTAAAAATACAAAAAATTAGCCAGGCGTGGTGATGGGTGCTTGCAATCCCAGCTACTCGGGAGGCTGAGGCAGGAGAATAGCTTGAACCTGGGCGGTGGGGGTTGCAATGAGCTGAGATTGCGCCATTGCACTCCAGCCTGGGCGACAAGAGTGAAACTCTGTCTCAAAAAAAAAAAAAAAAAAAAAAAAGACATGTACATGGTATCATTTACACCCCTAGGTTAGGGTTGGGAAAGGGAAGCTGAGGGAAAAATTACTGAATTATTGTCATAGCTTCTCAGCTGTGAAAAATAAATTCACTGGAGGAAGATCACATCATTTTGGAGAGGAAATTAGCTCCCATATCCCTGATATAATGAAGGATCTACAAATGGTAGGCCAGCCTGTTCCAAGTAAGCTGGACAGCATCAGGATGCCAACCACTAAGTGAAATGGTGAAAGCTATTGAACCTTCTCTCACCAGGAAGTTGCTTCTTAGAGGAGACCTCATCTGCCAGGCCCTCTGTCTTACTCTGACCACTGCTTATCCTTGACATCCAAGAGCTTCCTCTCTACAGCCCTTCTTTGCCACCCAACCCACTCCCCTCCCACTTCCATTTATCCCCTGAGATATTTTCTCCCCCAACCTACCATTGCTCCCCAACACACACTTCCTACTCACCTGGATATTCCTTTTGATGATGTCCCTGGTCAGTTGTACCTTGCCTGTGCTGGGGTCCACCCCTGCCAGTGGCACCATGACCTCGCCAATGACATCATCCCGAGAGAAGCGGTCAAAGCTGAGGACAAGGAAGTGCAGCACCAGGTCCTGCAGCTGGCTGTAGGGGATGCCATAGAAGGTGAAGGTCTCGTCAAACACAGGGTCCAGGGTCTTCCGCAGCACTCTGGTCTTCACCCGATGCCGTTTGTCAGGAAGGATGGTCATTTTGATGTAGGGGTCAGATCCCTGGGTCTGGTCATCCATCACTGGCAGCCCATGGGCCTCCTGGATTGTCACCACCAGGGCTTTTTTCGGGAAGTTATAGTCCACTGAGAAGGTGAGGGATCCTAGCATGACATCCTCCTCTGGAGATGATGGAGAGGTGGTTTTGCTCTCCCCAGGGGTCAGGCTTGTAATAGGGCTCCTTAGTTCTTCCCCATAGTCCATTTTGATGGGTAATTGGTCTATACAAGATCCAGAGCTAGGCCCCCTGGGATCTTTGTCTCGGCTTAGCAGGCCAGCCTCTGCTGCGTCCACCAACAGGTTCCTACGTCCACCTTCCCTCCCAGGACCATCTTTGTCTCTCCGCACTTTGATGATTTTCTTCTTGTTGCTGAGGGTCTCTGGGTATATGCTGATGCCTTTGAGCATGTGAATAAACTTGTATGGTGGGTTCTTCTGCTTCTTCTCTGCCTGCTGGTGGCAGCATGACCAGACAAAGACGGTCACCGAGACACACACCACCAGCACAGAGGCCCCGATGAGGCCGGCCACCACCGGTGACACATCTGAAGGCGGAGATCAGAGATGTGTCAGGGCGGGTGGACTTCACCTCCTGTCTAGATCTCCCCTGCTCATTGCCACTGCTGGAGCCAAGCTAATCTTCAATCTAGCCTCTAAAGCAAAATGTGCTCATCTGGGCTTCAGAATTTTTCCCTTCTATTAGAGGCACCCTCTCCCAACCTCTCCAACCACTCCACGGCTTTTCCTCCCAGCCTTCTATAGAAAGCCTTCTCTGAAGCACCCCACTTGACTCTATGTTCTTTCCTAGACCTTCTCTCAGCACTTATAGACTTGGTTTGCTCATACTGATTTGTGCTTCACATAAAGCTGCTCTGTACGTGTTCTAAGATCACCTTTTTACATGAGCACCTGTTCACTTCAACTGTTACACAAGATGTTTGGTTTCAGGATATTCCATAGCATCCAGAACAGGGCCTGCACTGACTGACTCGCTGTCAGGCTAGGGTGGAAGGGTGTGGAGATGAGTTTAGATGGTCTTGGTAGGGTGTTCAGGGTAGTAAAAATGGATGGGTGCCAAAAGGAAGAATTCTGGGTTTATGTACTTTTAAAATATGTTCCAAAATTTTAGCTCCCAGGTATATAAAATACAAGGCTGGGTGCAGTGGCTCACACCTGTAATCCCGGCACTTTGGGAGGCTGAGGCAGGTGGATCATTTGAGGTCAGGAGTTCAAGACCAGACTGACCAACATGGTGAAACCCCGTCTCTACTAAAAATATAAAAAATTAGCTGGGCGTGGTGGCATGTGCCTATAATCCCAGCTACTTGGGAGGCTGATGCAGGAGAATCGCTTGAACCTGGGAGGCAGAGGTTGCAGTGAGCTGAGATCGTGCCACTGCATTCCAGCCTGGGTGATGGAGCAAGACTTCGTCTCAAAAAAAAAAAGGTATTCCTCCAGGATGAATATATCCATTGTAGGCAAAAAAATAGGTGTGTGTATGTATGTATATATATATATGTGTGTGTGTGTGTGTGTGTGTGTATGTGTATATATGTATATGTGTGTGTATATATGTATATATGTGTGTGTGTATATATATGTATTTATGTATACATATATTATTCTAAATAGGAAGAAATAGAGACTTTCTCTTTTCATTATTATTACCTTAATAAATCCTTCACTGGAAGAAATAGGGGTTTTCTTCCCTATTAGTGGAAAATGTCAGATCTCTGCTCAAATGTCACCTTCTTAGGCCTTTCCTGACTCACCTATTTAAAAGTGCAATCTTCTCCATCCTCACCACCCACTCTTCCTAGCCTTGCTTAATTTTTTTCAACATGCCGTCATTCTCGCTCTCTGATACACACACCCCTACACATGTAAGAAAAAAATATATAAAATACATACACAAATATGTAAGAATAAACACCCACACGCATATTATTTTACAATTTATTATTTATCTTCACTAGAATATAAGTCTCATGAGGACAAAAATTTATGTCTGTTTTGTTCACGGCTGTACCCTCAGCACTTAAAACACATAGCAGGCACTATGTGTTGGATGAACAAATAACTAAACAGAAATAGGCCGGGTGTGGCGGCTCACGCCTGTTATCCCAGCACTTTGGGAGGCTGAGGCAGGCAGATTACCTGAGGTCAGGAGTTCAAAACCAGCCTGGCCAACATGGCGAAACCCTGTCTCTGCTAAAATAAAATACAAAAATTAGCCAGGTGTGGTGACACACACCTGTAATCCCAGCTACTCAGGAGGCTGAGGCAGGAGAATCACTTGAAGCCGGGAGGTGGAGGTTATAGTGAGCTGAGATCGTGCCACTGCACTCCAGCCTGGGCAAAAGACCGAGACCCCATCTCAAAAAAAAAAAAAAGAAAAAAAAAAGAGAAAGAGAAATAGATTTTTTTTTTGTTTCCCTTACCCTAGTCTTATCTTTTCCCACAAAAATTGGACCCTCAAGTTTCTTCGCTCCCTCAAGTTCATTGAGGCTAAATTGGGTTTAGGCTTTAAAGGTCCAGATTAGGCCTATAGTTTTTTCCACTTTACTTTTTAGGGGACCACTTGGAAGGGAGGGAGAACTAAGGAAATAAATGTAGCCTGGGCAACATGGCAAAACCCCATCTCTACACAAAAAAATTACAAAAATTAGCAGGGCATGGTGGCACATGCCTGTAGTCCCAGCTATTTGGGAGGCCAAGGTAAGAGGATCACTTGAGCCCAGGAGGTGGAGGTTGCAGTGAGTTAAAATCGTGCCACTGCACTCCAGCCTGGGCAACAGAGCGAGGAAAAAAAAGAAAAGGAAATAGACATAATTCCAGCATTTCCCCGATTCTTTCTGGAATATTCTTTTTTTTTTTTTTTGAGACAGAGTTTTGCTCTTGTTGCCCAGGCTAAAGTACAATGGCACGATCACGGCTCACCGCAACCTCCGCCTCCAGAGTTCAAGCAATTCTCCTGCCTCAGCCTCCCGAGTAGCTGGGATTACAGGCATGCGCCACCATGTCCGGCTAATTTTTGTATTTTTAGTAGAGACAGGGTTTCTCCACGTTGGTCAGGCTGGTCTCGAACTCCTAACCGCAAGTGATCCAATTGCCTCGGCCTCCCAAAGTGCTGGGATTACAGGCATGAGCCACCGCGCCCGGCCTAAAGCATTCTTGTATCAGGCATCTGTGCAGCTCACTGCTTCACTTATCGTGAGCCCCGAACCTCACTGGATGAGGGAAATATTTCCTGTCTGCCCCAAGTAAGATAATGTCCCCATCACCCTTCCTTAATTTTCTTCATGGAGCTTATTATCCTGACATATATTTATTATCTTTCTTTGATCACTAGACAAGCTTAATAAAACAGCAACTTTGTCTGTTTTGTTCACTGCTATAGTTCCACGTCCTAGAACTATGCGGCATGTAGTAAGCGTTCAGTGAACAAAAGAGTCAGTGAATTCAAAACAGCCTCCACAGATTAGAAAGAGAGGATTGAGGCCTGGTGCGGTGGCTCATGCCTGTAATCCCAGCACTTTGGGAGGCTGAGGTAGGCAGATCACCTGAGGTCAGGAGTTCGAGACCAGCCTGGCCAACATGGTGAAACCCTGTCTCTACTAAAAATTCAAAACTTAGCCTGGCATGGTGGCAGGTGCCTGTAATCCCAGCTACCTGGGAGGCTGAGGCAGGAGAATAGCTTGAACCTCGGAGGCGGAGGCTGCAGTGAGCTGAGATTGTGCTACTGCACTCCATTCTGGGTGACAGAGTGAGACTCCATCTCAAAAAAAAAAAAAAAAAAAAGGATTGAGTCAAGATGATTACATATATCAGGGATAAATGTAAATTTCTATTTGGACTCAAAAACCTATTTATAGTCAATAACCTCACTTGATGAGTCAAAAATGACTTAGGAATTTAGGCAACCACAATCTTGGACTATAATTAGTATAATGCCTACTGTTTTCCCTTCTATTAGAGGTATCCTCTCCTATCCTCTCCAACCAATCCATGGCTTTTTCTTCCCTCCAAACCTAGATGAAGGGTTTATCTTCTCTAGAAAGCCTATGAGCATCATGAGCACAATACTATGAGCATAATGTCCAGATTACATGAGAGGCAGGTATAATTTCATCTGCACTGGTCATAATATACATGTAATATTGTGTATAGCAGTGACAATAATAAAATTGCTATTTTTTGTGTAAATTTATATGTCCCTGCCAGGCATTGTGGTAGAGCTTACTTTTTTTATTTCTTTTGAGACAGCGTCTCATTTTATTGCCTAGGCTGGAGTGCAGTGGCACAAGCTTGGCCCACTGCAACCTCCACCACCTGGGCTCAAGTGATCCTCCTGCCTCAGCCTCCTGAGTAGCTGGGACTACAGGCACATGCCATCACACCTGGCTAATTTTCGTATTTTTTGCAGAGATGGAATTTCACCATGTCACTCAGGCTGGAGTGCAGTGGCATGCATGATCGCAGCTTACTGAAGCTTTGACCTCCCCAGTTCAAATGATCTTCTTGCCTCAGCCTCCTGAGGAACTAGGACTACAGGCATGTGCCATCATGCCTGGTTAATTTTTTTTTTTTTTGAGATGGAGTCTTGCTTTGCCCAGACTTGAGTGCAATGGCGCGATCTCGGCTCACTGCAACCTCTGCCTCCCTGGTTCAAGTGATTCTCCTGCCTCAGCTTCCTGAGTAGCTGGGATTACCAGCACATGCCACTACACCTGGCCAGTTTTTGTATTTTTAGTAGAGACGGGGTTTCACCATATTGGCCACGCTGGTCTCGAACTCCTGACCTCAAGTGATCTGCCAGCCTTGGCCCCCCAAAGTGCTAGGATTACAGGCATGAGCCACCATGCCCAGCTAATTTTTAAATTTTTTTTAGAGATGAGTCTTCACTATATTGCCCAGGTGGTCTTGAACTCCTGGGCTCAAGCAATTCTGCTTTAGTCTCCACCAAATTGCTGGGATTACAGGTGCAAGCCACCATGCCTAACCAAGGAAGAGTTACATTTTATTTAAAATATATATTTATTGTTATTATTTTTTTAGAGACGTGGTCTCACTCTGTGGCCCAGGCTGGAGTGCAGTGGTGCAATCACAGCTCACTGCAGCCTTGAACTCCTGGGCTCAAGCAATCTTACTACCCTAGACTCCTGAATAGCTGGGACTACAGGACCATGCCACTATGCCTGGCTAATTAAAAAAAATTTTTTTTAGAGACAAGGTGCTATGTTGCCCAGTCTGGTTTTGAATTCCTGGCCTCAAGATCCTCTTGCCTCAGTCTCTTGAGTCGCTGGAATTATAAGCACGACCCACTGTACCCGGGTACATTTTAAAATAATATAGATAAGGAGCAAAACATTATTAACAAAATAAATCAAGGTGACCATGTCTATATCCATACCGAATAATAATAGTGTTTAGTCTCAAAGTATTAAATGAAATAGCTTTTAGGGAAAGTTTTCACAAAATGGAGACAGCCTTGGTAGTAAGCTACTTGAAGGCAGGCAGGAACAATATCCTATGGATCTTTGAATCCCTCAAGAGTCTCTTGCTTCTAATAGGAGTTCAGTAAATATTTGGTTGAACAACTAATTGGATTCAGTTGCCATTAAGAATGGGCACAGCCTAAGGAAGTGGCTCTCCATTCATCAATCAGGTGCTTTCCTGCAAATTGTTTGCTACTCATTAGTGAAACTGAACACTGTCTCTATGAGAAGAGGAACACAGCAAACTACCAAGACAGGCATATTTTTTGGAATGATCATAAAGAGAGATCTGAAGGCTTAGATTAGGAGACACCTGGGCAATTCTTTTGGCTCTATCATAGATTTATTCCCTGCAGCAGTGCGGTGGAGGAGCGGGGGGCAACCCACTGCTGCTTACATATTTACAATGCATCAACTTTTATTGTTAGAAAATGGAGATAGGGTAGAAAAGAGAGAAGATGAAGAATTCTCATATTCCAGGAGGATAGAGAAGGAAAAGAAGAGAAACAGATGAACGCATCTTTGAATTATCTAGTTGTTCCCCCTGGCCTTGTTTCCTATTTTTGCTGTTCTTTCTTCATTTTAGTATTTGTTAACTCTTGCCTCTCTCCCTGAAACCAAGACAATGAGCTAGAATCATCAAAGATATTAAAACCTAGAGCTCTCTGTCTTGCTTTAGTCCAAAGCTTGGTGGGAAATGGAAGTTGAAACTAATGGCTGAAGTGAGTGTTTTAAAGTAGCTATAAATTGCAGTGACCTGTGCTTCTCGCTCCTTTTGTCCTTCATGGTCATGGATAATTGAGTGTTGGCTTGGTGTATCACCCAAGTGCTGTGGCATTTGAAATGAAGTACTCTATGAGATGTGAAAAAGTTGGAAGTGGTAGTTCTCTATGTAGGAGATCCTCTGTAATGGTTTAAAGACCTGCAAGACACATCTGGGCTATTGGCCAGCTCCTTCAGCTTCTGACCAGAACTGCTTTTATTGACACCCCCTTTCCTAAACATAGCTTTTCGCAGTCAAGTAGACAAATATAATACAATGGAATGAGAATAAATTTTGGCTTCAGCCAGACATTGGTTTAAATCCTAGCATTGGCCAGGTGCAGTGGCTCACACCTGTAATCCCAGGACTTTGGGAGGCCAAGGTAGGCAGATCACCTGAGGTCGGGAGTTCAAGACCAGCCTGACCAACATGGAGAAACCCCATCTCTACTAAAAATACAAAATTAGCTGGGTGTGGTGGCACTTGTCTGTAATCCCAGCTACTTGGGAGGCTGAGGCAGGATAATCGCTTGAACCCAGGAGGCAGAGGTTGTGGTGGGCCAAGATCACGCCATTGCACTCCAACCTGGGCAACAAGATCGAAACTCCGTCTCAAAAACAAAAACAAAAACAAACTAGTGCTACCTTTAGTCATTTGTTTGGCTTTAGCCAAGTTATTTTATTTCTGAGCTTTGGTTTCCTTGTCTGGCAAGTATATATAATAATACATACACTCGAGGGTATTTGTTAGGATTAAATAAAATGTAGTATGTAACAGGCTGATATAATTTATTTTCCCTTTCCCAATAATAGTCCCTCTAAGAGAAATCACTATATTATGTTCCACACCATCTCCTTTTTTCAAGGATTCTGGAACTGCAGTTAGAGAAAGGAATCTGTTGGAAGGGAATAAGAAGAAAAAGAACAGGAAGAAATCATGGATTGCTCATGTGATCATGAAAGGGACTTTTGTTTTGGAAACTTAGAACTCAAAGAATAAAGATGCGGAAGGTGAAGTGGAAGAAAAAATACCATCAAGATTTAGCCTTGTGGAATAAGTGAGAACAAGTAGTTAATGAGTGTGAAGATCAGTTATCTGAACACATCTGATTTGATTTCTTCTTCCTTATTCTGAGGGGATAGAGCACACTGGATTCTGCTCATTTCACTGTACCTCTTATTCAGGAATGAGAAAAGCCATTTCCTAGCTGGATTGTGTCTCCACCCTAAAAACTGGAGTCCCGATGCTCAAACCTACTGGATTGTCTGAGGGATAGAATCCCTGAAGGAATAAGAAGGTTCTTTGGCAGCAACTCTCACTGGCTTCCCCCATCTAAACTGAATCAAGGAGAAGCAGGGCAATTATATTTTATTTATTTGATCAGGAAAGCATAACACAGGAAGTTTGCTCCTTTAGCATATACTGCAGGAGTCCCCAAAGAGGAAAAAACTTCCTTCTCAAGCTTGTCTTTGCCACCTTCTTCCCTATTTTCCACTCCACTTTCTGCTCCAGAGAGTGTAAAACTAATCTTGGAGCCCACAGGGCTGGGTCGGGGACCAGCCGCTCTGAAATGACGTAATGCTTTCTGCGGTACACAAAGCGGCCTCCCCCGGGCTGGGCCTCTTTCGCCCCTCCCCCTCCGGCCTGGATCGCGCCCCCGCCAGCATCAACGCTGGTCAGTCCCCCTTTTTGAAAAGGCGGCCCAGGGAAACAGGGAACAAAGGCCCCGGAAGGAGAGCGTCGGCGCTGCCAGGAGGCCCAGAAATAGACATCACGTCATCCCCCAGCCCAGCAGCGCCAAGCGCCATTTGGTAGCATCGGAGGGACCCCACCATTACGATGCGGAATGGAGCTTGCAGGGCTCACGTTTCCTCCTAGCCCCAGCATCCAGCTGACCGGCTTAAGGAGTGGCTTCCTTTTTGCTCCCCACCCCGCACCCCTCTTTCCCCAGAGGCCGCCGCCTCCCCTGGCTGCCAGCCACACGGCCCACAGTCTCCAAGCTGCCATCTTGATGCCCCATCCCCCTTGTCACTTCCCTCCCCCGCAGCCCTTAGGAATGGGAGGGGGAGGAAGGGGCACCGCCCTGTGTGCCCCAAGGGGGAGGGCTTGGCCTACCCCACCTCTCCTCCCCCAGAAGGAGGGGTTCACATCCTCCGCACGCTTGCTGTTTCTCACCTCCAGCAGTGCTGACAGTGCACCATACAAGGTTTTAGCATCCTGGACTTCCCCACCCTCGGTGTGGCTCAGGCCCTGCCAGTCCCTGCAGCCCATAGCTCAAGTTCATGCACTGTCAACTGCCCACTACCCACTACCCACCACCACAGGCCCGATTTTAGTGGGGCTGGCATTTTGAAGGCTCTGGTCTGGGCTGCATTCTCTGCCCTGCCGCTGGGCCCCCTTGGCCTTGCAACCATTCTGACCACCTCAAGCTTAGTTTTCCCGAGTCTACTTACCAAAGCTAGGTCGGATATTGGTGATCTCAGCCATGTCGTAATCAGAGGCTGTTGCTATAACGTTTTTGCAATGGTGAGACAGCTCTGGGAACCCTCGGTCAGTACCGAGGCAGCAGCTGTAGAGCTCTAGGTCAGGGAAGGGGGAAGGTATCCAGCGGACGCCTCCTGCGACGGTCCGGCCCCTAGTTGTCAGCTGCGCTCAGCTCTTAAGATGCTCCGGGGATGCGCTGAGCTAAGGATGCAGGTGCAGTCAGACTGGTCCTGATGAGAGGTAGGCTCCGCCTTCTTCCGAATGGTCCTCGGAAGAAGACTCCGCCTCTTCCGAATGGTCCTCGGAAGAAGACTCCGCCTCTTCCGAAAGATTACGGAAGTCAGCCCTCGCCCCCTTCAGGAAGCTCTCCCGGAGGGGACTCCTCCCACCGCCGAGTTTTCCCGAGAATGAGGCCGCGCCCACTGACGCGCTGTGGTTCCAAAACGAGAAAGTACTGAAGGGTAAGAAGCATAGGTAGATTATTATATGAAATCCTCTGATTTCAGTTTTCTGGGCTTTAATACAGCAGCAAAATGTTCTCGGTCCTGAGTTCCAGAATTTTGGGAAAATAAAATTCTGTACTGCCTGGATTTCAGTATCGACTGCCATCATTATGCATTTCTGAGACCGCTAAAGGTTATTACAGAACTTTTTTTTTTGGCTTATATTTCACAGTGGATGGAAACTGTCTTAAACCTCAGAAACTCTGATGAAAGACCAAACCTGGGGATGGTTGCACAACTCTGAACATTTACTAATTTTAAAAAAACAGCCGGGCACGGTGGCTCATGCCTGTAATCCCAAACCTTTGGGAGGCCAAGGCGGGCAGATCACTTGAGGTCAGGAGTTCGAGACCAGCCTGGCCAGCATGGTGAAACCCCCATCTCTACTAAAAATACAAAGATTAGCCGGGCGTGGTGGCACACGCTACTTGGGAGGCTGAGACACGAGGATCGCTTGAGCCCAGGAGGTGGAGGTTGCAGTGAACCGAGATCGCGCCACTGCACTCCAGCCTGGGCAACAGAACAAGACTCCGTCTGAAAAAAAAAAAAAAAAAAAAATTTGGTTGTACACGTAAAACAGATGGATATTGTGGTATGCAAAGCTGTTTAAAAAAAAAAAAAAAAACAACTAATGAAAAGTGCCAAAGTTAATCAGTGTTGAATTTTTTTCATGAACCTCAAGTGCTTAGGGTTTCGTATGAGAGAGGCCAAACCGAAAGATCTGTGTATTCTGTAGGTCAAAGAACAACACACATGAAACTCCGAGCTTCTGGAGTCTTCCTTGGTATTTGGGAGAGTTGGTGTGATTCAGGTTAGTCAGACTACTGCCATGTTTGCATAAATTTCAACCTTCATTTTGGCTGTGGATAATTTCATCCGTTGGATTCTGTTTACAGATAGGATTAGTTCAAATGTATAAATTTGTGTTGGTGGTTTACCTGTAAAATGAGGGGGTTGAAAGTATTTTTCCACCTTTTGACATTCTGTTTTTTATTATTTTTTTAATCTCCGTGGATTCCAGACATTGTTTTTCTAGAAAAGTGGAAATAACATCATTTTAGAAGTCATTCATTCATTCGCTCATTCAAAAAGCACGTATTGAATTATTGAACATCTGTTACACCCCAGGCAGCCTCCTGGACACTGGGTCAATGCATTATTAGCTAGAGTTAGGAGACTTAATACCTGATTCTCCTTGATAGCTGTCTGTGTACCGTTGTGAAATCACCTACTCAGATGAGCCAGAACTTTGTCCTGTGCAAACTGGAATATGATATAATAATCTTACAGTCTATTGTGGAGACCAAGTCACCTAAGAAAATGTGAGAGCATTTTGTAAAATGCAGAATATTGTACATATATGAATAATTACTATAGCCTGAGTCCAAGAGTGCCTTAGTTTTAATCAGGAGCCTGCACTATTTGTAATTTAGAGACTTCTTTTTCTGGCATTTTATGACTTCTTCAGTCCCTTGGTCCTGTGTTCCAGGTGACTCGTAGTGAGAAAAATTAGTTGTTAATCTTTTTTTTTTTTTGATACAGAGTCTCACTGTCGCTCAGGTTGGAGTGCAGTGGCACGATGCCGGCTCACTGCCACCTCCGTCTCCCGGGTTCAAGCGATTCTCCTGCCTCAGCCTCCGGAGTAGCTGGGATTACAGGCGTGCGCCACCACGCCCAGCTAATTTTGTATATTTAGTAGAGACGGGGTTTCACCATGTTAGCCAGGGTGATCTCGAACTCCCGACCTCAGGTAATCCGCCCGCCTCCGTCTCCCAAGGTGCCGGGATTACAGGCGTGAGCCACCGCGCCTGGCCCCCAAATTAGCTGTTAATCTAAACCACTGAATCTTAACCTCAGTTTTGAGTAGGATAACTCCATGGGCAGAGAAAGCTAAGTAGTGCCTTTAAATTTTTTTGCCAATAACTGACGCACTAACGTTGTGGCTTCACTCTGCCCTAAAATGGGATGGCGCATAGTGTTAGGCGCATGCTCCTTGATGCACTGCGGCGCGGCGCTCCGAGGCTCGGGGACGCGCACGCAATTCGCTGTTGTTGGCTGACTTCCGGTGGTGCCAAAGCCGTTTCCGTGGAATCAGGCCGGCTGGTGAGGGTACAGGTTTGTGTGTGGTGGGGTGGGAAGAGGCAGGTGGGAGCTGGGACACCTGGACGAACGATGTCCAGGTTGAGAAGGTCGGGTCTGAGGGTGGGCGCTGGGTGCGTGGCGGAAGTTAAGGGCGTGAAGTCCAGTGTCTAGTTGGGAATGGGGACTGGAGCCAGCCCTGGGCACCGAGGTGGAAGCGCGGTTAGGACCCCTTTTGAAAATGTTTTCCTAGGAGAGGGCCGTGCCGGGGCTGCCTCCACATTGGCATTCATTCACCCTGCTGGTCCGACTTGGGTTCCCAAAAAAGTGGATTCTGTCGAGCTACTGCTGTGTTTGAGGTGCCTGGAGCTGAAGTAGCTGTCTTTCTTTCCTTCTTTTTCTTTCTTTCTTTTTCTTTTTTTCCCCTTTTTTTGATCTCAGTAATTATCTGTGAAATAAAAGAGCTGCCCTGGCTACTCCCATTCTATTTCTTATAAGGTCACCACCATCTCTCACAGGAATCAACGAAATCTTCATGTTTTATTGAGCTTTAGTTACTGAGTTTTAATTACATCAGTTGATTGAGGGGATGGAGAATCTCCCCTAATGTCTTGGAGAAACAGAAGGGAGGTTTAAAACTAACTGTAGGTCGGGCGCGGTGGCTCACGCCTCTAATCCTAGCACTTTGGGAGGCTGGGGCGGGAGGATCGCTTGAGGCCAGGAGTTTGAGACCAGCCTGGGTAACAAATCGAGACCCCGTCTCTACAAAAAAAAAAAAAGAAAAAAAGTCGTTGAGGGTGGTGGCAAGTGCCTTGTAGTCCTAGCTACTCGGGAGGCCGAGGCCAGAGGGTCACTGGAGCCCAGGAGTCTGAGGCTGCAGTGAACTAGGATCTTGCCACTGCACTCCGGTCTGGGCAACAGAGCGAGACCTTGTCTCTGGAAAGAAAGAGAGAGAGAGAGAAAGAAAGAAAAGAAGAAAGAGAAATCTAACCTTAGACGCTTAGAGTTACAAATAACTTTTATTTTTCAGTTCTCTAGTTCAGGCTTTCATCTAGTACTCTGATAAGTGGACATTCAGGCTTCGCTTGAACATTGCCAGTGATCTAACACAAGGCGGCTTATTCTATTATTGGATCTATTTATGACAGTAAAGTTTTCCTGGGTAATAAGATGCCTTTTTTTTTTTTTTTTTTTTTTTTTTTTGACAGAGTCTCCCTCTGTTGCCCAGGGTGGAGTGCAGTGGCATGATCTTGGCCCACTGCAACCTCCACCTCCCGGGTTCAAGCGATTCTCCTGCCTCAGCCTCCCAAGAAGCTGGGACTACAGGTGCCCACCACCATGCCCGGCTAATTTTTGTATTTTTTAGTAGAGACAGCGTTTCACCATATTGACCAGGCTGGTCTCGAACTCCTGACCTTGTTATCCGCCCGCCTTGGCCTCCCAGAGTGTTGGGATTACAGGCGTGAGCCACTGCACCAAGCCACTATCAGTTTTTATATAATGCTTAACATTTGGCCCAAATGCTGCACAGAATAAGTTGTTTAACCTCTGTTTCATTTATTATTCAGGGAGCATTCATTGAGTATCTACAATATTCAGTGACACATTGAGTATCAATACTCAGTGATACATTGAGTATCTACAATACCCAAATACTGAACTGGTGCAGTGGCTTGGATGGGACCGTAATCCCAATGACTTGGGAGGCTGAGGTGGGAGCATTGCTTGAGCCCAGGAGGTCGAGGCTGCAGCGAACTATGTTCGTGCCACTGCAGTGCAGCCTGGGTGACAGAGCAAGACCTTGTTTCAAAAAAAAAAACCCAGATACTGCTGGATATTAGGGATATGAGTTGAAATAATCCCATTTCTCGAAAAGCTGATAGTTTTGGAGGAAGGAGATGAGAAAGAGAAAGATGAGAGACCATTACAAAACTGATAAGTACCGTAAAAGAGGTTTACAAACAGATACTAAAAGAACATAGAGGATACCCTCTGGTTTAGGTCAGTAATGCCCTTAAAATGTGATAACTAGAATTGAAGCAAAAAGCCAAGAAGTAACATAGCGCAGAGGATAGTAGGACTCTTATCTTCCTTGTTTCGACACAAAGTTTGTTGTTAATGTAGCCTAACCTTTTTTTTTTTTTTTGAGATGGAGTTTCGCTCTTGTTGCCCAGGCTGGAGTGCAATGGGGAGTGATCTCGGCTCACTGCAACCTCTGTCTCCGGGTTCAAGTGATTGTCCTGCCTCAGCCTCTGGAGTAGCTGGGATCACAGGCGTGTGCCACCACGCCCGGCTAATTTTGTATTTTTAGTAGAGACAGGGTTTCTCCATGTTGATCAGGCTGGTCTCGAACTCCTGACCTCAGGTAATCTGCCCACCTTGGCCTCCCAAAGTGTTGGGATTACGGACGTGAGCCATCTCGTGCCCAGCCAACATAGCCTAACCTTTTAAACAATCACACTTTGCTTTTGATTTGTTTCTATTAATGGAAATACCTGTTTATGAAAACAGCAATAGCAAACATGTATTGATCATTTACCATCTAATGAAGTAGATGCTATTATATTCCATTTTATAGCTGAAGACACTGAGATTCAGGTTGAGTAACTTCCACAAGGTCATAAAGCTGGAGAGAAGGTGACTTGGGAAACATCCAGACAGTCTGATTCCACAGTTTACTCTCAGCATCATGCTAGTCTACCACCCTGATGGTAATAATAACAATGTTTGCTGGACGCGGTGGCTCACGCCTGTAATCCCAGCACTTTGGGAGGCCGAGGCGGGTGGATCTCAAGGTCAGGAGTTCGAGACCATCCTGGCTAACACGGTGAAACCCCATCTCTACTAAAAATACAAAAAAAATTAGCCAGGCGTAGGTGGTGCACGCCTGTAGTCCCAGCTATTCAGGAGGCTGAGGCAGGAGAATGGCGTAAAACGCGAGAGGCGGAGGTTGCAGTGAACCGAGATTGCGCCACTGTACTCCAGCCTGGGAGACAGAGTGAGACTCTGTCTCAAAAACAAAAACAAAAACAAAAAAACACAAAAATAAACCCACAGTGTTTATTAATCACTTACTCTTTAATTGTAACAATTCTATGAAGTAAGAGCAATTATTTTTTACTGTTGAGGGTACTGAAGACTTGCGAGGTTAAATCACTTGGCCTAGGTAACAGTAGTCCATCAGTAGTAATCAGTAGAGTTGAGATTTGAACTCAGTCACTTAACCACTGTCTCTCAACTTCCACCTAAAGGGAAATTGTGCATTTGGTGTGAAGTATTGTGTTCATGATCGAACATGAATAAATGAAAAGATAATTGAGTAAATGTTATTACTTTTAATTAATATGAAGGCAGTAAGAACTTTTTATTCTTTCAGAATGGAACAAAAGTGGGACTTTTAAAATGTTGCCCTGTAAGAAGAGAAGAACTACAGTGACAGAGTCCCTACAGCATAAAGGCAATCAAGAGGAAAACAACGTAGACCTAGAATCAGCCGTTAAACCAGAATCTGACCAGGTTAAGGACTTGAGTTCGGTGTCACTATCCTGGGATCCAAGTCATGGCAGAGTAGCTGGCTTCGAAGTACAGTCTTTGCAGGATGCAGGAAATCAGCTTGGTATGGAGGATACATCTCTGAGCTCTGGAATGCTCACCCAGAACACAAATGTACCAATTCTAGAAGGTGTTGATGTGGCCATCTCTCAGGGAATCACCCTACCTTCCTTGGAGTCTTTTCACCCCCTTAATATACACATTGGTAAAGGAAAACTCCACGCTACTGGCTCAAAGAGAGGGAAAAAAATGACACTCAGGCCTGGGCCAGTTACCCAAGAAGACAGATGTGATCATCTTACCCTAAAGGAGCCTTTTTCAGGAGAGCCTAGTGAAGAAGTCAAGGAAGAAGGAGGTAAGGTATACAAGGTCTCTAGGTTACATTCTTGTCAATACCACTTTGCCATTGCTATTTCTGGATACCTTTACAGAGTAGTATTTCTGAAAGGGGATATTGATTTGGTACGGAATTGGAACTGCTGTGTTGCTAAGGGTCAACAGTGAACTTTTTTTTTTTCTTGAGACGGAGTCTTGCCATGTCACCAGACTAGAGTGCAATGGTGGGATCTTGACTCACTGCAGCCTCCACCTCCTGGGTTCAAGCGATTCTCCTGCCTCAGTCTCTCAAGTATCTAGGATTACAGGCATGCGCCACCACGCCAGGCTAATTTTGTATTTTTACCAGAGACGGGGTTTCACCATGTTGGTCAAGCTGGTCTCGAACTCCTGACCTCAGGTGATACGTTTGCCTTGGCCTCCCAAAGTGCTGGGATTACAGGTGTGAGCCACCGTGCCTGGCCAGCAGTGAACTTTATGAATGGATATAGACTTTCTTTTCCCCTCCCATTCGCTATATCCACTTCTGTACCCCTTTCTTCTTTCTTTTTTGAGACGGAGTCTCGCTCTGTCACCCAGGCCAGGGTGCAGTGGCGTGGTCTCGGCTCACTGCAAGCTCCGCCTCCCAGGTTCACGCCATTCTCCTGCCTCAGCCTCCCGAGTAGCTGGGACTACAGGCACCCACCACCATGCCCGGCCAATTTTTTTTGTATTTTTAGTAGAGGCGGGGTTTCACTGTGTTAGCCAGGATGGTCTCAGTCTCCTGACCTCGTGATCCGCCCGCCTTGGCCTCCCAAAGTGCTGGATTACAAGCGTGAGCCACTGCACCCAGCCATTGTATCCCTTTCATTCCATTCTCTCATCCTTTATTTGGTGTGTCTGGAGATGTGTATGGTCTTTTGTGATTGGGCAGCAGCTTAAAGGGGGAGACTACTGCCTGGGACACTGGGAAAGGCTCTACTGAGATGAATGACCCTTCCAATTTGAAAGATGAATTGCGGTTTAACAGAAAGTGGTATGGGCACATAGGCCAAGAACAGTGCACAGAGATAGACTGGCAGAAAAGGATGGTGACATGGTTGCTTGGAACAGGTGGTGGGAGATGACTTCTTTTTTTTTTTTTTTTTTTTTTGTGACAGTCTCGCTCTGTTGCCCAGGCTGGAGTGCAGTGGTGTGATCTTGGCTCACTGCAACCTCCACCTCCCATGTTCAAGTGATTCCCCTGCTTCAGCCTCGCGAGTAGCTGGGATTACAGGTGCCTGCCACCACGTCCAGCTAATTTTTTTATTTTTATTAGAGAGGAGGTTTCCCCATGTTGGCCAGGCTGGTCTCAAACTCCTGACCTCAGGTGATCCACGTACCTTGGCCTCCCAAAGTGCTGGGATTACAGGCGTGAGCCACCACGCCCTGCCAAGATGACTTTAGAGTAGTAGATTGTACTAAGGTTGTGAAAGGTTTTGTTTTTCATACCAAGGCATTTGAGCTTTTCCTGTAGGTAGGTGATAGTCATTTAAACGTCTAAGTAGAACACATTTATGCTTTAGAAAAGATACCAACTTCTCTTATTCATTTTTTTTTTGATACGGAGTCTCGCTTTGTCGCCCAGGCTGGAGTACAGTGGCGTGATCTCAGCTCACTGCAACCTCCACCTCCCCTGTTCAAGTGATTCTCCTGCCTCAGCCTCCTGAGTAGCTGGTATTACAGGCGCCCGCCACCGTGCTCAGCTAATTTTTGTATTTTTAGTGGAGATGGGGTTTCACCAGGTTAGCCAGCTTGGTCCTGAACTCCTGACCTCAGGTAACCCACCTGCCTCAGCCTCCCAAAGTGCTGGGATTACAGGCGTGAGCCACTGCGCCCGGCCTAGATTGTGAAGGTTTTTGTTTTTCATACTAAGGCATTTGAGCTTTTCCTGTAGGTAGGTGATAGTCATTTTTTTTTTTTGAGACGTAGTCTGGCTCTGTCGCCCAGGCTGGAGTGCAGTGGCGCAGTCTTGGCTCACTGCAAGCTCTGCCTCCTGGGTTCATGCCATTCTCCTGCCTCAGCCTCCCGAGTAGCTGGGACTACAGGTGTCTGCCACCATGCCCAGCTAATTTTTTGTATTTTTAGTAGAGACGGGGTTTTACCGTGTTAGCCAGGATAGTGTCAATTTCATGACCTCGTGATCCACCTGCCTCGTCCTCCCAAAGTGCTGGGATTACAGGCGTGTGCCACCGCGCCCGGCCCTTTTTTTTTTTTTTTTTTTGAGGTGGAGTCTCGCTCTGTTGCCAGGCTGGAGTGCAGTGGCACGATCTCATCTCACTGCAACCTCCGCCTCCCAGGTTCAAGCAATTCTGCCTCAGCCTCCCAAGTAGCTAGGACTACAGGCACACGCTGCCACGCTCAGCTAATTTTTTTTTTTTTTGTATTTTAGTTGAGACAGGGTTTCACCATGCTGGCCACGCTGGTCTCGAACTCCTGACCTCGTGATCCACCGACCTCGGCCTCCCAAAGTGCTAGGATTACAGGCGTGAACCACTGCACCCGGCCTATTCATTCATTTTGACTGTTAAGATGTTTTCTTTTTTGCCGCATTTTAAGTCCACTTGTTCTTATTTTGTCCTACTGGTACATTCTCAGTATGTGGTTTTTTATTGTGTCTTGTGTGTGTTTATATTGAAGAATTTCATGTTTCTGACTCTGCTGTATTTGAAAACTGATGGAGTGCCCAAGATGAGGGAGTTTAGCAATAATCTTGATGGTATACTGTGTTGGTCACGCCCTCTCTGGCATGAGCTGCCTGAAGCACATTGTCAAAGATGAAAGCTCTTTTGGGGAAAAGTGCTCTCCTGTGGAATCATCCCTTGTCATAGCATGTGGCTCTAAATTTTCAGCCTCATTCACAGTAGCTTGCATTGTTGTATTGCTTTTGGGACACCTGTGTTTTATCTGGAAATGTAGACAGGAATAGCGGTTTTTTTTGTATGTGTATTATATATTGTTTCACTGCTAATCTTCTACACAATTTTTTAGAATAAAAAAGGGTAAATAGCTTGTGCCATTTTGCTAATTACATAGATTTGACTTTTGATCACATAAATAAAAAATAAAACAAGGCAGGACATTGTCCTGCACATAGTTGATGTGGACAAATACTTTTTATTACTTTGAAATTCTTATTTTGATAGTTTTCCACTTAATGAGGCAAGTGCTTAAGCCTCAGTCTTTTTGAGTTCTCATTATTTAGACATAAGGAAAGGAGAAATGAAGGTTTTTCTTTATTCTCCCCATGCCTTTCCTTTTTTTCTCTTTTATTCTTTTTTTTTTTTTTTAAGAGCAGAATATACTAGATCAGGACAAATTAAGGTGATACTGGAATTTAGGTGTTTTTACTGGAAAAAAGGCATTTCCTTTGAGATAGTTTAAAGAAAATAGTAAGGAGATAAGAATCAGTTCAACTACTAATTCAGGAAGCCGGGAGAGATGTACATTCAAAGCATAGGACAGAATCAAGTTTTCTTTCTTTTTTTTTTTTTTTTTTTTTTGAGACGGAGTCTCGTTCTGTTGCCCAGGCTGGAGGGCAGTGGTGCGATCTTGACTCACTGCAACCTCCGCCTCATGGGTTCAAGCAATTCTCCTGCCGTAGCCTCCCGAGTAGCTGGGATTACAGGCACCCACCACCACACCCGGCTAATTTTTGTATTTTTAGTAGAGACGGGGTTTCACCATGTTGGTCAGGCTGGTTTTGAACTACCTTTTTTTTTTTTTTTTTTTTGAGACAGAGTCTTTCTCTGTCAGCCAGGTTGGAGTGCAGTGGCACAATCTCGGCTCATTGCAAGCTTCACCTCCTGGGTTCACGCCATTCTCCTGCCTCAGCCTCCCGAGTAGCTGGGACTACAGGCGCCCGCCACCACGCTTGGCTAATTTTTTGTATTTTTAGTAGAGGCAGGGTTTCACCATGTTAGTCAGGATGGTCTCGATCTCCTAACGTCGTGATCTGCCTGCCTCGGCCTCCCAAGTGCTGGGATTACAGGTGTGAGCCACCGTGCCCAGCCCTGCTGGTTTTGAATTTCTGACCTCAAATGACCACCCGCCTCAGCCTCCCAAAGTGCTGGGATTACAGGCGTGAGCCACAGTGCCCAGCCCCTTTTTTTTTTTTTTTTTTTTTTTTTTTTGAGATGGAGTCTCTGTTGTTTAGGCTGGAGGGCAGTGGCATGATTTTGGCTCACTGCAACCTCTGCTTCCCGGGTTCAAGCGATTCTCCTGCCTCAGCCTCCCAAGTAGCTGGGATTACAGGTGTGCATCACCAGGCCTAGCTAATTTTTTGTATCTTAGTAGAGATGGGATCTCATCAGGTTGGCCAGCCTGGTCTCGAACTCCTGACTTCAGGTGATCCGCCTGCCTCGGCCTCCCAAAGTGCTGGGATTACAGGCGTGAGCCACCGCGCCCGACCTACAATTCCGTAGTTTTAGTAAACCATTGCAGTAACCTACAAAACACATTTTGATGTTTAACTTTTATCTCTCAGATTTTTTTTTGTCTGAAAATGACAAAGAAATCCTTTGTTCTGAGTTTTGGTTTAAAACATAATCTCTATCTGTGTGACATTTAAAAGAAGCAGAAGACATAGTTCTAACCTCAGGAAGTTTAGAATCTTAATTGGGAAAACAACCATAAATATATACTTTTTGGAATTGGAGCTTGAAGGATTCACAGGATTTGATAGATTGTGAGGGAAGAAGTGGAAGTAGAATAACATATTCTGCAAACATGTAGAAATGCTGTGTTTGTGTGGGAAAGTACTAAGGCTTCAGGTAGAAAGAGTAGATCCAGATTATGGAGAGCCTTGAAGCTTTCCCCTTAAGACCTTAAGATTTAGAATAGGATGCTGGCAGTAAGGGTAGAGAAGAATGGGTACACCATAGACACATTACAAAGAAATGATTAACACTGCTCAGAGACTGACATGTAAGATATCTGGGGTAGGGGATGGTGATGCATGCCTTCATAGGGAAGGTATTTGAGAGTTTGAATATGAGTTCAGATTTGGGTATGAGTTATGCAGGTGAACCCCAAAATTGGGGCTCAGCCCAGGGGGGTTCTTGGCTTTGTGCAAGATTCATTTGCAAGCCAATAGAGAAAAAGGAAAGCAAGTTTATTAGAGCAGCAGAGTACAGGAAATGGCTGCCCCATAGACACAGCAATAGCAGCAGCCCTTGTGAATAGATAGCTATTCCTTGATTATATACTAAATAAGGGCAGGTTATTCATCAATTTTCTAGAAAAGGGGCAGGGAGTTCCCAGAACCAAGAGATCCTCCCATTTTAAACCATATAAGGTAACTTCTAGGGGTTGCCATGGCATTTGTAAACTGTCATGGCAGTGGTGGGACTTTTCTTCTTTGTATGTATGTATGTATATATTTATTTATTGTTTATTTATTTTGAGACAGAGTCTCACTCTGTTCCCCAGGCTGGAGTGTAGTGGCACGATCTTGGCTCACCGCAACCCCCGCCTCCTGGGTTCAAGGGATTCTCCTACCCCAGCCTTTCGAGTACCTGGGACTACAGGCATGCACCACCACACTCAGCTAATTTTTTTTGTTTTTTGTTGTTTTGAGATGGAGTCTCGCTCTGTTGCCCAGGCTGGAGTGCAGTGGCGCCATCTCAGTTCACTGCAACCACCACCTCCTGGGTTCAAGCGATTCTCCTGCCCCAGCTTCCTGAGTAGCTGGGGTTATAGGTACCCGCTACCATGCCTGGCTAATTTTTGTATTTTTAGTAGAGACGGGGTTTCACCATGTTGGTCAGGCTGGTCTCAAACTCCTGACCTCATGATCTGCCCTCCTCAGCCTCTTAAAGTGCTGGAATTACAGGCTTGAGTCACTGCACCTGGCTTTTTTTGTATTTTTAATTGAGATGCGTTTTTGCCATGTTGGCCAGGCTGGTCTTGAACTCCTGACCTCAGGTGATCATCTGCCCGCCTCAGCCTCCCAAAGTGCTGGGATTACAGGCATGAGCCACCATGCCCAGCCTGTTTTTATTTTTTAAAACCAATCCATTTAATTGTGTCTTTCAAGGTAAACAATTTATGGAGCCTGGATCCCAAGCCTGAGAGTGCTAGAGCTATGGGTCCAAAACTTGTGGTATTCTGAGTTCAGAAGGGTTCGAACTCACGGTGTTCAACTCACGGAGTCAGAGAACATGCGGAATTTGTGTATTCCATTTAGCAATTTTGTAAATTACCAGAAACAGACTGAAAGAGTCTTTCAAGATGGGGAAAATTCAACTCCTGTGTTTTTTTTGTTTTTTTGTTTTTGAGACAGAGTTTCACTCTTGTTTCCCAGGCCGTAGTGCAATGGCACAACCTCAATGGCCCCTGCTCGGTTGAAGCGATTCTTCTGCCTCAGCCTCCTGAGTAGCTGGGACTACAGCCGTGTGCCACCATGCCAAGCTAATTTTTGTATTTTTAGTAGAGATGGGGTTTCACCATGTTGGCCAGGCTGTCTCGAACTCCTGACCTCAAGTCATCCACCCACCTCGGCCTCCCAAAGTACTGGGATTACAGGCGTGAGCTACCGTGCCTGGCCCAGGACAGCTTTTTAACAAGCAGTTAAAGTGGAAAAGAACCCCCCAGTAGCACGCTGGTTTAGTTTATAAGATTTTAGTTTACAAATTAAAAAATCTATATGTTTTACATTTTCTCTTTATATCACTTTTTTCCTTTATCTTTCTCTTTGTCGTCTTTTGTATCCTTTTTTGCTCTCTTCTTTTTCCTATCTTTTTTTTTTTTTTTGGTGACAGAGTCTTGCTCTGTCACCCAGGCTGGAGTGCAGTGGCGCGATCTCGGCTCCCTGCAAGCTCCGCCTCCCGGGTTCACGCCATTCTCCTGCCTCAGCCTCCCGAGTAGCTAGGAATACAGGTGCCCGCCACCACACCCGGCTAATTTTTTTGTATTTTTAGTAGAGACGGGGTTTCACTGTGTTAGACAGGCTGGTCTCGATCTCCTGACCTTGTGATCCGCCCGCCTCGGCCTCCCAAAGTGCTGAGATTACAGGCGTGAGCCACCGCGCCTGGCCGGTTTCTTTTTCCTGTCTTTCTTCTCTGCATCCCAGTTGGCAATCTTGTTGATGAGGTTGTGTAGGGTGATCACAGAATGGATCAGCGAGGCCAAGTACACTGCTACCATTTGGTTATTGGTCTTCAGGTAAAAGGCCTTGACAAACTCCTATAGGCTAATGACTGGCAGCAGCTTGAAGACCTGCAGCTGATAGATGAATTGGTGGTTGGTGGACAGTTTGCCTGTGGCAACTTTTTCCAGGTAGCTTCTGGTACCCAGAAGCTTGGAGTTCAGTCCCTTCAAATCCAGGACCTGGTTTGTGATACACTGGGAAAGAGTGCCCACTGTAGTGTCTTTGATGTCTTGTAACAAGTGTTTAACTCCAATTTCCTTAGCTTCCTCTGCTGCAGTTTCACTGGTCACATGCTCAAATGTTTTCAAGGCTGAAGTTCCATCTTCATAGACTTCTACTGAAATATATGCTTCTGTAGGCAGCCCTAAGTCCTTTGGCTTCATGTCACTAGTGACCAATACTGAGTTACGGCAGTATCTTTTCATGATTTCATTGAAGGCAGTGTCATTCTTGTGTAGTTTAGGGCCTATGTGGTACCACTCAACTATTCTTTCCCTGGCATTCACCCTCTTAAACATTCTGTATGTGTTTTTCAAATAATCGTGGGCTAAAAAACAATTATCTTTGTCATCTTCATTAAAAGGGACTGTAAAACTGCTGGATACATCAAGTACTTTCATTTGCCATGACCGCAAAAGCACATGAAGAATGCATTTCTGGTTTCCAACCTTGCTGATTCTGTTGAAATGATCCACCACATTGAGCAGTACCTGGGGGTGGACTACCACCTTCTGCACCACCAGGTCCAGCCTCATGATACACTCTGGCCACCAGGCCTGGCTCCCTGTGACCCACTGGAGTTTCTTTTAGCATGCAAATTCATTATAATTAGTGTATAATAAGCAGTGAGAGCAACCGAATGTCACTTTTGTTGCCATCTTGGTTGTAACTGGTTTTGGCTGCTTTCTTTGCTGCATCCTGTTTTGATCAGGGTTTTGTTCTTGTTTTGTTCAGCAGGCTCTCTGGCCAGTGCTTGGAAAACAAATCCTGCTTCTCTCCTACCTCACTCCCCCCACAGAGATTATATACTCCCCTTCAATCTTACAGGGTTTTAGAAGGGTGGAAGTCCATCTTCTGTGACTGCTTCCTGTTGATTTTATGGGCATTGGCCCTGCCTAGCACTGGAGGAGTAAAAATCTCTTGATGCCTCATCTAAGGGGTCAGAACAAGGATGTGTTGGAAGCCACTTGCTAGCATTATCTTCACATGGAAATTGTTGCAATCTAGAAGACACACACTACAAGGAGGCTAAAAGAGGCAGGGCCAAAGATTCATAGTTACAAGATAGCTGCTAGAGGTCCTAAAAAGAGTAGAAACCAGGTGAGACTTGGGAGGGTTTTTTTTGTTGTTGTTATTTTTTGGGTTTTTTGAGACAGGATCTCGCTCTGTCACCCAGGCTGGAGTGCAGTGGTGTGATCATGGCCCACTGCAGCTTTAACCTCCCAGGCTCAAGTGATCCTCCTGCCTTAGCCTCCTGAGTAGCTGGGACCACATGTGTTTGCCAGCAACACCCAGCTGATTTTTAAATGTTTTTATAGAGACACAGTCTCACTATGTTGCCCGGGCTGGTCTTGACTCCTGAGCTCAAGTGATCCTCCCACTTTAGCCTCCCAAAGTACTGGTATTACAGGCGTGAGCCACTCTGCCTGGCCAGGAGGGTGTTTTTTATGGTCAACCAGATATAGTTGGGGTCAGTTCCCTGGTTATATATATGTAACCAGGTGGCTTGCTCTTAGAACTTTTGAATGTTAACCTCAGCCTGTCCAGAGTTGTTAATATATGTGCAGTCGGTCTTATTGATAACAGTGCAGACTCTACCTTTTTCAGTCAGTAAACAATCCAAGACTAGTCTGTTGTCAGGGCTACAATTGCCAAAGAGTCCAGAGATTCCTGAATTTTTCTTAATGTCTGACTAGTGTTGGTGGCCAGAGATTCTAGGGCCTGAGTTATGTTTCTTAGCATTGACTTGTGGTATGCAAAGCCCCTGCCAAGGGGCCACCACCCCTATTGCTGCCCCAATTCCTGTAAAAATTAATCCTATTGCTCTTTTACTTCTTGTTTTTCTAGATTTTATGGGGTTATGAATGGATACCCCCTGAAGGGATAATGGTGGCCAAAATACATTCACTGGTGTTTCAAGTTTTTGATAAGCAAAATGGAAAGCTATTCCTAGAAGAATAAATGGTTCCCTACAGGGTTGGGAGTGGGTATGGGGTAGGATTTCTTCCCCTAAAGGTGAGCCCAGATGGGTCACAAATTGAATCCTTGCAAGTTATGCCGTCCATTTTTTATTGCCAAACTGGGTCTATAGAGATACCTTTTCCAGGTTCCAATGGGGGTGATTGAGTAGCCCTCGTTTTCCACCAGAGGGTGGTACCTCCATCTTCCCAAATTAAGCAGTCGTTTCTCCCTTGCATGTATTGGTCCTGGAGGAGGCACCATGTATAGTCTCCTTGTTTACCAGTGGGATCCCGTTTGCCCTCCCATGGCCTTGGGAATTTGGCTACTAGGGTTGGGTCAGAGCATCGTGGGGAATTTCTGTCTCTGTGTCATTGTCACAACAATTTGTGCAAAAGATAGTATCATTAGTACACTGGAGCTGTAGATACCCAACATCCTAGGTCCAGGTAATAGTAGGGGGTAGGAGGGTGGTTGGAGAGGAGTCAGGTCAATCTGTTAAGTGTGGGAGAGAGCTGTTTTATAAGTAGGGGCCTAGGTACCAAAGGAACACTATGGCCAATTAGGAGGTTTGGGGAGATGGCTGTGAGGTTTGCAGGGTGCACCAGAAGGTGATGCTCTCTATCCTGAGGGTGCTGATGACAGATTCTGCAATCATGCAGGCTATTTCCTGATGCTATAATTCTAGAAATGTTTACTATGGAGTTTTGTTCCCATTCCACAGCGAGTTAGATTGATTAGGAGCAGGGAGCAAGAAGAACAGGGACAACTGAGTATCACACTGGGCTTTAGGGTGGTCCCTATACTCAATAAGGACAAGTAAGGTGTTTCTCAGGAGGAGGTGGTTGCTACTTATCTGTCTTGTGAAATAGCAACTTTAAGTCTTCCAGAGGTTTGCAGGTGTAGGTCATGGTGTCCTCCTCTTGTGCCTGTAGGGATTCACCAAAAACAGGTTTGTTTAATCCGGGACAGGTGTACCTAGCTAGTGATTCCCCGAAGTTTAACAGCAGTGGGAGTGCTTAACAATACCTAATGGGGAGTGGGTGCCCTTCCATATTGGTTATATTATAATTGATCTTCAAGGAATCCTTCTTTCCAAGTTTTTTTTTTTTGAGATGAAGTCTTGCTCTGTTGCCTAGGCTGGAGTGCAGTGGTGCTATCTTGGCTCACTGCAACCTCCGCCTCCCGGGTTCAAGTGATTCCCCTGCCTCAGCCTTCTGAGTAGCTGGGACTACAGGCATGTGCCACTATGCCCAGCTAAATTTTTTGTATTTTACTAGACACAGGGTTTCACCATGTTGGCCAGGATGGTCTTGATTCCCTGACCTCGTGATCCACCCACCTCGGCCTCCCAAAGTGCTGGGATTATGGGTATGAGCCACTGGCCCGGCCCTTTCCAAGTTTTTTTTTTTTTTTTTTTTTTTTGAGATGGAGTCTCGCTCTGTCGCCCAGGCTGGAGTGCAGTGGCACGATCTCGGCTCACTGCAACCTCCACCTCCCGGGTTCACACCATTCTCCTGCCTCAGCCTCCTGAGTAGCTGGGACTACAGGTGCCTGCCACCATGCCCGGCTAATTTTTTGTATTTTTAGTAGAGACGAGGTTTCACCATGTTAGCCAGTAAGGTCTCCATCTCCTGATCTCGTAATCCACTCGCCTTGGCCTCCCAAAGTGCTGGGATTACAGGCGTGAGCCACCACCCCTGCCCCAAGTTTTTAATAGGACTAGGTGTCCTGGTTAAACAGGGAACAATCTTTTCCTTTGTGGGAAAGGGCAATACTTTATTTTCATATTCTTAGAGTGCCTTTTGAACCTGGTCTCTTAAGTTCCAAAGGGGAGCGGGGGGAAGGTATAGTGAGGCTTGTCCAACCCCTTGTTTCTTGTCATGGCCTGAATTAGTTTTTCAAGTTTCTTTTTTTTTTTGAGACGGAGTCTTGCTCTGTCACTCAGGCTGTAGTGCAGTGGCACGATCTCAGCTCACTGCAACAGCCGCCTTCCAGGTTCAAGTGATTCTCCTGCCTCAGGCTCCCAGGTAGTTGAGATTACAGGCGTTCGCCACCACGCCCAGCTACTTTTTGTATTTTTAGTAGAGATGGGGTTTCACCATGTTGGACAGGTTAGTCTCCAACTCCTAACCTCAGGTGATCTGTCTGCCTTGGCTTCCCAAAGTGCTGGGATTACAGGTGTGAGCCACTGCATCCAGCTGCCAGAGGCAATATTGCTGGCCAAGCTTTTATTTTGTTCCATACCAATGCTGAGGTGGTGTGCTACCTGCCCCAGGTCCCTCATGTCCCTTGGTGGGACGCTGATGGCCAAGGGACTTAGATTCAAGTGACTTATAGCCAATTAAACATTGTAGGCCAGATGGAAGTGGAGGTAGGCAGGCACTCATTATTATCTCTTAAAACCCCTTTTAAGCAATATAAGAGCCAAAACCAGAAGCCAAAAAATAAGGTTATAAAACTGACTTATCTATAAATTCTGTGCATTGAGCTATTGTAATCTTGGCTTGCAGCAATTAGGTTTACAAAACACAAACATTTTGTTCAGCTATTTAGGTATCTGTGTGCCTGTCCTTGATTTGGAAGGTCTGAATTAATTATATCCCTCAAAACCCAGCCCCTATAATCTCTCATGCCCACCTCTTCAGTAGTCCTTGGGCCTGGAGGAATTGAATAGTTTTAAATTCTGTAGATAAAACAACACATAAAGAATTAGCAATGTTTCAAACAAAAAAGTCATAAGCCCTGCCCTAGTTTTGAGAATGACAGGAAAGGAATCTTACAGGTACCTAAACATTTAAATTATTTAGTATCAAGGCATAGAATAAGTTATATTAATTCATATAGAGGCAAAATTATTAAATGAATACAAGCTTGTCCCTGTGTCTCATTAAAGCAGTTTACTTTTTTTTTGAGACTGAGTTTCACTCTTGTTGCCCAGGCCGGAGTGCCATGGCATGATCTTGGCTCACCGCAACCTCCGCCTCCCGGGTTCAAGCGATTCCCCTGCCTCAGCCTCCCGAGTAGCTGGGATTACAGGCATGTACTACCACGCCCAGCTAATTTTTGTGTATTTTTGATAGGGACGGGGTTTCTCCATGTTGGTCAGGCTGATCTTGAACTCCCGACCTCAGGTGATCCACCCACCTCAGCCTCCCAGAGTGCTGGGATTACAGGCGTGATCAACTGCGCCCGTCCTAAAGCAGTTTACTTTGCCCCTTTTGCCCAGGTCTAAAGACAAGGCTTTGGTTAACTTGAGTTTGGTGTTAGATCCTGGCAAGAGTTGGTGCCTTCTCTAGATGAGCTGTCTGTACCCAGGAGTCAAAGCCCTGTAACTCAAAAGCACATTGATTAGTTAATAGCACCCGATAAGGAACTTTTTAAAGGGCTGGCAGTGGTAATGCTGGAGTCCACAACCTGTCAGGAGGCTGTAAAAATATATCACAACCTTGCAGTGATTAGTTTTTATAGCTTTGATAAAGCCCAGCAACAAGCCAGACAATCAAGCTAGGATTCGATTCTGGGGGCATTTGTAAAAGATGTTAAAAAGCCCAAAATACTGTATTGACACAGAACCACAGGTTACTGTAAGTAATAGTTACTTATTTACCCAAAGTGGTAATCTCTCTGCAGTGTAATTGTCTCTCCTTATGGGAAGCCCACTTAACTAATCTTGAAGTTAAATTTGATGAAGAGAAAAATAATACTTGAATTTAATCGGACAAAGTATGTTCAAGGTTTTGAATATAGCAGGTGAACATGAAAAGTTTTCTGGTTACTCTGAAAATTTAGACATGTCAAGAAAAACCAAGAGTATAGAATCAAGTTATACTGGAGGAAAACATTGCTTTTATAGACCTCTAAGCTAAAATATTTCAGCATCTGACTGTAAAAACAGAACTGGAAGAGAAAAAGTTACAGCAACTGATGAAAAGGTTGAAGGAGAGACTAATGTCTCAGGCTTTCTCAAGGGGAGAAAAAGCTGAAAGCAGTGAGATAGAACAATTGAACTTATGAGATATGAATCTGAGAAATTTTCAAAAGAAACAAGTTATAGAATTGAAAAGCAAATTTTCTTGTAATTTCATTAAGAGCAAATCAATACCTTGAAACCCTTACTTTAACATAGGAGACCATTCTTTAGAAAGATTCCACTTTTAATTATAGCTAACTTAATCACATAAACAATTCTTTTTATAAATTCTCCTTTATAAATCTTATGACCTGCACAGACCATGTATGATATGGTTGAATGAACTTTCTGACTTGTCCAATACTACCTTTTTTTTTTTTTTTTTGAGACAGAGTCTCATTCTGTTGCCCAGACTGGTGTGCAGTGGTGTAATCTTGGCTCACTGCAACCTCCGCCTCCCGGGTTCAAGCAATTCTCCTGCCTCAGCCTCAAAAGTAGCTGGAATTAACAGGCGTGTGCCACCACACCCAGCTAATTTTTGTATTTTTTAGTAGAGACAAGGTTTCACCATCTTGGCCAGGCTGGTCTCAAACTCCTAACCTCAAGTGATCCACCCACCTTGGCCTCCCAAAGTGCTGGGATTACAGGCATAAGCCACTGTGCCTGGCCTATACTACTTTTCCTAAATAACTAGTCATTCTACTACTCTAGAACAATACCATATAAGATCCTTTTTTTTTTCCCACTGAGATCTGCAGGATTCTTTCTTATGTAGAATTATTCTCTTTTATTTATAACCTTTCTTACCAAAAATACCTCTGAACATCCATAACTTTCTTTACCTATCTCTCCCCTACTTACTGGTTCCTTTCTACCTGGTTATATAAATAACCTTTTCAAGTCCATAATTTGAATCAACCTTTAGATAACTTTTGAATTAGACACAATTATTCTTTTTCTCAATAAAAACACATCTTCTTTGGTAAGTTTTATATAAACCTAAGAAGGAAGAAATCCTGAACTATCAGATATTAGCATTTTATAGATGAGAACCATTCCACAGTTTTTAAAATTTTTTATTTTATTGTAAAATGTTTCCCTATATAATATTCCTTTCTTAATTGGAAATGACCCAGGCATCCAATAAGCATCCAAAACGATTTTAAGATTTTAAATTATACAAAAAGTTCACTTATAAGCATTTATCTCATTATATTTACCTAATTTATTATTATTATTTATAATTTTTTTTCTTTTTTTTTTTTTGAGACAGAGTCTCACTCTGTCACCCAGGTTGGAGTGCAATGGCATAATCTTAGCTTACTGTAACCTCTGCCTCCCGGATTCAAGAGCTTCTTGGGCCTCAGCCTCCCAAGTAGCTGGGATGCATGCACCACCACGCCTGGCTAATTTTTGTATTTTTAGTAGCCATGGGGTTTTGCCATGTTGGCCAGGCTGGTCTCAAACTCCTGACCTCAAGTGATCCACCTGCCTTGGCCACCCAAAGTGCTGGGATTACAGGTGAGAGCCCCTGTGCCTAGCTGGAACTATATTAGACAAAATTGGTCATTATTCAAAGTTATTTCCTGGTTAACCATTTTTAAACTCTGAACATTAGGTGAACCCCTAAGTAAGAATCTTAAACACATGGGCATTTTGCCAGTAACTGAGAAGATTCAGCTATTTTCATTGAGCCAACAATCTTAAATTCGTCTTATTTATACAATTCTGAAGACATTTCTATTTCCATCAATTATTTAATTTAATTAATTAATTTTTTGAGACAAGGTTTCTGTTGCCCAGGCTGGAGTGCAGTGGCATGATCACAGCTCACTGCAGCTTCCGCCTCTTGGGGTCAAGTGATCTTCCACCTCAGCCTCCTGAGTAGCTGGGACTATAAGTGTGTGCTGTCACACCTGGCTAATTTTTTTTGTTTTGTTTTAGAGATGGAGTCTCACTATGTTGCCCAGGCTGGTCCTGAACTCCTGGGCTCAAGCAGTCCTCCCACCTTAGCCTCCCAAAAGGTTGGGAGGTGTGAGCGACAGCACCCAGTCTTTATTAATAATTTGAAAACAAGTTTTATTTACCAAAGGATTCATGTGAACTTGAAAAGCCTTTGGACTTTATTAAAGATAGCTGGATTTAAATATTTCTGACAATTTTGAAACCTGTTCACATGGCTAAACTTTTTTTTTCTAATAGGTAATCCAAGGAAACTGTAGACTAGAATTTGGGTAAGGTAGTTTTCATAACAGTTTTAATTTTAAAACCCTCTTTTATCCTTTTTTCCCCCTTCAGCTTCAGAGGAGGAGGAGATGATTTAAAAGGGCAGGAAAGAAAAAGAGGGAAAGGAGGGAGAGTAGGGGGATGAGGGGTACCTTTCCCTTTGTTTCTCTGGTGGGGGAGAGAGAGAGAGAGAGATACAGCAAGCCAGAACACTCATTGATGGATGAAGGGTCACCTTACCATGACAACTTCAATATCAGATATCTTGGACCCAAGACCTTGGGACTGTCCCAGGGACCCACAATCCTAGAGAGACATGAACCAGTAGAAGTATAATAAAAGAAGACTGAAAAGGCAGAAAGGGAAAGGAAGCTAGGAAAAACAGGCTCCCGTAGCAGCAAATGTGAATTGGGGAAGAGAGGGGTTGTTGTTCAGGGCGTGTCCTTGGAGTCCCTGAGACAGTGGAGAACTCACCCATCAGTGGAGACACCAAAAAAAGTGTTCAGGCGGCTGCTTTTCTGCCATTGCAGGGAGTCGTCATTAGGTCAGGGGTTCAGGGCCTCCAGAAAAATGGGCTTGAACAAGGCAGCTCATTTGGGACCCTCATTTTGAGCAGAAAGAAAGACAGGAAGAGACCTGTTGCAGAAAAGAAAATTTATGATTTTAGGAGGGACTAGAAGAAGTTGCTGAAGTGGATGGAATGACAGAGTAAGGAAAAAAATGAAACGGCACCAAATGCTGAAAAACCTGGAGTATCTAGACATTGGCCAGTGAGGGTCCCCATACCAAATGCTGAAAACCTGGGGGTGGCCAACAGTGAGGCCCAAAGGCATGAGACCTAACACAGTTGGGGCCATAGAATAATGTGACTCTGACATCCCAGAGTCAGCACAAAGGAATACCTCTCAAAATAACAAAAGCCTGCCTTACATGGAATAGAAACAACTGCCCAAATTGCCAAAACAGGGACTACAAACATGACAACTGGATAAACATAAGTGTGCATTTAGGCACTAAGAGCAGAAAAGTAAAATGACTGGTCATTAGAAGCTAAAGAGAAAAGGTCTGAGAGAGAAGGTGACAAAGTAAATTACAAAGGACGTGGATGTCCAGGTGTGCTTCTGTCTGGGGCACCCAGATGATGGGGGACAACGAACTGACTAACAACCCAGAGACACTATTCCCCATTTCCTGATTGATTTGAAAAGGTAAAGGGAGAGGAGAGTGAAAGAGAAAGTAAATCAGTTAAAGAACACCACATCGGCCAGGCGTGGTGGCTCACGCCTATAATCCCAGCAGTCTGGGAGGCCGAGGCGGGGGGATCACGAGGTCAGGAGTTCAAGACCAACCTGGCCAATGTGGTGAAACCCTGTCTCTACTAAAAATACAAAAATTAGCTGGGTGTGGTGGCAGGCACCTGTCATCCCAGCTACTCGGGAGGCTGAAAGCAGGAGAATCGCTTGAACCCGGGAGGCGAGGTTGCAGTGAGCCGAGATTGTGCCACTGCACTCCACCCTGGGTGACAGAGCAAGATGTCGTCTCAAAAAAAAAAAAAAAAAACGAAAACAAAACACACATTGAGGGGGAACAAAGGGGACACTCATCTTTTCGTGGAGGCCAAATGGTGCCAGTCAGTCTTTGGGTTCAAGCAATTCTCATGCCTCAGCCTCCCAAGTACCTGGGACTACAGGCGTGCACCACCATGGCTGGCTAATTTTTTGTATTTTTAGTAGAGCCGGGGTTTTGCTCTGTTGCCCAGGCTAGTATCGAACTCCTGAGCTCAGGCAATCCACCTGCCTTGGCCTCCCAAAGTGCTAGGATTACAGGCGTGAGCCACGGTGCTCAACCCAATCAGTCTTAATTTAGGGTCTGGCTAAAGGTCTCCCTCAGTTCCTTTTGGCTTATTATTGGTCTCTTCATGGTCACCAAGGAATGACGCAGGTGAACCCCAAATTGGGGCTCAGCCCAGGAGCATTCTTGGCTTCGCACTGGAAGGAATCATGAATGGGCCAACAGTGAATTGAAAGTAAGTTTATTAGAGCAACAGAGGAAGGGAAATGGCTGCTCTGTAAGAGAAGCAGCCGCAGCAGCAGACCTGCGGATTGCTGGCTAGCTGTATGTATACAAAGACAACATGGAAAAAAAATGAAACGGTGCCAAATGCCAAAATACCCAGAGTATCCAGGCATCAGCCCATGAGGGTCCCCATACCAAATGACGAAAATCCCAGAGCACCTAGGGGGTGGCCAACAGTGACCCTCAAAAGCATGAGACCTGTATAGCCATATATATATGGGTATACTTTGATTATATGCTAAAATAAGGGGCAGATTTTTTTTTTTTTTTAATTGATCATTCTTGGGTGTTTCTCGCAGAGGGGGATTTGGCAGGGTCATAGGACAATAGTGGAGGGAAGGTCAGCAGATAAACAAGTGAACAAAGGTCTCTGGTTTTCCTAGGCAGAGGACCCTGCGGCCTTCCGCAGTGTTTGTGTCCCTGGGTCCTTGAGATTAGGGAGTGGTGATGACTTAACGAGCATGCTGCCTTCAAGCATCTGTTTAACAAAGCACATCTTGCACCGCCCTTAATCCATTTAACCCTGAGTGGACACAGCACATGTTTCAGAGAGCACAGGGTTGGGGGTAAGGTCACAGATCAACAGGATAAGAATTTTTCTTAGTACAGAACAAAATGAAAAGTCTCCCATGTCTACCTATTTCTACACAGACACGGCAACCATCCAATTTCTCAATCTTTTCCCCACCTTTCCCCCCTTTGTATTACACAAAACCGCCATTGTCATCATGGCCCGTTCTCAATGAGCTGTTGGGTACACCTCCCAGACGGGGTGGTGGCCGGGCAGAGGGGCTCCTCACTTCCCAGTAGGGGCGGCTGGGCAGAGGCGCCCCTCACCTCCCGGACGGGGCGGCTGGCTGGGCAGAGGGGCTCCTCACTTCCCAGTAGGGGCAGCTGGGCAGAGGCGAAGGGGCGGATTTTTAATGGATTTTCTGGAAAAGGGGCGAGGACTTCCCGGAACTGAGAGTCCCTCCCCTTTTAAACCATATAAGGTAACATCTGGGGGTTGCCATGGCATTTGTAAACTGTCATGGTGCTGGTAGGAGGTTCTTTTAGCATGCAGATAAAAGGAGGGCAACAGGAGGTGGCTTTCATCACCATCTTGCTTTTAGCTGGTTTTGGCCAGTTTCTTTGATCAGCTCCTGTTTTGTTCAGCGGGGTCTTTCGAACAGTGCTTGGAAAACAAGTCCTGCTGATCTCCTACCTCAAATGGAATGTGAGGTGACAATAGGGCCAGCAAGCAAAAATAGAAATCTGAGATTGAAGTTTAGTAAGAGGCAAGGACTAGAAATGTTCAGTGTTAGTCATGGTTCTTCTCCATGGAAACAGACATGGAGGGGGAAGAGCAGTGGATTGAAGACAACCTTGCCTTGAGGAAGAAGATAACAGAGAAGGAACAACTGGAGAAGTAATAGTAAAAGTGAAAAGAGGAAGGAGAGCTTTAAGAACAAGGTACTTTAAAATGTAAATTTAAAATTTAGTAGCAAAGGAGGGATAAGGATAATACCTGAGAAAAAGGTTACATTTGAAGATTGATGATCTTGGAGAGTAGATTCAGGAGTTTGTTGGGGAAAGGACATTATATGAAGCAGTTAAAGAGGAAGGAATGGGGCTGGGAACAGTGGCTCACACCTGTAATCCCAACACTTTGGAAGGCCAAGGTGTGAGGATCTTGTGGCCAGGAGTTCAAGAACAGCCTGGGCAAGATAGCTAGGTTCCATCTCTACAGAAAATTTTAAAAATTAGCCAAGTGTGGTAGTGCATCCCTGTAGTCCTAGCTACTCAGGAGTAGCTAGGGGGATAGCTTGAGCCCAGGAGTTCAAGGTTGCAGTGAGCTCTGATCGCACCACTGCATTGCAACCTGGGTGACAGAGCAAGACCTTGTCTGTAAAAAAAAGAAAAAGGAGGAGGAATGAAACCCCAGAGATTTTTCTTTCTTTCCTCTCCCCCATCCCCCTCCTCCCCTCCTCCCTTCCTCCCCTCCTCCTCTCCTCCCCTCTCCTCCCCACTCTCCTCTTCCCTCTTATCCCCTTCCCTCACCTCCCCTCCCCTTCCTTCCCTTTTTTTTTTTTTTTTTTTTTTTTTTTGGAGACAGAGTCTCGCTTTGTTGACCAGGCTGGAGTGCAGTGGTGTGATCTCGGCTCACTGCAAGCTCCACCTCCCGGGTTCACGCCATTCTTCTGCCTCAGCCTCCCGAGTAGCTGGGACTACAGGCACCTGCCATCATGCCTGGCTAATTTTTTGTATTTTTAGTAGAGATGGGGTTTCCCCGTAGCCAGGATGGTCTTGATCTCCTGACCTTGTGATCTGCCCGCCTCGGCCTCCCAAAATGCTGGGATCACAGGTGTGAGCCACCATGCCTGGCCTTCCTTCCTTTTTTTGCAGTGGGAGAATGGGTGAGAAATAGCTAGAGAAGGCAGCGAGATTATTGCATATTTTTTCAAGATAAGTTGTCAGAAGGAACTGGAGGAAATTATAAGATTAAAATGCTAGAGAAGGAATGGATAAATAACTATGGGTTCATAGTCACTCAGTTATTGATAAGTGTAATTAAGAGATTTTAAAAATCAGTTCACAGATATCCGGATTTAAATAAACATTTATTGTTTAGTATTATCTGTGATATCACTCCCCTTCATTAATCTGGAGAACTGAAAATTGATTATACTACTTTGCACTTTAATTAGTTGTATATACAAGTAATAGCAATAAAAGTACACTATGAGTGTCTCTCCAGAATTTTTCTTCAAGTAACTTTTTTTTTTTTTTTTTTTGCCAATCAGATAATGTAACACAAAACAGAGAGGAAGAAAGAAAGATTGACAATTCACATATATCTACTTTGGAAAATATTGAAAACTTTAAAGGAGAAAATAAAAATCACCCGTAGCCCTGCTGTTTAGTATGTGTTTTTGTTGTTTTACTTTCTTTTAAGTAACATTTTAGTTTTCTGATTATGAAAGCAGCAGCATCATATACACTGTAGAAAAAATGAAAATACATAGAAAGATAGTTGGATTATTTTCAAGTATTGACATTTTGTTACAATTGATACCTTTTTGTTGTTGTTATTGTTTGTTTGTTTGTTTGTTTTTGAGACAGAGTCTCGCTCTGTCACCCAGGCTGGAGTGCAGTGGCATGATCTTGGCTCACCACAACCTCCACTTCCTAGGTTCAAGCAATTCTCCTGCCTCAGCCTCCCGAGTAGCTGGGATTACAGGCGCCTGCCACCACACCTGGCTAATTTTTGTATTTTCAGTAGAGGTGGGGTTTCCCCATGTTGGTCAGGCTGGTCTTGAACTCCTGACCTTGTGATCCACCTGCCTCGGCCTCCCAAAGTGCTGGGATTACGGTGTGAGCCACTGCGCTAGGCGCACCTTGCCGGGCAATACATTGTTAAATCATGTTTCTTTTTTCTTTTTTTTTCTTTCTTTTTTTTTTTTTTTTTTTTTTTGAGACGGAGTCTTGCTTTGTTGCCCAGGTTGGAGTGGAGTGTAGTGGCGTGATCTTAGCTCACTGCAACCTCCACCTCCCGGGCTCAGGTGATTCTCTTGCCTCAGCCTCCCGAGTAGCTGGGATTACAGGCATGTGCCACTGCGCCTGGCTAAGTTTTGTATTTTTAGTAGAGATAGGGTTTCGCCATGTTGGCCAGGCTGGTCTTGAACTCCTGATCTCAAGTGATCCACCCACCTCGGCCTTCCAAAGTGTTGGGATTACAGGCTGGAGTGCAGTGGTGTGATTTCGGCTCACTGCAAGCTCCGCCTCCTGGGTTTGCATTGTCCAGCCTAAATCATGTTTCTTGACTGCAGGTATTAGTGTTTAAACCTTTTCTTTATTTATTTTTTTTAAAGAGATGAGGTCTCACCCTGTCATCCAGGCTATAGTCCAGTGGTACGATCATAGCTCACTGCAGCTTCTAACTCCTGGGCTGAACTGATCCTACCAAGTAACTGGCACTATAGGCAGGAGCCACATCATCCAGCTAAAAAAAGCTGCGACTACAGACCTGCACCACCACACCCAGCTTTTTTTTTTTTTGACTTTTTGCAGACACAAGGTCTCTATAAGTTGCCCAGCATAGAAATGTTTTTTGTTTGTTTGTTTGTTTAACAGGTGAGGTCTCATAATTCACTGCAACCTACAATTCCTGGCCTTAAATGATCCTGCTGCTTCAGCCTTCTAAAGTGCTGGGCTTACAGGTATGAGCCACTGGGCTCAACTAGAAATAACTTTTTATTTATTTATTTATTTATTTATTTATTTATTTATTTATTTATTTTTAACGAGACAGAGTCTTACTCTGTAGCCCACGCTAGAGTGCAGTAGCACAATAATGGCTCACTACAACCTCTAACTCTTGGCTTCAAGTAATCTTTCTGCCTTGGCCTCCCAAAACGCTGGAATTACAGGCATGAAGCCACACATAACTTTTTTTTAGACAGGGTCCCACCGTGTTACCTAGGCTGGAGTACAGCAGTGCAATTACGGCTCACTGCTGCCTTGACCTCCTAGGCTCAAGTGATTCTCCCACCTTAGCCTCCCAAGTAGCTGGGACTACAGGTGTGCACCACCATGCCTGGCTAATTTTTGTATTTTTTGTCGAGATAGCGTTTCACCACATTAACCAGGCTGGTATCAAACTCCTGAGCTCAAGTGACCTGTCCACCTCAGCCTCCCAAAGTGCTGGGATTACAGCCATGAGCCACCATGCCCAGCCCACAAATTACTTTTTAAACAAGCATACCAGAACTTTTAAATCTAAGCAAGTATTGCCCTTCAAAACACAGAGATTCACTTTGGTAGGCAGAGCCTCTTCCACTGACATTTTTACTACTTAAAAAATATTTGGGGTCAGGCATGGTGGTTCACACCTATCCCTGTACATTGGGAGGCTGAGGTGAGAGGATTGCTTAAGGCCAGGAGTTCAAGACCAGACTTGGCAACATAGTGAGACCCCATCTCTACAAAAATAAAATAAAATTAGCTGGGCATGGTGGCAGGAACCTGTAGTCTCAGCTACTTGGGATGCTGAGGTGGAAGGATCACTTGAGCCCAGGAGGTTGAGGCCGCAGTGAGCTGAGATCGTACCACTGCACTTCAGCCTAGGGGACAGAGCGAGACCCTGTCTCAGCAACAACAAAAAAATTGGAACTACTTGGCCAAGTGCGGTGGCTCGTGCCTGTAATCCCAGCACTTTGGGAGGCAGAGGTGGGCGGATCACCTGAGGTCAGGAGTTCGAGACCAGCCTGACCAACATGGAGAAACCCCATCTCTACTAAAAATACAAAATTAGCTGGGCGTGGTGGTGCATGCCTATAATCCCAGCCACTCGGGAGGCTGAGCCAGGAGAATCTCTTGAACCCGGGAGGCGGAGGTTGCGGTGAGCTGAGATCGTGCCATTGCACTCCAGCTTAGGCAACAAGAATGGAACTCCGTCTCAAGAAAAAAAAAAAATTGGAACTGCTTTTTAAAACTGTCCCTGCAGGGCTGGGTGCGTGGCTCATGCCTGTAATTCCAGCACTTTGGGAGGCCTAGAGGGACAGATTACCTGAGGTCAGGAGTTAGAGACCAGCCTGGCCAACATGGTAAAACCCCATCTCTACTAAAAATAAAAAATTAGCTGGGCGTGGTGACACACGCCTGTAATCCCAGCTACTCGGAAGGCTGAGGCAGGAGAATTGCTTGAGCCTAGGATACGGAGGTTGCAGTGAGCTGAGATCATGCCACCGTACTCCAGCCTGGCCCACAGAGCGAGACTCTGTCTGGAAAAAAAAAAAACAAAAAAACTGTCCCTGCAAGCACATTATCAGCTGCACCACAAAATCATTTTTCATACTCTAGAGGAAATGTTCCTTTTTTCTACAACCTTTTTTTCCCCTCTGACTCCACAATGCTTTTCAATTTATTTCCCCTTCCTAGAGCCCTTTAGGACCCCACCTTCCTTTATAGATATGCTGGATGCTAAAAGACCTCAGAAAGAGAAGCTGAGCAGAATAAGAGAAATAGAGAAAGCAAACCTTATTCAGAGCATATCTGTAACTTATGTACTGCCAGCCTGAGAACTGTATGTTGATAACATCAAAATTATTATTTTTTAATTTATATTGTTTATTTTTTGGAGACAGTGCCTCGCTCTGTCGCCCAGGCTGGAATGCAGTGGTGCAACCTTGGCTCACTGCAACCTTGGCTCACTGCAACCTCTGCCTCCCCGGTTCAGGTGATTCTCGTGCCTGTTGAATAGCTGGGATTACAGGCACCTGCCACCACGGCTGGCTAATTTTTTGTATTTTAGTAGAGACGAGGTTTTACCATGTTACCCAGCATGGTCTCAAACTCCTGAGCTCAGGCAGTCCGCCCACCTTGGCCTCCCAAAGTGCTAGGACTACAGGTGTGAACCACCATGCCTGGCTGATCATAACATCAAAATTAGCTGAGAACAGTACAAATCAACTAATTATAAGCTAAAATCATGCTACTCACTTTTAGGAGGCAAAGAAAGGAGAAGCATAAGTGGAAATTAGGGTATGTAAGTCAAATTCAGAAGAACAAGTAAAATTCTATTAGAATAAACACCATTAAAGCAGAAGATTTAGCTGGATGGTGTGATGGAAGTAAGCTATAACAATGCTACTGCACTCCAGGCTAGGCGACAGAGTGAGACCCAAGTATAAAGACTGGCCATGTGTTTTGAAAGAAAATGTTCAACTAAGTAATACACAAACTAGGGAAAAAATTCAGAAATATAAAAAGTACACAGTGAAAATTTAGGCATCCTTTCACTTTGTACTCTTGCTCCCCAAGTCCTCTTCCCAGGTAACTGTTAAACAATTTTTTGTGTATAGTCCAGGGATTTTCTGTATATATGCAAGCTATTTCCTTGATAGCCTGATTTCTGATGTTTACCATTTTTTTTTTTTTTTTTTTTTGAGACAGAGTCTCTCTCTGTCGCCCAGGCTGGAGTTCAGTGGCGCGATCTCGGCACACTGCAACCTCCGCCTCCTGGGTTCAAGCAGTTCTCCTACCTCAGCATCCTAAGTAGCTGAGATTACAGGTGCCCGCCACCATGCCTGGCTAATTTTTTGTATTTTTAGTAGAGACGGGGTTTTGCCGTGTTGGCCAAGCTGGTCTCAAACTCCTGACCTCAAGTGATCCACCCATCTCAGCCTCCCAAAGTGCTGAGATTACAGGCGTGAGCCACTGTGCCCAGCATTCTTTTTTGGTTTGTTTGTTTGTTTTGTTTGAGATGGAGTTTCGCTCTGTTGCCCTGGCTGGAGTGAAGTGGCACTACTATCTTGGCTCACTGCAACCTCTGCCTGCCAGGTTCAAGCGATTCTCCTGCCTCAGCCTCCCAAGTAACTGGGATTACAGGTGCCTGCCACCATGCCTGGCTTATTTTTGTATTCTTTTTTTACAGCCGAGGTTTCATCATGTTGGCCAGGCTGGTCTCCAACTCCTGACCTCAAGTGATCTGCCTGCCTCAGCCTTCCATAGTGCTGAGATTACAGATGTGAGCCACTGCGCCCAGCCTACTTTTAATACTACATGAATATTTCTTTGCGTGTGTGTGTGTGTGTGTGTGACAGTGTCTTGCTCTGACACCCAGGCTGGAGTGCAATGGCATGATCACAGCTCACTGCAGCCTTGAACTCCAGGGTCCAAGTGATTCTCCCACCACACCCTCCTAAGTAGCTGGGACCACAGGTGTGTACCAACACACCCAGCTAATTTTAGAGCTCTATATTTTTGTAGAGACAAGGTATCTCCAAATGTTGCTCAGGCTGGTCCCGAACTCCTGGATCCTGGCTAAAGCGATCTTCCTGCCCTGGCCTCCCAAAGTAATGGGATTACAGGTGTGAGCCACCTGGCCTAGCCTAATTTTTTATTTTTATTTTTAGTAGAGACAAAGCCTCGATATGTTGCTCAGACTGGTCTCAAACTCCTGGGTTCAAGTGATCCTCCTGCCTCAGCCTCCCAAAGTGCTGGGATGATAGTCATGAGCCACCTCATGACTATAAGCACCTGGCTTTTTTTTTTGTGTGTGTGTGTGTGTGACGGGGTCTTGCTGCGTTGTCCAGTCTGGAGTGCAGTGGTGGAATCGTATCTCCCTGTAACCTCAAAATCCTGGCCTCAAGCCATCCTCCCAGCTCAGCCCCCCCAAGTAACTAGGACTACAAGCATGCACCATCACCCCTTTTTTCTCTGTCTTTTTAATGCTAGCCTCACCTACTCCCCTCACAAAGGGAGTGTTTATGAAGTGTTGAGGTGAGAAAGTTGTCTAATGAACTGTAGAACCATATATTTACAATTTTATGGTGACAGTTACTCTTCTGCTCTGCCAAATTGATTTACAAAGTCAGGGCATTTTATGATTATATTTATAGTTGATGAAATATGGTGTTAATGGTCATCTATATAAAATGTCATCAGGAATTTCCTTTACAAGTCTGATTTTTCATAGGAAAAAATGCAAAACTGAAAGCATATTAGAAATAAAAAGACCTCAGCAATTACCTAGTTTAACTCCCTGAGTTTACAGATGAGTAAATTGGATCTGAGCTTTGATTTAAGAGAGGAAAATTCCTATATAGTATATGCTTAATTCATGAAGTTGTCTACCTAAAAACACTATAATAAGATGCTAAATTCTACAACAGAGTATGACTGAGAATGGTCAAAGTGTGGAGCAATATTTGTGATTCTTCCAGGGAAACCTCAAATGAATTCTGAAGGGGAGATACCTTCCCTGCCATCAGGCAGCCAATCTGCAAAACCAGTAAGCCAGCCCAGGAAATCAACCCAGCCAGATGTTTGTGCCTCTCCTCAAGAAAAGCCACTCAGGACTCTGTTTCACCAACCTGAGGAAGAGATAGAAGATGGTGGACTCTTCATTCCAATGGGTAGGCTTTCTTTTTCTTTTTAATTAAATGAAACCTCTTTATTGAAGTATAATATGTAGAAAACTGCACATGTCCTAAGATATCCTGAATTCACTATATTTTTACAAATTTAATACACCCTTGTAAGCAGGACCCAGATCAAGATAGAGAATGTTATCAATACCCAGAAGTCCATCTTGTCTTCCCTTTCAATTACCCTCTACCCATAGGTTAACCACTATCCTGATGTCTAGCATCATATATTGGTTCAATTTTTTTTTTTTTTTTTTTGAGACGGAGTTTTGTTCTTGTCGCCCAGGCTGAAGTACAGGGGCGTGATCTCGGCTCACGGCAACCGCTGCCTCCTGGGTTCAAGTGATTCTTCTGCCTCAGCCTCCGGAGTAGCTGGGATTACAGGTGCCTGCCACCACACCCGGCTTAATTTTTGTATTTTTAGTAGAGACAGGGTTTTGCTATGTTGGCCAGGCTGGTCTCGAACTCCTGACTTCAGATGATCCACCCACCTTGGCTTCACAAAGTGCTGGGATTACAGGTGTGAGCCACTGCGCCTAGCCAGTTGTTCTGTCTTTTTGTCTTTTATTTGAATGGAATCGTGTGTACATTTTATAACTGCCTTTTTTTTTTTAAAGACAGGGTCTCACTCTGTCACTCAGACTGGAGTGTAGTGGTGCCATCACGGCTTACTGTGGCCTTGACCTCCTGGGTTAAAGTGATCTTTTTGTCTCAGCCCTAAGTAGCTGGGACTATAAGCGCGTGCCGTCACAGCCAGCTAATTTTTTTTCTTTTTTTTTGAGACACAGTCTTGCTTTGTTGCCCAGGCTGCTGGAATGCAATGGCTTGATCTCAGGTCACTGCAACCTCCGCCTCCCAGGTTCAAGCGATTCTCCCGCCTCAGCATCCCTAGTAGCTGGGATTACAGGCACCTGCCATCATGCCCAGCTAATTTTTGTATTTTTTGTAGAGACGGGGTTTCACCGTGTTGGCCAGGCTGGTCTTGAACTCCTGACCTCAGGTGATCTGCCTGCCTTGGCTTTCCAAAGTGCTGGGATTACAGGCATGAGCCACCGCACCCGGCCCAGCCAGCTAATTAAAAAATTTTTTTTGTAGAGACGGAGCCCCACTATATTGCCCAGGCTGGTCTCAAACTGCTGTGCTCAATTGATCCTCTTGCCTCAGCCTCCCAAAGTGTTGGGATGACAGGTGTGAGCCACCGTGCCTGGCATTGTGACTGCGTTTATTCTCTCAATTTTTTTTTTTTTTGTTTTGAGACAGAGTCTTGCTCTGTCACCCAGACTGGAGTGCAGTAGCGCAATCTCGGCTCACTGCAGTGTCTGCCTTCCGGGTTCCAGCGATTCTCCTGCCTCAGCCTCCTGGGTAGCTGGGATTACTGGCACGGCCACCATGCAGGGCTAGTTTTTTTATTTTTAGTAGAGACGGGCTTTCACCATGTTGGCCAGGCTGGTCTCGATCTCCTGACCTCAGGTGATCTGCCCGCCTCGGCCTCCCAAGGTGCTAGGATTACAGGCGTGAGCCACCGTGCCCGGCCTCAACATTGTTTTATGAAATTCATCCATATTCTTGGATGTACTTGTAGATTGTTCATTTTTATTGCTGTATATCATTCTGTTGTTTGAATAGTTTATGTATGTTTTCTTTTCTTTAATTTTTTTTTTAGAGATAGGTACTGCTCTGTCACCCAGGCTGGAAGTTCAGTGCCATGATCATAGCTCACTGCAATTTGAACTCCTAGGTTCAAGTGATCTTCCCACTTCAGCCTCCCCAGCAACTCGGACTCTAGGTGCACGCCACAATGCCTGGCTAATTTTCATTTTTATTTTATTATTATTATTTTTTTAGAGACGGTTTTCACTATGTTGCCCAGGCTGGTTTTGTATTTCTGGGCTCGAGCAGTCCCTCCTTGATCTCTCAAAGTGCTGGGATTACAGGCATGAGCCTCCTCACCTGGTTTGCTTTACGTTTTCTTTATCCATTCAACTCTTTGTTTTTTCTTTTTGCTTCCTTGTGCCCATTGTTACCCATTCAATTCTTCTTCTTCTTTTTTTTTTTTTTTTTTGCGACAGAGTCTTTGTTTTGAACCAGAGTCTCACTCTGTCGCCCAGGCTGGAGTGCAATGGTGTGATCTTGGCTCACTGCAACCTCCGCCTCCCAGGTTCAGGTGATTCTCCTGCCTCAGCCTCCTGAGTAGCTGGGATTACAGGTGCGCTCCACCACTCCTCTGCTAATTTTTGTATTTTTAGTAGAGATGGGGTTTCATCATGTTGGTCTGGCTGGTCTCGAAGTCCTGACCTCATGATCCGCCTGCCTCAGCCTCCCAAAGTGCTGGGATTACAGGCATGAGCCACCGTGCCTAGCCTTTTTTTTTTTTTTTTTTTTTTTTTTTTGATGTGGAGTTTTGCTCTCGTCACCCAGGCTGGAGTGCAATGGTGCAATCTCGGCTCACTGCAACCGCTTCCTCCTGGGTTCAAGCAATTCTCCTGCCTCAGCTTCCCAAGTAGCTGGGACTACAGGCACGTGCCACCATGGCCGGCTAATTTTTGTATTATTTTTTTTTTTTTAGTAGAGACAGGGTTTCACCATGTTGGTCAGGCTGGTCTTGAACTCCTGACCTCAAATGATCTGCCCGCCTTGGCTTCCCAAAGTGCTGGGTCACAGGTGCAAACCACTGCACCTGGCCCCATTCAATTCTTGATGAGCATTTGGATACTTTTCAGTTGTGGGCTACTGTGAGTGGTGCTGCTGTGAACATTCTATAGATTTTTTGCTGAACATGTGTACTTCTTTTTCGTTGGGTGGAAATGCTAGCTTATAAGTTTGGGCATCCTTAAAATTCTTTTGAAATACTAAATTTTTTATTGTGAAACATAACACAGACACATGACTAAAGACTTCTTTATTTGATTTAGCAAATGGTTTTTTTGTGTGTGTGTGTGAATCTTGCTCCGTCGCCCAGGCTTGAGTGCAGTGGTGTGATCTCGGCTCACTGCAACCTCCGTCTCCTGGGTTCAAGTGATTCTCCTGTCTCAGCCTCATGAGTAATTGGGATTACAGGGACACACCACCATGCCCGGCTAATTTGTATTTTCAGTAGAGACGAGGTTTCACCATGTTGGCCAGGCTGGTCTTGAACTCGTGACCTCAGGTGATCCACCTGCCTTGGGCTCCCAAGGGGCTGGAATTATAGGTGTGAGCCACTGCGTCCAGCCTCACTTTGGCAAATGCTTTTAAAATGGACACGTAATTTTTCTTATTGCATATTCTAGACCTTCATTGCTATGTAGGTTGTAAGTAGTAGTGGTAGTCGACATCTGTGTCTTATTTCTGGACAAAACAGGAAAATGTTCAGTATTCCTTCATTATATATGAGGATAGTTATAGGCTTTTCATAGAAATATTTTTTAGGTTAAGGAAATAATTTTCCTAAGTTTTCTGAGTTTTTTCATATATTGAATTTCATCAAATGCTTTTTCCTATCTCTATTAAGATCATGTTTTTTTCTCTTTCATTTTGTTAATGTGGTAAGTTTCATTAGGTTTATTGAGATATAAAATAAAATGTATCTGATGAGTTTTGAAAAATATGTACAGTTGGGCCAGGTACGGTGGCTCACACCTGTAATCCCAGAGCTTTGGGAGGCTGAGGCGAGTGGATCACCTGAGGTCAGGAGTTCAAGACCATCGTGAGCAACATGGAGAAACCCCATCTCTACTAAAAATACAAAATTAGCCGGGCGTGGTGGCACATGCCTGTAATCCCAGCACTTTGGGAGGCTGAGGCAGGTGGATCACCTGAGGTCGGGAGTTCAATACCAGCCTGACCAACATGGAGAAACCCTATCTCTACTAAAAATACAAAATTAGCCGGGCATGGTGGCACATGCCTGTAATCCCAGCTACTCGGGAGGCTGAGGCAGGAGAATCACTTGAACCCAGGAGGCGGAGGTTGCGCTGAGCCGAGATTGCACCATTGCACTCCAGCCTGGGCAACAAAGAGCGAAAACTCCGTCTCAAAAAAACAAAAGAAAGAAAAATATATACAGTTGTGTTAACTGCTACCACAACCAACGTGGAACATTTCTGTCACCCCAAAAGTTGCCTAATTCCCCTTTGCTATCCCCCTTTCTCAAACATTGGCAAGCACTGATTTCTATTTCCATAGTTTTGCATCTTCTATGCAAATGTTCTATACTTGTTATACCGTCATATAATATGTGTCCTTTTACATCTGGTTTCTTTCACAGCATAATGCTTTTGAGATTTATCCACTTTACTGTTGGCTTTCTGGGCTAAGTTCCTGGAGCAGCTATTTTGGAATTCTGATGATGTTCTTGGTTTATTTGCAGAAGAACAAGACAATGAAGAAAGTGAGAAAAGGAGAAAAAAGAAAAAGGGTACCAAGAGGAAACGAGATGGAAGGGGTCAAGAAGGGACCTTGGCATATGACCTGAAACTGGATGACATGCTTGACCGTACCTTGGAGGATGGTGCCAAGCAGCACAATCTAACAGCAGTCAATGTCCGAAACATCCTTCATGTGAGTAAGACTGGGGCAGTTATGTAAATGGAAGGGAACTTTTTCATGGAAAGCATATAAAAATGTTCAGCAAATTCTTGACTCTTGATACGTGAATTACCGATTTTGTGGGTTACCCGTGACAGAACATTTTACATTTTTACATATTTAAGATAGCTTTCTCCTTGCACTCAGTACAAGTTTGAAATATGAACACATGTTAAAGAAGAATTTAATTGGAAAGATAAACTGTTCCTGTTTCCTTCCACTGATTTTCATATTTACTGTATTGTTTAGTAGATTCAATGTTGATAATGTTCATAGTGGGTTTACTCTTGTGGGTCGATATGTCTAAAAAGATGCCTGGTTAATAGTTTATTGCACTTTGTACATATGTAAATACTTTTCTTGATATGTAGCAACACAGCTATTTGCAGAGCCTTTGCTCTTGTTACTCTTTCTCTTAAGCATATAGTTACTTACCTCAGGATCTCCTTTTATGTGAGCCATTCCTGTTCCTAGTAGCAGCTAATGAGATTGGTTCATTTGCTGCTACATTGTTTGAAACTGTGTGGTTCTGGCCAAAACTTACTTCTGCCTTCTTTGCTTTCAGTTGCCTTGCTTTACCCCAGTCTGATGCTATTCGAGTATATGGTTCTCATTTGTCCTGTACATAGGTCTGACAGTTACATGGAGAGATGAGTATTGTCTAGGTGACAAACCCTTGTTGCATAAAGTGAAATTTCATCTTTCTCCAGGAAGTAATCACAAATGAACACGTGGTAGCTATGATGAAAGCAGCCATCAGTGAGACGGAAGATATGCCAATGTTTGTGAGTAGTTGATTATCACTCTTTTAATGTCTTGGAACAGAGTTATCTCTAAACTGGCTAAGGGTAGGAGGTCACTTAGGAGTTTGTAAACAGTTTGGCAGCTGGGGTTAAAGTTAGCATTTCAAAACATAAGAATTACTTGGTAATTTTTACTTATTTTATTTGTTATTTTATTATTATTATTATTTTATTATTATTATTTTTTTTTGAGACGGAGTCTTACTCTGTCACCCAGGCTGGAGCGCAGTGGCGCGATCTTGGCTCATTGCAAGCTCCGCCTCCCGGGTTCAGGCCATTGTCCTGCCTCAGCCTCCTGAGTAGCTGGGACTACAGGGGCCTGCAACCACGCCCGGCTAATTTTTTGTATTTTTAATAGAGACGGGGTTTCACCACGTTAGCCAGGACGGTCTCGATCTCCTGACCTTGTGATCCGCCCGCCTCGGCCTCCCAAAGTGCTGGGATTACAGGCGTGAGCCACCGCGCCCGGCCTTGTTATTTTATTATTATTATTTTTTTAGAGACAGGGTCTTGCTCTGTCACCAAGGCTGGACTCAAACTCCTAAGCTGGACTCAGCGATCCTCCCAGTTCAGCCTCTTGAGTAGCTGGGACTACAGGAACATGCGACTATGCCCAGCTAATTTAAAACAATTTTTTTGTAGGGAGGGTGTCTCACTCTGTTGCTCAGGCTGGTCTCAAACTCCTTGCCTCAAGCCATCCTCCCACCTTGGCCCCTAAAGTGCTAGGATTATAGGCATGAGCCACCTCACTGAGCTGTGATTTTTATTGAGGATTTCCTTTCTGTTTTTTTCTCCTTAGGAGCCTAAAATGACACGCTCTAAACTGAAGGAAGTAGTGGAAAAAGGAGTGGTAAGTATTCTGTTTTTTTGTTGTTGGTTTTTTTTTAGCTTGGTGAATAGGATCTAATTCACCCATAGGGAAAAATATAGGAAAGATTGTGGTCTGAATTTGCCTCTTTAAAGAAATATTTATAAAAGACAGTAGAATTGTTTCTACATGATCATAAGCTATGATAATCATAGTTTATTTTAGTAGATATGAAGCATTGCTTTTTGGAATTGCTAGATAGATAACCATTTGGAATAGTTGAAATCAATAGGTGAGACCAGTTTTTCTATTTATGTTACAACACATGTTGCAAAGTGTTTAGTATTTTTCATAGTGTGTTCCAGGGGCCAGTTGCATAAAAATCACTTTGGTGTGGGATCCCTCAGGCATGCTTATTAAAAATGCATACTTTTGGCTGGGTGTAGTGGCTCATGCCTGTAATCCCAGCACTTTGGGAGGCCGAGGCAGATGGATCACTTGAAGTCAGGAGTTCGAGACCAGCCTGGCCAACATAGTGAAACTCTGTCTCTACTAAAAATACAAAAATTAGCTGGGTGTGGTGGTGTGCGCCTATAATCCCAGCTGCTTGGGAGGCTGAGGCACAAGAATCACTTGAACCCGGGGGCGGAGGTTGCAGTGAGTGGAGATTGCACCACTGCACTACAGCCTGGGCAACGGAGTGAAACTGTCTCAAAAAAACAAAAACAAACAAAAAAATCTCCATACTTTTGAGCCCACCCCAGACCTGAGAATCAGGACCCATGGGCAGGGCCTTGGAATATGCATTGGCAAAAACACAACAGTTAATTCTTTTGAATACTAAAGTGTTGAGAACCACTTGAAGACATCTGAAGTATTCTGTGCAGCAAGCTCTTTGGTGCTTGGAGCTGTGCTATATCCTTCTTAATAAGCACTTGACTAGTTTGTGCTTACAAGGCAGGTAATAGTCATGAGGGAGTTCATTATATTTCTGATAGTAAGGAAGATTTGCCTTACAGACCGAAAATATGTATCATAGGTTTTATCTGTCCTGGTTTTATTCCTTGGAGACTGATAGAAGAAACAGGTCTAGGCTGGGCTTGGTGGCTCATGCCTGTAATCCCAGCACTTTGGGAGGTGGAGGTAGGAAGATTGCTTGAAGCCAGGAGTTCAAGACCAGCCTGGGCAACGTAATGAGACCGAGACCTTGTCTAGAAAAAAAAGCAAGAAAAGGAATTGGTGTATTCTTCCACATTACTTTTCCTACAGTTGAAGAAAACTAGTATGTTATTTCATAACATTCTTTTCTTGGCTATACATCCCCCAATTTCTCCCCCCCTTTTTATTTTGGGAGTCTTGCTTCATCGTCCAGGCTGGAGTGCAGTGGCACAATTCTGGCTCACTGCAACCTCTGCCTCCCAAGCTCAAGTGATTCTCCTGCCTCAGCCTCCTGAGTAGCTGGGATTACAGGTGCGTGCCACCATGCCCGGCTAATTTTTTTGTATTTTTTAAAATTTTTATTAGAGATGGGGTTGCACCATGTTTGGCCAGCCTGGTTTCAAACTCCTGACCTCAAATCATCTGCCCGCCTTGGCCTCCCAAAGTACTGGGATTACAGGCATGAGCCACTGTGCCTGGCCTTTTTGTTTTGAGATGGAGTCTCACTCTGTCACCTAGGCTGGAGTGCAGTGGTGCGATCTCAGCTCACTGCAACCTCTGGCTCCCAGGTTCAAGCGATTCTCATGCCTCAGCCTGCTGAGTAGCTGGGATTATAGGCATGCACCACCACACGCATCTAATTTTTGTAGTTTTAGTAGAGATGGGGTTTCACCATGTTGGCCAGGCTGGTTTCCAATTGACCCATGTGATCGCCCGCCTTGTCCTCCCAATGTGCTAGGATTACAGGCGTGAGCCACTGTGCCCGTCCCATATCCTTTTAAAAGTATGCCAAAAGAAGACTCTACTGAACCAGATATGGTTTGACTAGTAGTTAGATTATCTCCACAGTGTTCCAGATTACATATTTCTCCTAATGTAGCCTAAGGTCAAATTGACCTTTGTTTTTGGCAATCACATCACTTTTTTTGGTCTGGTTGACTAACTCTTGTTGCATAAATTGAAATTTCATCTTTCTCTAGGATGTGTTCACAAATGAATAGGTGGTAGCTATGATGAAAGCAGCCATCAGTGAGGAAGTTCTATGAAGTCTACTTGACATATAGAATATAATTAACATGGCTGGGCACGGTGGCTCATGCCTGTAATCCCAGCACTTTGGGAGGCCGAGGCAGCTGGATCACCTGAGGTCAGGAGTTTGAGACCAGCCTGGCCAACATGGCGAAACCCCGTCTCTACTAAAAATACAACAGTTAGCTGGGCGTGTGGTGGGCGCCTGTAATCCCAGCTACAGAGACGAGAGGATCGCTTGAACTCAGGAGGGAGAGGTTGCAGTGAGCGGAGACCATGCCACTGCACTCCAGCCTGGGTGATAGAGCAAGACTCTGTCTTAAAAAAAAAAAAGAATATAATTAACATTAATTCTTTATTTGATTTGGGGAAAAAAAATCCAAGGAGATCAAATTAGGCTCTGAATTATGTTTATTGGCCATGAATATAGATGTGGAGAAGTTGGGCCATCCAAGACGGTATAGTTTACGTAGGAGAGCAAGTATTAAAATGTAGGTCTCTTGCTTCTTAATTCTTTCTTTTTTTTTTTTTTTTTTTCAGTGACTTGCTCTGTTGCTCAGGCTAGAGTACAGTGGCCTAATCATAGCTCACTGCAGCCTTGAACTCCTTCCTGTGCTCAAGGGATCTTCCTGCCTTAGCCTCGCAGACAGCTAGGCCTATAGGCATGTGCCACCATGTCCAGCTAATTGGTTTTTTTGAAACATTCTTTTGTAGAAATAGGGTCTTAATGTGTTGCCCAGGCTGAACTCAAACTCCTGGGCTCAAGTGATCCTTCTGCCTTGATCTCCCAACATGGGGGGATTACAGGCATGAGCCGCTATACTTGGCCTTCTTAATTCTTACTAGACTGACTCCAACACACTTCTGAATGCTGGCTTGCCTTTCTAATGGATTTGGCAGTAGGTAGGAAAGGGAAATGGGCCTGAATCACATCATTCCCTTTACCCTATATTGGTCCCACCTACACAGCACTAGATAAATGGTCAGAACATAGCAGGGCTGATTTGATTTGAGAAGCTAAGACTCCTTTTAGAGACAGAACCTAATGGCCAGTTGGCTTTTGTTCATAAGGTGCTTTTGGTTGGGTTACAATTAAATGGTCAAGAAATTATACATCCTCAATGGCATTTTATCAGCAGTATATAAGAACTTTAAAAAAGTTCTTTAGGCTAGATGTGGTGGCTCACACCTATAATCCCAGTGCTTTGAGAGGCTAAGGTGGGAGGATTGTTTGAGCCCAGGATTTTGAGACCAGCCTGGGAAACCTAATGAGACTCCATCTCTACAAAAAATTTAAAAAATTAGTGAGGCCTGGTGAGGAGGCATGCCTGTAGTCCTAGCTAATTAGTAGGCTGAGGCAGGAGGATCGCTTGAGCTCAGGAATTTGAGGCTGCAGTGAGCTCTGATTGTGCTGCTGCTCTAGCCTAGGCAACAGGGCAAGATCCTGTCTCAAAACAAAAACAAAAACAAGAAAAACTTTCCCCCTAGCTCTTATAAAAATTTTCAAACATTCAAAAAGTTGAAAGATTGTTACAATGAATCTAAATTCCAAGAGTAATATTTTGCCATATTTGCTTTATATCTCTCTGTGTTGTTTTTTCCTGTACTATTGGAAAAATAAGTGTGGACAACATGAAACTTTGCCCTAAATGCCCTGGTAAAAGCTTTTTTTTTTTTTTTTTTTTTTAAGAAAAAAAAAAGCCCATAGGCAGAGCAGGGCTACCCCATAGGCAGAATAGTCCATAAAAGCTTTTCATGGCTGGCTTTTTGGAGTTGTACTTATGGTGGATTCATGTAACTGATTACAAAAATATATTGCTGTTAAAAGACTACTGTAACCAAAATATCTTAGGTTTGTGTAGTTTAATAGTTTATAAATAGTTGTCACATCTGTTGTTCCATGTAAACCGCAGCTGTGATATGAACAAGGTAGACATTGTTTTCTTCATTTATAGAAAGAAGTGAGGCTTACCAGGTGTAAGGCAGAAATGCTAATGACAGTAATAGATTCTTTCCTGGTTTCTTCTTTCTAACTCTGACAAATAATTGAGAGTATACCCTCAGGGATAATCAACACCTCTAGATCACTGCAGTTACTTGTTAAGTATATGGCTGTTAGTGATGGTACAGAGGAAGTAAACATGAAAAACAATTATTTCAGTTAAGATAACTTAATTATTTATATTCTTTGTTGGTAGGTAATTCCAACATGGAATATTTCACCAATTAAGAAGGCCAATGAAATTAAGGTAAACTTGGAAGAAATAATTGTTATTCTTTTCCAGAAAGACTTCATCGGTTTTGAAACTTAAGTACTTCCTCTTTAACTTTTCTTGATCAATCTTTGTTTTAATTCCAGCTTTGTTTTTTTCCATTCTATTACTCTTAGGTTTGTATCTCATGGAATTCACTTTAACCTCTGCCTCGTGTTATTTGCTTTAGCTGTACATTATGCTCTTAGGATTTTTTTTTTTTCTGCCCTGCTTCTTCCCCTTATTTTCCAAATACGTATGATTTGTGTTTCCCATTACTTCATTTCTTTCTAATTGTACTAATGTAGCCTCCTCAGTTTGTGGATATCCACCTTGAAGAAGATGATTCCTCAGATGAAGAATACCAGCCGGATGATGAAGAAGAAGATGAAACTGCTGAAGAGGTCAGTGAATGTTAGTTGGTAATATTTGTCTTAATAGAGCAGGGTATACTTTGCTTCCTTAGTAATGTCACTTGTAGAGAGGATTGAGACATGGTTCTTTTTTCAGCTCATTTCTGTGCTTTAAGCTGTTTTTCTGCCCTTTATACTCCCTTAATTTTAGAATTTGTTGTATTATGAAATACAGCATAGAAACGTGCATAGAATAAAAATGTATAGCTTTGGTTATTATAATGCAAATCCTCATGAAACTCATAGCAAAGTCAAGAAATATATCATTACTAGGACAACCCCTGTATACCCTCCCCAGTCACAATCACCTCCCTCCCCCTAAAAATAACCACTACCCTGCCTTTTAGTAATTATTTCTTTGCTTTTCTTTATAGTTGTATCACCTCAATATGTATCTCTACACACTGTAGTTCAATTGTTACTGTTTTGAACTTTATATAAATGGACCCATGTTTATATGTTTTGTTCCTAGCTTTTTAAAATTCAACATTAAGCTTTTGAGATTCATTTATACTATTGGTTTTAGCTATACTTCGTTCCCTTTCATTGCTGTGTTAATATGTTCTTTGACTTGTTTCTTAATGTGTTCTTTGAATTGTTTTGTAAAAGGATTTTAGACCAAGGCCTTACACTTTGTAATGCAGATTAGGATAGTGATCTGATCCCTGTCCCCACCTTTAGGATTTTTTTTTTGAGTCTCCTCTGTTGCCCATGGAGTGCAGTGTGCGATGTTGGCTCACTGCCATCTCCATCTCCCGGGTTCAGGCAAGTCTCCTGCCTCAGCCTCCTGAGTAGCTGGAATTAACAGGCGTGCGCTACCATGCCTGGCTAATTTTTGTATTTTTAGTAGAGATGGGGTTTCGCCATGTTGGCCAGGCTGGTCTCGGACTTCTGACCTCAAGTGATCCACCCGCCTCGGCCTTCCAAAGTGCTGGGATTACAGGCATAAGACACTGACTGCACCTGGCCTTTAAGTTTCTATTTAAATTTTATTTTCTGTTACTGTAACTAGTTGAGTGATGGATTTTATTTATTTATTTATTTATTTTTGAGACAGAGTCTCGCTCTGCCACCCAGGCTGGAGTGCAGTGGCGTGATCTCGGCTCACTGCAACCTCCATCTCCTGGATTCAAGTGATACTCCTGCCTCAGCCTCCCGAGTAGCTGGGATTACAGGTGCACGCCACCGCGCCTGGCTTATTTTTGTATTTTTAGCAGAGACGGGTGTTCACCATGTTGGCCAGGCTGAGTGATTGATATTTTATGATTCCTTCTCTTGAGATACTTCAGACTTTGTGGAATGAGGTAGGGGCATAAATATTAAGGCGAACTGGATTTATTTTGTAGAGCTTATTGGAAAGTGATGTTGAAAGCACTGCTTCATCTCCACGTGGGGCAAAGAAATCCAGATTGAGGCAGTCTTCTGAGATGACTGAAACAGATGAGGAGAGTGGCATATTATCAGAGGTAAATCGGCATCATACAAAAGAGATGTTAGACATAACTGTCTAAGTAGATTTTTTAACTGTATAAGTAGATTATTTATCCATGGTGATTCTGGGCTGTCACCCTTTTTCAAAGTTTCTTAAGTTAGTAAACAGTTCAGAGAAGGCTAGAACTCAGTGATAGCCAAAGAACTTTTCTGAGTTCTCATTAAGGGGCCAAAAATGTGCAACTAGCAGAGTTTCTTTTCTCCTACCCTTCTCTTCTTTCATATCTGTGCTTTTTAATATTGTCCTAAAGCCATTGTTATTAATTTCCCACATTTTGGTAAACTAAGTAGCATTCTGTTGACTTCTCTAGAAATAGGATGAAAACTAATTAGATCAATACACTTGGTGTCTTTGTTTTTATGTAACTCTAACTAGAGAAGAGAAAGGACAATGGTGTATGGAAAGTCTGCCTCTTTTTCCCTCTCTTTTTTTCCTTTTTTTGCTTTCTCTTTCTTTCTTACCTCCTTCCTTTTTTGATGCAGTCACCTCTTTTAATCAGGCTGAGAAAGTCACCACACCAGCCATCAGGCACATCAGTGCTGAGGTAGTGCCCATGGGGCCCCCGCCCCCTCCAAAGCCGAAACAGACCAGAGATAGTACTTTCATGGAGAAGTTACATGCGGTAGATGAGGAGCTGGCTTCCAGTCCAGTCTGCATGGATTCTTTCCAGGTAAATATTAAAACTGTACTTAACTGAGAAAGTCAAGTGGAGTAATGTAGTTGTTGCTCAGGCTGGGAAGGGAGAGGAAAAGATAACTACAATTTTATATAAGTAAGAGTTAGTCTTTGATACTTTGTATTTGGCTAGTGCTATTTTCTGCTCAAAGTGACAATGGCAGTTTGGGGTTTTTTTTGTTTGTTTGTTTGTTTTTGAGACAGGGTATCACCCTGTCACCCAGGCTTGAGTGCAGTGGTGTGATCTTGGCCCACTGCAACCTCCGCCTCCCAGACTCAAGTGATCTTCCCACCTCAGCCTCCCGAATAGGTGGGACAGGTATATGCCACCACACCTGGCTAATATTTTAGTTTTTTGTAGAGATGAGGTCTCCCTATATTTTTGCTCAGGCTGGTATTGAACTCCTGGGCTCAAGTGATCCTCCCACCTTAGCCTCTCAAAGTGGTAGGACTACTGGTGTGAACCACCGTGCCTGGCTGAGAATGGCAGTTTCTAAGGAAGAAATGAACTATGTAGCAGAGAGCATTTTAAAATGTAGAACATAGGAAAAAGCTTCACCCAAATTCCCCCAAATTAACCTTTTACCACAATTGCTTGATGGTTCTCTTCCTCTTTCTCTGTATATACACATAGTGTTTTCTAAATCATTTTAGAGTGTGATGCAGGCATGATGCCATTTTACCTCTGCATGCTTTTGTGTATATTTTCTAAAAATGAGTTTATTATCTTGTATTAACACAGTATAATAGTGTTAATCAAAATCAGGATACAGGCTGTGCGCTGTGGCTCATGCCTGTAATCCTAGCACTTTGAGAGGCCAAGGTTGGTGGATCACTTGAGGTCAGGAGTTCGAGACCAGCCTGGCCAACATGGTGAAACCCCCATCTCGACTGAAAATACAAAAATTTGCCAGGTGTCGTGGCGCATGCCTGTAATCCCAGCTACTTGGGAAGCTGAGGCAGGAGAATCGCTTGAACCCGGGAGGCAGAGGTTGCAGTGAGCTGAGATTGCGCCACTGCACTCCAGCCTGGGCAATGGAGAGAGACTCTGTCCCAAAAAAAAAAAAAAATCAGGATACAGTAATATTACATAATATATTAAAGTGCTTATTCTGGTTTTATCTGTTGTCCCAACAATGCCCTTTATGTTGGAGGAAAAAAATTTTTTTTTCCCTATTCAGCATTCAACCCTGGATTAAATATCTATTTAATTATCTTGTTCTTTAGTCTCCTTTAATCTGGAACAGTTTCTCAGTCTTTGTCTTTTATAACCTTGACAGTTTTGAGGAGTATGCACCATTTATTTTGTAGAATGTTCTTCAATTTTTATTTTTCTAATATTTCCTCTTAGATTCAGGTTTTGCACTTTTGTTACAAATACTGGAAGAGTGATGTGTGTTTCTCATTGCATCATATCAGAAGGCACGTGATCCCTGTAATGTTAACTTTCATCACTTGGTTAAGGTGGTGTGTGCTTGGTTTTCCCATTGTAAAGTTATTATTTTCCATTTTTAATTAGTATATATCATGTGGGGATATACTTCAAAGCCGAATTCCTTTCTTTCTGTTTTTTTTTCCTAGATGGAGTCTCACTCTCTTGCCCAGGCTGGAGTGCAGTGGCGCGACCTCAGCTCACTGCACCTCTGCTTCCTGGGTTCAAGTGATTCTCCTGCGTTAGCCTCCTGAGTAGCTGGGATTACAGGTGCCCACCACCACGCCTGGCTAATTTTTGTATTTTTTAGTAGAAATGGAGTTTCACTGTGTTAGCCAGGATGATCTTGATCTCCTGACCCGCCTCAGCCTCCCAAAGTGCTGAGATGACATGCGTCAGCCACCGCGCCCAGCCTTCTTTTTTTTTTTTTTTTTTTTTTTTTGAGACAGAGTCTTGCCTGTCTCCCAGGCTGGAGTGCAGTGGTGCCATCTTGGGTCACTGCAACCTCCACTTCGGGGTTCAAGCGATTCTCCTGCCTCAGCCTCCTGAGTAGCTGGGATTACAGGTGACTGACACCACACCCAGCTAATTTTTTGTATTTTTAGTAGAGATGGGGTTTCACCACATTGGCCAGGCTGGTCTCGAACTCCTGACCTCAAGTGATCTGCCCACCTTAGCCTCCCAGAGTGCTGGGATTACAGACGTGAGCCAATGCACCCAGCCCAATCAATCAAATTATTTTTCTCACACTAATATTAGCATCCATTGATTATTCTTTCTTTTTTTTTTTTTTTTTTTTTTTTTTGAGACGGAGTCTTGCTCTGTCCTCTAGGCTGGAGTGCAGTGGTGCGATCTCGGCTCACTGCAAGCTCCGCCTCCCAGGTTCACATCATTCTACTGCCTCAGCCTCCCGAGTAGCTGGGACTACAGGCGCCCGCACCATGCGCGGCTAATTTTTTGTATTTTTAGTAGAGATGGGGGTTTCACCGTGTTAGCCAGGATGGTCTTGATCTCCTGACCTCATGATCCACTTGCCTCGGCCTCCCAAAATGCTGGGATTACGGGCGTGAACCACCACGCTTGGCCTGATTTTCTTTCTTGAAACAGTCTTTACTATGGTCGTTGTCAAATGATGACTTTGTAATTCTAACATTTAGTGAGTAATTTTTTATTTTTTGGATATGGAGTCACAGTCTGTCACGCAGGCTGGAGTTCGGTGGTGTGATCTCAGCTGACTGCAACATCTGATCTGCCTCCCGGGTTCAAGCAGTTCTCGTGCCTCAGCCTCCTGAGTAGCTGGGACCAGAGGCACACACCACTACGCCAGCTAATTTTTTGTATTTTTTAGTAGAGACAGGGTTTTATTGTTGGCCAGGCTGGTTTTGAACTGGCCTTAGGTGATCCACCCTTGTCAACCTCCTAAGTGCTGGGATTATAGGCATGAGCCACTGCGCCTGGCCTTAGCCAGTAAATTTTTTTTTTTTTTTTTTGAGACGGAGTCTCACTCTGTCGCCCAGGCTGGAGTGTGATGGCGTGATCTCGGCTCACTGCAAGCTCTGCCTCCCAGGTTCATGTCATTCTACTGCCTCAGCCTCCCGAGTAGCTGGGACTACAGGCGTGCACACCATGCCCGGCTAATTTTTTGTATTTTTTGGTAGAGACGGGGTTTCACTGTGTTAGCCAGGATGGTCTCGATCTCCTGACCTCATGATCCGCCTGCCTTGGCCTCCCAAAGTGCTAGGATTACAGGCGTGAGCCACCATGCCTGGCCTTAGCCAGTAAATTTTAATGTTCCAAGTTTCCCCTATCATTCTTGCAGGTCAATGAAAAATGTCTGTCCTAAAATTTTAAAGTATGATATAATAATTTAAAAAGAAATCCTAAAATTAAAAAATATAATTAAGGCTGGGTGTGGTGGCTCACACCTGTAATCCCAGCACTTTGAGAGGCCCAGGCGGGTGGATCACCCGAGGTCAGGTTTGAGACCAGCCTGGTCAACATGGTGAAACCCCGTCTCCACTAAAAATACAAAAATTAGCTGGGCATTGTGGCAAGTGCCTGTAATCCCAGCTACTCGGGAGGCTGCGGCACGAAAATCGCTTTAACCCAGGAAGCGGAGGTTGCAGTGAGCCGAGATGGCGCCAGTGCACTCCAGCCTGGGTGACAGAGCAAGACTACATTTCAAAAATATATATATATATATAATTATATATATATATAATTTATAATTATATATGTATATAATTTATAATTATATATGTATATAATTTATAATTATATATGTATATAATTTATAATTATATATATGTATATAATTTATAATTATATATAAGTATATAATTTATAATTATATATAAGTATATAATTTATAATTATATATAAGTATATAATTTATAATTATATATAAGTATATAATTTATAATTATATATAAGTATATAATTTATAAGTATATATAAGTATATAATTTATAAGTATATATAAGTATATAATTTATAAGTATATATAAGTATATAATTTATAAGTATATATAAGTATATAATTTATAAGTATATATAAGTATATAATTTATAAGTATATATAAGTATATAATTTATAAGTATATATAAGTATATAATTTATAAGTATATATAAGTATATAATTTATAAGTATATAATTTATAATTATATATAAGTATATAATTAAAAATAGAATATTGAATGGAATAGCTCTGAGTCATTTAATCACCATGCTTTGGAGTATGTAGTAGTAGGAGCAGTAATAGTTTTTTATGTAATCATTTATTTACCAAACACATACTGAATGGTTGAAGTTGAGAAACAACAGTGTAGAAGACAGAAAAAATTGTTCTTCATGGAACTTAGTCTGTTGAGGAGAGATAGACTATAAACATATAAACAAGTAAATTCGGATGTGGTTAAGTGCTATGAACTAAATTAAAATGAGGAAATATGAAACTTCCTGTCAGAGAACTTTAGATAGGCTGATCAAAAAAGACCTCCTTGGCTGTAATTCCATCACTTTGGGAGTCCTAGGCTAGAAGATTGCTTGAGGCTAGGAGTTTGAGACCAGCCTAGGCAATATAGTGAGACTCCATCTCTCCAAAAACTCAGAAAAATTATATAGGTGTGGTGGCGCATGCCTGTATTCTTAGCTGCTTGGTGGCTGAAGCAGGAGGATTGATTAAGCCTGGGAGCTTGAGACTACAGTGAGCCATGACTGCACCCCTATACTCCAGCATGGGTAATAGTATGAGAACTTTTTTAAAAAAAATTTTAAAAAACAGGGTCCGGTTTGGTGGCTTATGTCCATAATCCCAACACTTTAGGAGGCCAAGGAGAGTGGATCACTTGAGCCCAGGAGGTCAAGACAAGCCTGGGTAACCTAGTGAGACCTTGTCCCTACCAAAAAAAACACAAAACTTAGCTGGGCATCCTGTTACACACCTGTAGCCTCAGCTACTTGGGAGGCTGAGCCTAGGAGATCGAGGCTGCAGTGAGCTGTGATCATGCTACAGCACTCTAGCCTGGGCCACAGAGCAAGACTGTCAAAAAAACAAAAAACAAAAAGAAAAAAGGCCTCTTTGAGGAGATGGCATTTAAACTGAGATCCGAATGAGAGGAAGCCAGGCATGTAAAAGATCTGGGGAGAAAAAGTGCTCCATATGGAAGAAACAGCACATTCTAAGTCGCTAAGATAGAAACAACCTTGGCATGGTTAAGGAACAGAAACTACATGAAGGGTGGGATCGTGAAAAAGAGGTAGAAATGAGGTCAGAGAGCAAGGCAAGAGCTAGATCATGAAGGTCTTAGGAAACCATGATAAGGGGTGTAGATTTTATTTTAAACATTAGAACAGATGCCCAGTGTGGTGGCTCATGCCTGTAATCCCAGCACTTTGGGAGGCCGAGGCGGGTGGATCACCTGAGGTCAGGAGTTCTAGACCAGCCTGGCCAACATGGTAAAACCCCATCTCTAACAAAAAATACAAAAAATGTCCTGGGTGTGGTGGCGCACACCTGTAATCCCAGTTACTTAGGAGGCTGAGGCAGGAGAATCGCTTGAATGTGGGGAGTGGAGGTTGCAGTGAGCTGAGATCATGCCCCTGCACTCCAGTCTAGGAAAGAGTGAGACTCCATCTCAAAAAAAAAAAAAAATAAATAAATAAGAAAAGATTTTTGTGATATTTTTGGATTAATGTTAAAAATTCCTTTTGGTTAACGTGTGGGAAATGGACTAGAGTAAAGCAAGAGGGTAAACAGAAACCCATTAGCAGGTTGATGCAGTGTAGTCTAGGGAGAGCTTCCCAAATTGATCTACAGATTCAATGCAGTCCCTATCCAAATCCCAGCTACCATTTTTGTGGAAATTAACAGTCTAATCCTAAAATTCATGTGGAATTGCACAGGCCCAGAATAGCCAAAACAGTCTTTAAAAAGTACAAAGATGGAGGTCTCACACTTTCTGATTTTCTTTTTTTTTTTTTTTTTTTTTTGAGACGGAGTCTGGCTCTGTCACCCAGACTGGAGTGCAGTAGTGCGATCTCGGCTCACTGCAAGCTCTGCCTCCCGGGTTCATGCCATTGTCCTGCCTCAGCCTCCTGAGTAGCTGGGACTACAGGCGCCTGCCACCATGCCCAGCTAATTTTTTGTATTTTTTATAGAGACGGGGTTTCACTGTTAGCCAGGAAGTTCTTGATCTTCTGACCTCGTGATCCGCCCACCTTGTCCTCCCAAAGTCTGGGATTACAGGTGTGAGCCACTGCACCCAGCCTCATTTTTTTAAAATAAATATTTTAAATAAGAGTCTTGCTCTGTTGCCCAGGCTGGAGTGCAGTGGTATGATCTCAGCTTGCTGCAGCCTCAACCTCCTCCTGTGTTCAAGTGATCCTCCCACGTTGGCTCTTGCATAGCTGGAACTACAGGCATATGCCACCACTCCCATCTAACTTTTTATTTTTTGTAGAGATGGGGGTCTTGCTGTGTTGCCCAGCTGGTCTTGAACTCCTAGACTCAAGCGATCTTGTCACCACAGCCTATCAAGGTGCTGGGTTTACAGATGTACAAATGTGAGCCTCTGTGCCTGGCCCTGTTTTTTTTTTTTTTTTGAGATGTCTCTCTTGCTTAGGTTGGAGTACAATGGTGCAATCATGGCTCACTACAGCCTTGATCTCCTAGTCTCAAGAGATCCTTCTCTTTCAGCCTCCTAAGTAGCTGGGACTACAATTGGTGCCACCACACGCAACTAATTTGTTTGTTTGTGGCAGAGATGAGGTCTCACTGTGTTACCCAGGCTGGTCTCAAACTCCTAGCTTCAAGCAGTTCTTCCTGGGCCTCCCACAGTGTTGGGATTGCAGGTGTGAGCCAATGCATTCAGCCAGCGGTATTATACTTAATTGCCCCACAGTGGAAACAATCTGAATTCCATCAACAGATAATTGGATAAACAAAAGTGGTATATCTATACAATGGGATATTATTGGGTGAAAAAAGGAATTCGGGGCCAGGCATGGTGACTGGAGTGCAGTGGTACGTGTCTCACTGTCACCTTGAACTCCTAAACCCAAGCAATTCTCCTGACTCAGCCTCTTGAGTAGCTGGTACCACAGGCACATACCACCATGCCTTTAATCCCAGCAGTTAGGAAGGCCAAGGCAGGAGGATTACTTGAGCCCAGTCCAGGAGTTTGAAACTTGCCTGGGCAACATAGGGAGTCCCCCCACCCCCATCTCTACAAAAAATGAAAAAAATTAGCTGAGTATGGATCCAGTGGCTCACACGTGTAATCCCAACACTTTGGGAGGCTGAGCAGGTAGGTCACCTGAGGTCAGGAATTCAAGACAAGCCTGGCCAACCCCATTTCTACTAAAAATACAAAAATTTGCCAGGTGTGGTGGCACACGCCTGTAGTCCCAACTATTTGGGAGGCTGAGGCAGGAGAATCACCCGAACCCGGGAGATGGAGGTTGCAGTGATCCGAGATCGTACCACTGCACTCCAGAATGGGTGACAGAGCAAGACTCCATCTAAAAAAAAAAAAAAAAATTAGCCGAGCATGGTAGAGCATGCCGATAGTCCCAGCTACTTGGGAGGCTGAGGCAGGAGAATTGCTTGAGCCCAGGAGTTCGAAGCTGCAGTCAGCTCTGATTGTGCCAGTGCTGTAGCCTGGGTGAGAGATTGAGACTCTATCTCTTAAAAAAAAAAAAAAAAACACCAGGCATGGTGGCTCACAGCTGTAATCCGAACACTTTGGGAGGCTGAGGTGGGCAGATACCTGAGGTCAGGACTTCGAGACCAGCGTGCCCAACATGGTGAAGCTCCGTTTCTAGTAAAAATACAAAAATTAGTCAGATGTCGTGGCTGGTGCCTGTAATCCCAGCTCCCTGGGAGGCTGAGGCAGGAGAATCACTTGAACCCAAGAGGCAGAGGTTGCAGTGAGCCGAGATGGCACCACTGCATTCTAGCCTGGGCAACAAAGCAAGACTATGTCTCAAAAAAAAAAAAAAAGTATTGATAGATATTACAACAGGGTGGGATTTAAATGCATTATGCTAACTGAAAGCGGCCAGAGACAGGCCACACATTTTATGATTCCATCTAAGTGAAATGTCCAGCAGAAACAAATCCATAGAGACAGAAAATAGATTAATGCTTAACAGGGGCTGGGAGGAGGGGGAAAGGGAAGCGACTACTAATGGGTATGGGATTTCTTTTTGGGTTAATGGAATGTTCTGAAATTAGATAATGGTGATGGTTGTATAACTCTGTGAATATATGAAAATCCTTTCAATTATACACTTTAAAAGGGTAAATTTTATGGTATGTGAATTGTATATCAATAAAGCTGTTATAAATTTTCCTAAAATGTTGGTTTCAAACTGATGTCATTTATTTTATTTCTTTTTTATGTCGTGTTTCTTAAAGTTTCTCAAACAATAATAAATCCAAATTGTTTAGAGGAAGGATCCTGTTACTTAAGCTAAGATGAGAAGAAAAGGAGTGATGATGAGGTTTGGAAACATCACTCACTCAGTGACTTTTCTTTCTCCATTGTCCAGCCCATGGATGACAGTCTCATTGCATTTCGAACGCGTTCTAAGATGCCCCTGAAAGATGTTCCCCTGGGCCAATTAGAGGCAGAGCTCCAAGCTCCAGACATCACTCCAGATATGTATGACCCCAATACGGCAGATGATGAGGACTGGAAGATGTGGCTGGGGGGACTTATGAATGATGATGTGGGGAATGAAGGTAAGTTTTGGTTTGTGATTTATTATGTATACTGTCCATTATCTGTTGTAAAATTTTTAGTATTTGGAAGGGTATAGAATGGAATGGTTTGGGTTAATTGATTTAATTTGTATTTAACTGATAATTTATCTTAAATCAGTAGTTAATTTTTCTTTTTTTTTTTTTCCTGAGACAGGGTCTCACTCTGTCACCCAGGCTGAGTGCAGTGTTGCAGTCACGGTTCATTGCAGCCTTGACCTCCTGGGCTCAAGCAATCCTACCCCTTATCCCACTGAGTAGCTGGGACTACAGGCACATGCCACTGTGCCCGACTAATTTTTTATTTTTTGTAGAAACGAGATGTCACTATGTTGCCCAGGCTGTTCCCAAACTCCTGGCCTCAAACAATCCTCCTACCTTGGCCTCCTGAATGCTAGAATTATAGGCATGAGCCACCGTGCCTGGGCCAATTCTTAACATTTCTTTTTCTGGGTAAGGAATCTTTTGAATCCTAAGATTGTTGAATGCTAAGATTTGAATCCCTTGAAACATACATGCACATGTAGTTTTGTTGTTGTCTTTTGTTTTTGAGACACTGTCCCAAAACAGGGTGTTGCCCAGGGTGGATCACAGTGGGGTGATCATAGCTCACTGTAGCCTTAAACTCCTGGGCTCAAGAGATCGTCCTCAGGTCTCAGCCTCCCAAGTAGCTGAGATTATAGGCACGCACCACCTTGCCTGGCTAATTTTTTAAAAATTTCTGTAGAGAAATGTTGCTCAGGCTGGTCTTAAACTCCTGCCTCAAGTGATCCTCCCACCTTGGCCTCCCAGAGAGCTAGGATTACAGGCATGAGCCACTGTGCCTGGCCCACTCAAAATTTTATGTATGATTTCATTAGGGTTCAGTGATTTACCAAAAGAACACTGTGTTAGTTAAGGGTCTTCATGATGCAAGTGAAAGAATCCTAACTCTATCTTGCTGGGGTGAAATGAAACCAGACTTTGGGAAGTGTAGTAAATCAGCAGTGGAACTGAGGCACTGTTAGGATCCCCCTTTCCTCTCTATTTTACTTCCTTTTGTCACTCAGCTCCATTCTCACATTTATTTTTCTACAAGGTTAGAGCTCTGTTCATAAACACTCCGTGATTACTTTTTGCTTTGTCTACACTTCAGGACTCTCCCCTGCAAGCTCCAGTTATAAAATCCAGGGGAACAAGTCAGATCGACTTGGTTTGATCTCATGCCCAGTCTCTTGGTACTACATGGGATTGATAGGGAGACTGTTCAGCATGGAGTCTGGTGATTGATAGCACCTCATAGAACAGTGTGGTTGAAGTATGTGGTGACCCTAAAGAAGTAATGGTATTATCAGAAATGGGGAAGAAATATTGATCAGATAAAAGTTTGGATGGAAACAGACTAAGTAGGCTGGGCGTGGTGGCTCACACCTATTATCCCAGCTCTTTGGGAGGCCGAGGCGGGCGGATCACAAGGTCAAGAGATTGAGACCATCCTGGCCAACAGGGTGAAACCCTGTCTCTACTAAAAATAAAAAAATTTGCTGGGCGTGGTGGTGCACGCCTGTAGTCCCAGCTACTCAGGAGGCTGAGGCAGGAGAATCACTTGAACCTGGCAGGCGAAGGTTGTAGCGAGCCGAGATTGCGCCACTGCGCTCCAGCCTGGCAACAGAGCGAGACTCCATCTCAAAAAAAAAAAAAAAAGAAAAAGAAATAGACTGAGTAAATGGCTGGGTAGGTAATGCTAGGAGTAAGTCAGGATAAGTGAATGAAAGAAAATAACAGGTCCTTGAATGTACCTTATGATACTATTAATAGTTATATAGTATATCATTTGGCAAATGTTTGAGTACTTTCTTTATACAAGGCATTGTGCTAGAATCTGTGAGGGATAAAGGAGCATAATCATTTGGTCATGGAATAAAAGCTTTATGAATGACAGGGTGCCTGGCCCATTGTTAGGTTCACAATACATTGTACTTTTTTGTGTGTGTGTGAGACAGGGTCTCACTCTGTCACCCAGGCTGGAGTGCAGTGGTGAGATCTTAGCTCACTGCAGCCTTGACCTCCTTGGCGCAAGCAATTCTCCCACCTCAGCCTTCTAAATAGCTGGGAATACAGGTTTGTGCCATCATGCCCGGCCAATTTTTGTATTTTTTGTAGAGTTGGGGTTTTGCCATGTTGCCCAGGCTGGTCTCGAACTCCTGCGCTCAAGCGATCCTCCTGCCTCTGCTTTCCAAAGTGCTGAGATTACAGGAGTGAGCCATCGCGCTCAGCCAGTATATTGTAAATGAATGAAGTTGTTGAATAAACTCAGATATGCCATCAAAGTGGCATAAATGCTGTTGTAAGATTTTAGAAGAGGACAGGGTAACTTTTGTTTAGGATGATCAGAGACAGCTACATGAAAGAGCTGGTAATTGAAATGGACCTTGGAAAGATTTTTGAAAACAGTGACAGGGAAGAGAGAAGGCATCTGAGTAGAAGTGACATGATATACTCTATATGCTGGATTCTGTAGGATATATTCTTTCCAGAGTTTTCTCTTTTTTCACTGTAAAACTGTAAGAGTAATATATGCTTGGTATAAAGAAATCAAATATTACAGAAATAAAACAATTAAAGCCTTCCCCCCCCCCAAGGAAAATGTACATATCTACATACATGAAATTTTTCATATGATTTTTTTGGGGTTTATGTATCTCTTAGAGTTTATTTATTGGCACTTCATTTTCCTACCAGTCATTTCCAAAGCCTTTGACACCAAGGTTCAAGTTTGGTTCCCCAGAGGGACTACTGATAATACTTTGGTATGCATCTGTGAGAGTTTTCAATGTGTAGTTACTTTTTAGTTTTCCACATTAATGTGGGGATAAAAATAATTAAATTTTAGTCCTAAATTTAAATTTAAGACTTTTCTCAAACATTTAGAAAAGATAGTCCAGGCGTGGTGGCTCATGCCTGTAATCCCAGTACTATGGGAAGCCAAGGCATGAGGATTGCTTGAGGCCAGGAAGTCAAGACCAGCCTGGGAAACACAGTGAGACCTCATTTCTATTTTTTTTTTCTTCGACAGAGTCTCGCTCTGTCGCCCAGACTGGAGTGCAGTGGTGTGATCTCGGCTCACTGCAACCTCTGCCTACTGGGTTCAAGCGATTCTCCTGTCTCAGCCTCCCCAGTAGTTGGGATTACATGCGCCTGCCACCTTGCCTGGCTAATCTTTGTATTTTTAGTAGAGACAGGGTTTCACCATATTGGTCAGACTGGTCTCAAACTCCTGACCTCAGGTGATCCACCCTCCTTGGCCTCCCAAAATGCTGGGATTACAGGCATGAGCCACCGCACCTGGCATTTCTATTTTTAAAATAAAATAAAATTTTAAAAAAGAGAGAGAAAATAACAAGAAGCAAATTGTTTTAAATCTTATCATATTTCTTTTTTTTACCCACCCTCTGTAGTAGAGGGGCTAACAAGCCACAAAATGAAAAAAATTGTGTAAGGAGAAAAAGATGGAGTTTGAAGCTGAGTCATTAACATGCAAAGTATAGAATCAGTTCCTTCATAATTAGCAACTGATATATTATCCCATTAGTCATTCTGATAGGAGTCTAAGCTTCTGAGTTTTCCATTACTCACCCCTTTGACAATCTGATGAAAACTATGCAGCCTTCCCCCAGAAAAAAATGTACATATCCAAATACATGAAATTTTTATATGATTTTTGGGAGATACATATCTTTTAAAGTTTATTGACACTTCCTGTTTCTACCAGGTTCAGAAATCTCCACAAAAAGGAATAGACAGGACAGAGAGTTCTTTTTTTTTTTTTTTTTTTTTTTGAGCAGCAGCAAGATTTATTGTGAAGAGTTAAAGAACAAAGTTTCCACAACGTGGTAGGGGACCCGAGTGGGTTGCCCAAGGACAGATAGTTCTAACCACTTTGTAGGCAGTGAAATCTCAGAGAAATTCATTGTCTTGCTCAAAGTTACAGAATCAATTTGTTATACTCCTAGGAGTAGAACCCAGTTTAATATTCTAGGAACATGTCTCAATCAGACAGGTTTCACGGTAAGTTAAACCTTTTTTTTTTTTTTTTTTTTTCTGAGACAGAGTCTGGCTCTGTTGCCCAAGCTAGAGTGCAGTGGCACAATCCCTGCTCACTGCAACCTCCACCCGGGTTCAAGCGACTCTTCTGCCTCAGCCTCCAGAGTAGCTGGGACTACAGGTACGCGCTACCATGCCCAGCTAATTTTTGTGTTTTTAGTAGAGATGGGGTTTCACCATATTGGCCAGGCTTGTCTCGAACTCCTGACCTTCTGTTCCACTCGCCTCAGCCTCCCAAAGTGCTGGGATTACAGGCTTGAGCCACCGCACCTGGCCTAAACCATTTTTTTTTGAGAGAGTTTCACTCTTGTCCCCCAGGCTGGAGTGCAGTGGCGCGATCTCGGCTCACCGCAACCTCCGCCTCTCAGGTTCAAGCGATTCTCCTGTCTCAGCCTCCCAAGTAGCTGGGTTTACAGGCATGTGCCACCATGCCTGGCTAATTTTGTATTTTTAGTAGAGTCAGGGTTTCACCATGTTGGTCAGGCTGTTCTTAAACTCCTGATCTCAAGTGGTCCACCCACCTTGGCCTCCCAAAGTGCTGGGATTACAGGTGTGAGCCACCACGCCCGGCCTAAACCATTTTTTAAAAGTATATGACTTTTCATAATGAGCTGTGTTTTTTGTTTTGTTTTGTTTTGTTTTGTTTTTGAGATGGAGTTTTGCTCTTGTTGCCCAGGCTGGAGTGCAATGGCACGATCTCAGCTCACCGCAACCTCTGCCTCCCAGGTTCAAGCGATTTTCCTGCCTCAGCCTCCCAAGTAACTGGATTACAGGCATGTGCCACCACGCCTGGCTAATTTTGTATTTTTAGTAGAGATGGGGTTTCTCCATGTTGGTCACGCTGGTCTCGAACTTCCAACCTCAGGTGATCCGCCCTCCTCGGCCTCCCAAAGTTCTGGGACTACAGGCATGAGCCACTGCTCCTAGCCTTCATAATAAGCTGTGCTTTTTATCTTTGGCACAGGCTAATACAAAATAATTACAGTAAGAAAGTCAGGTTCTCCTAGCGTTATTGGTAGCAGCAGCTTTGGTGCTCATTTTCATCACTTTGGTTCAAAGGCCTAAGATGGTAGCTATTGGGAAGGAAAGGCCAGGCAGAACTGACTTTCAGGATTTTGTTTCTCATAATTTGGTTCCGAGAACTTGAATCAGAATTGAAGAGTGTATGGATATGTAGGGTGATGTTTATTAAAGATACAGATTTCAGGGCTTCACCCCTTACCTACTGAATCAGAATCTAATGAGTATGGTCTAGGGATCTAATTCTGATATATCTAAAGGATTGGAAACTACTGGTCTGGGAAAGGTAAGAGTGCATGATAAAGGTTGATTGGGGAATTGGACTAATGGTTAGGGGGAGGGTGAAAATCCTCTTTTCTTAAAATAAAACTTCAGTTTGTTTTGTTTTGTTTTGAGACAGGGTCTCACTCTTGTCACCCAGGCTGGAGTACAATGGTGTGATCTTGGCTCACTGCCACCTCCACCTCTCAGGTTCAAGCACTTCTTCTGCCTCCACCTCCCTAGTAGCTAGGATTACAGGCACATGCCACCATACCCAGCTAATTTTGTATTTTTAGTAGAGACGGGGTTTCACCATATTGGTCAGGCTGGTCTTGAACTCCTAACCTCAGGTGATCCGCCCGCCTTGGCCTCCTAAAGTGCTGGGATTACAGGCGTGAGCCACCACGCCCAGCAACTTCAGTATTTTTGTATGTGCCTATTCGGACAGATTTTTAAAAGAGCACACAAAGCCAATGATTAGGATGGGTGTGGCCTCCAGATCTACCAGTTGAGTTAAAAGACAATACAGGAGGGGTATATCAGCTGGGTAAATACTGACATTGTTAATAAGTCAAAAAAGTGATTAAGCTCAGAGGACATATTCCACAATCAGGGTACTAAAAGCTAAGCAGAACTCAGAAGAATCCCCCTAAATGATTTTTCAGCATCTTTGTTAAATGAGTGCTCTGAGAATAATATTCGCTGACCCATTTGTGTGGTGTGGGCAGAACTATCTATTGCAGTTCTTGCATCCAAACAGATGGAGTCCAAACCTGTGCACACTACTCATTATTATGGGCTCTTCCAGAACTTTCGTTATTCAGCAATGTTTGTTAAGAACTTTTTGATCAGGCGCAGTGTCTCTCACACTTCTAATCCCTGCGCTTTGGGAGGCTGAGGCAGGCAGATCATGAGGTCGGGAGATCGAGACCATCCTGGCTAACACAGTGAAACCCCGTCTCTACTAAAAAAAAAAAAAAAAAAAAAAAATTAGCCTGACGTGGTGGCGGGTGCCTGTAGTCCCAGCTACTTGGGAGGCTGAGGCAGGAGAATGGCGTGAACCCGGGAGGCAGAGCTTGCAGCGAGCCGAGATCGCCCCTCTGTGCTCCAGCCTGGGCGACAGAGTGAGACTCCATCTCAAAAAAAAAAAAAAAAAAAGAACTTGCTGTGAAGAGACTTATATAGAAAGTACTATAGAGATTATGAATTATGAAGACAGTATTCTATTCCTAAAGAAATAAAGAATCTGTACTGATAAGTTAAACCCACAAATAGATGAAAAAGATTTGATAATTAGTTATGTGTAAAGAATGCAAATTAATATATTATAAGCTGAGTATAAATGTTGAGTAAAGAATTATCAAGTTAGATTAGGGTTTAATCAGCACAGATTTTTCAGTGATTGTGAATTTTAAATGTGTGTCTGTATAAGTATATATATATTTATATATATTTATATTTATATAAAAAATATATATTTGTTTTTGAGACAGGGTCTCACTCTGTCACCCTCGCTGGAGTGCAGTGGCGTGATCATGACTCACTGCAGCCTCAAACTCCTGGGCTCAAGCAGTCCTTCCAGCTCAGCCTTCTGAGTAGCTGGGACTATAGGCACACACCACGACACTTGGCTAATTTTTAAAAAGTCATTTGTAGAGATTGGTTCCCACTGTGTTGCCCAGGATATATATATGTGTTTTTTTTTTTTTTTCTTGTTAGATGGAGTCTCACTCTCGCCCAGGCTGGAGTGCAGTGGCATGATCCCAGCTCACTGCAACCTCTGTCTCCTGGGTTCAAGTGATTCTCCTGCCTCAGCCTCCCAAGTAGCTGGAATTACAGGCACGCACCATTACTCTTGGCTAATTTTTGTATTTTTGGTAGAGACGGGAGGGGGGGGGTCTCACCATGTTGGCCAGGCTGGTCTCGAACCCCTGACCTCAAGTGATCTTCCCACCTCGGCCTCCCAAAGTTCTGGGATTACAGGCGTGAGCCACCATGCTTGGCCCCAGGCTGTATATGTCTGTTTATAACAAAAGATGTTTATTTATGGCCAGGCACGGTATCCAGTCTGGGCAACAAGAGCGAAACTCCCTCTCGAAAAAAAAAAAAGATGCTCATTTATTATGAAAAGTTAAAACATTATGGAAGAGGCGCCAGACTCTGTGGCTCACGCCTGTAATCCCAGCACTTTTTAGGGGCCGAGGCAGGTGGATCACCTGAGGTCAGGAGTTTGAGACCAGCCTGACCAACATGGTGAAACGCCGTCTCTACTAAAAATATAAAAATTAGCTGGGCATGGTGGTGCACATCTGTAGTCCCAGCTACTCGGGATGCTGAGGCAGGAGAATCGCTTGAACCCAGCAGGTGGAGGTTGCAGTGAGCTGAGATCGAGCCACTGCACTCCAGCCTGGGCGACAGAGCGAGACTCCACCTTAAAAAAAGAAAGAAAAAAAAAATATTGTGGGAGGGTACACAGAGAAATCTTTGTTAATAGTTTTATGTGTTTCTTTCTAGATACTCTGTGGGTGTTCAGTCAAGCATGTATTTATCTCAAACAAGAATTTTTTTCCACAAAAAGAATCATACTATACATATTGGTCTTCATCTGCAACTTGCTTCTTTCACTTAGCAGTATAACATATATTTTTCCATTATAATACATAGAGATCACCTCTTCTATTTAATGGATACATGATAGTAAGAAATTTAGGTATTCTCTTTTTGGTCTTTTTTTTTTTAAATCAGTTCCTCAGTCACACTAGCTGCATTTCTCAAGTCACATGTGGCTAATGGCTACTGTATGATACAATACAATACATGTATAGATCATTTCCATCATCACAGAAAGTTCTGTTAGACAACACTGATCTAAAATTATCTGGAGAAAAATATTACCTTAATATATAATAATTCCATAATTTAATGACTCCTTCATAATTTTTACTTAGTAATTGAAAAGACAGTTTAGCATTAACATTAAAGAAAATTAGGCTGGGCCCTGTGGTTCACTCCTGTAATCCTAGCACTTTCGGAGGCCAATGCAGGCGGATCACCTGAGGTCAGGAGTTCGAGACCAGCTTGGCCAACATGGTGAAACCTTGTCTCTACTAAAAATAGAAAAATTAGCCGGGCGTGGTGGTGGGCATCTGTAATCTCAGTTACTTGGTAGGCTGAGGCAGGAGAATTGCTTGAAGCTGGGAGGCAGAGTTTGCAGTGAGCCAAGATCATGCCACTGCACTCCAACCTGGGTGACAAAGTGAGACTCCATGTCAAAAAAAAAAAAGAAAAAAGAAAATTAAAAGGGAGAAGAACATCCATATTTCTATTATTCTAACCTAACAAATGTTTATTATTTTTGTATATTTTTAGTTATTTATGATTCTTATTGTAAGGATATAATTTTTCATGCTTATGATTATTATGTATATATTGTACTTTTGTCATACATGTATTGAACTTTTATAGAATGGTTACATATTCACATTTTATATGTGTACGTGTTGAGTATCCCCTTCATCCAAAATGCTCAGGACCGGAAGTATTTTGGATTTCAGATTTTTTCAGATATTAGAATATATGTATTATTATACTTAACAGATAAGCATACTAAATTTGAAAATTTGAAATCTGGGCAGGGTGCAATGGCTCACACTGTAATCTCAGCACTTTGGGAGGCCGAGGCATTCAGATCGCTTGAGCCCAGGAGTTCAAGACCAGTCTGGGCAACATACCAAAACCCTGTCTCTACTAAAAATACAAAAATTAGTTGGGCATGGTGGCATGTGCCTAATCCCAGCTACTTGGGAGGCTGAGGTGTGACAATCGCCTGATCCTGGGCAGTCAAGGCTGCAGTGAGCCATGATCGTGCCACTGCACTTCAGCCTGGGTGACAGAGTGAGACCCTGTCTCAAAAAAAAGGAAAAAGAAAATTTGAAATCTGAAATGCTCCAATGGCTATTCCCTTTGAGAGTCATGTTTGCACTCACAGAGTTTCAGATTTTGGAGTTTTGGATTTGGAATGCTCAACCTGTACTATTTTATACTAAGAAATTATAATTATATAGTCATTCTCTAATTGTTGGGAATTTGGGCCACTCCTTTTTTCACTGTCAGCTTCACTGTACAAGTAGCTTTTACAGAAAGTATTATTTTCATGGAATATACTACACAAAATTAGCTGGGTGTGGTGGCGTATGCCTGTGGTCCCAGCTACTCAGGAGGCTAAGGTGGGAGGATCACTTGAGCCCGGGAGGTGGAGGTTGCAGTGAGCTGAGGCTGTACCACTGCACTCCAGCCTGGGCGACAGAGTGAGACCCTGTCTCAAAAAAATAAAGAATAAATGTGCTTTATTGGAACAGATTCTTAGAAGTTTGAGAACAGAGTTAATGAGCATCTGAAACACTTTTTTTTCCTAGATGAAGCAGATGATGATGATGATCCAGAATATAATTTCCTGGAAGACCTCGATGAACCAGACACAGAGGATTTCCGGACTGACCGGGCAGTGAGAATCACCAGTGAGTCTGTGTTTATTCTAAGTCCTGCTCTTGACTGCTTTGCAGCTGTCTTTGTTTACTTTGTAGATTTTTAGGGGTGAAGTTTGCAGCTCATCCATGTTAAGACATTTAGGTTTCCTTTACCCATTTATTGATCTGATTCTTTAAATTTAGGTACATATTCAGAAAGCCCATCAGTTATTCATTTGTATATCCCACAGTCGTGTATTCAGTCCTTACTGTTTGGCAGGGATTGTGCAAGATGAATAAGACATGGCATCTGTGCTGTAGGAGTTCAGCCTAGTAGGGTGATAGAAACAGAAAAAGTTACAATACAAAGTGATAAATGCTGTAACAGGTTTTACATAAGGTATAATAATGACCTAAAAGAGAGTGTCATCTCCTAGTGTATGATATGGACTAGGATAGGAGAACTTAGGAAAGAATTTGCAGAATGAAATGGCTTTTTATCTTAGTTTTGAAGGAGGAATAAGAAATTTGGTGAATAGGGACAGAGAGGAATATTGCAAATAGAAGAGCATCTGCAAACCACAGAATTGTAAAACATCAAAAAAGTATGTTTGGAAAATACTAAGTACTTTGGTGGTGGTGTATGAGTGAAAAGACAGAGAAGTGGTAGATAAGATTAGGTAGTGTTTACATCATGGAGGATTTTTAAGCTCTCAAAATGAGGTTTAAGGGCGGGCATGGTGGCTCACGCCTGTAATCCCAGCACTTTGGGAGGTGGAGGCAGGCAGATCACCTGAGGTTAGGAGTTCAAGACCAGCCTGGCCAACATGGCGAAACCCTGTCTCTACTAAAAATACAAAAATTAGCCAGGCGTGGTAGTAGGCACCTGTAATCCCAGCTACTCCGGAGGCTGAGGCAGAAAAATTGCTTGAACTCAGGCGGGAGAGGTTGCAGTGAGCCGAGATCACGCCAATGCACTCCAGCCTGGGCGACAGAGCAAGGCTCCGCCTGAAAAAAAAAAGAGGTTTAAGCAGTAAATCAGTAGGAACTGATTTGGATTTTAGAAAGATCACTTTGATTTAATACCAGTTTAATGTATTAATTTGTTAGGTAAAGTGAACAAGACTGGAGGTATGGAAAACAATTATGATAACTTAGCTTGAGTTATTTCTATAAAAAATTATATCATTGAGCTAGGAGTGGTGGCTTACACCTGTAATCCCAGCACTTTGGGAGGCTGGGGCAGGAAGATTGCTTGAGCTTAGGAGTTCGAGACCGGCATAGGCAACATAGAGAAACTTTGTCTGTACTAAAAATTTAAGAAATTAGCCTAATGTATTGGCACGTACCTGTAGTCCTAGCTACTCAGGAGGCTGAGGCAGGAGGATTGCTTCAGCCCAGGAGGTCAAGGATTCAGCAAACTATGATAGTGCCACTGCACTCCAGCCTTGGTGGCAGAGGGAGATCCTGACTCAAAAAAAAATTATATCATTGGCTAGTGTGTCAAGCATAGAAAACATACATTTCATCCTGAAGAAATTCTACCTATGGGGAGAAAGAAAAATAAAAAATATATTTCATAAGCCATTGATTTTTATTGCATGTATGCATGACCCTGTACTGGAATAATATACACGACATGGAGAAGGTAAGATGCTGGCTCTTGACCAGGTTATGCAGAGAGCTTTATAAACATCCAAGATATACCTAATTAATGCAGTTCTTTGTGTAAAGAGAATTATGTAAATACAATCCTTTAGAACTTACATTTTATTTTATTGCTTTATTGTGCCTTTCACCTTGCTTTTAAGATTAGAATACCATTTCCTTTGTGAAGATCTTTCATTTATTTTGATATACTATGACAGGGATAGTGGAAGCATTGAAAGGAAAGCACCAGGAATTAGAGAAAATGTAGAATGAAAAGGTTTGAGGATTTAGGCTTTGAGAAAACTGAAAGGAGAATCTAGGAAGGTACAAGAAAAACCTAGAAAATCTAGTGTCGTAGAAACCAAAGGAAGAGTCTTTTGGCTGGGGCACAGTGGCTCATGGCTATAATCCCGGCACTTGGGAGGCTGAGGCAGAGGCAGAAGGATCGCATGAGCCCAGGAGTTCAAGACCAGCCTGGGCAAGATAGTGAGACATTGTCTCTACAAAAACATTTTAAAAATAAAATGAAAATTAGTTGTCGTGGTGCATGCCCGTAGTCCCAGCTACTTGGGAAGCTGAGGTGGGAGGATCACTTGAGCCCAGGAGGTGGAGGCTGTAGCGAGCAGAGATCCCAACACTGTACTCCAGCCTGGGTCAGAGCAAGACCCTGTTTCAAAAAAAGAGTCTTTCAAGAAGGACAGAATGGTCAACAGTAAAGAAACAAGTAAAGAAACATCTGCTTAAAGCACAAAAGCAGATCTTAAGTTCAGCTATCATCCTGGAATATATTTGCCTTCCCTTTTTGATTGTTACTTTCTTCAGTTTACGTATAATTTCTCAGGGAGATCCTCCTTCGTTAGGATTGATCTTCTTGCTTTGCATTCCCGTACCACTCTTTTTGTCCTTTTATATACTGATCACCTCATAATTGCTTATTTAATATCTGTCTTCTCCCCTAGACTGTGAACTTCTCAAGAGCTTTGTTTTGTTTATTGCTGTAAAGCTGGTGGCAATATTTGCCAGTCGAATAGAGATGGGTAAATGAAGGGCAGTCTTTCTAGTCATACAGTTCTGTAATGATAGTGAAAGCTGGAGTAGAATTTTTAATTTTTTTTTCTGCCTCTTGTCCTCTTGTGTCTCATTGTCATATTTGATTATAATCTCTTTAAAAGGACTTATCCTTATATGGATAACTAAAATAAAAAAATTAAAAAGCATAGAATCACAGAGTTTGAAAAGCTCCATGTGGTCACATGTTTTTTGCCCGCTTGAGAATTTGTTTACACCTCCTCTGAGGTGGCCTTTTTAGTCCTGTTTGTATACCTTCAGTGACAGGGAGCTCAACAATTCTGCAGATAGTGTATTGTAAACTTGAACACCTCCTCAATTAATACTTTCCTTATTGAACCCAAATCTGAATGCAAATTCAGATACTTTCCTTATTGAACCCAAATTTGAATGCAAAGCAGGAAGATCAATCCTTTTATATTCCTCCTATTTGTCTTTATGTTATGTTATGTTATGTGATGTTATGTTATGTTATGTTATGTTATGTTATGTTATGTTATGTTATGTTATTTTTGAGATGGAGTTTCGCTGTTGTCGCCCAGGCTGGAGTGCAATGGTGCAATCTCAGCTCACTGCAAACTCTGCCTCCTGGGTTCAAGCGATTCTCCTGCCTCAGCCTCCAGAATAGCTGGGATTACAGGTGCCCGCCACCACGCCCAGCTAATTTTTGTATTTTTAGTAGAGACGGGGTTTCACCAGGTTGGCCAGGCTGGTCTTGAACTCTTGACCTCAGGTGATCCACCTGCCTCGGCTTCCCAAAGTGTTGGGATTACAGTCATGAGCCGCACTGTGCCCGGCCTCCTATTTGTCTTTTGTTGTTAAGAAAAAAAAAAGCAATTTATTCCCAAGTGTACATATTAAAAGATGTTTCTTAAGTTTTTTTTTTTTTTTCCCTATGCAAAACATAGGAAAGTTTCAAGTTTCTTCTGCCAGGTTTCTTCTTCTCCAAAGCCTTGGTGTCCAGACCTCTCACCATGCACATTACTCTTCTCTGGATTCTAGCATTTATTTTCTTTAAACTTTTCCCCTGTTACATCTTATTATGAAATTTAAAAATATATATAGAAAAATTGAAAAATTATACAGCTAACATTCATATACTCACCACCTACTTTTTTTTGAGACGAAGTCTCACTCTTGTTCCCCAGGCTAGAGTGCAATGGTGTGATCTCGGCTCACTGCAGCCTCCGCCTCCCAGGTTCAAGCGGTTCTCCTGCCTCAGCCTCCTGAGTAGCTGGGATTACAGGCGCCTGCCACCATGCCCGGCTACTTTTTGTATTTTTAGTAGAGAAGAGGTTTCACCATGTTGGCCAGGCTCATCTCGAACTCCTGACCTCAGGTGATCTGCCCGCCTCAGCCTCCCAAAGTGCTGGGATTACAAGCGCGAGCCACTGCGCCCAGCCTCACCACCTACTTTCTATAGTTTGTTGGTTTTTTTTTGAGAAGGAGTCTCGCTCTGTCTCCAGGCTGGAGTGCCGTGGCGCCATCTCAGCTCACTGCAACCTCCGACTCCCTGGTTCAAGTGAATCTCCTGCCTCAGCCTCCCGAGTAGCTGGGATTATAGTCACGCGCCACCATGCCCAGCTAATTTTTGTATTTTTAGTAGAGACAGGGTTTCACCATGTTGGCCAGGATGGTCTCGATCTCCTGACCTTGTGATCCGCCCACCTCGGCCTCCCAAAGTGCTGGGATTACAGGCGTGAGCCACTGTGCCCGGCCAAACTTTCAGTAGTGTTAATATAAACTGTGCGCCTTTCATATGTGCGGGTTTCACAGCTGCAGATTCAACCAACCTTGAAAATATTCTGAGAAAAAAAAATGCAACAGCAAAAAATAATACTAACTGGGCGTAGTGGCTAACATCTGTAATCCCAGCACTTTGGGAGGCTGAGGCAGGAGGATCGCTTGAGCACAGGAGTTTGAGATCGGCTGGGCGACATACTGAGATTCCATCTCTACAAAAAACTTTAAAATTATCTGGGTGCAGCCGGGCATGGTGGCTCACGCCTGTAATCCCAGCACTTTGGGAGGCCAGGGTGGGCAGATCACGAGGTCAGGAGTTCGAGACCAGCCTGGCCAATATGGTGAAACCCCATCTCTACTATAAATACAAAAATTAGCCGGGTGTGGTGGCTCACGCCTGTAGTCCCAGCTACTAAGGAGGCTGAGGCAGGAGAATCGCTTGAACCTGGGAGGCGGAGGCTGCAGTGAGCCGAGATCGCGCCACTGCACTCTAGCCAGGGCAACAGAGTGAGACGCTGTCTCAAAAAAAAAAAATTATCTGGGTGCATTGGTGTGTGCTTGTAGTCCCAGCTACTCTGGAGACAGAGTCAGGAGGATCCCTTGAGCCCAGAAGTTCAAGGTTGCAGTGAGCTGTGATCATACCACTACCACTGCACTCCAGCCTGGGTGACAGAGTGAGAGCTTGTCTCAAATAAATAAATAAAAAATAATAAGGTATAACAAGCATTTACATTGTATTAGGTGATAAGTAATCTAGAGATAAGGTATACAGGAGGATGTGTGTAGATTATATGCAAATACTACATCATTTTTATATAAGGGACTTGAGCATCCTCAGATTTTGGTATCCATGGATACGAAATGGTTCCAGGAGATTGGCTCCTGGAACCAACCTCCACAGATACTGAGGGATGACTTTATTTGCCTTATCATGCAGCTGTCCATCTCCCTGTCCGTCTGTGGATGCATCTTAGTTTTCAAATGCATTTCAGAGTAAATTATACTTCACTTTTTTTTCTTTTTTTTTTTAAATTCAGACAAGGTCTATGTTGCATGGGTTGGTCTTGAACTCTTGCGGTCAAGCGATCTTCCCACCTCAGCCTCCTGACCAGCTGAGATTACAAGTGTGCACAATGGCACCTGGCTATATGTCACTTTTTTTTTGTATTTTTAGTAGAGACGGGGTTTCACCATCTTGGCCAGGCTGGTCTCGAATTCCTGACCTCGTGATCCTCCCACCTCTGCCTCCCAAAGTGGTGGGTTTACAGGCATGAGCCTATACTTCACTTTTAACCACTTCAGCACGCATATAATGAACTAGAGCTCCATATTTGTTTATGATTTCTTTTTATAGGTAATTTTACACACAGTGTATCACACACATCTCAAGTGTACCATTTAATGAATTTTGACATGTGTGTACCTATGTGACACAAATCCCTGTCAGGATATAGAATCCTCACCCCAGGAAGTTTCCTCATGCCCCTTCCAAGTCAATCCCCACACCATCCCTTCAGAGGCAACCACTGTTCTGATTTTTTTTTTTTTTTTTTTCCGAGACGGAGTCTCGCTCTGTCACCCAGGCTGGAGTGCAGTGGTGCGGCTCACTGCAAGCTCCGCCTACCAGGTTCACGCCATTCTCCTGCCTCAGACTCCCGAGTAGCTGGGACTACAGGTGCCTGCTACCATGCCCGGCTAATTTTTTGTATTTTTAGTAGAGACGGGGTTTCACCGTGTTAGCCAGGGCGATCTCGATCTCCTGACCTTGTGATCCACCTGCCCTGGACTCCCAAAGTGCTGGGATTACAGGCGTGAGCCACTGCGCCCGGCTTTTTTTTTCTTAATCACAGGTTATGTTTGCCAGTTTTAGAACCTCACATAAATGGAATCATATAGGATGTGCTTTGTGTGTAAGGCTTCTTTCACTCAGCATAATATTTTTGAGATTCATTTGTGTTGCATGGGTCGTTAGTTTGTTCCCTTATATTGTTGAGTAGAATTTCGTTGTGTATATATACTACAGATTATCTATTTTTGTGTTGATCACCTGGGCTATTTTTAATTTTGGGTAACGAATAAAGCTGCGCTGAACTTTTTTGTGCAAGTCTTTGTGGAAATGCTTCATTTCTCTCTCTCTTTCATTTGTTCCCACCTATGAGTTAGAAAAGCCGTATTTCATTTATCTTGGGTCAGCTGTATAGGAGACAAATCACTGGGTCACAGGGTATGTTTAGTTTTATAAGAAATTGCCAGACCATTTTCCAAAGTGGCTTTCCATTTTACATTCTTATCAGAGTTCTGGTTGCTCTACATCCTCAGTAACATTTGGATTTTAATTTTTTTTGTTGGCTGGGCATGGTGGCGCACACCTGTAATCCCAGCACTTTGGGATACTGAGGCAGGCAGATCACTTGAGGTCAGGAGTTCAAGACCAGCCTGGGCAACATGGTGAAACACCGTCGCTACTAAAACTACAAAAAATTAGCCAGGCGTGGTGGCGCATGCCTGTAGTCCCAGCTACTTATGAGGCTGAGGCATGAGAATTGCTTGAAGCCGGAAGGTGGAGGTTGCAGTGAGCTGAGACCGCGCCACCGCGCTCCAGCCTGGGCAACAGAGTGAGACTCAGTCTCAAAAAAATAAAATAAAAAATAATTAAATTACTTAAATGATTTTGTTTTTGTTTTTGTTTTGTGTTTGAGACAGAGTCTCACTCTGTCTCTCAGGCTGGAGTGCAGTGGTACTATCTCTGGTCAGCGTAGCCTCTGCCTCCCGGGTTTAAGAGATTCTTGTGCCTCAGCCTCCCAAGTAGCTGGGATTACAGGCATGTGCTACCATGACTGGCTAATTTATTTATTTATTTATTTTTGAGATGGAGTCCTCGCCCTGTTGCCCAGGCTGGAGTGCATTGGTGCTGTATTGGCTCAGTGCAACCTCCACCTCCTGGGTTCAAGTGATTCTCCTGCTTCAGCCTCCCGAGTAGCTGGGATTCCAGGTGCATGCCACCATGCCTGGCTAATTTTTGTATTTTTAGTAGAGACGGGGTTTCACCATGTTGGTCAGACTGGTCTCGAACTCCTGACCGCAGATGATCTGCCTGCCTCGGCCTCCTAAAGTGCTGGAATTACAGGCGTAAGCCACTGCCCGTGGCCTGGATCTTAATTTTTTTAATGTCCTCTTAAGAAGGGCCTTTATAGAATTGTTCACAGTCCTCCAGACATAGTGTTAGACTCTGCTCTAGTTCAGTGATATGTTTGCCTTGTTGGTTATGAGCCCCGTTTTGGAGCAACTGTGTCTTATTGAACTTGATATCAACCAAAACTTTTTTTTTTCCTCAGATTCTTGTAACAACCAAAACTTTCAGGTCTTGTTCACATTATTTTTAAGCCACGTCACCTTTTCATGCAGTTAATAAACTGATCTTTAAAACTCTTGCTGGGCGCGGTAGCTCACGCCTGTAATCCCAGCATTTTGGGAGGCTGAGGCGGGTGGATCACGAGGTCAGGAGATCGAGACCATGGTGAAACCCCGTCTCTACTAAAAAATACAAAAAATTAGCCAGGCACGGTGGCAGGCGCCTGTAGTCCCAGCTACTCAGGAGGCTGAGGCAGGAGAATGGCGTGAACCTGGGAGATGGAGCTTGCAGTGAGCTGAGATCGCGCCACTGCACTCCAGCCTGGGCGACAGAGCAAGACTCCGTCTCAAAAAAAAAAACGAAAAAACTCTTAACTGTAGGACTGGGCACCGTGGCTCACACCTGTAATCCCAACACTTAGGGAGGCCAAGGTGGGAGGATCGCTGGAGCCCAGGAGTTTGAGACCAGCCTGGGCAACATAGCAACATGCTGCCTCTATTAAAAAAAAAAATTCTTAAACATAGAACTTTAAATTTATCCGTATATGTTGCATCCAGTTGATTTGAGAAAATATAATTTTGAATTTTCCGTCTGTTGGATTGGCAGTCCCTTTCAGCTTTACATCATCTACAGATGTGTTAGGTATGTTCTCTGGGTCTTCTAAGTCACCGATGGAGTTCTTGAATAGTTCAGATCCAAAGACAGCGTCCTGTGAAACCCTGCTGGAAACTTGTCTTTCTCTCTCTCTTTTTTTTTTAAGACAATATCTTGCTCTGTCGCCCAGGCTGGAATGCAGTGGCATGATCTTGGCACACTGCAGCCTCTGCCTCCTGGACTCAAGAGATTTCTCTCACCTCAGCCTCTTGAGTAGCTGGGACTGCAGGTGTGCGTCACCAAGCCCAGCTAAATTTTTTTGTAGAGATATGGTTTCAACATTTTGCCCAGGCTAGGAGACTCATCTCTTGATTCCATTCAGTACTGTGTGGATTTGGATAGGTCATCTAATTATAAAATCATCTAGCTCACATTTTCTCCTGTCTTCTTCCTTTTAGAATTTAAGCTTCATGAGAATAGAACTCTCTCTCTCTATCTCTCTTTCATTCTCTCATATATCCCAAGCATCTAAAACATGGATTGAAGCATAGTGCTCAATAAATGTGTTTTGTTGTTGTTGTTGTTGTTGTTGTTTTTTGAGACAGAGTCTCGCTCTGTTGCCCAGGCTGGAGTGCAGTGGCGCAGTCTTGGCTCACTGCAAGCCCTGCCTCCCGGGTTCACGCCATTCTCCTGCCTCAGCCTCCCGAGTAGCTGGGACTACAGGCGCCCACCACCACGGCTGGCTAATTTTTTATATTTTTAATAGAGACGGGGTTTCACCATGTTAGCTAGGATGGTCTCAATCTCCTGACTTTGTGATCCATCTGTCTTGGCCTCCCAAAGTGCTGAGATTACAGGCATGAGCCACCGCTCCCGGCCTCAATAAATGTTTTTGAATAAATGAATGAAGGATAGCCAGTCATGGTGGCTCACACCTGTAATCCCACCATTTTGGGAGGCCGAGTTGGGCTGATCACTTGAGCTCAGGAGTTCGAGACCAGCCTGGTGAACCCTCATCTCTACAAAATATACAAAAATTAGCCAGGCATGGTGGCATGCGTCTGTGGTCCCAGCTACTTGGGGAGCTGAGGTGGGAGGAGCGATTGGACCAGGGAGGGGATGCGGAGGTTGCAGTGAGCTGAGATCGTGCCACTGCGCTCCAGCCTGAGTGACATAGTGAGACCCATCTCAAAAAAAGAAGGATAGATATGAAGAATTTGTCATGCCTTGTTGAAAACATTATACATTGTCTTCATGGAATTCCTCCTTATTGTAAAATCTAATTTATACCAACAATATACTGTCTGGCTTTCTTGCAGAAAAGGAAGTAAATGAGCTGATGGAAGAGCTGTTTGAAACTGTGAGTAATGATCCTCGAGTGAGAACACGGGATTTTAAGTCAGTTCTCCAGCAAGATGTGTCATTTGGTCTCTGTGATGCTCCCTCTAGGAGAGGGGGTCTGACTGAACCAATTCTCCTTTTAGTCTACCTGGGAAAGAATATAATGACAAGGGAATTTTGCTAACTACTAGACTCTTGATTATATACATGTATGTTGTTCTTATTAACATTTTCCTTGAAACTTCTTTTTGTTTGAGGGGGTTCTTGCTCCATCACCCAAGCCAGAGTGCAGTGGTGAAATTACAGCTCACAGCAGCCTTGACCTTCTAGGCTCAAGCAGTCCTTCGTCTAAGCCTCCTGAGTAGCTGGGACATACCAACACACCCAGCTAATTATTTTATTTGTAGAGACAGGGTCTTACCACATTGCTCAGGTTGTTCTGGAACTTCTGGGCTCAAGCAATTTTCCTGCCTTGGGCCTCCCAGTGCTGGAATTATAGGTGTGAGCCAGCATGCCTGGCCCCTGGAAAACTTTTGATGACTTCCCCTACTGTCATTTGGTGTGTCCTTAAAGATTGTCAACTAGTTTTAAACTACTTTGTGTACAAATAATTACCTTTTTCATAAATTTGTTTCAAAAGATTTTTCATTTTAAGAGATTGATCATTTTGAGGCTGGGTGCAGTGGCTCACGCTTGTAATCCCAGCACTTTGGGAGGCCACGGCAGGTGGATCATCTGAGGTCAGGAGTTTGAGACCAGCCTGGCCAACATGATGAAACCCTGTCTCTATTAAAAATACAAAAATTAGGCATGGTGGCGGGCACCTGTAGTCACGGTTACTGCAGAGGCTGAGGCAGGAAAATTGCTTGAACCTGGGAGGCGGAGGTTGCAGTAAGCCCAGATTGTGCCACTGCACTCCAGCCTGGGCAATAGAGCAAGACTGCAAGACTCTGTCTCAAAAAAAAAAAAAAAAAAAAAAAAAAAAAAAAAAAAAGGAGAGAGAGATTGATAATTTTGAGTTATCCACGCTCTGTCCTTACTGTTACAAGTTGACTGGTTGAATGACTTCTTTCTTGGCATAATAGCCATCCCAAGTGTGGGTTTGTGGGAATCCTGAAGTGAGAAAGTTCTGACATTGGCTCTTTCTGGGTGCCAGCATTATTATAGTCTTGTAATCTATAGTTTTCACTCTTCCTTCCCAATACTGGAGCAACATTCAGAGGCCCATTCCCCAGGAAAACCCTCCCTTTCCTTTGCCCACAGTTCCAAGATGAGATGGGATTCTCCAACATGGAAGATGATGGCCCAGAAGAGGAGGAGTGTGTAGCTGAGCCTCGTCCTAACTTTAACACCCCTCAAGCTCTACGGTAGGCTAGTTGAAGACCTTGAGATTTGGAATAGAGGAAAAGTTTATTTCTGAAAAGGTTTTCAGAAGTTGCAATTGATAATTTTTCATCCCAAACCAGCTTCTGTTACTGATGTAAGGATGCAGAGCCCTGTCAGGAGTTAGGTGTCAAGTGAAGTCTCCTTGTTATGGGGCAGTGCAGCTGTAGGCCAAGCTATATCCGTTTGGGAAGGGAGAAAAAACAGTAGCTGGCATCCATATCCACTTCTCCGGGTGAGTGGTGCTGGAGAGGTATGTAGGACTCAATGTGGCCAGCCACACAAACTACCCCATATTGTAATATCCTGTCTGTCCCTTTTGTTCTTTTTATGTGCCATTAATATCTGCTAAATGTGACTGAAAATTTGTTAGTCACCTAGGCATTAGTGGAGCAAACCCTGAAGCACCTGCAGTAAGGAGTCTGAAACATACGTGCTGACCTTTTTGCCTAAAGTTGGCACTTGTGTTACAGCATCCAGAAAGTAGAGGCTTTAATTTTTTCCTCATTTTGTGGTGGATTTGCATCTGCACTTTATTGTATTGTTATCCATTGCGAGTAGCAGCATGTAGTCATTAGATGGATGGCTAGATGTCAGGATGCAGTTTGTGCCATAAGTGGAACAAAGCAAAGAGAATAGTCCCTGTAATTCGTCCTGGGTTTGAACCTAACAGCATTACTAAGCAGAGAGCTTGGGATCCATCTGAAAGCTAGACCTTTAGAGATTTTTCAATTTAGTGAAAAAAGATAAGATATGCCAACCAATGTCTAAAAACTAGAAATACCAGTAATTCTCCATTACAACAAATATCACAATACAACTACATCAAAAACCTCAAGATTGCTAAGTCAGTATTTGACCCATTATTTTAAGTTACAGCTCATACAACAAAATTCTGTTATAGCAGAATGGAACCATTCATCCTGGGAACATATAATGGGATTTGATCTATAAACGTGTTTTGGTTCTGCTGATTGACTCTTTGTAACTTCTTAAAATTTGGGAAGTGTAGGCTGGGCGCAGTGGCTCATGCCTGTAATCCCTGCACTTTGGGAGGCGGAGGCAGGGGGATCACCTCAGGTTAGGAGTCGAGACCAGCCTGGCCAACATGGTGAAACCCCATCTCTACTAAAAATACAAAAATTAGCCAGGCATGGTGGCGGGTGTGTGTAATCCCAGCTACTCAGGAGGCTGAGGCAGGATACTCACTTGAACCCGGAAAGCGGAGGTTGCAGTGAGCTGAGATGACAGCCTGCTTGACAGAGAGAGACTCTGTCTCAAAAAAATAAAATAAAATAAAATAAATAAAATTTGTAAAGTATAGAAATAATTTAAAACTCTTGTTAGAATTCAGTTACCTTCTGGTATTCAGTAGAATACAGTCATATATCATCTCATGGTGATACATTCTGTGAAATGTTATCATTAAACGATTTCATCATTGTGTAGAAAGCACTTGGATAAACCTAGATGGTTTAGCCTACTGCATACCTAGGCTATACGGTATAACATATTGCTCCCAGGCCACAAACCTGTATAGCATGTTATTCTGCTGAATATTGTAGGCAGTTGTAACACAATGGTAAGTACATATGTATGTAAACATAGAAAAGGTACAGTAATCTTATGGAGCCATCTCTGAATATGTGGTTCATTATTGACTGAAACATTATGTGGCACATGACTGTACTTGGGCAGCTGCTGCTTCTCTTTCAGTTGCAAATGCAAACCTGTTATAATCTTTGACTAAATAAAGCATCCTGGATTCTGTAAGTCCATAGATAGTAAAAACTTCTTAAAACACAATAAAGAAGAGAGAGGAAAAAAAAGAACAAAACAAAAACCCTGGGAAAGTGAGTTATCTGTGCTTCCCTTGTCAGTTATCCAAGTAATACTTATTAAAACTAGGTGCAAGGCCACGTGTGGTGACTCACACCTGTAATCTCAGCACTTTGGGAGGCTAAGGCAGGCAGATCACTTTAGGTCAGGAGTTCAGACCAGCCTGGTCAACATGGTGAAACCCCATCTCTACTAAAAATACAAAAATTAGCTGGGTGTGGTGGCACACGCCTGTAATCCCAGCTACTTGGGAGGCTGAGGCAGGAGAAACACTTGAACCCTGGAGGCGGAGGTTGCACTGAGCTGAGATTGTGCCACTGTACTCCAGCCTGGGCAACAGAGTGAAACTGTCTCTCAAAAAATAATAATAGGCCGGGTGCGGTGGCTCACGCCAGTAATCCCAGCATTTTGGGAGGCCAAGGCAGGCGGATCACAAGGTCAGGAGTTTGAGACCAGCCTGACCAACATGGTGAAACCCCGTCTCTACTAAAAATAAAAAAATTAGCCAGGCATGGTAGCACTCGCCTGTAATCCCAGCTACTCAGGAGGCTGAGGCAGGAGAATCGCTTGAACCCAGGACGCAGAAGTTGCAATGAGCCAAGATCATGCCACTGCACTCCATCCTGAGAGAGAGAAAAAGACTCCATCTCAAAAAATAATAATAATAATAATAATAATAATTATAGATCAGGCGTGGTGGCTGGCACCTGTAATCCCAGCACTTTGGGATGCCGAAGCAGGCATATCACCTGAGGTCAGGAGTTCGAGACCAGCTTGGCCAACATGGCGAAACCTTGTCTCTACTAAAAATGCAAAAAAAATTAGTCGGACGTGTTGGCAGGTGCCTGTAATCCCCGCTACTTGGGAGGCTGAGGAAGGAGAATTGCTTGAACCTGGGAGGCAGAGGTTGCAGTGAGCCGAGACCACTCCATTGCACTCCAGCCTGGGCAATAGGAACGAAACTCCATCTCAAAAAAAAATAATAGTAATAATAATAATAATAATAAAAAATACAACTACGTGCAGGCTATGTTTTCATTACCTACTTTTTTATGCTTCTGGTCTTCTGTTCCTTCAGTGGTAGTAGTGCAGGTGATCAGGTTTTCAGTTCTCAGAAGATTGCATAAGACAGTCCCACAGGCTTTAGGTTTTTACCCTGTGCTGCCCAAACCCACAGTAAATACTATAAAAGAAAGAATGATTTTTATCCCCAATAGATAAATGATAACTTTTAAAAATTAACTATTGAAAACACTTATTTATCTATTGCTGTAATATTGGAGATTACTTGAAATATGATAACCTGCTTGTTGTAACTACATCAGCAGGTCTTATCCTGATTGCATAGGGTATCAGCACGTGCTTAATCACTTAAGTATCTTTTTCTCCTTTTACTTCAGAACTGTCATGCTGGGTTTTTCAGTTTTTGCTTCAGCCCTGGAAACAGTCTCTCAGGAGGGTAGGGGTGGGAAGTTAGGGTTAGGAACCTTAGAAGAGGAATTTATTTTATTTATTTATTTATTTTATTTTATTTTTTTGAAATGGAGTCTTGCTCTATCGCCCAGGCTGGAGTGCAGTGGCGCGATCTCGGCTCACTGCAACCTCTGCCTCCCGGGTTCAAGTGATTCTCCTGCCTCAGCCTCCCAAGTAGCTGGGATTACAGGCACGCATCACCACGGCCAGCTAATTTTCGTATTTTTTCATAGAGACAGGGTTTCGCCATGTTAGCCAGGCTAGTCTCGAACCACTGACCTAAAGTGATCCACCTGCCTTGGCCTCCCAAATTGCTGGCATTACTGGCTTGAGCCACCACGCCCGACTGTTTCTTGACCTTTTAATAATTGTCATTCTGACTGGCAAGGCTTGCTTTCTTAACAAGTCAAAAATCTTCTAGCATGAAGCAGGAAAAGGATATACTAAAATAACTAAAGTAATGATAGTTTACCTGAACAGAACTGAGTGGTTGGTTCAAATATTACCCTACTGCTCTCCATGAAGGTATTTTATTTTAGCCCTTTAAATTCCTCTTCCTGGCTGGGTGCAGTGGCTCACGCCTGTAATCCCAGCAATTTGGGAGGCCAAGGCAGGTGGATCACTTTAGGTCAGTGGTTCGAGACTAGCCTGGCTAACGTGGCGAAACCCTGTCTCTACAAAAAAATACAAAAATTAGCTGGCCGTGGTGATGCGTGCCTGTAATACCAGCTACTCTGGAGGCTGAGGCAGGAGAATCACTTGAACCCAGGAGACAGAGGTTGCAGTGAGCCGAGATCATGCCACTGCAGTCCAGCCTGGGCGACAGAGCAAGACTCCATTTCAATAAATAAATAAATAAATAAATAAATTCCTCTTCTAAGGTTCCCAACCCTAACTTCCCACCCCTACCCTCCTGGGAGACTTTTTCCAGGGCTGAAGCAAAAATTCAAAAACCCAGCATGTCAGTTCTGAAGTAAAAGGAGAATAAGATAGCTAAGTGATTAAGCATGTGCTGATACCCTATGCAGTCAGGGTAAGATCTGTTGGCCAGGCCTGGTGGCTTACGCCTGATTCCAGCACTTTGGGAGGCCGAGGCAGGTGGATCATGAGGTCAAGAGATCGAGACCATCCTGGCCAACATGATGAAACCCCGTCTCTACTAAAAATACAAAAATTAGCTGGGTGTGATGGCGTGTGTCTGTAGTCCCAGCTACTCAGGAGGCTGAGGCAGGAGAATCACTTGAACCTGGGAGGCGGAGGTTGCAGTGAGCCGAGATCATGCCACTGCATTCCAGCTTGGCGTCAGAGCGAGACTCCGTCTCAAAAGAAAAAAAAATCTGTTTATGTAGCTACAACAAGCAGGTTATCTTTCTTTCTTTTTTCTTTTTTTTTTTTTTTTTTTTTGAGACAGAGTCTTGCTCTGTCGCCCAGGCTGGAGTGCAGTGGCGGGATCTCGGCTCACTGCAAGCTCCACCTTCTGGGTTCACGCCATTCTCCTGCCTCAGCCTCCTGAGTAGCTGGGACTACAGGCCCCCACGACTGCGCCCAGCTAATTTTTTGTATTTTCAGTAGAGACGGGGTTTCACCATGGTCTTGATCTCCTGACCTCGTGATCCGCCCACCTCTGCCTCCCAAAGTGCTGGGATTACAGGCGTGAGCCACCGCGTCCGGCCAACAAGCAGGTTATCATATTTCAAGGAATCCCCGATATTACAGCAGTAGATAAATAAGAAAATGTAGTATCCCACCAGGGAATACTATACAGCCATAAAAAGGTATGATATCATGTCCGTTTCAGGGACATGGATGGAGGTGAAGCCATCAGCAAGCTAACGTAAGAACAGAAAAACAACACTGCATGTTCTCACTTATAAGTAGGAGCTGAACAATGAGAACACATGGGCACAGGGTGGGGAACAACACACACTGGGGCCTGTTGGGGGAGCGGGGGAAGGGAGAGGATCAGGATAAACTGCTAATGCAGCTGCACTTAATACCAAGGTGATGGGTTGATAGGTGCAGCAAACCACCAAGGTGCACGTTTACCTGTGTAACAAACCTCCATGTCCTGCACATGTATTCTGAAACTTAAAATTAAAATTTTGAGGGCTAGGCATGGTGGCTTACGCCTGTAATCCCAGCACTTTGGGAAGCCGAGATGGGTGGATCATGAGGTCAGGAGATGGAGACCGTCCTGGCTAACACAGTGAAATCCCATCTCTACTAAAAATACAAAAAATTAGCTGGGCGTGGTGGCACGTGCCTATAGTCCCAGCTACTTGGGAGGGTGAGGCAGGAGAATTGCTTGAACCCTGGAGGCGGAGGTTGCAGTGAGCTGAGATCGTGCCACTGCACTCCAGCCTGGGCGACAGAGCGAGACTGTGTCTCAAAAAATATTTAAATTTTGAAAAAAAAATGCAAGGCAGTGCAGCCTGAGTGGATAGGGAAATGGGACAAGCTGAACCTGGGATGGGAGTAACAAGTAAATGAGAGAAGAAATGAGAATGATGAGTTCCCACCAGCTCCTTGGCTGCTTTCTTATCCAGATATTTCTCTGTTCCTAGCATTTTAATTTTTTCTTTATTTGTATATTATTTAGAAGAGGAATTTTAGAGGAATGGGATAGAGTGTAATATAGAATCATCATATTTGATGCATGCTAACTACTTTGGCAAAAGATTTGTAAAAGGCTGAGAGTTTGACTGTTGGCTAAAGTGAGATGGGGGATTAGTAGGGAATGAAAATTGTTCAGGCTCTTTGCTCATCATTGGAACGAATTGGATGTGTTGTGGACCTACGGAAACACTCAAATTCAGTCATCTCCCTGTTGGGAATAGGTTTGAGGAACCACTGGCCAACCTGTTAAATGAACAACATCGGACAGTGAAGGAGCTATTTGAACAGCTGAAGATGAAGAAATCTTCAGCCAAACAGCTGCAGGAAGTAGAGAAGGTTAAACCCCAGAGTGAGAAAGTTCATCAGACTCTGATTCTGGACCCAGCACAGAGGAAGAGACTCCAGCAGCAGATGCAGCAGGTAGGACTTTTCTTGGTCATGTTAACATTGGATTTTTTTTTTTGAGACAGAGTCTGGCTCTGTCTCCCAGCCTGGAGTGCAGTGGCCCGATATCGGCTCACTTCAACCTCTGCTTTCTGGGCTCAAGCATTTCTCCTGCCTCAGCCTCCCAAGTAGCTGGGATTACAGGCATCCACCACCACACCCAGCTAATTTTTGTATTTTTAGTAGAGACAGGGTTTCACCATATTGGCCAGGCTGGTCTCGAACTCCTGACCTTGTGATCCGCCCGCCTCGGCCTCCTAAAGTGCTGGGATTACAGGCGTGAGCCACTGCGCCCTGCTGTTAATACTGGATTATACCAAGGCCTAACTCTGAGGCCAGAAATTAACAGCTTTGTAAAAGTCAGAGATAGTTACCTTACCACCTCCTAAAACCATAGTATCTTCACATCATTAGGAGCTCGAGAAGTCATCATGTTCATGCCTTATGGCTCAAGGAAGAGAGCACACAAGGACACTAATGGTATTCAGAAATATAGATTTCAAAGAGTCCTTAGTAATCTATTCTGAAATTTAACAACCTTCACTGTGAGAAGTAGGTTTGTTTTTCCTTTTTCTAACCTCAGTCCCTCTGGATTGAGGTTAAGCTTCCTCTGGTTCTGTCATTTTGTTCAAGGGAACATGTCTGAGAGATTTATGCCAAGATCCTATGTTATTTTCATACTCCTTTCAGAAAGCAAAATATATGTGATAAAGTTGCAAACATCTTGGTTATTGTCTCTCTGGGGGCTGGGTTACGGTGGCTCACACCTGTAATCCCAGCACTTTGGGAGGCTGAGGTGGGAGGATTGCTTGAGCCAGGGAGTTCGAGAGCAACCTGAGCAACATAGTGAGACCCTGTCTCTGCAAAAAATAAAAATAAATTAGCCAGGCATGGTGCCATGCATCTGTGGTCCCAGCTACTCAGGAGGCTGAGGTGGGAGGATTGCTTGAGCACAGGAAGTTGAGAGGGCGTGGAGCCATGATTGCATCACTGCACATCAGCCTGAGTGACAGAGAGAGATCCTTTCTCCAAGAAGAAAAAAAAAAAAGATCTCTCTGGATTCCTGAAATGACAATGTGGTAACATGTCACTTCATCATTTTCTTTCCATCCCCAGCACGTTCAGCTCTTGACCCAAATCCACCTTCTTGCCACCTGCAACCCCAACCTCAATCCGGAGGCCACTACCACCAGGATATTTCTTGTAAGTTTCCAAATATCCATAACTCTAAAGACTAGAGTATGAAATTAGCTTGGCAGGTTATTTCTCAGTTATTCACTGATCATAATCTATATTTATTCTTCTCTCGGGTATTTTTGATTGTTTTGCCTGCTTTCTGTTAAGGCTTCCTGTGTTTGCTGAGAGAACGTAAGCCACTGATTCCCATGAAAGGACAAGGAGTGTATTCAATTTTCTTAATACTGTCTTTCTGATATTTTTATTGAATCCTCCTCATCTTTAGATCCAACCTAACTTCTTAGGTTTTTGGTACCACTGTTCGTTTTATAGATGTTGAGACTGGGCACGGTGGCTATGCCTGTAATCCCAGCACTTTGAGAAGCCAAAGCAGGCAGATTATATGACCCCAGTAGTTCCAGACTAGCTGGGGCAACATGCCGAAAGCCCGTCTCTACAAAATACAAAAATTAACCAGATGTGGTGGTGCGTACCTGTAGTCTCAGCTACTTGGGAGGCAGAGGTGGAAGGATAGCTTGAGCCTAGGAGGTGAGGGTTACAGTGAGCTGAGATCGCGCCACTGCACTCAAGCCTGGGCAGCAGAGTGAGACCCAGTCTCAAAATAAATAAATAAATAAAATAAAAGTAATAGTCCTAATTCTTGGCTGGGTGCGGTGACTTGTGCCTGTAATCTCAGCACTTTGGTAGGCTGAGGTGGCTGGATCACTTGAGGTCAGGAGTTCGAGAACAGCTTGACCAACATGGTGAAATCCAGTCTCTACTTAAAATACAAAAAATAGCCGGGCGTGGTAGCGGGCGCCTGTAATTAATCCCAGCTACTCGGGAGGTAGATGGAGAAGAATCGCTTGAGCCCAGGAAGTGGAGACTTCAGTGAGTCAAGATCGCACCACTACGCTCCAGCCTGGGCGACAGAGCGAAACTCCGTCTCGAAAAAAAAAAAAAAAATGAGTCCTCATTCTTCATAATCTTACTTCTAGTTCAGGAGCTAGACCATATATTCCTTAGTGTTTCTCACTAAGTCTAAAAGTAAAACAAGAATACAATCCCTGAATATCTGGGAACTCAGGCATAATCTTAACAGAGTAGTTTATTGTGAAAGACTTTATGATGATTTTTACCTGTTTTTATCCTGTAGTAGGAAGGTCAGCTTCTCATTTAGATTCTGAAGGCTACTGGTATTAATTGTCTGGAATTGTCTTAAATCTTTCTTGTGTCCTGTTTTCCCAGAAAGAGCTGGGAACCTTTGCTCAAAGCTCCATCGCCCTTCACCATCAGTACAACCCCAAGTTTCAGACCCTGTTCCAACCCTGTAACTTGATGGGAGCTATGCAGCTGATTGAAGACTTCAGCACACATGTCAGCATTGACTGCAGCCCTCATAAAACTGTCAAGAAGACTGGTAGGAGACAGATGTGTCAGCTTTAAGTTTTTACTTGCGGTGAGAGGTGGTGGGAATCTTATCCCATAGATAACTAAGGATACTTGCCTAGGAATGGAGGACACAGGACATTTGTAATTTCTTCCTTCTCTCTTTTATCCTCCCTTTGTACTCATTATCCAAGTTCTAGAATTACATGATAATCTCTGGGCCTGGGTAAAGTGTGGAGGCAGTGGACAGTATAGGAATATGGGAGGTAGAGATCTGAGGCTCAGTGCTAAGAATTGGACTACAGCAATATGAGGGGTAAGTATTAGGAGTCAGATCGAGATAAACTGGGGCCTGGTAAAGATGAAAGTCAGGTGGTAAAGTTTGGTCATGTTTAGCTTTTTACTGTCTTCATTAAGATCAACTAAGGCCAGGCGCGGTGGCTCACGCCTGTAATCCCAGTACTTTGGGAGGCCGAGGCACGGGGAACACAATGTCAGGAGATGGAGACCATCCTGGCGAACACAGTGAAACCCCGTCTCTACTAAAAATACAGAAATTAGCCAGGCATGGGGGCACGCGCCTGTAGTCCCAGCTACTCGGGAGGCTGAGGCAGGAGAATCGCTTGAACCCAGGAGGCAGAGTTTGCAGTGAGCCAAGATAGCATCATTGCACTCCAGCCTGGGCGACAGAGCGAGACTCAGTCTCAAAAAAAAAAAAAAAAAAATCAACTAACTTTATTTACCATACTGACTGCAGCATAAGTGATATCTCCATTCTGAATGAAATATTGACTTGCAAGTTAGGCATAAGTTAGAGATTATACATTTGCCATGTTCAGTATTTTAAAGAAATTTGCAAGTTTAGATTCTACCTTGCATTAGTTTAGTATTTTTTAGAAAATACTTGCTATTTACTTAAGCCAAATATTTGCTTCTGATTTGTTTCTTGATTTAGCAAATTAGTTGTGGTTTGTTCTGGATTTGGGTTTGTCTTTGGATTCTATTTTAAATCCCTGAGTCTTATCGTTAAGTTGAAAATAGTTGTATTTAAGTGTATTATATCATAGACACGGATCCCAAACTGCTTTAACAGCTATATTAAATGATATGAAATGGTAATGAAAACTTGATTTAACACCAAATTATAATAATATCTTACACATCTGTTGACCTGTTGCTTTCTTCTGGGGATATAAAAATAACACTTATGGAAGGAGAAATATGGATATAGTAGTTTTGTCTCTAGAAATGCAGAGGTGCCTGAAAGTGAGAGGCTGAGAGAGGGAGAGAGAAATGAATGAGACTGAATTGTCTCCTTCCTTTTATGGTTCTTTTGTTCCCAGCCTCAGGAGGAATCTGGGAGAACTTAAGTAAGAATCAAATAAAAGTAAAATTTGGAATACCAGATTTGTGAGGGAGATTAAAGAAGTTGGAATCTTATTCTGGAAGAAAGAAAGCATTGTTGAAGGTCTCTTATCCTTCAAGTATTTAAGGGGGGAAGGAGGTAAAACATTTTTGAGCATACGCTATTGTTAGCACCTTATTTTACTAGGTGCTTTTTAAGTGTTTGTTTTACTTAGTGAATAAAGTGTTCCACATAAGAAAGAATGAGTCAACTTTTATTGCCATTGAATGGGACTCCCTTTAGATATAATGTTAGCTTAAGAAAGACTGGAAACTTTTGGGGGGATGGTGGGCAGATGGGAGGGAATCAAGTTAGGTAAGGATAGCTCCTACCTAAATGCAAAAATGCATTCACAGGCTTTTATGAAGCCCTCTTTTGTCCTAGAAGTTGATTTATCCGAGATTTATTTTCTTATAGCGAATGAATTTCCCTGTTTGCCAAAGCAAGTGGCTTGGATTCTGGCCACAAGCAAGGTTTTCATGTATCCAGAGTTACTTCCAGTGTGTTCCCTGAAGGCAAAGAATCCCCAGGATAAGATCGTCTTCACCAAGGCTGAGGACAAGTAAGTGTTTACTCTGGGGGATCAAAACAGCAGAACATCCCAAGGAGAAGATGTAGTTCCTTTGAGGAGTTTAGGGGAAGTAAGACTTGTATAATAAGACACGGACACAAAAGACAAAAGGAAAAGCAATATAGATGAGCAGAGCCCTCTAGGACGTGCTTGTTCTAGCAGTGCCAAATACTGCTTTTTGGGAGATGTCACACACATTTTTAAAGCATTTTAGACCGGACATGGTGGCTCACACCTGTAATCCCAGCACTTTGAAAGGCCAAGGCAGGAGGTTCGCTTTTATTTTATTTTATGTTATTTATTTATTTATTTAGAGGCAGAATCTTACTGTGTCACCCAGGCAGTCACAGCTCACTGCAGCCTTGAACTCCTGACATCAAGCGATCCTTGCACCTCAGCCTCCACGGAGCAGCTGAGACCACAGGCGTGTGCCACCATACATGGCTAAATTTTTTTTTTTTTTTTTGTAGAGATGAGGGTCTCTCTGTGTTATCCAGGCATCTCTCAAACTCCTGGACTCAAGGCATCCTCCCACCTTGGCCTCCCAAAGTGCTGGGATTACAGGCATGAGCCACCACACCCACCAGATTATGAACATTTTTATGGCCCTTTGTGTGTATTGCCACACTGTTATCAGCACATATGTGTATATGTAACCACGATCATATATGTTGTTAGAGGGTAGTATTGGTGCCGGTTTAAGTTGTCTGACAGGGTACCTATTCATTTTGTATTAGTTTTATTAGAATTATTCTCCTTCCTTTCTATTCTCTTTGAACTTCCTTTGTATTGTTAGTATACAGCTCGTCATGATACAGCTCATCATGATCTCACGTTTATTAATGATTTATGCCTAGTTTCTTATGTTCCCACATAATTGTGAAGTATTTGATTTTTTTTTTTTAAACAGAGTTTCACTTTTGTCACCCAGGCTGGAGTGCAATGGTGCGATCTCGGCTCACTGCAACCTTCGCCCCCGGTTTCAAGTGATTCTCCTGACCAAGTAGCTGGCATTACAGGCACCTACCACTACACCTGGCTATTTTTTGTATTTTTAGTAGAGACGAGGTTTCACCATGTTGGCCAGGCTGGTCTCGAACTCCTGACTCAGGTGATCTGCCTGCTTCGGCATCCCAAAATGCTGGGATTACAGGCGTGAGCCATTGCGCCTGGCCTTATTCTTATTCATAATACTTAATCAGTACTCACTAAGTATCTGAAATTTTCTGTTGAGTAGTCACCAACTTGTACAAGAATTAGATTTACAAAAAGTAGATTGACCAGGCATGGTGGGCTTACAACTGTAATACCAGCACTTTGAGAGGCTGAGGCAGGAGGATCGCTTGAGGCCAGGAGTTTAAGATTAGCCCAGGCAACATAGTGAGAACTGGTCTCTACAAATAATGGAAGAAAAAAATTAGCCCGGCATGGTGGTGAACGTCTGTGGTCACAGATACTTGGGAGGATGAAGTACGGGAATCGCTTGAGCCCAGGCATTCAAGGCTGCAGTGCGCTGTAATCATGCCACCCGCTCTCCAACCCGGGCAACAGAGCAAGACCCTGTCTGAAAAAAAATGAAAAGGTAGATTGGGCCACACACCATGGCTCATGCCTGTAATCCCAGCACTTTGGGAGGCTGAGACTGGAGAATTGCTTCAGCCTAGGAAGTAGAGGTTGCAGTGAGCTGCGATGGTGCCACTGCACTCCAGCCTGGGTGACAGCGTGAGACCTTGTCTCAAGAAAAAAATGAAAGAGTAGATTGTAAAATGTGTTAGTCTGGGGAGACCCTTTAGAAGGAAGGACTGTGAAGTGAGATTTAGTGTTATTCTCCTTTCTCAGTTTGTTAGCTTTAGGACTGAAGCATTTTGAAGGAACTGAGTTTCCTAATCCTCTAATCAGCAAGTACCTTCTAACCTGCAAAACTGCCCACCAACTGACAGTGAGAATCAAGAACCTCAACATGAACAGAGCTCCTGACAACATCATTAAAGTGAGTGTTTCCTGCATGCGCCATCCGGGCACCTCACCAATATGTACCCATTCTTTTATCTTGTTATTCTCAAAGAAAAGAGGAACCTTCTTTTATCTAAAGCTAATTTCTCCCACTTTACACTAGATTAATTCCCCTATTGCCTTTTGGGCAATATTCCGCTGGCAGTATTCCACTTATTTGCTTTTTGTTGTTGTTGTTGTTAGACAGACTCTTGCTCTGTCACTCAGGCTTGAGTAGAGTGGCGCAATCTTGGCTCACTGCAGTCTTTACCTCCCAGGTTCAAGCGATTCTCCTGCCTCGGTGTCTCCTGCCTCAGCGTCCCAAGTAGCTTGGATTACAGGCATGCACCACCACACCTGGCTAATTTTTGTATTTTCAGTAGAGATGAGGTTTCACCATGTTGGCCAGGCTGGTCTTGAACCTCTGACCTCAAGTGATCCACCCGCCTTGGCCTCCCAAGGTGCTGGGATTACAGGCATGAGCCACCGCACCTGGTTTCTTCTTTTTTATTTAGATATTTATGTTGTGTTTTTAGAGACGGGTTCTTGCTCTATCATCCTGTTTGGAGTGCATTGGCTCAGTCATAGGTCACTGTAGCCTCAAACTCCTGGGTTCAAGTGATCCTTCCACTTTAGCCTTCCAAGTATCCTGGACTACAGGCGTGTTCCACCAAGGCTAGCTCATTATTTTATTTTGTGTGGAGATGCTGTGTCACTTTGTTGCCCAGACTGGTCTTGAAGTTTTGACATGTGTCAGTCCGCCTGCCTCAGCTTGGCCTCCCAAAGTGTTGGGATTACAGGCGTGAGCCACTATGCCCAGCCTTTTGTTTTGTTTTGTTTTTGTTTTTTTCTTGAGAAAGGGTCTTACTCTGCTACCCAGGCTGGAGTACAGTGGTACAGTCATAGCTCACTGTAAGCTCCAGCTACTGGGCTCAAGCATTCCTCCCACCTCAGCCTCCCAAGGAGCTGGGGATTATATGCATGAGCCACCATGCTTGCCTATTAATTTTTTTTTTTTTTTTTTTTTTTTTTTTTTTTTTTAAGAAATGGAGTGTCCCTATATTGCCCAGGCTGGTCTCGAATTTTTGGCCTTAGGCATTCTCCTGTCTCAGCCTCTAATTGCTACTTCCTGGTATATTGGATTTAGGCCTTATTTATTAACCATTAACCATAAGCCAAGGAAGCTGAGGATTTACCTGTCTCCTCACTCCCTTACTCCCACCACAAACATGCACATTTTCTGCTCTCCAATCTCCTCGCTAGTAATTATGTCACAATTTTGGTTAGGTTGTATTCAGGGTTTACACTATAAGATTTTAAGGACTGTATAAATACTCTTCACAGCTATGTTATTGTGATACCTTGCCTTTCCTGCTGAACATTTTGTTTTTCTTGGAGTAAATAATCGCATTTTTAGGGGGATGGGGCTGGACTTGATTTTATTATGTAATTATTCCCAGGTCAACAGTAAAGGTTACTTAAATTTTCTTAATCTCCTTTCAGCGTGTCTGGCCTTCTAGATATTCCGTCACTTTCATCTTGAAGGAATTGCTCCTTGAGCCCTCTGACACTATTCCACTCTAAGCGTGTTGCTCTCTGGGCTTGCTGCACTGATGTTTTGGGCTTTTTCCTCCCCATCATCCTGGGAATTCTTTTTGCCTCTTACTGTGTTGGATCTTCTTATTTCCTGAATTCTACATCTGTGTTTTTGTTTTACTTCCTTCCTTTAGTGAAACACATTCTAGTAGCATTTTTTATTTTAATTTTTTTCTAAATTTTTAAAAATTGAGGCCGTACACGGTGGCTCAGGCCTGTAATCCCAGGTCTTTGGGAGGCTGAGGCAGGCAGATGACCTGAGGCCAGGAGTTCAAGACCAGCCTGGGCAATATGGTGAAACCCCGTCTCTACTAAAAATACAAAAATTGACCAGGTATGGTGCCACTCACCTGTAATCCCAGCCACTCGGGAGGCTGAGGCACAAAACTCACTTGAACTAGGGAGACAGAGGTTCAGTAAGCGTGGATCACTCCCCTGCACTCCAGCCTGGGCGACAGAGGAGTCTCTGTCTCAAAGATCAAGAAGCAGAGAAACAAACAAAAAGTACAAAGATGTGCACAGAAAATGACACACAACTCAAACGTGAAGGAAAAAGATTTTTCTGCAGCAGAATACGGTTTATCAAGTGCCTTAGCACCACGGATGAAACTAGACAAATTCTAAGCCATATTATCATGAATTTTCAAAACATTGGAGCCAAAGGAAAAATCTTACATGCTATCAGAGGTTGGGAGAAACAGGTGTTACATGAATATTCAAGAGTTAAATGGGGCCGTGGCTCACGCCTATAATCCCAGCACTTTGGGAGGCCAAGGTGGGAGAATTACTTGAGCCCAGGAGTTCAAGACCAGCCTGGGCAAAAAAGTGAGACCTGTCTCAATTTTTTTTTTTTTTTTTGAGATGGAGTCTTGCTGTGTCATCCAGGCTGGAGTGCAGTGGTGTGATCTCGGCTCACTGCAAGCTCCGCCTCCCAGGTTCATGCCATTCTCCTGCCTGAGCCTCCTGAGTAGCTGGGACTACAGGCACCAGCCACCACGCCTGGCTAATTTTTTGTATTTTTTAGTAGAGACGGGGTTTCACCATGTTAGCCAGGATGGTCTCAATCTCCTGACCTCGTGATCTGCCCACCTCAACCTCCCAAAGTGCTGGGATTACAAGGTGAGCCACTGCGCCTGGCCTATTCTTTTTTTTTTTTTTTGAGACGGAGTCTCACTGTGTCACCCAGGCTGGAGTGCAGTGGCACTGTCTCTGATCTCAGCTCACCTCAACCTCCACCTCCCAGGTTCAAGCAATTCTCCTGCCTCAGCCCGCTGAGTAGCTGGGATTACAGGTGCGTGCCACCATGCCTGGCTAATTTTTGTATTTTTGTAGGAATAGGGGTTTTGCCATGTTGGCCAGTCTGGTCTTGAACTCCTGACCTTAGGTAATCTGCCCACCTCCGAAAGTGCTGGGATTATAGGCATGAACCACCACGCCCAACCTTCATTTACTCTTAAAATTGAACTTTCTCAGGCTCTTTTTTTCCCCCCTTCTCTTCTAATGCCTTTCACACCACCATTTGCTTAAAAGGAAGCTTTCATGTGTCCAAGGTATAGATTACGATGTTGTCTTTGCAGCTGTTGATCAAGAACAAATCTTACATAAGATTGCTCTGAGCATCTGCTTCCTTTTCTCTCTGTGACCTAAACTCTCCCCTTCCTGGCAACCAGAATGGAGATCATCAGTTAGAAAATATTGAATAATTGTGAAATATTTAAATAGAGATTAGTTTAATTTGAAATGTACAAGTATTCAGCATATGCTATTTATATATGTGCGTTCATGGATGTTTGTGTATGTGGTCTTGTGTGTGTGTGTGTGTGTGTGTGTGTGTTTCTCTTGATCCACCACCACCCCATTCACCAGCCTGACAGGGGACAGTGTTTCCAGAAGGAATGTAATTCATGCGCATTTTTTTCATGTTAAGTTTTATAAGAAGACCAAACAGCTGCCAGTCCTAGGAAAATGCTGTGAAGAGATCCAGCCACATCAGTGGAAGCCACCTATAGAGAGAGAAGAACACCGGCTCCCATTCTGGTTAAAGGTACAGCCCTCTTCCTCGAAGTCTGTAGGAGGCAGAAGGTCACTGAAAGTTCTGAGAGAATATCAAGGGCTTCCTTAATCGTCTAATGCTTTAGTTGTAGAACTAGGACTTTAGAAATCTTCCTGATTCACCTTTCTTCCCTTACTTTTCTGCCCTTCTCTGGGTGATTCTACAGCATTTTCAAAATAATAGGTAAAATAATAATTTGCTAAAGGAAATTCACAGAAGTTTCTAAAGTGTATAATTAGAATGTGGTCTTTGTAGATTTGATATGCAGAGAGACCCTTCTTGGAAAGATGCCTTGAGACTGTCTAAGGTCTCTAAAACCTAGAAAGCCCTATTGTTTTTCCCAAATTCTTTTTTTGTTGTTGTTTTGTTTTGTTTTTGAGACAGAGTCTTGCTCTGTCCACCCAGGCTAAGGTGCGATCTCGGCTTCTCGCAACCTCTGCCTCCCAGGTTCAAGTGATTCTCCTGCCTCCGCCTCCTGAGTAGCTGGGATTACAGGCACATGCCACCACACCCAACTAATTTTTGTATTTTTAGTAGAGACGGGGTTTCACCGTGTTGGTCAGGCTCATCCTGAACTCCTGACCTCAAGTGATCTGCCCACTTCAGCCTCCCAAAGTGCTGGGATTACAGGCGTGAGCCACTGTGCCAAGCCTCTTTTTCCCAAATTCTGACATATGCTGGATCAGAGTGTTCTTGTTTCCAATAGGCCAGTCTGCCATCCATCCAGGAAGAACTGCGGCACATGGCTGATGGTGCTAGAGAGGTAGGAAATATGACTGGAACCACTGAGATCAACTCAGATCGAAGCCTAGAAAAAGACAATTTGGAGTTGGGGAGTGAATCTCGGTACCCACTGCTATTGCCTAAGGGTGTAGTCCTGAAACTGAAGCCAGTTGCCACCCGTTTCCCCAGGAAGGCTTGGAGACAGAAGCGTTCATCAGTCCTGAAGCCCCTCCTTATCCAACCCAGCCCCTCTCTCCAGCCCAGCTTCAACCCTGGGAAAACACCAGCCCGATCAACTCATTCAGAAGCCCCTCCGAGCAAAATGGTGCTCCGGATTCCTCACCCAATACAGCCAGCCACTGTTTTACAGACAGTTCCAGGTGTCCCTCCACTGGGGGTCAGTGGAGGTGAGAGTTTTGAGTCTCCTGCAGCACTGCCTGCTGTGCCCCCTGAGGCCAGGACAAGCTTCCCTCTGTCTGAGTCCCAGACTTTGCTCTCTTCTGCCCCTGTGCCCAAGGTAATGCTGCCCTCCCTTGCCCCTTCTAAGTTTCGAAAGCCATATGTGAGACGGAGACCCTCAAAGAGAAGAGGAGTCAAGGCCTCTCCCTGTATGAAACCTGCCCCTGTTATCCACCACCCTGCATCTGTTATCTTCACTGTTCCTGCTACCACTGTGAAGATTGTGAGCCTTGGCGGTGGCTGTAACATGATCCAGCCTGTCAATGCGGCTGTGGCCCAGAGTCCCCAGACTATTCCCATCACTACCCTCTTGGTTAACCCTACTTCCTTCCCCTGTCCATTGAACCAGTCCCTTGTGGCCTCCTCTGTCTCACCCTTAATTGTTTCTGGCAATTCTGTGAATCTTCCTATACCATCCACCCCTGAAGATAAGGCCCACGTGAATGTGGACATTGCTTGTGCTGTGGCTGATGGGGAAAATGCCTTTCAGGGCCTAGAACCCAAATTAGAGCCCCAGGAACTATCTCCTCTCTCTGCTACTGTTTTCCCGAAAGTGGAACATAGCCCAGGGCCTCCACTAGCAGATGCAGAGTGCCAAGAAGGATTGTCAGAGAATAGTGCCTGTCGCTGGACCGTTGTGAAAACAGAGGAGGGGAGGCAAGCTCTGGAGCCGCTCCCTCAGGGCATCCAGGAGTCTCTAAACAACCCTACCCCTGGGGATTTAGAGGAAATTGTCAAGATGGAACCTGAAGAAGCTAGAGAGGAAATCAGTGGATCCCCTGAGCGTGATATTTGTGATGACATCAAAGTGGAACATGCTGTGGAATTGGACACTGGTGCCCCAAGCGAGGAGTTGAGCAGTGCTGGAGAAGTAACGAAACAGACAGTCTTACAGAAGGAAGAGGAGAGGAGTCAGCCAACTAAAACCCCTTCATCTTCTCAAGAGCCCCCTGATGAAGGAACCTCAGGGACAGATGTGAACAAAGGATCATCAAAGAATGCTTTGTCCTCAATGGATCCTGAAGTGAGGCTTAGTAGCCCCCCAGGGAAGCCAGAAGATTCATCCAGTGTTGATGGTCAGTCAGTGGGGACTCCAGTTGGGCCAGAAACTGGAGGAGAGAAGAATGGGCCAGAAGAAGAGGAAGAAGAGGACTTTGATGACCTCACCCAAGATGAGGAAGATGAAATGTCATCAGCTTCTGAGGAATCTGTGCTTTCTGTCCCAGAACTCCAGGTGAGAGCTGGAGAATATTCTCAAGTATTTCGTGGACTCAGTAATATGTATCACTTATTGATATGCCACCTGCTTGCTTGCTGCACTATGGATAGTCCTAAAATCATTTGTATTTGATTTGTGAATGCATTATGGGACATGATTGTGGAGTTGAGGTGAAATGAGATGGAAAGGATGAAATTTTACTTATTATATTAAACTCGTTTACACATTAAATTGAATCACCTGACCATACTTTAAATGCCTTAAAAAATAGTAATAGGCTGGGCTTGGTGGCTCACTCCTGTAGTCCCAGCACTTTGGGAGGCTGAGGTGGGTGGATCACAAGGCCAGGAGTTTCAGACTGGCCTGGCCGACGTGGTAAAACCCCATCTATATTAAAAATAACAAAAATTAGCCAGGCATGGTGGCGGACACCTGTAATCCCTGCTGCTTGGGAGGCAGAGGCAGGAGAATTGCTTGAGCCCGAGAGACAGAGGTTGCAGTGAGCCGAGATCACGTCATTGCTCTCCAGCCTGGGCAACAGAGCAAGGCTCTGTCTCAAAAAAAAAAAAAAAAAAAAAAAAAAAAAAATAGTAAATAACTGGGCACGGTGGCTCACGCCTATAAATCCCAGCACTTTGGGAGGCCAAGGCGGGCAGATCACCTGAGGTCGGGAGTTCAAAACCAGCCTGACCAACATGAAGAAACTCCATCCCTACTAAAAATACAAAATTAGCTGGGCGTAGTGGCACATGCCTGTAATCCCAGCTACTCAGGAAGTTGAGGCAGGAGAATTGCTTGAACCGGGGAGGCAGAGGTTGCGGTGAGCCACGATTGCACCATCTCACTCCAGCCTGAAAACTATCTTCAGGTTACAGAAGTTTGTAAAAGGGAACTTCTTCCCCTCTCCTGCTGTCAGGCCGAATGTCAGCTATCACTGGGATTTCTTTTTTTTGTCTTGTTTTGTGTGTGGTTTTTTCTGTGTTTTTTTTTTGTTTGTTTTTGTTTTTGTTTTGAGATGGAGTCTTACTCTGTCTCCCGGATTGGAGTGCAGTGGCATAATTTCAGCTCACTGCAACCTCCACCTCCCGGGTTCAAGCAATTCTCATGCCTCAACCTCCCAAGTAGCTGGGATTACAGGCATGTACCACCATGCCTGACTAATTTCTGTATTTTTAGTAGAGACGTGGTTTCATCATGTTGGCGAGGCTGGTCCTGAACTCCTGGCCTCAAGTGATCCACCCACCTCGGCCTCCCAAAGTGTCAGGATTACAGGCGTGAGCCACTGTACCTGGCCCATTGCTGGGATTTCATAACTCAAGGAATTCCCCTCAGGACAGCTGTAGTGGGCTCCCCATTGTTTAACTTCAGATTATCCTGATATAGCTTTGTGTTGTTTGCAATTCATGAGCCACTAAGAGCCATTATAAGTACTCTTTGGAGGGTTTTACAGGAAACAATGGAGAAACTGACTTGGCTGGCATCTGAAAGGCGCATGAGTCAGGAGGGTGAGTCTGAAGAAGAGAATTCTCAGGAGGAGAACTCTGAGCCAGAAGAAGAGGAGGAAGAAGAAGCAGAAGGAATGGAAAGCCTGCAGAAAGAGGATGAAATGACGGATGAAGCAGTTGGAGACTCTGCTGAGAAGCCTCCTACTTTTGCTTCACCTGAGACTGCTCCAGAAGTGGAGACCAGCAGAACTCCACCAGGTGAGCTAGGCAAACCTATACTGAAGGACCATTCTCACTTAACCTCATTGTCTAGAGGACAGTGTGCAGGGTGGGTAGCTTATAAACCAGGTGGAGGATTTCCAGAGGAAACCCTCTGGATCTCTTCTGCAACACCCCTCCCCCAAAACATGTTTAATGTGGTATCTTTGTGGAGAACAGATACTCAGAAATTTTTAATTCAATTCTCATCCGTTGCTAGATTTATATTAGCTTCGTTCACTTTCTTTCTTTTTTTTATTTTTTTATTTTTTTTTTGAGACGGAGTCTTGCTCTGTCGCCCAGGCTGGAGTGCAGTGGTGCGATCTTGGCTCACTGCAACCTCTGCCTCCCAGGTTCAAGCGATTCTCCTGCCTCACCCTCCTGAGTAGCTGGGATTACAGGCATCTGCCCCCACACCCAGCTAATTTTTGTATTTTTAGTAGAGATGGGGTTTTACCATGTTGGTCAGGCTGGTATCGAACTCCTAACCTTATGATCCACCCGCCTCGGCCTCCCAGAGTGCTGGGATTACAGGCGTGAGCCACTGTGCCTGGCAGTTCACTTTGTTAAACTGATTGTTACCTTATCTGTCATGTGTGGGGCTAAGACCCATGTTTATTTCAGAAAACACTGCTTGTTCCTCATCAAGACATAGTCTCTCAAAAGCACTACAGAAGCCACACTTGCTCTTTAGACTTCCTTTCTCAATATGAAGTAGCTGATTATCTTGTTGTCATCCCAATTAAGGCAGTTACACTGCAGACTCTGCGTAGAACTGACTTGACGGACTTAGTTCTCATACCATTTTCCCAAAAACCTTTTCCTTGAATTGCTCCATAATATTGAATAGGATTTGGCTGGGGTGGTGCATGTGGTGGAATGGGAAGAACACAGGTTGCAGGGACAGGGAAACAATCCTTTTCATGTGTGCTACAAGGAGAGAGCATCAAAGCTGCTGGAAAAGGCCGGAACAATCATCGAGCTCGCAACAAGCGGGGAAGTCGGGCTCGGGCCAGCAAGGACACCTCCAAGCTGCTGTTGCTGTATGATGAGGACATTCTCGAGCGAGATCCACTCAGGGAGCAGAAGGACTTGGCCTTTGCCCAAGCTTATCTGACCAGGGTAGGCAAATGCTGCTTCCTGTTATTGCCAGTCTCTATGAATGTGGCTGCTTCTTCAAGGGAGATGTTTTTCAACATAAAGTCTGTTTTTCAGGCTATGCAACAGGCTTCATATTCCTCTATCTTGGCTTTTCTGGCAAAAGATCTCTGTGACAGAACCACAAGGAGACATAGAATTCAATCATAAGTATGTTTATTGTTAGTACCCTGCCATCATCCTTCTGTTGACCAGAGATTGGCAGAAAGATGATACCACCATCATCAGTGGGAGGTTGTGACTTTACTGGGTGCGCTGATAAGGACCTTTATAGAACCTTTGGCTTGAGAAGAAAGATAGTGGGTACACTGGCCAGCAAGTGGATTTCAGGAAAATACATTGCTCTTAAGACATGAACCAGCTGGGCGTGGTGGCTGACACCTATAATCCCAGCACTTTGGGAGGCCGAGGTGGGTGGATCACCTGAGGTCAGGAGTTAGAGACCAGCCTGACCAACATGGTGAAACCCTGTCTCTACTAAAATACAAAAATTAGCCGGGTGTGGTGGTGGGCGCCTGTAATCCTAGCTACGGGGGAGGCTGAGGCACAAGAATCACTTGAACCTGGGAGACGGAGTTTGCAGTGAGCCGAGATCGCACCACTGCACTCCAGCCTTGGTGACAGGGCGACACTCTGTCTCAAAAAAAAAAAAAAAATGAACCAGGCTGGGCGCTGTGGCCCTTGCATATAATGCCAGCACTTTGGGAGGCTGGGGTAGGAGGATCCTTGAGTCCAGGAGTTCAAGACAAGACAAGCCTGGGCAACACAGGAGACCTCCATCTCTACAAAAATAAAAAAAAAATAGTGAGCTAAGCATGGTGGTGCATGCCTGTGGTCCTAGGTACTTTGGGAGTCTGAGGTGGGAGGATCACTTGGGCCCAGGTGGTTGAGACTGCAGTGAGCCATGATTGCATCAGTGCACTCCATCCTGGGCAACAGAATGAGACCCTGTCTCAAAAAAAAAAAAAAAAAAAAAAACCACACATAAGCTAACCACTTCTTGGTAGTGTCCTGGAGAACTGTGTCCTTCTCTTGGTAACCACCTGATTCCTTTATCCCCCTGGAAAGCAGAATACTGGCAATGATAGTCATAGCTTTTTCTTATCTCCTAATGTTTTACTGACATTCCTAACTTATGTATTATTTACTCTCAAATTACGCCCATGCTGAAATACATGTACAAACACATGTTACCTATTTCATTATGGGGCTGTAATCAGTAAGGAAAGGTTAGGGCTGTGACCTAGAGAAAAGCATTGCTTGGTTTTGTGGGTAGAACTGTGGAACGTGGAAGATGATTTTTCACTTGCTCACTCCCAGAAAAAGATCTTTACCTTGCCTATTGCTCTGTGTCTTCCATTAACAGTCAGATGTTAAGATCTGTTGGAGGCACAGCCTCTGATGGATAATTCTTGGAGCTCTCTAACCATAACCCTGCCTTCTCCCTTGTACCCTTATTGCTTGTTGTGGCCCAAATAAAGGGTGTTGATGATTGAAAGTCTTCCCGTGTAGGTGCGAGAAGCCCTACAACATATCCCTGGCAAGTATGAAGACTTCCTTCAAGTCATCTATGAATTTGAGTCAAGTACCCAGAGACGGACGGCTGTAGATCTCTACAAAAGCCTGCAAATTCTGCTCCAAGACTGGCCTCAGCTGTTGAAAGACTTTGCTGCTTTCCTGTTACCTGAGCAAGCTCTGGCCTGTGGATTAGTAAGTGAATGGGGAAAAAAAGTACACTGGGACTCCTGGGTCAGAGTGAGACTGGGATTGAATGGGGTTGAATAAGACTCTTTCAGTCTCCCAGCTCCTTCCAGACACACAGCCATCCCCTAGCCCAGAGTGATAAAAGCCTCTGTCTTTTCAGGGTATTATCTTTCCAATCCCATTCTCCCATTTTCTTTACATGATAAATGAGAGGGTTTTACCTATAGTTGCCAAAGGACACCTTAGGTGAGTCATATGCTCTCTGCTTCTCACTGGTATCAAGCCAGACATTCATTTAACAAATATTTGTTAGGTGCCTCCTAACTGTCAGGAATTCCTAGCAATTCCTGACCTCAATTGCTAGGAATATAGTAATTACAAAAGACTAAAATTCCTGCCCTCGTGGAGCTTACGTTATCATGAGGAAATTCAGATGATACTCCAGAAAACATATATATATATATATCATATATATATATATATAATATATAAAATATAAATTATAAAAATAAATATAAACAGCAAAATATATAGTATACAATGTTTTATAGTGATCATGTTTTACAGAAAAATAAAGCAGGAAAGGAAACTAGAGGGGTGGTTTTATACACAGCGGTCTGGGAAGGCCACTGTGGTATGGTAACGTGAAATGTTGCAGAATAGGAGGCTAAACATGAGGGATATCCCAGTAGTCCTGGACTTATCGTCATAAAAATAGGAACAAAGGGAGGAACGGGATTATTCTAAGAGTTTTATTGGGGTTAAATGACAGTGGGGTAGTTCTGCATATAATGTGTGATGCCCATTTTCTCTTCTGGTATTATGAGGTTCCAATCAGTGTATACGTGAACAAAAAAAAAAATTTTTTTTTTTTTGAGATGGAGTTTCACTCTTGTTGCCCAGGCTGGAGTGCAGTGGCGTGATCTCGGCTCACTGCAACCTCCGCCTCCTGGGTTCAAGCGATTTTCCTGCCTCAGCCTCCCGAGTAGCCGGGATTACAGGCATGCGCCACCACCACGCCTGGCTAATTTTGTATTTTTAGTAAAGACGGGGTTTCTCCATGTTGGTCAGGCTGGTCTCGAACTCCAGACCTCAGGTGATCTGCCCACCTCGACCTCCCAAATTGCTGGGATTACAGGTGTGAGCCACCACACTTGGCCAAAAAATTTTTTTAAAGAGATAATGTCAGCCAGGTATGGTGGCTCACACCTGTTATCCCAGCACTTTGGGAGGCCAGCCTGGACAACATAGCAAGACCCCATCTTTACATAAAATAAAAAAATTAACTAACTGGGTGTGGTGGTGCACACCTTTGGTCCCAGCTATTTGGGTGGCTGAGGTGGGAGGACCACTTGAGCCTGAGAGGTTGAGGCTTCACTCAGCCATGATTGCTCCACTACACTCCAGTTTGGGTGACAAGAGCAAGACCTTGTCTCAAAAACAAAAAAGAGAGAGACAATGGCCAGACACAGTGGCTGGCATCTGTAATCCCAGCACTTTGGGAGGCTAAGGTGGGAGGATCCCTTGTAGCCAGGAGTTTTGTTGTTGTTGTTTTATTGTTGTTGTTTTTTGAGGCAAAGTCTGACTCTGTCACCCAGGCTGGAGTGCAGTGGTGTGATCTCTGCTTACTGCAACCTCTGCCTCCCAGGTTCAAGTGATTCTCCTGCCTCAGCCTTCCGGGTAGCAGGGATTACAGGCATGCATGACCGCACCTATCTAATTTATGTATTTTTAGTAGAGATGGGGTTTCACCATGTTGGTCAGGCTGGTCTCGAACTCTTGACCTCAGGTGATTTGCCTACCTCGGCTTCCCGAAGTGCTGGGATTACAGGCATCAGCCACCACAGCTGGCCTGTAGACAGGAGTTTGAGATGAGCCTGGACAACACAGGCCCCTGGGATCCTCCTGCCTCAGCCTCCCAAGTAGCTCAAGCTACAGGTGTACACCACGGCCCCTGCCTAATTTTTAAATTTTTTTGTAGAGACATAGTCTCAGTATGTTGCTGTTCTTGAACTCCTGGCCTTAAGCGATCCTCCTGCCTTGGCCTCCCAACATGGGATTACAGCTATGAGCCACCTTGTGCAGCCTGAAAGTTCTTTGTAATATAAACTCTAAAGTATCATATGAATTTTGGTGGCTGATTTCACAATCCTTAAAACAGCAAACAACTTGAAATATATACATCTCTTGAAGCTGTTGCTCACATCTTAATTGCTTTGGGTGGCTACCCACCAGTGGCCCAAGGTGGATGGAGGTTAGGGTTTTAAATTAGATCTCAATAGTTGTAAACTAGAATTTTAAACCAGGGTTCTGTCATCTCTTGTGTCCTAGTCCACTAGTTCTTATCCTTAGAACCCTCAAGTCCTGCTCTAGCTGTATCATGACTCCTCTTTTGCCCACTTTCCACTCTGGTAGTTTGAGGAGCAGCAGGCTTTTGAGAAGAGCCGCAAGTTCCTTCGGCAGCTGGAGATTTGCTTTGCAGAGAACCCCTCACACCACCAGAAGATTATCAAGGTCCTCCAAGGCTGTGCAGACTGCCTTCCCCAGGAGATCACCGAGGTATTCTTTCCTGTCCTGCTTTCTTCCTGTTGTCTTCCGGGCCTTAGGCCTTTCCCTTGTCTCTTTCCCCAACCTACTCCATACCTTTTTGCCTCTGGAGGCTCATGGGCTTCCTGGAGGAGATGAAAAAGGCAAGGACTTTTCAGGCTCACCCAAAGCATAAAGCACTGGGATAGGGAGGGATTGCTACCTGAAACCGGAGCCTGTCTGATCTTCACAGGCTCAGGAATGCCATGGATGTGCTGGAAGGGATGTTCAGCGAAGGAGGTTCTGGGACCTGGGAGGGGCCTTACCTCCTTGCTCTGCTTGGAATAGTGCCCTAGCTGGAGATCAGTAGGGTGGAGTGGAGAGTGGAATCATTAGGAATCAAATCCAGTATTAGTACCCTTCCCCTATAGGCAGCTAAGGAGGAAGAGAAAGTTTTAGTATTCTTTGTTACCAGGCAGAGTCTCTGTGTGTTTCCCAGTTGACTGGGAAAGCAGAACATGGAAGTATGTGGGATTGATTGGGAAGGGCAGCCTAGAGAGGCTCTGGAGACTTCCTCTTTCCCTCTGTGACTCTCCTCAGCTCAAGACACAGATGTGGCAGCTCCTCAAGGGCCACGACCACCTGCAGGATGAGTTTTCTATCTTCTTTGACCACTTGCGCCCAGCAGCTAGCCGGATGGGTGACTTTGAAGAGATCAATTGGACTGAGGAAAAGGAGTATGAGGTATAGGACCTAAGGCTGCTGTAGCCTTATGAAGGGGGAAGGCCACACGTGGGAGGGATATTGGCCTGGTGTCTGTGCTCAGCAGCACCAACTCCTTCTCAGTTTGATGGCTTTGAAGAAGTGGCCCTGCCTGATGTGGAAGAAGAGGAGGAGCCTCCCAAGATACCCACAGCCTCAAAGAACAAGAGGAAAAAAGAGATCGGGGTCCAAAATCATGATAAGGTATTTTCTTTGTTTATTTGTTTGTTTTTGAGACAGAATCTCGCTCTGTCACCCAAACTAGAGTGCAGTGGCGTAATCTTGGCTCACTGCAACCTCCACCTCCCAGATTCAAGCGATTCTCCCACCTCAGCCTCTCAAGTAGCTGGAATTACAGACAGGCGCCAGCCACCACGCCCAGCAAATTTTTGTATTTTTAGTAGAGATGGATTTTCACTATGTTGGCCAGGCTGGTCTCGAACTCCTTACCTCAAGTGATCCACCCGCCTCGGCCTCCCAAAGTGCTGGGATTACAAGTGTGAGCCACTACGCCTGGCCTAAAATCATGATAAGGTATGCCAAGTTATTGAAAATTATCTATGTTTCATGAATCAAGCCTTGCGTTTTCTCACTGAACATTTCTGTGGCTTACTATGGCCCAAGGTTTCTAGTTCAAAGGCTCTAGGATCTGAGACGATCACGGAGAACAAACCAAAGGTCAGGCTGATACAGACATGCAGAGCCTTTGGGAAAACTGCAGTTGTTGCAGGGGCCCCAGGATTCCCTAGTTAGAAGGATTTGTTTCTTCCCCTTTTCTGTCTAGCTCAGAGTTATTACCCTTAATTCAACTTTTTTCATTTTTGCTCATGTGAGAAAATAGAGCCAATTGAGGATGAGCTTGTTATTAAAAAAATAAAATAGAACCAAGATTCCCCATATTAATAATAATGATAGCAGCTAATACTTAGTTGTATTACAAAGTGTCAGGCATTCTGGGAAGTATTTTAATGGATTATTGACACATTTAATTCTCACAGTAATCCTATGGAGAGATTGCTCTTGTTTGCATTTTACAGAAGACATAACTGAAGTGCAGAGAGGCTGTTGTCAGGGTCTCATATTTAGTAAGTGGTGGTGCTAGGATATGAACTCCTCAGGTAAGCCATCTGTGGAGTCTACTGGTTGTCACTGCTCTTCAAGCAGTATTTTTTTTTTTTTTTTTTAATTCGTGTTTCCTGACCAAGCGTTTTTTCTCTTTTCTGGGGAGAAACTGCTTCTTAGTAGCTGTATGACCTTGGGAAACGTATTTAACCTCTCTTTGTTTCAGTTTCTTCATCATAAATTGGGATGATAATGGTACTTACTTACGTCTTGGGTTTATTAAACAGTGTCACTGAGTAGGCTTTCCATGGGTACAAAGTTCTCTCTGAAGGGGATTGGAAGAGATGGGAGAGCTGAAGTCACAGAGAGACAGAAACAAAGACATTATATCTCATGATGGAGCTCTCCAGTGATTTTGCCTCAGATTATGTCTGACTTAAATATTTCTTGAAACATCTGGGGCAATTGGGATATGTCAGTCTTTAGGTCATTTAGGGATTGTTTCAGGGATTCATAATAGGCCTTAATCTAGTTTGGGCTATTGATTTCCCCAGGCGATGTGAGGAGTTGATACATAAAAGAGGATGGGGTCCGGGCGTGGTGGCTCATGCCTGTAATCCCAGCATTTTGGGAGGTCGAGGTGGGTGGATCACTTGAGGACAGGAGTTCAAGACCAGCCAGAGTAACATTGCGAATTCCTATCTCTACTAAAAATACAAAAATTAGCCATAGGCTAGGTGCTGTGGCTTACACCTCTAATGCCAGCACTTTGCAAGGCCAAGGCGGGCGGATTACTTCAGGTCAGGAGTTCGAAACCAGCCTGGTCAACATGGCGAAATCCCATCTCACTGAAAATACAAAAAAAATTAGGCTTAGTGGCATGCGCCTGTAATCCCAGCTACTTGGGAGGCTGAGACATGGGAATCGCTTGATCCCGGGGAGTGGAAGTTGCGCTAAGCTGAGATCACGCCACTGCACTCCAGCCTGGGAGAAAGAGCGAGACTCCATCTCAAAAAAAAAAAAAAAAAAAAATTAGCTAGGCGTGGTGGTGCGCAGTCCCAGCTACTTGGGAGGCTGAGGTGGGAAAATCACTTGAGCCCAGGAGGCAGAGGTTGCAGTGAGCCATGAATGTGACACTGCACTCTAGCCTGGGTGACAGAGCCAGACCTTATCTCAAAAAAAAAAAAAAAAAAAAAGCATGGGGAGAGGGTGGGCTGTGTTGTGTTCATATGGCTCACAACTTTAGCTTCCTCTCTTGGTACCAAAAATACGGCCAGGCACAGTGGCTCATGCCTGTAATCCTAGCACTTTGGGACGCTGAGGGAGGGCAGATCAAGAGGTCAGGAGTTCGAGACCAGCCTGACCAACATGGTGAAACCCTGTCTCTACTAAAAATACAAAAATTAGCTGGGTGTGGTGGCGCATACCTGTAATCCCAGTTACTCAGGAGCCTGAGGCAGGAGAATCCCTTGAACCTGGGAGGCAGAGGTTGCGGTGAGCTGACATCGTGCCACTGCAACCCAGCCTGGGCCACAGAGCGAGACTCTGTCTCAAAAAAAAAAAAAAAAAAAAAAACAACTTGGCAGCTAATCAAGCCCAAGTATCTCCTAGGAGACTGAATGGCCAGATGGGGCCAAGGACTGTGCCTGCTCCTGCCATGAAGGAGGTCCAGATTCCAAGCTGAAGAAGAGCAAAAGGCGGAGCTGTAGCCACTGTAGCAGCAAGGTGAGGAAAGTATCAAGGGTCCCGAGGGTATCAGAGCTGCTGGGGGATTGTTTGCTACCAAGAATTGTACCTTACTGAATTCCTAAAAAGGCACATATATAAATAACATTCAGTATACACATATGTGTACATATGCAAAATAAATGGAATCTGCTAGAAATACGTGATAGATTTTGTTTTTTAAAGAGAATTCTGTGAGTAAAGCTTTTGGAATTGGAAAAACAAAATACCAGTTAAAATATTTCCCTCAGATATTAGAAAATGAAATAAACCTCTGTCGTGAAAATAGTCTCTACAAGTAATCCTGGTTCTCTAGAATGGAGTTGGTTGGCAGGAAAAACACAGTTCTTGGTGAGAGAAGGAGTTGTGGAATCCAATACTCTATTCGGGGCCATTTAAAATCCTTGGAGCAGGGAGGCAGAGGTTGCAGTGAGCCATGATGATACCACTGAGCTCCAGCCTGGGTGACAGAGTGAGACCGTGTTTAAAAAAAAAAAAAATCAAATCCTTGGAGGAATAGCTGGGCAACAGGGCACTCAGGAGGCTCAGGTGGGAGGATCACTTGAGCCCAGGAGTCTGAGGCTATAGTGTACCACCATGGTCATGCCTGTGTAAACAGCCACTGCACTCCAGCCTGGGCAAGATAATCTGTGTCATCTGAGACCCTGTCTCTGTCTATCTTTTCTTTTTGTTTGTCATTTGAGACAGAGTCTCACTATGTTACCCAGGCTGATCTTGAACCCTTAGGCTCAAGTGATGCTCACACCTTAGCCTCCCAAGTAACTAGGTTTATAGGCATGTACCACTGCACCCAGTTGAAACTCTGTCAACAAAATTGTTGGAGCAGACATGCATGTGGGTTGACTTGATGAGCATCAGGCAGGGCTTCTTCCTTTGGTGGGCCCCAACCAAAGACATAGGCAGTCAGAACACCTTTGACCCGGAAGACCATCCCTGCAGGTCTGTGACAGCAAATCCTACAAGAGCAAGGAGCCCCATGAGTTGGTGGGCAGCAGCCCCCACCGAGAGGCTAGTCCTATGCCTGGTGCTAAGGAAGCTGGGCAGGGCAAGGATATGATGGAAGAGGAAGCCCCAGAGGAGCGGGAGAGCACTGAGGCCACCCAGAGCAGGACTGTCAGGACCACCAGAAAGGGAGAGATGCCTGTTTCAGGTGAGTGATTTGCCAACGCAGCCCTTCTGTTCCTCAGTCTCGTTATCCTGTACTCCAGACAGGAACCTCCATGAGCCTGGATAAATAGCCTTTTCAGGGATGGATATACCACCTCTTTCACTGATGGACCCATAGGAAGCCCTTCTGCTGTTCAGGCTTTTTCTATCATATGGCCTCACTCCTCTTGCAGAATTAAGAATGCCACAAATTTCATGCAATTCAACATTGTCTTGTGTTTTATTCCAAAAACCCTTCCCCCTGTCTCCAAATCTAGTGTAATCTACATCCTAAAGACTGGGCCGTTCTCAGCTTTGGCAGTAGGACTTTATATCTTTGCATAAGTGACATTATGCCCCCCACCTCCACCCAACTCTTTTATTATTTATATTTTCTTGTAGAGATGGAGTCTCACCATATTGCCCAGGCTAGTCTCAAACCCCTGGCAGTCCCACCACTTTGGCTTCCCAAAGTGCGGACATTATAGGTGTGAGCCACCATGCCCAGCCCTCTTTTTTATTAGAATTTTTGCACAGTACCTGGCCACAGGTAATTTCTCGTGCTTAGGTGCATCTTGAACCTGACAGTACCCTGAGATCCTTATTTTCCTCCTAAGCAGGATTGGCAGTGGGGAGCACTTTGCCATCCCCTCGAGAAGTGACTGTTACAGAACGGCTCCTCCTGGATGGCCCACCACCTCATTCACCAGAGACTCCTCAATTTCCCCCCACAACTGGAGCTGTACTGTACACTGTTAAGAGAAACCAGGTTGGGCCTGAGGTTCGCTCCTGCCCCAAGGCATCCCCCAGACTTCAGAAAGAGAGGGAGGGCCAAAAGGCAGTGAGTGAGTCAGAGGCTTTGATGCTGGTCTGGGATGCATCAGAAACTGAGAAATTGCCTGGTACCGTGGAACCCCCTGCTTCCTTCCTGAGTCCTGTTTCCTCAAAGACCAGAGATGCAGGGAGAAGACATGTGTCCGGGAAACCAGACACTCAAGAGAGATGGCTGCCCTCAAGCAGAGCTCGGGTGAAGACAAGAGACAGGACGTGCCCTGTCCATGAATCTCCATCAGGAATTGACACCTCAGAGACTTCTCCCAAAGCCCCTAGAGGGGGTTTGGCTAAAGACAGTGGAACACAGGCCAAGGGTCCAGAGGGGGAGCAGCAGCCAAAGGCCGCAGAAGCTACGGTGTGTGCCAACAACAGCAAGGTCAGCTCCACTGGGGAAAAGGTTGTCCTGTGGACAAGGTAGGTAAGGGTGGATGACGTGTGTTTGGAAAAGAGCATAGACCACATCCATGTGGCTCCCTAGGGTTAATCATGATACCTGGGTTACAGGGAAGCTGACCGTGTGATCCTCACCATGTGCCAGGAGCAAGGGGCACAGCCACAGACCTTCAACATCATCTCCCAGCAGCTGGGAAATAAGACCCCTGCTGAGGTAGGTGCGGGTTGGGGTGAAGACCTGGCAAAAAGAGGTCAAGGTGGCCAACTAACAGACAGAAAGGCCAAAGAAGGAGTTTTGATATCCAAGATAATAAGTGGTTTTTGTAAAGGTTTGATCTAAGGAAAGGCTTGACTCATCAGGGTGGTAGTGGTTCTAGAAGAGAAAGGACACTAGATTTTGAGGATTTTTAAATTTTTATTTATTTATGTATTTTAGACGCAGTTTCACTTGTCGCCTAGGCTGGAGTGCAGTGGCACAATCTCAGCTCACTACAACCTCCACCTCCCAGGTTCAAGTGATTGTCCTGCCTCAGCCTCTCCCAAAGTAGCTGGGATTACAGGCACCCACCACCATGCCAGGCTAATTTATTTATTTTTAGTAGACACGGGGTTTCACCATGTTGGCAAGGCTAGTCTTGAACTCCTGACCTCAGGTTATCCACCTGCCTCAGCCTCCCAAAGTGCTGGGAATAGGTGAGATACTGCGCCCGGCCAGGATTTTAAAGTGGAAGCCCCAGTTTCCATTCCAGTTTTGTTTTTAGGAGTTGTGTGACTTTGGGCAAAACATTTAGCCTCTTGAGTTTCCTTATCTATAATGACATAGCTCTCCCAACCTTGCTGTGAGGAATAAACAAGAGATTTTTCAAATCAGTATATTGTGCTTCATAAATGTTAACATTGTTACAAAGCATCAGTGAGGCTGGGCGCAGTGGTTCATTCCTGTAATCCCAACACTTTGGGAGGCCGAGGTGGGTGGATCACCTGAGGTCAGGAATTTGAGACCAGCCTGGCCAACATGGTGAAACCCCATCTCTACTAAAAATATAAAAACTAGTCAGGTGTGGTGGTGGGCACCTGTAATCCCAGCTACTCTGAAGGCTGAGGCAGGAGAATTGCTTGAACCCAGGAGACGGAGGTTGCAGTAAGCTGACACAGTGCCACTGCACTCCAGTCTCAGCAACAGAGAGAGACTCCGTCTCAAAAACAAAAAAAAAAGACCAGTGAATACAGCCCTCCTCCTTTCTTAGGTTTCCCACCGTTTTCGAGAACTCATGCAGCTCTTCCACACTGCCTGTGAAGCCAGCTCTGAGGATGAGGATGATGCAACCAGTACCAGCAATGCAGACCAGCTGTCTGACCATGGGGACCTTCTGTCTGAAGAGGAGCTGGATGAATGAGACTCTGGGAATCATCTACACAGGACCAAACCCAACAGGCGCCCTGGCACCGGGGAGGGGGTAGTTGTACTCTGCTTGTACAGTCCTTGAGCCCAGTTTACAGATCTGGAGAGCAGGAGGCCAGGACAAGGACAAAGGCTGGAGGATGGAGTAGGACCCAGGGGCTCTGCCATCCTAGGCATCATTCAAGGTCTTTTATGAAGACTTTACAGATGTCCTCTGTAAATAGCATCGAGAGTGGAGTTCAGCTCCTTTCTCTACTTTTTTTTGGTCTGATGGCACATATTTATTGTTCTGTGGTCTAATCACAGTGTTTCTAAATGTAAAAAGTGCATATGTTGGTGTAGCTAGTCCCGCGACATTGAGCTCCTCTGCATGAAGACACTGGGCTCCTGCATCCAGCTGTTTTTATTGCAAACTAGCTCCTTTCTCCCACACTGGGAACTTTAGTCCACGAGGCTGTCACCACCCTGGTAGCACTGGGCCAGGCTTTGTAGCTCCTGCAGCAGCTCTGCTACGTCATCGTGCTCCACTCCAGCATCCATGAAGCTGGCCCAGCGCCGCAAGTCGAGTTTGGTGAGGTCTCTGGCCAAGGCTTCCAGGGTCTGGTGCAGGGACGAAGAGGAACACAGTGCCCCAAACACTGGGATGCTCTCCACTGCTGTGGAGGGAGAGGAAACAGAGACCTGTAGATGGATGATTATTCTGCCCTGGGACTCGCCAAACTGATAAGGAAGTCCAACCTTAGTAGACTTGATTGTAAACTCAACAAATTTGGTGTATTGTCCCCTTAGTACACCAGTACTCCAGAGGAAGAATGCTTTTCTTGGGAGCCATAGGGTGAATAAAGGAATGTTTAACTGTGGACTTTTTCAGCACTTTTAATCCAGGAATGGAGATAGTAAAACCTCTCCCATACTTGAAATCTCAGTTTTCTTCACCTCCTACATACCTGCTCCCTTGGGGGAACCATCCAGAACCATACCCGGTGGACTGCAGCTTGAGAAGAGGTGGGGGTAAGGAGGAGCCACCCTGCAGGGAGTCAGCAGCAGATGGGAAGAACTGTGGGGGCAGAGAACAGCCATTAAGTGCGTAAGAAGTCAAGGGAGGGTTGCGGTTGGCAAGAAGGGCAGGAGCAACCGTTACACTGACCTCATGACTCCAGGCTGCTGCTGTTGTAAATACTGAGCCAAGATTTCTTCCCCAGTGGTACATGCATGAAGGGCAGAGGGTGGAGGTGTCCCTGGGGTGAGCTGGCTGCCATAACAAAGCCAAAACCACCATTAGTCTGTGGCAGCATGAATAACAAACTAAGAATTCTTTTTCTTTTTGAGACAGAGTTTTGCTCTTGTTGCCCAGACTGGAGTGCAATGGTGTGATCTCGGCTCACTGCAACCTCCACCTCCCAGGTTCAAACAATTCTTCTGCCTCATCCTCCCAAGTAGCTGGGATTGCAGGCATGTGCCACCATGCCTGGCTAATTTTATGTTTTTAGTAGAGATGGGGTTCACCATGTTGGTCAGGCTGGTCTCGAATTCCTGGCCTCAGGTGATCTGCCCACCTCAGCCTCCCAAAGTGCTGGGATTACAGGCGTCAGCCACCATGCCTAGCCCAAGAAACTTAAGAATTTTTATGTTATCAGGCCATCAGCTGGATCAAGATATTCAAAGCCCTTCTTTTTATCCTTTTTAAGGGGTGGGGAGGGAACAACATCATTAGAATGCCCGAGAAATTAGGGGGAAAAGGACATGAAACAAAAATCTGACAAGGACTCCTAAGGACCAACAGCTCTCACCTTGTGTGGCATGCTCTGTCTATACCCTCAGCACCACTGACTGGGCAAAGCAACGTGTTCCAGAAGGCTCCCCACATGCAGACAGTGGGGTCCATGGGGTGGCTCCTCCAAACTGCATCAGGGAATCAGGAAGGGACTGGCCTGGAGCCAAGGGGAAAGGGATGATTGCTCCTGCTGTCACCACTTAAAGAGAAGGAAGAGAACACGTTATAGGACATTTTCTCAGCACTGACCCAACCCCTCACAAAGCTTCATACCTTTTTCCCACAGAAGCTCAGCATGTCAGCCAGATGAACCATGGAAACTGGAGAGGAACACAGGCGATAAGGAACAGTGACTGTGTCCAGGGCTGTAGCCAGGATGGCACTGCAGTGGAAGGGCAGAATGGCCTGTAAGAAGACACCAAGAGGGGCACTTGGCCTCGGGCCTGGAAAAGAATGTGTGGAGGCAGAATGTTAACACCAGAGAGACCCAGGGGATGAATCAGGGGTATGTTTGACCCCAGGCTGGACAAGCATAGGACAGTGTGATCTGAGAGGCCACATCACAGCTGAGTTCAAGCTCGGGCCTCAGGAACAGAGCCAGTACAGACAGCGACTGACTGGGAGCATGAGGAGGCCCTGTAGCCTGCCGCAGTCAGAACAAGAGCACCGAGACTTACATCATAATGCAGGTAAGGGAAGTTGACAGGTGGCTCAGGTCGCAGGCCCAGGCTCCCACCCAAGGACAAGGGGCAGACGAGAGCTGTGAGCAGTCAGGTGCACGAGACCAAAAGCTGTGTTTAATAGACGATAGATGTTTCTCTGGGCCTCCTCGTAAAGAAAAAAACCAGTTTGCATTAAGCCACTCTCCCAATGGGATTCGAATGTTTACTCCTCCAAGTTCCACTCACCCCACGATGGTAGGGACCAGGTAGCAGGCCCCAAGTTATTATTCCCCGCCCTGAATATTCATCTTGTAGCAGCTCTGCCGCCTTCGCGCCTACCCCAGAGAAGCCATCGTGCAGGTCACACAGGATCTGGAAGCCCTGGGCGGGGGTGAGTGACGAAAGATAGTTAGCAGGATGAGAAGAGCTTCCACCCTGGAGTGCACATTGCCACGCCACTACCTGCAAGTAGTCACATTCCTCCACGTAGAAATGCAGCCTGTCCTCCAGCTCTTCCTGGTACTTGGGTTCCTTTAGGACACTTTCCCCTTGGCCAAAAGCCTCCAGCCGACCTGCTTCCCTGCCACAAGTAAACACGATCCAAGACTTACATCTCTTCCCTCAACTCCTCAGCCTCTTGTCCTGGGGAAGGGCAGGGAAGATGGCCTCAAGAGCCTCATCCTGCATTGGTGGGGACCCATGTTTCTTGCCTCAAAGCCTCTGGGGTCCCCATACCCATCGTGGTTGTACTTCTGAATCATACAGATGCTCCGGGGATGGAGATGGACTCTGAGGAAGTCTGACCAGACCCTGATGCTGGCCTCTGTAGGGATAAGTGGTTTTGGAGTTGTAGCGGTGGGGAGTGGTGAGGAACCTGAAGACAAGCAGAGGAAATGTACCTTTCTCCATGTTTCTGCTCTACCCAAGCCCCCATCCATCAGTATCTGGAGAAGTCTCACCTTTGCCATTGGGAATGGATTTGACCCTCCAGACACCATCACTACTCAGCACTCCCTGGGAGGGGTCAGAAAAATCGACATTTAGTTCCAGGCAGTTTAGAGGCAAAGGTTGCTTCATCCTCCTTGAGTTGGCTGGCCACACCGCATAGCCTCCTTTCTGTTCACCGAGTCGCAGTCCTTAGGAAAAGGAGTGCTTTTTCCCAAAATATCATTCTAAGACATTTAAAATGATTAAAATCCCCGTTTACCTGCCCCTATGGAGACCCTCAGGTTGTGGCACCGGGTTAAAAAGTTCAGGACAGAGGCCCTCACCTCTGCACTCAGAAAGTCTTGGAGATAAGGGTTCTTGGGATAGAGTTCCTCTTTGTGTGTGGTGAGCTTCCCCTGCCTGAAAGAGTTTGGAGATTGATCAAAGAAACTGCACTCTGATCAGAGTTATCCAGCGTTCTGCGTACATACACGATCCCCACCCTTATCCATACATCAGTTACACACCATGCTATTGCAGCATCCAACTGTTTGTCCCTGTAGAGTCCACCTTCCTCTTTTAGGGAGCTCAAACTACCTGTACAGAAATAACAGAGACAATGTTAGGTCAAAGCCTGGGCACCCTTCCCCTCTAGCTAACCTTCCTCTGATCACCTGACAACCTGCTGTCACCATCTCTCCAGCACTTGGCTCTTCCAAGCTTTCTGGGATATACACTAGTTGGGGGAAAAACCTTGGCTTAGGAGAATCTAGATTCCATCTTTCGGTTCCCAGCTTAGTCATTAGCTGTGGGACGCGGGGGGAACCACATCCAGGGGTCTGACAGGAGTGCTGCAGTTCAAGTCCTCACTGTCTCCAGGGCCTAGCAGCCTATTCCCGAAATGGCTCTTGAGCAACTGTCGTGGGCCCCTCGAGTGTTGGCATGTTGTGCTCAGCTCCTCATCTCCGGTCCTGGAGCTCGGTAAAGTGGGAGGGTCTTGAAGATAACGGCAGCGCAAGGACTAGGCACGCGGAAGGGAAATAAGGGGCATCGGCTAACTCTGCCACCACCTCACCCTTCAGATCCATGAGGATGAGTCGCGGCGTGTAGGTCTCCTGGCCGTGCAGCGTCCGGCCCGTACGATACAGGACGTCGGGGCACAGCTCTCCCGGGGGCTCCTTGGAATCGGTCGCTCGGCCCAGCGCAGCATCCTGGGGAAGCAGAGAGGACGAGGCAGGCCGGCTGAACGTCGGGACTGTAGATCCCGAAGGGCTCCTCGGGGGCAGCTGCCGGCTGACCTCACCTGCTGGTTCCACCAGTGCGCGCCCACGAAACCGGCAAAATGTCCCAACTGCAGTGTGAGCACCTCCCGGGCCCCGCCCGCCATACTGCGCTGCTCCACGGGGCCGCCGCGCCTCAGCCGCGCCGCTCGCTGCTCCTAGCCGATTGGCTTGGCAGGCGCGTGGGCGGGTGTTATACTGGCGACTTATTGGTCCGCAAACACATCCTTTCCCATTGGAGAAATGATGCGCCGATCCTTTCCTACCTCTTCCTAGACGTGGCCCAGTCCGGCTTCTCTGTGGTTGCCGCGAGAGGCGGGGCTCCACGGGCCACGCCGTTGCTCCTGCTCCACGCTGGAGCGGGGTGGGCGCTGTCTCCGCCGCTGACTTGGGGCCGCCAGGGCGCGGGCCGCGGAAGGCTCTGCCTCGTACTTCCCTTGAGGTCTTATCTCTTCTTACAGATCTCTCCGCTGGCTGATAGCTCCCCGGGCAAAAATGAAACCTTGCCAGAATAGCGGAAGCTCCGCTAAAGCCTCCCATGCCCCCTCATCTCTTCAGAAGTCACACGGATCACGACTCTTCAGAAGTCCACAGATCCCCGTGGACTGACCTAGCTATCATATCTGTATCATTTACATGTATTAATCTATCTCTGTGTATGTAACACTTTATGTAAATAGAGTATTGGCGTCTGTCTTTTGCTCAATATGGTTTATGCAATTTATGTTTTTGCATATATATTTTTCATCTCTGTGGAATAGTCCATTGTATGAATACACCACCACTGATCTATTCTAAAGAATGAATATATTCTGCTGATAATAGCTTTTGGGATTGTTTCCATTGTTTCCAATTTTGGCCTATTAGGTGCTATGATTAACATCCTTGTGTATATTTAGAAAGATAAAGCAAATATTGGCCGGGCGCTAAGCCTCATGCCTGCATTCCCAGGTTTTGGGAGGCTGAGGCAGGAGGATCGCTTGAATCCAGAAATTCCAAACTGGGCAACCTAGTGAGACACCAGCCCCCAACTCCCTATAAAATAATATTTCAAAAAGTTAGCCAGGCGACTCACATCTGTCGTCCCAACTGGAGGCTGAGATGGGAGGATTGCTTGGGCCCAAGAATTCGAGGCTACAGTGACCCATGATCGCACCACTGCACTCCTGTCTGGGCGACAGAGTGAGACCCTGTCTCAAAAAAATACAGATAAAACAAAAAATAAAAAAAAAAAAGTGGCCAGGCGCGGTGGCTCAAGCCTGTAATCCCAGCAGTCTGGGAGACCGAGGTCGGCGGACCACTGAGGTCAAGAGTTGTAGACCAACTTGGCCAACATAGTGAAACCCGTCTCTACTAAAAATACAAAAATTAGCTGGGCATGGTGTTGGGCGCTTGTAATCCCAGCTACTCCGGAGGCTGAGGTAGGAGAATCACTTGAACCCCGGAGGTGGAGATTGCAGTGAGCTGAGATAGCACCACTGCACTCCAAACTGGGCGACAGATCAAGACTCCGTCTGAAAATAAAAAATAAAATCTTAGCCTCTCTTGTCTATTCTGAGCTCCTTGTAATTCCATATTTATTTAGTCTTATTTATTTATTTTGAGACAGGGTCTCACTCTCTTGCCCAGGCTGGTGTGCAGTGGTGCAATCTCGGCTGACCGCAGCCTCAACCTCTTGGGCTGAAGCGATCCTCCCACCTCAGCCTCCTGCATAGCTGCAATTACAGGCATGGACCACCACCACCTGGCTAATTTTTTTTATTTTTTGTACATATGGGGTTTCACCGTCTTGCCCAGGCTGGTCTCAAACTCCTGAGCTCCTGAGCTCAAGTGATCTGCCCACCTCGGCCTCCAAAAGTGTTGGGATTACAGGTGTGAGGCACTGTGCGCAGCTACCATTTCACTTCTAAGTATGATGTGGGCTGAAAAGTTTCTGTAGGTACTCTGACAGCTTAAGGAAATTCTGTATTCCTGTTTTGCTAAGAATTTTGGTCATGAATAGATTTGAATGTTTTTTACAGCTTTCTCCGCACTAAGATAATTACATTATTTTATCATTCCTTTGTTGCACTAATGAATACATCTGATTTTCATGTAATACTATCTTGCATTCCTAAAATTATCCCAAACTCATTTATGTTGATTATCCTTTTAAAATACTGGATCTGGGTTTGGCGTAGTAGCTCATGCCTGTAATCCCAGCACTTTGGGAGGCTGACGTGGGTGGATCACCTGAGGTCAGGAGTTCGAGACCAGCCTGGCCAACATGACAAAACCCCCTCTCTACTAAGAATACAAAAATTAGCCGGAGTCTCGTCCTGTCGCCCAGGCTGGAGTGCAACGGCACGATCTCAGCTCACTGCAACCTCCACTTCCCGGGTTCAAGCGATTCTCCTGCCTCAGACTCCTGAGTAGCTGGGATTACAGGTATGCGCCACCACACCCGGCTAATTTTTGTATTCTTAGTAAGGGTTTCACTATGTTGGCCAGGCTGGTCTCAAATTCCTGACCTCGTGATCTGCCAGCCTCAGCCTCCCAAAGTGCTGGGATTACAGGTGTGAGCCACCGCACCTGGCCAATTTTAATATTTTAAAATATTTAATTTTTAATTTAATTTTTTATTTTTTTTTGAGATAGGATCTCACTTTGTTACTCAAGCTGGAGTGCAGTGGTACAAACAGCTCACTGCAACTTCAACCTCTTGGGCTCAAGCCATCCTCCCACCTCAGCTCCCGCAAGTAGCTGGGACTACAGGCATGTGCCATCACGAATCCAGCTAATTTTTTTTTTTTTTTTTTTTTTTTTGAGACTGAGTCTCATTCTGTCACCCAGGCTGGAGTGCAGTGGCGTGATCTCAGCTCACTGTAACCTCTGCCTCCTGGGTTCAAGCAATTTCCCTGCCTCAGCCTCCCGAGTAGCTGGGATTACAGGCGCCTGCCACCACGCCCAACTAATTTTTGTATTTTTTTAGCAGAGACAGGAGTTTGCCATGTTGGTCAGGCTGGTCTTGAACTCCTGACCTCAGGTGATCTGCCCGCTTTGGCCTCCCAAAGTGCTGAGATTACAGACGTGAGCCACTGCGCCTGGTCAATTTTTGCATTTTTGGTAGAGATGAGGTTTCACCATGGTGCCCAGGCTGGTCTTGAAGTCCTGGGCTCAAGCAATCCTCCCGCCTCGGCATCCCAAAGTGCTGGAATTACAGGCCTGAGTCACTGTGCCCTGCCAGCCAGTATTTTCAACGTACAAAATTTTTAAGTTTTGTGTTTAGTAATTTCACAATCATTTAATTTGAATTACTTTCTCATTTCCATTCTGATCTTTCTCCCTGACCAATGGGCACATCAGAAAAGTATGTTTTAATTTCCAGACACATGAGGAGTTTCTATTTCTCTTTTTGTTACTGGTTTCTAGTTTAAATTGCATTAGAATCAGAGTACACGGCTGTATGATTTAAATTCTTTGAAATATATTGAGCTGGTTTATGGTCCATTGTCAGTCAATTTTGAACAGGTTCTTTATGTGCTTCAAAAGAAAGTACATTCAGAAGTTTTGGGATTTGATAGGTGGAAGGTGAGGCCAGAAAGGCAGGTCCACTCCGTATAACTTCTATTGAAAAAGATCTGTGAGGCCGGGCTCGGTGGCTCACACCTGTAATCCCAGCACTTTGGAAGGCCGAAGTGAGCGGATCACCTGAGGTCAGGAGTTTGAGAACAGCCTGGCCAGTATGGTGACACCCCGTCTCTGCTATAAATACAAAACAGCCGGACGTGGTGGTGTGCACCTGTAAGCCCAGCTACTAGGGAGGCTGAGTCAGGAGGATAGCTTGAACCAAGGTTGCAGAGGTTACAGTGAGCCGAGATCATGCCACTGTACTCCCGCCTGGGCAACAGAGCAAGACCCTTTAAAAAAAATATATATGTGAATAAGTGGACCCATGCAGTCCAAAAACGTTATTGTTTAAGGGTCAACAATAATGACCTGATGTATTTTCTACTTTTTAGAACAACAGATGCTTATTAAATTAATAATATGTTTATTAAAGCATTATTTCATAATCTGCCTTTCTAGAAGTTTGATGATGTCCAAGTTCAGCTTTAGGCAACTTAATTTGCTCTCTTTTCTCTCTGCCTTCCTGGGTTAAAGAAAAGGATAACTGTAGTTAGGCTATTAAAAATAAAGTATGTGAATGTAAAAGAGCTTCTACCAAAAAAAAGTTGTTTGGGGATTCAATTTTTAAAAATACTTCCATTAGGACAAGTGTTAATCATGCTACTCAATCTTTTATATCCTTACTTTTTTTTTTTGAGACAGAGTCTCACACTGTCACCGGGCTGGACTGCAGTGGCGCGATCTCGGCTCACTGCAGCCTCCGCCTCCCAGGTTCAAGCAATTCTCCTGCCTCAGCCTCCCAAGTAGCTGGGATTACAGGTGCCCGCCACTATGCCCGGTTGATGTTTTTGTATTTAGTAGAGACGGGGTTTCACTGTATTACTCAGGCTGGTCTCAAACTCCTGACTTCAGGTGATCCACCCGCCTCGGCCTCCCAAAGTGCTGGGATTATAGGCGTGCACCACCACACCCGGCCCTCTTTTGAATTTTTACTTGCAATTTTAGATTTGTCTCTTGAAGGGTAGCATTGCGTTTGGGTGCATTAGGTCTTCCCAGAAACAGACGATGGGGTTATAGCCTGGCCAAAGTCATTCAAGCCTATACGCCCAGCAATTTGGGAGGCTGAGACAGGTGGATCACTTGAGTCCAGAAGCTTGAGACCAGCCTGGGCAATATAGTGAGATCCCATCTTTATTAAAAAAAAAAATCAAAATTAGCCACGTGTGGTGGTGTGTGCCTGTAGTCCTAACCACTCGTGGAGCTGAGGTAGGAGGATTGAGTCCAGAAGGTCGAGGCTGTAGTGTGGCCTTACACTCCAGCCTGGGTAACAGAGAGTGAGACCCTGTCTCAAAATAATATTAATAAAAACATAAACTTTAGGTCAGTTTCCCTTTTTTATTTCCTTTTTGTTTTTTGAGACAGGGTCTTACTCTGCAGCTGAGGATGAGCAGTGGCATGATCACGGCTCACTGAAACCTCAACCTCTGGGGTTCAAGTGATCCTCCTGCCTCAGCCTCCCAAGTAGCTGGAACTACAGGCGCATGCCACCATACCTGGCTAATTTTTGTATTTGTTGTAGAGCCTAGGCTTCTCCATGTTGCCCAGGCTGGTCTCAAACTCCTAGGCTCAAGTGATCTGCCCACCTCAGCCTCCCAGCATGCTGAGATTACAGGCATGGACCACCGTGCTTGGTCAGTTTTCCAGTTTTGCAAAAAACCTTCTGAAATTTTGATAATGATTGCATTGAATCTATAGGTCAATATGGGAATAACTGCCATCTTATTACTGAGTACTCCAATCAATGAACATGGAGAATCTTTCCATTTAGTAAGATCTTTTAAATTATCATCAGGAATATGGTTTCTAGGCTGGGCGCGGTGGCTCACACCTGTAATCCCAGCACTTTGGGAGGCCGAGGTGGGTGGATCACAAGGTCAGGAGATCGAGACCATCCTGGCTAACACGGTGAAACCCTGTCTCTACTAAAATTTCAAAAAATTAGCCGGGCACGGTGGCGGGTGCCTGTAGTCCCAACTACTCGGGAGGCTGCGGCAGGAGAATGGTGTGAACCCAGGAGGCGGAGCTTGCAGTGAGCCGAGATCGCACCACTGCACTCCAGCCTGGGTGACAGACCAAGACTCCGTCTCAAAAAAAAAAAGAAAAAGGAATATGGTTTCTAGTGTACATTTAGCAGTTATTTTGTTCAAGTTATTTATTAGAGATTCGGTCTCTCTCACTCTGAGGTTTTGCCATATTGCCTAGCCTGGGAAACCAAGCTACATTCTGTCTCTACTGAACACTAAAAAATTAGCCAGGTGTGGTAGCACACACCTGTGGTCCCAAGTTACTAGGGAGGCTCAGGCAAAAGGACTGATTGAACCCAGGAGTTGGGGCTGCAGTGAGCTGTGATCATGCCACTGCACTCCAGCCTGGGAGACAGGGCAAGACTGTCTCTTAAAAATATATAAATATAAATTAAAAATATATATATAACATATATATAAAATATATACAAATACATATAACATATATAATACATATACATAATATATAGGACCCAATATTATGAGTAATATACTATATATTGTCATATACAATATATAATATACAACCTATTAGTATACTACTTTGATAGTTATATATTACTGTCAAAGTAAACATATTTTTAATATGTATCTAACATATTAATAGTAATACTAATATAAACATAACATATATATACGTATAACAGACATAATATATACATATGATATGCATATCGTGTGTGTATATACATATATACACACACACACACACACACACACACACATATATATATTTTTTTTTGAGACAGAGTCTCTATCAGTCACCCAGGCTGGAGTGCAATGGCATGATCTCGGCTCACTGCAACCTCTACCTCCTGGGTTCAAGCAATTCTCCTGCCTCACCCTCCCGAGTAGATGGGATTAGAGGCATGTGCCACCACCCCCGGCTACTTTTTGTATTTTTAGTAGAGACGGGGTTTCACCATGTTGGCCAGGCTGGTCTTAAACTCCTGACCTCAAGTGATCTGCCCGCCTCGGCCTCCCAAAGTGCTGGGATTACATGCATGAGCCACCACGCCCGGCCATATATATATTTGTGTAGAATTGTATCATCTCTAGGATTTGGTAACAGAAATTCCTTTTAGAAAAGCACTGGGAGAAAGGGAAGATACCTGATTTTCCATTATTGTTATTCCTCATACCTATGTGGGATTCGTTCCAGGATCCCACTTCCTCCAGGTAGCAACATCCTTAGATGCTGAAGTCGGTCATGTAAAACAGTACAGTATACATTTATTATTTATTTATTTATTTATTTATTTATTTATTTTGAGACGGAGTCTTGCTCTGCTGCCCAGGCTGGAGTGCAGTGGTGCAATTTTGGCTCACTGCAACATCCGCCTCCCAAGTTGAAGCAATTCTCCTGCCTCAGCCTCCCAAGTAGCTTGGATTACAGGCGCATGCCACCGTGCCCGGCTAATTTTTGTATTTTTAGTAGAGACAGGTTTTCACCATGTTGCCCAGGCTGGTTGCAAACTCCTGAACTCAAGCAGTCTGCCCGCCTTGGGCTTCCAAAGTGCTGGGATTACAGGCATGAGCCACTGTGCCCAGCCAGCTGTGAATTTTGACATGCTGAATTCCATAAAGCCTCAACAGAACCACTGGAAATTTCTGTAGAATTGATCTCTTCTGACCTGCAACAAGAGGAATATCAGAGAAATGCAATTTGGCCAATCTAAAGACTCCTTCCATATTATTAATCTAACACAACACTTTAGAAAGATATTTTATTTTTTAGGAAAAGAGCCATAATTATCTTAAATGTGAAAAACCACATCCAATAAACTGATATAAAGTTTTAGGAACAAGGGAATATCTTATTGTCACGCATTCACAGTGAAACCCATTTTAATGCAGGTCCAGAGCCAACTGCAGTCCTGTCCAATCCCATAGGTACAAGGGCCTGGCTCCTCTTCCTGTGTACTGCCCGACTTCCTCATCTTACTGGGTCCAGCATAAAGCAGATGTCCACTGTCTTCCTCACATGCTGTGATCTTGGCTTAGAGGTAGGCACAGTGCCGCTCCAGCAGCGAGGGGTTCGCGTTACTTAGGAACAGCAGCTCTTTTTTCCCTTCTTCTGTAGGAGCTAAAATGGAGACAAACACAGGTAAGTGGCAGTTTCCTCCTGCTGCACTGTGTTCCCCAGAATATCGTGTAGTCAGAGGCTACCATATCCAAATTACGTTCTGAGGTAATTATCATCTCCCAAGAGATCTTACTTCTAGACCCTCACCCCAACAAGCTACTCTTCTTTTGTATGCATTACTTCCTTTTCTGTGTCTACTCCTCCAAACCAGCATGGAGCTCTCTCTCCACTCCAAGAGTGTCTTCTGGACTTCAGGATTTTGTGACATCTCCCAACTCTTAGAAATCTGTCTATTGTGCATCCCAACTTAACATGCTACAGTTAGTCTTACACTCTTCACTGTACTCCTTTAATAAGCTATTCTAAATAGTATTTTTTTTTTTTTGCTTTTTTCAATAGAGATGGGGTCTCACTATATTGCCTAGCCTGGTCTCAAACTCCCGACATCAAGTGGTCTTCCCACCTTGCCCTCCCAAAGTGTAGATTACAGGTGTGAGCCACTGCACCAGGCCTCCGATTACTATTAACTCTATTATCTAGTGATAGAGCAGCCTTAGCTTTTCTTCTATATCCCCTCTTCATACTCAAATGTGAGGTCAAGGGCAAGTAAATGAACAGTTGGAATGCTTTCAGTCAGAGTAGATGAAATATAGTGCTGAAAGTTAATTTCTGTACATATACTAGGACAGGTGTGGCAAAGATTTACTTAGGTGCTGGAGTAGCCCTTGCACAGTATGAATTTTTCTGTGGGTGTCCCAGCATGAGTCTCTCCAGTGAAGTCTATTGAATAAATAAATTCAATAAGGAGAATGTGGCAGGAACCCAATTACCTGGAAATTCTGCCCAGTGGATGGAGTTGCCTTTGTTCCCTTCTTTATCATGGAAAATTTAGGGATAAAATCTCTTTTGTAAATTAAACCTTAACTGCCTCCCACCCGCTTTTCTGTACCATTTATCAGCCAGAAAGAAGTCAAGATAAAGGATGAAGTACAAATTAGAGGCTGTTGTTAAGGGAAGAAGAGATCAAGGCTCTGACTGAGTGGGATTCTACTGTGATCACAAAGCCCTGATAGGAAAAAACTAAATGATGGACCTTTCTCATGTTGAAGCCAATTGTTTTCCAAATAATACTGAATACAACTTTCAAATTCCTTTGGGTTATAGTTGGAAACCAGGATGGGAATAAAGGGATCCAGGGCATCAAATCCTTCCTGGGGAAGAAAAAGGATCAGGAAACATGTTAGTTAAGGAACAAAGCACCAGACAGACAGACTCTACTTAAGCACTTTGAAGGTAAGGTATTTGTTTTTCTTCTATGTAACTCTACTTCTCATTCTCTGGCAACATTGCCTGATACAGGACTCCACATATGGACTCCACATATGGTGGCTGGCTACTCGTGCTCTACGTGGCCACAAATGCTATATATTAAAAAGAGGTGGCTGGGCACAGTGACTCACACCTGTAATCCCAGCACCTTGGGAGGCTGAGATGGGCATATTGCTTGAGCCCAGGAGTTCCAGACGAGCCTGGGCCATGTGGTAAAACCCTGTCTCGACAGAAAATACAAAAATTAGCCAGGAGTGGTGCTGCGTGCCTCTAGCCCCAGGTACTCGGGAGGCTGAGGATTGCTTGAGACCAGGAGGTTGAGATTGCAGTGAGCTGCGATTGCTCCACTACACATACTGTCACAGTATGGGTGACAGAGTAAGACCATGTCTACACACACAAAAAAAAAGGCAATGCTTGAGGAGGCGGATGCTACTTGTGTGAATACACACACATACACACGCACACACACATATTGTGTGTATGTATTTTGGACAGTTTTGGCTTTTGAAACAAAGTTAATGTTTCATATTTTCAAAGGAATATGGTGGCTCATGCTGGTAATCCCAGCACTTTGGGTGGCCAAGGAGGGCAGATCGCCTGAGGTCAGGAGTTCGAGATCAGCCTGGCCAACATGGTGAAAATACTAAAAATACAAAATTACTGTCTCTACTAAAAATACAAAAATTAGCCGGGCACGGTGGCTCATGCCTGTAATCCCAGCACTTTGGGAGGCTGAGGCGGGCAGATCACAAGGTCAGGAGTTCAAGACCTGCCTGGCCAATATGGTGAAACCCCATCTCTACTAAATTACAAAAATTAGCTGGGCGTGGTGGCATGCACCTGTCGTCCCAGCTACTCGGGAGACTGAGGCAGAAGAATTGCTTAAACTCGGGAGGTGGATGTTGCAGTGAGCCGAGATTAAGCCACTGCACTCCAGCCTGGTGACAGAGCAAGACTCCATCTCAAAAAAAAAAAAAAAAAAAAAATTAGCCAGGCGTGGTGATGCGTGCCTGTAATCCCAGCTACTTGGGAGGCTGAGGCAGGAGAATCACTTGAACCTGGGAGGTGGAGGTTGCAGTGAGCTGAGATTGCACCACTGCACTCCAGCGTGGGTGACAGAGCAAGACTTCATCTCAAATAAAATAAAATAAAAAATAAAAATAATGGGAAAAAATACGCTAGATGGAAAACAAATGGAAACAAATGAAGTAATCAAACTGTATTTCTTTTTTTTTTTTCATTTTCTTGAGACTGAGTTTTGCTCCTGTTGCCCAGGCTAGAGTGCAATGGCACGATCTCGGCTCACTGCAACCTCTGCCTCCTGGGTTCAAGCGATTCTCCTGTCTCAGCCTCACGAGTAGCTGGCATTACATGCCTGCACCACCATGCCCAGCTAATTTTTTGTATTTTTAGTAGAGACAGGATTTCATCATGTTGGCCAGGCTGGTCTTGAACTCCTGACCTCAGGTGATCCGCCCGCCCTGGCCTCCCAAAGTGCAGGGATTATAGGCGTGAGCCACTGCGCCCGGCCCAAGGAACTTATTTTTTTCTTTCTTTTTCACTGTCTCCCAGGCTGGAGTGCATTGGCACATCTTAGCTCACTGCAACCTCTGCCTCCCAGGGTCAAGCGATTCTCCCACCTCAGCCTTCGGAGTATCTGGGACTATAGGCGCCCCACCACGCCCGGCTAATTTTTTTTTCTTTTTTTTTTTTTTTCATTTTTTGGTAGAGACGGGGTTTCACCATGTTGGCCAGGCCGGTCTAGATCTCCTGACCTCGTGATCTGCCCGCCTCGGCCTCCCAAAGTGCTGGGATTATAGGCATGAGCCACCACGCCCAGCCTGAGAGCTATCAAATCTGAAACTACTTTTCATATATTCTAGTATTGAGCTAATAAGTAAATATACTATGGCTACTGGCAGCAGATTTCTCATTATTTTAGATTAGAGTTACAGATATGGAAAGGGTATAATGACTGCTGTGATGGTAGCATGGAATTGGCTACTAGTAGGAACTCATAGTTTTTTAATATGATTAGAGAAACAAACGCAGATGTGTGTGGATGTGTATAAACATGTATATGCATATGGTTCACACATATACATACATACATGTATGTATGTACATCTATTTATGAACTTTGCTGTGAGGGCCTAGGAGAAAGGACACCTCAGTAGCAGTGAGTATACCTAGGACTCAGGCCTTGGTTGCTAAATACCAGTCTCCTCTAAAATAAGCCAATGCTCTTTGGAGAAATGGAGATTCCAGGGCTGGGCATGGGAAGTATAAGAGGGGTCTGGAACATATTCTCATGACAGAAAATAAAGAAGTGGTCAAAGAATGATAGGAGCTGGATATGGTGGCTCACGCCAGTAATCCCAGCACTTTAGGAGGCCGAGGTGGGAGGATTGCCTGAGGCTAGCAGTTCAAGACCACCCTAGGCAACAACATAGTTAAGACCATGCCTCTAAAAAAAAAAAGGAAAGAAAAGAAAAAGACAACATTCAGTGCTGGGTGTGGTGGCATGTGCTCAAGGCTACAGTGAGCTATGATGGTGCTACTGCACTACAGCCTGGGTGACAGAGTGAGACCCTATCTCCAAAAAAATAATGATGGGGACATTTTAAAAGGATATAGAAGTTAGCTTGAAGGAGCTTTTTTTCCTGTTGAGATAGGGCCGCACTCTATTGCCCAGGCTGGAGTACACTGGCAAAATCAGGGCCCACTACAGCCTTGACCTCCCGGGCTCAAGCGATCCTCCCACCTCAGTCTCCAGAGTAGCTGTGACTACAGGTGAATGCCACCATGCCCAGCTAGTTTTAAAATTTTTTTTTGTAGAGATGGGGTCTCACTTTGTTGCCCAGGCTGGTCTCAAACTCCTGAGCTCAAGGGATCCTTCTGCCTTGGCCTCCCAAAGTGCTGTGATTACAGCTGTGAGCTACCAAGCCTGGCCATGAAGGAATTGTTTTTTTGTTTTTTGTTTTTCTTGAGACGGAGTCTTGCTTTGTGGCTCAGGCTGGAGTGTAATGGCACAATCTTGGTTCACTGCAACCTCCGCCTCCTGGGTTCAACCGATTCTTCTGCCTCAGCCTCCAGAGTAACTGGGACTATAGGCACGCACCACCACACCTGGCTAATTTTTACATTTTTAGTAGAGACAGGATTTCACCATATTGGCCAGGCTGGTCTTGAACTCCTGACCTCGTGATCCACCCGCCTTGGCCTCCCAAAGTGCTGGGATTACAGACGTGAGCCATCACACCCGGCCAATGAAGGAATTTTTAATGGCCAAATCTAAGATGATTTGAGCACCAAAATAAAAAGTGACAGTAATGATTTAGATTCTATTAAATAAAAATCCACAAGACCATACCAGCTGCGGAGGCTCCATGCCAGGTATAACTAAAGTAATGGATACTAAAACCAGTAGGTGGAAGTTTGAGAAGTAACAGGATCTTTACCTAGTCTCAAAGTATATCTCTACAACATACATATTAATTCCAAAGCAAAATAATAACTTTACTGAAGAGAAACCAGATGGACAACACCTCAGCTAACAGTTCCAAAATCATTACCAGTAATGGGAGAAATGTGCCTCCTGATAGGATGCACTCACTCAGACATGTCATCACTTCTAACATCACTTCTATTCAGGAGGAAACCTCAGACAACCCCAAAAAGTGACCTACAAAATAGCTGGCATGCACATGCCAAAAACATAAAGATTTCAAATGACAAAGACTGACAGACTGTCACAGATTAAAGGAGACCAAAGAGACATGACAACTTTTTCTTTTTTTTGAGACGGAGTCTCGCTCTGTCACCCACGCTGTAGTGCAGTGGCGCAATCTCGGCTCACTGCAACCTCCACCTCCCGGGTTCAAGCGATTCTCCTACCTCGGCCTCCTGAGTAGCTGGGATTACAGCCACGCGCCACGACGCCTGGCTAATTTTTTGTATTTTTAGTAGAGACGGGGTTTCACCATGTTAGCCAGGATGGTCTCGATCTCCTGACCTCATGATCCGCCTGCCTCGGCCTCCCAAAGTGCTGGGATTACAGGCATGAGCCACCGCACCCAGCCAGAGACATGACAACTTAATGTAACACATTATCTGGGATTTATTTTTCTATAAAAGATACTGGGATAACTGGCTACATCAGAATAAATCCCACCAATTAGGTAAAAGTATGATATCAATGTCAATTTTCTGACTTTGATAATTATGCTCAGGGTATATTAGAGTATCTTTGTTCTTAGGAATGAGACATTATTTGGAGACAAAGAAGCATCAAGGCCAGGCGCCGTGGCTCACGCCTATAATCCTAGCACTTTGGGAGGCTGAGGTAGGCGGATCACTTGAGGTCAGGAGCTTGAAACCAGCCTGGCCAACATGGTGAAACCTCGTCTCTACTAAAAATACAAAAAATTAGCTGGGCGTGGTAGTGGACGCCTGTAATCCCAGCTACTTAGGAGGCCGAGACAGGAGAATCACTTGAACCCGGAAGGCGGAGGTTGCAGTGAGCCGAAATTGCGCCATTGCACTCAAGCCTGGTTGACAGAGCAAGACTCCGTCTCAAAAAAAAAAAAAAGAAAAGAAACTCTGGAGAAAGACGGAGACGGATAAAGCAATGATGATCAAGTTAATATTTTAGGAATCCAGGGGAAGGGCATACAGGAATATGATTTTTCTCTAAGTCTGAAATTATGTCAAAATACATAGATTAATAAAAATATTTTTCTTTAAACAGGATAACAATCTAAGTAGAAACAAATTTTCCTTTGACTTGACCTTTCCCAGCAACTCCTGGGGCAGATAGGCTTTCCGGGGCTTAAAGAGAGACCCAGTCTGGCTCAAAGCCGACACAATGGCGCCTCCATGCTGAAAGAAAAGAGAAAAGGCTGAACTGGAAAAAGTTAAAAAGGATGGAAAACTGCATTAATCATCTGTAGATTTTTTTTTTCTTTCTTGGGCATACAGTGTTACAAAAGTGTGGTCTAGCACAGTTAAATGGCAACTAAATTGGTTATTCCAGATTTGGCTCTGACAATAAACTGCTACCTGATTTTAAATTTACCATGACATATTTGTGGGTCTCAAACTCTTTTCCAAAGACGGTAAGGAGATACAAAAACACTTTAAATGTCTGCAAGCAAAATAAAATTAGGCCAATATTTAAATAAAATGGTTTTGAATAAACTTACTTTGGAAAGATTATAAACCACATATATATAGATTTTAATTCAGACTTTATTTCTAACTTGGTACAGATACAGGAATTAAATAAGACATAATAACTTACTGTCCATAAAATTAGAGACTGTAAAGTATTAGCAATGAAATAGTAGAACATGTTTAAAATGATAATACATTTCTTTCTGAAATGTGTGAGGTATCATATGCACTTACCCAATCATTTTTCATCATTTTCCTCAAGTTGTGAACAAGTGCTAATTCCTCGGGGGCAATCTGCATATCGGACAGAAAGAGAGAAGAGATCATCACGTGCCTTTCCTAGATGTTCTCCCGAAACAATTGACAACAATTTTTTTTTTTTTTTGACAGAGTCTCGCTCTGTCGCCCAGGCTGGAGTGCAGTGGCGCGATTTGGGCTCACTGCAACCTCCACCTCCTGGGTTCAAGCGATTCTCCTGCCTCAGCCTCCTGAGTAGCTGGGACTATAGGCGCGCGCCACCAGAGCCTAATTTTTTTGTATTTTTAGTAGAGACAGGGTTTCCCCGTGTTAGCCAGGACGGTCTCAAACTCCTGACCTTGTGATCCACCCACCTCGGCCTACCAAAGTGCTGGGATTACAAGCATGAGCCACTGCACCTGGTGACAACAATTTTTTTAAAACCCTCAACTAAGACATAATTGTATACCTGAAGGTACTCCCTCTAGGATAAGCCACGTAGCCTCTGGCCCTAGAACTGCCATGCTTCTGGAGATTAACAGTCACTGAGAAAAACACCCACTGCCCCAAACCAGCCCCATTTTGATGCTTCTGATCTCCTCTGCTTAGACCATCTAGACTCATTTTGAAAAAAGAATCAAAAGACAGATAAAAATTAAGAAAGAAAACATAGCTTCTGCTGTCATTCTCTTTCCACAACATACTCCCTTAGTTTTCAATGAATAGTGGAACTCTTGGCATTACCTCCTCCTCTGATTCCATTTTACTGTTTATCTTTTCTTTTTTTTTATTTTTTTGAGACAGAGTCTCATTCTGTTGCCCAGCCTGGAATGCAGTGGCACGATCTCCACTCATTGCGGGCTCTGCCTCTTGGGCTCAAGCCATCCTCCCATCTTAGCCTTCCAAGTAGCTGGAGCTACATACAGGTGCAAACCACCATGCCCAGCTAGTTTTTTATATTTTTTGTAGGGACAGGGTTTCACTGTGCTGCCCAGGCTGACCTCAAACTCCAAACTCCTGGACTCAAGCAAATCACCTCTTGGCCTCCTAAAAGTGCTGGGATTTATCAGCCATCACACCAGGCCTTGCTGTTTATCTTCACATATATATACGAATATGTATGTGTGCATATGCATATACGAATATGTATGTGTGCATATATACGTATATATACATATATACATATATGAATATTATATATACATATATACATATATGAATATTATATATACATATATGAACATATAGGTATATTCGTATATTATGAAAACATATGAATATATGTATATATAAATATATATGAATATATGTGTGTATATATACATATATGAATATATATGTGTGTATATATACATATATATGAATATATATATATGGCGATCTCGGCTCACTGCAACCTCCGCCTCCTGGGTTCAAGCGATTCTCCTGCCTCAGCCTCCCGAGTAACTGGGATTACAGTCATGCACCACCATGCCCGGCTAATTTTGTATTTTTAGTAGAGATGGGTTTCTCCATGTTGGTCAGGCTGGTCTCGAACTCCAAGCTCAGGTGATCCGCCCGCCTCAGCCTCCCCAAGTGCTGGGATTACAGGCATGAGCCACTGTGCCCAGCCATATATATATTTTTTAAGAGACAGGATTTCACTCTGTCACCCAGGTTGGTGTGCAGTGTTGCAATCATGCCACACTACAACCTTGAACTCCAGGGCTCAAGTGATCCTCTGGCCTCAGCCTTCCAGTAGCAGTGACTACAGGTGTGTGCCACCATGCCAGCTACCGGCTAATTTCTTATTTTTTTAGAGGCAGGGGCCTTGCTATAGTGCCCATCCTAGTCTTGAACTCCTGGCCTCAAGCGATCCTCCCACCTCAGCCTCGTGAGCCAATGGGATTACAGGCGTGAGCCACTGCACCCAGCTCTTTACTGTTTATCTTCAAATATTCCTAGGGCAAGAAAACATATTGCATGGTCTACAAGGCTAAGACCCAGCCTCCATACTGATGGAATCAGAAATCAGAGAAACAAGATAGAGACACCCAGTTTTCCTACCGGGCTTTTATCTTCTCTTTTCAGAGTGGTTCTTCCCCAAAGAGCATTGATTCCATCCACGGCCACTAGGAGGTGAAACATACCCAAAGAACTTTGCCTCTTTAGCTCTTTCAGCACAATTCCAACTGCATCTGTGGCGTTCCTCACCCGTGTTATGCCCTATTGGGAGAGACAGTGGATTGTAGTGCTACCAGAGGCCTTCTCTTGTTATCGCATGTTACACATTCAGTGTTTTTTCTTATACCTGTTCAACCACTTCTCCCAGAGGACTCCCTTTCTCAGTGCTTTCTCTCTTATTCCAGACATACTTCTCTTGAACTTTTATCTAAAAGCAAGCAAAGAAAATAAAAACCAAAAAAAAGGCTACTTGGCCTAAGGGTGAAACCATCCCTTGAAAAGGTTGGAGGCTAAGGTTAACAGGAGTTCATTTTAATCTATTGTTCAGGTTCTGTAAGAGACCTCAATGTAGAAGTGAATGCTTTCTTTTCTTTCTTTTTTTTTTTTTTTGAGACAGCTTCTTTCTCTGTAACCCAGGCTGAAGTGCAGTGGCATGATCTCAGCTCGCTGCAACATCCACCTCCCAGGTTTAAGGGATTCTCTTGCCTCAGCCTCCCAAGTAGCTGGGATTTCAGGCGTGTGTCACCACGCCTGGCTAATTTTTGTATTTTTAGTAGAGATGGGGTTTCGCCATGTTGGCCAGGCTGGTCTAGAATTCCTGACCTCAGGTGATCTGCCCACCTCGGCCTCCCAAAATGCTGGAATTACATGTCTGAGCCACACGCCTGACCTCTTTTATCTTTTTTTTGAGACCATATCTCGCTCTGTTACCCAGGCTGGAGTACAATGGCGCTATCTCGGCTCACTGAAACCTCTGATTCCCAGGTTCAAGAGATTCCCCTGCCTCAGCCTCCTGAATAGATGGGCCTACAGGCGTGCACCACCACACCCGGCTAATATTTGTATTTTTAGTAGAGATGGGATTTCACCATGTTGGCCAGGCTCATCTTGAACTCCTGACCTCAGGTGATCTGCCTGCCTTGGCCTCCCAAAGTGCTGACATTACAGGTGTGAGCCCCTGTGCCTGACCAAAGTGAATGCTTTCTAATCCATTTCTGCTTGGAGCCTTGAATAAACATACATAAGGGATTCTGATGAAAATGTCCAGAATGAGACTCTGGCATCTGCATTTTTAACAAGCTCTTAGGTGACTCTGCTTTATATCCAGAGTTGAAGGCCCCTGGTCTAGACAGGGTATCTAAGAATCACCAGGGTAAAGAAGAATTTTTCCAATACATTTCTGGTTCCCTAAAAAGATATTGTCTGGAGAAAATCATGTAGTTGGAAATGTGCTTGCGAGGGATTGGAGGCTGTACCTTGAAAAGTCAATGAATCAACTGGATTTCACTTTGCTACCCACAAAATGGGAACAACTTACTGTTGCCTATTTATTTCACATGGATAAATGAGTTTCAAGTTATGAGTCCACTGTGAGCAAAACGTATGAAAGAAATTAAAAATGATACAGTTATTCCAACTCCAGTATCAGTTCTCCATAGTCTATTGGTACTCAGGGCACAAAGAATCCATGTAAGGACTACCTAGCACTCAACTTCTGGGAGTCTAGTCACCTGGTTCAGGAAGCGCTCATTTGTAGTTTTGAAATTCTTCAGCCAGGTTGAAGCCTCTAAAGGTTGATCAAAGCGCTGTTTGTTGTAGCTGGACTGCAGAAGATCCCGACAATTTTTCACCCAAAGATGAGCTTTAAAAAAAAGAGGCAGAAGAAAACAAGCCAGGCAGAAACTGTATTCAACTCGAAATATTCTATGCCTCTTTTAAGTTATGGGAAATGACTTTAGTTTCTCATATATATATTTCTTTTCTTTTTTTTTTTTTTTTTTGAGACAGGGTCTTGCTCTGTCACCCAGGCTAGAAGGCAGGATGTGATCACAGTTCACTGTAACCTTGAACTCCTAGGCTCAGGCAATCATCCTGCCTCAGCCTCTCAAAGTGCTGTTGAACCACTATGCCTGGCCTTGTCAGGTCCATCTTAGACTAAACATTATCATTAGAATCAATATATAAAACATACCAAGTGTATTAAATATCACTTCTGCTTTCTGGCAGGTTTGAAAGGTAAGTCAGAAAATGTGGATGTTACATAAGCAGGGTTGTTTAAAAAAGAAAGAAAATGTGGATGCACACAACACTGAACAAAAAAGAGACAAATGCAAGTTTTGACAATCCATACTGACGACTCTAGAATGCTGATAAATAGTAAAAGGCTCTATGGGTACTCAGGACTGTTAACAGATGGCAAAAACAAAACAAAACAAAACAAAACAAAACTCCATGGCGACCTCTAAGGCAGAAGTTTATGTCCATGGGTATTAAATATCAAAAGAAGGACTGCTTAGCATCAAAAGGCTTCAGGAAGCTTTTAGCCGAATTTCCTTTTGTCACATTGACTTCACCTTATAATCTGCTTGGCAGTAATATCACGAAGAAATCATGATGGATGAGCTCAGTCTGCTCTACATCTGGAGTAAAGGCTTTTCTTCTTCTTCTTTTTTTTTTTTTTTTTTGAGACAGGGTCTTGCTTTGTTGCCCACGCTAGAGTGTAGTGGTGCGATCACAGCTCACTGCAGCCTCCTCCTGGGCTCTAAGCAATATTCCAGCCTCAGCCTCCCAAAGTGCTGGGATTATAGGTTTGAGCCATCGTGACTGGCAAAGGCTTTTCCTTTAGCTATCAGATCCCTGTTAGGAAAGTAAAGCTGAGGCCGGGTGCAATGGCTCATGCCTGTAATCCCAGCACTTTGGGAGGCCAAGGCAGGTGGATCACCTGAAGTCAGGAGTTCGAGACCAGCCTGGCCAACATGGTGAAACCCTGTCTCTACTAAAAATACAAAAAAAATTAGCCGGGCATGGTGGCGGGCGCCTGTAGTCCCAGCTACTCAGGAGGCTGAGGCAGAAGAATGGTGTGAACCCGGGAGGCGGAGCTTGCAGTGAGCTGAGATCGTGCCACTGCACTCCAGCCTGGGCGACAGAGCAAGACTCCGTCTCAAAAAAAAAAAAAAAAAAAAATTAGCTGGGCGTGGTGGTGTGGTGGGCGCCTGTAATCCCAGCTACTTGGGAGGCTGAGGCAGGAGAATCTCTTGAGCCTGGGAGGCGGAGGTTGCGGTGACCTGAGATTGCGCCTCTGCACTCCAGACTGGCCGACAAGAGCGAAACTCCATCTCAAAAAAAAAAAAAAAAAGAAAAGAAAAGAAAAGAAAATTAAAGCTGCAAGGCTACCACAGTAACAGGATAACTAAACCTAACAGACAGAAGAAACAACAGGAAGTTCTTACCATCTGGAATATGTAGTATCAGCCAGTCCTGTTTTGCACAGAAATGAATAACATGGCAAAGACTTAGGGTTTTTCCTGTTCCCTTCTCTCCATCTAAAGTATATGTTGTTAAAGAAAACATGACTGGAAGGATCACTTGTATGTGAACAGTAGTTATGCTTTGTTTTGTTTTTTTGAGATGGGGTTGGAGTGCAGTGGCTTGATATCAGCTCACAGCAACCTCCGCTTCCCGGGTTCAAGCGATTCTCCTGCCTCAGCTTCCCAAGTAGCTGGGATTACAGGTGCACGCTACCACACCCGGCTAATATATTGCATTTTTAGTAAATGCGGGGTTTCGCCATGTTGGCCAGGCAGGTCTTGAACTCCTGACTTCAGGCGATACGCCTGCCTCGGCTTCCCAAACTCCTGGGATTATAGGTGTGAGCTACCATGCCCGGCCTCAACAGTACTTTTTTTCATTTCTTCTGTTGCCTTATTTGAGGGGAGAAAGCATTGGTTCATGAGGGTCCACGCAGGCAGGAAAGGATACACAGAAGATATCGTATAGCTGGATAAGCAAAACTGGTGTTTTTCAGGTAATGCAGAAGTTCTAGGGCTGGTTTCCTTACCATCAGGCAAGCTTCACTGAATGTCTTCACCTGATAAAGTAGGAAAGAAGGAAAGAGTGGGTGGGTGTGGAAGGAGTGGGTGGGGGGTGGTATATATACTCTGCCTAAAGTGGCAACCAAGACCATCAGATTGCATGCCTCTAATTTACTCAGTTAGGAGAAGCTGGGTTGGTACTGAGTTTGAAAATCTATCCATATAACTTAGCTAAAAACTGAAATACATTATTCCGCACTAAGTAACATGATAGTCAGCTTTTGATTATTCCTATTACTGAAGCATATATTCTATCTCAGCTGAAATCTATAAATAATTGATATATCTCATAACAAAATTATGTATACCACTTAGGGCCACTGTAAATATGGAAAGCATATAGAAAAATGCTTAAAATTTCTGACACAAGTTAATAATTCAATAAACATTAACTCTTTAAATTTTTTTTCTTTTTTTTTTTTTGAGACGGAGTTTCACTCTTGTTGCCCAGGCTGGAGTGCAATGGCACGATCTCGGCTCACCACAACCTCTGCCTCCCAGTTCAAGTGATTCTCCTGCCTCAGCCTCCCGAGTAGCTGGGATTACAGGCACCCACCACCATGCCCGGCTATTTTGTATTTTTAGTACAGAAGGAGTTTCTCCATGTTGGTCAGGCTGGTCTCAAACTCCCGACCTCAGGTGACACCCCCGTCTTGGCCTCCCAAAGTGCAGGGATTACAGGCGTGAGCCACTGCACCTGGCCTAAAATTTATTTTTAGTTGATTTTTTTTTTTTTTCTTTTTTTGAGACAGAGTCTCACTCTGTCACCCAGGCTAGAGTGCAGTGGTGTGATCTCGGCTCACTGCAACCTCCGCCTCCGGGGTTCAAGCAATTCTTCTGCCTCAGTCTCCTCAGTAGCTGGGATTACAGGTGCCACCACCATGCCAGGCTGATTTTTGTAATTTTAGTAGAGACAGGCTTTCACCATGTTGGTCAGGCTGGTCTCGAACTCCTGACCTCATGATCCACCCGTCTCAGCCTCCCAAGGTGCTGGGATTATAGGCGTGAGCCACCGCACCTGGCCTAAAATTTATTTTTATTACTTTAACCATTTAGACTTTTTTCTCTAGAACTAAATACATGGCGGCTCAGGAGCAGGTGTGACCAGCTGCCTCACAACTCTAAGGCCATCCATACCTCATACCTCCAGCATACTAACCTTTCAGAGTTTAATTCCCCTTTTGCTACCAGAATACTTTGGTGGGAAATTTGGGAAGTACTAATGTGTGTGAAACTGATTTGCAAAGAAAATATTAAAATATGTCTACTAATAAGAATATCTAACAAATACTGTTTGTAAGTATAACTAAAATAGTGTTAATTTTTTTTTTTTTTTTTTGAGACAGAGTCTCGCTCTGTCGCACAGGCTGGAGTGCAGTGACACGATCTCAGCTCACTGCAACCTCCGCCTCCCGGGTTCAAGCGATTCTCCTGCTTCAGCCTCACAAGTAGCTGTGACTACAGGCGTGTGCCACCACGCCCAGCTAATTTTTGTATTTTTAGTAGAGATGGAGTTTCACCATGTTGGCCAGGCTCATCTTGAACTCCTGGCCTTAAGTAATCTGCCCACCTCAGCTTCCCAAAGTGCTGGAATTACAGGCGTGAGCCATTGTACCCAGCCAGTGTTGATATTTTTAAAAGAAATCCTAACAAAACAATTGAATTGGTGTAGGATTTGACAGGCAATTCCAAACTTAATGGAAGGCTCAATGTTCAAAAAAACATGATAAAGGTATTAAAACAAATGTTGGCTGGGCGTGGTGGCTCATCCCTGTAATCCCAGCACTTTGGGAGGCCAAGACAGGTGGATCACCTGAGGTTAGGAGTTGGAGACCAGCCTGGCCAATATGGCAAATCCCCATGTCTACTAAAAATATAAAAATTAGCCAGGCGTGGTGGCGAGCACCTGTAATCCCAGCTCTTTGGGAGGCTGAGGCAGGAGAATCACTTGAACCCAGGAGGCGTAGGTTGCAGTGAGCTGAGATCGCATCACTGCATTCCAGCCTGGGCGACAAAAGTGAAACTCCATTTCAAAAAAAAGTCACATCAGGGCTGGGAGCTGTGGCTCACACCTGTAATCCCAGCACTTTGAGATGCCAATACAGGAGGATCGCTTGAGCCCAGGAGGTCAGAGATGTAGAGTGTGCTGTGGGCTGTGGTCACGCCACTGTACTCCAGCCTGGTTGTCAGAGTGAGACCCTGTCTCTATAATTAAAATAATAGTAATAAAATAAAGTCAGCTACCCTGGGCACACTGTCCGTGAGTTAGGTCTGCTCCAAAAGGAGCAGTATTTAAAAAAAAAAAAGTCATATTAGGCAGTATGACAATGCTAATATCCACAAACAATGGTGAGGAAGTAGGCCTTCATGTAAATGAAAATTATGAAAAGAACCTGTAAGTTCTTACAGAGCATTGTTGGTTAAGCCAGTCTGAAAACAACTTCAAATAGTTAATTAAAGATAGAACCTCACAGCTCTGAAGCTGAATAAACATTGTACTGTGTATGTCTTGGAACAGTTTAAAGTGCCACTGCAGATGATTTCTTCAACAAAATTTTTTTTAATTAAAATTGTTTTTTGGAGACAGGGTCTCACTCTGTTGTCTGAGTTGGAGTGCCGTGGCACTATCGTAGCTCACTGCAGCCTGAACTCCTGGGCTCAAGCCATCCTCCTGCCTCAGCCTCCGAAGCAGCTACCACACATGACTAAATGTTTTTCTTTTTTTTTGAGTGAGCAGCAGCAAGATTTATTGAGAAGAGCAAAAGAACAAAGCTTCCACAGTGTGGAAGGGGACCCGAGAGGGTTGCCCATGTTTTTCTTTTCTAAATAAAGATACAGTCTCATTATATTGCCCAGCTGGTCTTGAACTCCTGCGCTCAAACAATCCTCCCACCTTCACCTCCCAAAGTGCTGAGACTACAGGCATAAACTACCTTGCCTGGCCTGTTATACCTTATTTTATTTTATGCTTGAGATAAGGTCTTGCTCTGTTGCCCAGGCTGGGGTACAGTGGTGCAATCATGGCTCACTGAAGCCCTCACCTCCTGAGCTCAAGCGATCCTCCAACCTCAGCCACCTGAGTAGCTGTGACTACAGGTGTGCATCATGCCCAGCTAATTTTTAATTTTTAATTTTTGTAGAGACAGGTCTCCCTATGTTGCCTAGACTGGTCTCGAACTCCTGGGCCCAAGTGATCCTTCCACCTTGGCCTCCCAAAGTGCAGCTGGGATTACAGGCGTGAGCCATAGCGCCCGGCCTGTTATGCCCTTATTATTCATCTAATTTCCCGAAATAAACCACACTAAAGAAATGAGATCCTCTGGCTCGCATGCTAAAACTCACCTGCACAGGCAAGTTTGATAACATTTTCACAAAATCCACAAGAGAATAAAAACCAATGCATCTAATCAAAATATTGCTTCTATTTAGCTCAGGAGTGTACTATGATTTTGCTTTTGTGCAGCATATTAACTATTTTCATGATATTTTGCCAAGGCAAATTTTAAGTTCATTTAAAACAGTTATTTGATGCTGAAATTACTGGAATCTTCTTGGGCTATACAAGGAGGAAAACATCAATATTGTTTAAACATGAGCTTAAAGTAATTGTACTAGTCACAAAAGGTAATCAACACATGAATTTCTGTTTTTCAGATTAAATTTCATCTTTTTAAATTTTCTTCTCATTTAGCCCCACCCCTTTGCTAGCAGCAGCTTGTATTCTGGGCTCCCTCCAATTCCATTCCCTGTCTTGAGCACCTGCATCACAAAGCGAGGAGGAAGGCCATGGGGAAATACAGTCTCCAAATCCTGGGGGGAGATGTTGTAGTGCTGACCCTCGTGCTGATCCCCATGCTTGGCCTAGGAAATAAGAGTGCAAACAGGTATAATGGTGACAAAGTGACCAAGACTTTCTTTTTTGTCTTATCTATGTGTGTGTATATATGTATGTCTATGTGTATATATATATATATATACATACATACATATATATATACACATACATACATATATATATACACATACATATATATATATTATTTTTAAAATGGAGTTTTACTTTTGTCACCCAGGCAGGAGTGCAATGGTGCGATCTTAGCTCACTGCAACCTCCGCCTCCTGGGTACAAGCAATTCTCCTACCTCAGCCTCCCAGTAGCTGGCATTACAATCTGCCACCGCACCCGGCTAATTTTTGTATTTCTAGTAGAGACGGGGTTTCACCATGTTGGCCAGGCTGGTCTTAAACTCCTGACCTCAGGTGATCTGCCTGCCTCAGCCTCCCAAAATGCTGCGATTACAGGGTGAGCCATCTTGCCCAGCCTTGTCTTCTTTTTTTTTTGAGACAGAGTCTCGCTCTGTCACCCAGGCTGGAGTGCAATGGTGTAATCTCGGCTCACTGCAACCCCCGCCTCCCAGGTTCAAGAGATTCTCCTGCCTCAGCCTCCCGAGCATCTGGGACTACAGGCACGCGCCACCACGCCCAGCTAATTTTTGTATTTTTAGTAGAGATGGGATTTCACCATGTTGACCAGGATGGTCTTGATCTCTTGACCTCGTGATCCGCTCACCTCGACCTCCCAAAGTGCTGGGATTACAGGCGTGAGCCACAGCGCCTAGCCCAGCCTTGTCTTTTTATCTGTGACCAAGACTTTGAAAATTGGATAAGGCCTGCTATTCACTCATGTCTTTATGTGTTTTTTTTGGTTTGTTTGTTTTGTTTTTTTTTTGAGATGGAGTTTCACTCTTGTTGCCCAGGCCGAAGTGTAATGGCGCGATCTTGGCTCACCACAACCTCCGCCTCCCGGGTTCAACCAATTCTCCTGCCTCACCCTCCCAAGTAGCTAGGATCACAGGCATGTGCCACCATGCCTGGCTAATTTTGTATTTTTAGTAGAGACAGGGTTTCTCCATGTTTAGTAGAGACAGGCTGGTCTTGAACTCCCGACCTCAAGTGATCCACCTGCCTCAGCTTCCCAAAGTGCTGGGATTACAGGCGTGAGCCACTGCACCCGGCCTTTATGTCTTTTTTTTTTTTTTTTTTTTTTTTTTTTGAGACAAGATCTTGCTCGGTTTACCAGGCTGGAATGCAGTGGTACAATCACGGCTCACTGAGGCCTCCAATTCCCAGGCTCAAGAGATCCTCCCGCCTCAGCCTCACAAGTAGCTGGGACCACAGGTGTGCACCACTACACCTGGCTCATTTTTTTACTTTTTTGGTAGAGATGAGGTCTTGCTATGTTGCCCAGGTTGGTCTTGAACTCCTGAGCTCAAGTGATCCTCCCACTTTGGCCTCTCAGTGTTGGGATTACAGGCGTGAGCCACTGCACCTGGACCACTCATCTCTTAAAGCTGGAAAAGATATCTCCCATTGTTTTGAGAAAGCCTGTTGCCCAGACTGGAGTGCAGTGGCCTGATCTCAGCTGACTATAGCCTTGACCTCCTGGGCTCAAGTGATCCTTGTACCTAAACCTCTCGAGTAGCTGGGACTACAGGCGCATGCCACTATGCACTGCTAATTGAAAAACTTTTGGCCGAGTGCAGTGGCTCATGCCTGTCATCCCAGCACTATGGGAGGCCAAGGTGGGTGGATTATGAGGTCAGGAGTTCAAGACCAGCCTGGCCAAGAGGGTGAAAGCCTGTCTCTACAAAAAATACAAAAAATTAGCCAGGCACGGTGGCAGGCGCCTGTAATCCCAGCTATTCGGGAGGCTGAGGCAGAGAACTGCTTGAACCCGGGAGGTGGAGGATGCAGGGAGCCAAGATCACGCCACTGCACTCCAGCCTGGGTGACAGAGCAAGGCTCCGTCTAAAAAAAAGAAAAAGAAAAAGAAAATTTTTTTGGCTGGGCACAGTGGCTCATGCCTGTAATCCCAGCACTTTAGGAGGCCAAGGTGAGCGGATTGCCTGAGGTCAGGAATTCAAGACCAGCCTGGCCAACATGGTAAAACCCCATCTGTACTAAAAATACAAAACTTAGCCAGGCATGGTGGTGGATGCCTGTAATCACAGCTACTTGGGAGGCTGAGACAGGAAAATCATTTAAACCCAGGAGGTGGAGGTTGCAGTGAGACGAGACTGCGCCATTGCACTCCAGCCTGGGCAAGAAGAGTGAAACTCTGTCTCAAAAAAAAAAAAAAAAAAATTGTTTTAGAGTTAGGGTCTTGCTATGTTGCCTAGGCTAGTCTAGAACTCCTAAGCTCAAGTGATCCTCCCACCTAGGCCTCCCAAAGTCCTGGGATTACAGGCATAAGCTACTGTGCCCAGCCTCATTTATCTTAGCCAAGAATGCTGGTTGCTGCCCTCAAACCCAGTATGTATATAAAAGTGGTGGCCCAAATAATGAAGCCAATTGCTCATCAAAGTAAACCGTAGATGTAGGGGTAGCAAAGACAATTCTTGCCATCTGGATTCTTCTGTGCTGTGTATAGAGATGCTCCAGTCATGTGACAAGATCATCTGCATGCTGCTGTTTCCATAGAAACCCCAGAGGAATTGGCAGATAAAAGGACTGCAATTACAAAGAAAGCTGAAAAGACACTTCAGTGGCTTGATTCATTTATTCTACTTCATTTTGTGTTTGTGAAAAGAGGTGAATGGTATATATATATATCTTCATCTATATCTATATCTATCTATCTATCTATCTATCTATCTATCTATCTATCTATCTTTCTTTCTTTTTTTTTTTTTGAGACAGAGTCTTGCACTGTCGCCCAGGCTGGAGTGCAGTAGCACGATCTCAGCTCACTGCAAGCTCCACCTCCAGGTTCATACCATTCTCCTGCCTCAGTCTCCCGAGTAGCTAGGACTACAGGCGCCCGCCACCATGCTCAACTAATTTTTTTTTGTATTTTTAGTAGAGATGGGGTCTCACTGTGTTAGCCAGGATGGTCTCAGTCTCCTGACCTCATGATCCGCCTGCCTTGGCTTCCCAAAATGCTGGGATTACAGGCGTGAGCCACCTCACTCAGCCATATATATATACTTTTTAAGACAGAGTCTTGCTCTCTTGCCCAGCCTGGAGTGCAGTGGCGCGATCTTGGCTCACTGCAACTTCTGCCTCCTGGGTTCAAGCAATTCTCCTGCCTCAGCCTCCTGAGTAGCTGGGATTACAGGTGCCCGCCACCACACCCAGCTAATTTTAGTATTTTTAGTAGAGACAGGCTTTCGCCATGTTGGCTAGGCTGGTCTAGAACTCCTGACCTCAAGTGATCCTCCTGCCTCGGCCTCCCAAAATGCTAGGATGACAGTCGTGAGCCACCCCGCATGGCCGAAGCCTAGAGATATATTTAAAACACACCCTGCTGAGATCATGTTTTGGGTAATGGGTGTTTACTTTTTCTTTCCACACAGACTATATTAAGATGGGAAGACTCAGAGGGTAGGGGCAGGGAAAGAAAGCTATTGGTTCCTAACATTACAGCACACACCACAAATTAATTTCATTTATGAGAGGCAGCAACAAAAAGAAATCAATATCCAGTCTAATGGGGAACTGGACTAGAAAATGCAACACTAGATACTGCTGGAATCCTGGCTTCTGCAGACAAAATTCACTTTAAATGCTGCTCTTCTCACAACAAACCAAGTTAGTTCCCTCTCCAGACCCTAGGAAATCCACTTACAAAACTGCAAAATAGCACCAGATTGGTTATTAGAAAAATTGGGTTCTGAACCTGCCCTGGTAGAAAATTGTGGGCAAGTAGTTTAATTTCTTTAGTACTCTCCATACCAGAGTTTGTTAAGTTATGGCTGGGCACCTGTTTTGTAAATAGAGTTTTACTGGAACATGTTCACACCCATTTGTTTATGGCAGAGTTGAGTACTTGTGACAGATCATCTCAGTCCATCGGCCTGAAATATTCACTACATGGTCCTTTAAGAAAAAGCCTGTCACCCAACACATAATATAAGCAATAATAATTGGTAAACTTGCCCAGTAAGAAATTAAACTTAGTAAGTATTGAGTATTCGACAACTCTATGCTCAGCAAAATCCGTGGAACTAGGTGAATTCACTAGTAGAGATTACATGGGAACTGATACAGACCGAGCTGGCCAGTGTATGTTACCACAGTATCAGACAGGGACAGGGAGAATCTGGGTTCCAGAGTGCTATCTCAGGTGCACTATCTGAGTAAATGCAAATCTACTAAGCTTCTTTCAGTTTCAGTTTTCCTATGCAAAATGAGGACAGGAACACAAATCATAAGCCCTGAGAAACCCCATATACATATTAGTAACTCACCGGGTCATTCTCATTGGTGCGGGAAATAGCTCTCGGACTCTCAACTGGAACCTGGTTATCTAGGTGAGCAGCAATGCTTTGGCGAGCCTGGGTCCCCATGTGTAAAAAACGCCCAGGGTCCAACTATAAGAGAAACCATTTCAGTGTTACGGGGTTATCAAACTTTTTTTTTTTTTTTTTGAGATGGAGTTTCTCTCTTGTTGCCCAAGCTGGAGTGCAATGGCGTGATCTCAGGCTCACTACAACCTCCGCCTTCCAGGTTCAAGTGATTCTCCTGCCTCAGCTTCCTGAGTAACTGGGATTACAGGCGTGCGCCACCACACCCGGCTGATTTTTTATATTTTTAGTAGAAACAAGATTTCACCATATGGGCCAGGCTGGTCTTGAACTCCTGAACTCAGGTGATCTGCCCGCCTCTGCCTCCCAAAATGCTGGGATTACAGGCTTGAGCCACCACACCTGGCTAATCAAACTTTTTATGCTTGCCAAAACACTGAGAAGGTGAGCCATGTCTGCAATAGGGATGTCACTAACATACATTTTTCTTTTTTTTTTTGAGATGGAGTCTCACTCTGTCGCCCAGGCTGGAGTGCAGTGGCGCGATCTCGGCTCACTGCAAGCTCCGCCTCCTGGGTTTACGCCATTCTCCTGCCTCAGCCTCCCGAGTAGCTGGGACTACAGGCACCCGCCACCACGCCTGGCTAATTTTTTGTATTTTTAGTAGAGGTGTATTTTTAGTAGGGGTTTCACTGTGTTAGCCAGGATGGTCTCGATCTCATGACCTCATGATCCGCCCGCCTCTGCCTCCCAAAGTGCTGGGATTACAGGCGTGAGCCACCGCGCCCGGCAACATTTTTCTTCTATGTAAAAAGGATCCCTGTTATTATTTAAAATTCACTAAGTCCAATGACATTATTCATATTCTGTATCTGTTCCAGTCTGTGTATTGCCTTATCAGGGGTCTGTCCTATACGGAAACAAACAATTCTGTCAGAGATTATTCAGGAGCATACATAGCATAGCCATTAGCAAACTTGAAGCAGGAAAGCTCTTTTAATGCGCTTGCACAGCGATGAATGGTTGTCAAAACTGTGTAATTCTCATTCTCTGTCAGTCACCTCAGTTATCAGGGGATCAGTGCAATGCTCCTCACTATGTGACAGCTATAATTACATGCCCTGTAACAATTTTCCTGCTAATTGTGCCCTGGAATAAAGGATCTTTCATTAGAGACATGTAATAAGGGAGTATGTCAAATACACAGCTAAGTGAAAGCAAACTGCTCTATAGGTAACTCAGTGAACTGTACACCGAAACCTCTGAACCAACAGGGAGGGGAAGGGGGCGGATTTCGGTAGACAAATCTAACAAAATGGTAAGTGAAAAACCCCAAAACTGAGCTTAAGGATAACAAACCTTATGTAGAAAGTGAAAAGATGTGTTATGAGGAAAAGATTAGGGAATGCAGCCAGGAGAAGCAAGAGAACAGAAATATAATGGATAGTGTAATAAGGGAGTTGCTTAATAAATAGGTTATCATATGAAAGCTACCAGTATTTTATAGTCTCACCAAGCAGCTTCTCTCTCTCTCTCTCTCTCTTTTTTTTAAGACAGGGTCTTGCTCTGTCACCCAGGCTGGAGTGCAGTGGCACGATCACGGCACACTGTAGTCTCAAACTCCCAGGCCCAAGCCATGCTCCCATCTCAGGCTCCCAAGTAGCTGGGACTACAGGTGCATGCCACTATGCCCAGCTAATTTTTTTAATTTTTTGTAGACAGGGTCTTGCTATGTTGCCCAGGCTGCTCTCCAACTTGCTGCACTCACGCGATCCTCCTGCCTCAGCCTCCCAAAGTGCTGGGATGATAGGTGTGAGCCACTGTACCTGGCTCACCAAGCAGCTTTTTGTGGGTTTTTTTTTTTTTTTTGAGATGGAGTCTTGCTCTGTTGCCCAGGCTGGGGTGCAGTGGCACAATCTTGGCTCTCTGCAACCTCCGCCTCCTGGGTTCAAGTGATTCTCCTGACACAGCCTCCTGAGCAGCTGGGATTATAGGAGTGTGCCACCATGCCCAGCTAATTTTTCTATTTTTAGTAGAGACAGGATTTTGCCATGTTGGCCAGGCTGGTCTCAAACTCCTGACCTCAGGTGGTCCTCCCACCCCAGGCTCCCAAAGTGCTGGGATTACAGGCGTGAGCCACCGTGCCCAGCCTACCAAGCAGCTTTTTGAGTGCAGAAAATATATGTTATCTCTGTACCATCCCTCCTCACACTTACACCCATTTTATGACATGATCCTAAATTATGTGTCTAACATTCCCACTACACAGGTTGAGAGACAGTATTGTACCCATCACTTTTGTTTTTCTTTTTTTTTGAGACGGAGTCTCACTCTTGTCGCCCAGGCTGGGATGCAATGGCATGATCTCAGCTCACTACAACCTCTGCCCCCAGGTTCAAGTGGTTCTCCTGCCTCAGTAGCTGGGATTACAGGCGCCCGCCATCACGCCTGACTAATTTTTGTATTTTTAGTGGAGACTGGGTTTCACCATGTTGGTCATGCTGGTCTGGAACTCCTGACCTCAGGTGATCTGCCCGCCTTAGCCTCCCAAAGTGCTGGGATTATGGGTGTGAGCCACTATGCCCAGCCAACACATAACATTTTAACTTGTATCTTTATCTCTAAATCTTTGATTTTTTCATCGTTCATAGTCCTTAACCTTCCCGAAAATAGGTTTAACCTTCGACTAATCTAAAAGCTTGGATGGAGCCAGGTGTGGTGGTCCACTCCTGTAGTCCCAGCTAGTTGGGAACTAAAGTGGAAGGACTGCTTGAGGGCAGGAGTTCCACATCAGCCAGGGAAGCACAGTGAGACCCCGACAATAAAAAAATTTTAAAAAGCTTAGAAGGTTCCAGAACGATGTCAAAATAAGTCTCAAATTCCTTAGCATAACAATCTAGACCACTGTGATGACTTCAGCCTACCTTTGTAATTTCATTTATAACCATATGACCATGCTGAAACATGTCACTTTTATGCCTCTATACTTCTGCTCATTCTACTTCAACTTCCCTCTCTCCCCATTTAAATCTTTCCCATTCATCAAGCCTCAACTCGAATGTCACATCCTCAGTGAAAATTTGCCAGACACCTCCAGTCAAAAGTAATTCTCTTTCCTTTCTGCTAATAGCACTCTTTGTATTGCACAGCAATTTTATTACACTGCCTTGAGTTGTACTCATGCCTACTGTTAACTGAGTATCTATTAGATGTTAGGCAATACAGTATTGTACATGTACTAGTTTTAAACCTAGAAATCCTAGAAGATAGGCAGAATATTATCAACCCTGTGTTATGATGGGGAAGATAAGGTTCAGGGAAGCTGAGTAATTTTGATTAAGGTCACAGAGTTTTAGGTGGTGAACTAGAATTGACATCCAAGTTTGTCTCTATTTTAAAAAAACTGTATCATGTTATCTTACACATGCTTGTCTCCTAGGCTACACGCTCGGAAGAAAAGGGGTCAGATTTTATTCATTTTCATATCTCCCTCTCTGAGTACTTAACACACTACAGGTATTTAGTTTGCCCTGGAATAAAGAATCTGAAACTGAAAACATGCAATGAGAGAGTACGTAAAGCATCCACGAAGGAAAGTAAATGCTCTATAGGAAACTTAGTGAAGTATACACAGAAACTTCTGAACCATTACTTGTAGATTTTAATATAAAGTAACTGTCAAGTACTAGAGTTGCTCCAGCTTTGTCTGAGAATGTATGACTGTAAATTACAGCTGAAGCAGCAATGCTTGGGAAATATCCAAATATCCAAATCGTTCTCTACACTTCTCAGCCTCCCTTGCAGAAACAGGAGGGGTCATGTGATTCCTTTGGCTAAAGACCTATGAATGAAAATAACTTGTGTCATTGTGTCCTTTCTAATCAGAGCCAATTAAGTGTGAGGTATAAATTATCTCTCCCTCCCCACCTTAAAAGCTATATGTTGCGATGTATCCCAAGAAGGTAAACTTTTGTCCCTCCATCCAGACTTCAGTCTTGCTTGCAAAGCCTTTTTGAAAGACAGGAACAGCAAAAACAAAGCAAAACACATACACACAACACAAACAATATCCTTTGTGTTAGGCCACTGAGAATACAAGGCTTGTTACTTCAGGGTAGCAATCTGAATAACACACCCTAGTACTACTTAAACGCTACTCAATTTTATCTACCGGAGAGAAAGCACCATGCCTCTTTAGCTGGAGAGAAAGCAGAGTGGAAAACAAACTATTCAAGGGTCACAAGGTGGTCCTATTTCTACAGTAATGTGATGACATTTTTGTTACACTTTTTTTTTTGACATAGGGTAGGGTCTTGCTATATTGCCCCGGACAGTCTCAAATTCCTGGGCCCACATGATCCTCCTGCCTCAGCCTCCCAAGTAGCTGAAACTACAGGTACTTTTTGAAGCAAATTAAAAGCTAGCAAAATGGAATCTTTTTTTTTTTTTTTTTTTTTTTGAGACGGAGTTTCACTCTTGTTGCCCAGGCTGGAGTGCAATGGTGTGATCTTGGCTCACTGCAACCTCTGTCTCCCAGGTTCAAGCGATTCTGCTGCCTCAGCCTCCCGAGTAGCTGGGATTACAGGCATGCGCCACCGCGCCTGGCTAATTTTGTATTTTTAGTAGTGACGGAGTTTCTCCATGTTGGTCTGGCTGGTCTCGAACTCCCGACCTCAGGTGATCTGCCTGCCTTGGCCTCCCAAAGTGCTGGGATTACAGGTGTAAGCCACCATGCCTGGCCTACAGCAAAATGGAATCTTTAGTTCTTAAAGTTTTATATATGTTATCACTCAAGTAGACTGTTGTTTCCAGAGAAAACAACCATCTGTACAATTGCCTCTGTACAGTTCCAGAATGAACATCCTGCAGTTTCTGAAAGAGCATTTGTGAGCCAATCTAGAAGATCACCGTGATGGTTAATATTAAGCGTCAACTTGATTGGATTAAAGGCTGTAAAGTATTGTTCCTGGGTGTGTCTGTGAGGGTGTTGCCAAAGGAGATTAACATTTGAGTCAGTGGACTGGGAGACGCAGACCCACCCTCAGTGTGGGTGGACACCATCTAATCACCTGCCAGGGCAGCTAGAATAAAGCAGGCAGAAGAAGGTAGGATGAGCCGACTTGCTGGGTCTTCCAGCCTTCATCTTTCTCCTGAGCTAGATGCTTCCCGCCCTCGAACACTGGACTCCAAGTTCTTCAGCTTTTGGACCCTTGGACTTACAACAGTGATTTGCCAGGGGCTCTCAGGCCTTTAGCCACAGACTGAAGACTGCACTGTCAGCTTCCCTACTTTTGAAGTTTTGGGACTTGGACTGGCTTACTTGCTCCTCAGCTTGCTCACGGCCTACTGTGGGACTTCGCCAGATGGTGTGACTCAATACTCCTTAACAAACTCTCCTTCATATATACTTCTATCCTATTAGTGCTGTCCCTGTAGAGAACCCTGACTAATACAGTCACCCTGAACCAAACTAGTAAAAAAAAAAAAACAAAACTTTCTCTCACCAACAGCACTCTACAGTCTAGCCTCAGGTCTTTGTTGTCTGTTATTAAGAAAGAGGAAATTTTTTTTTTTCTTTTGAGATGGAGTCTCGCTCTATTGCCCAGGCTAGAGTGCAGTGGCGTGATCTTGGCTCACTGCAACCTCTACCTCTTGGGTTCAAGCGATTCTCTTACCTCAGCCTCCCAAGTAGCTGGGATTACAGGCGTGTGCCACCACACGCAGCTAATTTTTGTATTTTTAGTAGAGACGGGGTTTCACTATGTTGGCCAGGCTGGTCTCAAACTGCTGACCTCAGGTGATCTGCCTGCCTCGGCCTCCCAAAGTGCTGGGATTACAGGCATGAGCTACTGTGCCCGGCCGAGAGAGGAAATTTATTTTAGCCTTGTAATATGATCAGTTGAGTCCAGAATCCATCCCTCTGCTGATCCTTGCTTTCGTTTCATTTTATAATAATGGGTTATTTTATGTATTAATATATAGGCCTGAGGGAAGGGGGCACATGCAGGGGGAGCCATATAGGAGGAAGGGCTCCTTTTCTAGGAAATCTAATCTGTAATTAAATAATCAGCTGAAAATGACCAAGTCTTTCTGGCTCAGTTCTGAGCCTTTCAGGATCTCCTGCTGACTCGACTAATCCCGCTCAGGTGCTCCTCTTTGGTGCTGTAAGAGCACCATACTGAAATAGTCATTTTTTCATGATTCTACTGGACTGTAAGCTTCTGGAGAACATGGACCATAAAATGCAATAGAGCACAGTGGTTAGGCCACAGGCTTTGAAGTCAGACAGACCTGGCATCTCGTGTGGGCTTTGCAACCTCACAGGCTATTTCCTCAGGTAAGTTACCTAGCCAGTCTCATCTTTAGTTTCTCCATCTGTGAAACAAGGATATTATCTCGTTCATGGGTTGATCATGAGGATTAAAAAAATAAATCACTTAGTGTAGTACCTGGCACATAATAATACCCAACAAATAATAACTATTATTAGTGAAATGAGGCATCTTAGAATTCTGAGTACCTGCCATATAGAAGGTACTGAAGGCCGGGCACAGTGGCTCACGCCTGTAATCCCAGCACTTTGGGAGGCCTAGGTGGGCAGATCACGAAGTCAGGAGTTCGAGACCAGCCTAGCTAATATGATGAAACACCGTTTCTACTAAAAATACAAAAATTAGCCGGGCATGGTGGCAAGCGCCTGTAGTCCCAGCTATTCGGGAGGCTGAGGCAGAAGAATAGCTTGAACCCAGGAGGCAGAGGTTGCAGTGAGCCGAGATTGCGCCACTGCACACTCCAGCCTGGGCAACAGAGCGAGACTCTGTCTCAAAAAAAAAAAAAAAAAAGTACTGAAAAACTATTTGGTAAATATGTGAAAAAATGAAGTAAACCAGCAGAATGGTCTTTTTCATGTACAATTTTATTTTTTATTCTATTTTAGATGCTAAAGCTGTAAATTGGCAACTTGTTTTTCTTTTAAATACTTCATTAAGGGATGATAACCATTCTCTAGTTGGCTAGAGAAATAAAGTTAATAAAGATAATTACAGTCAAACTTACTTATGTTTTCTGGAAAAATATTAATTCTCCTATTCCATGGTAAATTCTCAAGCACAATTATTCTACTGAAACCTGTTACATATGAAGTTTTCCAGAGCATTTCACTCTAGATACAATGAATCCATCTGAAAACAAGAATCTGGGAACCTAAAGGCAGTATGCACAGAGTGTTCAGGTCAGTCAGGACTCACCTTATGGATCCTAGAGATAAGCCTTGTTATTCCTTTCAGCATCATCCTTGCACTGTTACAAAAAAAAAAAAAGTGAAAAGGTAAACCACAAATGGGAAAAGATGTGTGCAACATGGAAAACTGACAATAGATTAATAGGGATTAATAATCTATATTAATATCTAGAATATATAAAGAATGCCTACAGCTTCATTAAAAAAATGAGCAAAAGGCATGAACAGGCATTTCACAGAAAACGAAACACAAAAGGCTAGTGAACCCATGAAAAGATTTTTGAACCTCATTACAAATCAGGGAAATGCTAATTAAAATGATGAAAACCAGATACCATTCACAATCATCATACTGGGAAAATAAAAAAGTCAGGCGGGACACAGTGGCTCACATGTACAATCCCCACACTTTGGGAGGAACACTTCTCGGGGCTGAGGTGGGTGGATTGCTTGAGCCCAGGAGTTCAAGACTGGCCTCAGCAACAAAGTGAGACCCTGTCTTTACAAAAAATATAAAAATTAGCAGGGCATGGTAGTGCATGCCTGTAGTCCCAGCTCCTCGGAAGGCCGAGGCAGGAGGATCACTTGAGCTTGGGAGGAGGTGGAGGTCACAGTGAGCTGAGATGCACTACATTCCAGCATGGATGACAGAGTGAGACCACCTCAAAAAAAAAAAAGAAAATAGGCCAGGTGTAATGGCTCATACCTGTAATCCCAGCACTTTGGGAGGTCAAGGTGGGCAGATCACTTGAGGTCAGGAATTCGAGACCAGCCTGGCCAACATGGTAAAACTTCATCTCTACCAAAAAATATTTTAAAAAATTAGTCGGAGGCCACGCGCAGTGGCTCACGCCTGTAATCCCAGCACTTTGGGAGGCCGAGGCGGGCAGATCACGAGGTCAGATCGAGACGGTCCTGGCTAACACGGTGAAAACCCGTCTCTACTAAAAATGCAAAAAAATAGCTAGGTGTGGTGGTGGGCGCCTGTAGTCCCAGCTACTTGGGAGGCTGAGGCAGGAGAATGGCATGAAACTGGGAGGCGGAGCTTACAGTGAGCTGAGATCATGCCACTGCACTCCAGCCTGGGCGACAGAGCAAGACTGTGTCTCAAAAAAAAAAAAAAAAAAAAATTAGTCAGGAGTGGTGATATGCACCTGTAGTCCCAGCTACTCTGGAGGCTAAGGCAGGAGGATTGCTTGCATCCAGAGGTTGCAGTGAGCTGATATCACACCACTGTACGCTAGCCCAGGTGACAGAGTGAGACTCTGTCTCAAAAAAAAAAAAAAAAAAACAAAAACAGAAAAAGAAAATTAAAAAGTCAGACAATAGCAAATGTTAAATAGGCTGCGAAACATTACATTGTATTCAACTTTCATACATGTCAATGAAAGTATAAATACACTATCTTTGCAAAGTTGAAAATGCACAAAACAAAGTTGAAAATACACTATCTTTGCAAAGTTGAAAATGTACAAACAAAAAGTTGAAAGTGTGGTGGCTCAAGCCTGTAATCCCAGTACTTTGGGAGGCCAAGGCAGGTGGATCACCTGAGGTCAGGAGTTCAAGAGCAGCCTGGCCAACATGGTGAAACCCAATCTCTACTAAAAATACAAAAAATTAGCTGGGCGTGGTGGTACACACCGGTAATCCCAGCTACTCGGGAGGCAGAGGCAGGAGGATTCCTTGAACCTGGGAGGCAGAGGTTGCAGTGAGCCGAGATCGTGCCATTGCATTCCAGACTGGGCAACAAGAGTGAAACTCTGTCTCAAAACAAAAACCAAAACCAAAACTTCTACATGTACACTGGGAAATATATATAAGGAGGTTCATACTAGCAGAGTATGAATTATAAAAAAACTGTAGAAAAAACTAATGTCCCTTAGTAGAACAGTAGATAGAGACAGTCATAAAATGGAATATTAGAAAGCAATTAAATGAAAAAATTACCATTGCATGCATCAACATGGATCTCAAAAATGAATACTGAGTGAACGCTATTACATCTGGCATGACATAACATATAAAATTCAAAACCAAAAAGCTTCATTAATTATTTGGGGGATATAAATAGGAAAACTGAAACAAAAAAGCAAGAGAATGATAAAAACAACATTTAGAATAATGGTTACTCCTGGGGAGAAGAAAAGGGAAGAAGATTGGGGCAGGGCACACAAGGAAACTGATAATAAACTAACACTGGATAATGGATACATGAGAATTTATTATTTTCATATCATGTGTATTATATTCATTTTTTTGTATACAGGAAATATCTAATTTAAAAGCCCGAATCTTTTGGAGCTAAGAGGTTTAAAATACTTAAATGTAACTCTCAATATCCAGTAGTTATGGAATAACTGAATTAAATGTCTATGTAATTAATTAGTTCATTTTGGCTATAAATTTTTTTTTTTTTTTTGAGACGGAGTCTTGCTCTGTCACCCAGGCTGGAGTGCAGTGGCGCGATCTTGGCTCACTGCAAGCTCCGCCTCCCGGGTTCACGCCATTCTCCTGCCTCAGCCTCCCGAGTAGCTGGGACTACAGGCGCCCACCACCACGCCCCGCTAATTTTTTGTATTTTTAGTAATGACGGGGTTTCACCATGTTAGCCAGGATGGTCTCGATCTCCTGACCTTGTGATCCTCCCGCCTCAGCCTCCCAAAGTGCTGGGATTACAGGCGTGAGCCACCGCGCCTGGCCTATTATAAATTTTTTTTGTTTGTTTTGTTTTGGTTTTTTTGAGATGGAGTTTCGCTCTTGTTGCCCAGGCTGGAGTGCAATGGCATGATCCCGGCTCACTGCAACCTCCACCTCCCGGGTTAAAGCGATTCTCCTCTCAGCCTCCTGAGTAACTGAAGTTAGAGATGCCAGCTACCACGCCCAGCTAATTTTTGTATTTTTAGTAGAGACAGGGTTTCACCATGTTGGCCAGGCTGGTCTCGAACTCCTGACCTCAGGTGATCCACCTGCCTAGGCCTCTCAAAGCGCTGGGATTACAGGTGTGAATTACCACACCCGGCCCCCTTGGCTATCATTTTCACCTTTCTTTATTTTATTTTATTTATTTATTTATTTATTTATTTTGCGATGAAGTCTTGCTCTGTCACCCAAGCTGGAGTTCACTGGAACCTTGCCTCCCCGGGCTCAAGCGATTCTCCTGCCTCAGCTGCCTAAATAGCTGGGACTACAGGCATACACCACCATGTCCAGCTAATTTTTGTACTTGTAGTAGAAACGGGGTTTCACCATGTTGGCCAGGCTGGTCTTGAACTCCTGACCTCAGGTGATCCTCCCACCTCAGCCTCCCAAAGGGATTACAGGCGTGAGCCACCGCACCCAGACACACCTTTCACAACCCAAATCTTTAAAGCAACAATAATAACAACCATAGAGTTGCAACCAATTAACCCAACAGTTACTGAGCACCTACTGTGTGTCAGGCTCTGTGAATGGAATGGTGAACAAACTATTATAGTCCCTGATCTTATAGTCAAGGAATTTATAGTACAGTCAAGAGAATCACATAGGCTGGGCATGGTGACTCATGCCTGTAATATCGGCCCTTTGGGAGGCGGGGATGAGAAGACTGCTTGAGCCCAGGAGTTTGAGACCAGCTTGGGTACATAGTAAGACCGCCAATTCCACAAACAAAAGAAAAAAATTAATTAGTTTGCCAGGGTGGTGCAGGACTGTAGTCGTAGCTACTTAGGAGGCTGAGGCAAAAGGCTCACTTGAGGCCAGGTGTTAAAGAGCTATGATCATGCCACTGTACTCCAGCCTGCATGATACACTCAGATCTGGTCTAAATAAATAGATAAATAAATGAAAAGAGGCCAGGTGCAGTGGTTCATACCTGTGATCCTAGTATTTTGGGAGGCCGAGATGGATGGACTGCCTGAGCTCAGGAGTTCAAGACCAGCCTGGACAATATGGTGAAACCCTATCTCTACTAAAATATAAAAAATAAGCCTGGCATGGTGGTGCATGTCTGTTTTCCCAGCTACTCAGGAGGCTGAGGCGGGAGAATCGCTTGAACCCAGGAGGCAGAGGTTGCAGTGAGCTGAGATTGCGCCATTGCATGCCAGCCTGGGTGACAGAGCAAGACTCCATCTCAAAAAATAAATAAATAAATAAATAATATTTAAAAATAAATAAAAAGAGAGAGAGAATAACATAAATTCCTTTCATTTTATTTCCTTTCTGTTTTTTTTTTCTTTCTTTTTTTTTTTGAGACAGGGTCTCGCTCCATTGCCCAGGATGGGGTGCAATGGCAAGATCACAGCACACTGTAGCCTCAAACTCTTGGGTTCAAGTGATCCGCCTGCCTCAGCCTTTCAAGTAGCTGGGAATATAGGTGCCATTGCCTGGCATATTAAAAAAAAAATTTTTTTTTTTTTGGGTAGACATAACCCTTGCTATGGTGCCCAGGATGGTCTTGAACTCCTGGGCTCAAGTGATCCTCCTGCCTCAGCCTCCCAAAGTGCTGGGATTACAGGTGTGAGCCACCATGCTCTGCTTCAACTTTATCACATTTGTTATTTTTCTTGAGACAGGGTCTTGCTCTGTCATCCAAGCTGGAATACAGTGGCACAATCACAGCTCACTGCAGCCTCGAACTCCCCTGCTTAAGTGATCTTCCCACCTCAGCCTCCCAAGTAGCTGGAATTACAGGCACGTGCCACTGTGCCTGGCTTTTTTATTTTGTAGAGACAGAGTCTCATTATGTTGCCAGCGATGGTCTTGAACTCCTGGACTCAAGTGATCCTCCCACCTCAGCCTCTCGAAGTGCTGGGATTACAGGTATGAGCCATCGCACTTGGCCTTAAATATACTGGATTCGTTTGTTTATTTCTGAGATGGAATATTGCTCTGTCGCCCAGGCTGGAGTGCAGTGGCATGATCTCGGCTCACTGCAACATCCACTTCCCGAGTTCAAACAGTTCTCCTGCCTCAGCCTCCCAAGTACCTGGGACTACAGGCGCCCGCCACCACGCCAGCTTATTTTTGTATTTTTAGTAGATACAGGGTTTCGCCATGTTGGCTAGGCTGTTCTCAAAATTTTGACCTTAAGTGATCCTCCCGCCTCAGCCCCCCAAAGTATTGGGATTACAAGCATAAGCCACCTGCCCAGCCATACTATTTAATGAAGACGCCAAAGCACTCCTAAACTCAGTCATTCAAGAAGCATATGACATGCTTCCACACGCCCACACTACACAGAGTCTATAGTGGTGAATAAGACTGGGATGGTCTCTACTGGCCTGCCTGCCTTTTCACTTGTGGGATTTCAGGGCTCCTTTTCTAGAGTGCAATGTCACTCCAATAGTATTTGACCTGCCCCACTGTGCTCCCCAGATCTTCTCAATGCTCCCCGGCACAACCACTACTGGAAGAGCTGTGGACTAGGAAGCAGGCTGGGTACTGGAGAGGAAGGAGTGTGTGACATGGTCCAGATGCACTTCTTTCCATAGGCGTGCCTGTGGACACTGGAGCTATTATTTTGCCTATGTTATAGACACTATGAGAAATGACGGTCAGAACGTGTAATCAGCTTCCGTTCTAGGACACTATCATCTTGAACCCAAATTAAAATAAATGATCTACCAGCATCCAGACTTAAACATTTTCTCCACTGAAGCCTTGCTTAAAATTCTTCAGTATTTCCTCACTACTTGATTATTTTGTGAGATCGGGTCTCAGTCTGTTGCCCAGGCTGGAGTGCAGTGGCACAATCTAGGCTCACTGCAGCCCCTAACTCCTAGGATCAAGTAATCCTCCTTTCTCAGCCTCCTAAGTAACTGGGACTACAGGCATGTGCAACCACCTGGTGGCTAATTTTTTATTTTTACAGAGATGGGGTCTGGCTATGTTGCCTGGGCTGATCTCTAACTCCTGGCCTCAAGTAATCTTCCTGCCCTAGCCTCGCAAAGTGCTGAGATTGCAGGCGCGAGCCACTATGCCTGGCCCTCACTAGTTTTCAAGTTAAAAAAGTCTAGGTCAGGCGCAGTGGCTCACACCTGTAATCCCAGCACTCTGGGATGCCAACGTGGGTGGATCACGAGGTCAGAAGATCGAGACCATCCTGGCTAACACGGTGAAACCCCATCTCTACTAAAAATACAAAAAATTAGCTGGGTGTGGTGGCGGGCGCCTGTAGTCCCAGATACTCAGGAGGCTGAGGCAGGAGAATTGCTTGAGCCCGGGAGGCAGAGGTTGCCGTGAGCCAAGTTCATGCCACTGCACTCCAGTCTGGGCGACAGAGCAAGACCCTGTCTTAAGAAAAAACTTGTCAAGCTGATTTGGTTTGGCTGTGTCCTCACCCAAATCTCATCTTGAATTTCAGCTCCCATAATTCCCATGTGTTGTAGGAGGGACCCCATGGTAGATAATTGAATCATGGGGGCGGTTTCCCCATACCGTTCATGTGACAGTGAATACATCTCACAAGATCTAATAATTTAATAAGGTGTTTCCCCTTTCACTTGGCTCTCATGCTCTCTTGCCTGCCACCATGTAAGATATGACTTGCTCCTTGTTGCCTTCTGCCATGATTGTAAGACCTCCGTAGCCACGTGGAATTGTGAGTCCATTAAACCTCTTTTTCTTAATAAATTACGCAGTCTTGGGTGTGTCTTTATCAGCAGCGTGAAAATGGACTAATATACAGGCTAATCTCAAAATTCATTTGGAAATGCAACAGACCTAGAATAGCCCAAGTATTCTTGAAAAGGAACAAATTTGGAGGCCTCATATGTCCTGATTCCAACACTTACTACAAAACTACAGTAATCAAGATAGTGTGGTATTGGCATACATTTACATCACGGTCAACTGATTTTTCTTTTTCTTTTTCTTTTTTTCTTGAAACGGAGTCTCACTCTGTCACCCAGGCTGGAATGCAGTGGCACCATCTCAGCTCACTGCAACCTCTGCCTCCCAGGTTCAAGCAATTCTCTGCCTCAGCCTCCTGAGTAGCTGGGATTACAGGTGCCCACCACCACGCCTGGCTAATTTTTTGTATTTTTAGTAAAGACGGAGTTTCGCCATCTTGGCCAGGCTGGTCTTCACCTCCTGACCTCATGATCCACCAGCCTCAGCCTCCCAAAATGCTGGGATTACAGGCGTGAGCCATCGTGCCCGGCCTGGTCAACTGATTTTCAACATGGATGCCAAGACAATTCAATGAGGAAAGAATAGTGTCTTCAACAAATGCTGTTGGGACAACCTGAAATTCACCCACAAAAGAATGAAAATGGACCCCTACCTCATATCATACTCAAAATAGATCATAGACGTACTCATAAGAGCTCCAAGAATAAAACTTGCAGGGGCAAGTTTTCTAATTTTCTTTGAGCCAGAGTCTCGCTCTGTCCCCCAAGCTGGAGTGCACTGGTGTGATCTCAGCTCATTGGCTCACGGCAACCTCTGCCTCCCGGGTTCACGCCACTCTCCTGCCTCAGCCTCCCGAGTAGCTGGGACTACAGGCACCCGCCACCATGCCCAGCTAATTTTTTTGTATTTTTTTTAGTAGAGACGGGGTTTCCCTGTGTTAGCCAGGATGATCTCGATCTCCTGACCTCATGATCCACCTGCCTCGGCCTCCCAAAGTGCTGGGATTACAGGTGTGAGCCACGGGGCCTGGCCCAAGTTTTCTAATTTTCTTTTTTTTTTTTTTTTTTTATAGGCAGAATCAATTTTTTTAATTTTTAATTTTTTTTTTTTTACAGGCATGATCAACCAGGTACAGAATCAGTTTTTTGGCTGTAGATGATTTAAGAGTTAGGGTCAACTTGTCTTTGGTGAGATGTGCTCCTCTATCTTCTTCTGGAATTAAGCAGTTCTTTGGGTTGATGAGTAGGAAAGCAGTTTTGCTGTCAGCTACTTCCCTCCATGAGTTCTGAGACTTCCTGTTTAAAAGCACTACGAAACCTGCTGACCCCACTTATTTCCCGATTTAATTATTCTTTTTGAAAGTTGGCTCTAACCTTAAGGGTTGTGAAAACACAAGGATCCAGTGTGGTTGAAGCTTTAGAACTAAGAAAACCATTCCTTTTTCTATCAAACAGCCTGGCAGGGGAACAGTTTTGCCCCTTGCCCTGAGCCCTGTCATTTGTTTTGATCATTTTCTTTTTTTTTTTTTTTTAATTTATTTTTTTATTGATAATTCTTGGGTGTTTCTCACAGAGGGGGATTTGGCAGGGTCATGGGACAATAGTGGAGGGAAGGTCAGCAGATAAACAAGTGAACAAAGGTCTCTGGTTTTCCTAGGCAGAGGACCCTGCGGCCTTCCGCAGTGTTTGTGTCCCTGATTACTTGAGATTAGGGATTGGTGATGACTCTTAACGAGCATGCTGCCTTCAAGCATCTGTTTAACAAAGCACATCTTGCACCGCCCTTAATCCATTTAACCCTGAGTGGACACAGCACATGTTTCAGAGAGCACAGGGTTGAGGGTAAGGTCACAGATCAACAGGATCCCAAGGCAGAGGAATTTTTCTTAGTGCAGAACAAAATGAAAAGTCTCCCATGTCTACTTCTTTCTACACAGACACGGCAACCATCCGATTTCTCAATCTTTTCCCCACCTTTCCCGCCTTTCTATTCCACAAAGCCGCCATTGTCATCCTGGCCCGTTCTCAATGAGCTGTTGGGCACACCTCCCAGACGGGGTGGTGGCCGGGCAGAGGGGCTACTCACTTCCCAGTAGGGGCGGCCGGGCAGAGGCGCCCCTCACCTCCCGGACGGGGCGGCTGGCCAGGCAGGGGGGCTGACCCCCCCCCACCTCCCTCCCGGAGGGGGCGGCTGGCCGGGCGGGGGGCTGACCCCCCCACCTCCCTCCCGGACGGGGCGGCTGGCCGGGCAGAGGGGCTCCTCACTTCCCAGTAGGGGCGGCCGGGCAGAGGCGCCCCTCACCTCCCGGACGGGACGGGGCGGCTGGCCGGGCGGAGGGCTGACCCCCCCACCTCCCTCCCGGACAGGGCGGCTGGCCGGGCAGAGGGGCTCCTCACTTCCCAGTAGGGGCGGCCGGGCAGAGGCACCCCTCACCTCCCAGACGGCGCGGCTGGCTGGGCGGAGGGCTGACCCCCCCACCTCCCTCCCGGACGGGGCGGCTGGCCGGGTTGGGGGGCTGACCCCCCCATCTCCCTCCCGGACGGGGTGGCTGGCCGGGCTGAGGGGCTCCTCACTTCCCAGTAGGGGCGGCCGGGCCGAGGCGCCCCTCACCTCCCGGACGGGGCGGCTGGCCGGGCGGGGGGCTGACCCCCCACCTCCCTCCCGGATGGGGCGGCTGGCCGGGCGGGGGGCTGACCGCCCCCCCCACCTCCCTCAAGTTTTCTAATTTTCTACAGAGAAAGTAAATCTTCATTATCATGTGTTATGCAATGGTTTCTTAACTATAACATCAAAAGCACAAGCAAAAAAACTAAAAATGGAGAATTGAATTTTATCCAAATCAGACACTTGTACTTCAAGGGATACCATCAAGTAAGTGAAAGACAGCCCACAGAATGGGAGAAAATATTTGCAAATCACATAGAACTTAACTTATATCCATAATATATAAAGAACTCTTACAACTTAACAATAAAGTCAACTCAAGGCTGGGTGCAGTGGCTCATGCCTGTAATCCCAGCACTTTGGGAGGCCAAGGCGGGCAGATCATGAAGTCAAGAGATTGAGACCATCCTGGCCAACATGGTGAAACCCTGTCTCTACCAAAAATACCAAAATTAACTGGGCGTGGTGGTGCACGCCTATAGTCCCAGCTAGAGGGGAGGCTGAGGCAGGAGAATCACTTGAACCCAGGAGGTGGAGGCTGCAGTGAGCCAAGATCATGCCACTGCACTCCAGCCTGGCGACAGAGCGAGACTCCATCTCAAAAAAAAGAAAGGCAACTCAATTTAAAAATAGGCAAAAGGGTCAGGTGCAGTGGCTCACACCTGTAATTCTCACACTTCGGGAGGCTGAGACGGGAGGACTGCTTAATTCCAGGAGTTTGAGACCAGCCTGGGCAACATAATGAGACCTTGTCCTCTACCAAAAATTTAAAAAATTAGCCAGGTGTGGTGGTGTGAGCCTGTGGTCCTAGCTACTTGGGAGGCTAAAGTGGGAGGATCACCTGGGCCTGGGAGCTTGAGGCTGCAGTGAGCTATGATCACACCACTGCACTCCAGCCCAGGTAACAGAGTAAGACCCTGCCTCAAATTAAAAAAATGAAAAGGAAAAATATTTGAGTAGGCATTTCTCCAGAGTAGTTATACAAATGGCCCATAAGCACCTGAAAAGATGTTTAACATTACTAGTCATTAAGCGTTGGGAAAAAGGCTCATGGGGTGCCTGCATAAACTGGCCATAAAAATATGGGACAATAAGTTGTGGAAAGCCACAAGAGGACTCTGAGGAGGAAAGTCTTCTGATCACCATTATGTTCCCATGCTCTGAGCACAACCTGCTCTCTTATCTATAAACACTGTGCTCAAGAAGAAAGACGCTCCTCTGAAGCATTGGAATGTGGCTAGATATGCAGGCTCCTAGTTAAGCCCACTCCCACCAGCTAACTAAAGATATGCTGCTTGAGCACAAAGGAGATTCACTTAAACCGCCTCTGCTACACATTACGTGTATGACGTACTGCCTCCCTTTCACAGTTTTGCCCTGAACATCTGCTTCTTAGATCTAAGTGATTATACTCAATAAATAGTGTAGAGACCAGAACTCTGGGCCTTTTGCAGCCTCCATTTTGCAACTGGCCCCCTGGCTCCCACCTTTATGAACTCTTAACCTGTCTCTTCTCATTCCTTTGTCGCCACCGGACTTCAGGTACCCTACGGATGGTGTTGAGGCTGGTCCCCTACATTCTGGTGCCCAACATGAGGCCCGAAAGAATCCAGTGAAGGCATGCTCAAGCGTGTGAAATGGAGGACCGACAGACAAAGGACTCCCAAAGACGAAAAAGTTTTAAGCTCCGCAGGTGAGCGGGGCACTTGGAGAAAGCTAGGGACACAAATGGGACAAACTGAAAGTAAGTACGCCATGTATTTGAGCTTGCTATGGCAGCTCTTGAAGCGTAGTGGTGTAAAAGTTGATACAAAAAATCTTATGGATTTGTTTTATGCTGTGGAACAATTTTGCCCTTGGTTCCCGGAACAGAGAACTTTGGAATTGAAAGATTGGGAAAGAATTGGAAAGGACCTTAAAAGAGCACAAAGAAAGGGAAAGGAAATTCCTTTGCCTGTTTGGTCAGTTTGGTCATTGGTGTGTACAGCACTGGAGGCTTTTCAGATAGATGATGAGGCTGAGTCAGAGGAGAGAGAGGAGTTTAATGATCAGGACTCTGAACCACCCCTACCAAGTACTAATAAAAAGGGAGAGTCCAGAGTGTTGCAGGAAGTCAGGGACCCCAAACAGAGGGACCGGCTGAAGCCATGGCAGAAGAACATAAATTGTGAAGATTTCATGGACATTTGTTAGTTCCCTAAATTAATACTTTTATAATTTCTTACACCTGTCTTTACTGTAATCTCTGAACATAAATTGTGAAGATTTCATGGACATTTATCACCTCCCCAATCAATACTCTTATAATTTCCTATGCCTGTCTTTACTTTAATCTCTTAATCCCGTCATCTTCGTAAGCTGGGGATGTATATCGCCTGAGGACCCTGTGATGATTGCATTACCTGTACAAATTGTTTGTAAAGCATTTGTGTTTGAATAATGTGAAATCTGGGCACCTTGAAAAGAACAGGATAACAACGATTTTCGGGGAACAAGGGAGATAACCATAAAGTCTGACTGCCTGTGGGGCCAGGCAGAACAGAGTCATATTTCTCTTCTTTCAGAAAGCGAATAGGAGAAATATCGCTGAATTCTTTTCTCAGCAAGGAATAACCCTGGGAAAACGAATGCATTCCCAGGGAGACATCTGTAAAATCGCTGCTCTGGGAGTGTCTGTCTTATGCAGTTGGAGATAAGGGATGAAATATGCCCTGGTCTCCTGCAGCACCCTCAGGCTTGCTAGGATTAGGAAATTCCAGCCTGGCGAATTCTAGTCAGATCGGTTGTCTGCTCTCGAACCCTGTTTCCTGTTAAGATGTTTATCAATATCAACGTCCAATGTGCCCAGCGGGACATGGACCTTCATCAGTAATTCTAGTTTCGCCCTGGCCTTGTGATCTCGCTCTGCCTCTCTGCCTTTGTGATATTTTACTGCCTCTGAAGCATGTGACCTCTGTGACCCACTCCCTATTCGTACACCCCTCCCCTTTTGAAATCCATAATAAAAACTTGCTGGTTTTGCGGCTCAGGGGCATCATGGAACCTGCTGAAATGTGATGTCACCCCCGGAGACCCAGCTGTAGAATTTCTCTTTTGCACTCTTTCTCTTTATTTCTCAGACTGGCACACTTACGGAAAATAGAACCTATGTTGAAATATTGGGGGCTGGTTCCCCCGATACCGGAGGTGATTTCTACCAATCCCCCCGGTCTCCCTAAACCTACACAGAAAATTGTTCAGCCCGCAGCTTCTTCAGAGAAATGTCCGGAATGGCCACCTCCTCCTCAGCTGAGTGAGTGCAGGGGGAGGGAGCCTGAAACTCAGCTTGCCGCACCCATTACTGCCCAACCTGCAGTTCACTATGGTGAAGAAGCAATTCAGGCTCACCCTGCAGCATCCTGTCTGGGTCGAACAGTGGCCGCTCCCTCAGAAAAACTTGGGGGCGTTCCATGAAATAGTTAAAAAACTACTAGAAAAAGGATATATTTCACCCACTTTCTCTCCTTGGAATTCCCCAGTATATGTAATTTTAAAAAAAGTATGGTAGATGGTGCATGCTGACCGACTTGCAAGAGGTCAACGCTGTAATGCAACCAATGGGAGCTTTACAACCAGGGCTCCCATCCCCCACCATGCTCCCTAAAGACTGGCTGCTTGTTATTATAGATTTAAAAGACTGCTTCTTTACAATTCCTTTGGCAGAGACAGATTTTGAAAAATTTGCCTTTACTATCCCTGCCATTAATAACAAAGAACCTGCAGCCAGATATCATTGGAAGGTTTTACCCCAAGGTATGTTAAACAGTTCCACAGTTTGTCAAACTTTTGTAGGCAAAGCTATCCAGCTAGTTAGAGATCAATTTCCAGATTGTTACATCATTCATTATATGGATGACATACTATGTGCAACAAAAAATAGAGACCAACTTATTCAATGTTATTCATCTTTGCAAAAGGCAATTACAAATGCTGGATTGCTTATAACACCTGACAAAATTCAAACAACTCTTCCTTTTCAATATTTGGGGATACAAGTACAAGATAGAGCCATTAAGCCTCAAAAGGTTCAAATCAGAAAAGATTCTTTAAAAACCTTAAATGATTTTCAAAAATTGTTAGGAGACATTAATTGGATTCAGCCCACCTTAGGAATTTCTACTTATGCTATGTCTAATATTTTCTAAATATTGAGGGGAGATTGCAACTTACACCATAAAAGAGAATTAACACCCAAGGCCATGAATGAGTTAAGAGTAATTGAAAAAAAAAAATTCAGCAAGCCCAGGTTAGTAGGATTGACTCAGTCTTGCCTTTTCAATTCATTGTGTTCCCTACTTCACACTCCTCAATGAGGGTTATTGTTCAAAATAATGATTTGGTTGAATGGTCTTTTTTGCCATATAATACCATGAAAACACTTACAGTCTATGTAGATCAGATCACAATTTTAATTGGACAGGCTCATATGCAAATTGTTAAACTTTATGGCACTGAGCCCAATAAGATTATAGTTCCAATAAATAAAAGTCACATTAAGCAGGCATTTATTAACTCAGTTACATGGCAAGTTAATTTAGCAGAATTTATTGAATGTATTGATAATCATCATCCTAAAAATAAAATTTTCCAGTTCTTAAAATTAACTACATAGGTTCTTCCGAAAATTACTCGTGATGCCCCTTTGGAAGGAGCCATGATTGTTTTTACTGATGGCTCCAGTACTGGGAAAGCGGCATATGTGGGACCTTGTGGTAAAGTTATCCACACTAACTCTTCCTCAGTCCAAAGAGCTAAATTACAGGCAATGATTGCAGTATTAGAAGATTTTAATCAGCCAGTTAATACTGTTTCAGATTCAGCTTATGTTGTATAAGCTACTCAGCATATTGAAACTGCCTTAATTAAATATATTATTGATAAACAGCTTTATCAATTGTTCAACTCTTTACAAACAGCTGTGTGTGCTCGGGATTTTCCTTTCTATATAACTCATATCCGAGCACATACCAATCTTCCAGGACCCTTGACTGAGGCTAATGAGCAAGCTGACTTGTTGGTTTCCCCCATACTTACTGATGCCCAGACTTTCCACTCATTAACACACCTTAATGTAACAGGACTTACAAACAACTATCAAATTATGTGGAAACAGGCCAAGGACATTGTACAACATCGTCCTCAGTGCCAGGTACTGCAACTACCGTATCAAGGAACTGGTGTTAACCCTCGAGGGTTGGCACCTAACATGATCTGGCAAATGGACGTCACCCACATTCCTGCATTTGGCAAACTTTCTTATGTCCATGTGACCATAGATACATATTCTCATTTATATGGTCTACTTGCCAAACCAGCCAGACTACAACACATATAAAAAGACACTTGCTTTCCTGTTTTACTGTCATGGGAATTCCACAAAAATTAAAAACAGACAACAGACCAGGCTACTGTAGTAGATCTTTCCAAACATTTTTAAAACAACAGAGCATTGAACACAGTACGGTTATCCCCTATAATTCTCAAAGGCAAGCGATTGTTGAGCGAGCCAACTGAACCTTAAAAATGCAATTACATAAAAAGAAAATAGGGGGAGATAGGGAATATTCCACCCCTCATATGCAGTTACAATTGGCTCTTGTTACCTTAAATTTTTTGAACATCTTCCGCAATCAGGTTACTATAGCAGCTGAAGAGCATTTAACAGGACAGAAGGTAAATGTTCATGAAGGAAAACCTGTGTGGTGGAAGGACTTTAAAACAAAGACCTGGGAAAAAGAGAGATATAACATGGGGAAGAGGGTTTGTTTGTATTTCCCCAGAAGAAAACCAGCTTCCAGTTTGGGTACCTACAAGACATCTTAAATTCTACCATGAGCAAATTTCCAAAGAAGAGAAAAGGATTTTGGAACCAAGATCTCCACTCCCAGCACGCCTGATGGCTCGAATGAACATTTCAGCCAACCAGATGAAGACCAACAAAACCCATCAAGCGAGCCCACCAACTTGGGGACAGATCAAGAGGCTGACCCACCTTGCAGAAGAAAACCTGAAAACACAACAAAAACCACTAACCTCGAGTAACCTGATGGTAGCTATGATTGCGGTAATTACCATGGTGGTAAGTCTCCCTGTGGCTACAGCAGACCAAAATTATACCTATTGGGCATACGTCCCATTTCCACCTTTAATTAGGCCTGTCACATGGTTGGAACCCCCGGTTGAGGCTTATGTTAATAATAGTGTTTGGATGCCTGAGCCTACAGATACTCAAGGGCCCTCTCACCCAGAGGAGGAAGGAATGTTAATAAATATGTCCATGGGTTATCAGTTCCCCTCCTCTTTGCATAGGGCCAGCTGTCGGTTGCCTAAAAGGCTACGGACAACATTGGCTAGTTAAAATTTCAGGTCATAATCAAAGACCAGTATCCTATCATTTATTTTCTGGATGGAGCCCGGATCATCCACAGAGTTCAGTTCAACTGTAACAGTTTAAGCCCAGAAAAGAGAGGTGTCAACAACCTCAACAACAGTCAAATGATTTAGAAATATTGATTTGAAAGGATTGTATCTCTTTTTTTTTCTTTCTTTTTTTTTGAGAGGGAGTTTTGCTCTTGTTGCACAGGCTGGAGTGCAATGGCGCAATCTCAGCTCACTGCAACCTCCGCCCCCCAAGTTCAAGGGATTCTCCTGCCTCAGCCTCCCAAGTAGCTGCGATTACAGGCATGTGCCACCACACCCTGCTAATTTTGTATTTTTAGTAGAGAGGGGGTTTCTCCATGTTGGCCAGACTGGTCTCGAACTCCCGACCTCAGGTGATCTGCCGGCCTCGGCCTCCCAAAGTGCTGGGATTACAGGCGTGAGCCACCACTCCCGGCCAGGATTGCATCTCTGATCACGCTGTGGTACTTCAAAATAATTCCTATGGAATTGTCACTGATTGGTCCCCTAAGGGGACCTTTGCAGTTAATTGTACCAATCAGAATGATAGATACAAGACAGGACTAAAACAGGAACTATACTGTCAAAGAGATGACACTATTTACACTGAAAAACATGCCCAGTTTCCCATAATTTCAACCAATTTTGGTATAGCCGGCCCACATCCAAAAATGATTAATCCAATAATAGGCCCTGAACATCCCAAATTATGGAAGGTAATGATGGCCCAATCTCATATTCAGGTTTGAGAAGAAAAATATTACCTTGAGGGAAAAGGTGAGAGACTTCAATTTGTGTATCAGTTTTCTTCCAACCGAATGGCGCCCATTCAGAGCTGTGTCAAGCCTCCTTTTATGTTGATGGTCGGAAATATTGATATTCGACCTAATTCTCAAACTATTACTTGTCAAAACTGTCACCTTTTCACCTGTATTGATTCCACGTTTGATGTGAAAACATCTGTGTTGCTGGTGAGGGCTAGAGGAGTTTAGATACCGGTTTCCCTCAATAGACCTTGGAAAGCCTCTTCTTCCATTCATATCCTCACAGAAATGTTAAAGGGAGTGTTTACCAGAACAAAAAGATTTATTTTTACCCTTATAGCAGTCATTATGGGCCTTATTGCAGTCACAGCTACTGTTGTGGCTGCTGGAATTGCTTTACACTCCTCTGTTCAAACTGCAGAATATGTAAATAATTGGCAAAAGAATTCCTCAAAATTGTGGAATTATCAGACCCGGATAGACCAACAATTGGCAAATCAAATAAATGATCTTAGACAGACTGTTATTTGGATGAGAGATCGTATAATAAGCTTAGAGCATCGATTGCAAATGCAATGTGATTGGAATACTTCTGATTTCTGCATAACTCCCCATTCATACAATGCTACTGAACATCACTGGGAAAAAGTTAGACATCATCTGGAAGAAAGGGATGGAAATTTTACACTGAATATAGCCAAATTAAAGGAACAGGTTTTTAAAGCATCTCAGGCTCATTTAACTCTCCTGCCTGGGACTGACATTCTCACTGGAGCTGCTGATGGACTTTCAAACATAAATCCTCTTAAGTGGATTAAGACCGTTAGAGAATCAACTATCGCAAATTTTGCTTTAATGTGTACCTGTTTATGCTGTTTGCTTTTAGTCTGCAGATGCGGAAGATGCCTCTGGAGAGAGACCAGACACCAGGAACAAGTCTTAATAGCAATGGCAGTTTTAAAAAAGAAAAAAGGGGGGCATGTTGGGAAAAAGGCTTACAGGGTGCCTGCATAAACTGGCCATAAAAACATGGGACAGTAAGTTGTGGAAAGCCACAAGAGGACTCTGAGGAGGAAAGCCTTCTTATCGCCATTATGTTCCCATGCTCTGAGCACAACCTGCTCTCTTATCTATAAACACTGTGCTCAAGAAGAAAGACGCTCCTCTGAAGCACTGGAATGTGGCTAGATATGCAGGCTCCTAGTTAAGCCCACTCCCACCAGCTAACTAAAGATACGTTGTTTAAGCACAAAGGAGATTCACTTAAACCGCCACTGCTACAGATTATGTGTATGACGTACTGCTTCCCTTTGACTGTTTCGCCCTGAACATCTGCTTCTTAGATCTAAGTGACTGTACTCAATAAACAGTGTGGAGATCAGAACTCTGGGCCTTTTGCAGCCTCCATTTTGCAACTGGCCCCCTGGCTCCCACCTTTATGAACACTTAACCTGTCTCTTCTCATTCCTTTGTCGCCACCGGACTTCGGATACCCTACGGGTGGTGCTGAGACTGGTCCCCCAAAATTAAGAAAATGCAAATAAAAACCACAATGAGATACACTTCACACCCACTAGAATGATGAAATTCAAAAGAACTGATAATAACATGTGTTGGATAGAATCTGGAAAAACTAGGATTCTTATATGTTGCTGTTAGGATTTTTTAAGCGGTGAGGCCACTTTGGAAAAGTTTGGCAGTTCCTCAAAAGGTAAAACATGGAGTTACCATATGAACCTGCAATTCCACTCTCAGGTATAAAAGAGAAATAAAAACAAGTGTATGCAAAAGTTGTACACAAATGTTCGTAGCAGTATTATGCATAAGAGCCAAAAAGTGGAAATACCTCACATGTCCATCAATTGATGAATAAACATAACGTGGTATAGCCATATAATGGAATATTATTTGGCAATACGAAACAAAGTTCTGATGCATTACACAACTGGATGAACCTTCAAAACAAAGTAAAAGAAGACAGTTGCATATAGTATGATTTCAATTACATGAAATGTCCATAATTTGCTTATTAATTACATAAACTGATTTAGTGGTTGCGAGAGGCAATGGGAGGGAGGAATGGAAAGCAACTTACTGATAAGATTCTTTTGGGGGTGATAAAAAATGTTCTAAAGTTCGATAGTGGAGGCTGGGCATGGTGGCTCACGCCTGTAATCCCAGCACTTTGGGAGGCTGAGGCAGGTGGATCATGAGGTCAGGAGATCGAGACCAGCCTGGCTAACACGGTGAAACCCCGTCTCTACTAAAAATACAAAAAATTAGCTGGACGTGGTGGCGGGTGCCTGTAGTCCCAGCTACTCAGGAGGCTGAGGTAGGAGAATGGCGCGAACCCGGGAGGCGGAGCTTGCAGTGAGCCGAGATCGCGCCACTGCACTCCAGCCTGGGTGACAGAGCGAGACTCCGTCTCAAAAAAAAAATAAAATAAATTAGCTGGATGTGGTGGCATGTGCCTGTAGTCCTAGTTGCTCAGATGGCTGAGGTGGGAGGATCCCTTGAGCCAAGGAGCTTGAGGTTGCAGTGAGCCAGGACTGCACTACTGCCTTCCAGCCTTGGCGACATAGATCCTATCTCAAAGCAAACAAACAAAAAAAAGTGTAAATTTACAGAAGAGTTGCAAAGGTAGTACAAAGTGCTTTCTTACAATTTTCATTAGAGTTTCCTTAATGTTACATACATATGACCATGGTACAATTTTCAAAATTAAGAAATTAAAGCTGGTACAATACTATTTAAAAATTGCAGACTTTATTTGCATTTCCTCAGCTTTTCTGCTAATGTCTTCTTTCTTTTTTTGAGACAGGGTCTCGCTCTGTCACCTAGGCTGCAGTGTGATGGCGTGATCTCGGCTAACTTTGCAACCTCTTCCTCAATCCTCCTGCTTCAGCCTCCCAAGTAGCTCAGACTACAAGCGTGTGCCACACCTGTCTAATTTTTGTGTCTTTTTGTAGAGATGGGGTTTCACCGTGTTGCCTAAGCTGGTCTCGAACTCCTAGGCTCAAGCAATGCGCCCTCCTCCGCCTCCCAAAGTGCTGAGATTACAGGTGTGAGCCACTGCGCCCAGCCTAATGTCTTCTTTCTGTTACAGGATCCAGTAGAAGATTCCACATCTGGAGATCTTTTCCTTTCTTTATATCTATCACCGACATTACCTACTCTTTAAAAATTTTGTAAAAGGCATAAATTTGAAAAATATATCCTCATTAATCTAAATCAAGTCATTGATACAACTATTTAACAAGACGCCCGGCCTGCTTTGTTTTATTAACGACTTGGAGGGACAGAACACTACCCATTACACCCACAAACGTTATCGACATCAACAGAACTGTAAATGACAACACGGCAATACTCTGCACCTTCCCTATGCCTAGGAGCTAATTCCACTTTACATATATTATTATTTCGTGTGTGTGTGTGTGTGTGTGACGGAGTCTCGCTTTGTCGCCAGGCTGGAGTGCAGTGGCGCGATCTCGGCTCACTGCAACTTCCGCCGCCCGGGTTCAAGCAATTCTCCTGCCTCAGCCTCCCGAGTAGCTGGGGCTACAGGCGCCCGCCACCACGGCCGGCTAATATTTGTATTTTTAGTAGAGACGGGGTTTCACCATGTTGGCCAGGATTGTCTCGATCTCTTCACCTTGTCATCCACCTGCCTCGGCCTCCCAAAGTGCTGGGATTACAGGCGTGAGCCACCGCGCCCAGCCCTATCTTATTATTTCACACACCAACCCTGGAGGCATGTTTGGAGTTGCCTAATTTTTATGTACACTTTTTGATAAGGAACTAACAAAAATAACTTGCTGAAGACAAGGGAAACTGAGTCCAGAACTGAATGAGAAGCACATGGTTTCTTCATCCTCCATCACCAGGCTGTCTAACGAGGCTGAAGTACCATCCATGAGTAAGTGCGTCAAGGGCAAACAAACATCATCGCATATGGACAGTGGTGTGAAATTCGAGAAATCCGAGGAGGGTTAACAACAACAAAAAGCACACCACCACGCCGAACTTCCTCGGGTCCCAGGTTGGCAACTCAACGCCCGGGAGGAATCCCCCCCGGAGGCGCGCCGGTCTACCGGCCTCACTCCCTACCTCCTGGAGGTCCGGAGTCCCGCTCCTTTCCCTCAGCGGTACAATACCCGTGTCGGTCCATTCCCTCACCGTGAGTCGAGGACTAGTTCTCCAGACTAGGCGACCGACACACGCTGCCTGGGGCCGGCTCCAAAGCGCCCGTCCTGAGACTGCAAAAAAGGGTCGGGTCATCCGGCAGGAAACGACTCAACGCGCAGCCGCCGCGGCCTCCAACCACCGGCCGGCAGAGGGGCGCTAGGCCGCCCTCGATCCCCTCGCCGCGGTCCCATGGAGGAGGAGGCGAGCCGCAGCGCCGCGGCGACGAACCCAGGGAGGTAGGTTGTCATGGGACTCGGCCGGCCACCCTGGCAATTCCAGTCAAACGGCAAGCCAGACTCGCTTTGCCGGTCCCTTCCTCTCCTGCCCCTGCAGCCGCCAGGAATGGAACAGTCCCGCGGTGGGGACTGTGGGAGGCGCACGCGCGAGGAGTGTAGGGTGGGGGTGCTGGCGGCGGCTGCTTTGGCGGCGGTTGGTGGCCGTGCGGGCGGGGAGGGAGGGGGAGGAGAGAAGAGGAGGTGGAGAAGGCTTGGGCTCGCGCCGCTGAAGGTACGCGTGAGGGCCTGCGCTGGAGCCGGCTTGACAGGGTCTGAGGGGGAGTGGAGAACTGGGCGAGGAGGTTCCCGTGGGTGAGCGCGTACGGGATGGCTGGCTCGCAGGACGGCCGAAGGTGGTGGTTGGTGGGAGCAGCCAGCGACGAGCCCGTAGACACTCGTACGCGTGCGGGCTGACGTGCGCGCTACATGGCCGGAGTCGGGCGAAGCGGGGGACCGTGGGGAAGAACGCGAGGAGGGAGGAGTGGGAGGTTGGGGGTGTCGCTAGGCGCCCTTAGCTCCCTCCCTCTGGAGGAGCTGCCGCGGCCACTCTGCTGCCGCCGCTGCCGCCGCCATTTTGGGTTCGCTTTGCGAGGGGAAACGATCCCAGTGTCGGTTGCGGGATCCGCCTCCTCTCAGTTTGCCCCTTTAGCCCTCCACCTTTCCCTTCTCCTCTCTCGCATTTCCGCCAGTCGGCTTACCCGCTGGCCGCCTCCTGACAAGCGGGAGGGATCCGCGGTGGACCCAGGGAAGCGGAGGAGCCTGGCGGCCACCCCCTCTTCCTCACTTCCCTGTACTCTCATCGCTCTCGGCCTCCGACACGGTGAGTAGAACGATTTGGGCCGGCATTCGGGCCTAAGCACTCTCTCAGCGATTGAATCCTGGGCTTTCTGGGAGCCACTGTCATCTCCCGGACCTGGACCTCTGGGAGAGCAGTGGTGAAGATGGGGGAGGGGAGAGCAGGGAGGGGGATCCTGAGCCTACCGGGAAGTCCCTCCAGGCGGGGTGAAGGGGTGTCCCTGACAGGCAGACTCCCGGAGGGGGCTGGGAAGTAAGCGAGTGGAGGCGGAGTCGGCTGTGCCCCTGACAGGTTAGTTTGTGTTTGTAGGCATGATCGGAGCCTCCCCCATAGTCCAGTTTGTGTGTGTTTAATTAAGGGATAAGAGTGGTCGAGGACACGATCTTGAGAGGGGATTTTACCTGTGTGACAAGGTCTGTGGTGTCCCTGCCGCGTTGAACGGTATGTGGGAACGACAGGATGATCTCAGTGTTGTACGTTTAATAAATGTCACTGGTTAGTTTGTACATGGAAAGAGATGTTTTTGGTCTAGCAGACAGATGGTCTGTTGGTGTGTAGCGGCTGTGTTGGTGTGTGTATGTGAGGATGGCAAGTGTTTCCGTAAGAGTTTGCCTTTATTTGTGTAAGTGTAATGGAGTTCCCCTTATAAGTTAGCTTATTTCTTGAATAAATGTTGGGAGGTTCCTTGCAGGTTGATATGTGTGTGTATTTTAGGGATTGGGAGCCCCTAGTTACTTGTTGGGAAAGAGCGGCAATGGTAGTGTTCTGTACAGCATGTGTCTGTGAGGTCAGGGAGGGGAGAAACTTGGCATAGCCAGTTGTGGTCTTAAGAATAGTTTGTGCCTTTGGTTAGAGTGAGTTGTGTAAATGTGAAGGGCCAAAATATCTTTAACAGAATCATTGCTACAAAGCTGTAAAGAATGGGTGGCCTTATTTGTTGTCGCGGGTTTATAGTAATAGTTTACAATACAATAAGAAAGCTCTTTCAGTTTCTTTGTGATACTGAATCTCTGTGAAAATGGTAGGATGCTTTCTTCCATTTTACAAAATAGGAAATTTAGGCATAAGGAGAGAACTTCTCCAAGGCCGCATGTTAAATTGGTGACAAAGTTGGAACTGTAACTCCCATATTTTCACTACTACTGCAGCAGTATATTCAGCATACCATGGTGCCTCAGGAAGTCTTTGTCGGCAAATCTGAGTATGCTGGAAAGATAGGAGCACATAAGACTGGTTGGCTTGTATTTGGGGGAGACCGATTGTGTCAGATATGTATGTGGAACGTAGCTGTCCTTGCCGAGTCTGACCTGTATGAAATGCATATCCATGGCTATATTATTTTGGATTTATGGAGGAAGCAGAGCATTTCTGACACTTAAGGTTGTATGCGTGAGGGAGAAGGCTTTCACAGCTTAACTTGTACCAGAGCAGCTGCATGGGTGCTGACAGCTTAACTTGAAATCTGTGGGAGGAAGGATCCTTTTTCACTCATTCAACAAATATAACCATTCAATGAATGGTCCATGCCTTGAGGTGAGGATCATCAAGGTGTCTCTGTAAATAGCCTGGATGCAATCTGAGGGGAGTTGTTTTGACGGTGGTAGGTATTAAGTTGAGGGAGGCAGTGTGGAATTAAAACCAGAGAACTGTTTTTGGGTACTGGTAATTGTTAATATATGTGCCTGTGGATGTTGGAACTTCTTGGCTGGGCTGAAGGAATCCTTTGAAAGACTGATTTCGGCAGGGCGCGGTGGCTCACACCTGTAATCCCAGCACTTTGGGAGGCCGAGGTGGGCGGATCACGAGGTCAGGAGATCGAATCACGAGGTCAGGAGATCGAGACTATCCTGGCTAACAGGATGAAACCCCGTCTCTACTAAAAATACAAAAAATTAGCCGGGCGTGGTGGCGGGCGCCTGTAGTCCCAGCTACTCGGGGAGGCTGAGGCAGGAGAATGGCGTGAACCCGGGAGGCAGAGCTTGCAGTGAGCTGAGATTGCGCCACTGCACTCCAGCCTGGGCCACAGAGGAGACTCCATCTCCAAAAAAAAAAAAAAAAAAAAAAAAAAGACTGATTTCATGTAGTAAGGATCCCGTCTATGAACTCTATGAATATGAGGTAAGAATGCATGAACTAAGCCAACTTAGCTGTATTCTTCTGGAAAATGGGATGTTTCTTGATAGGCTAGATTAGTGGTTCTTAAAAGTTTTTTGGGGTCACTTATCCTTCAGAGAATCGGATGAAAGACACTGGGCCCTCAAGTTAGAAGATGAGCATAAGCGCAATCACATGATTTATATATATGATTTTAGGAACTTAAACTGTAATGAAATAGAGCCAATTTATATTTAGATCTCATTTGAAAACCTTTCATTTTCATTGTTCGGGTGTGTGGATGTTAGTATGAGTTTAAGGTGAAGGAGTCTATGTTAGTATTTGAACATGTTGACAGGATCCATATTTTTAATTTATTCTTTTTATCGTCTGCAAACATTTCTGCAGTATTAGTAAATGACTCTGTATTTGGTAAAAAGGGAAGCTAATGTCGCACAAGTATCTATGGCTTTGTTCTTTGTCAGTATCTTTTTGTTCTCAAACTCTGAGAAGCGTCTTTTTTTCAGTTTTGGATTGGGCCTGAGGTGATTTGAAGCTCCTGTCTTGGAGTTTAACTTAGTTATAACAAACACTGAGTTAATCCTATGCAGGAGACACAAAGATAATTAATATATGGTCTCTGTGCTTGAAGAGACGCTAATTTTCTGTGGTTGAAGAGATGCTGTGAATTGTGTGATAGTGGCAGCTCTCAAAAGGACAAGGAAGAGGGAAACATATTCCTAGAAGCTGAAATTTTATTACCCAATTGCAAAGACTTTTTGTCACTACTTATTCTTAGGAATAACCATAAAGTGTTTATTTTATTCTGTATGGAACTTTGTACTTTAAAAAAATATGTTTTGTATCATCTGGTGTTTTTGTATAAAGGAACTGTTGGTTTGAAAAGAAGGTAAACATCATTTATATTCCTTACCTTGTTTTGGGATGTATCTCTACAGTGAGTTTATGTAAAAAGGTCTTAATGTCATTTTTGGGTATACATACATGTAGAAAGCCCTCCTGATATAAAATCCAGTAGCTATTTGACAGACTACCCATTAATTTATTACTGGAACTTAAAAATAATTACTGTACTTTTAAAAGAACAAGAAATTGGTCAGGTGGGGTGGCTCACGCCTGTAATCCTAGCACTTTGGGAGGACGAGGCGGATGGATTGTCAGAGCTCAGAAGATCGAGACCAGCCTGGGCAACACGGTGAAACCCCGTCTCTACTAAAATACAAAAAATTAGCTGCATGTGTTGGAGTGCACCTGTAGTCCCAGCTACTCGGGAAGCTGAGGCACGAGAATTGCTTGAACCAAGAATTGCTTGAACTGGGAGGGGGAAGTTGCAGTGAGCTGAAATCATGCCACTGCACTCTAGCCTCGGCATCAGAGCAACACTCTGTCTCA